>NC_000023.11:66212542-67462542 GCF_000001405.40 Homo sapiens | reverse complement strand
CAGGTTTGTTACATAGGTATATATGTGCCATGGCGGTTTGCTGCCCCTATCAACCCATCATCTAAGTTCCCTCTCCTCGCCACTCACCCCCAACAGGCCCTGCTGTGTGTTGTCCCCCTTCCTGTGCCCCTGGGTTCTCATTGTTCAACTTCCACTTATGAGAGAGAACATGAGGTGTTTGGTTTTCTGTTCCTGTGTTAGTTTGCTAAGGTTGATGACTTCCGGCTTCATCCATGTCCCTGCAAAGGATATGATCTCATTCCTTTTTATGGCTGCATAGTATTCCATGGTGTATATGTACCACATTTTCTTTATGCAGTCTATCATTGATGGGCATTTGGGTTGGTTCCATGACTTTGCTATTGTAATTAGTACTGCAATAAACATACATGTGCATGTGTCTTTATAGTGGAATGATTTATATTCCTTTGGGTATATACCCAGTAATGGGAGTGCTGGGTCAAATGGCATTTCTGGTTCTAGATCCTTGAGGAATTGCCATCCTGTCTTTCACAATGGTTGAACTAATTTACATTGCCGCCAACAATGTAAAAGCATTCCTATTTCTCCACATCCTCGCCAGCATCTATTGTTTCTTGACTTTTAAATAATAGCCACTCTGACTGGTGTGAGATGGTATCTCATTGTAGTTTGATTTGCATTTCTCTAATGATCAGTGGTGTTGAGCTTCTTTTTGTATGTTTGTTGGCCATGTAAAGGTCTTCTTTTGAGAGGTGTCTGTTCGTATTTTTTGCCCACTTTTTGATGGGATTGTTTGTTTGTTTGTTTTTTTCTTGTAAATTTGTTTAAGTTTCATTTAAATTCTGGATATTAGACCTTTGTCACATGGGTAGCCCACAAAAATTTTCTCTCATTCTGTAGATTTCTTGTTCATGCTGATGATAGTTTCTTTGGCTGTGCAGAAACCCTTTAGTTTAAATAGATTTTGTCAATTATGGCTTTTGTTGTACTTGCTTTTGACATTTTTGTCATGAAGTATTTGCCCATGAGTATGTCCTGAATACTATTGCCTAGGTTCCCTTCTAAGGTTTTTATGGTTTTGGGTTATACATTTAAGTCTTTAATTCATTGTGAGTTAATTTTTGTATAAGGTGCAAGAAAGGGGTCCAGTTTTACTTTTCAGCATCTGGCTAGCCAGTTTTCCTGGCACCATTAAACTGAATAGGAGATTCTTTCCCCATTGCTTGTTTTTGTCAGGTTTGTTGAAGATCAGATAGTTGTAGATGTGTGGTATTATTTCTGAGGTCTCTGTTCTGTTCCATTGGCCTATATATCTGTTTTGGTACAAGTACCATGCTGTTTTGGTCACTGCAGCCTTGTAGTATAATTTGAAGTCAGGTAACCTGATGCCTTCAGCTTTGTTCATCATGCTTAGGATTGTCTTGGCTATATGGGGTTTCCTTTAATTTCATATAAAATTTAAAGTAGTTTTTTTCTAATTCTGTGAAGAATGTCAATGGTAGTTTGATGGGAATAGCATTGAATCTATAAATTACTTTGGACAATATGGCAATTTTCACAATATTGATTCTTCATATCCATAAGGATGGAATATTTTTCCATATGTTTGTGTCCTCTCCTATTTCTTTGAGCAGTGGCTTGTAGTTTTCCTTGAAAAGGTTCTTCACATCCCTTGTCAGCTGTATTCCTAGGCATTTTATTCTCTTTATATAAATTGTGAGTGGGAGTTCATTCATGATTCAGCTCTCTGCTTGTCTATTATTGGTGTAAAGAATGCTTGAGATTTTTTTACATTGGTTTTGTATCCTGAGACTTTGCTGAAGTTGCTTATCAGCTTAAGGAGTTTTGGGGTTGAGATGATGGGGTTTTCTAAATGTAGAATCATGTCATCTGCAAACAGAGGTGATTTGACTTCCTCTCTTCCTAGTTGAATATGCTTTATTTCTTTCTCTTGCCTGATTACCCTGGCCAGAACTTCCAATACTATGTTGAATAGGAGTGGTGAGAGAGTGCATCCTTGCCTTATACCAGTTTTCAAAGGGAATGCTTCCAGCTTTTGCCCTTTCAACATGATATTGGCTGTGGGTTTGTCATAAATAGCTCTGATTATTTTGAAATATGCTCCATCCATACCTAATTTATTGAAGGTTTTTAACATGAAGAGATGTTGAATTTTATCAAGGGCATTCTCTGCATCTATTGAGATAGTCATGTGGTTTTTGTCCTTGGTTCTGTTTATGTGGTTGATTACCTTTATTAATTTGCATATATTGAACCAGCCTTGCACCCCAGAAATGAAACCAACTTGATCATGGTGGACAAGCTTATTTATGTGCTGCTAGATTCAGTTTGCCAGTATTTTATTTTGGATTTTTGCATCTTTGTTCATCAGGGATATTGGCCTGAAGTTTTCTTTCTTTGTTGTGTCTCTTTGAGGTTTTCATATCAGGATGATTCTGGCTTCATAAAATGACTTAAGTAGGAGTCCTTCCTTTTCAATTGTTTGGAATAGTTTCAGAAGGAATGGAACTAGCTCCTCTTTGTACCTCTGGTAGAATTTGGCTGTGAATCAGACTGGTCCTCAGCTGTTTCTGTTGGTAGGCTATTAATTACTGCCTCAATTTCAGAACTTGTTAGTAGTTTATTCAGGGATTTGACTTATTCGTGGTTTAGTCTTGGGAGGGTGTATGTGTCCAGGAATTTATCATTTTTTCTATATTTTCTAGTTTATTTGCCTAGAGGTGTTTATAGTATTCTCTGATGGTAGTTATTATTTCTGTTGGGTCAGTGGTGATATCCCCTTCATCATTTTTTATTGCATCTATTTGATTATTCTCCCTTTTCTTCTTTATTACTCTAGGTAGCAGTCTATTTTGTTAATTTTTTTTCAAAAAAAAACAGCTTCTTAATTCATTGATTTTTTGGAGGCTTTTTCGTGTCTCTATCTCCTTTAGTTCTGCTCTGATCTTAGCTATTTCTTGTCTTCCACTAGACGAGAAAAGCTTCTCTTCCACTAGACAAGCTTTTGGATTAGTTTGCTATTACTTCTCTAGCTCTTTTAATTGTGATGTTAGGGTTTCAATTTGAGATTTTTCTAGCTCTCTGATGTGGGTATTTAGTGCTATAAATTTCCCTCTTAATGCTTCAGCTGTGTCCCAGAGATTCTGGTACATTATCTCTTTCTTCTGATAGGTTTCAAAGAACTTGATTTCTGCCTTAATTTTGTTATTTACCTTGGAGTCATTCAGAAGCAGGTTGTTCAATTTCCATGTAATTGTGTGATTTGGAGTGAGCTTCTTAATTCTGAGTTCTAATTTGATTGCATTTTGGTTTGACAGACTCTTTGTTATGATTTCAGTTCTTTTGCATTTGCTGAGGAGTGTTTTACTTCAAATTATGTGGTTGATTTTAGGATAAGTGCTATGTGGCAGTGAGAAGAATGTATATTCTGTTGATTTGGGCTGAAGAGTTCTGTAGAAGACTGTTAGATCCACTTGATCCAGAAGTGAGTTCAAGTCCTGAATATTCTTGTTAATTTTCTGTCTTGTTGATCTGTCTAATATTGACAGTGGGGTGTTAAAATCTCCCAGTATTATTGTGTGGGAGCTGAAGTCTCTTTGCAGGTCTCTAAGAACTTGTTTTATGAATCTGGGTGCTCCTGTATTGGGTGCATATATATTTAGGATAGTTAGCTCTTTTTGTTGCATTGATCCCTTTACCATTATGTAATGGCCTTCTTTGTCTTTTTTGAGCTTTGTTTGCTTAAAGT
Source organism: Homo sapiens (assembly GCF_000001405.40). Classification (NCBI taxonomy): domain Eukaryota; kingdom Metazoa; phylum Chordata; class Mammalia; order Primates; family Hominidae; genus Homo; species Homo sapiens. The sequence continues at coordinate 67,458,791 of NC_000023.11, read as the reverse complement.
CTGTTTTGTCAGAAACTGGGATTGCAACCCCTGTTTTTTTTGCTTTCTATTGGCTTGGTAAATTTTCCTCCATCCCTTTATTTTGAACCCATGTGTGTCTTTGCACATTAGATCGGTCTCCTGAATACAGCACACCAATGGGTCTTGAATCTTTATCCAATTTGTCAGTCTGTGTCTTATAATTAAGGCATTTAGCCCTTTTACATTTAAGGTTAGTATTGTTCTGTGTGAATTTGATCCTGTCATCATGATGCTATCCAGTTATTTTGCACACTAGTTGATGGTGTTTTGTCATAGTGTCATTGGTCTTTATATTTTGGTGTGTTTATGCAGTGGCTGTTACTGGTTTTTCCTTTTAATATGTAGTGCTTCCTTCAGGAGATTTTGCAAGGGAGGCCTTGTGGTGATGACATCCCTCAGTAATTGCTTGTCTGGAAGAGATTTTATTTCTCATTTGCCTATTAAGTTTAGTTTGGCTGTATGTAAAATTTGGGGTTCAAAATTCTTTTCTTTAAGAATGTTGAATATTGGCCCCCAATCTTGTCTGGCTTGTGTGGATTCTGCTGAGAATTCTGTTTTTAGTCTGTTGGGCTTCTCTGGCCTTTCTCTCTGGCTATCTTTAACATTTTTTCCTTCATTTTGACCTTGGAGAACCTGATGATTATGTCTTGGGGTTTATCTTCTCGTGGAGTATCTTAGTAGTGTTCTCTGTGTTTTCTGATTATGCATGTTGGCCTGTCTTGCTAGGTTGGGAAAGTTCTCCTGCATAATATCCTGAAGTGTGTTTACCAGCTTGTTTCCATTCTCCCTGTCTCCTTCAGGTACTCTAATCAATCATAGGTTCCATCTTTTTATGTAGTCCCATATTTTTTGGAGGCTTTTTCATTCCTTTTCATTCTTTTTTTCTCTAATCTTGTCTGCATTCTTTATTTCAGCAAGGTGGTCTTCAAACTCTGATATCTTTTCTTCCGCTTGGTCAACTCAGCTATTGATACTTATGTAAAGTTCTTGTGCTGTGTTCTTCAACTCCATCAGTTTATTTATGTTCCTCTCTAAACTGGATATTCTAGTTAGCAGTTCCCCTAACCTTTCATCAAGGCTCTTAGCTTCTTTGCATTGGGTTAGAACACGCTCCATTAATTCATTGGAGTTTTTTTATTACCCATCTTCTGAAACCTACTTCTATCAATTTGCCCATCTCATCTTCCATCCAGTTTTATGTTCTTGCTGGAGAGACATTGCAATTATCTGGAGGAGAATGGGCACTCTGGCCTTTTGAGTTTTCAGTGTTTTTTCATTGATTCTTTCTCATCTTTATGGGTTTGTCTAGTTGTGATCTTTGAGGCTGCTGACCCTTGGATGGGGTTTTAATGGGGATGCTTTGTTGTTGTTGATGCTGTTGTTGTTGCTTTCTGTTTGTTTTTCTTTCAATATGTCCCTCTTCTGTAGGGCTGCTGGCATTTGCTGGGGGTTCACTTCAGGACCTAGTCATCTGGCTCACTCCCACACCTGGAGATGTCACTCAAGGAGGCTGGAGAACAGCAAAGAGGCGTGCCTGCTCCTTCTTCTGGGATCTCTGACCTCAAGGGGCAGCAACCTGATGCCAGTAGGATCGCTCCTGTATAGGGTGTCTGACAACCCCTCTTGGAGGGTCTCACACAGTTGGATGGCACAGGGAAAAATACCTGTTTAAAAAAGCACTTTGTCTCTCCCTTGGTGGAGGGGGTGTGCTTCATTGGGTGGAAACCCACTCACCTAGGCTGCCCAGATTCCTGAGAACTGCCAGGAGGAAAGGCTAAGTCTGCTGCTCCACAGAGACTGTGGTTACCCCTCCTCCTATGGGCTCATGCCCAGGGACATCAGGGTCCTGTCCCTGAGCCTCTGGATGGAGTTGTTCAAGTTCCTGCAGGGAGGCACCACCCAGTGAGGAAGGAGGGGTCAGGCCTGAAGAGGTGGTCTGGCTGCAGTCTGCCACAGCAGGTGTGTTGAGCTGTGGGGAAAACCTCTTGGGACCAAGCCATCTATCCTCCCTGGCTCCAGCAGGGGAAAAGAGTGGCCTGGAGCTATAGAGATGGATGCCACCTTCCCCCCACCCCATCGCATAGGGAGCTTAAGAGTGTTAGGCAGTTATGAGTCCCAGTGCTGGCTGCTGCCCCTCCCCCAAGGAGCTCAAACAGTTTAGACAGTAGGCAGCCACAGCTGTGGTGCTTGTCACCTCTCTCCTTGAGAACTTGGCAGGGTTAAGCAGGTTCTAGCTGAGAGGCTGTTGAGAATCTACACAACTTCAGGGTTGGGACCCTAGGCCCCAGTGGTGTGGGTTCACAAGTAAGGTCTTCCAATCTATGGTTTGCACAGTTTGGTGGAAAAAAGAATGGTTTCCCAGCTGGGTAGCACACTCACTCACTGCCTACCTTGGCTAGAGGTTGGGGACTCCCCTGCCCTGTGTGGCTATCAGGTGGGCCACCGCAACACACTTCTCTTTTCTCTCCATGTACAACACCAGCCGCCTAGTCAATTCTGATAAGATAAACTAGATACCTTGGTTGCCAGTGCAGGATTCACATACTAGTTATTATTTATTTTTTATGGGAGCCTCTGATCCCCAGTGCTTTTGTCATCCATCTTGGCCCCTCCCCAATATTTTCTTCTAAGACTCTTATAGTTTTAAATCTAATGTTTAGGCTTTTGATCCATTTTAAGTTAATTTTGTATAAAGAAGGGGTCCAATTTCATACTTTTACATGTGGATATTCAGTTTTTCTAATACAATTTATAGAAAAGACTAGAAATATTTCCTTATTTAATAGTTGTGGTACCCTTGTTTAAAATCCTTTGGCCACATGTGAGAGGTTTATCTCTTGCCTTTCTATTTTATTCCACTGATCTCTATGTCTCTCCTTATGCCAGAACCACACTGTGTTGATTACTGTAGTTTTATAGTAAATTTTGAAAGCAGGAAATGTGAGACTTTCACATATTTTTATTTTTCAAGATTTTTTTGGTTATTCAGGATCCCTTGAGATTCCATATAAATTTTAGAATGCATTTTTTTATTCCTGCAAAAGACACCATTGGAATTTTGATAAAGGTTGTATTAATCTATACAGTTGGATATACTTCTCATTTCCTTTCTTGTGTATTATTTATTTATTTATTTATTTATTTTCTTGGTCGTTACCATGGGGGTTAGTATTAACATCCCAGATTTTATCATTCTAGTTTGAATTTATATCAGTTTAGCTAAGTATCATGCAAATTATCAGGTCCTAAAAGCTCTTCGTTTATTGTCATTGTCACAAACTATGTCTGTATACATTGTGTGCTATTATAGATTTAAAGTTATTGTTTTATGATTTTATGTCTTTTAAATCATGTAGAAAAATAAGGAGTTATAAATAATACATAAAATAATGCTGGTTCTACAGTTATCTCTGTACTGTAGTTATCTTTTCTGCCATTTAATTTTTTTATGACTTCATGTTACTTTCTAGTGTCCCTTCATTTGAGCCTGAAGAACTCCCTTAAACAATTCTTCTGGGACAGGACTACTAGCAAAAATTTTTCTCAGCTTTTGTTTTTCAAGGAAGGTCTTGATTCTTTTTTTGTTTTTGGCCAACAGTTCTACAAAGTAGAGAATTACTGATTGAATTTTTTATTTTTTAATCACTTTATGCCAGTACATTGCCTTTGGGTTTTCATGATGTCTGATGAGAAATTGGCTGTTAATTTTATTGAGGATCTCTTATGCCCGATAAGTCACTTGTGACTTGTTGCTTTTGAGATTTTGTCTTTGTCAACTGATTAAAATGTGTCTTGGTATGGATCATTTAGCATTTTTTCTATTACAGATCTTAGATGTATAAATTTATGTTTTTCATTGTATTTGAGAAGTTTTCAGACTTTAAATTTTCAAAACAATTTCTGTTCCATCTTTCCTTTCCTTTTGGTATTCTCATTATGTATATGTTGGTATGACTGATGTTGTCTCATGGGTCCCTTATGTTCTGTTCATTTTCTTTATATTTTTTTCTTTCTGATGCCCATAGTGAAAAATTTCTATTGACTTACCTTCAAGATCACTTATTCTGTCTTCTGCCTTTAATTTGCTTTGAATCACTCTAGTCAGTTCTTTTACATTTCCACTATTGTATTTTTTGGCTCCTGTATTTCTGTTTGGTCCTTTTAATAATTTTTATACCTTTACTGATTTTTTAAATTTGTTCAGATAGTACTCTCCTTGTTTCTTTTAGTCATATTTCCATGATTTTTTTCTAGGTTTTTGAAGATATTGAAGAAAGTCATTTTAAAGTCTTTGTCCAGCAAGTCTAACGTCTGGGCTTCAGGAAAGGATTCTGTCAGTTTTTTCCCCATAAATGGGTCATACTTTCTGTTTTTTATGCTTTATAATTTTTGTTGAAACTTGAACATTTGTAATCTTACAATATGAAAATTTTGGAAATCAGATTCTCCTCCCTCCCCAGGGTTTATTGTTGTTTCTTTATTGGGCTGCAATCACATGTTTGTTTAATGACTTATTTTTCTAAGCTATTTTTTCAAAGCTATATTACTTGTTCTGTGTGGTTGTTGAAGTTTTCATTCCATTATTTCAGCATTTAGCTCATGTCCTTGTAGAAATTTCCTTAAATGCCTGGAGAAAAAAAAGGAAGAAAACATAACACAAATAGTGCTCCTGTTCTTTGTAGATTGGCTCTGAATTGGGACACTCCTATAACATGTAGCATTTACACCTACCTTAACCTTCACTTTATGAATGTGTAAAGTGTATAGATTAGCCAGAACTGCAAGCCTAGGGTCCCTTAAGTTCTTTTCTGAACATTTGTCTGGTCCTGGGCAGGTGTGTTGCAGTATCATTTCTCTGGTATATATGCGGCATTTTCAAACAGCCTTTATTCTTCCCTGTATCTTCCTTCCCAGAATTTCTGATTTGTCTGCTGTTTCCCCTGCCTAATATCTTTTGACCTAATTAGATGTTGATACTATATGTCCTTAAATGCTTTTGACAGGTGCTACCAAGGCAGCCACTCAAACTCTGAGGGAGTTCTTTGGGGAGCAAAATGAAGGCAAGTCTCAGATCTGGGCTCTCAGGGAACTGCCAGACAGTTCAGTATGTTCATCAATAATATATAATAAACTAGGTTTATTTAGCACGCTCTGGCGTTAGCAAGTCACACCAGAAATACTGGCTGCCACCAAGCTTGAGAATGGAGGATTGTAGGCAAAAGTCAGCAAAAATCCTATAGTGATTTCTTCCCACAATGAATCAGCATCTATCTTCAGTAAGCACTGCCCTGGTGGCTAGTTTTAAAAAATTGTATTCCCAAATATTCAAAAAAATTGAATTGCAAAAGTTTTTGACAGCTTAATGGTTGCTTCAATGGAGGAACAGATTTTTACAGCTTTCTGCTTCACTGTTTTCAGTGATGCCACTCATTTTCTTACTACTAAACTATTTGTATCTTTATATTTGAACTGATTTTTGTAGACAGCATAGAGTTGGGTTTTATTTTTTGTTCACTCTGACAGTCTCTGTTTCTTAATTGGTGTATTTAGGCAACACACTTTTAAAGTGGTTATTGATATAGTTAGATTAATAGATACTATATTTGCATTTGATTTCTATTCGTTGCTCTTGTTCTTTTTCTTCTCCCTCATTTTCTACTTCTCTAGTTATAATTGAGCATTTCATGTAATTGCATATTCTTTCTTATATGAATTACATTTCTGCTTTTTTAAAAAAATCTAGTAGTTCTCTAGAGTTTGCAATTATACATTTACAACAAATTTAAATCCACTTTCAAACAACATTATACTGTTTCTTCAGTAGTGCAGGCGTTACATAACATAGTATTGCTGTTTTTCATTTAACTAATCCTTATGCTATAATCTATCAATGAATTGTTACTATTATTATTTGAAAAACTATCTTATTAAATCAATTAGGAATGAAAAGAATAAAAGATTTTATTTTACCTTAATTTATGTTTTATCTGACGTTCTTGTTTTTAATGTAAGTCCTATATATTTGACCTATTTAATTTTTTTTCTTCCTAAAGAGCTTCTTTCCTTATTTTTTTTAAAAATATTTTCTTTGAGACAGGGTCTCACTCTCATTGCCAAGGCTGGAGTACAGTGACACAATCTCGGCTTACTGCAGCCTCAACTTCCTGAGCTCAGGTGATTCTCCCACTGCAGCCTCCCAAGTATCTGGCACAATTTTTCTTCTCTTTCTTCTCCTCCTTCCTCCTCCTCCTCCTCCTCCTCTTCTCCTTCTCCTTCTCCTTCTCCTTCTTCTTCTTCTTGTTCTTCTTCCTCTTCTTCTTCTTCTTCTTCTTCTTCTTCTTCTTCTTCTTCTTCTTCTTCTTCTTCCTCTTCCTCTTCCTCTTCCTCTTCTTCTTCTTCTTCTTCTTCTTCTTCTTCTTCCTCTTCTTCTTCTTCTTCTTCTTCTTCTGACTTAGGTTTTGTCATGTTGCCTGGCTGACCTCAAACTCCTGGGCTCCAAGCCATCCACTCATCTTGACCTCCAAAAGTGCTAAGATTACAGGCATGAGCTACCATACCTGGCTAGAGCATCCTTTTTACACATAATGTTTTTACATATTTATGGGAAACATGGATATTTTGGTACAAGCATAGGATGGTAAATGCTCAAGTCAGAGGATTTAGAATATCCATTACCTTGTGTATTTATTATTTCTATGTATTGAGAACATTCTAAATCCTTTATTCTAGCAATTTTTTATATAACATAAATTGTTGTTAACTATAGTAACCCAACTGCTATCAAACATTAGATCTTATTTCTTCTATCTAACTGTACATGTGTACCCATTAACCAACCTCTCCCTTATCCCCCCAAATACTTCCCCACCTCTAGTAATTATCATTGTCCTCTCTACTTCCATGAGAATAATTCTTTTAGATCCCACATTAGTGAGAGCATGTGATGAACTTTCTGTGCCTGGCTAATTGCACTTAACATAGTGACCACTAGTTCCATCAACGTTGCTGCAAAAGACAGGATTTGATTCTTTTTAATGGAAAATATTATTCAATTGTGTATATTTACCACATTTTATTTAAGTTGATGAACATTTATGTTATTTTTATATTTTTACTATTATGAATAGTGTTGCAATAAACAGGGCTGCAGGTACCATTTTAATATACTGATTTTCTTTGCTTTAGGTAATACTCAGTAGTGGGATTGCTGGATTGTATGGTAGCTTCATTTTTCATTTCTGAGAAACTTTCATTTTGTTTTCTGTAATGACTGTACTAATTTACATTTTTAGCAACAATGTATAAGAGTTCTCTTTTCTTCACATCCCTGCCAGAATCTATCTTTTCTTTTTTCTTTTTAATTATACTTTAACTTTTAGGGTACATGTGCACAATGTGCAGCTTAGTTATATATGTATACGTGTGCCATGTTGGTGTCCTGCACCCATTAATTCATCGTTTAACATTAGATATATCTCCTAATGCTATCCTTCTCCCCTCCAGCCTCCCCAGCACAGGCCCCGGTGTGTGATGTTCCCCTTCCTGTGTCCATGTGTTCTCATTGTTCAATTCCCACCTATGAGTGAGAACATGCGGTGTTTGGTTTTCTGTCCTTGCGATAGTTTGCTGAGAATGATGGTTTCCAGCTTCATCCATGTCCCTACAAAGGACATGAACTCATCAATTTTACGGCTGCATAGTATTCCATGGTGTATATGTGCCACATTTTCTTAATCCAGTATATCATTGTTGGACATTTGGGTTGGTTCCAAGTCTTTGCTACTGTGAATAGTGCCGCAATAAACATGCATGTTCATGTGTCTTTATAGCAGCATGATTTATAATCCTTTGGGTATATACCCAGTAATGGGATGGCTGGTTCAAATGGTATTTCTAGTTCTAGATCCCTGAGGAATCACCACACTGACTTCCACAATGGTTGAACTAGTTTACAGTCCCACCAACAGTGTAAAAGTGTTCCTATTTCTCCACATCCTCTCCAGCACCTGTTGTTTCCTGACTTTTTAATGATCACCATTCTAACTGGTGTGAGATGGTATCTCATTGTGGTTTTGATTTGCATTTCTCTGATGGCCAGTGATGAAGAGCATCTTTTCATGTGTCTTTTGGCTGCATAAATGTCTTCTTTTGACAAGTGTCTGTTCATATCCTACACCCACTTGTTGATGGGGTTGTTTGTTTTTTTCTTGTAAATTTGTTGGAATTCATTGAAGATTCTGGATATTAGCCCTTTGTCAGATGAGTAGATTGCAAAAATTTTCTCCCATCCTGTAGGTTGCCTGTTCACTCTGATGGTGATTTCTTTTGCTGTGCAAAAGCTCTTTAGTTTAATTAGATCCCATTTGTCAATTTTGGCTTTCGTTGCCATTGCTTTTGGTGTTTTAGACATGAAGTGCTTGCCCATGCCTATGTCCTGAATGGTAATGCCTAGGTTTTCTTCTAGGGTTTTTATGGTTTTAGGTCTAACATTTAAGTCTTTAATCCATCTTGAATTAATTTTTGTATAAGGTGTGAGGAAGGGATCCAGTATCAGCTTTCTACATATGGCTAGCCAGTTTTCCCAGCACCATTTATTAAATAGGGAGTCCTTTCCCCATTTCTTATTTTTCTATATCTCTGTTTTGGTAGCAGTACCATGCTGTTTTGGTTACTGTAGCCTTGTAGTATAGTTTGAAGTCAGGTAGCGTGATGCCTCCAGGTTTGTTCTTTTGTCGTAGGATTGACTTGGCAATGCGGGCTCTTTTTTGGTTCCATATGAACTTTAAAGTAGTTTTTTCCAATTCTGTGAAGAAAGTCATTGGTAGCTTGATGGGGATGGCATTGAATCTATAAATTACCTTAGGCAGTATGGCCATTTTCACGATATCAATTATTCCTACCCATGAGCATGGAATGGTCTTCCCTTTGTTTGTATCCTCTTTTATTTCATTGAGCAGTGGTTTGTAGTTCTCCTTGAAGAGTTCCTTCACTTCCTTTGTAAGTTGGATTCCTAGGTATTTTATTCTCTTTGAAGCAATTGTGAATGGGAGTTCTCCCATGATTTGGCTCTCTGTTTGTCTGTTATATGTGTATAAGAATACTTGTGATTTTTCCACATTGATTTTGTATCCTGAGACTTTGCTGAAGTTGCCTATCAGCTTAAGCAGATTTTGGGCTGAGACAAAATTTATAGACAGCTAGCAAGACTAATAAAGAAGAAAAGAGAAAAGAATCAAATAGACACAATAAAAAATGATAAAGGGGATATCACCACTGATCCCACAGAAATGGAAACTACCATCAGAGAATACCATAAACACCTTTATGCAAATGAACTAGAAAATCTAGAAGAAATGGATAAATTCCTTGACACATACACCCTCCCAAGACTAAACCAGGAAGAAGTTGAATCTCCGAACAGAGCATAACAGGCTGTAAAATTGAGGCAATAATTAATAGCTTACCAACGAAAAAAAGTCCAGGACCAGATGGATTTCACAGCCGAATTCTACCAGAGGTACAAGGAGGAGCTGATACCATTCCTTCTGAAACTATTCCAATCAATAGAAAATAGAAGGAATCCTCCCTAACTCATTTTGTGTGGCCAGCATCATCCTGATACCCAAGCCTGGCAGAGACACAACAAAAAAAAAGAGAATTTTAGACCAATATCCCCGATGAACATCGATGCAAAAATCCTCAGTAAAATACTGGCAAACGGAATCCAGTAGCACATCAAAAAGCTTATCCACCATGATCAAGTGGGCTTCATCCCTGGGATGCAAGGCTGGTTCAACATACACAAATCAATAAATGTAATCCAGCATATAAACAGAACCAACGACAAAAACCATATGATTATCTCAATAGATGCAGAAAAGGCCTTTGACAAAATTCAACAACCTTCATGCTAAAAATTCTCAATAAATTAGGTATTGATAGGACGTATCTCAAAATAATAAGAGCTATGTATGACAAATCCACAGCCAATATCATACTGAATGGGCAAAAACTGGAAGCATTCCCTTTGAAAATTGGCACAAAACAGGGATGCCCTCTCGCACCACTCCTATTCAATATAGTGTTGGAAGTTCTGGCCAAGGCAGTCAGGCAGGAGAAGGAAATAAATGGTATTCAAATAGGAAAACAGAATCTGTCTTTTTTTTAATTTTTTTTTATAATAGCCATTCTTACTGGGATAAAATAATGTCTCACTGTGGTTTTGATTTGCATGACCCTGATCATTAGTGATGTTGAATATTTGTTTATGTACCTGTTGACCATTTGTATGTATTCTTTGAAAAATTTCTTTTCAGGTTATTTGCCCATTTTTAATGGGAATGTTAGTTTTTTTTGTTTTTTTTTTTTTTTGGTGTTGACTTGTTTGATTTCCTTGTAGATTCTGGACATTATTCTTTTGTCAGATGAAGAGTTTTCAAATATTTTCTCCCATTCAACAAGTTCCTTCTTCACTTTGTTGATTGTTTTCTTTGTTGTGCAAAAGCTTTCTAATATAGTTACATTTGTCTATTTTTTGTTTTTGTTGCCTGTAGTTTTGAGATCTTAGCCATAAAATATATGCCTAAGCAAATGTCCTGAAGTATTTTCTCTGTGTTTTATTCTAGTGCTGTCATAGTTTTCGGTCTTACATTTGAGTTGTTCACCTATTTTGAGTTGATTTTTGTATATAGTGAGAGGTATAGGGCTAGTTTAATTTTTCTGCCTATTGATATCCAATTTTTCTAGCACTATTTATTGAAGAGGGTGTCCCAAGGGGCCTCTTATTTTCCTTTAAGGACAGATATGGTGGTGATAAATTCCATTAGTTTTTGTTTGTCAGAGTGTGTCTATTTCTCTTTCACTTTTGAAGAATGATTTGTCAGGATAGATAATTCTTGATTAGTATTTGGTTTTGCTTTACTTCCATCACTTTAAATATTTCACCCCATTGACTTCTTGCTTGTATGATTTTGACAAGAAGTCAAGTGTAGTTCTTATTCTTGTTTCCTATAGGTAAGTTTTTCTCCTCCCTTTCCCTTCCTGCTTATTTCAAGTTTTTCTCTTTCTCTTTCTCTTTTGTTTCCTACAATCTAAATATAATACACCTAGATATATTTTTTGTACGTATCCTGCTCGACATTCATCACACTCCCTGAAACTGTGGTTTTTTGTCATTCATTAATTTTCAAAGTCTGCTATTACTACTTCAAATATATTATCTGCTTTATCCTTTCTTCTCTTTCTGGTATTCCAATTACACACATGTTGAATATTTTGAAATTGTTAAACAATTCTTGGGTATTTTGTTCTGTTTTTAAAGTTATTTTCTTTTTTGTCTTAGTTTTGAAAGTTTCTATTGACTATATCTTTGAGCCATTTGATTCTTTCTTAAGCTGTGGTCTGTCTACTGATGATCCCATTAGACTTTCTTCACTTCTATACAGGTTCTTTTATTTCTAGTATTTCTTCTTTATTTTATTCTTGGGGTTTCCATATCTGTGCTTATTATATAATCTTACATAACTGAATGTTAACTATGTTTTTATTAGCATCCCTAACATTGCAATCACAGTTATTTTAAATTTCCATTCTAGACTTTTCAAAATCTATCATATCTGAGTCTGATTCAGATGTTTCTTTATATGTTCTGACAGTGTTTTTCTTACTTTTTAGTAAGAAAAGTAAGTGTTATTCTAACTTTTTAAGTTGAAAGCCGGATGTAATAACATGATAACCCAAGTTCTCATTACATAATAGAAACTGAAGTAAATAGAAATTTAGAGTGAGATTTCATATTAATCTGGCGAGGAATTGGCTGTGTTTAATGTTTGCTGTAGCTGTAGGCACCAGAGGTTTTAATTCTTCCCAGTGTCCCTATTTTGCCCTCCCTTATTGTCTTTGAGTTTCCTTAAAATTCTTTCTTAAATAAAGTCAGCACCTTGAACTTCTTTTATTTGTAATCCACTATTATTTCACAGGAGTCTTGTTGATGTTGTGGTTATTTATGGAGCAGGGGAAGTTCTATAATCGAATTGTTACTTCTTATTCTCTTTGTGAGCCTATGTCACTTCACAAGTATTTCTTTGCTTTCTGTCCCACTCATAAATGAGACAGGAAGATTAGAGGAGGCTAGAATGTAGTACATAACCTTCCCTGAGTTTTAATAACACTCTGGTAGTCTTTTTCCCTCAAGTGTAGGTCTTTGTTATTGAAAATATTCTTCATGTATTATAAATAGCTTTCCTTTTCCCTACAGAAACAAGAGAGGATTTTTCTTGGCTTTTAAAGAGCGTGCTGGGTTTCCTGGTGGTATAAATGGTGGAACTGTGGAGGTCTTTCCTTGTATTAAATGATCCTGATGCTTTTGAAGTGAAGTGTTCAGGTACTCTGTAGACTATCCTTCAATTTGAGTTTTCCTGATGTTTTCACTTGATTAGACTGGATTTTAGGAAATAATACCAGAGAGATAATGGACCTTTTTCAGAGTGTCCTATCAAGAGAAACATGATGGTAATATGTCTTATTGGTTGTCTTATTATCAATTGATCACTTGATCCCTAGGTTAAGGTAGTTTCTGGGAGGTTTCCTCAGAGTAATTTTACTATTTTGTCTTTCATAATTAATGCATATCTTTCAGGAGTTTCAGCTGAATGGGTTTTGGCCATTGCATAGAGCCAGGTGTCTACTTTCACAGTTCCTTACAGAACAATTTTATCACCCTACCAATTATCTCATGTTGCAGCCTTGAAGTGAATCTCTTCTCTCAACTCTAATCTCTGGTAACTACTGATCTGTTTTCATCTCTATAATTTTATCTTTTCCAGAAAGTCGTATAATAGAGTTATTTAAATATGTAGGCTTTTGGATCTGGCACCTTTCACATAGCAAAATGGATGTGATAATCATTTCCATTTGAACAGTACTCCATGGTTTGGATATACTACAGTTTGTTTTTCCATTTTAGGTTAATTTTATTGTCAGTATTTAATGGTCAGCTCTTGACAATGGCAAATTGTCAGGAGCTCTATACTGCTTTCAAAGTCATGATTTCAATATTGCTCCACTTTCAATCCATAGGCAGAGCAGGGATTATTAGCCACAGTTTGCAATTGAGGAAATTGTGGTCTAAAAAATAAATAATCTGCTACTCACAACAGAGGAAGTTAGTGGTAGGGCCAGGATTATGAGCTCAGATTTTCTGATTTCCAGTCCAGTACTTGAACACAAGCAGGGGAGAAAAATGATTATGACTAACAGATTGGCGAATAGGCCTAGGAAGATTAAATTTGGCCTGATCAAGAGAGAGCCTAGAAAATACTCTGGAAACTCTAATTCATATAAAGGGGTTGCAAGTAGAATTGAAAGAAGACTAGATAATCTTTAAGCAGCAGCAGGAGAGAGTGTTCAATTGGACTTAAGATATAAAATGGGAGACCTGGAGTTATTTTTTCTTTAAAAATAAATTAGAGCATAACAAGAACATGTTATAGAAAACCCACCTGCCTCCAGGTTGTGAACCAGGGAATAGAAAGATCTCAAGAATAAGTCTATTCCTTAGCATTTCTGGTTTGTTGAGAAGGTTCTATAAGATAAATGAATGTTTTCATTGATCCACAACTGTGTGTTGAATCATAGATGTCTAGAATGTCAGAGCTGAAAGTAATCCTAAAGATTGTCTAGTCCAACCTCCCTATTCCAAGTATGAGGAAATTGAGGTCAAGTGAAGGGAAATGACTGCACAAGTTCAAACAGGGAGATTGGCAGTAAGGTCTCCTAAGTCTCAGGCACTCACATTGATGTTTTCTTAAAGCCATTATCTGGAGACCCATTTATTTGATCATCACTTTGTTCAATGAATATTTACTGATCAATATTGGCTTGGGTCTTGGATATCCTCAGGTTTCACAAACTTGCAGTATCATATACAGACACACAAACAATATAGTAATATTACACATTTCACTGTTTCTTGATCCCACATAACTAATTAAAGACCGTCTTGGAAGCCTATGTAATATTTCCAGGGATTTCACGTATCTTACTTGTATCTATGTCTGCTTTTCCTCTTCTTCACCTCTGTTCTGCCTAGCCCTGCCACCTACCTTGTGAAATACCACTGGAGCCCTCATTATGGCAAAGTTACCAGATAGCCTCTGTCAAAGAAGGGGAAAATACCTTTCCTCCACTTGCATTCTGCCTTGTAAGAGACATTTCTAATCAGTACTACTTGAGCTTTTACTCATTCAGTTTTCAGCAAAAAAGCACTTTCATAAGCTCCTCAAACATGACTCTTTCTTCCTTCAGTATCTGATCTGAGGAGGCTCCTTGATCCTCTGTCATATAAGCTTCTGGCAGGCCCACCCACCAGTTTACCAGGCATGCTTGATCTGTCTGAATTTCAATTTAGATGCAAGCTGTAAATCCCCAGATCCCATTTTTACCTTCTCCTCACCTAGGCTTGAACAACTGGCATCTAAATGAAGATACAAACTTATCTTGGCCTCTTGTAACTTAAAATAGCTAGCACATGGCATTGTACTTTGATATCCTTTGAGGTCGGTTGTTCCTCAGTAGGGGCAATTTTGCCCTTTGGCTCTCCTATCAGGGAACATTTGGCAATCCTGGAGACATTTTTGGTTATTACACTACTGGAAGGAGTGTTGTTAACATCTAGTGGGTAAAGAATAGGGTCAAGATAAGTTTAACACCTACTCACAAATACACTCTATAATCTTTGAGTTATTCAGAAAAAAACATACTTGAGCCACAATATCTGTGAATATATGTGTTAATAATAATAATAGCTAAAGATTACACAGCACTTTTCATGTTCTAGGCACTATTCTGAGTGCTTTATATGGATTTTCTCATTTAAACCTCACATTAACCTTATGAGAGAGATACTGTCACTAATCCCCTTTTTTTTTTTAATAGTTGAACCAAGATAAGTTTCTAGAAGTGCAATGTAAGATTCTGTCCTAACCTAGAGGTCAGTCAATCAATACTCATTTAGTAGAGAGGATCCTATACTAGGTGTTAGTATTACAGAAACAAATGAGACTCCACCCCTTGATAAGGGAAGGGTGGCCAATAAAGGGCTGCCCTTTGTAGTTAAAACATCATCCAATTCCACAATAAGGCCTACGTGATCTGCCCCCTGACTGACGGTAAGGTAATTTTCCTCTCTGAATTTTAGTTTCATAACAACATAATATCAGAGTTGTAGACTTGGTAGTTTATTGCTCTGATGTTTGATAATTTTATGCTTTTTATGTGCTTTTATCAAGTATTATCTGTTATGGCCTGTAAGCCTCTTTGGGGAAGGGACCTGAGTATTACTTTGGTACACTTACAGAGCTAGCTCCTGATTACAGAGTTTTTGGTGATAAAAGCAGCCTAGTAGTGAGTGGATACCTAGCAGTGAGAGGTAGAGAGTACATGGAAGCAAAGAGATGGCTAGTGGGAGTGGACTGAATGGAGTTTGGTGGGACCTACCTGGGAAAGCTCCTTGAGTAAGTATTTTTAAGTTAAATGTAATCTATTTCTATATTTCTAGTTGGAGTTTCAACTCTCCTGGAAAGAGGAAAATGGCCATAAGAATTTTTTCCTTGACAATACTGGGAATTGATTAAAGAAGAAGAGGAAAACTGGAGATAAAATGGAGCAAGAGGGAAGAAAAAAAGATCAGAGAGAAGATGAGGGAAAAGGAAGAAGTAAGAAAGGAAATGGAAAGGGCATATGGTGAGGAAAATAGGAAAGAAAGGGAGGAGAAAAAAGTGAAGAAGACAAGAGACATGAGGAATACAAGAAGAAGAAAACAGAAGAGAAGTAGAGAAAAGGAGCTGAGAATCTGGAGAGAAGTACAAATGAAAAGATAAAGAAAAAGAAAAAGAAAAGTGGCTAAATGGAAGAAAGGAAATGTAAATGTAGTCCTTTGTAACTGAATGACCACCAGATGCCTAGAGAAAAATCTCAAGTATCATTAGTATTCCAGACGCTCACAGTTTTATTGAAGAAGGTCTTGTTGAGCTTTACATAATTTTTTATGGAATAAAATTGGTCTTGGCAACACACTGTGCCAGGGAGAATGGCAATGCATCACCATGGCTTTTAAATGTATCAGCATCCTTCCTTGCTGGAACAAACACGCATGGCTCAGACAGATAAACATGAAGCCCTGGGCAGCTGCACGTGTGGTACATTTTCCTGGAATAGTGACAATGGCTTGAATTTCTCTCTCTCTGGGTATTTTGTTTTAAATTTTTAAACAAGTCACCCCTTCAAATGCATTCACTACCTTCTCATTCTGAATTACTCAGACCAGAATCCCTCTGTGTCTCCCATGTGTTTGATACAAACACATTTCTCCCTTAAGGAGAGAGGGCCTAGGATCATGGCCCTGTGAAATAAATGAAAAGTGAAGCTCAAGAATTTTAGGCTACTTTGGTTCCAGTTTCCAAATGTTAGTGAATTTGGACCATCAGTCCTTTGATTTATAGAACATTATTGCTAAGAGAACACTGAAGATTATCTTTCAATGCCAGTCTGCTCACCCACAATATACATACAACTTCCCACTTCACAGAGATGGGAATAGACTCATGTAGGCCTCCTGCCACCTGGGCCGGTACTCTTTTCCATGGTCTTATGTGCTTCCACTAATGCCAACATGAGGTACAAAAATAATAGACAAAACCTATTTCAAATCAGACTAAAAGTTTGGCCTGCTGAATGGGCCTCAAATTCCCCTTGTTCTATCTGTCACTGGCCAAGTGGAAGGAGTATATTGTACATCCTAGGGGAAGAGAAGTAGACTAGGAACAGGGGGAAATCCTCTATATAGTAGCTTTGCTGATCTCTAAGCAGAATGAAGGAAGAGCGCAACATGAGATGAGTCATAGGGAAAAAAGTGAAAGTGGAGAGGGAGATGGGATGGCTCTCATACTTTTCAAGAGTCTGAGTGTTTACGATGTGTCACATACTTTACTACTTTATTTCATTTGGTCTTTGCATTGATCTTATGAGATAGCCATTATTGACCATATTATTTTATAACGGAGGAAATTGAGGCTCATAAAAGTGAAGTGGCCCCACCAAGGTCACAGAGAAGCAACAAAGGTAGGATTTAATCTCTGGTCTTTTTGTCTTTAAATGTATCATTATTTTCTGCTTACATCAATTGTCCAGCAGCTTCTTGTCCTTTAAAAGGCTGGTTTGTTTTAGTTCTCAGAAGTTGGATGAGATAAGATCATAGAACTATAAAGTGTCAGGCCTGAAAGGGGACTTTGAGACCACCTAGTTCCATGCTTTTCCAACCTCCTCACCTCTCAGAACCTTTTGGATTTAATTTTTCTATTGTCCTTTGAAATCATTTTTCTTTTCCAGGTCCTATGTTCATAGATAAAGATGCCAAAAACAGTTACAACAAAAACAAAAATTGACAAATGGGACCTAATTAAGCCGAGGAGCTTCTGCAAGGGAAAATAAAACTATCAACAGAGTAAACAGTAACCTCAGTAACCTTAGGAAATGAGAGAAAATTTTTGCAAACCAGACATCTAACAAAGGCTTAATATCCAGGATCTATAAGGAACTTAAACAAATTTACAAACAAAACTCAAACAACCCCATTATAAAGTGGGCAAAAGACAGGAAAATATACTTTTTAACAGAAGACATACACGTTGCCAACAGGCATATGAAAAAGTGATCAATGTTACTAATCATTGAATAAATGCAAGTCAAAACCACAATGAGATATAATCTCATACCAGTCAGAATGACTATTATTAAAAAGTCAAAACAGATGCTGGCTAGGTTCTAGAAAAAAGGGAATGCTTATACACTGCTTGTGGGAGTGTAAATTAGTTCAACCATTGTGGAAAGCTGTGCAGCGATTCCTCAAAGAACTTTCCACTCTATCCAGCAATCCCGTTATTGAGTATATACCCAAAAGAATATAAATCATTCTACCATAAAGACACATGCATGTGTATGTTCATTGTAGCACTATGTACAATAGTAAAGACATAGAATTAACCTAAATGCCCGTTAATGGTAGACTGGATAAAGAAAACGTGGTACATATACACAATGGAACAGTATGCAGCCATGAAAAAGAATCAGATTATGTCCATTGCAGCAACATGGGTGGATGTAGAGGCCATTATCCTGAGTTAATTAACACAGGAACAGAAAACCAAATACCTCATGCTCTCACTTATAAGTAGGAACTAAGCATTTAATACGTATAGACACAAAGAATGGTACACAGACACCAGGGCCTACTTGAGGGTGGAGATTGGAAGGAAGGTGAGGATCGAAAAACTACCTATTGGGTACTATACTGATCACCTGGGTGATAAAATAGTCTGTACACCACACCCCCACAACATGTGCAATTTACCTGTATAACAAACCTGCACTTGTGCCACTGAATCTAAAATAAAAGTTTAAAAAATTCTAGAAAATAACAATGCAAACTAAGAAGGAATGAAAAAAAATTTAAAAACCATTTGTCTTTAAAATAAACAGCATTTATTAAGCAATAACTAAGTTGTGTTTCCATTTGTATTAGTCAAAGACATATGTGGGCTGCACAGGGGAATTTGTGGTTCACTGAGTTGAGCACAGTCATTACTCTGAGCTGCCATTAGGCTTCTCAGAAGTAGGCCTTAAAGATTTCTTTAGTACCAACATCGCTAAAGTGAAAGTCTTACAAATTAAGTCTTATCTCTCATTTTGCATGTGGAAAAACTGAAGTTCAGAGAGGTTGAGTGACTTGCCTGGCTTTAGATATCCAGTTAATGGCCAGATAGGCACAGGACCCAAATTTGTCTCCTATTTCATCTGCTTCTATGTCAGGTTCTCTTTGTCCTTAAACAATTTTCTGTTTGTTTGTTTTCATCTTGAGAGTGCTCTATTTTCAGGGCTCCACTATTTCCTCTGATGGCAGATATTTCTACCTAGGAAGTTTGGCCACAGTATAAGTTTATTTGGTTTTGCTTGTTGAAGTGAATTAGCCAAGGTGTTTAATGTTAGTCATTACCTTGCTGCTGTTAAATGGGCTGTTGTGATCTAGGGCATGAAGAATGGGTGGGGACACTGTGACAGCAGTCCTTTTAGAAAGCCCAGAACTAAGAATTGTGAGGAATCCAAATAGAAAAAACAATCCAATCCTGCCTTTGAAGGAATCCCTCTATAGTTGAGGAGATGGTAACTCTATCTAAAACTCAACATTAATTAAAAATAATCAAAAGACTCAACAAATGTGTATTTTTTTCTATTGAGGCAAATTTACTAATTAACTAATTGGTAAATATTTAATGATGGCCCAGCCTGTACTAGGCCAGTGATGATAAAACATTTTCTGTAAAGAGTTACATAGTATATATTTTAAACTTTGTGGACTATACATCTCTGTTTAAATTACTCAATTTTATTGTTATAGTGTGAAAGCAACCATAGACAATCCATAAATAAATGGGCATGTTTGTGTTCCAATAAAATGTTACTTTCAAAAATGTGGTGGACAGATTTGGTCATATGCCAGTTTTCCAGCCTGTGTTTGAAATCCTGGAGATACAGCAGTTTATTAGTGGTAGGTCCTCATTTGCAAGGCACTTACAGTCTAGCAGAGAGATATGTACACTGGGCAAACCATTACAGGAATTAAGGAGTCTTCTCTGAGAAAAATCATGTGGTGATGCTTGGGAGCAAAGAATAAGGAGATTTAACTTAGTCTGTGGAGTCAAGAAAGGCTTTCTTGAAGTGGTGACACTCAAACTGAGGCCTGGAAAATGAGTATGAGTTTTCTAGTTAAAAAACAAGGCAGGGAGCAAATTCCTGGTCCAGATGCAAGAGCTATTTAGTTCTCATGTCTCCTTAGGCTCATTAGCCAAGAGGCTTTGACAGTTATCTGAGACTTGTTTTGATGACCTTGATAATTATGAGGAATGCAGGTCAAGCATTTTGCAGAATGTACCTTTATTGGAATTTCTTTGGTGTTTTTATTATAACTAGGCTGGGGTGGGTTTTGGTGAGGAGGACCACAGACATAAAGTGCCTTTTTCAATGCATCACACCAAAGATATGCTATTAACATGATTCATCAGTGTTAATGTTGATCATGATCTCCTGGATGAGGTAGTGTTTGAAATTAATTTTAAGTGCAATGAATATCCAGATTTCTGGCTTGAGCAACTGGGAGGATAGAGGTGGCATTTGGTGAACCAAGGGCACTAGAGAAGGTACAGACTAATTCTGGGAGATGATGGGTTGTAAAAGTCCAATTTTGAATATGTTGAGTTTGAGGTGACTGTAGAACATCCAGTGACGATGTCTAGAAGGCAAGTAGATATACTGGTTTGTAATTTAAGACAAAGGTCTGAGCTTGAGGAATAGATTGAAGAGAAATCATCATGTAAAGGCCATGGCCATGGATGAAGTAACGACTGAGAATGTGTCAGAACAGAAGAATGCATAAAGAAGGGTCCAAGCTATACATTTTAAAGGTTAGTAGAAGAGGAATCACTAGTATTGGAGATTGGAAGGAAAAGTCGGACAAGTAAGAGGAAAATGTCCAGAATAGTGTCACAGAAGCCAGTGAAAGGAAATGTTGCAAAGCAAAGTGTTCAGATCATGTAACAATTTGGCAAATTAAGGCCTGAAAAAACATCACACATTAATTCCACAAATATTTATTGGGTACGGACTTTGTTACAGACACTGTTCTAGGTACTGGGAAAACATTTGAATAAGATGGACAAAGTCCATTGGCTAGACTGAAAGGGAAGTCATTGGTCCTCTTAGTGAAGGCAGTGTCAACGGAGTGATGTGAGTAGATATCAAAAGTGGGTTGAAAGTGAGTGGGAGGAAAAAAACCAGAGATAATAACTATAGTTAACCCCTTCATGAAGTTTAGCTGTGAAGAGAAGGAGAGAGGGCAATAACTGTAGTGAGACATAGGATGTAGAGATTTTTAAAGATAGAAGTCTTGAGCATGCCTCAAGGCAAATGAGTAGGAATCTATAATGACAGAGTACGAAGACGTCTATGAAAGGGCATAATAATTACTAGAGTGAGGCTTCTGAGAAGGTGGACGGTGTTGGAGCCCAGGAAATAAGTGGAAAGCTTAGCTTCAGATATCAGGCTCTCTGATATCTAAAGATATTTTGGCTTCTTTTGACTTTGTATCTCCAGGGTCAGACTGTACATAGGCATTCCAAATTTTGGTATAACAATTGAGTGAAAAGAAGAATTGAAGGAAAGAAGAAAGATTTGAAAGGAGGAAAAGGGAGAGAGAAAGAGTAAAAAAGAGAGAGAGAGAACAGGAGGGAGGAAGGTGGGAGGGAGGAAGTAAGGAAGATTCTGTTTTAGGATAACCTGACTAGAATGTTACAGAAGTGATTCCTGTGTTAGGTGGGAAGTTACAATAGAGCTGTAAGCTCCCTTCTTGTTCTTAGAACACTGAAATGTCAAGAACCTACAACCTGCTAAGAATTCCTCAGACTGAACTGAAAGCCAAAGCTTTACATTTGGATGATGGAAATATGGACTCTAAAGAGGAGCTGAAGGATTCAGGAGTCAAGGTAGATTTGCCTTTGAGAGGCTAAGTCAAGTTCATTTTGACTCCTGAATACTCCAGCTACTCTATGCATAGACAAAAAAAAATGAGCTCTATCCTGGCAGGGTGAAACAGTCTCTCTGCCAACAGTCTCCCATGGGTCTTTCTCACTGACCATGGGAAAGAAACAGTAGTGTACCTCTTAAGCCAGGATAGTTTAATTTCTACTAATTATTTGCCTAGGTTTTTCTAGTAGACTAGGCTGCCTGGTTCTGGGAAATAGGCAGGGACTTTAATGTTTGGGGAGCTACCCACCCACCCAGGTCAATTCTGTAGCTAGAGAAGCCTATCAAGCTTCTTTGACAGGGCAGTTGTTGCTATCATTTGTTGAGATACTAGCTAGATGGGAATGGTAAGAGTGGTATGAAATTTTCTTAAACTAGCTTATCTGAAAGCTCAAATTCAGAAATTTGTTTATCCTAGGAGTCTCAGGCCCTAAATGATACTTGTGGCTAAAAATACCACCATATTTATATACATTTTTTCACCTTCCTTGGGTTTGGTAATCTAAACTTTTGAAAAAAAATTCAACTTGACCTGAGATACTTATGATTGAGCCTTAAAATCTGAGATTCCACAAAGCCTTTAGAAATTATATAATTCTACTAGCTCATTTGGGATGGAAAAACAGACCCAGAAATGGAAAAAAAGTAGCTCAAAGTCACACAGCTCATAGACTCATAACTTAGAGTTAAAGTCTTCCTTAAAAACTTATTCGACTTAGACAAGGAAGACTTGAATTCAATTCTTGGCTTTGCCAGTCAGCAGCTGTGTAATTTGGGGCTTGTTAGCCTACATTATCTTTAGTTCCCTAAAGTGTAAAGTGGGTATGTTAATAATATTAATTTCACAGGGTTATCTTTATAGGTCAAGTGAAATGAAATGTGTTATCACACTTGGCCTTTAAAATACTACACACCATACATTTTAGACAAGAGAATTGAAACAGAATGACTTATTGCTTATTGAAATATTAATGAATATTCTAGAAAACAATGAGGGTTCCATAACCAAATCAATTGTGAAACTGTTCAGCCAAGATAAACATGTTATTTACGTTTAACTTTCATTTACAGGACCCGTTGGAATCTTTGATATGCTAATGTGTGTTGTGACTGTCCAAGAGGGGATAGAACCAAGATAAAAAAATGTAGATACTATTTACCTCAAGTGTTACGAAGTTTAAATAACAGTGCTTGACACTTAGTAGGCATTCATTTAGTTTCTTTACTTCTTTTCTTCACCCTCACTGCTCTGTGCCTCCACTGAAGGTGGACTGTAAAGGCGTGCTTTAGACATGTAGTAGCAATGTGTAACACTTTATTCTAGCCAGAAATACAGGATTCCCCCAGACTGAAAATCCTGCCCACTGGCAGCCAAGCCACTACACTGGATGCCTTGTGACTTCTGGTGACCTTTTGGTCTTGTGTGTTTCCAATTTGCCAACAGTCACTGGCAAGTAGTAAAGGTCTTTTGTGCTCAGGTTATAATGTATCTAAGTCCTTTCCTTTTACAGACAGTTGAACTTATTTAACTGATCATCTATTCCAATAATCTCCCAACACACTGACTTTCTTGTTCAGGGGTTAGTAGTTATTTTAATATGACTTTCTTCAGACATTGAAATTTCTTTTTCTCATTCATTTCCCCAACTTCTTCCCATCTGTCTCTCTCCTCATCTCTTAAGACGAAGTAATACCTGTTTTTTTTTCCCACTGCGTAATCACAGGGCCACTCATTCCAGTGAGTGGGCATAATCACAACCAAGCCAAGCCTCGTAGTTGTCACTCTTGAAAGGGCTCTGTGTAGAGGTGCCTCTAATTGGCCCATTGAATAGAAGGTCAGAGGTGTTTAACATTAGACCAGTCTCAGACACTGTCCTTACAAATCTGGCTCAGATTTTCTGATATCTTTTTGCACCAATACTTCATTCTTAGCTTGAGATCCAATCTGAATTATTAATCTAGTTCTTGAACCCTGTGCTCTGGCCATGTTCAGAAATATTACCAGAACTGTTGAAATCCAAACTCTATGCCTGAGAGTAGGAGAAAGTGGGCTCTGGGCTTAGGTAATTCCTGTAGAGAGTTTTCCCAGTAGCCAAGCCATTGAAATTCAAATCTGTATTGCCTCAGGAAGAGTTTTATCTGGAGACCTTGAGGATACTTAACTTATTCAGGCATTTTCTGAAAAGTTACCTGCCTTGTACCAAATATCATATATATGCATATATATATATATATATATATATATATATATATATATATATATATGTAGAGAGAGAGCATTATATGCTATTATAAGTTGAAAACTTTCATTCTTTAAGCATTTGTTTTTATTATACTTGTATTCATATTTGATGTCTTTTAAGTGTGCCACTCAAAACTCTAGCGTTTTTGGAAGTGTGTCGTAAGCACTAAGTATTTGAAAACCACTATCTTAAAGGAAAGCTGGGGTCCTTCAACAGGTTTCATATTCAATTTTCCTCTTTGGGCTGATAAGGACATGAACAAGGGAGGTAACCATTCTCAGCCTCCACTTAGTATCGTGTCATTTAATACTCACTCTGAGGAAGATATAATCATTAACATCCTATAAATGTAAAAAGAAAGTCAGAGGGAAGATGTGGAGCCACTGTTTAAATCATGCTCAATAATTCAGATGAATGTATGTCAAGGTGGGAGGGATGGGGATAGAAGAAGGTTTTGTATATTACCAAAGCATCCTGGCAGGGTTCTCCTAAATTTTTTCCAGCACACTGTCATCCACTGCTAAGAATTTGAAAACAAAATTAAAAATGAAGTGCTCCTGCAAGTGTCCAGGAGAATTAGCAAATTACAGTTTATTCCCAAGCTAGAAACATAGAGAGGATACTATCACTTAGAGTCACTGCTGTTCAGGTGGCAGCGTGATGTGGCATTATTATGAGCAGAGATTTAAGAATAAACAGCACTGTGTTAGAATTTAAACTCTGCTTCTTATTCTGCATGAATAGACTTGAATAAATTTTGTAATCTTTGAAACTCAATGTTGTCATCTGTGAAATGGTGTTAATAAACTACCTACCTGTTTCATAAGATTCTTGTAAAAGTTGAATAACATAATGCACTTAAAGCAAGGTGTGTGATGTATTATGAAATGACAGGATGTAATCTGTCATTATTATTATGAAGCAGATTATGATGATTATTATTATAATTATGGAATTGGGATTCCATTTATAATGTCATTAATTATGATGAGAAAGTCAACCACTTGACAAGATAATTGTAAAGGGAATTCAGGATTCAGCCTGTGGTGTAGGAAAGAAGGATACAATTTAGTCAGGAGGCCAGAGTCTGAGTCCTGAATCTGTCCCTAGCTACTTCAGTTATCTTGTTGCCTCTCTGCATTACAGTTTTCTTGTCTGTGGAATGGGTATTTTGGGAAAAAATAAATGAATATGAAAAAAAATAAGAGCATGGATGTAAATGCACCTTGCACAGTGATAACCAAGAGATAGTGGTTACTAACATGTGTAAGGACTGGAGTATATGAGCTCAATTCTGAGATTCTGCAAGTGTCTGGATTTCTTTCTATCCACAACTCTACCCATCTTAGTGAGGGCATGGACCTTGGTATTGAAAGGGTTGAGTCCCAGAAGGGGAAGGATGCAATTGTTTTAGGATCTGGAGCCCAAGTGGAAGTGAGTTGAGAAGCTAGGAATGGGATATCATAGAAGAGGCAGATGTCCTGTGTACGAAGTACCTAGTTTGTTTACACTCATTACCTAACTTAATCCTCTAAATAGTTCTATAAGGTAGCGATAATAATGACCATTTTATTTCTTTAGAAACATTCTTCTTGTTCTTCTTATTATTATTTACACAACATATACCTCCAGGACAAGTGCCATCCTAATTCCAAACTAGGGAAATTTTCCTGCTGCTTCATTCCTTTGAGACATAGCTATTAGTAATACTGTATGTGCTTTGATGAGAATATACTAGAAAGGAGAAAATAGAAGGGAAATCACGCCAATATCTTACCTCATTATGGCTACTGTTAACAGAGATATATTTTCTCCCAGCCTTTTTGTCTTTCAGTACTTTCACATAGTTAAAATATAATAACCATTAATGCTTGATAATAAATGATCAATGGTATTAACACTTGAAAAAATATATAATAACCTTGTTAAGCCCCACTATAAAAATTCAACCTTGCATTTTTCTATGTTAATACATATTTTTCATAATCAGGATATTAATGGTTGAAGACAATTTCAAGAGATTGTAGCAGAATTTTCTTACCATTTCCGTATTTTTTATTATTCACACTTGCTATACACATTAGGATAATGAAGTTCGAAAAGGTCAAGCAATGTGCCAAGGGTCACATAGTTAGTGACTAAGTCACAGCTTAAAGCCAGATGTTTGGTTTCAAAAACTGCTTTCTTTCCACTAGTTCTCTCTGTCTCTCTTCTTCACATAAAATCAAAAGACTAGAAATTGTAAATAAATATGCATGTTATCCAGCAGAGAAGGGCAGAGGAAACGTGGGGCAGAGGTTGAGAGAGAAGGATACCCAAGACACACATCTGGCCACGGGCTCTGGCTTTCTATCTACAGCAGGGGCCTGCATCCTCCTTAATGTGTGAAAATGTTTCATTTTATACTATCCCATTTGTCCTCTGGTGTCGTAGACACAGATTGAAAACAGCCTGAAATCCCTTCCATGTACTGAAGGCACTTTGGTTTCTCCACCTTTATGAGAAGATTGTGGTTGTATTCTTGCCTTTTATACTCCTCAGTCCTCAGACCCACTAACCCTTCTCAGCTATGCCAGGCTTGTCCCTTGGATTTCATGAAGGGATTGCCCTGGCATCTTGGAATGGATAAAATTGCGGAGGGGGCAGCAGTGGCAAAGTCCTAGGATTTGGAGATGCCAATTAATTCTCAGGATAGGGGGAAAAGGGAGATATCATCAATGGTCAGGCTGAGGGTCCAATTTCCTGGGTGAAGCCCATTCAGAAAGAGTGAAGAGTTTATTTACAGAATAGTTGCCCTAAGCTAAGCCACTTCTCTGCTCCCAGGGGCAGCAGGAATTGGGCAGAGGGAGAATCCTGGGTTATCTACTTTCTCTTTTATTTTTAACAAATATAATTTAGCTATGCAAATAACTACTTGCTTTTTGCCCAGGCAACAGAAATGTATTCTCAGCCTGGAGTGGGAAAGAAGGAAACTTTAGTTTCTTTCTACTAGGGATTCTAAAATATCAGAGCTGACAGAGCCCTCTGAAACCATCCAGTTCTAACCTTTTATGTTATGTATGGGGAGATTGAGGACTATACAGGAAAATTATCTAAATTTACAGAATGAGCTAGTCACAGAGATAAGAATAGACTTTGGATGTCATAAATTCTAGCCTAGTATTTTTTACATTGTAAAATAGGTCCATCCTTGATGGATCTAAGTGTGCAAGGTGGATGGATAGGTAAGAAAGAGGCAGATATTACTCTGTCTCTACAGTGCTGGGAACTTAACATATATGATCTCTTCTCTTTGCTATAGCCTAGCATCTTTAAATAGACTGATAATATCTACCTCAGAGTTGTTGTGAGGACTAAATGACAATATTTGAAAAAGTTAAGAGAGCTTTAGAGTGACGATAGTGAAATGGTTGTCCAGGAAGCTTCAAGCTCTTGTTCTCTTACAGAAAACTTAAAAAACAAAACCACCAGGGCTGTCAGAATCAGCACTATAAGAGTTCTAACAAACAATACATGGTTTACACTCATTAAGCAATGTCCAATCAAGGAAAAACCAACTTTAAAACAGTAGAAAAGTTTTGTGGTGTTCTTTAATCACCTTTGCCTTATCCCTGACCTAATGCAGTGGTCTTGGTCTTGAGCAAGTGACAGCCCAGTTCCCAGTGCCTTGCCCTTGGAACTAGAGGGAGCAGAGCAAATTTATTTGCAAACTTTTATGTTCATATTTTTTAATCTGCATGGGAAATCCCAAATGATGGGTGCAAGGTGCTTATCTCTGTTTTGCCTAACTCAGAACACAAGTGGCAGGCATGGTCCTAAAAGCCACAAGGTAGACTACAAACCCAGATGCCTGAGGCAGGAGATTATAGTTGGAGACATACAATAAACCATATAAGGCCTGAAAAACAATCTCCTTGGGAAACCAGGACATTTAAAAATGGCCATATACATGTGGGAATATAGAAAGTCATGAGTATGTACAGGTGAGATATATACCCAGAAAAGTCTTGAGAATACCTTAAGCTTTACCTCAGGCTGATCACTAGGCACAGAGGAAGCCTTACTATGTGGTGGAGTGCAGCTTCAGAGAGCCAATCTCTAAAAACTGGGAGTCAGTCATTCTTTCCATTTTGGTTTGTGTTTGTTTGTTCAGCTCCTGAATTTCAAGGAAATCTCTGTCAAAGCATTAACTGAGCATAAACTAAAAAAACAGAGACTTCAGGGCTCACAGATGACAAGGAATAATCTTTGCAGACATAGTTTGGAAAAATCTTAAAACAAGTGGACTAACTACAGCTTTCAACAATATAAAAAATAGAAAATGATAGAGAAACATGATAAACTGATTTTCAGAGTTGCCACATTAAAATGGTCAAATGTTCAATTTTAACAAAAACAACAACAAAAGTTACTAGTCACACAAATAAACAGCAAATCATGTGTGAAACTAACAAACTAAATGGGCAGAAACTGTTCCCAAGACAGCCCAGTGAACCTGACAAACAAAGACTTTTACAAAAATTGTCTTAAATATGCACAAAAAGGTTAGGAAAAACATGGACTGATATTTAAAAGAAAATAGGAAAATGATATGTGAACAAAGAGATATAAATTATTCAAAAAAAGAAAATGATATATGAACAAAGATAAATTATTTAAAACAGCAAACAGAAATTCTGGAGCTAAAAACTAAAATAGCTAAAATAAAAAAACTTAATAGAGAGATCCAAAAGCATCCTTGAACATGAAGAAGAATCAGTGAACTTACGTACATGATAATTGAAATTACTGAGTCTGAGGAACAGGAAAAAAAGAATGAAGGAAAGGAAACAGAGTCTAAGGAGCTCATGGGAAAACATAAACAGACCAACATACATATTATGGGAGTCTCAGAATGAGAGAAGAAAGAGAAACGGGCAAAAAAATATCATTTAAATAAATACTTACCAAAATCTTTCCAAATTTGATAAATACATGAATCTGTAAATCCAGGAAGCTCAAAAAACTCCAAGTAAGATTCTTCCAAAGAAAGTGACACTGAGACAAATTATAAGAAAACTATCAAAGCCAAAGGCAGAGACCACCCGAAACCAGAAAGAGAAAAGTGGCCATCATGGACAAGGGATCCTCAATAGGAGTCAGCCAATTTCTCATCATAAATGATGGAAGCCAGAGGCCATGGGATGATATATTAAAAATACTGAAGGAAAAAGTACTGTCAACTGAGAGTTATATCTCTAAAAAGTCTGTCCTTTAAATATGACAGAAATTTTGACATTACCAATGAACAAGAGCTGAGCAAGTTTATTACCATTACATGTACCATGCAAGAAATACTAAAGGAAGTCTGTCAGATTTAAATGAAAGGATGGTAAAGAGTAACTCAAAGTCACATGAAGATATAAAGTCCATTGGTAAAGTTAATATATAGACCAATGTAAAAGCCAGTGCTATTGCAATTTTTTGCTTGTAACTCTAATATAGTTTGGATGTGTGTCTCTTCCAAATTTCATGTTGAAATGTGATCTCCAGTGTTGGAGATGGGAGGTATTTGGGTCATGGAGACAGATCCCTCATGAATGGCCTGGTGCCATTCCCATGGTAATGAGTGAGTTCTTTCTCTGGGAGTTAATGGAAGATCTGGTTGTTCAAAGGAGCTTGGCACATCCCACCTCTCTCTTGCTCATGCTGTGTGACACACTGGGTCCCCTTCTCCTTCTGCCATGATTATAAGCTTTCTGAGTCTTTTACCAGAAACAGATGCCAGCACTAGACTTCATGTACAGGCTGTTGAACTCTGAGCCAAATAAACCTCTTCTCTTTATAAATTACTCAGTCTCAGGTATTCCTTTATAGCAATGCAAAACAGAATCATAAACTCCCTTTTAAAATTTGTATAGAATTTAAAAGACAAATGCTTAAAATATTTATAAAATTATAAGTTGGTATGAATTCAAATTAGATGGTTGTAACTTTAGGATATTATATATATAATCCCTATGGCAACAACAAAGAAAATGTATAAACAAATCAAAATGAATGATACACATTTGTAAGAGATAAAAATTAAAACAATGAAACTCATGGAGATAGTAGAATGATGGTTATCAGAAGAAAGGAAGGGTAGTGCAAGGGAGAAGTGGATGGAAAATGGGGATGGTTAATGGAAACAAAAATATAATGAGATACAATAAATAAGATCTAGCAATTGGTAGCACAACAGAGTGACTATAATCAGCAATAATTGGTTATAACTTCTAGAATAATAAAGGGAGTACAATTGGAATGTTCATAGCACAAAGAAATGATGAATGCTTGGGGCGATTGATATCCCATTTACCTTGATGTGATTGATGATTACATAATGTATGCTTGCATCAAAATATCTCAAGTACCCCACAATATGTAAACATATATCCCAATAAAACTTAAAAATTAAAAATTAAAAAATAGTTGATAAAAGTATCAAAAAGAGTTACTACAACAACTACTGAAACACAAAAAATGCAGTAATAGAGAAAATTAGACACAAAAATATACAAGGCAAATAAATTAATTGCAAAAAAGCAGTAGTTAACTTACCTGTAATTACTTTAACTGTAAATGGGTTACTCTCAATCACAGTGCATAAATTGAAAATATGAAAAAAAACATGATCCTACTATATGCTGTATACAAGAGACTCAATTTGTATCTGAAGAAACAAATAGGTTGCAAGTAAAATGACAGAAAACAAATTTCTATGCAAATAGTAACCAAAAGAAAGCTGTGACTATATTAATATCAGAATTAATTGACTTTAAGTAAAAGACTGCCATAAGAGTCAAAAAGGATATCATGTGTTAATAGAATGGTCAATTCTCTAAAAGGATATAATAATTATAAACATATATGCACCAAATCATTGGGACTCCCAAATATGTGAAGCAAATTTTGACAAAATTGAAGATAGAAGCAGACCAATCCTACAATAGTAGTTTGAGACTTCAGCATGCCACCTTCAGTGGTGGATTAAAAAACAAAACAAAACAAAAAAAAATAGACAATATATTAGAAAACAGTGGATTTACTGGGCAAGATGGCCAAATAGGAACAACTCCAGTCTGCAGCTCCCAGTGAGACCAACACAGAAGGCGGGGGATTTCTGCATCTCCAACTGAGATACCCAATTCATCTCATTGGGACTGGTTAGACAGTGGGCGCAGCCCACAGAGGTCGTGGAGAAGCAGTATGGGGTGTTGCCTCACCCAGGAAGTGCAAGGGGTCAGGGAACTCCCTTCCCTAACCAAGGGAAGCCATGAGGGGCCATGCCATGAGGGACTGTGCTATTGGGCCCAGATTCTATGCTTTTCCCACAGTCTTCAAAACCCACAGACCAGGAGATTCCCTCAAGTGCCTACATCACAAGGGCCGTGGATTTCAAGCACAAAACTGGGCAGCCATTTGGGCAGACACTGAGCTAGCTGCAGGAGTTTTTTTTTTTTTTTTTTCCATACCCCAGTGGCATCTGGGATGCCAGTGAGACAGAACTATGCACTCCTCTTAAAAGGGTCTGAAACCAGGAAGCAAAGTGGTCTTGCTCAGTGGATCCCACCCCCATGGAGCCAAGCAAGCTAAGGTCCACAGGCTTGAAATTCTTGCTGCCAGCACAGTGGTCTGAAGTAGACCTGGGATGCTCAAGCTTGGTTGGGGGAGGGACATCTGTCATTACTGAGGATTGAGTAGGCAGTTTTCCTCTCACAGTGTAAACAAAGCCACCAGGAATTTCAGACTGGGTGGAGCCCAACACAGCGCAGCAGAGCCACTCTAGCCAGATTGCTTCTCTAGATTCCTTCTGTCTAGGCAGGACATCTCTGAAAGAAAGGCAGCAGTCCCAGTCAGGGGATTATGGATAAAACTCCCATCTCCCTGGGATAAAGCACATGGAAGAAGGGATGGCTGTGGGCGCAGCTTCAGCAGACTTAAACGTTCCTGCCTGCGGGCTCTGAAGAGAACAGCAGATATCCCAGTACAGCTCTCAAGCTCTGCTAAGGGACTGACTCCTCAAGTGGGTCCCTGACCCCAGTGCCTCCTGATGGGAAGACACTTCCCAGCAGACGTTGACAGAGGCCTCATACAGGAGAGCTCTGGCTGGCATCTTGCAGGTGCCCTTCTGGGATGAAGTTTCCAGAGGAAGAAACAGACAGCAATCTTTGCTGTTCTGCAGCCTCTGCTGGTGACACCCAGGCAAACAGGGTCTGTAGTGGACCCCCAGCAAATTCCAGCAGACCTGCAGAAGAGGACCCTGACTGTTATAAAGAAAACTAACAAATAGAAAGCAATAGCATCAACATCAACAAAAAGGATGACTATGCAAAAACTCCACTCTAAGGTCACCAATATCAAAGACCAAAGGTAGATAAATCCATGAAGATGAGAAAAAAAAACAGAGAAAAAGACTGAAAATTCCAAAAACGAGAATGACTTTTCTCCAAAGGATCGCAACTTCTCAACAGCAAAAGAACAAAACTAGACAGAGAATGCGTTTGACCAATTGACAGAAGCAGGCTTCAGAAGGTGGGTAATAACAAACTCCTCTGAGCTAAAGGAGCATGTTCTAACCCAAAGCAAGGAAGCTAAGAACCTAGATAAAAGATAAGAGGAATTGCTAACTAGAATAACCAGTTTAGAGAAGAACATAAATGACCTGATGGAGCCGAAAAACACAGCATGAGAACTTCGTGAAGCATACAGAAGTATCAATAGCCGAATAGATCAAGCGGAAGAAAGGATATCAGACATCGAAGGTCAACTTAATGAAATAAAGTGTGAAGACAAGGTAAGAGAAAAAAGAATGAAAATGAATGATCTAAGCCTCCAAGAAATATGGGACTATGTGAAAAGACCAAACTTAAGTTTGATTAGTGTACCTGAAAGTGATGGAGAGAATGGAACCAAGTTGGAAATCACACTTCAGGATATTATCCAGAAGAATTTCCCCAACCAAGCAAGAAAGGCAAACATTCCAGTTCAGGAAATACAGAGAACACCACAAATACACTCCTGGAGAAAAGCAACCCCAAGACACATAATTGTCAGATTCACCAAGGTTGAAATGATGAAAAAAAAAATGTTAAGGGCAGCCAGAGAGGAAGGTCGGGTTACCCACAAAGGGAAGCCCATCGGACTAACAATGGATCTCTCTGCAGAAATCCTACATGCCAGAATAGAGTAGGGGGCAACATTCAACATTCTTAAAGAAAAGAATTTTTTAACCCAGAATTTCATATCCAGCCAAACTAAGCTTCATAAGTGAAGGAGAAATAAAATATTTTACAGATAAGCAAATGCTGAAATGTTTTGTCACCACCAGGCCTGCCTTACAAGATATCCTAAAGGAAGCACTAAATGTAAAGTCCATTGACACTATGAAGAAACTGCATTAACTAATGGGCAAAATAACTAGCTAGCATCATAATGACAGGATAAAATTCACACATAACAATATTAACCTTAAATGTAAATGGGCTAAATGTCCCAATTAAAAAGCACAGACTGGCAAATTGGATAAAGGGTTAAGACCTATTGGTGAGCTATATTCAGGATAAGCATCTCATGTGCAAAGTCACACATAAGCTCAAAATAATGGGATGGAGGAAGATTTACCAAGCAAATGAAAAGAAAAAAAAGCAGGGGTTGCAATTCTAGTCTCTGATAAAACAGACTTTAAACCAACAAATGTCAAAAAAAGACAAAAAAGAGCATTAAGTAATGGTAAAGAAATCAATGCAGCAAGAAAAGCTAACGACTCTAAACATATATGCACCCAATAAAGGAGCACCCAGATTGCTAGAGCAAGTTCTTAGAGCCCAACAAAGAAACTTCGACTCTGACACAATAATAGTGGAAGACTTTAACACCCCACTGTCAATATTAGACAGATCAATGAGAAAGAAAATTAAGAAGGATATTCAGGACTTGAATTCAGCTCTGGACAAAGCAGACCTAATAAACTACAGAACTCTCCACCTCAAATCAACAAAATACACATTCTGCTCAGCACCACATAGTACTTATTGTAAAATCGACCACATAATTGGAAGTAAATCACTCTTCTGCAAATACAAAAGAATGAAAATCATAACAAACAGTCTCTCAGACCACAGTGCAATCAAATTAGAACTCAGGATTAAGAAACTCCCTCAAAACCGCAAAACTACATGGAAACTGAACAACCTGCTCCTGAATGAGTACTAGGTAAATAACAAAATTAAGGCAGAAATAAATAAGTTCTTTGAAATGAATGATAACAAAAACATAACATATCAGAATCTGTGGAACACAGCTAAAGCCGTGTTTAGAGGGAAATTTATAACACTAAATGCCAACATGAGAAAGTGGAAAAGGTCTAAAATCGACACCCTAACATCACAATTAAAATAACTAGAGAAGCAAGAGCAAACAAATTCAAAATCTAGCAAAGACAAGAAATAACTAAGATCAGAACAGAACTGAAGGAGATATAGACAAGAAAAAGCCTTCAAAAAATTAATGAATCCAGGAGCTTTTCTGTGAAAAGATTAACACAATAGATTCACCGCTACCCAGACTAATAAAGAAGAAAATAGAGAAGAATCAAATAGACACAATAAAAAATGATAGAGGAGGGATCACCACTGATCCCACAGAAACAAAAACTACCATCAAAGAATACTATAAACAACTCTACACAAATAAACTAGAAAATCTAGAAGAAATGTTTAAATTCCTGGATACATACGCGTTCCCAAGACTAAACTAGGAAGAAGTGAAATCCCTGAATAAACCAATAACAACTTCTGAAATTGAGGCAGTAACTAATAGCCTAACAACAATAACAACAACAACAACAACAACAACAAAAGCCAGGACCAGACGATTCACAGCAGAATTCTACCATAGGTAAAAAGAGGAGGTGATATTATTCCTTTGAAACTATTCCAAACAACAGAAAAAGAGATACTCTTCCCTGACTCATTTTATGAGGCCAGCATCATCCTGATAGAGACACAACAAAAAAAGAAAATTTCAGGCCAATATCCCTGGTAAACATCAATGTGAAAATCCTCAATAAAATACTGGCAAACCAAATCCAGCAGCACATTAGAAAGCTTATCCACCACGACCAAGTCGGCTTCATTCCTGGGATGCAAGTCTCGTTCAACATACGCAAATCAATATACATAATCCATCACATAAACAGAACCAATGACAAAAAACACATGATTATCTCAATAGGTGCAGAAAAGTCCTTCCATAAAATTCAACACCACTTCATGTCCAAAACATTCAATAAACTAGGTATTCATAGAACATGTCTCAAAATAATAAAAGCCATTTATGAAAAACCCACAGCCAATATCACTGAATGGGCAAAAGCTGGAAGCATTCCCTTTGAAAACTGGCACAGGACAAGAATACCCTCTCTCATCACTCCTATTTAACATAGTATAGGAAGTTCTGGACAGGACATTCAGGCAAGAGAAAGAAATAAGGAGTATTCAAATAGAAAGAGAGGAAGTCAAATTATCTCTCTTTGCAGATGACATGATTGTATATTTAGAAAATCCCATCGTATCAGCCCCAAAACTCCTTAAGCTGATAAGCAAATTCAGAAAAGTCTCAAGATACAAAATCAATGTGCAAAAATCACAAGCATCACTAATACACCAATAATAGAAAAACAGAGAGCCAAATCACGGGCAAACTCTTATTCACAAATGCTACAAAGAGAATAAAATACCTAGGAACACAACTTACAAGAAAAGTGAAGGAATTCTTCAAGGATAACTACAATCCACTGCTCCAGGAAATAAGAGAGGTCACAAACAAATGTAAAAACATTCCATGCTCATTGATGGGAAAAATCAATATTGTGAAAATGATCATAATGTCCAAAGTAATTTATGGATTTCATGCTATTCCCATCAATCTACCATTGACTTTCTTCACAGAATTGGAAGAAAACTACTTTAAATTTCATATGGAACCAAAAAAGAGCTTGTATAACCAAGACAACCCTAAGCAAAAACAGCAAAGCTGGAGGCATCACGCTACCTGACTTCAAACTATACTACAAGGCTACAGTAACCAAAACAGCATGGTACTGGTACCTAAACAGATATATAGACCAATGGAACAGAACAGAGGCCTCAGAAATAATGCAACACATCCACAACCATCTGATCTTTGAGAAACCTGGCAAAAAAAAAAAAAAAAAAACAATGAGGAAAGGATATTCTATTTAATAAATGGTGTTGGGAAAACTGGCTAGCCATATGCAGAAAACTGAAACTAGACCTGTTCATTACACCTTATACAAAAATTAACTCAAGATGGTTTAAAGATCTAAATGTAAGACCTAAAACCATAAAAACCCTAGAAGAAAACCTAGGCAATACCATTCAGGACATAGGCATGGGCAAAGACTTCATGACTAAGTCACCAAAAGCAATGGTAACAAAAGACAAAATTGACAAATGGGATCTAATTAAACTAAAGAGCTTCTGTATGGCAAAAACAAAACAAAACAAAACAAAAACAAAAAACAAAAACACCATCAACAGAGAGAACAGGCCACCCAAAGAATGAGAAAAAATTTTTGCAATCTATCCATCTGACAAAGGGCTAATATACAGAACTTAACAAATCTACAAGAAAAAACAAATAACCCCATCAAAAAGTGGGAGAAGGATATGAACAAGTACTTCTCAAAAGAAGTGAGGTGGACAAACATGAAAAAAGCTCATCATCACTGGTCATTAGAGAAATGCAAATCAAAACCACAATGAGATACCATCTCATGCCAGTTAGCAGGTGATCATTAAAAGTTAGGAAACAACAGTTGCTGGAGAAGACATGGAGATACAGGAACACTTTTTACACTGTTGGTAAAAGTGTAAATTAGTTCAACCATTTTGGAATACAGTGTGGCAATTCCTCAAGGATCTAGAACTAGAAATACCATATGACCCAGTAATCCCATTACTGGGTATATACCCAAAGGTTTATAAAGCATTTTTCTATAAAGACACATGCACACGTATGTTTATTGCAGCACTATTCACAATAGCAAAGACTTGGAACCAACCCAAATGCTCATCAATATTAGACTGGGTAAAGAAAATGTGGCACATATAACCATGAAATACTATTCAGTGGTAAAAAAGAATGAGTTTATGTTCTCTGCAAGGACACGGATGAAGCTGGAAACATCATTAGCAAACTAACACAGGAACAGAAAAACAAACACTGCATGTTCTCATTCATAAGTGGGAGTTGAACAATGAAAACATATAGGCACAGGGAGGGGAACATCACACATCATGGCCTGTTGGAGGGTGGGGGATAAAGGGAGAGATAGCTTAGGAGAAATACCTAATGTGGATGATGGGTTCATGGGTACAGCAAACCACCATTGTACATGTATACCTATGTAACAAACCTGCACTTTTTGCTCATATATCCCAGAACTTAAAGTGTAATTTACAAAAAAGAAAGAAAAGAAAACAGAGAACTTTATACCATAAACCAGTTAGACCTAACAGACATACACAGAACACTCCACCCAACAATAGCAGACTACACATTTTTACGAAGTGCACATATGTTATTCACCAGGATGTATGACATATTAAGCCACAAAACAATTTTTAATAAATTTAAAAAGGTTAAAATCCTATAAAGTATATTATCTGTTCATAGTGGAATTAAGCTAGAAATCAAAAACAGAAGGAAAATTATAAAGTTCACAAATGTAGAAATTAACACATTTTAAACAACCAATGGGACAAAGAAGAACTCATAAGCAAAATTAGAAAATATTTTGGGAAAAATAAAAATTAAACGATAACATAGCAAAACTAATTTGAAACAGTTAACACAGTGATAAGAGGAAGATTTAGAACTGTAAATGCATACATGAAAACAAGAGAAATATTCCAAATCTGTAACCTAACCTTAAAAAAAAGAAAAGTAAATTGAAATTTAAGCTAGCAGGAAGAAGAAAATTGCAAAGATCGAATAGAAATAAAGTATAGATTAGGAAAAAAGAGACTATCAACTAAAAGTTGAGTCTGAAATAATAGCAAAAAGGACAAGCCTATAGCTAGAGTAACTAAGAAAAATGTCTCAAATTACACAAATTAGAAATAAGCTGATAATATTAAAGTCAGTATTACAGACATAAAAAGATTATAAGAGCATGCAATGGACATTTGTACACCAAAAAGTTTGATAACACGGATGAAATAGACAAATTTCTAAAAACACACAACTTACCAACATTAATTTATGAAGTAATAAAAAAGTGGTATTGACCTGTAAGAGAATTAAATAACTTAACAAAATCTTCTCAACAAATGAAAGCCCTGGGATTCATTTAATGGGATCAGCATTACTCTGAAGAAAAGTGAAGCAAAGACACTATATTAAAAAAATTACAGACTAATATTTAATATCAATATTGATGCAAAAATTCTCCACAAGATACTAGCAAAACAAATTCATCAACATATTAAAGAGATTATATACCATTACCAGTTAGGATTTATTCCCGGAATACAAGGATGTTTTAACATACAAAAATAAATTAACATAATACATTACTGTATAGAATGAAGTGGAAAAAATCACATGATCTTCTTACTGATGTAGAAAATACACATGACAAAATTAAACACCTTTTATATTAAAGACTCTCAATAAATTAGGAATACAAGATAACATCTTCAACGTTATAAAGGCGATATACAAAAAGTCCAGAGCTAACATTACCTTCAATTGTGAAAGACTGTAAGATTTCCCTCTAATATACAAAACAAAAAACAAATGTCCATTTCAACCACTTCTATACAAGATATTACTAGAAAATCGAGGCAGAGCAATTAGGGAAAAAAAAAAAGAAATAAAAGTCATCTAAATTGGAAGGGAAGAAGTAAAATTACCTTTGTTTCCAGTTTATATGGCCGGATAAGGAGAAAACCATAAAGATTCCACAGAAAAACTATTAGAGGTTGTAGGATAAAAAATCAACACAAAAATCAGTTGTGTTTTTTAAAATCAATAAACAATTCAAAAGGGAAATTAATAAAAAGTTTCATTTACAATAATATCCAAAAGAACAAAACACCTAAAAAAAATAAAGGAATCGAGAAGCTCATACACTGAAAACTAAAAAACAATTCTGAAAAAAGAAAAAACACACAATTAAATGGAAAGGTGTGTTTTTATATTTGTATAAATGTATGGGGTAAAAGTGCAATTTTGTAACATGCATACATGGCACAGAATCACTCATCTGAATAATGTACGTTGTATCCAGTAAGCATTTTTTTATTATTATTCACTCCCTTCTCATTCCCTCACTCTTACAAATCTCCATTGCCTATCATTCTACAGTCTACATCCATGTGTACAAAATTTTTAGAACCCACTTATAAGTGAGAACATGTGACATTTGACTTTCTGTGACTGGCTTGTTTAATTTATGATAATCACTTCTGACTCCATCCATGTTGCTGCAAGAGACCTGATTTCATTTTTTTATGGCTGAATAGTATTCCATTTTGTAGATATACAATATTCTTGTTATCCAGTCATCCACTGATGGATGCTTAGGTTGATTTAATATCTTTGCTATTGTGAATTGTGCTGTGATAAGCATCTTTTTGATAAACTGATTCCTTGTTCCTTTTTTTTTTTTTTGACAGAGTCTCACTCCGTCTCCCAGGCTGGAGTGTAGTGGTGCAATCTGGACTCACTGCAAACTCTGCTTCCTGACTTCAAGAGATTCTCCTGCCTCAGCCTCCCAAGTAGCTGGGGTTACAGGTTTGCGGCACCACATCCGGCTAATTTTTGTGTTTTTAGTAGAGAAAGGGTTTCACCATATTGGCCAGGCTGGTCTCGAACTCCTGACCTCAGGTGATCCACCCGCCTCGGCCTCCCAAAGTACTGGGATTACAGGCGTTAGCCACTCTGCCTGACTTGATTTCATTTCATTTGGGTAGGTATCTAGTAGTGATATTGCTGAATTGAATGTTAGATCTACTTTTAGTTATTTGAGAAACACACATATTATACTTCATGGAGGTTGCACTAATTTATATTTCTAACAACAGCATGTAAGAGTTCCCTTTTCTCCACCTTCTCACCAACATCTTTTTTTTTTAACTTTTAATAATAGCCATTCTGACTGGGGTAAGATGATATCTCATGGTGGTTTTTATTTGCATTTCTCTGGTGATTAGTGATGATGAGCATTTTTTATATACCTGTTGGCTATTTATATGTTTTCTTCTAAGAAATGAAACATCTATTTACATTTGTTGCCCACTTTAAAGTCAAATTATTTTTTTTCTGTCGAGATGTTTGAGTTCCTTGTATATTGTAGATATTAATCTCATGTAGGATGAATAGATTTCAAATATTTTCTCCCATTATGCAGCAGGTTGTCTGTTTACTCTGTTGATTTTTTTGTTTTTGCTGTGCAGAAGCTTTTTAGTTTAATTAAACTCCATTTCTCTATTTTTTATTTCATTGCCTATGCTGTTGAGTCTTAGTCATATTTTTATTTGTCTATACAAATGTTCAAAAGATTTTTCCCTAGGTTGTTTTCTAGTAGTTTTATAGTTTTGGTTGTTATGTTTAAGTCTTTAATTCATCTTAACTTGTTTTTTCTATATGGCGAGAAATAGATATCAAATTTCATTCTTCTACTAGGCTAACATGCCATGGTGAAAGGATGAAAAATGTCAGAAATAGTGTTCAGTTCATTATTTAGTAATACAATGGCAAATTACTAGAAAATAAAGCAATTCCTGTGAGTTAAAAAGTTTCATTCTTCCACATATGGCAACCCAATTTTCCCAGCACCATTTATTAGAGGGAGTCCTTTCTCTAATGTATGTTCTTGTAGACTTAATCAAACATCAGTTGTCCATAAATTTGTGGCTCTATTTCTGAGTTTTCTATTCTGGTCCAATAATCTATGTTTCTATTTTCATAGCAGTACCATGCTGTTTTGTTTACTATAGGATTGTAATAAATTTAATAATAAAGTAATGTGATGCCTCCATTTTCTTCTCTTTGCTTAGACTTGCATTGGCTATTCAGGCTTTTATTTGATTTCACATGAATTTTAGGGGTTTTTTCCTAATTCAGTAAGAATTACAATGGTAATTTGACCGGGATTTCATTGAATCTGTAGATTGCCTTGAGAATTGCAGTCATTTTAACAATATTAATTCTTCTAATCCATGAGCATGGGATATTTTTCTATTTGTTTGTGTCATCTACAATTCTTTGCATCAGTATTTTTATAGTTTTTCTTGTAGAGATTTTTCATCTCCTTGGTTAAATTTGTTGATACATATTTTCCTTTACTGTAGCTATTGTAAATGAGATTGCCCTATTGATTTTATTCTCAGTTTGACTATTATCAGTGTATAAAAATGTTACTAATTTTTGTATGTTATTTTTTGCACCCTGATAATTTATTATATTTATTTATTAAATCTAAATGTTAATATTTTGTGGAATCTTTAAGATTTTTTCAGACATACAATTATGTCATCAGCAAACAGGAATGATTTTATGCCAGGGATGCAAAGATGGTTCAACACATGCAAATTAATAAATGTGATACATCATGTAAACAGAATTAAGAACAAAAACAATATGATTATTTCAATAAACACAGAAAAAACATTTGATAAAATTTAGCATCCCTTCATGATAAAAACCAGCAACAAACTAGGCAAAGAAGCAACATACCTCAAAATAATATGGACCATATACAGCGAAGCCACAGCTAACATCATAATGAATGTGGAAAAGTTGACATGATTTCCACTAAGAACTGGTATAAGACAAAGCTGCCTACTTTCACCACTCCTTTTCAACATAGTACTGGAAGTCCTAGACAAGGCAATCAGGCAAGAGAAAGACATAAAAGACATTAAAATTGGAAAAAAGTAGTATTTATTCATGGATTGAAAGACTAAATAGTGTTGGCATGACAATACTACCTATTATAATCTGCAAATTTGCTGTAATACTGTTGGTGTATTAATATCTTAATGGTACTTTCTGCAGAAATAGAAGAAATTCATCCTAAAAATATTATATCAACTTAAGAAACCTGGAATATCCAAAATAATCTTAAGAAAAATGTTGGAGTTTTCACATTTCCTGGATTCAAAACATGCAGCAAAGCTACAGTAATCAAAACTGTACAGTACACAATTTTTTTTAAAATGGGCAATGCACCCGAACAGACATTTTGAAAAAGAGGACATAAAAATGGCCAACTTGTTTATGAAAAATTCTCAATATTACTAAAAGAAAAGAAAAACAGAACCCCAATGAGACATCACCTCAAAACTTTTAGAATGTCTATTATACAAAAAACGAAAAGATAAATGTTGGCAAAAACAGGAGGAAAAGGGAACCCTTGTACTTTGTTGATGGACATGTAAATTGATAAAGCCATAATGAAAAACAGTTTGCAGATTCTTTGCTTCTTTGAACAATTAGAAATACAACTACTCAGTGTGGTTACTGTTGGTGTATAGCAGAACTGCTAATTATGTACATTAATTTTGTATCTTGAAAGTTTGCTGAATTCATTTATCAGTTTTAGGAGTTTTTTGGCAGAGTCCTTAGGGTTTTCTCGATATACAATTACATCATCAGCAAACAGTAACAGTTTGACAACCACTGTTGCAATAGCTGCAAAACAAACAAACAAAAAAGCACAAAAATACACCTAACCAAGGAGACGAAGTACCTTTACAAGGTAAACTACAAAACACTGCTGAAAGAATCATAGATGACATAAACAAGTGGAAACAGATCCCATGCTCAAGGATGGGTAGAATCAATATTGTGAATATGACTATACTGACAAAAGGATTCTACAAATCTAATGCAATTCCCAT
This sequence comes from Homo sapiens, assembly GCF_000001405.40. Lineage (NCBI taxonomy): Eukaryota > Metazoa > Chordata > Mammalia > Primates > Hominidae > Homo > Homo sapiens. Next base: position 67,415,941 of record NC_000023.11, on the reverse strand, counting down.
AAAAATACCATCACCATTCTTCACAGAACTAGAAAAAACAATACTAAAATTTATACAGAACCAAAAATGAGCCTGCATAGCCAAAGCAAGACTAAGCAAAAAAAAATATATATGATATAGATGACATATATGATATATATGATATATATAGATATATATGATATATATGATATATATATGATATATGTGATATATATGATATATATATGATATATATGATATATATGATACATATATGTATGATATATATGATATATATGATATATGACATATATGATATATGATATATATGATATATGATATATATGATATATAGATATATATGATATATATGATACATATGATATATATGATATATATATGATACATATATGATATATATGATATATATATGACATATATGATATATATGATATATATGATATATATGATATATATATGATATATAATATATATGATATATATGATATATAATATATATGATACATGATATATATGATATATGATATATATGATATATATGATATATGATATATATGATATATATGATATATGATATATATGATATATAATATATATGAGATATGAGATATATGAGATATATATGATATATATATGATATATATGAGTTATATATCATATATCTCTCATATATATGAGATATATATGAGATATATATCAGATATATGAGATATATATGAGATATATATATGATATATATATGGAGGCATCAGATTACCTGACTTCAAACTATACTATAAGGCTATAGTCACCAAAACAGCATGGTACTTGTATAAAAATAGACACAGAGACAAATAGAACAGAAGAGACAACCCAAAAATGCACCCAAACACTGACAGCCAACTTGTCTTTGACAAAGGAAACAAAAACATAAAGTGAGTAAATGATACCCTATTCAACGAACAGTGCTTACATAATTGGGAAGCCACATGTAGAATGAAACTGGATTCTCATCTCTCATCTTATACCAAAATCAACTAAAGATAGATCAGAGACTTAAATCTAAGACGTGAAATTATAAGAACTCTAGAAGATAACATTGGAAAAACCCTTATAGAGATTGACTTAAATAAAGCCTTCATGACCAAAATCCCAAAAGCAAATGCAACAAAAACAAAGATAAATAGCTGAGACTAAATTAATCTAAAGAGTTTTTGCATGGCAAAAGGAACAGTCAGCAGAGTAAAGAATCCACAGAGTGGGAGAAAATTTTCACAACTTATACAAATGACAAAGCACTAATATCCGGCATCTACAAGGCACACAAAGAAATTAGTAAGAAAAAAAACAATCCCATCAAAAAATAGGCTAAGGACATGAATAGACAATTCTCAAAAGAAGATATACAAATGACCAACAAACATATGAAAGCCAAGTCAATCCTAAGCCAAAAGAACAAAGCTGGAGGCGTCATGCTACCTGACTTCAAACTATACTACAAGGTTACAGTAACAAAAACAGCATGGTACTGGTACCAAAACAGAGTTGTAGATCAATGGAACAGAACAGAGCCCTCAGAAATAATGCCGCATATCTACAACTATCTGATCTTTGACAAACCTGACAAAAACAAGAAATGGGGAAAGGATTCCCTATTTAATAAATGGTGCGGGGAACACTGGCTAGCCACATGTAGAAAGCTGAAACTGGATCCCTTCCTTACACCTTTTACAAAAATTAATTCAATATGGAATAAGGACTTACATGTTAGACCTAATACCATGAAAACCCTAGAAGAAAACCTAGGCAATACCATTCAGGACATAGGCATGGGCAAGGACTTCATGTCTAAAACACCAAAAGCAATGGCAACAAAAGACAAAATTGACAAATGGGATCTAATTCAACTAAAGAGCTTCTGCACAGCAAAGGAAACCACCATCAGAGTGAACAGGCAACCTACAGAATGGGAGAAAATTTTTGCAGTCTACTCATCTGACAAAGGGCTAATATCCAGAATCTACAATGAATTCCAACAAATTTACAAGAAAAAAACAAACAACCCCATCAAAAAGTGGGCAAAGGATATGAACAGACACTTCTCAGAAGAAGACATTTATGCAGCCAAAGAACACATGAAAAATGCTCATCATCACTGGTCATCAGAGAAATGCAAATCAAAACCACAATGAGGTACTATCTCTTAGCAGTTAGAATGGCAATCATTAAAAAGTGAGGAAACATCAGGTGCTGGAGAGGATGTGGAGATATAGGAACACTTTTACACTGTTGTTGGGACTGTAAACTAGTTCAACCATTGTGGAAGTCAATGTGGCGATTCCTCAGGGATCTAGAACTAGAAATACCATTTGACCCAGCACTCTCATTACTGGGTATATACCCAAAGGATTATAAACCATGCTGCTACAAAGACACATGCACACATATGTTTATTGCAGCACTATTCGCAATAGCAGACTTGGAACCAACCCAAATGTCCAACAGTGATAGACTGGATTAGGAAAATGTGGCACATATACACCATGGAATACTATGCAGCCATAAAAAAGGATGAGTTCATGTCCTTTGTAGGGACATGGATGAAGCTGGAAACCATCATTCTCAGCAAACTATCGCAAGGACAAAAAAACAAACACCGCATGTTCTCATTCAAAGGTGGGAATTGAACAATGAGAACACCTGGACACAGGAAGGGGAACATCACACACCGGGGACTGTTGTGGGGTGGGGGGAGTGGGGAGGGATAGCATTAGGAGATATACCTAATGCTAAATGACGAGTTAATGGGTGCAGCACACCAACATGGCATATGTGTATATATGTAACAAACCTGCATGTTGTGCACATGTACCCCAAAACTTAAAGTATAATAATAATAAAAAAAAAGAAAAATGCTCAACATCACAAATAATTGGGGAAATGCAAATCAAAACCACAATTCAATACCACCTTACTCCTGCAAGAATGTCTATAATCACAAAATCAAAAAATAATAGATGTTGATGTGGATGCTATGAAAGGGAACACTTCTACACTGCTGGTGGGAATGTAAACTAGTATAGTGTGTGTGTGTGTGCGCATATACGTGTATATATATGTGTGTATATATATAGAATACTACTCATCCATAAAAATAATAAATAATATATTTTGCAGCAACTCAGGTTAAACTAGAAATAATTATCCCAAGTGAAGTAACTCAGGAATGAAAAACCAAATGCCACATGTTCTCACTTATAAGTGAAAACTCAGCTATGGGTATCCAAAGGCATACAGAGTGGTATAATGGATATTGGAAACTCAGAAGGGGGAGAATAGGAGGGAAATAAAAGTGAAAACTCATCTATTTGTTACAGTGTACACTCTTCTTGTAATTGGTACACTAAAAGGCCAGAGTTCTCCACTACACAATTAATCTATGTAACCAAAAATTACTTGTATCCCTAAAGCTAATCAGACTTAAAACATTAAAAAACAATAATTTAAAAAAGATTTAGAAAGAGAAAAAAGCACATGAAAGCTTCTTATCATCATAAGTCATTCGGGAGGTGGAAATAAAAACTACAAGCTGCTACTTCATATTCATTATGATAGCTATTATTTTTCAAAAAGGGAAATTATATGTTTCCTTGTGGATGTGGACAAATTGGAAATTCTAGTGAATTACTGGTGGGAATGTTAAATGTGGCAGCCACTATGGAAAACAGTATGGTGATCTTCAAAAATTTAAACACAAAATTACCATATAATTTCTATTTCCAGTTATACATTCAATGGAATTGGTAGCATGAACTCAAGCATATTCTTTCTCAACAATGTTCATACAACATTGTTCACACTATCCAAAAGATGAAAATAATTTGTCCATCAGCAAATAAATGGAATAAACAAAATATAGTGTAGAATTACAATGGAATATTTTTCAGCTGTATAAAGGAAGGAAAGTTTGACACATGTGACAAGATGACTAAACCTTGAGAACATTATCTTAAATGAAATAAGTTAGTCAGCAAAGAACAAATCATGTATGATCCCATGTATGTGTGGTACCTAGTCAGATTAGTAGAAAGAGAACATAGAATGATGCTTGCCAGGGGATGGGCATGGGGAGAATGGAGAGTTATTCTTTAATGGGTACAGGTTTCCTTTTGGGATGGTGGGAGCCAAATGATGAGAACACATGGACACATATAAGGGAGCAATGCACACTGAGGCCTTTCAGAGGGTGGAAGGTGAAAGGAAGGAGAGAATCAGGAAAATAACTAATGGGTATTAGGCTTAATACCTAGGTGATGAAATAATCTGCACAACGAATCCCTATGACACAAGTTTACCTATGTAGTAAACTTGCACTTTTACTCCTGAACTAAAAATAAAAGTTAAAAAGATTTCTAGAGATAGTTGTTACAATGGTACAATAATATGTATGTACTTAATGCCACTGAACTGTACACTTAAACAAGGATAAATTGTTAAATTTTGTTATATATATTTACCACAATTAAAAAGCAAGATTCAGAGCAGCACATATGAAGTGCTGTCATTTGAGTAAAAAACAAATGTTAAAATGTTGAAAACAAATAAATTTTAAAACTTCAAAGAAGTGTAAGATAACTTTCCATGCCTCTGTGATCTATATCTATATTGTGTTAGATAGATGGATATAGATCACAGAGACATATCAAAAGTTTGTTTCTACTTCTTTAAAATTTTAAGATTTATTTGTTTTTAATTAAATTGTTATAATTAATTTGTGATATATATATATATAGCAATCCTGATGTCAGAGTCCAGTTGATGCTTTAGTAAGATGCTCTCTCTCTCTCTCTTTTTTTTTTTGTTTGAGATGGAGTCTCACTCTGTTGCCCAGGCTGGAGTGCAGTGTTGCAATCTCGGCTCACTGCAAGGTCCACCTCCTGGGTTCACGCCATTCTCCTGCCTCAGCCTCCCGAGTAGCTGGGACTACAGGTGCCCGCCACCACACCCAGCTAATTTTTGCATTTTTAGTAGAGACTGGGTTTTACCTTGTTAGCCAGGATGGTCTCGATCTCCTGACCTCGTGATCTGCCTGCCTCGGCCTCCCAAAATGCTGGGATTACTGGTAATAAGTTGTTCTCTTATTTATCCTTGGCTTGATCAATCTTTTGGCATCCTGTCACTTTGAAAAATGTGGACATGGTACATAGCTATGAAAACACTAATTTTATTTCTCTTTCTGGCAATATTAGCTCTCTCAATTACCAAGCAATTAAAAAAATATTTTCCTACTGAGGTAGAAACTACTAAGAGCTGCTTTGAAGGAAAGGTTGAGTTTGAGTTAAATGGGCCCGAGGAGTCCTCAACTCTGGGGGACAGACTGTGAAGCTCTCTGCAATATCTCTCTTTCTTCATCTCTGTCTCACGTTTTCCCTCAATAGATACAAAGAGGGAAAAACTTTACTCAGCTTAAACTTTAATAAGCTTAATCTTTCCCTTTAAAGTATGTTACTGCTGAGGGTCTCACGGGGCAGTCACTCTTTCCTTTGACTGTCTTCCTATGGCTATAAAAGCAAAGGCCATGGCCACCACTAGTCCCAACAATCCTGTTGCTGCATGTCCCATGTTCACCCATCCCTATATCTGGACTTGTTTGTTTCATTTTTTTGTTCATTATTTATTGTTTTTCATTTTCAAATAAATGTGTGTTCATTAAGGAAGTTTCATAAAGCACAGAAAAATGGAATGTTGTGGAAAAGTCAACTATTATCCCACTAGGTAGAGGTAATCCCTGTCAGGATTTTGACCTTTCATTCTCATTTTGATGGATTTTTTTTTTCATAATTTATATACAATACTTTAATTCTGTAACTTGCTTTCTTTGTTTAGAATTATACCATTTTCTCATATTACTAACATTTCAAAATTAACTTTCATAGTATTGATGTGACACAATTCTAACTATTCTCCTAATAATGGATAGTTAAGTGGTTTCTTTTTTTCACACTGTTACATATCATTCCGTGAAGAACATCTTTATGGGTTAAGCTTCATGCACATTTCTGATCATTTTTTAAAACTGATTTCCAGAAAAGGAGAGAGGGCATAATAGTGTGTCGGGAATTGATGGGTTCTTGGTCTCACTGACTTCAAGAATGAAGCCGCAGATCCTCGCAGTGAGTGTTACAGTTCTTAAAGATGGTGTGTCTGGAGTTTGTTCCTTCTGACGTTCAGACGTGTTCAAAGTTTCTTCCTTCTGGTGGGTTTGTGGTCTTGCTGGCTTCAAGAGTGAAGCTGCAGACCTTTGTGATGAGTGTTACAGCTCTTAAGGTGGCACATCTGGAGTTGTTCGTTCCTCCCATCCAGAGTTGTTCATTCCTCCCAGTGGGTTTGTGGTCTCGCTGGCCTCAGGAGTGAAGCTGCAGACCTTCGTGGTGAGTGTTACAGCTCATAAAGGCAGTGCGGACCCAAATCGTGAGCAGCAGCAAGATTTATTGCAAAGAGCAAAAGAACAAAGCTTCCACAGTATGGAAGGTGACCCGAGCGGGTTGCCGCTGCTGGCTTGGGCAGCCTGCTTTTATTTCCTTATCTGGCCCCACCGACATCCTGCTGATTGGTCCATTTTACAGAGAGCTGATTGGTCCGTTTTAAAGAGAGCTGATTGGTCCATTTTGACAGAGTGCTGATTGGTGCCTTTACAAACCTTTAGCTAGACACAAAAGTTCTCCAAGTCCCCACTAGATTAGCTAGACACAGCACTGATTGGCGTGTTTACAAACCTTGAGCTAGACACAGGGTGCTGATTGGTGTGTTTACAAACCTTGGGCTAGACGTAAAAGTTCTCCAAGTCCCCACCTGACTCAGGAGCCCAGCTGGCTTCGCCTAATGGATCCTGTGCCAGGGCTGTGGGTGGAGCTGCCTGCCAGTCCAGCGTTGTGTGCCTGCACTCCTCAGCCTTTGGGCAGTGGATGCGAGTGGGTGCTGTGGAGCAGGGGGCGGTGCCTGTCAGGGAGGCTCGGGCCGCTTGGGAGCCCACCACTGGGGGGGCTCGGGCATGGCAGGCTGCAGGTTCCAAGCCCTTCCCTGTGGGGAGGTGGCTGAGGCCAGGCAAGAATTCGAGCACTGCATGGGCAGGCTGGCAGTGCTGGGGGACCCGGCACCCCGTCCACAGCTGCTGGGCTGGGTGCTAAACCCCTCACTGCCCGAGGCCAGTGGAACTGGCCAGCCACTCAGAGTGCGGGGCTCACAGAGCCCACACCTACCCAGAACTCACGCTGGCCCACGAGCACCATGTGCAACCTCAGTTCCCACCCGCACCTCTCCCTCCACACCTCCCCGCAAGCAGAGTGAGCTGGCTCCGGCCTCGGCCAGCCCAGAGAGGGGCTCCCACAGTGCAGCGGTGGGCTGAAGGGCTCCTCAAGCACAGCCAGAGTGGGCACCGAGGCCAAGGAGACACTGAGAGCAAGTGAGTGCTGTCAGCATGCTGTCACCTCTCAATAGTATACCAGAGTGTTAATGGCATGCACTGTGAAAACAGAATGTTTTAAGTCTTCATTGTAATTCCACTACTTTACAAGGGTGTAACTTGGGGGAATTTAGAGAGTTCACTGATACCTCAATTTCCTCATGTATAAGATAGAGATAATAATCTCAACTATATTACAGGACAAATTTTAGAATTAAATGAGATAATATATGAAAAATTCTTAGTGTCTATCACATAGTAAGTGCTCTGTCACAGTGTTTGCTATTACCGTTATCACTGAATCTGAGGTATATTTTTAAGGCCCTTGATTCATAATGCCAAATTATATTCCAGGATGTTTGCTCCAATTTAAGATTACTTTAGTTATGCATAAATCCTGCTTTTTCCATACCCTTACCAGCATTGTGAATAATCACTGCTGGTGATGTTTGCTAGTTTAATAGATAAAAAGTATCTTGCCTTAATTTATATTAATTAAAATACCAAAGACATTAAACTTATTTTCAGGAACTCATAGAGATTTGTATTTCCTCTACTTTGAATTGTATGTTAAACACTTTAATTGCAAGTTTTTATTTTCATGATTATTCAAATAGATATCATTGCAAACATTCAGACAATGCATAAAAAAAAGAAGCAAAAATCACCAGTAATTTCCCATTAAGAAATAATCACTCAAGGTTTTGGTATATATTCTTCTAGAACATTCTAAGTGTATATACCCATTCAAACTTATATACCATATATGCAGATTTATAACATTTTTCACTTATCTACACATTAACATTTTTCTGTAAATGTGCAGACATCCATATTATAATTTTTAATGCTAGCATAATATTTGATTGAGTGAATATGCTATATTTATTCAACTCCTCCCCCACATTTTAACAACAGCTGTATTGAGATATGATTCAAAGAATTCAACCTTTAAAAATATACAGTTCTGTTTTTTTAGTATATTTACAGAGTTGTATGAACACAGCCACAGTTAATTTTACAATATTTCCTCACTCCCAAAATAAACCCTTTGCTCTTTGATAGTCACTCTCCATTTCCACCTCGCTCAACAGTGGTCAATTACTAATCTTTCTGTCTCTATAGACTGACCTATTCTGGAAAGTTCATATAAATGGAAAGTATAATACTGAGTTTTGCATATTGCACAATATGTGGCATTTTGTAACTGGCTTCTTTCACTCAGTACAATGTTTCCAAGATTTATCCATGTTCTAGCATGGATCAGTACTTCATTTCTTTTTTTCTTTTCTTTTCTTTTTCTTTTTCTTTTTTTTTTTTTTGAGATGGAGTCTCACTCTGTCACCCAGGCTGGAGTGCAGTGGCATGATCTGGGCTCACTGCAAGCTCTACCTCCGAGGTTCATGCCATTATCCTGCCTGAGCCTCCTGAGTAGCTGGGACTACGGGTGCCCGCCACCAAGCCTGGCTAATTTTTTTGTATTTTTAGTAGAGACAGGATTTCACCTTGTTAGCCAGGATGGTCTCGATCTCCTGACCTCATTATCCACTCGCCTTGGCTTCCCAAAGTGCTGGGATTACAGGCGTGAGCCACCATGCCTGGCCTCATTTCTTTTTATGACTGAATAACTTTCCATTATTTTATGGTTTTATATCTTCATAAATTGAAGGACATTTGGATTACTTCTAATGTTTATCTATTATAAGTAATACTGCTATAAACATTTGTGCACAAGCACATGTGTGTAAGCATATGTTTTTAATTCTCTTAGGTACATAGTAGGAGTGAAATTGCTGGGTCAAAAGATAGCTCTATGTTCAACCACTTAAGGAACTGCCAAGCTGCTTTCCAAAGGGGCTGCAACATTGTATATTTTCACCAGAACTATATGAAGGTTGCTATTTTTCCGGATCCTCGAAAGACTTATTATTTCTTTTCTTTATTTTAATCATTCTAGTGAATGTGAAGTGGTATGTTACTATGGTATGGAGTTATGTTTTCTTGTGGCTAATGATATTGTACTATTTCCATGTGCTAATTAGCTATGTTGTATATCTACATTGTAAAACTGTTTAATAAGACCTTTTGCCTATTTAAAAGTTAGGTTTCTGTTTTCTTAAAAAAATATAGAACATAGTAGTACATTCTATATTCTAGAGACAAGTTTCACATGAGATATAGGATTTGTGGCATTATCTCCCATTCTGGAAGATGTCTTTTCACTTTATTGATGATATATTTTGAAGAACAATATTTTTAAAATGTTGGTGACTTCCAGTTTAACTACTTTTTTTTTGTTTCTTGCAAATGGGTGTCATAGCTAAGAAAGCAATGCATGCCTGTGTCAAAATATCTCCTGTAACACATAAATATATACAGCTACTATGCAGCTAGAAAAGTTAACAATAATAATAATAATAAAAGAAACCAATGCTCAATTCTAGGTTATAAACATTTATATTCGTGTTTTCTTTTAAGTTTTATGGTTTTAGTTCTTACATCTAGGTTGTAAATGCATTTTCAGTTAATTTTGTATGTAAGCTAGGAGTACAACTTCATTTTTTAACATGCCGTTACCCAGTTGTCACAGCACTGTTTGTTGAAAGATGATTTTTTTCTCCTTTAATTTTATTGGTACCTTTGTCTAAAATCAACTGAATACAATGGTGAAGATTTACTCCTGGTCTCTCAGTTCTATTACATTAATCTGTACGTCTGTTCTTATGCCAGTACCACACAGTCTTGATTACCCAGGCCTTGAAATCTATACATGTTCAGATATGCAGTAAATTTTGTAATTTTGAAACCTGGAAGTGTAAGTTTTTCCACATTGTTCTTTTTCAAGATTGTTTTGGTAATATTGGGTCCTTTGCATTTATGTATAAATTTTAGAACCAGCTTTTTAATTTCTGCAACTAAGTCACCTGCATTTCCCATAACAATTGCCTCAAATCTGTACATGAATTTGGGGAGCATTGCTGTTTTAGCAATACAGTTTTCTAACCAATGGGCATGAGATGTTTTTCTATTGATGTAGCTCTTTCTAAAATTTATTTTGGATGGGTGCAGGGGCTCATGCCTGTAATCCCAGCACATAGGGAGGTTGAGGTGGGCAGACCACCTGAGGTCAGGAGTTCAATACCAGCCTGGCCAACATGGTGAAATCCCGTTTCTACTAAAAATACAAAAATTAGCTGGGTGAGGTTGTGCACACCTGTAGTTCCAGATACTCAGGAGGCTGAGGCAGAAGAATTGCTTGAACCTGGGAGGTGGAGGTTGCAGTGAGCCGAGATTGAGCCAGTGCACTCCAGCCTGGGCAACAGAGTGAAACTCCTTCACTAAAAAATTTTGTTTTCAACAGTGTCTTGCAGTTTTCAGGGTACATAATTTGCATTGCCTTTGTTAAAATTATCTTTAAATATTTTTTTCCTTTTGAAGTGATTATAATGAAATTATTTTCTTCATTTAATTATTGGTTTTCTCATTGATACTGTATAGAAATACAATTGAGTTTTGTATAGTGATCTTCTATTTCTAGTCTCCATAAACTCATTTATTAGTTCTAAAAGATTTTAGTTAATTCTTTAGAAAATAATTTATTTTAAAATATTTTAAAAATGTTTTTGGGTACAAAATGGGCATATATATATTTAGGGGTTACATGGAATAGTTTGATACAGGCATACAATGCATAATAACCACATCAGAATAAATAGAGTATCCATCACCTCAAGCATCTATCCTTTGTGTTACAAAGAAGCCAATTATATTCTTTAAGCTTTTTAAAAATACACAATTAGTTTTTTTTCTTTTTTTTCCCAAGATGGTGAATAAGATGCAGTGCTAGCATGCCTCTCCTACTTGGAAGAAAAGAACACTGTGTGGAAATTCACACTGTTAAGTTGTGTTCCATGAACCACCACAGAAACTTACCAGAGGAAACTGAAAGAATTCACAGACCTTTTGAAAGAAGTAACATGCCACAGCAAACTTTGTAGGACAGCCATAAAATTGTGAGTTCCCAGAATGACAGAGGGAAAGGCATCCCCTGAAAGACACATTCCCACTGGGAAAATCTGAAAATCCAGATCATGGGAAGATACTTTAACTTTATGTAGAGCTGGAATGGATTTAGGGAATGGTGTGAAATATAAAAGTACAAGCAGCAGTGAGAACCTTGTAGGCATTCCCAGTCTCCAGCTTGAGCCCAGGGAGGCCATTTCTGACTATATGTCACAGGAGCCCTTGGAGAAGGCAGCCAGCAAACTTAGGGAGGGACCTCAGGGTGAAAGAACTGCCCAAGTGAGTTGTGTGATAATTTTGAGTGGAAACAAACTCCCTTGACCAGAATCTGGGAAACAAATGAAAACTGCTGCAAATATGAGCACAGGAGCTGGGCATCTGGCATTGCGGGCAGATGGGGAGGGTCATCGTCTGAAAGCCTTGTTTGCTTTTTCAGTGGGGAAGCTTATGGCCTGTGATAGGTCTGAGTTTTTGCACAGGCTGCCTGGTTCTAGACTTGGTACTGTTAGTGGGGCACTGCAAGATCAAGACCAGCCTCAAAAACTGTATGAGAGCTAGGTGAGGACTCTCACTACTAGCTAATCCCCACTCCCCCAGCAAACTACTGCACAGCAGAGACAGCCAGACTCCCCTCTGGAACATAACCCCATTGGCCTGAGAACCAGCCTCCTCACCCCCTACAGTGGATGCAGCAAGCCTTGCCCAGGGTTTCTGCGCTCAGACCTGTCTAACCTTGCCACCACCTGATAGTATTTATCTGCCCATCTTGGTAGCTTAACACAAAATATATAAATTCTTAGGAGCTTTATGGTCCCAACCATTGCCTGAGAAACCAGAATACTTTTTGGCTTACTTAGGGCAAGCTCAAGTCCCACTGTTATTACCACAGCTGGTGCTCTGTTCAAAGCACTACCTCTGGCTAGAGGCCAACCAACTAAGGACATTACAGCAACTCATGAGAGAATAACATTTTTCCCAGGAAGGAGAAAACTCCAGCTAATTTTATTGCCTACAATATCTTGTCTAACCAGTGGTCCTGAGTCCACCCATGTGACAACTTCACTTCTAGCATAACCAGCATTTGAGAAAGCCAGCACACTAAACATACCTACAACCAAGAAATCACACACACTCTACAGCATTCCCCTGCCACCTCCATCAAACCAGGTGCTGGCATTCACAGCTGGGAGAACTAAATGCTGGTCACATCACTGGACTCCTTGAAGACATTCCCCAGAACTGGCCTGGAGCCTGGTAGCTCCATGGAGTGACTAGACCCAGAAGAGGAATAATAATCACTGAAGTCCAGCTCTGAGGAAGCTCTTTTACTGGAGGAACAGAGAGAGCACCAAATAAAGGAATCAACCCATGGGACAAAGGAATCTGAATGGCAGGCCTGGAGTTTCAGATCTTTCCACTGGTGGGTAGTTTCTAACAGCAGAGACACAATTGTGCTGGGCAGTGCAGTAGGGAAAGTCTGCACCTCGACCTCAACAGGATAGAAGCCTCTGTAATTATGAAAGGCCTTGGAGAAGGAGTCCTTGTTTCACCTTGGCAAAAATCCATCACAAAACAGCTGGAATTCTCCACAGGAATGCAGTATGGAGGCACCTATAGGCAGCCTTCTTGTAACAATCAAGGATGAATGAAGCCCCACAGAAGGAGCACTCCCCAGACTCATGCTTGCAAAAGGGGCAGAGTTATAGTTCTTCCCTACTTGGAACATCAATATTTCTATACGTAAAAAATGTGCCTGTCTGACCTGAAGAGCTTAAACACTGAGTCAGGAGTGAGGCTGTGAGGTGAATAGCTTTACTGCTGACCTGGCAGGGAGCTGAGGTAGCTGCAACTCTTCGCCTTGAGAAAACCTCAGCACATCTGATTGAAAACTCCTCCAGCCAATCTCAACAAGGGCGGGACATCAGCCCACCATTAGGTGTTACATCTATCCACTTTCCCTAGCTACAGCCAATACCTACCCAGGGATATCTCACCTTTAAACCTGAAACCTGAATAATCAACTCAGTGAATAAAATACTGGGGAAAAATTAAACAAATAAATGAATGCACATCATGAGAGAATGAGATAATCTTCAAGAGATTCCTGCCACTGCAGGAACTGCAATTCCATAGGAGACAATAAACTCACCCATACACCAAGCACATAACTACTATAACCAGCATCAGGGAAAGCCAGCACACAAAGACTCTATAACTAAGAAGCTTAAACAGAGTCTTCACCTCTACAAGCACCAATAATCAAATTAGGCTAAAATAAACATTAAAGTCTGATCCTTAAGGAAGAAAAATAAATAAATTAAAAAACATAGTCCAATTAAAAATAAATTCAAAAACAATTTGAAGAAATATTCTACCCAAATGAAAAAATAAACCAGAAAAGTAATTTTGGTAATACGAAAGAAATACTGTTCTTTAACACCCTGAAAATTTCACACTAGCTCCCCAGCAATGGATCCAAACCAAGAAGATATCTCTGAAGTGCCAGATAAATAATTCAGAAGGTTGATTATGAAACAACTAAAGGAGATATCAGGAAAAGGTGAAAATCAAGTTAAAAAAATACAGGCTATAGATGAAAAATTTTCCAGAGGAATATATATAAAGATAAAAAACTATCATAACTTCTGGAAATAAAAAGTACACTTAGGGAAATACAAAATGCAGTAGAAAGTTTCAACAATAGGCTAGAAGAAGTAGAAGAAATACCTTCAGCTCTAGAAGACAAGGCTTTCAAGTTAACCCAATTAGACAAAGTCAAAGAAAAAATAATAAAAATTTAACAAAGTCTCCAAGAAATATGGAATTATGTTAAAGAGCCAAACTTAAGAATAATTGGTGTTTCTGAGAAAGAAGAGACATTTGAAAATTTGTATAACTTAGTTGAGGGAATAATTGAGGAAATCTTCCATGGCCTTGCTAAAGATCTAGACATCTAAATACAAGAAGCTCAAAGAACTCCTTTGAAACTCAACCCAAAATGATCATCATCAATCACACAGTCATCAGTTTATCTAAAGTCAAGATGAAGAAAAGAATCTTAAGATCTGTGAGACAAAAGCATCGGGCAACCTATTAAAAATCCCTGTCAGATTAATAGTATATTTATCAGCAGAAACCTTAAAAGCCAGAAGGGATTGGGGTTCTGTCTTTAGCCTCCTTAAACAAAATAATTGCCAATCAATAATTTCGTATCTAGCAAAACTGAGCCTCATAAATAAAAAGGGGTTATACATTTTTTTTTCAGACAAACAAATGTTGAGAGAATTTGCAAAATATGAGAAAAGGAATTCTAAATCTTGGAACAAAACCTCAAAATCCAGCAAAGTAGAACCTCCTTAGTGCATAAATCTTACAGGAATTATAAAACAGTAACACAATAAAAAAAAAAACAAGGTATGTACACAATAATAACATAATAAATAGAACAGTGTTTCACATCTCAATACTAACATTGAATGACAATGACCTAAACACTCCACTTAAAAGATACAGAATGGCAGAATGGATGAGAATCCATCAATCGAGTATGTGCTGTCTTCAAGAGACTCATCTAACATATAAGGACTCACATAAACTTACAGTAAAGGGGTAAAAAAAGATATTTCATGCAAATGGAAACCAAAAGAAAACAAGAATAACTTTTATTATGTAAGCCAAACAGACTTTAAACAGCAACAGCAAACAAGAGGACATTATATAATGATAAAAGAATTAGTCCAACAGAAAGATATTACAATATTAAATATATATGCACCTAACACTGACGCTTCCAAATTCATAAAATAATTACTGCTAGACCTAAGAAATGAGATACATGGCAACACAATAATATTGGGATAATTTAATACCTTACTGACAGCACTAGACAGGTCATCAAGATAGAATATCAACAAAAAACAATGGATTTAAACTACACGTTAAAACAAATGAACTTAAAAGATATTTGCAGAACATCTACCCAACAACTGCAGAATATACATTCTTCTCTTCAGCACATGGAACATTTTCCAAGATAGACCAGGTGATAGGCAAAGAAAGTCTTAATAAATTTAAGAAAATCAATATCATATCAAATATTTTCTAAGCCCACAGTGGAATAAAACTGAAAATTAAAAGGAATCCTCAAAACTATACATATACATGGAAACTAAATAATCTTGTTTTGAATGATTTTGGGGTTAATAAGGAAATCAAAATGTGAATTAAAAAATTCTGTGAACTGAATGAAAATAGTGACACAACTTATTAAAACTTTGGGGATACAGCAGAAACAGTGCTAAGAGGAAAGGACATGCCACTAAATGCCTACATGAAAAAGTCTGAAAGAGCACAAATATACAATCTGAGTTCACAACTCAAAGAACTAGAGAAAAAAGAACAAACTAAAGTTAAACCCAGCAGAAGTAAAAAAAAAAAAAAGATCTGAGCAGAATGAAATGAAATTGAAACAAATACTACAAAAGATAAATAAAAAGCCAGTTTTTTGAAAAGATAAACAAAATTGATAGACCATTAGCAAGATTAACCAAGAAAAGGAGAGAGAAGATGCAAGCAAGCTCAATTAGAAATGAAATGAGAGATATTACAACCAATACTTTAGAAATACAAAAGACCATTCAAGGCTGCTATGAATACCATTACACTCTCAAACTATTTGTAGTCTAGAGAAGTTAAATAAATTCCTGGAAATATACAACCCTCTTAGATTAAATCAGGAAGAAATAGCAACTTTGAACAGACCAAAAGTAAGTAGCAAGATTGAACCAGTAATAGAAAAAAATTGCCAACAACAACAACAAAAATCCAGGACCAGATGGATTCCCAGCTGAATTGTATGAGACATTAAAAGAAGAACTGGTACTAATCCTACTGCAATTATTCCAACTGATAGAGAGAAAGCAGGAATTCTCCCTCAATTATTCTATGAAGCTAGCATCACCTTAATGTCAAAAACAGGAAAGGACATAACAAAAAAAGAAAACTACAGACCAACATCCCTGATGAAAAAGATGTAGAAATTCTCAACAAAATACTAGCTAATTGAATCCAACAGCATATAAAAAAGACAATACAGGATGATCAAGTGGGTTTCATACCAGGGATACAGGTATGTTTTAATATATGCAAGTCAATAAATGTAATACATCACATAAATTGAATTAAAAACAAAAATTATATGTTTATCTTAACAGATGCAGAAAAAGCCTTTTGTAAAATCCAGCATCCTGTTTGATAAAAAGCCTCAACAAAATTAGCATGGAAGAGGCATACATCAAAGTAGTAAAGTTATCAATGACAAACCCACAGCTAACCTTATACTGAATGGGGAAACGTTTAAAACATTTCTCCTGAGAAGAGGAAGAGCAGAAGGATGCCCGCTTTCACCACTTCTATTTAACATAATACTGGAAGTCTTAGCCAGAGCAGTCAGACAAAAGAAAGATATAATGGGCAACCAAACTGGAAAAGAGGAGCAAACTTTGCTGTTCACTGATGAAATATCCTATACTGGCCTCATAAAATGAGTTAGGGAGGATTCCCACTTTTTCTATTGACAGGAGTAGTTTCAGAAGGAATGGTACCAGCTCTTCCTTGTACCTCTGGTAGAATTTGGCTGTGAATCCATCTGGTCCTGGACTTTTTTTGGTTGGTAAGCTATTAATTATTGCCTCTATTTCAGAGCCTGTTATTGGTCTATTCAGAGATTCAACTTCTTCCTGGTTTAGTCTTGGGAGAGTGTAAGTGTCGAGGAATTTATCTATTTCTTTTAGATTTTCTAGTATATTTGCATAGAGGTGTTTATAGCATTCTCTGATGGTAGTTTGTATTTCTGTGGGATTGGTGGTGAAATCCCCTTTGTCATTTTTTATTGCATCTATTTGATTCTTCTCTCTTTTCTTCTGTATTAGTCTTGCTAGCGGTCTATCAATTTTGTTGATCTTTTCAAAAAACCATCTCCTGGATTCATTGATTTTTTGAAGGTTTTTTTGTGTCTCTATTTCCTTCAGTTCTGCTCTGATCTTAGTTATTTCTTACCTTCTACTAGCTTTTGAATGTGTTTGCTCTTGCTTCTCTAGTTCTTTTAATTGATGATGTTAGGGTGTCAATTTTAGATCTTTCCTGCTTTCTCTTGTGGGCATTTAGTGCTATAAATTTCCCTCTACACACTGCTTCGAATGTGTCCCAGAGATTCTGGTATGTTGTGTCTTTGTTCTCATTGGTTTCAAAGAACATCTTTATTTCTGTCTTTATTTTGTTATGTACCCAGTAGTCATGCAGGAGCAGGTTGTTCAGTTTCCTTGTAGTTGAGCGGTTTTGAGTGAGCTTCTGAATCCTGAGTTCTAGTTTGATTGCACTGTGGTCTGAGAGGCAGTTTGTTATAATATCTGTTCTTTTACATTTGCTGAGGAGTGCTTTACTTCCAACAATGTGGTCAATTTTGGAATCCTGATACCAAAGCCTGGCAGAGACACACAAAAAAAGAGAATTTTAGACCATATCCTTGATGAACATTGATGCAAAAATCCTCTATAAAATACTGGCAAACCGAATCCCGCAACACATCAAAAAGCTTATCCACCATGATCAAGTGGGCTTCATCCCTGGGATGCAAGGCTGGTTCAACATACGAAAATAAATAAATGTAATCCAGCATATAAACAGAACCAAAGACAAAAACCACATGATATCTCAACAGATGCAGAAAAGGCCTTTGAAAAAATTCAACAACTCTTCATGCTAAAAACTCTCAATAAATTAGGTAGTGATGGGAAGTATCTCAAAATAATAAGAGCTATCTATGACAAACCCACAGCCAATATCATACTGAATGGACAAAAACTGGAAGCATTCCCTTTGAAAACTGGCACAAGACAGGGATGCCCTCTCTCACCACTGCTATTCAACATAGTGTTGGAAGTTCTGGCCAGAGCAATCAGGCAGGAGAAGGAAATAAAGGGCATTCAATTAGGAAAAGAGGAAGTCAAATTGTCTCTGTTTGCAGATGACATGATTGTATATCTAGAAAACCCCATCATCTCTGCCCAAAATCTCCTTAAGCTGATAAGCAACTTCAGCAAAGTCTCAGGATACAAAATCAATGTGCAAAAATCACAGGCATTCTTATACACCAATAACACACAAACAGAGAGCCAAATCATGAGGGAACTCCCATTCACAATTGCTTCAAAGAGAATAAAATACCTAGGAATCCAACTTACAAGGGATGTGAAAGACCTCCTCAAGGAGAACTACAAACCACTGCTAAGTGAAATAAAAGAGGATACAAACAAATGGAAGAACATTCCATGCTGAAGGGTAGGAAGAATCAATATCATGAATATGGCCATACTGCCCAAGGTAATTTGTACATTCAATGTCATCCCTATCAAGCTACCAATGACTTTCTTCACAGAATTGGAAAAAACTACTTTAAAGTTCATATGGAACCAAAAAAGAGCCCACATTGCCAA
Organism: Homo sapiens; assembly: GCF_000001405.40. Classification (NCBI taxonomy): domain Eukaryota; kingdom Metazoa; phylum Chordata; class Mammalia; order Primates; family Hominidae; genus Homo; species Homo sapiens. Next base: position 67,397,002 of record NC_000023.11, on the reverse strand, counting down.
GTCAATCCTAAGCCAAAAGAACAAAGCTGGAGGCATCATGCTACCTGACTTCAAACTATACTACAAGGCTACAGTAGCCAAAACAGCATGGCACTGGTACCAAAACAGAGATATAGACCAATGGAACAGAACAGAGCCCTCAGAAATAATGCTGCATATCTACAACTATCTGATCTTTGACAAATCTGACAAAAACAAGCAATGGGGAAAGGATTCCCTATTTAATAAATGGTGCGGGGAAAACTGGCTAGCCATATGTAGAAAGCCGAAACTGGATCCCTTCCTTACACCTTATACAAAAATTAATTCAAGATGGATTAAAGACTTAAACGTTAGACCTAAAACCATAAAAACCCTAGAAGAAAACCTAGGCAATACCATTCAGGACATAGTCATGGGCAAGGACTTCATGTCTAAAACACCAAAAGCAATGGCAACAAAAGACAAAATTGACAAATGGGATCTAATTCAACTAAAGTGCTTCTGCACAGCAAAAGAAACTACCATCAGAGTGAACAGGCATCCTACAGAATGGGAGAAAATTTTTGCAACCTACTCATCTGACAAAGGGCTAATATCCAGAATCTACAATAAATTCCAACAAATTTACAAGAAAAAACAAACAACCCCATCAAAAAGTGGGCAAAGGATATGAACAGACACTTCTCAAAAGAAGACATTTTTGCAGCCAAAAAACACATGAAGAAATGCTCATCATCATTGGCCATCAGAGAAATGCAAATCAAAACCACAATGAGATACCATCTCACAGCAGTTAGAATGGCGCTGATTAAACAGTCAGGAAACAACAGGTGCTGGAAAGGATGTGGAGAAATAGGAACACTTTTACACTGTTGGTGGGACTGTAAATTAGTTCAACCCTTGTGGAAGTCAGTGTTGTGATTCCTCAGGGATCTAGAATTAGAAATACCATTTGAACCAGCCAACCCATTACTGAGTATATACCCAAAGGATTATAAATCACGCTGCTATAAAGACTCATGCACACTTATGTTTATTGTGGCACTATTCACGATAGCAAAGACTTGGAAGCAACCCAAATGTCCAACAATGATAGACTGGATTAAGAAAATGTGGCACATATACACCATGGAATACTATGCAGCCATAAAAAATGCTGAGTTCATGTCCTTTGTAGGGACCGCATATTTTCACTCATAGGTGGGAATTGAACAGTGAGAACACATGGACACAGGAAGGGGAACATCACACACTGCGGACTGTTGTGGGGTGGGGGAGGGGGGAGGGATATCATTAGGAGATATACCTAATGCTACATGACGAGCTAGTGAGTGCAGGACACCAACATGGCACATGTATACATATGTAAGAAACCTGCACGTTGTGCACATGTACCCTAAAACTTAAAGTGTAATAATCATAATACTAAAGGAAATAATCGTACACTAAGAAAACTTTAAGATGCATCCAAAAGTGTTTAGATCTGATAAATGAATTCAGTAAAGTGCCAGGATACAAATTGAATGCCCACTAATTAGTAGCACTGGTATACACAAGCAACAATCAAGCTGAGAATCAGATCAAGTACTCAATTCCTTTTACGACAGTGGCAAAAATTTAAAATACTTTGGAATATACCTAACAAAGGAGGTGAAAAATCTCTACAAGGAGCACTACAAAACACTGCTGAAAGAAATTATAGATGACACAAACAAACAGAAACACTTCCCATGCTCATGAAAGGGTAAAGTCAATATTGTGAAAATGACCATACTGCCAAGAGCAAACTAGAAATTGAATAAAATTCCCATGAACATACCATTATTATTCTTCACAGAACTAGAAAAAAAATCCTAAAATTCATATGGAACCAAAAAAGAGCCCACATAGCCAAAGCAATACTAAGCAAAAAGAACAAATCTGGAGGTATCACATTACCTGACTTCAAACTATACAACAAGTCTATAGTCATCATAATAGCACAGTATTGGTATAAAATAGGCACATATACCAATGGAATAGAATAGTAAGACTAGAAATAAAGGCAAATACTTACAGCCAACTGTTTTTGAGAAAGCAAACAAAAACTTGAAGTGGAGAAGTGACACCCTATTCAATAAATTTTGTCGGTAAAATTGGTAAGCCACATGTAAAATAATAAAACTGGATCTTCATCTTTTGCCTTATAAAAAATAACTAAAAATGGATAAAAGACTTAAATCTAAGACCAGAAATCATAAAAACTCTAGAAGATAACATTGGAAAAACTCTTGTAGACATTGGCTTAGGCAAAGAATTCATGACTAAGATCCCAAAAGCAAATGCAACAAAAACAATAATAATTAAAGCAGACCTAATTCACTACAAAGCTTCTGCACATCAAAATAAATAATCATCAGAGTAAACAGACAACCCACAGAATGGAAAAAAAAAATCTTTGCAAACTACACAACTGACAAAGGACTAGTATTGATAATCTACAAAGAACTCAAATCAACAAGAAAAAAACAACAAATGATTCCATCAAAATTGGGCAAAAATATGTACAGACAATTCTTAAGATATAAATGCAACAAATATAGGAAAAATGTTCAATATTACTAATTATCAGGGAAATTCAAATTAAAACCACAATAAATCACCCCATTTCTCCCGAAAGAATGGCCATAATTTAAAAATAAAAAATAATAAATACTGGTGTGGTGTAAATGGAACACTTTTACACTGCTAGTGGAAATGTAAAATAGTACAGCCACTATGGAAAATAGTATGGAGGTTTCTTAGAGGGCTAAAAGCAGAACTACTATTCTGCAATCCCACTACTGGGTATCTACCCAAAGAAAAGAAGTCATTTTATGTAAAAGCCGCATGCAGGCTTAATACATGGGTGATAGGTTCATAGGTGCAGCAAACCACCATTGCACACATTTACCTATGTAAAAAACCTGCACATCCTGCACTTGTATCTCAGAAATTAAAATTAAAATAAATTTTTAAAAAAGAAAAGAAAAATCCACAAGCACATGCATATTTATAGCAGCACTATTCACAATTGCAGAAATATAGAACCAACTTAAATGCCCATCAACCATTGAGTGGATAAAGAAAATGTGGTATATATACACCAGAGAATACTGCTCAGCCATAAAACAGAATGAAATAATGGCCTTTTCAGCAACTTGGATAGAGTTGAAGGCCATTATTCTTAGTAAGTTACTCAGGAATGGAAAAACAAATATTGTATGTTCTCACTTGTAAGTGGGAGCTAAGCTGTGAGACTGCATAGGCATGAGAAAAATAAAATGGACTTTGGGTACTTGCGGAGAAGGGTAGGAGAGAGAGTGATGGATAAAATACTACATATTGGGTACAGTGTACACTGCTCAGGTGATGGATGCACCAAAGTCTCAGAATTATCACTAAAGGACTTATCCATGTTACCAAAAGCCACTGAACCCCAAAATCTATTGAAATAAAATAAAAATTTAAAAAGTACCATTAAATGATTATTGAGTATAGTCACCCTGTTGTGCTATCAAATACAAGATCTTACTCATTCATCCTACTTTTTTTGTACCTATTAACCATCTCCATTTTTCAATATCTCCCATTACCCTTCTTAGCCTCTGGTAACCATCATTCTTGCTCTATCTCCATAGGTTCAATTGTTTTAATATTGAGTTCCCACAAATAAGTGAGTTTATGTGGTTTGTCCTTTCTGTGTTTAGTTTATTTCACTTAAAAAGTTGACCTCCAATTACATCAATGTGGATGCAAGCGGCTGGATTTTATTATTTTTTATGACTGAAGAGTACTCCATTGTTTATATGTACCACATTTTCTTTATTGATCCATTTGTTGATAGACATTTAGGTTGCTTCCAAATCTTGAATATTGTGAATAGTACTGCCGTAAACATGAGCATCCAGATATCATTTTGATACACTAATTTTCTTTCTTTTGGGTATATACATAAAAGTGGGATTGCTGGATCATATGGCACCTCTATTTTTTAGTTCCTTGAGAAATCTCCAAACTGTTCTCCATAATGATTGTACTAATTTACATTTCCACCAACAGAGTTCAAGGATTTTCTTTCATCACATCCTTGTCAGGATTAGTTACTGCCTATATTTTGGATAAAAGTCGTTTTAACTGGGGTGAGATGATATCTTGTTGTAGTTTTGATTTGCATTTCTCTGATGATCAATAATGTTGAATATGTTTTTATATATCTATTTGCCATTCGTATGTCTTCTTTTGAGAAATGTCTATTCTGATCTTTTGCCCATTTTAATTAGATTGTTAGTTTGTTTTCTCCTATAGAGTTGTTTGAACTTCTTTTATATTCTGCTTATCAATCCCTTCTCAGATGGGTAGTTTGCAAATATTTTCTCCCATTCTGTGGGTTGTCCCTTCATTTTATTGATTGTATTCTTTGTTGTGTTGAAGCTTTTTAACTTGATGTGATTCTATCTGTCCACGTTCCTTTGGTTGTCTGTGCTTCTGGAATATTACTCAAGAAATCTTTGCTCAGTCCAATATCCTGCAGAGTTTTCCCAAAGTTTTATTTTGGTGGATTCATAGTTTGATGACCTAGATTTAAGACCATAATTCATTTTCATTGATATATTTTTTCTTTTTTATTATTATAATTTAAGTCCTGGGGTACATGTGCAGACCCTGCAGGTTTGCTACATAGGTATACATGTGCCATGGTGGTTTGCTACACCCATCTATCCATCATCTACATTAGGTGTTTCTCCTGATGCTATCCCTCCTACATCCTGCCACTCCCTGACAGGACCAGATGTGTGATGTTCCCCTCACTGTGTCCATGTGTTTTCATTGTTCAAATCTCACTTATGAGTGAGAACAGGCAGTCTTTAGTTTTCTCTTCTTGTGTTACTTTGCTGAGAATGATGGTTTCCAGCTTCATCCGTGTCCCTGCAAAGGACATGAAATCATTATTTTTTATGGCTGCATTGTATCCCATGGTATATATGTGCCACAACTTCTTTCTCCAGCCTATCATTGATGGACTTTTGGGTTGGTTCCAAGTCTTTGCTGTTATGAATAGTGCCACAATAAACATACGTGTGCATGTGTCTTTATAGTAGGATGATTTATAATCCTTTGGGTATATACCCAGTAATGAGATTGCTGGGTCAAATGGTATTTCTTGTTCTAGATCCTTGAGGAATTGCCACACTCTCTTCCACAATGGTTGAACTAATTTACACTCCCACCAACAGTGTAAAAGCATTCCTATTTCTCCACATCCTCTCCAGCATCTGTTGTTTCCTGACTTTTTAATGATCACCATTCTAACTGGTGTGAGATGGTATCTCATTGTGGTTTTAATTTTCATTTCTCTAATGACCAGTGATGATGAGCATCTTTTCATATGTTTGTTGGCTGCATAAAAATCTTCTTTTGAGAAGTGTCTGTTCATATACTTTGCCCACTTTTTGATGGGATTGTTTGTTTTTTTCATGTAAATTTGTTTAAGTTCTTTATAGAGTCTGCATGTTAGCCCTTTGCCAGATGGATAGATTGCAAAAATTTTCTCCCATTTTGTAAGTTGCCTGTTCACATTGATTATAGTTTCTTTTACCGTGCAGTGCTCTTTAGTTTAATTAGATCCCATTTGTCTATTTTGGCTTTTGTTGTTATTATTTTTGGTGTTTTAGTCATGAAGTCTTTGCCCATGCCTATGTCCTGAATGGTATTGCCTAGGTTTTCCCCCAGAGTTTTTATGCTTTTTAGGTCTCACATTTAAGTATTTAATCCATCTTGAGTTAATTTTTGTATAAGGTGTAAGGAAGGGATCCAGTATCAGCTTTCTGCATATGGCTAGCCAGTTTTCCCAGCACCATTTATTAAATAGGGAATCCTTGCCCCATTGCTTATTTTTGTCAGGTTTGTCAAAGATCAGGTGGTTGTAGATGTGTGGTGTTATTTCTGAGGCCTCTATTCTGTTCCATTAGTCTATATATCTATTTTGGTACCAGTACCATGCTGTTTTTATTACTGTAGCCTTGTAGTATAGCTTGAAGTCAGATAGCATCATGCCTCCAGCTTTGTTCTTTTTGCTTAGGATTGTCTTGGCTATGTGGGCTCTTTTTTGGTTCAATATGAAATTTAAAGTCTTTTTTTTCCAATTCTGTGAAGAAAGTCAATTGCAGATTGATGGAGATAGCGTTGAATCTATAAATTACCTTGGGCAGTATGGCCATTTTCACGATGTTGATTCTTCCTATCCATGAGTATGGAATGTTTTTCTATTTGTCTGTGTCCTCTCTTATTTCCTTGAGCAGTGGTTTGTAGTTCTCCTTGAAGAGGTCCTTCACATTTCTTGTATATTGTATTCCTAAGTATTTTATTATCTTTGTAGCAATTGTGAATGGGAATTCACTCCTGACTTGGCTCTCTGTTTGTCTATTATTCGTCTATAGGAATGCCTGTAATTTTTGCATGTTGATTTTGTATCCTGAGGCTTTGCTGAAGTTGTTTATCAGCTTAAGGATATTTCGGGCTCAGATGATGGGGTTTCCTAAATATACAAGCATGTCATCTGCAAACAGAGACAATTTGACTTCCTCTTTTCCTGTTTGAATACCCTTTATTTCTTTCTCTTGCCAGATTGCCCTGGTCAGAACTTCCAATACTATGTTGAATAGGAGCAGTGAGAGAGGGGATCCTTATCTTGTGCTGGTTTCTAAAGAGAATAGTTTCAGCTTTTGCCCATTCAGTGTAATGTTGGCTATGGGTTTGTCATAAATAGCATAAATAGCTCTTATTATTTTGAAGTATGTCCCATCAATACCCAGTTTATTAAGAGCTTTTAGCATGAAGAAGTGGTGAATTTTATCAAAGGCTTTTTCTGCATAATTGAGATAATCATGTGTTTTTTTGTCATTGGTTCTGTTTACTTGATGGATTACATTTATTGACTTGTGCATGTTGAACCAGCCTTGCATCCCAGGGATGAAGCTGACTTGATCATGGTGGATAAGCTTTTTGATGTGCTGCTGGTTTAGGTTTGCCAGTATTTTATTGAGGATTTCTGCACTGATGTTCATCAGGGATTTTGGCCTAAAACTGTTTTTGTGTGTGTGTGTGTGTGTGTGTGTGTGTGTCTCTGCCAGGTTTTGGTTTCAGGATGATTCCAGCCTCATAAAATGAGTTTTGGAGAGTCCTTCTTTTTCTACTGTTTGAAATACCTTCAGAAAGAACGGTACCAGCTCCTCTTTGTACCTCCGATAGAATTTGGCTGTGAACCCCTCACATGCTGGGCTTTTTTTTGGGTTGGTAGGCTATTAATTACTGCCTCAATTTCAGAACGTGTTTTTGGCCTATTCAGGAATTTCACTTCTTCCTGGTTTAGTCTTCAGAGGGTGTACGTGTCCAGGAATTTATCCATTTCTTCTAGATTTTCTAGTTTATTTTCATAGTGGTGTTTATAGTATTCTCTGAAGGTAGTTTCTATTTCTGTGGGATTGGTGGTGATATCCCCTTTATCATTTTTTATTGCATCTATTTGATTCTTCTCTCTTTTCTTCTTTATTAGTCTGTCTAGAAGTTCATCTATTTTGTTGATCTTTAAAAAAAAAACAGTTCCTGGATTCACTGATTTTTTGAAGGGTTTTTCGTGTCTCTATTACCTTCGGTTCTGCCCTGATCTTAGTTATTTCTTTTCTTATGCTAGCTTTTGGCTTCTCTATTTCTTTTAATTTTGATGTTAGGATGTTGATGTTAGATCTTTCCTGCTTTCTCTTTAGAGCATTCCTGCTTTTTCTTGTGGTATGTTGTGTGTTTGTTCTCATTGGTTTCAAAGAACATCTTTATTTCTGCCTTCATTTCATTATTTACCCAGTAGTCATTCAGGAGCAGGTTGTTCAGTTTCCATGTAGTAGTGCGGTTTTGAGTGAGTTTCTTAATCCTGAGTTCTAATTTTATTGCACTGTGGTCTGAGAGCCTGTTTGTTATGATTTCCATTATTTTGCATTTGCTGAGGAGTGTTTTACTTCCAATTATGCGGTCAATTTTAGAACAAGTCTGATGCATTGCTGAGAAGAATGTATATTCTATTGATTTGGGGTGGAGAGTTCTGTAGATGTCTATTAGGTCCGCTTGGTTCCAAGCTGAGTTCAAGCCCTGGATATCCTTGTTAATTTTCTGTCTCATAGAACAGTCTAATATTGACAGTGGGGTGTTAAAGTCTACCACTATTATTGTGTGGGAATCTAAGTCTCCTTGTAGGTCTTTAAGAACTTGCTTTATGAATCTGGGTGCTCCTGTATTGGGTGCATTCATATTTAGGATAGTTAGCTCTTCTTGTTGCATTGATCTTTTTACCATTATGTATTCCCCTTCATTTTCTCTTTTGATCTTTGTTGGTTTAAAGTTTGTTTTATGAGAGACTAGGATTGCAACCCCTGCCTTTTGCTTTCCATTTGCTTGGTAAGTCTTCCTCCATCCCTTTATTTTGAGCCTATGTGTGTGTTTGTACATGAGATGGGTCTGCTGAATACAGCACATCAAATGGTTTTGACTCTTTATCCAATTTGCCAGTCTGTGTCTTTTAATTGGGACATTTAGCTCATTTACGTTTAAGGTAAATATTGTTATGTGTGTATCTGATCCTGTCATTATGATGCTAGCTGGTTATTTTGCCTGTTAGTTGATGTAGTTTCTTCATAGCCTCGATGGTACAATTTGGAATTTTTGGCTGTGGCTAGTGCTGGTGGTTCCTTTCCATGTTTAATGTTCCCATGAGGAGCTCTTGTAAGGCAGACCTGGTGGTTACAAAATCTCTCAGCATTTGCTTGTATGTAAAGGATTTTATTTCTCCTTTGCTTATGAAACTTAGTTTGGCTGAATACAAAATTCTGGGTTGAAAATTATTTCCTTTAAGGATGTTGAATATTGGCCCCCACTTTCTTCTGGCTTGTAGGGTTTCTCCAGACAGATCTGTTGTTAGGTTGATGGGTTACCATTTGTGGGTAACCCGACCTTTCTCTCTGGCTGCGCTTAACATTTTTGCCTTCATTTCAACCTTGGTGAATCCGATGATTATGTGTCCTGGGGTTGCGCATCTTGAGGAATATCTTTGCGGTGTTCTCTGTATTTCCTGAATTTGAATGTTGGCCTGCCCTGCTAGGTTGGGGAAGTTCTCCTGGATAATACCCTGAAGAGTGTTTTCCAACTTGTTTCCATTCTCACCGTCACTTTCAGGTATGCCAATCGAACATAGATTTGGTCTCTTCACATAGTCCTATATTTCTTGGAGGGTTTTTTTGTTTCTTTTCACTCCTTTTTTCTCTAATCTTGTCTTCTTGCTTCATTTCATTGAGTTAATCTTAAATCTCCAATATCCTTTCTTCCGCTTAATCAGTTCAGCTATTGATATTGTGCATGCTTCATGAAGTTCTCGTGCTGTGATTTTCAGCTCCATCAGGTCATTTATGTTCTTCTCTAAGCTGGTTATTCTAGTTATCAATTCGTCTAACCTCTTTTCATTGTTCTTAGCTTCCTTGCATTGGGTTAGAACATGATTCTTTAGCTCAGAGGAGTTTGTTATTATCCACCTACTGAAGCCAACTTCTGTCAATTCATCAAACTCATTCTCTGTCCCGTTTTGTTCCCTTACTGGTGAGGAGTTGTGATCCTTTGGAGAAGAGGGATTCTGGTTTTTGGAATTTTCAGCCTTCTTGTGCTGGTTTCTCCCCATCTTCACGGATTTACTTACCTTTGGTCTTTGATATTGTTGATGTTGATACTATTCCTTTCTATTCGTTAGTTTTCTTTTTAACAGTCAGGCCCCTCTGCTGCTGGCCTGCTGGTTTGCTGGAGGTCCACTCCAGACCCTGTTTGCCTGGGTTTCACCACTGCAGGCTGCAGAACAACAAAGATTGCTTCCTGTTCCTACCTCTGGAAGCTTCATCCCAGAGGGGCACATGCCAGATACCAGCCAGAGCTCTCCTGTATGAGGTGTCTGTCAGCACCTACTGGGACGTGTCTCCCTGTCTGGATACACAAGTGTTCAGGGACCCACTTGAGGAGGTAGTCTGTCCCTTATCTGTGCTCGAACACTGTGCCCGAACACTGTGCCAGGAGAACCACTGTTCTCTTCAGAGCTGTCAGGCAAGGATGTTTAAGTCTCCTGAAGTTGTGCCCACAGCCGCCCCTTCTCCCAGGTGCTCTGTCTCAGGGAGCTGAGGTGGGCTCCGCCCAGTTCAAACTTCCCGACAGCTTAGTTTACACTGTGAGGGTAAAACCGCCTACTTAAGCCTCAGCAATGATGGATGCCCCTCCCCCCACAAAGCTGGAGCATCCCAGGTAGGCCTCAGACTTCTGTGCTAGCAGCTAGAATTTCAAGCCATTGGATCTTAGCTTGTTGGGCTCTGTGGGGATAAGACCCACCGAGCCAGGCACAAGACAGAATCTCCTGGACTGTCAGAATCCTTTCCCTATTGCTTGTTTTTATCAGGGTTGTCAAAGATCAGATGGTTGTAGATGTGTGTCATTATTTCTGAGGCCTCTGTTCTGTTCCATTGGTTTATATATCTGTTTTGGTACCAGTACCAACGCTGTTTTGGTTACTGTAGCCTTGTAGTATAGTTTGAAGTCAGGTTGCATGGTGCCTCCAGATAGGAAGAAACAATATTGTGAAAATGGCCATACTGCCCAAGATAATTTATAGATTCAATGTTATCACCATGAAGCTACCATTGACTTTCTTCACAGAACTAGAAAAAACTACTTTAAATTTCATATGGAACCATAAAATAGCCCATATAGCCAAGATAATCCTAAGTATACCATCGTTTTTAAGAAGGCTTTCCAGGTATTCAGAAGGACCTGAGTTTTGTGATCTAAGTTTTTAGTCCCTACAGATGTATCTGCATCATGGAGTACCCCAAGTTCAGTAGTGCTGTGGGTCTTGCAGACTCATTGAGATATTACATTCCAGGACTTGGATAAGATCCAGAAGAATTTTCTTGGTTTCCAGGCAGAGACCCTTACTCTCTTCCCATACTTTTTTTTCAAATAAATGAAGTCTCTCTCTCTCTGTGATGAGCTGCCTGGAGCTAGGGATAGACTGACACAAGCAATCCTATGGCTACCATTACTGGGACTATCTGGGTCAAATCTGAACCCAGCGTAGCACTTGGTCTCGCTCAAGGTCTCCTTTGACCACTACCTGGCTACAGCTTATGTTTGCACTATGGCTCTATAATCAGTAGGTGCCAATGCTAGCCAGGCATGTGTCCTTCCCTTCAGAGCAGCAAGTTCTCCTGGGTCCTGGGTGGGTCCAAAGTTTCTGTCTAGGAGCCATGGCCTAGAGTCAGAAATTTTAGAAATTTACTTGGTTCTCTAGTCTATTGTGGCTGACCTGACAGGTAAACCCCAGGATGAAGTCCTTTCCACTCTCTATTTTCCTTTCTACAGGCACAGGAGTCTCTTTCCATAGCCACCACCACTCCAGGCTCATGGGAAGTAATCCTGGGCTACCACAAATGTTCACTTAAGGCCCAAGACCTGTTCAGTCAGCTTGTGGTGAATGCTTCCAGGTCTGGAACACGACCTTCAGAGCAATGAGCTCCCCTATGGCCTAGGGCAAGTTCAGAAATGCTTCCCAAGAACCAAGGCCTGGAACTGGGAACCCCAAGAGCCTGCTTGATGCTTTACCGCATTGTGTCCAAGATGTTACCTAAGCTTCAAGACAGAATCTCCTTTACTTTTCTCTTTGTTTTTCTCAAGCACAAGATGTCTCTCCCCATAGCCACCATTACTGGGAATGTGCTGAGTCACACATGAAGGAAGCACATCTCAGAGCCTCAACCAAGACACATGAATTATATTACCTGGACCTCACTGTTGATTATTCAGCTAAAAAGGACTCTTTTATTAGCAAGTAATGAATGTTGCCAAGACTTGGTCCTTTCTCAGTTGATTTCCTTCTGGCCTAGGATATGTCTAGAAATGTCATCCAGGAGCCAGTGCATAAAATGAAGATCTCCCAACTCTTCCTGGTGCCAAATTTTACTGTGGCTGAGCTGGTATCCAAGTTGCAAGACAAGTTTTTTTTTTAAAAAAAAAAAAAACATTATTTGTAATATTTATAAATTATTTTAAATCATTCCCTCTCCTTTAGCAGAAATGCCCTGACAGGTCATGTGCCCCCTTAAGTTCACTGGCTCTGAGATCAGCACAGCACTAGGACTTGCCTAGGAATTGCAGTCTTTGTGGCCTAGACTGAATTTCAGGTTTATTTAGGACCCGAACTGCTTTAGCATGCAGTGGCTAGGCTTGCAGAAACTTAAGCTCTGACTGCTGAGATAGGCCATTTTCCCCTGGCTAGGGCTCCTATAAATGCTCCCTCTGTGGGCACTGGCTGAGTTCTGACTGGTGTTTCTTTTCACTGCAACAGGATAGCACTGCATTCCAATGCAAATTGTTGCAATTAGTGTGCTCTCCTTCCCTCATGTGCACAGATTCTCTCTCTGAGCCACACAGCTAATGCGGAGTGGGGAAGGAGTGGTGATGGTAATTCAAGATTGACTTTCCTACCCTTCTTTGTGCCTCTTTCAGTGATATGAAGTTAAAATCAGGTACAGATTGCTCACCTGATTTTTGGTTCTAATAGCGGTGCCTTTTTTGGTGTAGATACTTGTTAACTTTGGTGTTTCTGTGGGGAGGATGATTGGCAGATGCTTCTATTTGGCCATCTTGTTCTGTCCCGTACAAAATAATTTTTTAATAGAGAAGCTGGTTTTCTATATACAAGATTATGTCTTCTGCAAATAGAAATACAAATATTTTCTTGTCTTATTGCCTTAGCTAGAACGTCTAGCACAATGTTGAATAGAAGTGACAATAGAAGGCATTTTTGTCTTATTCCTGATATTCTTCAGTCTTTTGCATGTGAGTTAAATTTGTCATCTATGAATTTTTCATAGATACACTTTACCAAGTTGAGAAATTATATTTCTATTCACAGTTTAAGGTTTTTTAAGAAATACAAATTATGCAGAGGTATTGGTTTTGGTCAAGTATTTTTCTGCATCTATTGAGATGGTCATGTGGTTGTATTCTTTATTCTACTGTTGTAGTGTATTACATTAATTGATTTTTGTATGTTAGGCCAATCTTACCTTCCTGGGATCTACCTCATTTGGCAATGGTGTATAATCTTTTAAATAAATTGCTGTATTTAGTTTTTTAATTTTTATTTTTTTTGCCTCCCCATCAGGAATTGAACTCTGGTCTCCTGCATAGCAAGTTTGCTAGTATTTTTTGAAGATTTCTTGATTTTTGTGTCTATATTCATAAAATATGTTAGTCCTAAATTAGCTATTCTTGTCATGTATTTGTCAAGATTTAGGATGTAGGTAAGATTGGTCTCATTGGGTAAGTTGAGTGGTGTTCTTCCCTTTCTATATTATGGAAGAGTTTGTGAAGATCAATATTAATTCTTCAAATATTTGATATAACTTTTTAGTGAATCCATCTGGTTCTGGGCTTTTTTGTGTGGGGAAGGTTTTCTAATCACTAATTCAATCTCCTTACTTTTTTCAAGTCTCTTCATGATTGTCAATTGCTTCTTGAGTCAGTTTTGATACTTGCACCTTTTCAGAATTTGAGAATTTTATTTAAGTTATATAGCATGCTAGTATATAGATAATAGTATTCCCTTATAATTCATTATATTTTTGCAAAGTTAATGATATGCTAGTTATTTAATTTATAATTTTTATAATTTGAATCTTATCTTTTGTTTTATTTTGTGTTTTGGGGGTTTTTGGGGGGGAACTCTAGCTAATGATTGCCAATTTTGTTAATCTTTTTGATGAATCAACTTTTGATTTCACAAATTTTCACTTTTGCTTTTCTATTCTCTATTTTATTAACTTGTGCTCTAATCTATATTGGTTTCTTTCTTCTTGTTATTTTGAGATTCGTTTTCTGTTCTTGTTCTAGTGTCTTAGGGTGGAAATTTAGGTTATTGGCTTGATTTCTTTTCCTGAGGTAGATATTTGCTTATGTAATTTTTCCTTTGAGAACTAGTTTTGCTGTATCCCACTTTGTTTTCTAAATCTCTCATGTCTTTTTCTCAACTTTTCTTCTGTTTCCTTTGGCTTTAAGTAAATATATTCTAGTGTAACATGTTCATTTCTTTAATAATTATTTCTCACTATATGTTTTAAAACTTATTTTTTAGTGGTTGCTCTAGAGTTACCATATTAATTTTAATTTTTGCATATTGAGCAGTTTTATATTAGCTTAATTCTGATGTTATAAAATAACCCTCCTATGAAGTTTTGTTTCTGTTTTGTGCTATTATTCTTATACTTTTTACAAATATTGTATAATTTTTTATTTTTATTACTATTGTTTTTGTTTTAACACATTTTTGTAGGTACATAGTAGGTGTATATATTTCTGAGGTACATTAGATGTTTTGATAAAGGCATGCAATGTGAAATAAGGACATCATGGGGAATGAGGTGTTCACCCTGTCAAGCATTTATTTTTTGTGTTACAAATGATCCAATTACACTTTTTAAGTTCGTTAAAAATGTACAATTAAGTCATTATTGACTATAGTCGCCCTATTGTGCTATCAAACAGTAGGTCTTATTAATTTTTTCTAGCGTTTTTTATTCTTTAACTATCCCTACCACTTTCCTGGCTCACCACTACTTTTACCAGAGGCTAACAATTCTTTGACTCTCTATGTCCATGAGTTCAATTGCTTTGATTTTTAAATCCCAAAAATGAGTGAGAACATGTGATGTTTGTCTTTCTTTGACTGGCTTATTTTACTTAACATAATGATCCCCAGTTTCACTCATATTGTTGGAAATGACTGGATCTCATTCCTTTTTATGAATAGTACTCTATTGTGTATATGACCAAATTCTCTCTATCTATTTATCTATTGATAGACACTTAGGTTGCTACTAAATCTTAGTTTTTGTAAACAGTGCTTCAGCAAACATAGAAGTGCACATATCTCTTTGATATACTGATTTAGTTTTTTTTGGGTATACACCCAGCAATAGAATTGCTGGATCATTGGTAGTTCTATTTGTAGTTTTTTTGAGAAACCTCCAAACTGTTCTCCACAGTGGTTGTATTAATTTACATTCCCATCAACAGTGTACAAGGTTTCCTTTTCTCCACATGCTTCCCAGCATTTGTTATTGTCTGTCTTTTGGATATAAGCCATTTGTACTGGAGAGAGATTTTTTTTTGCAGGTTTGGATTTGCATTTCTCTGATGATCAGTGATGTCGAGCACCTTTTCATGTGCCTGTTAGCCATTTGTATACCTTCTTTTGAGAAATGTCTGTTTAAATCTTTTCCCCATCTTTTATTAACTTTTTCTTGCTTTTTGTTTATTCTTTAACCATCCCTACTTCTTTTCTGGCTCATCACTACTTTTACCAGAGGTAAAGCTAAAAAATATTTATAAGTTTGCAAATTTTTTTTCTGCAGATTTGTTGAACTCTTTGATATTCTGATTTTTAATCCTTGGTCAGATGGGTAGTTTGCAAATGTTTTCTCCCATTCTGTGGATTGTCTCCTCACTTTGTTGCTTGTATCCTTTGCTGTGCGGAAGCTGTTTTAATTGATGTGTTTCCATTTGCCCATTTTTACTTTGGTTGTCTTTGCTTGTGGAGTATTACTCAAGAAATATTTATCCAGACTGACATCCTGGGGGGTTTCATCAATTTTCTTGTAGTAGTTTCATAGTTCGAGGTCTTAGGTTTAAGTACTTAATTCATTTTGATTTTATTTTTGTATATCATGATAAATAGAGGTCTGGTTTTATTCTTCTGCACACAAATATCTGATTTTCCCAGCACTATTTATTGAAGAGACTATATTTTTCCCAGTGTAAGTTCTATCTTGCTACCTTTGTCAAAAATGAGTTCACTGTGGGTGTGTGAATTTGTTTTTGGGTTATCTATTTTGTTCCATTTATTTATGTGTCTGTTTTATGCCTGTATCATGCTGTTTTAGTTACTATATCTCTGTAGCATAATTTGATGTCAAGAAATGTGATTCCTCCAGTTTTGTTATTTTTGCATAGAATAGCCCTGACTATTTTTGGTCTTTTGTGTTTCCATATATATTTTAGCACTTTTTAAAAAAGTTTTATGAAGAATGTCATTTATATTTGGATAGGGATTGCACTGAATTTGTAGATTTCTTTGGGTAGTATGGACTTTTTTAACAATATTGATTCTTCCAATTTGTAAATATGGCATATTATTCCATATTCAGGTGTCTTCTTCAATTTTTTATCAGTGTTTTATAGTTTCATTATAGAGATCTTTTATTTCTTTGGTTAAACTAATTGATAGGTATTTAATTTATATTTGGGAATTGTAAATAGGATTACAGTTTTTATTTTTTTACATTGTTCACTATTATTATATAGAAATGCTACTGATTTTTTGTATGTTGATTTTGTATCTTTCTACTTTATTAATTTTTTTTATCAGTTCTTATAGTTTTCCTGTGGAGTCTTTAGGTTTTTCAAAATATAAGATCATATCATCTACAAAGAATAATTAGACTTTTCCTTTTCTAATTTAATGTCCTTTATTTTTTTCTCTTCTCCAATTGCTCTAGCTAGAACTTCCAGTACTATGTTGAATAACAGTGGTGAAAGTGGGCATTCTCACGTGTTTTAAATCTTAGAGAAAAACTTTTCAATTTTTCTCCATTCAGTATAATACTAGTTGTGGGTCTGTTGTATATGGCTTTTATTATCTAATGTTACTTCTAGACCGGTTACTTGAGAGTTTTATATTGAAGAAAAGTTGAATTTTATTCAAAAATTTTTTTCAGCTTCAAATGAAATAATCCTATGGTTTATATCCTTCATTTTGTTGATATGATGCATCAAATTGTTTTATTTGCCTATGTTGAACCATACCATCGTTGCAACCCAAGAATAAATCCCACTTGGTGTTTATGAATGATCTTTCTAATGTATTATTGAATTCAGGTTGCTAATACTGTGTTGAGAATTTATGCATCAATTTTTATCAGATATATTGGTCAGTGGTTTTCTTTCTTTGATGTGTCTATCTGAGTTTTGTATCATGTTAATACTGTCTTTATAAAGTGAGTTTGGAAGTGTTCTCTCCTCTTCTATTTTGTGAAACAATCTGAGGAGGATGGATCTTAATTTTTCTATCGATAGTTGGAAAAATTCAGCTGTAAAACAGTCAGGTCCTGGGCTTTTCTTTACTGGGTGACCTTTTATTAAACTTCAATCTCATTACTTGTTATTGATCTGTTTAGGCTTTGAATTTCTTTTTGGTTTAATCTTCGTAGGTTGTGTGTATCTAGGAATTTGTCCATTTCTTCCAGATTTTTCAATTTATTGGAATATTGTTTCTCATAGTAGCCACTAATGATCCTTTGAATTTTTGCAGTATCAGTCATAATATCCCTTTTTATCATTTCTGATTTTATTTATTTGGATCTTATCTCTATTTTTCTTAGTCTGACTAAAGGTTTGTAAATTTTGTTTAACTTTTCAAAAAACCAACTTCTCATTTTATCAATCTTGTTTTGTTGTTTTCATTTTAATTTCACTGATTTCTGCTCCTACCTATATTATTTGTTTTATTCTAATAATTTTGAGGTTGGTTTGCTCTTGCTTTTACAGTTCTTTAAGATTCATTGTTAGATTGTTCATTTAAAGTTTTTTTCTTTTTTGATATAGGTATTTATAGTTATAAACTTCCATTTTAGTACTTCTTTTCCTGTTTTCTATAGGTTTTGGTATGTCGTTCTTCCATTATCATTTGTTTCCAGAAATTTTTCACTTTCCTTCTTGATTTCTTCGTAGACCTACTGGTCATTCAGGAGCATAGTGTTTAATTTCAATATATTTCTATAGTTTTCAAAATTCCTGTTGTTGTTAATTTTTAGTTTTACTCCCTTGTGGTCATAGAAGATTCTTGATATAATTTCAATTATTTGAATATCTTAAGAATTGTGACCTAAAAAATGGTCTGTCCTTGAGAATAATCCATGTGCCAAGAAAAAAATGTGTATTCTGCAGCTCTTGGATGAAATGTTCTGTAAATATATATTGGATCTATTTAGTCTATAGTGCAAATTATGTCTGATGACATAAATTATTTCTTTGTTGATTTTCTGTTTGGAAGATCTGCCCAATGCTGAAAGTGGAATGTTGAAGTCTCCAGGTATTATTGTATTGGGACTCATCTCTCTGTAGCTCTAATAATATTTTCTTTATATATCTGGGTGCTCCAGTGTTGGGTGCATACATATTTGATATTACTACGTCCTCTTACTGAATTTACCCATTCATCGTTACGTAGTGACCTTCTTTTTCATTCACCATTATGTAGTGACCTTCTTTTTATTCTTTTATAGATTTATCTTGAAATTTATTTTTCTGATATAAGTATAGCAACTCCTGCTATTTTTGGTTTCCATTGGCATGAAGTAACTTTTTCCATCTTTTTGCTTTTCAGTTTCTTTGTGTCTTTATTGTGAAGTATATTCCTTGTAGGCAACAGAACTATGGGTCTTTTTTTTTCATGTATTCATTCAGTCTATTTCTTTTGAATGGAGAATTTAATCCATGTATATTCAGTGTTTTTATTGATAAGTGAGGACTTACTTCTGCCATTTTCTTATTATTTTCTGGTTGTTTTGCAGCTTTCTCTTTCTTCTTTCCTTCATTCCTGTCTTTCTCTAGTGAAGATGATTTTCTCTGGTGATATAATTTAGTTTTCTGATTTTTCATTTTTTCTTTAAATTTTAATTTTAGGTGTGGGGGTACATGTGAAGGTTTGTTACATAGATGAACACGTGTCACTTGGGTTTGTTGTACATATTACTACATCACCCAGTTATTAATCTCAGTACTCAATAGTTACATTGTGTTGTGCTTACATGTGCCCCACATTTATCTGAGGCTGTGTTTAGTTGTCTTCATTTTATTATTTCTATGTTTTATGGATTGCATAATAACTATTGATATATCTTCAATTTTGCTCATTCTCTTGGTTTTTCAAATCTACTGCTGATCTCTTGTAATAAATTTTTAGTTTAGTTATTGTAATTTTCAACTCCAGAATTTCCATATTATTCTTTTTCACTTATATTTTATCACTTATATTACATCTTTTTATTTATATTATATATGTGATGAGACCTTCTCTTTATATCTTACTTTTCTTAATTAAACATAATTTCCTCTGGTTCTTTAAACATATTTATAATGGTTGCATTGAAATTTTTGTTAAATCTGACATCTCTTTCTTCTTACAGATAGTTTCTATTGCCTATTTTTTTCCTTTGAATGGGGCACACATTTCTGTTTCTTTGCTAGTTTTGAACTTTTGATAGCAGCAGGAGGCAGACAAATGTCTAGGCATATAGGGGTGGGTGCCTGGTTAAACCTGACCTCAAAGTCAAAGACAGTTTAAAACTTGAAAGCCAAGCTACAAGTCAAATCCATGGACTGGATTGAAAACCTGTCTTCCTGTTTTGCATGCTTTCCTCTGATTGATCCTCCTCTTCACCTATTTTACATATATCTACCCTTTCCTAATTGGTTTTTGACACTGTCATGTCCACCTTATGTGGTGACTTTGCTTTAGCCTTTCTTTGCATACTTACAAACCAATCAGCATGTACACCTCTATTCTGAGCCCATAAAAGCTTCAACTGCAGGGGTGGGGGAACAGCTTTTCATCCCCTCTCCACTGATAGCTGCTCTGTCAGTTAGTTAAATTCTCTTCTGCTCTCTTCACCCTTTGAATTGTCAGTGTATCCTCATTCTTCTTGGATGGAGGACAAGACCTCAGGAACTGCTGAACATAGGTACAAGCCATAATGCAGCCATGCCAAGTGGGTGGGGTGCCTCCAGTGACAGGCCCAGGACTGAGTGAGACCTGGGGGAGGGTGGGGTGTGTCACTGGACATGAAGTTCCCCAGTTGGCAAAGTGGCCCAGAAAAATTATGTGTCACTTTTTTTTTCTTGAAAAACTGGACTTTTTATGCAGTATGTTGTAGTAACCTTGGATACTAATTCTCCCACACCTCTTTGTGGCTTATTTTGTTATTTGGTTTTTGTTTCTTTGCTAAAGTATTCTAGTAAATTTAGGAAAATATTTTTGCTCCATATTGAGAAGGAAATAGTGTCACTTTGGTTTCATTTTTCAGATCCTACAATCCTCAGTGTGTTTTGTGTTACCCTAGGATGCCTGTGATATTAGAATGGATTTCTTAGAATCTATTTTCCTAATCTCTCTGTTAAGCTGTGTTCTTCATTTGGTAATGCACCTTGCCAGTCAGGCCCTGTTAATTACCAGTTGATTGCTCTATTGTTTTTGACAATTCCCCCATTGCATAAACTGCTTAGAAGTCTGATTCAATTAAATTCAGTTGAAGATGTTTTTGAGGTTGGTCTTTGATATTTATTCTGACACCAGAAGGACTCTTGACTGTCTCTTTCTCTGGTTCTTTTTGGTGGACTTGCTGGTCCATAGTTTTGCTTCTGCCCTTAACTAAGAATAACTATTTTTTTTTTCCAAGAGTGGCTTTAAGATTCAACTTCCTCACTTTATGCTTCAAATAAAGTTAATTATGTTTGGGAGAAATTAGGAACTCTCTTTTCCTATAGACTGCTGTTCCCTCAGGACAAGCTCTCTAAGCAATAGGTTTGGTGGTATACCCTCCGGTTGTCTCAGCTGCATTTATAAATAAGCTCATGCAAGGACAGTCAAAGTTTTATTATGCTGGCCATCCATGCTTCTGGTACAGCTTCCATCATTTAGATAAGGTCTGCGTGGAGGAAGTGAGATTCCTACCACTTGGCCATACTCACCAAAAATTTAGGCTCTTCTACTTAAAATTGAAAGGTTCTTTGCTATACTTACTGAGAGTAGAAGTTCCATAATGTTGAGTTGGGCAAGGTGAGAAAGAATGGATTGTGGCTCAAATTCTCTTGACTCTGGGCATCATTACTGATTTTTAGTATATTTTCTTGAATAGATGTTTTCTACTTTGCTCTTTGCACTTTAGTCAATTTTCAAACATTTAAAATTGTTCTTCATAATATTTTGACCAGTTTTGCTTGATTTGCTGGGTATAGGGTTCATGGAATTCCTCAGGCTGTAATCCAAAAGAGGAATACTCTTTGTGTTTTTAATATTAATTTCTGTAAGGACTAAAGATGTTGAGCATTCTTATGTTCTTAGTAGCCATTTGTATATCTGTTTTGGAGAAATGTCTACTGATAACCTTTGCCCAACTGAATGAAGTATTTTCTGTTTTTATTTTAATTATAGAGTTGTAAGCATCTCTTATATATTCTGGATACAAATCCCTCATCACATAAATAACCTGGAAAATTTTCCTCCATTCTGTGAATTGTCTTTTTATTTTTTCAGTGCTGTACTTTCAAGTACGAAAATTTTTTTTTTTGCATTTATACTACTTTTATTAAGTCTGAACTCTCTGATGTTGAGTAAGATGTGAGCAGATATTAATGACTTTTTCATATTCTTTATATTTGTAAAGATTTTTTCAAGCACAAATGATCTCCTGTGCAGTAAGGTGTGAGCATTGGTTAAAAGTTTTGCCACATTCTTCACACTTGTACAAGTTGTTTTTTTGTATGAATTATCTTATGTTCAATCAAGTGTAACAACCATTTAAAAGCTTTGTTACATTCTTCACATTTCTAAGATTTCTCACCAATACAATTTCTTTTATGTTTAGAAAAGTTTGAGGTGTTGTCAAAATCATTGTTACATCTTTTAGGTTTGTGGAGTTTCTCACCAACATGAATTTTCTTATGTCCAGTAAGGCTTGAGTATTGGTTAAAAGTTTTGCCATATTCTTCACATTGGTAGGGTTTCTCTCCAGTATGACTTCTCTTATCTAGTAAGGTGTGAGGATTGATTAAAGGCTTTACCACATTTTTCATACTGGTAGGGTTTCTCTGCAGTATGAATTATCTTATGTGTAGTAAGGTGTGAGAAATGATTAAAGGCTTTGCCACATCTTCACATGTGTACAGTTTCTCTCCAGTATGATTTTTTTATGTTCAGTAAGTTTTGAAGATCGATAGAAAGATTTGCCATATTTTCCACATTGGTAGTGTTTCTCTCTAGTATGAATGCTCTTATGTCTAGTAAGGTGTGAGGACTTGTTAAAGGCTTTGGCACATTTTTCACATTTGTAGGTTTTCTCTCCAGTATGAATTATCTTATATGTAATAGGGTGTGAGGACTGCCTAAAGGCTTTGCCATATTCTTCACATTTGTAGGGTTTCTCTGTAGTATGAATTATCTTATGTCTGGTAAGGTGTGAGGACTGGTTAAAAGCTTCGCCACATTCTATAACTTTGGAGAGTTTCTCTGTAGTATGAATTATCTTATGTCTGGTAAGGTGTGAGGACTGGTTAAAAGCTTTGCCACATTCTGTACCTTTGGAGAGTTTCTCCCCAGTATGAATTTTCTCATGTTCAGTAATGTATGAGGGTTGGTTAAAATCTTTGCCACATTCTTTATATTTGTTGAATTTTTCTCTGGTATGAATTATCTTGTGTAGTAAGGATTGACGACTGGTTAAAGACTTTGCCACATTCTTCAAATTTGTAGGGTTTCTCTCCATTTTGAATTATCTGATATGTAGTAAAATATGAGGAAAGATTAAAGGCTTTGACACATTTTTGACTTTTATAGGGTTTCTCTCTAGTATAAATTATCTTACGTGTAGTAAGGTTTGAGAACTGGTTAATGGCGTTGCCACATTCTTCACATTTGTAGGGTTTCTCTCCAATATGAATTCTTTTATGTTTGTTTAGTAAAGATTGAGGACCCATTAAAGGCTTTTCCATAGTATTCATATTTGTAGAAATTTACTCTAGTATAAGTTAGTTTATGTTGAGTTAGGTTTGAAAACACGCAAAATAATTTGCCACATTCTTCACATTTGAAAGGTTTTTGTTCTAGTATGTCTTATCTTACGTCCATTTAAATTTGAAGATTTGTGAAACATTTTCACGTATTTATCATATTCAAATATTTCATGCTGGGTAGTCAGCAAACGTTGATCAAGTCCATTATAACCTCCTTTTTGCACCTTGCAATCATCTACACATTTACCACGTTTTCTTAACTGTAAATTCTCACGTTTGCATTTTCCATAACTTCTCAATGTCACTTTTTGGAAAGAATCTTTTATGATCTGCTCTGGCCAAAAGTCCTGGGAAAAATGAGAACACATAACTGGGGATCAGGAAGACCAGGTTTCTGTAATTCTCTAACATCACATTACTATATAAATTCCACTGTGCGGTGTCCAAGCATTGTCACTTCACCAGAAAGAATTCTATGACCACATCCCTAAATTTCAATTTTTCCTTAGAGTCACATTAGGCACTTTATTAAAATGACATGGATGTTTCTGCCCATAACATTAAATAGAACAATTTCTAGGCTTTCAGGGGGCCCTGGCATCTTAGCTGTGCATCTCCCAACACTTGCTGGTTACAGGACCACAGAAGCTGGACCTCTAGGAGCAGAGAACACAGAGAAGTAAAGACAAGACCTGGAGCTACAGCTGCAGCGAGAGACCAAAAGATTTTCATTTTGATGAAGTCCAATTTATTGATTTATATTTTATAGCTTGTGATTTATTATTGTATATTAGAAACAATTGCCTAATGCAAGTGTAGAAAGTATTACTGCTATATTTTCTTCTAATAGTTTTATATATTTGTCTTATTCATTAGGTCTCTGAACCATTTGGAGTTAATTTTTAAATATGGTGAGAGAAAGCAGTCTAACTACATACTTTTTTTATACAGTCTTATTGAAAAGAGTTTTTATTTCATTGAATAGTTTTAGAAACTTTGTTAAAAACTAATTTTGTATAAAAGTTAGAGTTTATTTCAAGATTCACAATTCTGTTTTATTTATGTATATGTTAATCCATATATCACGATCACACTGTTCAAATGACTATAGCTTTGAAGTAAGGTTTTAAATTGGGTAGTGTTCTTTTTAAAATTTATTTTTGACTATTCTGAGTTTCTTTAAATTACACATGGATTTTAAATCAGCTTGCCAAATTTCTGAAAATGGGCTCTGAAATTTTGATAGAAATTGCTTTAAATATGTAGATCAATTTGGAAATTATTGTTATCTTAAAATATCATCTGCCAATCCATGAGTATGTTTCCTTTCATTTTATTTAAATTTCCTTTTGTTCTTTCAACAATATTTTTCAATTTACAAGTTTTGCACTACTTTGAAATATTCATTTCAATGTTTTTTATTCTTTTTGATGTATTTTAAATAAAATTGCTTTTTTGGTTTTTTATTGCTAATGTGTGTAAATACAATTGATGTTTGCACATTGACTTATTATCCTGAAAACTTGTTGAAATCTAGGTGGTATGGTATTGTGTACATATACATATATATATATATATATAATATTGTGTATATATATAATATTGTGTATATATATAATATTGTGTGTATATATAGATACACACACACACATATATATTTTCTGCATCTTGTTCTTACCATGATAAAATTGTGATATTGACATCTTTATTATTGCTTAATTATTTATTTCTTACTTCAATTATGTTCAGTTTTGCCTTATTTATTTTGGGGATTTGTTATTAGGTGCATGTATATGTATAATTGTTATATTTTTCTGATAACTATTTTTACTATAATAAAAATGTTTGTCTTAAAAACTATTGTGTCTGATATTATTATAGCCACTTGAGCATTCGTTTAGTTATTGCTTTCATGACTTATCTTTTTCCATCCTTTATTTTAAATGCTGACAGAATTTTGTGCATCTATTGTAGACAGTATGAAAAATAAGGATCATCTTTTATTCATTCTGCCACTATTTGCCTTTTAATTGGAGCATTTATATCAGTTACATTTCATGCAATTTCTGTAAAGATAGGATTTATTTTGCCATTTTGCTATTTATTTTTGACATGTCATATGTTATTTTCCTCTTTTTCTCCATTACTCCTTTGTTTTGTGATAAATGTATATTCCCTTATAATTACTTATTTTAAAATAATTTTTAATTTATTTTATGTAGTTTTAAAATAATTTATTAATGATAATTACAGTAAACAGTTTAAAATAATCTAGTTCAGTTTAATACTAAATAAGCTATATGGTATAAAAAAGTTTGCTCCACTATATGTTAATGTCTTTCTCCCTCTTTAAGTTTTTATTGTGAAAATATATCATTATATATTTAAAGCCTGTCCAAAAGATTTACAATTATTGCTTTATGCAGTTTCTTTCAAATCAGATCAGATAAAAAAAGTTACAAGAAAAACCTTTACACTAATTTTTATATTTACCTCTGTCTTTACCTTTATCAGTGTAGTTACCTCTACAAATGCACTTTATTACTAATGTGTTTCAAGGTGCTCTTAATTTAATTGCTAACATGTTTCTGGGTCCCATGAGTCCCTGAAGCTCTGCTTATTTTTCTTTATTCTTTTTTATTCTATTTCTCAGTCTGAATAATTTAAATTAATTTTTTCTCAAGTTTGTGGATTAGCTTCCTGATTCAAACCTGCTATTCAGCTCATCTAATACATTTTTTAATTTAGGTTGTTATTTTAATGCAGGATTTCTATTTTGCTCTTTGTAATAATTCCTTTCTGTATCTTTATATTCTCTATTTGGTGAGACACTATTCTCATAATATCCTTAATTTTTTATACATGGCTTGTTTCAGTTCTTTGAGAAACTTTGTAATACTAAAGTCTTTGTGTAGTGAGTCCGAAATCTAGGCTACCTCCCAGTGAACTTCTATTGACTGCTTTTTTCTCTTTGTTTTGACCACAATTTCCTGTTTCGTTGCATACCCATTAGTATTTTTGTTGAAAATCAGATATTTTAAATAATATAATATTGCAAATGTGGAAATCAGATTCTTTTTCTCCCAGTATTTTCTTGTTGTTTGTTTCTTTAGTAACTTACCTGAATTAGTTCTATACATCTGTATTCCATATTATTTGTATCCACTGAAGTCTGCTTAACGAGCTTAGTTTTCAGCCAACAATTAGACAGAGATTTTCTTAAATGTTTTGAGCCAATAAATCTTCAATCCTTTGCTAATTGTGTGTCTGTGTGTGTGAGAGAGAGAGGAGAGAATATGTGTGTGTTGTGGCATGCATTCAGTACACTAGCAATATCCAATTTTACCTTAAAGTTCATTTTCTTCTTGCATGGAAACTCAGGTCTAGCTAGAGCTAGAAGAGTGGGTCTCTGTTGCATCTCTCTTGAGCATGTGTACATGTCATGGCCTACCAGATTACAAGGAATATGTAGGATCTTTCCCACTCACCCACGTACATTTTATTAATTTTCTTCTCTTTTCTTTTTTTTGCCAGCCTTTTTGTTGCCCAAACGTGAGTCACCACCTCAGGCAGCTGCAATATTAAATAATTGCCAGTGATAATTTTTACCAAATTCCATGGATGTATGCCTATTTCTATGAAACAGGCTTTGAGTCAAATCAAATGGCAAGACCCGTTAAAAGGGACTCTCTAGAGAGTTTCCAGACAAGTCAGATAGTGAACACTTTCTGGGGATGGGTATTTTTGAGATGTTCTTAACCTGGTATCCACTTCTCAGTGGCTGCTAGGGTGCTGATTTTTACAGTTATTTTAGGTACGTATATTTTAACAATTTTTTTTGGCAGTGTTGTCAATAACTTTATGGAGGAACAGGTTTTGGGAAGTCTCTGCCTTTCATCTTCTTCTATATTAGATTTTCAGAAAATTTTACAGGTGATTTTTCAAAAACAAATCCTTCATCAAACAATTTATCATCAATGTCCAGGACACATTCTCCATTTCTGCTTTGTCATCTTGAATTTCTTTGTTTTTCTCCTTAGGTTGGCCCTCTATGTTCATAAAATAGCTGCAGGAAATCCAAGCATCACAACCTCACACAATAGAAACCAAGGGCAGAAAGAAACGGAAATACCTTCTTTGTGTCTTTTTTGAGTGGGGAAGTTTTTTCCAGAATTCCTCTCCCTCCATGCACACACTAGTAGCTTTTTCCTCGCATCTAATTGTCCAGATTGCACTGCTTACCCATTCATAAACCAATCATTGGCTAGGAGAATGGGATTATTATGAGTTTCTCACACTAATCAGATTTACCCTCTGCAGCTTGGGAAAAACCCTAAAGTTTTTTTCTTTAACTTTTATTTTAAATTCAGGAGCACATGTGAAGGTTTGTTACATAAGTAAACTTGTGTCATGGGGTTTTGTTGTACAGATTCTTTTATCACTGAGGTATTAAGCCTAGTACCAATAGTTATCTTTTCTGCTCCTCTCCTTCCTGCCACCTTCCACCCTCAAGTAGACCCCAGTGTCTGTTGTTTCCTTCTGGTGTTCATAAGTTCTCTTCATCTAGCTCCCACTTTTCAGTAAGAACATGTGGTATTTGGTGTTCCATTCCTGCATTAGTTTGATAAAGATGATAGTCTCTAGCTCAATCCACGTCCCCAAAAAGATATGATCTTATACATTTTTATGGGTCCATAGTATTCCATGGTGTATTTGCACCACATTATGTTTATCCAACCTGTCATTGATGAGCATGAGGTTGATTCCATGTCTTTGCTATTGTGAATAAAGCAGCAATAAATATTCACATGCATGTGTCTTTATGGTAGAATGATTTATATTCCTCTGGTATATAGCTAGTAATGGTAGTGCTGGGTTAAATAGTAGTTCTGCTTTTAGCTCTTTGAGGAATCACCATACCGCTTTCCATAAAGGTTGAACTAATTTTCACTTTCACCAAAGGTGTATAAGTGTTCCCTTTTCTCTACAACCTAACCAGCATCTGTTATTTTTTGACTTTTTAATCATAGTCATTCTGACTGGTGTGAGAGGGTATCTCATTGTGCTTTCGATTTGCATTGCTTTAATAATCAGTGATATTGACCTTTTTTTTAATATGCCTGTTGGCCGCATGTATGTCTTCTTTTGAGAAGTGTCTGTTTATGCCCTTTGCCCACTTTTTAATGGGTTTGTTTGTTTTTCTCATGTCAATTTGTTTTTTTCTAGAGATGCTGGATATTAGACCTTTGTCAGATGCATAGTTTGAAAATAATTTCTTTGATTCTATAGGTTTTCTGTTTACTCTGTTGATAGTTTATTTGCTGTTCAGAAGCTATTAAGTTGAGGTCCCACTTATTTTTTTTTGCTTTTGTTGTGACTTATTTTGGTGTCTTTGCCATGAAATCTTTGCCTGTTCCTATGTCCAGGGTGGTATTGCCTAGGACATCTTCCAGGGTTTTTACAGTTTGGGGTTTTACATTTAAGTCTTTAATCCATCTTGATTTGATTTTTATATATGGTGTAAGGATGGGGTCCAGTTTCCATTTTCTGCATTTAACTAACCAGTTATCACAGCATCATTTAGTGAATAGAGAGTCTTTTCCCCATTGCTTGTTTTTCTCAGGTTGTTGAAGATCAGATGACTGTAGGTGCTTGGCCCCATTTCTGGGCCCACTATTCTGTTCCATTGGTCTATGTGCCTGTTTTTTTTGTGTGTGTGCCAGTATCTTGCTGTTTTGGTTACTGTAGCCCTGTAGCATAAAGTCGGGTAATGTGATGCCTCCAGCTTTGTACTTTTTGGGTAGGATTGCCTTGGGTATTCAGGCTCTTTTTTGATTCCATGTGAAGTTTAAAATAATTTTATTCTAGTTCTGTGAAGAATGTTGCTGGTGGTTTGTTAGGAATAGCAGTGAATCTGTAAATTGCTTTGGGCAGTATGGCCATTTTAATGATATTGATTCTTTCTATTCATGAGCATGGGATGTTTTTTCCATTTGTTTGTGTCATCTCTGATTTCTTTGAACAGTATTTTTAAATTCTTGTTGTAGAAATCTTTCACCTTCCTTATTAGCTTTATTCTTAGGTATTTTATTCTTTTTGACACAATAGTGAATGAGATTATTTTTCTGATTTGGCTCTCAGCTTGTCTGTTATTGGTTTATAGGAATGCTAGTAATTTTTGGACATTGATTTTTATATCCTGAAACTTTGCTGACACTGTGTATTATGATCTATTTATTCCTATAATGAATCCCTCAGCCTTAGAAGAGACTTAAGCAAACTTGTGAATAATTGTCACACTAGCCCATTGATACAACATAAATTTAAAAACAGAGAAAAACAGTTTTAGTTCAGATAAAGTGGAGTAGACATATTTCTCCCTATTCCTTCTGCACAATACAACTAACTACTTTAGACATAATATATAAAACTCATAAAAATCTCTGAAAGATGTAGAAACAAATGTAAACTCAGTGGATACCTTGGGACTCAAGGACTGAATCAGTAGTATATTTCCTGAGGTTCCTTTTTGCCTACTATATATCTCAGACAAAGTGTTAGAGACACTCATCTCCTAAAAATACAAATAGGCACAGAAAAAATATTCTCAAGGAGAGTCTGTGCTCTCCAGCCAGAGGCTTGGAAAAGAATGGCCTAGATGGGCAGAAACATTTTTGATAATACTTGCTCTACTCCAGAGAAACATCACAAAAAAAAAAATTCCACAACTTCTTCCATGCCACATCAGTGGAGGCTCAGTGAGGAACCTAGACATTCATCCCTGCTTAGTACTTGCAAGGTATCCCTCCCACTCCCTTTTGGGGTGGTACCACTGGAGGCTGAGAGGGGAGCCCAGACTTCCACTTCCACTCCCTAGTAATAACGCGGTTGCTTCTCCATTTCCCTCCTGGCACAGTGGAGGACTGCAAAGATAGAAGATTTAAATAAGATCCAGAGTCTCATAGCATAATACCAAAATGTCCATCTAGTATGTAGCTGAAACTCACTCATGTAAAACCGTGGAAAAATCTTAAATTGAATGCATTCCATGAGATCAGCATCATCCTGATACCAAAACCTGGCAGAGTCACAACAACAACAACAAAAAAACCTTCAGGTCAATATCCTTGATGAACTTTGATGCAAAAATCCTCAACAAAGTAATTGCGAACAGAATCCAGAAGCACATCAAAAAGCCATAAGG
This sequence comes from Homo sapiens, assembly GCF_000001405.40. Taxonomy (NCBI): domain Eukaryota; kingdom Metazoa; phylum Chordata; class Mammalia; order Primates; family Hominidae; genus Homo; species Homo sapiens. Next base: position 67,366,875 of record NC_000023.11, on the reverse strand, counting down.
AAGTAATAAATTTTTAAGTGCTTAAAGAAAACAGTTGTTTACACAAACTCCTGTATCCATCAAAAATGTCCTTTATAAATGAAGGAGAAATCAAGATATTTTCTAGTGGAAGCAAATTCAGAGAATTTTTCACCAACAGATCTATGCTAAAAGAGTGGCTAAATGAAATCCTTGAAACAGAAAAGAATTGAAGGAAGTAATCTTGGAACATCAAGAAGGAAGAATGAACAATAGGAAGAGTGAAAATATGGGTAAATAAATCAGACTTTTTTTTTTTTTTGACAGAGTCTCAGTCTGTCGGCCAGACTGGAGTGCAATGGTGCGATCTTGCCTCACTGCAAGCTCTGTGTCTCGGGTTCAAGCAATTCTCCTGCCTCAACCTCCTGAGTAGCTGGGATTACAGTTGCCTGCCACTACACCCGGGTGATTTTTGTATTTTTAGTAGAGACGAGGTTTCACCATGTTAGTCAGGCTGATCTCAAACTCCTGACCTCAGGTGATCCACCCGCCTCGGCCTCCCAAAGTGCTGGGATTACAGGTGTGAGCCACCGTGCCCAGCCAAAATGGACTATTTTTCTCTTGAGTCTTATAAATTATATTTGGCAGTTGAATCAAAAATTATAAAATTGATGTTATTTTCAACGCATTTGGAGGAAATATTTAACTTGGAAAATGTTTCCTGTGCACTTGAGAAAGATGTGTAGTCTGATGTTGTTGAGTGGGATGTTCTGTATATGTCTGTTAAATCTAATTGGTTTATGGTGAGTTTTCTATCTGTTATTGAAATTGGTGTATTGAAGTTCCCTAGTATTCATGTATAAGTGTATTATTTCCCTCTTATTCTGTCAATTAAAAAATATTTGCTTCGTGTTTCAGAACATTAATTTCGATGTGTATGTGTTTATAATTGTCATATCTACTTAGTGAATTAACCTTATTATTGTTATATAATATCAGTTTTTGTCTACTCTAACAGTTTTTTACTCAAAGTCTATTTTGTCTGATATTAGTAAAGCCAACCCAGCTTTCTTTTGATTACTGTTAACATGGATATCTTCTTTCATCCTTTCACTTTCAACTTATTTGTATCATTATATCTAAACTGACACTCGTATATCCAACTATACAGGGTTTGTTAATTTCTTCATGTAATTCTCTTTTGGTTTATCCTAGTTTTTGGTAAATTCATGTCTTTGCTCAAATTTGAGAAGTTTTTCATTATTCTTTCTTCAAACAATCTTTTTTGCCTATTTCTCTCTCTCTTCTTCTGAGAGTCTCATTATATGTATGTTTGTCCATTTGATGGTGTCCCTCAAGTCCTGCAAGTTCTAACTTTTCTGTATTCATTTATTTCTCTGCTCCTCTGAATTTCTAATTTAAATTTTATTTTCTTCAAGTTCACTGATTGTTTTTTTGCCCAAATATTCTGTTGAAAAACAGAAACTTCACAGCCACTCAGACTAGGATTGGAATCCTAGTTTTGTCACTTACTAGAGAATAGTCATTAGGCAAATTACTTCATCTCTTTGAGTTTTAGTTTCCACATCTGAAAAAAATACCCACCTGTAGCAGAGACTGCTAATTATCCTCTTATATTTATATTCTCTGATTAAATGGCAATACAAATTTTAGCTGGTATGTGGTCACTCAACAAAATTTTAGATTTTTGCTCCTCCTTCCTCCTTTGGATGTAGGTATGGCTATGTGACTAATAATTGGAAAATAGATTTGAAAAAAAAAATGACATAAGTAGCTTCTAAGTGGCTCCCTCTTCTGCTGGCTAGAATACAGATGACATGGTGGGAACTGGGGCATTTGCCTTGAACCATGATTAAATTCTTCGCTCTACTGAATACTTGGCAAGTAATTTTCCATTTCCTTTTCTTTTTTTTTTGTTATATATTAAGTTCTGAAATACATGTGAGGAACATGCAGGTTTGTTACACAGGTATACATGTGCCATGGTGGTTTGCTGCACCCATCAACCCATCATATATATTAGGTATTTCTCCTAATGCTATCCCTCCCCTTGACCCACCCCCCAGCAGGTCCCAGTGTGTGATGTTCCCATCCCTGTGTCCATATGTTCTCATTGTTCTACTCCCACCTGTCATTGAGTACATGTGGTGTTTGGGTTTCTGTTACTGTGTTAGTTTGCTGAGGATGATGGTTTTCAGCTTCACCCAAATCCCTGCAAAGGACGTGAACTCATTGTTTTTTATGGCTGCATAGTATTCCATGGTGTATATGTGCCACATTTCTTTATTCAGTCTATCATTGATGGGCATTTGGGTTAGTTCCAAGTCTTTGCTATTGTGAATAGTGCTGCAATAAACATACGTGAGCATGTGTCTTTGCAGTAGGATGATTTATAATCCTTTGGGTGTATACCCAGTAATGGGGTTGCTGGGTTAAATGGAATTTCTGATTCTAGATCCTTGCGGAATCACCACACTGTGTTCCACAATGGTTGAACTAATTTACACTCACACCAACAGTGTAAAAGTCTTCCTATTTCTCCACATCCTCTCCAGCATCTGTTGTTTCCTGACTTTTTAGTGGTTGCCATTCTAACTGGCGTAACATGGTATCTCATTGAGGTTTTGATTTGCATTTCTCTTACGACCAGACATGATGAGCTGTTTTTCATGTGTTTTTTTGCCACATAAATGTCTTCTTTTGAGAAGTGTCTGTTCATATACTTTGTCCACTTTTTGATGGGTTGTTTGTTTTTTTCTTGTAAATTTAAGTTCCTTGTAGATTCTGTGTTTTTTGTCATGAAGTCTTTGCCCATGACTATGTTGTGAATGGTCTTGCCTAGGTTTTCCTCTAGGGTTTTTGTGGTTTTAAGTCATACATTTAAATATTTAATCCATATTGAGTTAATTTTTGTATAAGGTGTAAGGAAGGGGTCCAGTTTCAGTTTTCTGCACATGACTAGTCAGTTTTTCCAAAACCATTTATTAAATAGGAAATCCTTTCATCATTGCTTGTTTTTCAGTTTTGGCAAAGATCAGATGGCTGTAGATGTTTGGTGTTATTTCTGAGGCCTTTGTTCTGTTCCATTTGTCTATATATCTGTTTTGGTACCAGTACCATGCTGTTTTGGTTATGGTAATTTTGTAGTATAGTTTGAAGTCAGGTAGGGTGATGCCTCCAGCTTTGATCTTTTTGCTTAAGATTGTCTTGGCTATACATACGGTTTTTGGTTCCATATGAAATTCAAAGAAGAGTTTCTAATTCTGTGAAGGAAGTCTATGGTAGCTTGATGGGAATAGCATTGAATCTATAAATTACTTTGGACAGTATGGCCATTTTATGATACTGATTTTTCCTATCCATGAGCAGGGAATGTTTCTCTATTTCTTTGTGTTGTCTCTTATTTCCTTCAGCAATGGTTTGTAGTTCTCCTTGAAGAGGTCCTTCACATACCTTGTAAGTTGGATTCCTAGTTATTTTATTCTCTTTGTAGCAATTGTGAATAACAGTTCACTCATGTTTTGGCTCTCTGCTTGTCTCTTATTCACGTATAGGAATGCTTGTAATTTTTCCATATTGATTTTGTATCCTGAGACTTTGCTGAAGTTGCTCATCAGCTTACGGAGTTTTGGGGCTGAGATGATGGGGTTTTCTAAATATAGAATCATGTCTTCTGCAAACAGAGACAATTTGACTTCTTATTTTCCTATTTGAATACCCTTATTTCTTTCTCTTGCTAGATTGCCCTGGCTAGAACTTCCAATACTATTTTGAATAGGAGTGGTGAGAGAGGGCATCCTTGTCTTGTGCTGGTTTTCAAAGGGAATGCTTCCAGCTTTTGCCCATTCAGTATGATATTGGCTGTGAGCTTGTCATAAATAGCTCTTATTAATTTGAGATACTTTCCATCAATACCTAGTTCACTGAGTGTTTATAGCATGAAAGGGTGTTGAATTTTATTGAAGGCCTTTTCTACATCTATTAAGATAATCATGTTGTCTTTGTCACTGGTTCTGTTTATGTGATGAATTAAGTTTATTGATTTGCATATGTTGAATCAGCCTTGCATCACAGGAATGCAACCGCCTTGATCTTGGTGGATAAGCTTTATAATGTGCTGCTGGGATCAATTTGCCAGTAGTTTATTGAGGATTTTCACATCAATGTTCATGAGGAATATTGGCGTGAAATTTTTTTTTGTTGATGTTGTGTGTCTGTTAGGTTTTGGTATTGGGATGATGCTGGCCTCATCAAATGATTTAGGGAAAAGTCCCTCTTTTTTATTGTTTAGAATAGTTTTAGAAGAAAAGGTACCAGCTCCTCTTTGTACCTCTGGTATAAATTGGCTGTGAATCTGTCTGATCCTGGGATTTTTTTGGTTGGTAGTCTATTAATTACTGACTCAATTTCAGAACTTGTTTTTGTTCTACTCAGAGATTCGACCTCTTCCTGGTTTAGTCTTTGGAAGATGTATGTTTCCCAGAATTTATCCATTTCTTCTACATTTTCTGATTTATTTGCATAGGGGTGTTTATAGTATTCTCTGATGGTAGTTTGTATTTCTGTGTGATCAGCAGTGATATTTCCTTTATCGTTTTTGTTGTGTCTATTTGATTCTTCTCTCTTTTCTTCTTTATTATTCTGGCTAGAAGTCTATCTATCTTGTTAATCTTTTCAAAAAGCCAGCTCCTGGATTCCTTGATTTTTTGAAGGTTTTTTTTTGTGTGTGTTTGTGTGTATGTGTGTATCTCCTTCAGTTATGCTCTGATCTTAGTTATTTCTTGTCTTCTGCTAGCTTTTGAATTTGTTTGCTCTTGCTTTTCTAGTTCTTTTAATTGTGATGTTAGGGTGTCGATTTTAGATCTTTCCTGCTTTCTCATGTGGGCATTTAGTTTTATCAATTTCCCTCAAACACTGCTTTAGCTGTGTCCCAGCGATTCTGGCACATTGTGTTTTTGTTCTCATTCGTTTCAAAGAATTTATTTATTTTGGCCTTAATTTCATTATTTACCCAGTAGTCGTTCAAGAGCAGGTTGTTCAGTTTCCTTGTAGTTGTGCGGTGTTGAGTGAGTTTTTTCTTTTTTTCCCAACAATTTAATACTTTATATATTTATTTATATTATACTTTAAGTTCTGGGATACACGTGTAGAACATGCAGGTTTGTTATGTAAGTATACAGGTTCCATGGTGGCTTACTGCACCCATCAACATGTCATATACATTAGGCATTTCTCCTAATGCTCTCCCTCCCCTAGCCCCACAGCCTCTGACAGTACCTGGTGTGAGATTCTCCCCTCCTTGGGTACATGTGTTCTCATTGTTCAACTCCGACTTATGAGTGAGAACATGCAGTGTTTGGTTATCTTTTCTTGTGTGAATTTGCTGAGAATGATGGTTTCCAGCTTCATGCATGTCCCTGCAAGAACATGAACTCATCCTTTTTTATGGCTGCATAGTATTCCATGGTGTATATGTGCCACATTTTCTTTATCCAGTCTATCATTGATGGGAATTTAGATTGATTCCATGTCTTTGCTGTTGTGAATAGTGCTGCAACGGACATACATGTGCATGTGTCTTTACAATAGAATGATTTATATTCATTTGGGTATATATCCATTAATGGGATTTCTAGGTCAAATAGTATTTCTGGTTTTAGATCCTTGAGGAATTGCCACACTGTTTTCCACAACGGTTTAACTAATTTACGCTTCCACCAACAGTGTAAAAGCGTTCCTATTTCTCCACATGCTCTCTAGCCTCTGTTGTTTTCTGACTTTTTCATGATCGCCATTCTAACTGGACCGAGATGGTATCTCAGTGTGGTTTTGATTTGCATTTCTCTAACGATCAGTGATGATGAGCTTTTTATTACATGGTTCTTGGCTGCATAAATGTCTTTTGAGAAGTGTCGGTTCATATTCTGCACCCACTTTTTGATGGGGTTGTTTTTTCCTGTAAATTTGTTTAAGCTCTTTGTGGATGCTGGGTATTAGTGCTTTGTCAGATGAATAGATTGCAAAAATTTTCTCCCATTCTGTAGGTTGCCTGTTCAATCTGATGATAGTTTCTTCTGCTTTGCAGAAGCTCTTTAGTTTAAATAGATCCCATTTGTCAATTTTGGGTTTTGTAGCCATGGCATTTGGTGTTTTTGTCATGAAGTCTTTGCCCATGCCTATTTCCTGAATGGTATTGCCTAGGTTTTCTTCTAGAGTTTTTGTGGTTTTATGTCTTACATTTAAATATTTAATTCAGCTTGAGTTAATTTTTGTATAAGGTGTAAGGAAGGGGTCCAGTTTGAGTGAGTTTCCTTATCCTGCGTTCTAATTTGATTGCACTGTGGTGTGAGAGATGGTTTGTTATGATTTCCATTCTTTTGCATTTGCTGAGGAGGATTTTACTTCAAACTATGTCATCAATTTTAGAATAAGTGCTATGTGGTGCTGCAAAAAAATGTATATTCTGTTGATGTTGTGTGGGTATTTCTACAAATTTCTATCAAGTTTGCTTGGTCCAGAGCCGAGATCCAGTCCTGAATATCCTCAGTTTTCTATCTCTTTGATCTGTCTAATATTGACAGTGGGGTCTTAAAATCTCCTACTTTTATTGTGTTGGAGTCTAAGTCTCTTGGTAGGTCTCTAAGAATTTGCTTTATTCATCTGGGTGCTCTCGTATTGGATGTATATATATTTAGGTTAGTTAGCTCTTCTTGTTGTACTGATCCCTTTACCATTATGTAATGCCCTTCTTTTTCTTTTTTGATCTTTGTTGATTTAAAGTCTGTTTTATCAGAGACTAGAATTCCAACCTCTGCTGTTTTTTGCTTTTCATTTGCTTGGTAAATATTCCTCTATCCCTTTATTTTGAGCCTATGTGTGTCTTTGAATGTGAGATGGGTCTCTTGAATACTGCACACCGATGGGTCTTGACTCTTTATCCGATTTGCTAGTGTGTGCCTTTTAATTGGGGGCATTTAGCCCATTTATATTTAAGGTTAATATTGTTATGTGTAAATTTGATGTTGTCATTATGATTCTATCTGGTTATTTTGCCCATTAGTTGATGTTCTTTCTTCATAGTATTGATGGTTTTTACATTTTGGTATATTTTTGTGGTGGCTGCTACAGGTTTTTCCTTTCCATATTTAGTGTTTCCTTCAGGAGCTCTTGTAAGGCAGGCCTGGTGGTGACAAAATTCCTCAGCATTTGCTTGTCTGTACAAGGTTTTACTTCTCTTTCACTTATGAAGCTTAGTTTGGCTGGGTATGACAGTCTGTGTTGAAAATTCTTTAAGAATGTTGAATATTGACCCCCACCCTCTTCTGTCTTGTAGGGTTTCTGCAGAGTGATCTGCTGTTATTCTGATGGGCTTCCCTTTTTGGTTAACTAGAGTTTTCTCTCTGGCTGCCCTTAACATATTTTCCTTCATTTCAACCTTGATGAATATGACAATTATGTGTCTTGGGGTTGCTCTTCTTGAGGAGTATCTTTGTGGTGTGCTCTGTGTTTCCTGAATTTGAATGTTGACCTTTCTTGCTAGGTTGAGGAAGTTCTCCTGGATAATATCCTGAAGTGTTTTTTCCAACTTGGTTCTATTCTCCTTGTCACTTTCAGGTACACCAATCAAATGTAGGTTTGGTCTTTTCATGTAGTCCCATATTTCTCAGAGGCTTTGTTCTTTCCTTTTCATTCCTTTTTCTCTAATCTTGTCTTCATGCTTTGCTTTATTCCATTAAGTTGAACTTCAATCTCTGATATCCTTTCTTCTGCTTGATCGATTCGGCTATTGACATTTGTGTATGCTTCACGAAGTTCTCGTGCTGTGTTTTTAAGCTCCATTAGGTCATTTACATTCTTCTCTAAACTGGTTATTCTAGTTAGCATTTCCTGTAAGCCTTTATCAGGTTCTTTGCTTCCTTGTATTGGGTTAGAACATGCTCCTTTAACTCAAAGGATTTTGGTATTACCCACCTTCTGAAGCCTACTTCTGTCAATTCATCAAACTCATTCTTCATCCAGTTTTTTTCCCTTGCTGGTGAGGAGTTGTGTTCCTTTTGAAGAAAAGAGGCACTATGATTTTTGAAATTTTCAGCCTTTTTGTGCTGTTTTATCCTCATCTTCGTGGATTTATCTAACTTTGGTCTTTGATGTTGGTGACCTTCAAATGGGGTTTTCTCCTCTTCATCCTTTTTTTTTTTTTGATGTTGATGATATTGCTTTCTCTTTGTTAATTTTCCTTTAACAGTCGGGCCCCTCTTCTGAAGGTCTGCTGGAGTTTGCTGGAGGTCCGCTCTAGATCCTGTTTGCCTGGGTATCACCAGCGGAGGCTGCAGAACAGCAAAGATTGCTGCCTGCTCCTTCCTCTGGAAGCTTTGTCCCAGAGGGGCACCCACCAGATGTCAGCTGAAGCTCTCCTGTATGAGGTGTCTGTCGACCCCTGCTGGGAGGTGTCTCCTCGTCAGGAGGCTCAGGGGTCAGCGACCCACTTGAGGAGGCAGTCTGTCCCTTAGCAGAGCTCAAGCACTGTGCTGGAAGATCCGCTGCTCTCTGCAGAGCCAGTAAGCAGGTATGTTTAAGTCTGCTGCAGCTGCGCCTACAGCCGCACCTTCCCCCAACTGCTCTGTCCCAGGAAGATTGAAGTTTTATCTACAAGCTTCTCACTGGGGCTGCTGCCTTTCTTTCAGAGTTGCCCTGTCCAGAGAGGAGGAATCTAGAGACACAGTCTGACTACAGAGCCTTTGCTGCGCTGTGGTGGGCTCCGCCCAATTTGAAATTCCTGGTGGCTTTGTTTATTTACACTCTGAGGGGAAAACTGCCTACTCAAGCCTCAGTAATGGCGGATGCCCCTCCCCCCACCAACCTTGAGCATCCCAGGTTGACTTCAGACTGCTGTGCTGGCCGCGATAATTTCAAGCAAGTGGACCTTGGTTTGTTGGGATCTGAGGGAGTGGCATCCACTGAGCAAGACCACTTGGATCCCTGGCTTCAGCCTTCTTTCCAGGGAAGTGTACAGTTTTGTCTCTCTGGTGTTCCAGGTGCCACTGGGGTATGAGAAAATACTCCTGCATTTGCCCAAACAGCCACCCAGTTTTGTGCTTGAAATCCAGGGCCCTCGTGGTGTAGGCCCCCAAGGGAATCTCCTGGTCTGTAGGTTGTGAAGACTGTGGGAAAAACATAGTATCTGGGCCGGATAGCACTGTCCCCCATGGAGCAGTCCCTCACAGCTTCCCTTGGCGAGGGGAGGGAGTTCCCTGACCCCTTGCACTTCCTGGATGAGATGACACCTCACCCTGCTTCTGTTCACCCTCCATGGGCTGCACCCACTGTCTAACCAGTCCCAATGAGATGAACTAGGTACCTCAGTTGGAAATGCAGAAATCACTTGCCTTCTGCATTGGTCTTGCCTGGAGCTGCAGACCAGAGCTCTTCCTATTCAGCCGTCTTGCCTGGGAATCAATTTTCCATTTTCTGCATGTGTAAAATGGAGAAAATATTGACCTTTTAGAGATGCTGGTAATGTTCATTGAGAGAAGGGCTTCAAACATACATTGGAGATGGTCAAGTATTGATTATTTTTAGTAATAAAATACAGCCTGAATATATGGAAGGAGACTTCATATTTAAAAATCATTAGGGTCTAATTTCATCTCATTCACTCATAAGTTGTGTCATACTGTGCAGAGCCCATAAAATTTCTCAGCATCATTTTTTCAACCGTAAGATGGGAAAAATCATACTTCCTCTTAAAGATAAGGAAATAAGTCATTGACATAGTTTCTATGAAAGTGTTTGGCACATAGTAAGTGCTCAGTATTATTTTTTATTTTTCCTTCTTTTCTTTTATAGATGTCTACTGTACACAACCCTGTCTGGGTAAAGACACTCATGGGCATCATGAAGACAATTAGGTCCTGGTGGAGAAGTGAGAAATTTGGTAACATTGGAAGATGAACAAAAAGCAATTTGAACGTTGGCCCATTTTGTTTTATTTTGTATAATTCCCTTTGAGCATTTGTTTTGTTCTCCTTAGCATGAACTGAGCATTAACCTAGTAGGTCATTTCTGTAGTTACTTTGCAACATAGATGCTTTTGGCAGTCTGATATAATGTACTGACCCTTCTTAGAATAATACTTTGAATGGATAAAATAAAATATAGAAGATTACAATGAAAACAAATTGTATTTAAAAGTACTTATCAAATTGTACAAAACAAAGTTTGTGATAAAGAAATATACATATATTTCTTTATTAGTGCACTAAATAGCAAGATCTAATTATAGGTTTAATAACCACCACAATTTCAAAGTAGTGATGAGCAAACATGATATTCCAAGATATGTGCAACAACAGTAGTGTGATGTGACCATTTTGTAATTTCTACTGACTATAGAACTCAGACATTATCAAAACTATTCTGATTTGTTGCTTACATTCATAATTGAAGGGAGAGCTAAGTTTCAGTTAAACGTTAGTAAAAGTAAAAAATGTACTTTTTATTCATCTATGTTCACAGATACCTGCCTTAACCCCAGCATGAGAGAGCCTTTATAGTAAATATTTTATAATATGGAAAAATACCATTGACAGGTAAAATTAAAAATGAAAAACATCCCTCAAACATATTTGGTACTACATACACCAAATTGATTGACGGAAAGCAGAACTAAAGTTGTAGGAGACCTTATAAGCTATTTATTATATCCACTCTATTTCATAGCTTATGGATGCAGAAGTGAAAGGAATTGTTTATGGTCGCACAGTCAGGTAGTGGTGACAAACCAGAATACAGATCTCTTCAGTCCCAGATCAATGTTTTAATTACTTTAAATTAATTTTGAAATATAGATATGTGACAGTTTTGCAATCTCATAAAGGTAAGTGATCAACAATAAGAGGCAGCAATGCACTCTCTATGCATTTTACACTGAACTTAAGTCATTGGTTTTATTACACAGATTACCAGACTAAAAGTTTAATATAGTCTGTTGTTTAGAGAGTATCTCAATTTTGGTCTAGTGTTTGGCAAATATCTAAGGATATTTCTATTGATATGATTGAGAAAGAATGCACTTGACAGTGTAGCGAAGATTTGTGAATGGCTAAAGCCTCATAACCAAGCAGAGTCAATTATGTCAACCTAGTTGGAGGTTTTTTAAAGTGTGCTGCAGGTGTTGGTCCTTAACTCTGACTCAATATTTTTATTAATAATTTTTGGTGAGGACTTTAATAGCATAAAACAATTGCAGATGATAAAAAACTGGGGCAGGGAGTGTAGAATAAATGAATTAGAAAATACACTCAGGATCCCAGAACATGTCCACAGGCTACACAATGGTAGATTGAGTAGAACCAGATGGAATTGAAGAGAGGTTTATGTGAAGCTGCCATTTGGTCTTGACAATTGCACAGGCACAGAATGGGAAATTCTGGGGTGGCATTGGTATGTGAGGAAAAGTAAGGGAAGAAGGTGTTTCAGAAAAGCTCAGCAGTGGAAAGTGTAGCTATAAAAGCTATTGTGTGTTTGTTTAGCTAAGGTAACAACAACTGCTTTGAATCATAATTCTAAAACCTCAGTCACTTAACACAGTGAATTTTTTTCACCAATAGAAAGTTTAATAAGTGGTGACAGAGAAAGGTACTGATCTTCACACAGTTACTGAGGGATTCAGACTGACTGGAGGTTCTGCCATGCTCAAAGTGTGACTCTCAAGATCTTTATGGGAGTTAATACTCAGCTGGAAGATTAGAAAAAATATGGAAGTATTTACATGCCAAGGCTAAAAGTGGTGAATTATCACTTCTACCTATATTCCATTTCCTAGAATTCAGTTAAATGGCTATACGCAGCAACAAGAGAGGCTAGAAAATGTAGTTAAGTGCGTGACAAGCAGGAAAGTAAAACATGTTAAATGAACATCCAGTCTGTCTTTGCCTTAAGCCAAAATGGCTGAAAGTGGGTTATGATGGTTCTGATCTCTTCTAACCTGACTGTGCACTTTAAAGGAGAAACAGACTAACTGGATAGGAGTAAGTAGGCTGGAGACAAAGCTGGATTTCAGGTTCCATAAATAGTGGTTGAAAGGAGCTGGAGCAGCATGCCTAGAGAAGAAAGAGAAGGTTCAGAAATGTGGTCTCCGTCTTCAGACCTCCGAAGAGCTGTCATTGTAACGAAGAAGACAAGGTCTGCTGTGGCCTGAATGTGTCCTCCCAAATTCATGTGCTAAAACATAATGGCCAATGTGATAGTATTAAAAGGTAGAGCTTTTAGGCGATAAAATTAAGTCATGAGGGCAGAACTCTTATCGCTGAGATTGGGGCTCTTAAGGAAGGGCTTGGGAGAGTCGGTTTGTTCTCTTCTGCTCTTCATTATGTGAGAGCACATCATTTATCCCCCTTTTGCCTTAAAAAATCCCTTCCACCATATGAGGATGCAGCAAGAGTGCCCTCACTAGGAACTAAATGCCAGCAACTGGATATTTTACTTCCCAGGTTCCATAGCTGTAAGAAATAAATTTATTTCATTTATAAATTACCCAGTCTATGGTATATTGTGATAGAAGCATGAATGGACTAAGACAGGGACTGTGTGTTTGCAGGTGGTAGAGCTGGGACTTGTAGGTGAAAGCCACAGGGAGGCTGGTTTCAGCTCAATAGAAGGAAGAATTGTCATCAGATGAAAGAAGCTGCTTTTGGAAATAGTGAGCTGTTCAACACCAGAGATATGCAAAGGTTGGATGACGCATCTCACAGGGATAATGTTGAAATGATTCCTCTATTTTGTGGAAGATTGCACTACTAGATCTAAGACTCTTTCCACTTCTGAGATGCTGTAATTGTACATTTTTTCCTGCTGTAATTTTAGGCTTATTTGTCTCTTTCTAGTATGTGAAGAAGAATACCAGCTGAAGAAAATGAATAAAAATAAAAGTTTATGAAAAATAAAAATCAGGACAAAAGGCAATATTAACTCACTCTAAAACTATGGATGAATTGTACTTACAAACTGTGACTAACAGTAGAAAAATTGTGTCTTTTAAAACAGAGCTTCATTGCAAATTTTAAGATAGAAATATCCAAGTGACTAATCTTTGAACAATTTGCTAATTTCAGGTCTATATTCATACCAAGTGGCTACTGGAGGATGCAACTAATTCTGGGTGCCAGATATTAGATATCTATTAGATTTAAGCTGGCAGTTTCTAATATACTTTATCCAGAAAAATTCAGTGATTGCGGAAGCTTACCCTAAGCTATAATATTAGAGAAATGAGTCCCTATCACATTACCAAAAGAAATAGCAAAATGGCTGCAGTAAAATGACCCTAGCAGAACCCTCTGAAGTTGCATTTTTTAGCATGTCAGGACTGCACACAAATTCAGACAATCATGCAAGGAATCCAACCCCTTAATCATAAACATAAAGACTCAAAGGGAGATGACTTTTAGCAGGAGAATCAGGGGCACATTTATAGAAGGGGTGACATTTAGCTTCAGTCTAAAAGATGGGTATAATTTTCTCAGGTAATAAGAAGGCACATTTATTCAGTTCTTTATTCATTTAATAACACAACAAACATTTATTTACCAGACATCGGTAGGCTCCAGGGACACAGCTTGTCTTTGTCCTTGTGAAGCTTACATTGTAGAGAAGTATATAGGCGAGAAATAAAAAAAAGAAGTTCCGATGGTAATACAAGCATTGAAAAAGAATAAGGTAGAGTAATGTGTCAGGGACTATAACAGGTGGGATTTTGTAGACCATAGGAAAGAACTTAATTATTGCTCTAAATGCATTGGGAAGGTATTGAAAGATTTTAAGAAATATTACCCTTAACTGCTATTTTAAAATGTATGTTGGAGAAGGGCAAATTGCAAGTGGAGGGACCAGTTGGAATACTGCAGGGGTAGGCCTGGGAGGTGGTAGAGAAGAGGGAGTGAAGTACTCAGATTCAGTATATGGTTTGGAGGTAGAGCTAGCAGGACAGGCCAGTGGGTAGGAACAGTAAAGTCCACTTATTTTGGCACCTACTTTTTCACTGAATCTAAAAACAACCCCTTTTAGGTAATATTATTCTCACTGAAGGGTTTTCAACAAGGAAATGATATGCCCTAAATTACACCATTGAAAACTACTTTCACACCAATTATTTCACTCAACATCCACAAAGATCTCTGCAGTAGGTAGGGTGAAGACTGTTACCCCTATTTTATAGGTAGGGAACCTAACACTCACAGCTCAGCTCCAGATTTGTAACCCTGATCACTAATTCTGAATACAGGAATTTCTATCCACTTCATCTCTCTTTAGAATAGTCACTCAGCTCCCCAAGAGGTAGCTGAATTCAGTTTCTTAACTCTTGCAGCTCTCCAGTTTATGTAATCTATGTAGCACTAAGGGCACAGCCTAGTAGCTATCGTCCCAGAGGTCAACTCAGGAAATACACTCAAGTACCTGTATTGGGTTTATTTCAAAGAATTCAGGGTGTAGCTGGGAGAAAACTTGCCTCAGATTACCTGGTCATTAGCAGGGAAGCATATGTGAATAAGGAGAAATGCAAGTATTAGGGCTCCTCAAGTCTCTGTGGGCTCCCACAGTTCCCTGCACTCTCCTCTGAGGGCATTGATTACACCATTTGGTTTTTGAATGTTTTGTAGCCTGCCTTGCCTCACTAAAGGGCAAGCCTCCCCTCAGCAGGACCTAATTTGTAAGTATTTGTTGAGGGAATGCATACAAATATAAAATAATCTTGAAATTTAACCTGTCACTTCTGCTTTGTAGTATATCTACACCAGCAGGATTTGTAAAGTTGGGTAAGAACTTTGCAAATTTGGCCATTCAGTGTTCTATCACACTACAACTGTTTCCTCAACTTCCCAACTCTTTAGCAAAATGTCAAATATATTATCTTTTTACTAACCAGCATTGCCTTGCTAGAGTAGCCTATTTACAAACCAGCTCACTCCCCTTTTACTCATGCTTATCCCCATTAAAACATTCATTAGCCGCTACTGTAATTTTCTAGTTACTTGTTATTTTTCCTGCTTGACTTGTGAGAACTTGTAGACTTCCCATTTGGCCTGAGATCTGGGATCATGCCATTTATTTGCACATCTCTAAAGACTTCATGACCTAGAGCAGATAAGGCATTCAGTGTTTGTTGAACGTTCTCACACCATGCTGAGATATATCTTCTGATATTCACCTCCATTTCCTCCAGTGTCATCACATTTTCTCCTCACAATAACGTTCAGTTCTCTGTCTTCACTATGGTTACATCCTCTGTGTTAGGCAGACATCATACTTCCTCTTTTTGTTGCCTGACTTCAAGGGGAAGCCTTAACTTGATGTCTCTTTTTTTCCACCACTGTTTTTTTCCTGTTATACAATCTAGCTTTGAACTCCACCAATGCACTAAACCTCCATCCTTGAAGATTGTGTTTAAAGATTTCTTGTTAAGTCCAGTGTCCTGTTTTGATCACCTTTTTCTTCTAGTCTTTTGCAGTACTTGACAGTGTTAATAACACTTGTTCTTCAAAATCTCCTGTGTTGTACAAATTTAAAATGGCTTAGTAAATCTTAGCCACACTGGATGTTTGGTTATGAGGCTTAAATTAAATCATATATGTGCACAGTCACTGGCAGAAAAGGTTCATTGTCTCTAACAGCAGTAGGGCCTAGGGCAAGGATAACAAATAGAAGCCCACAAATTATTCGTTCAAATATTTAGAAGTCAATCAAGTTGACTAACTGTTAAACAAGATGCTAGCTTCCTACCTTGACAAATACATTTTTCTAACAACTTTGAAGACCATATTTAAATATAGAATTCTTGGACGCATTTGAGTGCCATGCCAAAATGTGCTGGTATGTGGGAAAGCTATCCCCTAGCCTGCAGTTCATTCATGTTCTCTTCTCATGACTGGCTCTGCCCAAGACGAGAGAAATTTTCCATAGACATGTGTAGATCCCTGGAATGTGGCCTGAAAACAGAAATGTAGACTCTTAATGAGCTTGTTCCTTGGGTTTATGAACTCTTCACCCTATGGATAGAAGCACAGTTAGAGGAGGGTTAGGATAGGGCCTCAAAACTTGGATAATCTTGTCTGGCTCATTGTAGATATTCAGTACATGGTTGTTTACTTTTAATGCAGCACACATATTAGTCATGTTTTCTCCCCACCTGTTCTCCCTCCAAGTTTCTTTATTTTTGACATTAACAGCAACACTCTATCATTTAGACTAGAAATTTTGAAGTTTGTTGGGAATCATTCCTTTTCTTCATTTTCTATATCTTTTCAGTCTTTAAGTCCAGTCCATTGTATCTTCTACCTGTAGATTCCTATATTTAGCTATCTCACTCTCAGCCTTTGCATCCAGCTGACTCATTGCCTCAAGTCGGGATTATTTTAATAAGTATACCTAGCATTTTCTGTTTATTTGGCATCTCTTCCACTTTGTTGGGAACCTCTTGAGATGAAGAACCATGACATTCATGTCAATATCCCTAGAAGTTGTCTGGGCACTTTTAGCCTATTCAGATATATTTTGAATTATCCAGAGTGCTAGTGGAGTTTCTTGACAGGGGTCTCATTCCAAGAAAAATTAAGAAGCTTTATGAAAAGCAAAATTGACTGGCTACTTCTGGGGCTGATAGCCAGACCTCGTGGATAAGAACTTTCAAATATTAGGTTCACTGGTCACCCCTATATCTTCCCCTGGCCCCATGCCTCCTCCCCAGCTAAGACCTTGGCAGAAAAGTAATTTACCTTTTTGAGAAAGTGAAGTACACAAGTTAGGGATTGAAAGACCATATACTGCAATAGAGAGAAGGTACTATTGGCTATTTCATGTTGAACTGTTCCTTTTGAATCAGTTTCAGTTCCCTCAAGAAAGAGGGTACTGACAATAAGCAAATGACATAAAAGATGCCTCATTTAATTATCTACATGAAACAGAAAGGATGCTGCTGTTGTTTGTCGCCTCCAAAATTTATGTTGAAATTTAATTGCCTTTGTAACAATAATAACAGCTGGGACTTTTGAGAGGGGATTAGTCCATGAGGGCTCTGCCTTTACGGGTGGAATTAATGCCATCATTCTCCCTCTTGCCTTCTCTTGCCCTTCTGCCATGTTAGGACACAGCAATAAGGTGCCATCTTGGAACAAGGTGGCATCTTGGTCCTGATCAAGGAATCAGCAGCTTCAATGTCTCAACCTTCTCTTCAGATGTTGAAGCTGCTGATTCCTTGATCTTGGACTTCTCAGCTCTCAGAACCGTGAGGAATCAATTGCTTTTTTTTATAGATTACCCAATCTCAGGTATTCTGTTATAGTAACAAAAACAGACAAGACAGATGGCAGGCATGGTTTTATGGTTGGACGTCCAGTGTTTGATTTCAGAGCTGGGGCTGTTAAAGGGGAAAGAAAGCCCTATGAAGTGGATACAAAAATTTTTTTTCCATATTATGTGGCTTCTTTCAGTATGGGACTTGGTGCTAGATTGGCAACAATAGCAGCATGTCATGCTACTGGATACCTAAATGTCCTGCAGGCCATATAAGGACCTAAAGAAAGAAAATGTCTTGTCAGACTAGGTAAGAAGTATGATAATTTAGCTTCAAGTAGTAGAAAGCAAACTGAAAGAGGTTTAATTAAAGACTTCTATTCGTTTGTACCAATATAAACCCTGGTCCTTTCAGTAGAAGTATAATAAAGTTGGCTTCAGGATTGGCTGTATCCAATCTTTGGTACTGCCCTCAAACCAATATATTAACTTAATTTTGATAATAATTATTTATTCAAATTCAACCTATCCCAAGTCCTATTGACCATCTTTTGTTCAAACCTATGCAACTTCTTCTTTTCTCATTTTTGCAAATGGAAGCACCAATCACCCCACCACTTCAGCTGAAAACTTTGGAGTCTTCTTAGAATCTTTTCTGTTTCTGTTTTTCTGCAGGTTCCTTAGTTGTTTCAGCTCTGCATGTTGATATTTCCTTCAGTCTGGATTTTTTCATGGAGGCAAAATGGTTGTAGCACTTCCAGGCCCATAATGTCCACAAAAAGAAAGGGTATAGCCATTGTTTGAAATTTTTTTTTCCACAAAAGTTTCCATCAAAACTTTTCTCACATTGTGTTGACATGAATTGAATCACATGATCATTCCTGAGCCAACTGTTAATGGTTAGGAGAATGCCACTCATTTGTTGTCTTAAGCCTGGAGCTCTGAATTGACTATTGGTGCAAGGGGGTTAATACCCACAGACTAGTCTACCCTGACCCTAGTACTGAGGTTAAGGCTGAGGGGAGAGCTCAGGTTGGACTAAATTTTCCCTAAGCACAGGAATGCTTGGAGGGAGAGGTGGATACTGAAAGGACCTCAGAGGCATAGAAAGTGAGAAAAAGATGCTAGGTAGACAGCCAACAATGTTTGCTACAGGCCCATTGATCCAGAGAAACAGTTGTCAACGGAATGGGTTTTCTAGAGATCTGGATCTAGATCAGTTGCTTTGTTATGGGTTTCTTTGTGTGTGTGCATGTGATAATTTTGTTCTCAAGTGTAAAAGCCTTTAAGGCTAGCAGAAGGTTGTCTAAGAAGGTGGGTCTCCTGGCCTTCCAAAGACTCTATACCACTACAGAATAATTTCTCTGCAAATTCACAGACCTTTCATTCAAAATTATCTCTGCCAGCTTGAATCATGTATTTTCTCCTTTAGAATCGCATTTTGGTCTCTTCCTAATTCTTGTTCAGAATTGGGCTTTTGTCTCATGACTGTATGCCTAATCTCAGCTCTCCTCTTATTTCTGCTCTCACTCAGCTGGTTAAGATTTGCCATCTTGACTATTGTCTTCTGGTATCTGGCTGGGCTCAGTTTACCTCGTATTTACCATCTCACTACCCCTGTCATGGCCTTTAGCTCCATGGAACCCCATCCTGCTATATATTGTAATAAATGCCACTGGGTTGGGCCAGTTTGAGTGAAGGGAACAATTCCCGTGAACTCAATTTCAGCTTCTTAAATAACAAATAACAGCCACATCTATCTTAAATGCATATTAAAATTTTAAAACATTTTCAGGTCTTAAGCTTTACAGAATCATTCTACTATATTATCACAGAGCTTAGATTACATTACAATTAAAATTTGAGATGCATAGGGACAATATTCATTCACTCAACAACATTAATTGAGCCTAAACATTGCACCAGGCATGGTACTGGTATTGGGAACACAGATATGAATAATCTAAAGTTTCTGCTTGCAAAGAGTTCACATTTTGTTCATGGAAGATAGACACATAAATAGATAATTTAAGTACATTAGACTAAGTGTTATCATAAATGTAAGCTCCACAGGGTGCTGAAGAGCACATACGTGTGGCAGCAAACCTTATCTAGAATGGGGAGAAGAGAGTTAAGAAAACTTCACAGTCCTCAATATTCCCATTTCTTAGTATTAAAACCCTCCCACATTGTAGTAGAGCTGGTCTATATGACTAATTGCATAAGATAGAAACAGTTTTGGCTTCACTATCTGTGGGTGATGCAACCACACAGAGCCAGGTCTCAAAAGGACCTTAAACTTGGGGCTTTAATACTCTGGAGTCACTGTCCAAAATTTCTTAATAATTTAACTTTGAATTCATGTTTTGTAAGTAAAGTCCAATAGGAAAATGAAGCATTGGCCAAGGATGAAGTCCCATCTCCTGCTGTTTTTCTGACTATAAAATAGGTTGTCAGCCTCTTACTCTCCTGCCATCTTCTGGCACCCAGGGCCCCACTTGGACTCCCCTTCCATTCCCCCTACTAGCTGCTGCTGCCACTTTCTGCCTATAGTGGTGGCCTGGTAGCAGGTGTGAGGAATATTGGGATTGGGTGTGTGTGGTCCATGACATTTTAGAGTTGGGCATGGTGGTGTCCAGGTGACCCTGGGCTGTCAGCACCATAAAAACTCTGGTGGGAAGCTGTCCAGAGGCTATGACTCAGCTGGGGCAAGCCTCCATGCCCATGATTGATGCAGTTACCTGGTGTGTCCTTGTCGGGGTGATGCAATACTCTTTGTGTTTACCCATCTACTTTGATTGAAGTGGTATACCTATGGGAAGGGGAAGGCACATGGCTTAATTCCCCAGTGTCTGCAGCATGTTGATTCTCCTGTGGCTAGTGGTAATAGGGTAAATTAGAGGAGAAAAGTGCATCCAAAAGACCTGAGCAATTGTGTGTGCTCCTGCATTGAGGGTTTGTACATTTTACTTGTCCCACATGTTGTTTCTGTGTCCAAGGGAACACTCCCCTCAAGGCTGCTTTGTGTCTGGGGAGCCCTCTTTCCAGCCTTCTCAAATATGGTTTTTCTTTACCACTTCTGGCCATCTGAAGGCACCCTCAAAATACAAATTGTGCAAATTTTGTGATTATTCATATGAAATAAATACTCTGATATTTGAATTTTAAACTAGTATTGCACAATATAAAGATGAATGGTGAAAATCAGGCTAAAAGGTTAGTTTTAGCTTTTCTGTCCTTAGAACATTAAATATTAAACAAAAAATACCATGACAAGCTGAGAGAGAGAGAACGGAAGAAAGAAAAATGATTTATATTTTAGTACCTTTACTAACTCAGTTTCCTTACTTTTTGAAATAGAGATGACCCCACATTTTTATTCTATAGAATTATGTAATTATGGAGCTAGTCCTGGGTACAAATGATGATATGTCACTTTCAAGATTAGTTTATGAAAGACACTAAGCTCAATGGCTTGCTCTCCCAGATCACTTCCTCTGGGGAAAGCCAGCTACCCTGTCAGAAGGATATTTAGGCAGCCTGTAGAGAGACCCATGTGGTGAGGAACTGAGGTCTCCCACCAAAAACGTGTATGAAACTGAAACCTTCCAACAATCACATGAGTGAACTTTGAAGATGCTTTGGATCCAGATGCTTGTACCCACTGACATCTTGACTGATCCTGAACAAAAACTAAGACACTACTGGGTTGCTGATCCACAGAAACTGTGTGACATAATCAATGTTTGTTGCTTTAAACTGCTATATTTCAGAGTAATTTGTTATGCAGCAATGGGTAACTAATATGGAGAGGGGTGTGATTGGGTTTGAGGATTGGTTAATGTAAGTCACATTGGTTGAAAAGTAAATATCCTTCCAGAGGAGAGGAAGAAAGGGCAGACCCTGTGTGGGTGACCCACTGTCATGCAGATTACTTTAGCTCTTTGTACATACAATGTGCATCTAAACAGAGGTTGGAAAGAGCAGGATTGCTCAACAAAACAAGTGGAGGAACTGTTTTGAGTTGAATTGCTGGTCAGAGTAAGGGGCAGTGAAAAGGAAGAAGGGAATCAAATTGGATGGAGCTAGACCTGAGTTAGTTGAAATAATCTAGAAGCTTTTTAAGAAGAAAAATGAGTAAATGTTCTGTTAAAATTGTCTGATTTTCTATGATGTAAACCTTCATCATTTCCCCAAATATTCAGCAAAGTGTCACACGTATTAAAAATTTTGTGTAATAGTTTGTTTTGTGGGTATCAAGAAAAAAGCCAAGTGACTTAAAAATACAAAAGAATGCTGCAAGATGTAGAGAAGGAAAATGGAAATCAGCAGATGCACAAACGAGGCCAAAGGTGACAATAGAAATGTAAATTCCTTAGCAAGTAACTGAAATCTTGAGAAGGTCATTAGACTATCCATAGAACAGAAATTCAAGCCATTTTCTCTAGATATTAATAACAAGCAGGAAAGCCACAAACTTCTTCTTTGACTTGTAGATGATGGGAACTCTTTGCTGTTCATTCACATATTGGTTGATGTCGTTCTCTGGAATCTTGGTGTTTGCTTTGTCAGTATGTGTTTCAGAAGTTGGATCATATTTATAGAGTTGTGTTGTTGTACTTGTTGTTTTGCACAAGGTCCAGCAGCGCAGCAAGTGCCATTAGAAAATTAATCAATGTTGTTTGGAAGTATTCTTCTGTTGCAGGCTCTGAAAGCATTCATCTACCCATCCTTCCAAGCATCATTGAACATTTGCCACATGCTAGACAATTAGGGCTTACACATTTGCTATACATTTGAGTATAACCTTATATTTCCTGTTCTGCTGAAACTTAGTTTCTGCCTTTTTGATAATTCACTTATACTCTCCACTTTCATGTCTTCAATATGAAATTGTAACACGGTATGATGACTTTTACTAAACTTTCCTTTAAATTTTCACTTGACCTTCCTAGAGAGATTCACAAAAGGTAACCCTCAGGCACAATACAATAAAGTCTTATTAATTTGAACTCTACTAATTTGAAACATGTTTTTTTCTTAGACTTAAGGGTACATAATAATGGGCAGTGGATTATGTGGACACCACAATTTGGAAGGTCCATTGATCACTTTAGATTATAAAACCAGGATGTTCCTCAAAGATCTCAGCAAATTGAAGGCATTAACCAATTCTAAAAAAAAAATAAAATTTATTTGGATCTTACATGAGCCCCTCAAATCATCCACACAAAATACGAGAGATATGAATTAAAAGCAGCACATATGAAAAAGACTTATGGGGGACTGGTTTGTTTAATTATATGTTAGTTTGTGTCAAAAGTGATGCAGATCCAAAAAACAAAAATCTAGAGTGATATTAACTTCATTAATAGAAGTATAATGTAGAACTATGATTCTAGATTTTAAGAAGGATAAAGAACTAACTGGGACAGGTTTGGTGGGAGATAGCAATTTGAGAAGGGTGCTGGACCCATGTCCTAGGAATAAGGAATGGATGCTAGAGATAGAATAATTTTAAGAAAATACTCAAGGACACGTACTCTCTGTTTTTAGATACCTGGAGGCCTTCCATGCATGAACAGAGGCATGGAGGCTACAAATTGTTAGGCATATGGGGAATATTGACTAGTCTAATTTGCACAAAATATAGAATACACAAAAGGAAATAGTTGAAAATCAGCCATAATAAGTCCTTTAATGTCAGATTTTAGAAGTTTTCAGAAGAGATAAAAAATAATAAGGAAGTTAATCATAAGGATGGTGGAATTCATTGGCAGTTTTAATCTTGTTTTTTGGCAAGGTGACATGTATATTGTAATAAATATAAACATTGAAGAAAAATATGGCCTATCTTTGACCCCCAAGTTTTTCGGTTTCCTTCCCCATATTTACACAGTAATATATGTATGTTGCCCCCTTGCTTAAAATATGAACAGTTGCATATTCTATTCTTCATTATGCATCTTATTATTATTATTTCACTTAACGTATCTTAAAGATTGTTCCAAATAAGTACATATAAAGCTGCTTCCTTCTTTTTCATGGCTGCATGACATTATATTGTTATGAATATACCATAATTTATTTGACCAGTAGTATGGAGCCCTTGAAGGGTTTAGAATATGGCTGCAACATGATCAGGCCTGTGTTTTTGGAAGTTTACTCTAGCTGGCAGGATTGGAGCATTGAGAGACTGGAACAGAGAAACCAATTAAGAGGATCAATGAGAGAATATATGTGAAAGCACTTTTCAGCTGTAATGCACTATATAAATATGAGTTATTATGGTTATAACTCACATCGGAGTTAATGAGGGGCTTGAGCTCAGGATTTCTGACTCCAAATCTGGACGCTCCTTTCCACATCATGTTTTTTGGGCAACTCCACCCAGCTTTGCCATTTGTAGTTGTGATAATGCTGACAATTAAGATACTTACAGTGCTTTACCATTTTCTGAGGGCTTGGTATTCAGGATCTTTGGCTCCTTTCAGCACCCTAGTGAGGTAGGCCTCACCCCTGATTTATAGGTGCTGGGGTGACAGTTGAAGCTAGTATACAAAATCAGTTCACTAAGAGAGAAAAAAATCAGAAACTTGGGAAACAGGCACCATCAAGGGGCTAGCAGAAGGAAGTGAAAAGCAATAAAGCTAGAAGAGCCAGAAAAGGAGTAGTCCAAGAGGTAGGAGGAAAAACAAATAAATTTAATGTCAAAAAATCATGGCCATCTAGTACACTTTTCTGTAGCACCTTACAGTTTACAAAGTGCTTTCCATTTGAACCTCAATACACACAAATTTAATTTACCTCCCCCCCTTCAAAATGTGACAGAAAAAAAAGATTAGGGGAAGGAGAAAAGGGGGTTAAGGAATTATTTATAATGCCCTTGTTAGGTTCTAGCATCTACAGTAGGTGCTTTACAAGCATGAGCTCCTTGAATTACCTCTGTGTGGTAGATGCCACATCCTCACTACAGAGAAGAAGACTGAAATTTAGGGTGGTTAAGTGACCCACCTAATGTCACACAGTTTATAAGTGGCAGAACCAGGAATCTGACTTTTATCTTTCTGATTCCAGAGCCTCATGCTTCTTCCACTCTACCATAATGTCCCTGACTGAAGCACTGAAAAGAGATATCATAGAAAGTAAAAACACATCCAGATTTCCTACACAAGTTCAAACTCATTCAGTGTTAGAGAGAGAAAATAAGATGCCAAAGCTACAGGAGATTTCCGTTAGGTTCAGATAACTGACCTGGACCAAAAGCTGAATTAGACTTTGAACTTTACTATTTTGGAAGGTTGTTGCAAACACAGCTTTTGGTAGGCAGACAGAATGGATGGAGGGAAGGGGCAGGTTCAACCACACCATCTAAGAGGAGAAACTCAAAAGAGGATTCTCACAAGACAACTTGAGAATTGAAGCTGTGACTTCTTTAGCTTCACCCTCTTCAAAGTGCATAATGAAGTGTTTGGCACATATTAACTAATTAACAAGTTGTTTAAAGATGCCAATTATGGCCAGGTGCGGTGGCTCATGTCTGTAATCCCAGCACTTTGGGAGGCCGAGTTGGGTGGATCACAAGGTCAAGAGATTGAGACTATCCTG
The DNA here is from genome assembly GCF_000001405.40 of Homo sapiens. Lineage (NCBI taxonomy): Eukaryota > Metazoa > Chordata > Mammalia > Primates > Hominidae > Homo > Homo sapiens. The sequence continues at coordinate 67,342,002 of NC_000023.11, read as the reverse complement.
GCCAACATGGTGAAACCCTGTCTCTACTAAAAATACAAAAATTAGCTGGGCATGGTGACACGTGCCTGTAGTCCTAGCTACTCGGGAGGCTGAGGCAGGAGAATTGCTTGAACCTGGGAGGCAGAGATTGAAGTGAGTTGAGATCACGCCACTGCACTCCAGCCTGGTGACAGAGCGAGACTCAGTCTCAAAAAAAAAAAAAAAAAAAAAAAAAAAAAAAAAAGATGACAATTATTTGGGTTCATCTGGAAGGGAGAAGAATAAGATTTTAAGTTCAGTGTTTTCCCAGACAGCTCTCTTCCATTAATTTTGTAGATAATCAGTCTTTCTCAGTGTTTTCTCCATTCACATAACCTCTGTAATCATCCCACTTTCCTTGCCCTAGCAAAATCAAATACATGTGTAGGTCCCAAGTGTTTTGTAACTTGTACTACATCTGCCGCAGAAAAACTGTGTAGCTGACTTCACCACTCTGAATTCAGAGGCTAGAGGCACAGGAAGCCCAGTCAGTTAGAATGAAGCTTCCAAATTAGCCCCAAGTGCCTTGGAGCTGCTCTAGGCATAAACTTTGCTCCCAGCTCAGACCACATCTATTTCACCTACAAGAAGGGAGGCCAATTTATATAGAAATGAGTTTTTCTACTTGAGCCCAAGCCATGCAAATACTCTAAATAGGGGAAGTCATGGGGTATCTGTTTCTTATCTCATAGGACAAAGTAAAACAAGAATGGAGTCTTGAGGAGCTCCTTAGCTGCAAGGTAGGGAATATGCTGCCTGTCACTGTCAAGACATAAGCTGAGGACACAATGGCCTTAGGAAGGCTCTCCTGAGTCTTTTTATCAATACTTATTGACTGAGCTGGTCATCTGTGACTTCTTTAGCTTTGTGCTAGTCATTGTGGCATAGTACTAGTCACTGTGGTGGGGAAGTAGAGATGAACAAGATACAATACTTTAGGAAACTCACATCATGAAATGTATAATTAAGAGCCAAATTATGATAAGACTAGGGAAAGGGTGGTCAAGGAGAGCTTCAGGGCTTCCTGCAGGAGGTTGTGTTTGAGTTATATCTTGAAAGAAGAATTAGTGTTTAGAGATTTGGGGTAAATAACTGCAAAGAATGGTGGGAGCAAAGGTGCCTAGGTAAGAGTGGGTACTCTAGTGACCAAGCCAAGGTGGTGTAGGTGTGTGGAAAGTAGGGAAAATAGCCATTTTTAGAAGGCTGACTAGGTTGTAGATGCCCACTCTTTGATCAGAGAACACCCTTGGCCAAAAGGTAAAAGTCTAAGAGAGGCCATGAGGAGAAGAACTGTATTTTCCAGACCAAATAAACATAAACTTGAAAATCAGGCTAAGCACCTTAGAAAGGCAGAGACCCTTTGCCAAAAGGTAAGAACCAAAGAGAGACATGGGCCCTTGGAAACACTTTCAGGCTTTCCTTGGTTCAGAGCGGGACAAGGTGGTATCACATACACTTAAGACAATGAGCTTTCTATTGAAATGTCCAAAGTTTATATTCCAGCTCTTCTGTCTTCTGTGTGACCTCTCTGTGCCTTGGTTTTCTCATGTATAAAAAAAGAGAATAAAAATAGCTTCTCTCTTATAGGCTATTCTGAGGCTTAAATTACAGAATGCACATAACAAAGCACTTAGCTCATGGTTGTCCTATAAGAAGTACTTGGTAAATTGTGGCTCCTATTAGTTTTTTTTTAAATTGATATTATGCTCAAGGTTATATAGTGGCCTGGGCATGGAGATGACTCTCAAATACATGCTTTTTAAAGTTTGGTACAATACTAAGGTATTTATTCTGAGAATACCCTAGGGCACACATCCACAATTTCTCCCTGGTGACTCATTCCCTGGCTGATTGATGGTGGGGAAGACATACCTCAATATTCAATTAGATGATTATTGTGATTGTCTAGCTCTGAAAATACCCATGAAATCTCTAATCCACTCAATTTATAATAACTGCTATTTCCAAAGTTTTTCACTGTTTGCAAAATCCCTTTATCTCTGTCATCTCATGTGGATTTGAAAAATTGGGCCATAGGATGGTCAGGGACAGGTGCCCTTATTTTACAAGTCAAAAACTGAAGCTCAGAGACATAAAGCAATTCACCCAAGGCCACACAGCATGAGGGGACTCTCAAACTCACATCTTTTGATTCTATTTCAGTGCTCTTTCCCTCACCGGGCCTTGATTAAATCCTCCAGGATTAAATGAAGACTCAAATTTAACCTTTAGCCTGTCAAATTGGCCAGGCAATGTGTGTGTGTGTGTGTAGGAGAGCAGAGTTTGGTAGAGAGAAAAATCAGGAACCTAGTCTGGACTTGGGAGTGAAGAAGGTTTGAACCCACCTATCTAGATTGGACCCAAGCAAAAAAAAATTACTTCCTTTTAGTATATTTTGTGAAGAAGAGAGAGGACTGGGTTAAAAACAGCACTGTGAGATATGCAATAGGCCAAAAATTAGAGCAACTACAATAGATTACCCCACCCTTGAAGGAGGCTATGGATGGGTGTTTGGGATCTTTGGTGTGGCACAATGAAAGTTCTATCTCCCCTCTCTCTTCTGCTTCCCCAGCTGTACCATCAGCACCCACGTATTCTATCTGGCTTTATATTACTCTCAACAAGTTTATTGCATTGGTACTCCAAGTTCAAGAGTCCAGGCTTGAAAAGGTATTGAGGTTGGGCGAGTGCCTCCACACACTTTTGGTACTTAGGCAGATTAAAGACAAGGGAAGTCCCAGCACATCTATTAGACAGAGACACTTAAGCCTGAACAAGTCATGTCTCCATTCCCCTGCCCTTTGCTTGTCAATTAAGGCCTGTCTCTAGTGTGTCAGGCCAAAAAAGAATCAGTACACTGGGAGATGCTTCTTCTGGTACAATCTGAGTCTTACTACATACTAGGCTTCTGCTTCCTAGTGAGATAGGAGGCAGGGCTCAACTTTAGAGGCAGGGCTTAGACACCGGGCCAGATTGACGATTTGGGCAGGGGAGGAAGCAGATTTCAATGAAACATGCCCACCAGCATGCCATGTCAATTTACCATAGCCATGGCAAAACCCAGGAGCTACTGCCTCTTTCCATAACTATGACCCAATGACCCAAAAGTTACTACCCCTTCTGTGGAAATTTCTGCACAAACCATCCCTTGATCTGCATGTAATTAAAGTAGGTATAAATATGACTGCAAAACTGCCTTGAGCCCCACTCTTTGCCTAAGGGGTAGCCTTTCTCTGGTAGATTCAAGGAGCTTTAACACTGCTGGAGCTGTAACACTACCTCTTCAATAAAGCTGTTTTCTTCTACTTCTAGCTTGCCCTTAAATTCTTTCCTGGGCAAAGCCAAGAACTCTCATGGGATAAGCTCCACTTTAGGGCTCGCCTGCCATGCATCGCCAGGAGAAGGCCTCAGGGTGGACCAGAGAGTCCTGATTTGGCAGTCCACTTTGCTTCTGACCATGAACATACCTCTGAAGTTCCAAGAGCAGGAAGGAAAGAGCTGAGTGCTAGCTTTTGCCTGAAGCCTGGCACAGAATTCAAACAACTCCCAGTGTGTTGGCATAGACATGTGGGACAAAGTCAACCTTGCAGAACACATTTGGTGGCTTCACATGAATTACTGTTGTATAATAAATATACAAGAACAGAGTTCAGTTGGTTTTTAACCATAGCATTAAAGTTTTTCTCATACCTTGGTCATCCTTCTGCTCAGACTGGGATCTTGTTTATAAGCCCACTCTAGGTTTGGAGGAATCAATGAAAGACAATCTTTCTGATATCGTCTTTCTAGTGGTAAGTAAAGGGTAAGAGTGATCACTCCACTGAAGCCAATTAGGAATAATTATTTGTTTTTAAATCCTCCAAATTTTCTTGACAGATGGGCATGCCACTTTTGGACAGGTCAACTTGGCCAAAGTTCCTCAGAAGGTTATCTGTACTATTAATTTTTGTTAAATGATGTGAGATAAGTTCTGATGAATCATGATTCTTACTTCAATCCCCAGTATCAGCCTGCACTAGATTGATAATACCTGGAGAAGTCTTGAATCCCTGACCCTATTATTTGTACCAGAACAGAAAGCACATGGTTCATGTTGAAAGAGTAAGTAGGAAAAAACTTAAATATCAAGGTCTCTAAAAGCCTTCAGTCCCATCCTCATAAAAATTCATCATGACTTGCCCTCAGTAGTGATCACAAAATAATTCTTTTCTTGGGGGGTGGGGGCGGGGTGGTCCTTATGTGAGAAAAGACAGTGGTTCCAGCATCCCAAACACTATTTTCTTGAGGAATTGGCTCTTTCATTTTCGTTACTCAGCTTGAGCTCTTCTCAGTTGAAACCTAGGAGATGCTTGGGCTTTTATACTGTAGAAAGATTGTTCCTTTTTAATCAGGGAAATGGAGTGGAGGTAGGTAGTAGGGAAACCCTGTCAAGAGAGAAGAATGGATAACTTAAGAGCTGGAGACATATCCTTTGGGATTTTTAGACTAAAGTATTTAAGATCAAGAAGGCAGAAATTGTCACAGTGCTGGGTTGTACTTTAGATCCTTCACATGGAACTAGTGCAATTCACAGTGGTATATTGCTGTGGGAACATGAAACTTCATGGGATATATTTTTTGTAGTATACAGCTGATGTGTTTCAGCTAGTTACTTTGGGCTCTAGGCTCCTACAGCCAATTGGTGGCATTCAATAAGTAACTAAAGAATCTCTCCTCACCACTTCTCTGTCCCCCTCTTGAAGATCAGAGTCCTAGCCAACACCAACATTTTGGCCAGGCATGAATTCTCTAATCCAGCACAGGAGAATAGGAAGCTCATATGATTGCTCTGAATCATTGTGTGCGTCATTCATTCCTATATTTCCAGTGTCTGGAATAGTACCTTGCATATAATACGTGCTCATGAAATGTTTATTGAGTAAATAAACGCTTAAATAAATATTTCTAAGTACTGCTTCTGCCAAGAAAAAAAGACTAATCTTTTCTCAGAGTACCTTCCCATTTCCCACCTCAACTTTTCATGTGCTAAATTCTTCCCAGTTATATCAATGAAGAATGGACTTATGGATAAAAGTGGAAGAAGATGTGGACGGGCCATAATGAGCTCCAACTCAGAATAATTCAAAGAGTTAATTAGAACATTTGTAGAGTATAAATTTCCCACTAGTGAGAAAAAGTCTTACTTTACTCTTTATTAAGTATTTAACAGAAGGAAAATACCCTCAAAACCAAAGTCTTGAGGTTCTGCCTAAATATCTTACCTTCCCCAGATTTCCCAAAAGCTTAACAACTCATCCTTGGAGTCTGTTTCACTCTCTAGCCAAGTCTCACAGGCATACAAAGTATTTCATAAAGAATTGATTGCATAGAATGATCAAGTGTCAAAGCTGAAAGGGAATTTAGAAATATCAGAGCCCAACTCCTTCTTTTTATAAGTAGGGTACACTGGAACCCAGAGAGTGGAAGACATTGGCAGCTTGGTCTGCTGACCACCAGGCTAGGGTTTTTCTCATCATACCACATGATTTCCAAGTGTTGGTCAATTTTACAAAAGGACTACCACCCCCCACCACTCCTTATAGGGTTATAGAATATAGGTTTCTAGGTTGGAAACACTACATGGACAGGAATAAGAGGGCCTATGTTGCATCCTATGTTGCATTCAAGAACCATGTTGACTGCAAATTGTAGGTTCACTTTGGCCCAGAATGTGCTATTGATGTGCTCCTATAGAAGGGCCAGAATCCATAGGCTCTGTCTCCTCCCCCCAGTAACCTAAGCCAGGTGTGCCAGGGCATGTTGGCACAACACCCTCTCCCATGCATTGTTTTTTTGGAACACAGGCCTCAGGCCAAGTATATATTAATGCAGCTATGCATAGTATGTAGGGTTCTCAGTTCCTGAACTTGGAAGAAATGAGGCCAGGCTGAAAAGAAACCAGACTGTGAGGGAAGATCTGTAGAGACACATGCGGAAACAAGCCTCAAAGCAATTAAGAAAAGCACTGGGCTTCCAAGACTCACATTATTAATTTTGGCTGGCCCTAGTTAAGATACTTAACTTCTCTGATCTTGGTTTTCTCATCTGTAAAGTGGGAGAAAATCAGATCTGGTTCAACTATTTGGATGGAACTATGAAAGTAATTTGGAAGTGATGGTGTTATGCAACAGTTCCTTGTGACTGGATCTGAACATTTTTAATCCTTTGAGTCAAGTAACTCCAGTAGAAGGTATCACTGCCTTTATTCAGATAAATGTTTGAAAGAAAATCATAGAATGGTTAATGAGTAATTGTGGGCTTGCTTTGAAATTAAATATGACTCAAAATACTTGTTTCTAAACACACTGGTCTTCAGATGGGCAAAGAAGAATCACCAGGAAAATGTTTTAAAAATCCAGATGCTTAGGCTCTACCTTGGATCTGAGGTTCAGAATTGAAGAGGGAGGAAGTATGAGTTAGGCAGGACATCTGTATTTCCAACTAATAGTCCCTAGAAGATAATACTTAATCAATTTGGAAATCACTGATCCAGTAGACTGATTAAAGTGGTGAGATATAGGAGAAAGATGCCAGCCTCTGGCTCCAGGCAGACAAAGTTCAAGTCTTCACCTGGAGCAAATCACATCCCTTCGCAGAGTCTTCAATTTTGCATCAACAAAATAGAATTATGTACCAAGAGGTTACTGTGGGGATTAAAGGTGATGATGTAGGTAATGTAGCAGGCATTCAAAAATGTTCTCTCCTTTGTTGGCCTGTCCTTTCCTTACTTTGGCCTGGTTTGTTGTAAACCTAGATGACATGGACCCCATCTGTTCAACTCATTCTGCATGATGCTCAAAGATGTAAGGTGAGAGTAGGGAGATTTATGCAGAAGTAGCAGCTTAATAGCCGCTTTGTGATTGTTTTAGTCAGGGGCAGAGGACTTCAAAGAAAGGGGAGTTTATTATAAGCATATAGGAGGCCTGACGTAGAAGAAGTTAACCTAAAAAGCTACAGAGACTTCAGCAACTAGGAGTCATAAATGGCTTTCATTAGTGTGATCCAGCTGTCCTCTATTTCTTTCAATTCCCTTATCAACTGGATCTCCAATAACTTCAGCGTGAACACAGTACAAGAAACTTTTCTGCTCCAACTCAATCTGATGACTTTCAGTTGAAGCACCTACTAGTACTTGGTATTTTAAAAAATATGCTCTAGTTCAAATATGAGAGTCAGAGATAATCTGATTGGTGAAGCTTATCTTTTTGTGACAATACAATTTATAGGCTCCAGGTCTGCTTAAATATTGGTTGCCCGTAGGTCAGATTCAGTTGGAGTGAGGTCACTTGGTGAAAAGCCTGGCAGCCTAGGTTTTAAGAACAGTTTATCTTGGAAAGAGATATGGTTTAGGTAGGGACCATAAGATAGGACTGGCATAACATTGTCCTCTGGGGTTGAACAGTTGAGGAGACATGAGCAGGGACTTGGCAGTACATGTATACTGATTAGGTAATGCCATGACATCTCTGTTTTGGGCAGTAGTGTAGGTAACCTTTCTCTGGGAAGTAACAAATCTATCTATTTCCTGGACATGATATAGCCACCCATTCTCTGGGCTTTGTGTCTAAACCAGCAGCAGTAAAGACAAGGAGAATATCTAAATAATGGAATCTAACTTCCGGACTGCACAAAGTGATGACCCATCAATGTTTAAGGAGGGTCTGAGTAGAAGGACGAATCCTTCCCCTTTCTGGTGAAGAAACTGAGTTTAAAAAGAGAAGCGTCTCATAGCTAAGAGTTAGAAGTCAAACCTGGTCTGACTGTCTCTCGATTCCATACTCCCTCCATTGTATCCAAGTTTGGTCTTCCTCATTATAAATCTGAGAAGCTACAATGGCTTATGCTGGTTCCCATTTTACAGGCAGAGAAACTGGAGCATAAGGAAACACCATGGCTGGGTGTGTACTGGCAAATTAAGGTAGACAATTGACAGCTTTTTTGGGAAAATTCAGATGAAGTTCCCACTTTCAATACATTAATCCTAAGATACACTGGATTTCCCTGGAGAGCTGGTTAAATACAGATGACTGGGCCCTACTTTCAGAGATTCAGATTCTGTAGCTCTGGGATGGAGACGGGGAATTTACATTTTTAACAAAATCCCAAGTAATACTTATGCTGTTGATCCAGGAGCTACACTTCGAAAACCGCTGTTGTAAGCAATGCATTGGTTGAAATGACTGGCTTATGACATCCAGCTTTCATGCACCAGCTACTAGGATGAAGTTGTTAAAAAATATTTACATGTGAGATCCCAGACCATCTCTGTTAAAGACATCTGATGCTACCCATGACCTTCTTCTCCATAGACTCTAGCAAACACAATGATGAGTACCTAGGCCTTGATGTCAGACAGATGGGGTACAATTTCCTAGCCTTGTGACCCCAAAAAGTTACATGACTTCTCTGAGCCTCAGGTTCTTCATTTTTAAAATGGGGGTAATGACGTTGCTACACAGGGCTGTTGTGAAGATCACAGAAACAAATGCATATAAAACCTTTGAAGACAAGAAAGTTTTGCATCAGTTGAAATACATTTTTAAAAAGAGTAACAGATTTCTTTTTCTGGACCACCTCTAATTCTTGGCATTTTAAGACTCCTTGGGTGCCTGTACTTTTGTTGCAGAAGGTGGCAGACAGGAATGTCTGCAAGTGGCTGTGGAGGAGCCATCCTAGATGCTGTAGGTGCTTATTCATCCCTATTAACACAGGCTAAATTCAAGTTTCCTATGTTCTTAGCCCTGGATCTTTTTAATATGATGCCTTCAACAACCAAGCTGCAGTCTTTCCAAAAGCCTGAGAAATGCAGATGGTCGTGTAATTCTTATCATCCATTTTTCATTTTTAGAGGACTGGGTGTTTGAAAAAAAGGGAAATTCTTTAAGAGGTAGACAGAAGATACAGTCTTTTACAACTGTGTCAGATTTTTCTCTGTTAGAGAGTAGAGTGGAAAGGCAACAGAGTCGGGAAATTTGGGTCCGAGAAAATGTTCTGCAACTGACTCACTGTGTGGCTTTGTATAAATCTCTCCTGCTTTTCAGGCCTCAATATTTTGTCTGTAAGATGAGGTACAATATTCAGATTCAATGGTCTTGAAGGGTCCTGCAAGATCTAAATTCTAGATTCAGAAAGACAGAAGACTTGCTCCTAGCCATAGCTATATGTATGGGCTCATTATGTGATGGAAAATCCCTTCTCATCTCTGAGCATTAGTCTTCTCAGTTATAGACTTGGGAATAATTATAAACCATGACTTAAGTCTCTTCAAATACTTATGCTAAGAACCTAATATGTACTATTCAAAATATCTAGTATCATATGATAAGAAGTTGATATTCAGAATATATAAAGAACTCCTACAACTCAACAATAGAGAAACAAATTTACTAAAAATTTGTCCAGGAACTTGAATAGACATTTCTCCAAAGAAGATATACAAATGACGGATAAGCACATGGAAAAATGTTTGACACCACTGATGCAAATCAAAACCACAAGAAGATACCATCTCATATCCATTAAGATAGCTACTATGAAAACAAAACAGAAAATAACAAGTGTTGGCAAGGATGTAGAGAAATTGGAATACTTGTGCATTGTTGGTAGTATTGCAAAATGGTACCACTGCCATGAAAACAGTATGACAGTTCCCTTAAAAGTTAACAATAGAATTACTATATATAATCCAAAAATTCTACCTCTGGATATATATCAAAAATAATTAAAAGCAGGCTCTCAAAGAGATATTTCCATACCCATGTTCATAGTGGCATTCAAAATAGTCAAAAGTGAAATCAACCCATGTCCATTGACAGATGAGTGGATGAAGAAAATGTGGTTTATACGTGCAAAGGAATATTATTAAGCCTTAACAAAGAAGAAAAGTCTGACACATGCTGCAGCATGAAATAATCTTGAGGCCGTTATGCTAAATAAAATAAGCCAGTCTCGAAAGGTCATATGCAATATGATTCCCCTTATATGAGGTGCCTAGAGTAGTCAAATTCACAGGGGATGGGGGCAGGGGGGATGGACTGTTATTGTTTAATGGATAGAGTTCCAGTTTTGCAAGATGAAGGGGCACTGGAGATGGATGGTGGTGATGGTTGCTCAACAATGTGAATGTACTTAACACCACTGAATTATACACTTAAAATAGTGGAGATAGTAACTTTTGTGTTATGTGTATTTTGCCATAATTACAAATAATAGATTTCTTTGAAAACTGACAAGTGCTCTATAAATTTGGGAATGTAATTTGCTCAAGTTTATCATCTTTTTTTTATATTTTAGGAATATATCTCCACCTTCATTCATTTTGTAATTTTTTTTTTAAATTGAAGTATAATGGACATACCAAAAACTGTACATATTTAATGAATACATGTCAATGAGTTTGAAAATACATGTACTCCCATAAAACCATCATAAAAATGCCATTAACATATCTACGATCTGTAAAATTTACATCATCCCTCTTTTTTTGTGACGAGGACATTTGACACACAATCTAACCTGTTTACAAATGTTTCAGTGTACAATATATTATTGTTAATCACATTCATTGTGCTGTACAGTTGATCTCTAGGAGGTTTTCATCTTGCAAAACTGAAACTATGTACTCTTTGACCAACATCTCATTTCCCCCAACTCCCAAATCCTGGCAACCACCATTCCACTCTCTGTTTCTATTAGTTTGATCATCTCAGATTCCTGATACAAAAGGGATTATGTAGTATTTGTTCTGTGTCTGGCTTATTTCACTTAGCATAATGCCCTCCAAGTTGATCCATGTTGTCACAAATGGTAAAATTTCCTTTTTTATTTATTTTTATATTTTATTTCAATAGTTTTGGGGGTACAGGTAGTTTTGATTACACGGATAAGTTCTTTTAGAGGTGATTTCAAAGATTTTATTGCACCTGTCGCCCGAGCACTGTACACTGTACCCAATATGTAGTCTTTTTATTCTTCACCTCCCTTCCAATCTTCTCTCCTAAGTCGCCGAAATCCATTATATCTTTCTTAAGTTTTGCGTTCTCATGGCTTAGCTTCTGCTTATAAGTGAGAGCATATGATGTTTGGTTTTCCATTCCTGATTTACTTAGAATAACGGCCTTCAGCTCCATCCAAGTTGCTGCAAAATACATTATTTTATTCCTTTATATGGCTAAGTAGTTTTCCATGGTGCATATATACCACATCTTCTTTATTCACCTGTTCGTTGATGGACGCTTAAGTTGGTTCCGTATATTAGCAATTGAGAATTGTGCTGCTATAAACATACATGTGTATGTGACCTTTTCATATAATGACTTATTTTCCTTTGGGTACATACCCAGTAGGGGGATTGCTGGATTGAATGGTAGGTTTTTAGTTCTTTAAGGAATCTGCATACCATTTTCCATAATGGTTGTACTAATTGACATTCCCACCATCAATGTAAAAGTGTTCCTTCTTCACCACATCCATGCCAACATTTATTGTTTTTTTTTACTTTTTAATTACAGTAATTGTTGCAGAAGTAAGTTGGTATCTCATTGTCATATTAATTTGCATTTCCCTGATGATTAGAGATTTTGAGCATTTTTTTTCATATATTGGCAGGCTGTTTGTATATCTTCTTTTGATAATTGTCTGTTAATGTCATTTGACCATGTTTAGATGGGATTTTTTTTTCTTGCTGATTTGTTTGAGTTTCTTGTAGATTCTGGATATTAGTCATTTGTCAAATGCATAGGTTGCAAATATTTCTCCCATTCTGTGGGTTGTCTGATTATCTCTTTTGCTGTGCAGAAGCTTTTTATTTTAGTTAGGTCCCACTTATTTATTTTTGTTTGTGTTGCATTTGCTTTTGGGTGCTAAGTCATGAAGTCTTCACCTAAGCCAATGTCTAGAAGAGTTTTCCAATGTTATCTGCTATAATTTTTATGGTTTCAGGTCTTAGACTTAAGTCTTTGGTCTTGAGTTGATTTTTGTATAAGGTGAGAGATGGGGATCCAATTTCATTCTTCCTCAGGTGGCTTGCCAATTTTCCCAGCATCATTTATTGAATAGGGTGTCCTTTCTTCACTATATGTTTTTGTATGCTTTGTCAAAGATCAATTGGATGTAAGTATTTGGCTTTATTTCTGGGTTCTCTATTCTGTTCCATTGGTTTATATGCTACCACAACCAGGAAATGACATAAAAATAAAATTAAAAGAATATAATAAATATTGTCAAGTAAATATGATTTAAAATTAATTATTATTTTATCACCAACAATATTAGTTATCTACTGCCACATAACTAGTAACCTCCAAACTTCAGTGACTTTACCACCATTTTATTTCTCAAAATTCTGTGGGTTAGCATGATTCTTTGGGTCGCCTGGTAAGTAAGTTGGGAGCTGGACATGTGAGGTGCTGGTATGGATGAGCCTCACTTTCCAAGTGATTTTTCATCCTTAGAGAGGCTAAACTGGGTTTCTTTATATGTAGTCTCTGGGCAGTGTTCCAAAACAGCAAAAGCAGAACCAGTATGGCCTTTTAAGTCTCAGCTTCTAGCAGATTCCAATATTCACAAGATATGAAATAAGACATTTGCATTTCCATTTATTTAAATAGCTCCTTCAGCTTACTCTAAATTGTGGAAATATAATCATGATTATAATTTATGTTTCAAAAGTAAGCAAAGTTTACTTTCAGCAAATTGTCCTTTTTATAATAAATTTTTCAAAATAACATGATTGAAACTGTGGAAAAAAAATAAAAATAAAAACAATAAAATGAAATTACAAACCAGTGTCCCTGATGAACATAGATGCAAAAATTCTCAAGAAACTACTAGTTAGGTGAATCCAACAACATACCAAAAAGATAATTCATCATGATCAAGTGGATTCATACTAGACATGCAGAGAAGGTTAACATACACAAATCAACAAATATGATACATTATATAAACAGAATTAAAAACAAAAACCATGTGATCATCTCAACAGATCCAGAAAAAGCATTTGATAAAATACAGCATCCTTTTATGATTAAAACCCTCAACCAAAAGCATAGAAGAAACTTACCTCAAAGTCACCTATGGCAATCCAACCACCAACATCATACTGAATGAGGAAAAATTGAAAGCATTCCCCATGAAAACTAGAAAAAGACAAGGATGCACACTTTTACTACCTCTATTCAACATAGTACTGGAAGTCCTGGCCACAGCAACCAAAAAAGAGGAAGAATAAAGGGCATCCAAATTGGAAAAGAGGAAGTCAAACTGTCACTGTTTACCGATGATATGATCATATATATCATCGGCGAATAGCTTTTTGTTTCATTTATTTTTTGTAATTTCTTTTGGTTTCAATTTCATTTAGTTCTGCTCTGATCTTTTTTTTTCTACTGGGTTTGGGGTTTGGTTTGTTTTTATTCCTATAGTTCTTTGAGGTGTGACATTAGATTTTCTATTTGTGCTCTATCAGACTTTTTGATGTAGGCATTTAATGCTATAAACTTTCCTCACTTTTGCTGTATCCCAGAGGTTTTGATAAATTGTGTCACTATTATTCAGTTCTAATAATTTTTTAATTTCCATCTTGAGTTCATTGTTGACCCAAAGATCATTCAAAAGTACACTATTTAATTTCCAAGTATTGGTATAATTTTGAGGGTTCCTTTAGAAGTTAATTTCATTTTATTCTACTGTGTTCTGAGAGGCTATGTGATATGATATTGATTTTCTTAAATTTATTGACACTTGTTTTGTGGCCTTGATATCATATGGTCTATTTTGGAGAATGTTCCATATGATGATGAAAACAATGTACATTCTGCCATTGTTGGGTAGAATGTTCTGTAAATATCTGTGAAGTCCATTTCTTCTATCGTATAGTTTAAGTCCATTGTTTATTTGTTGACTTTCTGTCTTGATGGCCTGTCTAGTGCTGTCACTGGAGTACTGAAGTCCCCCACTATTATTGTTTTGCTAACTACCTCATTTCTTAGGTGTAGTAGTAATTGTTTTATGAATTTGGGAATTCCAGTGTTAGGTGCATATATAATTAGAATGGTAATATTTTTGTTTCAGACTAATTATTTTATGATTATATAATGTCCCTCTTTGACTTTTTTCATTGTTGCTGCTTTAAAGTCTGTTTTGTCTGATATAAGAATAGCTGCTCCTGCTTGCTTTTAGCTTCCATATGTGTGGAATATCATTTTCCACCCCAATTTACCCTACGTTTAAGAGTCCTTATGTGTTAGATGAGTCTCTTGAAGACAGCAGATACTTGGCTCATGAATTTTTATATACTCTGTCATTCTGTATTTTTTAAGTGAAGCATGTAGGCTACTGAAATTCAATGCTAGTATTGAAATTTGAGGTACTATTCTATTCATCATATTAGTTGTTGCCTAAATACCTTGGTTTTTTCATTGTGTTATGTTTTATAAGCCCTATGAGCTTTAAAAGTTGGTTGCACTTTGGTGTAGTTTGAGGTTTTGTTTTAAGATTTAGTACTCCTTTTAGCATTTTCTGTAGTGCTGGCTTGGTAGTTGTGCATTCTCTCAGCATTAGTTTGTGTGAAAAAGACTTTATCTCTCCTTCATTTATAAAGCTTAGTTTTGCTTGATAGAAAATTCTTGGCTGACAACTATTTTGTTTAAGGAGATTAAAAATAGGACCCCAATCCCTTTTGGCTTTAAGGTTTCTCCTGTGAAATCTACTGTTAATCTGATAGGGATTTTTAAGAGGTTACCTGATGCTTTTGTCTCATAGCTGTTAAGTTCTTTTCTTCATCTTGACTTTAAATAAACTGATGACGTGGCTGGAGCCAAGATGGTCGAATAGGAAAAGCTCTGGTCTACAGCTCCCACCATGAGCAACGCAGAAGATGGGTGATTTCTGCAATTCCATCTGAGGTACCGGGTTCATCTAACTAGGGAGTGCCAGATAGTGGGCACAGGACAGTGGGTGCAGCACACCGTGTGCAAGCCAAAGCAGGGTGAGGCATTGCCTCACTCGGGAAGTGCAAGGGGTCAGGAAGTTCCCTTTCCTAGTCAAAGAAAGGGGTGACAGATGGCACCTGGAAAATTGGGTCACTCCCACCCCAATACTGCGCTTTTCCGACGGGCTTAAAAAACGGTGCACCAGCAGATTATATTCTGCACCTGGCTCAGAGGGTCCTACACCCTGACCCCTGACTCCCGAGCAGCCTAACTGGGAGGCCCCCCCCAGTAGGAGCAAAGTGACACCTCACACGGCCGGGTACTCCTCTGAGACAAAACTTCCAGAGGAACGATCAGAAAGCAGCATTTCCGGTTCACGAAAATCCACTGTTCTGCAGCCACCGCTGCTGGTACCCAGGAAAACAGGGTCTGGAGTGGACCTCCAGCAAACTCCAACAGACCTGCAGCTGAGGGTCCTGTCTGTTAGAAGGAAAACTAACAAACAGAAAGGACATCCACACCAAAAACCCATCTGTACATCACCATCATCAAAGACCAAAAGTAGATAAAACCACAAAGATGGGGAAAAAACAGAGCAGAAAACCTGGAAAATCTAAAAAGCAGAGCGCCTCTCCTCCTTTAAAGGAATGCAGCTCCTCACCAGCAATGGAACAAAGCTGGACGGAGAATGACTTTGACGAATTGAGAGAAGAAGGCTTCAGACGAACAAACTACTCTGCGCTACAGGAGGAAATTCAAACCAAAGGCAAAGAAGTTGAAAACTTAGAAAAAAATTTAGACGAATGTATAACTAGAATAACCAATACAGAGAAGTGCTTAAAGGAGCTGATGGAGCTAAAAGCCAAGGCTCGAGAGCTACATGAAGAATGCAGAAGCCACAGGAGCTGACACAATCAACTGGAAGAAAGGGTATCAGCGATGGAAGATGAAATGAATGAAGTGAAGTGAGAAGAGAAGTTTAGAGAAAAAAGAATAAAAAGAAATGAACAAAGCCTCCAAGAAATATGGGACTATGTGAAAAGACCAAATCTACGTCTGATTGGTGTACCTGAAAGTGACAGGGAGAATGGAATCAAGTTGGAAAACACTCTGCAGGATATTATCCAGGAGAACTTCCCCAATCTAGCAAGGCAAGCCAACATTCAGATTCAGGAAATACAGAGAATTCCACAAAGACACTCCTTAAGAAGGACAATTCCAAGACACATAATTGTCAGATTCACCAAAGTTGAAATGAAGGGAAAAATGTTAAGGGCAGCCAGAGAGAAAGGTCGGGTTACCTTCAAAGGGAAGCCCATCAGACTAACAGCGGATCTCTCTGCAGAAACCCTACAAGCCAGAAGAGTGGGGGCCAATATTCAACATTCTTAAAGAAAAGAATTTTCAACCCAGAATTTCATATCCAGCCAAACTAAGCTTCATAAGTGAAGGAGAAATAAAATACTTTACAGACAAGCAAATGCTGAGAGTTTTTGTCACCACCAGGCCTGCCCTAAAAGAGCTCCTGAAGGAAGCACTAAACATTAAAATGAACAACTGATATCAGCCACTGCAAAATCATGCCAAATTGTAAAGACCATCGAGGCTAGGAAGAAACTGCATCAACTAATGAGCAAAATAACCAGCTAACATCATAATGACAGGATCAAATTCACACATAACAATGTTAACTTTAAATGTAAATAGACTAAATGCTCCAATTAAAAGACACAGACTGGCAAATTGGATAAAGAGTCAATATCCATCAGTGTGCTGTATTCAAGAAACCCATCTCACGTGCAGAGATACACATAGGCTCAAAATAAAGGGATGGAGAAAGATCTACCAAGCAAATGGAAAACAAAAAAAGGCAGGGGTTGCAATCCTAGTCTCTGATAAAACAGACTTTAAACCAACAAAGATCAAAAGAGACAAAGAAGGCCATTACATAATGGTAAAGGGATCAATTCAACAAGAAGAGCTAACTATCCTAAATATATATGCACCCAATACAGGAGCACCCAGATTCATAAAGCAAGTCCTGAGTGACTTACAAAGAGACTTGGACTCCCACACATCAATAATGGGAGACTTTAACACCCCACTGTCAACATTAGACAGATCAATGAGACAGAAATTTAACAAGGATACACAGGAATTGAACTCAGCTCTGCACCAAGTGGACCTAATAGACATCTACAGAACATTCCACCCCAAATCAACAGAATATACATTTTTTTCAGCACCACACCACACCTATTCCAAAATTGACCACATACTTGGAAGTAAAGCTCTCCTCAGCAAATGCAAAAGATCAGAAATTATAACAAACTGTCTCTCAGACCACAGTGCAATCAAACTAGAACTCAGCATTAAGAAACTCACTCAAAACCACTCAACTACATGGAAACTGAACAACCTGCTCCTGAATGACTACTGGGTATATAACGAAATGAAGGCGGAAATAAAGATGTTCTTTGAAACCAATGAGAACAAAGACACAACATACCAGAATCTCTGGGACACATTCAAAGCAGCGTGTAGACGGTAATTTATAGCACTAAATGCCCACAAGAGAAAGCAGGAAAGATCCAAAATTGAAACCCTAACAACACAATTAAAAGAACTAGAAAAGCAAGAGCAAACACATTCAAAAACTAGCAGAAGGCAAGAAATAACTAAAATCAGAGCAGAACTGAAGGAAATAGAGACACAAAAAACCCTTCAAAAAATTAATGAATCCAGGAGATGGTTTTTTGAAAGGATCAACAAAATTGATAGACCGCTAGCAAGACTAATAAAGAAGAAAAGAGAGAAGAATCAAATAGACACAATAAAAAATGATAAAGGGGATATCACCACCGATCCCACAGAAATACAAACTACCATCAGAGAATATTACAAACACCTCTATGCAAATAAACTAGAAAATCTAGAAGAAATGGATAAATTCCTCGACACATGCACCCTCCCAAGACTAAACCAGGAAGAAGTTGACTCTCTGAATAGACCAATAACAGGCTTTGAAATTGTGGCAATAATCAATAGCTTACCAATCAAAAAGAGTCCAGGACCAGATGGATTCACAGCCGAATTCTACCAGAGGTACAAGGAGGAGCTGGTACCATTCCTTCTGAAACTAATCCAATCAATAGAAAAATAGGGAATGCTCCCTAACTCATTTTATGAGGCCAGCATCATCCTGATACCAAAGCCGGGCAGAGATACAACCAAAAAAGAGAATTTTAGACCAATATCCTTGATGAACATTGATGCAAAAATCCTCAATAAAATTCTGGCAAACCAAATCCAGCAGCACATCAAAAAGCTTATCCACCATGATCAAGTGGGCTTCATCCCTGGGATGCAAGGCTGGTTCAATATAAGGAAATCAATAAATGTAATCCAGCATATAAACAGAACCAAAGACAAAAACCACATGATTATCTCAATAGATGCAGAAAAGGCCTTCGAGAAAATTCAACAACGCTTCATGCTAAAAACTCTCAATAAATTAGGTACTGATGGGACGTATCTCAAAATAATAAGAGCTATCTATGACAAACCCACAGCCAATATCATACTGAATGGGAAAAAACTGGAAGCATTCCCTTTGAAAACTGGCACAAGACAGCAATGCCCTCTCTCACCACTCCTATTCAACACAGTGTTGGAAGTTCTGGCCAGGGCAATTAGGCAGGAGAAGGAAATAAAGGGTATTTAATTAGGAAAAGAGGAAGTCAAATTGTCCCTGTTTGCAGATGACATGATTGTATATCTAGAAAACCCCATTGTCTCAGTGCAAAATCTCCTTAAGCTGATAAGCAACTTCAGCAAAGTCTCAGGATACAAAATCAATGTACAAAAATCACAACATTCTTATACACCAATGACAGACAAACAGAGAGCCAAATCATGAGTGAACTCCCGTTCACAATTGCTTCAAAGAGAATAAAATACCTAGGAATCCAACTTACAAGGGATGTGAAGGACCTCTTCAAGGAGAACTACAAACCACTGCTCAATGAAATCAAAGAGGATACAAAGAAATGGAAGAACATTCCACGCTCATGGGAAGCAAGAATCAATATCATGAAAATGGCCATACTGCCCAAGGTAATTTATAGATTCAATGCCATCCCCATCAAGCTACCAATGACTTTCTTCACAGAATTGGAAAAAACTACTTTAAAGTTCATATGGAACCAAAAAATAGCCCACATCACCAAGTCAATCCTAAGCCAAAAGAACAAAGCTGGAGGCATCACACTACCTGACTTCAAACTATACTACAAGGCTACAGTAACCAAAACAGCATGGTACTGGTACCAAAACAGAGATATAGACCAATGGAACAGAACAGAGCCCTCAGAAATAATGCCACATATCTACAACTCTCTGATCTTTGACATACCTGAGAAAAACAAGCAATGGGGAAAGGATTCCCTATTTAATAAACGGTGCTGGGAAAACTGTCTAGCCATTTGTAGAAAGCTGAAACTGGATCCCTTCCTTACACCTTATACAAAAATTAATTCAAGATGGATTAAAGACTTAAACGTTAGACCTAAAACCATAAAAACCCTAGAAGAAAACCTAGGCATTACCATTCAGGACATAGGCATGGGCAAGGACTTCATGTCTAAAACACCAAAAGCAATGGCAACAAAAGCCAAAATTGACAAATGGGATCTAATTAAACTCAAGAGCTTCTGCACAGCAAAAGAAACTACCATCAGAGTGAACAGGCAACCTACAAAATGGGAGAAAATTTTCACAACCTACTCATCTGACAAAGGGCTAATTTCCAGAATCTACAATGAGCTCAAACAAATTTACAAGAAAAAAACAACCCCATCAAAATGTGGGTGAAGGACATGAACAGACACTTCTCAAAAGAAGACATTTATGCAGCCAAAAGACACATGAAAAAATGCTCATCATCACTGGCCATCAGAGAAATGCAAATCAAAACCACAATGAGATACCATCTCACACCAGTTAGAATGGCAATCATTAAAAAGCCAAGAAACAACAGGTGCTGGAGAGGATGTGGAGAAATAGGAACACTTTTACACTGTTGGTGGGACTGTAAACTAGTTCAACCCTTGTGGAAGTCAGTGTGGCGACTCCTCAGGGATCTAGAACTAGAAATACCATTTGACCCAGCCATCCCATTACTGGGTATATACCCAAAGGACTATAAATCATGCTGCTATAAAGACACATGCACATGTATGTTTATTGAGGCACTATTCACAATAGCAAAGACTTGGAACCAACCCAAATGTCCAACAATGATAGACTGGATTAAGAAAATGTGGCACATATACACCATGGAATACTATGCAGCCATAAAAAATGATGAGTTCATGTCCTTTGTAGGGACATGGATTAAATTGGAAATCATCATTCTCAGTAAACTATCGCAAGAACAAAAAACCAAACACTGTATATTCTCACTCATAGGTGGGAATTGAACAATGAGAACACATGGACACAAGAAGAGGAGCATCACACTCTGGGGACTGTTGTGGGGTGGGGGTAGGGTGGAGAGATAGCTTTAGGAGATATACCTAATGCTAAATGACGAGTTAATGGGTGCAGCGCACCTGCATGGCACATGTATACATATGTAACTTACCTGCACATTGTGCACATGTACCCTAAAACTTAAAGTATAATAATAATAAAATTAAAAAAATAAAAATAAAAAAATAAAAAAATAAACTGATGAGTATGTGATTTGGCGATTATCTTTTTGGGTTGAATTTCTATGGAGTTCTCTGAGTTTCTTGTATTTGGATGCCTAGATCTTTAGCAAGGCCAGGGAAGATTTCCTCAATTATTCCCTCAAATAAGTTTTCCAGACTTTTAGATTCCTCCTTTCTCAGGAACACCAGTTATGCTTAGGTTTGTGCTGTTTAACATAATTCCATATTTCTTGGAGGCTTTCTTAATTTTTAAAATCTTTTTTCTTTTTGTCTAATTTGTGTTTGACTTCTGAAGTTCTTCCTTCTCCTTATTCTACTATATTGTTGAAACTTTCTACTACATTTTGTATTTCCCCAAGTGTGTCTTTCATTTCCAGAAGTTGTGATATTTTTTTCTTTATTATACCTATTTCTCTGGAGCATTTGTCATCCATATCCTATATTATTTTTTAAATTTCTTTAAGTTGGTTTTTGCTTTTCTCTGGTATCTCCTTAAGGAGCTTAATAATCAACCCTCTGAATTCTTTGTCTGGAATTTTAGAGATTTCTTCTTTGTTTAAGTCCACTGCTTGAGAGCAACTGTGATCTTTTGGGGGTTATAGAACCCTGTTTTGTCATACTACCAGAATTACTTTTCTGGAGTCTTCTTCAAAAGACATGTAAGTAGCCATTGGTGAAGACACAGAAGAAGTCTAGAAAGTTGCTATTAAAATTCGGGGGAAAAATGCAGAGAGAGAGGGGTTTCTCCCAAGGTTTGAGGCAAGCAGATTTTTTTTTATTATTGTAAATGTAATTGCTTTCTTAATTTAATTTTTTATTGTTTGTTGATATATATAGAAATAGATTTGACTATTTTATACAAAGGTTGTATCCCCAAATCTTGCTGAATTTGTTTAATATTTCTAACAGTTTTTTGTTGATTATTTACCAATTTCAACATACAAGATTATGTCATCTGTGAAGAGATAGTTTCATATATTCCTTTCCAATCTTAGTGTCTTTAAAAAGTTTTTTCTTGCTTACATGCTATAGCCTCCACTGTAATGTTAAGTGAAAGTATTCTAGAGTGGACATCTTTGTCTTCTTCCTGATAATAGGGGTTAGTTTTTAGTCTTTCATCATTAAGTGTGATACTAGCTGTGGAGTTTTCATTGATGCTGAGTATCTAGCAGAATAAGTTTTCCTCTATTTCTAGTTTGCTGAATGTTATAAACAACATGGTGTTGAATATGACCATATATACATTTTTGTAATTTCTCAAGGTGGAATTATAGGGTATAAGAAGATAGCCGTTTTGAAGGCATTTGGTACATATTGCTGAACTCTGACTGGGGCGGGGAACCCATTTTTCCTTCTTCCAGTAGTGGAAGTGACACTGGATCTTGGTAGTAAGGCCCACAGATGAGGAGACCCATGTGAAAAACTGAATCCTTGCGTGGTGTCTACCTTGCAAATGTCTTTGTAGTAGTTATCTAAACTAGGGAGCTTTAGAATAGACACTCCTAGCAATTATCACTCTGAAGAACAATAGGTCAGAATGCTTACTTAGTACAAGGGAAGTTTTTAAGAAAGTCTTCTTGCCTGATGAGTGTGTTGGGAGAACAAGTAGACCCTCATGCACTATATAAAGGCCCTTCAACTACAGAGCATTTGGCTTGATGTTGAGAATAATTAGCTCAACATGGAGCCCCATAAAAACACTTAACTAAAACTCATTTATCTTGGAGTGAGGAAATTCCATGTCCCATTTTTTTTGCTGTTCAACTTTGTGCAAATCACTTACTTTCATGAGTAAACTTTTAAACCTACCAAACAGTAGTGTTGGTGGTGAGTAATGACCACTACCACTCAGGTTGTGAGGCTCAGGTGAGTAAATAAATGTGAAAGTATTTTAGGAATTATGAGTAAAGGTAAACCTTGTGGGGATACTACAAAGATATTTATGAATGAAGTAGTTTGTTGTCAGGCTCTGACACCCATTTCCCTCTCCTTCACTCCTTATTGCCAACCTTTTATGAAAATCTGTTGGTTCTAACTCCAAAATAGATTCTGCATTTATCTATTTACTTCTACCTTTACTTCAACCCTGGTACCTTAATCCAAGCCACCATCACCTGCACTGATCTCTCTTCTTCCAATTCTTTCTCTTCCTCTCCTCACTGCAAAGCAAAAGAGAAAATTAAAATCTAGTCATATTCTGTCACTTCCCTGCTTAAAACTTTCCTCTGGTACCAATCACAATTAGAACGCACATCAAATTTTTCTTCTTGCCAATAGCCCCATGGCTTCTATCCTCATCTCACACTTATCGCCTCTTCACTTTTTGCATGCACTGTACCCTTACCACGCTGGGCCTTATTGTTTTCTCTAATGCACCCTGCTCCTCATCACAGGAATTTAGAATGTGTGTTTTCTTTGTCTGGAATGCACTTTTTCCCTTGTTTACACAGTTAACTCTTTAGAACTTCAGCTCAGTCAAAATTTTTCCCAATAAACGTTTTCTAAACTCCTCATTAGATAAAATTTCCCTATTATAGGCTCCCCTATCACTGTAAGTTTACACTTTGTAGCTAATTTAGCTACAAAGTGTAAACTTACAGTGACAGGAGAGTAAGTATATACTTACAGTGATAGGAAAGCCAAGAGCTGCATCCGGCTCTAAGCTTTATGAGTTGAAATTATATATTTATATGAAAATACAATATTCAAAATTAAAAAAAAACTTAATGGATGGGCTCAACAGGAGAATGGACAGATCAGAGGAATGAATGAGATAACTTGAAGATAGACTAGATTATATTACCTAATCTAAACAACAGAGAGAAAATAGACTTAAAAAGATGAATAGAACCTTAGACTCCTGTGGAACTATAACAAAAGATTTTTGTTATCAGAGTCCCAAAGACAGAGTAGAAGAAGCATGGGTCTCAAAAAGTATTTGAAGAAATAATGGCTGTAAAATCCTCAAAATTAGCAAAAAACATAGACATATATCTTTTCAAGAAGCTGAGTGAACTGAAACGGGATGAACACAAAGGAATTTATGAGAAGACACATCAGAGTCAAACTTTTGAAAACTAAAGACAAAAAAATTGAGTATTTTGGGGCAGAAATGACACTTTACCAATATGAATGAGAAGATTTATCATCCAAAACCATGGAGGCCAGAAGGAAGAGACACAACATTTTTCAAGTTCTGGAATAAAAGGTAACTATCAACCTGGAATTTTGCATATACTAAAATATCCTTCAGGAATAAAAGGTAGAACAAGATATTCTAAGAGGAAAAGAAACGAAAAGAATTTGTTGCCTGCAGACTTTATTTAAAATATTGATTGGGTAGATCATGGCCGACAGGAGGCAGGACTAGACTGCAGCTCCAGATAGAGCAGCATTGAGGAGGCTTTCATTGTGAATTTTAGCTTCAGATCCACAGCAAGAACAAACCAGCAGTCCTGAAAGGACCCATACACCCTCTGAAGGAAGTGGACTGCTCCCGCAGAATCTGGGAGACACCACAAATACTCTGAGTGCCCCAACTGCAGAAGTGAGAGAGGGAGATCCTCCTTTCCCGAACACTCACCCCCACTGGGGAAGCTGAAGATCTGTTTGCAATCCCCAAGTAGCCCATTCCTGCTTGGCACCACAGGGATCCATTAGGAGGGAGGCCAGAGAAGCAGGGTGTAAAACCCCACCTGGGAGAAAGACTTCCCTAGCTGAACTTTGTAACACTTTGAGCTGGGCAAGAAGCCCCCTAGCCAGAACTTGGGGGAGGGTACGAATCCCGCTTGCAGATTTCACAGGCTGGGGAAGAACTAAAGCCCTTTTCTTTTGCAGCTGGGAGGTGGAAAGCATCGGGCAAGTTTTCTTTTTATTTTTTAAATTTTTTTTTTATTATACTTTAAGTTCTAGGGTTCATGTGCACAATGTGCAGGTTTGTTACATATGTATACATGTGCCATGTTGCTGTGATGCACCCATTAACTCATCACTTACATTAGGTATTTCTCCTAATGCTATCCCTCCCCTCTCCCCCCACCCCACACCAGGCCCCAGTGTATGACATTCCCCACCCTGTGTCCAAATGTTCTCATTGTTCAATTCCCATCTGTGAGTGAGAACATGCGGTGTTTGGTTTTCTGTCCTTGTGATAGCTTGCTCAGAATGATGGTTTCCAGCTTCATCCATGTCCCTACAAAGGACATGAACTCATCCTTTTTTATGGCTGCATAGTATTCTATGGTGTATATGTGCCACATTTTCTTAATCCAGTCTATCATTGTTGGACATTTGGGTTGGTTCCAAGTCTTTGCTATTGTGTATAGTGCTGCAATAAACATATGTGTGCAAGTGTCTTTATAGCAGCATGATTTATAATCCTTTGGGTATATACCCAGTAATGGGATGGCTGGGTCAAATGGTATTTCTAGTTCTAGATCCTTGAAGAATCACCACACTCTTTTCCACAATGGTTGAACTAGTTTACAGTTGCATCAACAGTTTAAAAGTGTTCCTATTTCTCCACATCCTCTCCAGCACCTGTTGTTTCCTGACTTTTTAATGATCACCATTCTAACTGGTGTGAAATGATATCTCATTGTGGTTTTGATTTGCATTTCTCTGATGGCCAGTGATGATGAGCATTTTTTCATGTGTCTCTTGGCTGCATAAATGTCTTCTTTTAAGAAGTGTCTGTTCACATCCTTTGCCCACTTTTTGATGGGGTTGTTTGATTTTTTTCTTGTAAATTTGTTTGAGTTCTTTGTAGATTCTGGAAATTAGCCATTTGTCAGATCGGTAGATTGCAAAAATGTTTTCCCATTCTGTAGGTTGCTTGTTCGCTCTGATGGTAGTTTCTTTTGCTGTGCAGAAGCTCTTTAGTTTAATTAGATACATTTGTCTATTTTGGCTTTTGTTGCCATTTCTTTTGGTGTTTTAGTCATGAAGTCCTTGCCCATGCCTATGGCCTGAATGGAATTGCCTAGGTTTTCTTCTAGGGTTTTTTATGGTTTTCAGTCTTACATTTAAGTCTTTAATCCATCTTGAATTAATTTTTGTATAAGGTGTAAGGAAGTGATCCAGTTTCAGCTTTCTACATATGGCTAGCCAGTTTTCCCAGCACCATTTATTAAATAGGGAATTCTTTCCCCATTGCTTGTTTTTGTCAGGTTTGTCAAATATCAGATGGTTTTTGTAGATGTTTGGTATTATTTCTGAGGGCTCTGTTCTGTTCCATTGGTCTATATCTTTGTTTTGGTACAATGTCGGGCAAGTTTTCAAGTCTGCCCTCCATCTGGGAACAAACTCAGAGCTGTTGCTGGTGGCATGGTGGGAGTGAAACCAGCCCTTCAGTTTCC
The DNA here is from genome assembly GCF_000001405.40 of Homo sapiens. Lineage (NCBI taxonomy): Eukaryota > Metazoa > Chordata > Mammalia > Primates > Hominidae > Homo > Homo sapiens. The sequence goes on along the minus strand of NC_000023.11, from coordinate 67,315,941 downwards.
ATGGGAGGTGGGTGATGCCTCTGACTGCCGTCTTTTTCCCACTTCCCTGACAACCTGCATGACTCAACAGAGGCAGCCATAATCCTCCTAGGCACACAACTCCAGTGACCTGGGAATCTCATCCCATCCCTCACAGCAGCTGAAGCAAGACCCACTCAAGGAAAGTCTGAGCTCAGACACAAATAGCTCCATCCCCACCTGATGATCCTTCCAAAGCTAACAACTCTCACAGAGTCCATTGCTCCCTCCACCACCTCCACTGGAACAGATGCTGGTATCCATGGGTGAGAGACCCATAGATGGTTCACATCACAGGGCTCTGTGCAGAACCCCCTCAACACCAGCCAGGAACTGGGTAAACTCGCTGAATGGCTGGACCCAGAAGAGAGACAACAATCACTGCAGTTCAGCTCACAGGAAGCTACAACCACAAGAAAAGGGGATGAGTACTATGTCAAGAGAACACCCTGTGGGAGAAAAATATCTGAACAACAGCCTTCAGCCCTAGAACTTCCCTCTGACAGAGCCTATCCAAATGGGAAAGAACCAGAAAAACAACCTTGGTAATATGACAAAACAAGTCTCATCAACACCCCCTCAAAATCACACTAGTTCACCAGCAATGGATCCAAACCAAAAAGAAATCTCTCACTTACCTGAAAAAGAATTCAGGTGGTTAGCTCTTAAGCTAGGCATGGAGGGACCAGAGAAAGGCAAAGCCCAGTACAAGGAAATCCAAAAAATGATACAAGAAGTGAAGGGAGAAATATTCAACAAAATAGATGGCTTAAAAGAGAAAACAGTAAAAACTTCGGGAAACAATGGACACAGTTTTAGAAATGTGAAATGCTCTGAAAGTCTCAGCAATAGAATTGCAGAGGTAGAAGAAAGAAATTCAGAGTTCAAAGACAAGGTCTTTGAATTAACCCAATCCAACAAAGACAACGAAAAAAGAATAAGAAAATATGAACAAAGTCTACAAGAAGTCTGGGATTATATTAAAGCAACAAACCTAAGAACAAGTGGAGTTCCTGAGGAAGAAGAGAATCCTAAAAGTCAGAAAACATATTTGGGGGAATAATTGAGGAAAACTTTCCTGGCCTTGCTAGAGACCTAGACATGCAAATACAAGAAGCACAAAGAATATCTGGGAAATTCATTGCAAAAAGATCTTCACCTAGGCACATTGTCATCAGGTTATCCAAAGTTAAGACAAAGAAAGAACCTTAAGAGCTATGAGACAGAAGTGCCAGGTAACCTATAAAGAAAACCTATCAGATTAACAGCAGACTTCTCAGCAGAAACCCCACAAGCTAGAAGGGATTGGGGGCCTATCTTCAACCTCAGACAAAACAACCTTCAGCCAATAATTTTGTATCCAGCAAAATTAAGCATCATATATGAAGAAAAGATACAGTCATTTTCAGACAAATGTTGAAAGAATTTGCCTTTACCAAGCCACCACTATGAGAACTTCTAAAAGTTGCTCTAAATCTTGAAACAAATCCTAGAAACATATCAAGACAGAATCATTTTAAAGCATAAAGCACACAGGACCTGTAAAACAGAAATACAAGTTAAAAAGCAAAAACAAAAAACAAAGTATGCAGGCAACAACAAGCATGATGAATGCAATGGTACTACACATTTCAACACTAACATTGAATGTAAATGGCCTAAATGCTCCACTTAAAAGATACAGAATTGCAGAATGGATCAGAATTCACCAATCAACTATCTGCTGCCTTCAGGAGACTCACCTAACACATAAGGGCTCACATAAACTTAAAGTAAAGGGGTGGAAAAAGGCATGCCATGCAAGTTGACACTAAAAGTGAGCAAGGGTAGCAATTCTTATATCAGACAAAACAACTTTAAAGCAACAGTGGTTAGAAGAGACAAAGAGGGGCATTATATAATGGTAAAAGACCTTGTCCAACAGGAAAATATCACAATCTTAAACATATATATACCTAACACTGGAGCTCACAAATTTATAAAATGATTACTAATGGCATAAGAAATGAGATAGATAGCAACACAAAAATAGTGCGGGACTTAAATACTCCACTGACAGCACTACACAGGTCATCAAGAGAGAAAGTCAACAAAGAAACAGTGGATTTAAACTATACTTTGAAACAAATGGACTTAACAGATATATACAGAACACTTCACCCAACAACCACAGAATACATATTCTATTCAACAGTGCATGGAACTTTCTCCAAGATAGACCATATGATGGGCCATAAAATGAGCATCAATAAATTTAAGAAAATTGAAATTATATCAAGCACTCTCTCAGACCATAGTAGAATAAAATCGGAAATCAACTCCAAAAAGAACACTCAAAACCATGAAAATACATGGAAATTAAATAACCTGCTCTTGAATGAGCATTGGGTCAATAATGAAAACAAGATGGAAATTAAAAAGTTCTTCAGTACCATGCTGTTTTGGTTACTGTAGCCTTGTAGTAGAGTTTGAAGTCAGGTAGTGTGATGCCTCCAGCTTTGTTCTTTTGGCTTAGGATTGACTTGGCGATGCGGGCTCTTTTTTGGTTCTATATGAACTTTAAAGTAGTTTTTTCCAATTCTGTGAAGAAAGTCATCGGTAGCTTGATGGGGATGGCATTGAATCTGTAAATTACCTTGGGCAGTATGGCCATTTTCACGATATTGATTCTTCCTACCCATGAGCATGGAATGTTCTTCCATTTGTATGTATCCTCTTTTATTTCATTGAGCAGTGGTTTGTAGTTCTCCTTGAAGAGGTCCTTCACATCCCTTGTAAGTTAAATGGTGTTAGGAAAACTGGCTAGCCATATGTAGAAAGCTGAAACTGGATCCCTTCCTTACACCTTATACAAAAATCAATTCAAGATGGATTAAAGACTTAAACGTTAGATCTAAAACCATAAAACCCTAGAAGAAAACCTAGGCATTACCATTCAGGACATAGGCATGGGCAAGGACTTCATGTCTAAAACACCAAAAGCAATGGCAACAAAAGCCAAAATTGACAAATGGGATCTAATTAAACTCAAGAGCTTCTGCACAGCAAAAGAAACTACCATCAGAGTGAACAGGCAACCTACAAAATGGGAGAAAATTTTCACAACCTACTCATCTGACAAAGGGCTAATATCCAGAATCTACAATGAACTCAAACAAATTTACAAGAAAAAAACAAACAACCTCATCAAAAAGTGGGTGAAGGATATGAACAGACATTTCTCAAAAGAAGACATTTATGCAGCCAAAAGACACATGAAAAAATGCTTATCATCACTGGCCATCAGAGAAATGCAAATCAAAACCACAATGAGATATCATCTCACACCAGTTAGAATGGCAATCATTAAAAAGTCAGGAAACAACAGGTGCTGGAGAGGATGTGGAGAAATAGGAACACTTTTACACTGTTGGTGGGACTGTAAACTAGTTCAACCCTTGTGGAAGTCAGTGTGGTGATTCCTCAGGGATCTAGAACTGGAAATACCATTTGACCCAGCCATTCCATTACTGGGTATATACCCAAAGGAGTATAAATCATGCTGCTATAAAGACACATGCACACGTATGTTTATTGCGGCACTATTCACAATAGCAAAGACTTGGAACCAACCCAAATGTCCAACAATGATTGATAGACTGGATTAAGAAAATGTGGCACATATACACCATGGAATACTATGCAGCCATAAAAAATGATGAGTTCATGTCCTTTGTAGGGACATGGATGAAATTGGAAATCATCATTCTCAGTAAACTATCGCAAGAACAAAAAAACAAACACTGCATATTCTCACTTATAGGTGGGAATTGAACAATGAGATCACATGGACACAGGAAGGGGAATATCACACTCTGGGGACTGTTGTGGGGTGGGGGGAGTGAGGAGGGATAGCATCGGGAGATATACCTAATGCTAGATGACGAGTTAGTGGGTGCAGCGCACCGGCATGGCACATGTATACATATGTAACTAACCTGCACAATGTGCACGTGTACCCTAAAACTTAAAGTATAATAAAAAAAAAAAAGTTCTTCAAACTGAATGACAATAATGACACAGCCAATCAAAGCCTCTGGGATACAGCTAAGGCGATGCTAAGAGGAAAGTTCATAGCCCTAAACACCTACATCAAAAAGTCTGAAAGAGCAAAAAACAGACAATCTAAGGTTATGCCTCAAGGAACAAGAACAAACCAAACCCAAACCCAGCAGAAGAAAGGAAATAACTAAGATCAGAGCAGAACTAAATGAAATTGAAAGAAAAAAACAGTACAAAAGATAAATGAAAACAAAAAGCTGATTCTTTGGAGAGATAAACAAGATTGATAGACCACTAGCAAGATTAACCAAGAAAAGAAGAGAGAAAATCCAAATAACCTCACTGAGAAACAAAGAAAGGGATGTTATAACTGACACCACTGAATACAAAAGATCATTCAAGGCTACTATGAACACCTTTACAAACATAAACTAGAAAACCTAGAAAGAGATGGGTAAATTCCTGGAAAAATAAAACCCTCCTATCTTAAATCAGGAAGAATTACATACCCTGAACAGACCAATAACAAGCAGAGAGTTGCTAATTAAAAAATTACCAACACAAAACAAGTCCAGGACCAGACAGATTCAGAGCAGGATTCTATCAGACATTCAAAGAAGAATTGGTGCCAATCCTTTTGACACTATTCCACATGATAGACAATGATGGAACCCTCCCTAATTCATTCTATGAAGCCAGCATTACCCTAATACCCAAACCAGGAAAGGACAACCAAAAAAAAAAAAAAAAAAAAAAAGAAAGAAAGAAAAATACAGACTGATATCCTTGATGAATATAGATGCTAAAATCCTTAACAAAATACTAGCTAATGAATCAAAAACAATATCCAAAAGATAGTCCACCATGATCAATGGTTTTCATAGCAGGGATGGTTTAACATACACAAGTCAATACATGTGATTCACCACATAAACAGAATTAAAAAGAAAATGACATGATCATCTCAATAGATGCAGAAAAAGCATTTGACAAAATCCAGCATCCTTTTATAATCCAAACCTTCAGTAAAATCGGCATACAAGGGACACACCTTAATGTAATAAAAGGCATTTATGACAAACCAATAGCCAACATAATACTGAATCGGGAAAATTTGAAAGCATTACTCCTGAGAATAAGAACAAGACCAAGATGCTCACTTTCACCACTCCTCTTCAACTGGAAGTCTTAGCCAGAGCAATTTGAAATAAGAAAGAGATGAAGGGCATCCAAATCAGCTAAGAGGAAGTCAAACTATCCCGGTTTGCTGATGATATGATCATTTACCTTGAAAACCCTAAGGACTCCTCCAGGAAGCTCCTAGAACTGATTGAAAAAAAATTCAACAAAGTTTCTGTATACAAGATAAATGTACACAAATCAGTAGCTCTTCTATACACCAACAGTGACCAAGCAGAGAATCAGATCCAGAACTCAACCCCGTTCTTTCACAATAGTTGCAAGAAAAGCAAACAAACAAACAAACAAACAAACAAAACAACCTTACAAATCTACCTAATGAAGGATTTGAAAGACCTCTGCAAGGAAAACTACAAAACACTGCTAAAAGAAATCATGGACAACACAAACAAATGGAAACACATCCGATGCTCATGGATGGGTAGAATCAATATTGTGAAAATGACCATACTGCCAAAAGCAATCTACAAATTTGACACAATTCCCATCAAAATACCACGATCTTTTTTTACAGAGTTAGAAAAAACAATTCCCAAACTCATATGGAACCAAAAAATGAGCCTGCATAACCAAAGCAAGACTAAGTAAAAAGAACAAACCTGGAGGTATCACACTACCTGATTTCAAACTATACTATAAGGCCATAGTCACCAAAACATCATGGTACTGGTATAAAAATAGGCACATAGACCAATGGAACAGAATAGAGAACCCAGAAATAAACCAAAATGCTTATGGCCAACTGATCTTTGACAAGGCAAAGAAAAAAACAAATTGAGGAAAGGACACCTGTTTCAACAAATAGTGCTGGGATAATTGACTAGCCACATGTAGGAGAATGAAACTGGATCCTCATCTCTCACCTTATACAAAAATCAACTTAAGATAAATTAAAGACTTAAATCTAAGACTTGAAACTGTAAAAATTCTAGAAGATAACTTTGGAAAAACCCTTCTAAACATTGGCTTATGCAAGGATTTCATGACTAAAAACCCAAAAGCAATTGCAATAAAAACAAAGATAAATATCTGAGACCTAATTAGACTAAAGAGTTTTGCATGGCAAAAGGAACAGACCACAGAGTAAAAAGACAACCCACATAGTGGGAGAAAATCTTCACAATCTATACACCCAACAAAAGAATAATATCCAGGATATACAACTAACTCAAACAAATCAGTAAGAAAAAAACAATCAATCCCATCAAAAAGTGGGCTAAGAACATGAATAGACAATTCTCAAAATAAGATACACAAATGGCCAACAAACATATGAAAAACTGCTCAACATCACTAATGGTCAGGGAAATGCAAATCAAAACCACAAAGCGATACCACTGTACTCCTGTAAGAATCGCCATTATCAGAGAATCAAAAAACAGTAGATGTTGACATGGATGCAGTGATCAGGGATTATTTCTACACTGCTGGTGGTAATCTAAACTAGTACAGCCACTGCAGAAAACAGTGTGGAGATTCATTAAAGAACTAAAAGTAGAACTACTGTTTGATCAAGGAATCCCATTACTGGGTATCTACTCAGAGACAGAAAAAAGATACTTACACACACATGTTTATAGCAGTACAATAAACAATAGCAAAATCATGGAATCAACCCAAATAACCATCAATCAATGAGTGGATAAAGAAACTGGCATATATATATGTATATATACACACACACATATGGCATCATATATGTGTATATATATATATGGCATCATATATATGTGTATATATATAGCATCATATATATATGTGTGTGTGTGTATATATATATATATATATATATATATATATATATATATATATATATGATGGAATGCTTCTCAGCCATAAAAAGGAATGGATGAACAGCATTTGCAATCACCTGGATGAGATTAGAGAATATTATTCTAAGTGAAGTAACTTAGGAATGGAAAACCAAACATCATATGTTCTCACTGATATGTGAGAGCTAAGCTGTGAGTATGGAAAGGCATAAGAATGATGATAAGAATGACACAATGAACTTTGAGGAATTGGGGGGATGAGTGGGAGGTGGCTGAGGGATAAAAGACAACAAATATGGTGCAGTGTATACTGCTCAGGTGATGAGTGCACCAGGTTCTTGCAAGTCTCCACTAAAGAACTTACTCATGTAAACAAATACCTCCTGTACCTAATAACTTATGAAAAAAATAAAATACTGGCTACAGAATGTTCTCTAAACAGATAAGAAAGAATAAAAGAAGGAGACTTGCAACATCGGGCAAAAGAAATAAACAACAGAAAGTGTAAAAATATGTGTAAATACAATGGATTTTTCTTCTCCTCTTGAGTTGCCTAAATTATGTTTGACAGGTGAAGCAAATATTATTATACTCTCCAACGTAGTTCTCAATATATGTAGAGTAAATATTTTTGAAAATTTATTGAAAATCAGAGAGGGTAAAGACATGTAAAGGGAGGTAAGGTTTTTATATTTTACTTGAACTGGTAAAATGTTGATATTAATAGACTATGATAGGTAATTTATATGTAATGTAATATCTAGAGCAACAAGGTTATATGAAAAAGCTATGCAAAGAAATATACTCAAAAACTCCAGATAAATCAAATGGAATTTTAAGAATGTTCAAAAAATTCACAGGAAGGCAGAAAAAGAAAACAAAAACAAACAAAAAACAGAGAACACAAACAGAAAACTAAAACTAAAGTGACAGACTTAAGCCATAAAACACTATAAATTACATATAATGTAAAGGACCTACATACACCAATTAAGTACAGAGATTGGTGAAGGAGATTAAAGACAAATATCCAACTATTTGCTGAAGGGGGTGAGGGGCTAGGGGATGGATAGCATTAGGAGAACTATCTAATGTAGATGACAGGTTGATGGGTGCTGCAAACCACCATGGCACATGTATACCTATCTAACAAACCTGCACGTTCTGCAAATGTATTCCAGAACTTAAACTATAATAATAATAATAATAATAATAATAATAATAATAATAATAATAAATTACAACAGCGATGCAATCCTCAGAGCTCAGGCTTGGGGGAAAGGCTACAGGACAGACAGACAAACACAAAAACAAAAGCCAAAAAAAAAATCACCCATTTCTTCAACAAATACATTTTAAGGAAGGAAAAAAATGAATAGCTGTGTGTCAAAAAAGACTTAGGAGACATATCTGCTAACAGTAGGTATGGACCTTACTGGATTTGGATATGGAAATCTTTAAAAACAATTAAGAGATAACTAGGTAGATTTGAACACTCACTAGATATTAAGTGATATTAAGGAATTATTGTTCTTTTGGGGTGTGATAATTGTTACTATACCTTTAAAAAGAGTCTATACTTTTTGGAAACACCAAGAAATATACAAATGATATGAAATAAGTGCATCAACAGAGTCTGCAGGAGAGGCAATGGGTGTGGGTAGGGGACAGAGGAAACCAGACTGTCTGCTGAGGTGTCATAACTTGAAACTGGTGATGGATATGAGGATTGATTCTGTTGCTCTCTGCACTTCTATATATTTTTAAAATACTCTATAATAAAAAGTTTAAAAAAACAATTACACTTATAGGCATTTATCTCAGAGAAATGAAAATTTATGTCCATATAAAAATGTGTATACTATTTTTTATAGCAGCTTTATTTGTAATATTACAAAACTGTAAAGAACTAAAATATCCTGTAATTGATGAGTGGTTCAACAACTGTCCTGCATACATAATATGGAATACTAGTCAGACATTCAAAAGGAATAATCTATTTTGATACCTGAAAAAACTTGGATGGATCTCAGATTGCACCACTGCCCTCCAGCTTGGGCAACAGAGCAAGACTCTGTCTCAACAACAACAACAAGAACAACAACAACAAAGTGAACTGTAAAACAGCTTCACATAGGCCCTTCAAGAGGTATTCCAGAGAAAGGCATTGTTATCATTGGAGATGACAGCTCCATGTATCATTGTCTTTGAAGGCTTTCCAGTGGAACAAGATGTGGAGGTGGATAACAGTGATATTGATGATCCTGATCTTGTGTAGGCCTAAGATAATGTGTGTGTTTGTGTATTATTTTTAACAAAAAATTAAAAAGTAAAAAATGAAAATAGGAAAAAGCTTATAGAATGAGGATATAAATGAAAATATTTTTGTAGTGGTACAGTGTGTTTGTGTTTTAAGCTGAGTGTTATTAGAAAGGTATCAAAAATTTTAAAAAAATTAAAAGTTTATAAAGTAAAAATGTTACAGTAACCTAAGGTTAATTTATTATTGAAGAAAGAAAATTTTAAAATAAATTTAGTATAACCCAAGCATATAATGTTTCTAAAATTTACATTAGTGAACAGTAACATCCTAGGCCTTCACATTCATTCACCACTCACTGATTCACCAAGAGCAGCTTCCAGTTATGCAAGCTCCATTCATGGTAAATGCCCCACACAGGTGTACCATTTTTAAAAATCTGGTATATGGTATTTTTACTATATATTTTGTATGTTTAAGTATATTTAGACACTCAAATACTTAGCATTGAGTTATAATTGCCTACCCTATTCAGTACAGTAACATGCTGTACAAGTTTTTAGCCTAGGAGTAATGCCTATACCATATAGCCTAGGTGTGAAGCAGGGTATAACATCTATGTTTGTGTAATTACAGTCTATGATGTTTACACCATGCTGAAATTGCCTATGGATGCATTTATAGGATGTATCCATGTTGTTAAGTGATGCATGATCATATAAGGTGATATGCACCATAAGTGATGAATGACCATATAAGGCCACATCTGTGGTTTCAGGCATCCACTGGAAATCTTTGAACATATCACCCACAGATAAGGGGGAACTACTGTATTACAAATTCTAGGGAAATCACTAAAAACAGTTTAAAAAGATATATAACTAATATGCTAAGGGTAAAGACAAAATGGAATCATATAAATGCTCAATAGTGAAGCCTTTAGGGTTTTCCATATACAGTATAAGATAATACCATATGCAAACATGGACACTTTTATTTCTTCCTTTTCTATTTGGGTGCTTTTTATTTCTTTCTCTTGCCTAATTGCTCTGGCTAGAACTTCCAGTACTATGTTGAACAGAAATGATGAGAGTGGACATTCATGTCTTGTTCCTAATCTTAGAGGAAAAGCTTTTAACTTTTCACCATTAAGCATGATGTTAACTGTGGGCTTGTCATGTGTGGCATTTATTGTGTTGAGGTACAGTTCTTCTACACCTAATTCATTAAGAGTTTTTTTCATGAAAGGGTGTTGAATTTTGTCAATTTTTTTCTGCAACTTTTGAAATGATCACATGGCTTTCATTCTTTATTATGCTAATATGCTGTGTCCCATTTATTGATTTGTATATGTTGAACCCTCCTTGCATCCGTGGAATTAATTGATCACTTGATCATGAGAAATTATCCTTTTAATATTCTTTTGAATTTTGTTTGCTAGTACTTTGTTAATGATTTTACATCTATTTTCATTAGGGATATGGGCCTGTAATTTGCACTTTTTTTTAGTGTTCTTGTCTGGCATTGGTATCAGGATAATGCTGGCATGACAATATTAGTTTGTGAGCATTTTCTCTTCTTTAATTTTTTGGAGGAGTTTAGGAAGGATCGGTATTAGTTCTTCTTTCTATATTCGTCCTGTGTTTCTAATTCAGCAGTGAAACTGAGTTCAGGTCATAAACTTATTTTGATGGGTGACTTTAAATTATCAGTTAAATCTTACTCATTATTGTTCTGTTCAAACTTTCTGTTTCTTCATGATTGGTAGGCTGTATGCTTCTTGGAACTTACCTGTTTTGGAACTTACCTATTTCTTCTAAGCTATACAATTTGTTAGTAAATTATTTGGAGTAGTTTTATCTTTTATGATCCTTTGTATTCATACAGTATCAATTATAATGTCTTCTTTTGCATTTATGCTTTTATTGATTTGAGTTTTTCTCTCCTTTTGCTTGGCTAGTGTAGCTAAAGGTTTGTTCATTTTATTTATCTTTTAAAAACTCAACTGTTAGTTTTTTGAGCTTTTCTCTTGTATTTCTAGTTCCCATTTCATTTATTGTTGCTCAGATTTTTTATTATTTTCTTCCTCTTTCTTCTATGAAGTTTAAGCTTCAGTTTATTCTTCTTTTTCTAGTCCTTTGAGGTGTAATGTTGTTTATTTGAGATACTCTCTTTTGATGTAGGTGTCTATTGCTATAAACTTTTCTCTTAGAACTGCTTTTGCTGCATTTCATGTGTTTTGGTATGTCGTCATTCCATTTTCATTTTTCTCAAGATGGTTTTTAATTTCTTGTTTAATTTCTTCTTTAAAACTGATTATCCGGGATCATGGTGCTTAATTTCCATGTATTTGTGTATTTTCTTCAATTCCTTCTTTTACTGATTTTGAGTTTCATAATATTGTGATTAGAAAAGATAATTGATATGACTTCTGTCTTTTGAAAATTAAGACTTATTTTGTTGCCTAACACATTATCTACATTGAAGAATGTTCCATGTGCATTGGGGAAGAATATATACTCTGTTGCTATTGGATGGAATGCTCTGTATATGTCCTTTATGTCCATATGGTCAAACATATAGTTTAAATCCAATGTTTACTAATTGGCTTTCTGTCTGGATAACTTTCCCATTGCTGAAAGTCGGGTACTGAAGTCCCCTATTATTATACCATTGCAGTCTTTCTCTTCCCTGAATTTATTAATATTTGGTTTGTATATTTAGGTGGTCAAATGTTGAATACATATTTATTTACAAGTTTACATACTACTGAATATTTGACTGCTTTATCAGTATATAATGGCCTCATGTGTCTTTTTTTAAAATTATACTTTAAGTTCTGGGATACATGTGCAAAACATGCAAGTTTGTTACATAGGCATACACGTGCCATGGTGGTTTGCTGCACCCATCAACCCATCATCTACGTTAGGTATTTCTCCTAATGCTATCCCTTCCCTGGCCCCCCATCCCCAGACAGGCCCCAGTGTGTGATGCTCCCCTCCCTGTGTCCATGTGTTCTCATGGTTCAACTCTCACTTATGAGTGAGAACATGTGTTGTTTGGTTTTCTGTTCCTGTGTTAGTTTGCTGAGAATGATGGTTTCCAGCTTCAGCCATATACCTGCAAAGGACATGAACTCATCCTTTTTATGGCTGCATAGTATTCCATGGTGCATATGTGCCACATTTTCTTTATCCAGTCTATCATTGATGGACATTTGGGTTGGTTCCAAGTCTTTGCCATTGTCAACAGTGCTGCAATAAACATAAGCATGCATGTGTCTTTATAGTATAATGATTTATAATCTTTTGGGTATATAACCAGTATTGGGATTACTGGGTCAAACAGTATTTCTAGTTCTAGATCCTTGAGGAATTGCCACACTGTCTTCCACAATGGTTGAACTAATTTACACTCCCACCAACAGTGTAAAAGTGTTCCTATTTCTCCGCATGCTCCCCAGCATCTGTTGTTTCCTGACCTTTTAATGATCGCCATTCCAACTGGCATGAGATGGTATCTCATTATGGCTTTGACTTGCATTTCTCTAATGACCAGCAATGATGAACTTTTTTTCATATGTTTTTTGGCCATATAAATGTCTTCTTTTGAGAAGTGTCTGTTCATATTCTTTGCCCATTTTTTGAAGGGGCTGTTGGTTTTTTTCTTGAAAATTTGTTTAAGTTCCTTGTAGATTCTGGATATTAGCCCTTTGTCATGTGGATAGATTGCAAAAATTTTCTCCCATTTTGTAAGTTGTTGGTTCACTCTGATCATAGTTTCTTTTGCAGTACAGAAGCACTTTAGTTTAATTAGATCCCATTTGTCAATTTTGGCTTTTGTTTCCATGGCTTTGGTGTTTTAGTCATGAAGTCTTTGCCCATGCCTATGTCCTGAATGGTAAGAGCCACGCTGTGGAAGCATGCTGGGCTCATATTTTTTATAATTTATGAATTAAATCAGTTTTATCTAAGTATAGATTCCCCTGCTATCTTTTGGTTTGCACTTGCATGGAATTTTTTTTTTTATTTTTTTCACTTTAAGGCTGAGTGTCCTTAAAGGTAAAGTGAGTCTTATGGACAAAATATACTTTGGACTTTTACAAAATCTATTCACTCTATAACTCTTGATTGGAGAAATTAATCTATTTTCATCGAGGTAATTATTGATAGGTAATGACTTTCTATTGACATTTTGTTAATTTTTTTCTGAATATTTTATGTAACCTTTGTTCTGTACTTCCTCTCTTGCTGCATTTCTTTATGATTAGATGATTTTCCTTAGTAATATACTTTGATTTCTTGCTTTAGATATTTTGTGTCTCTACTATAGGATTTTGGTTTTTTGTTACCATGAAGCTCACATAAAACATATTATAACAGGCTATTTTAAGTTGATAACAACTTAACTTTGATCACATATAAAAACTCTGCACATTTACTCCCTCCCCAACATTTCATGTTTTTGATGTCATTGTTTAGATATTTTTATATTATATAATCCCTTAAGACATTTTTGGAGTTGTTATTTTTAATTATTTATAATTGTTATATCCTTTGGAAGAATGTCCTCCTTTATCACTATATAGTGACCTTCTTTGACTCTTGTGAAAGATTTTGACTGAAAGTCTATTCTGTCTGATGTAAGTATGGCTACTTCTCTTTTTATTACTGGTTGCATAAAATATATTTTTCTAACCCTTCACCTTCAGTCTATGTGAATTCTGTCATATAGTTAGGTCTTCTATTTTTAAACGTTTATTCAGTCACTCTGTGTCTTTTGATTGGAGGCTTTAATTCAGTGATGTTGAAAGTAATTACTGATAGATGAGGATTTATACTTGCAATTTTGTTAATTGTTTTCTGTCAGTTTGATTGTGTCTTTCTGTCTTCATTCCTGCCTTTCTGTCTTTTTTTGTTATTTTTTTTCAGTTTTATGTTTCAATTTTTTCCTTTATTTTTTTGTGCACCTACTAGAAGCTTTTTAATTGTATTTGTCATGAGACTGAACAAAAAATTTTATAGTTATAGCCATCTATTTTGAGCTGATAACAATTAACTTTAATCAAATAAAAAATCTCTACACTTTTATGTTTCTCCATTCCATACTTTATGCTATTAATGTCACATTCTACAACTTTTCTTGCTGCATAACCATTAACAAATTATTGTAACTATAATAATTTTTCATATTTTTGTCTTTTAACCTTTATGCAAAAGATATAAGTGATTTACATACCACCATTACAACATTAGAGTATTCTGAAGTTGACCATGTACTTACTTTTAGTAGTGAATTTTATACTTATGTGTGCTTTTATGTTATTAAGAGTCATTCTTTTCTTTCAACTTGGAGAACTACCTGTCAAATTTTTTGCATGGAATGTCTAGTGGTGATAAAGTCACACAGCTTTTTTTCTTTGTCTGGGAAAATTCTTATCTATTCTTTATTTTTGAAGGGCAGACTGGATGCATATAGTATTCTTCTTTGGCAGATGTTTTCCTTCAGCACTTTGAATATATTATCTCAACTTCTGCTGATCTGTAAGATTTTTACTGACAAATCTCCTGATAGTCTTATGGAATTTCCCTTGCATGCAATGAGTTGGTCTTCTCTTGCTGCTTTCAAAATTATTTCTTTGTCTTTGATTTTGAGAGCTTGATTATAATGTGCCTCAGTGAGGACCTCTTCATATTTAATTTACTTGGGGTTCTTTTGGATTCATGGATCTAGATGTTCACTTTTCCTCTCATATTTGGGACGTTTCTGTCGTTATTTCTTTAAGCTTTTTACTCTTTGATCATTTTCTATTCTTCTAGGATACCCACCATGTATACACTCATTATGATTGATGGTGGCCCATAAGTGCCATATGCTTTCTTCATTTAAACATTATTTTATTTTGTTCTTCTGTCTAATTTCAAATGAACTGTTTTTTAATTTACTGATTCTCCTGCATTTTCAAGCTATTAGTTTTCTCTATTGATTTTTTTAGTTCTCTGAATGTATTCTTTAGATCCAGAATTTGTGTTTGGGTCTTTTTTATGGCTTCTACTTCTTTATTAATATTCTAATTTTGTTCACATATTTTTTCCTTAATTTTATTTAGTTGTCTATATCTGTTTTCTTACATCTCACTGAGCTTTTTCATTATGATCATTTTGAATTCTTTTTGAGAAAATTAGGTCTTTTTTTTTTTGGATTGGTTACTGTAGTATTATGTTTCTTTTGATGGGGTTGTATTTACTTTATTCTTCATGATTCATGTAGCCTTGCACTGGTGTCTGTGCATTTGAAGAGAAAAACACCTTTTCTAGCCTTTACATAGAGTTGTTGGCCAAGATAAAAACGTCTGTTGGGTCCCTGAGCTGATAGGATTGCCTCGTAAGCAAATAGGATTGGAGCCAGGTCACACAGCTGCTTCTGGGTCTTCAATATGGATCATGGTTGGCAGTACTGTTACCAGGGGCTTGGGCAAGTTTGGATCCTGTCTGTTCCCTGAGAAGACTGGATTGCCTCTAGGACCAGGAACAGTTGGGCTGGACCTAGGACATACGGCTGCCTGAGGGGCTACCATGGGATCTACAGACAGTAGGCCAATTATCAGTTGTAGAAATACATATGGTTCCCATCAGGTCCCTGAGAAGGCACCTTATAAATCACTGGGTAGGTTACTGGGTGGGCAGAGCTGCCCCTGGACCATGGCTAAGAGATTCTAGAGCTGAGTTACAAGGATGCATCAGGATCTACAATTGGACAGATGTCAGCAAGGTTCCCACTGGGGGCATGGGAAAGCATATCTTCCAGTAGGTCCCTGGACAGGCAGAAATGCCCCATAACACAACTCAGAGGGGTTGGAACTGGGTAACAGGGCTGTTTCAGGATATGTTTTGGAGCCCAGGTCAAGAGACCTGCCAACTTGGGCATAGATAGACATGTACCCTGATAGGTACCCAGGTGGGAAAAACCACTCCTGGATCACAAATGAGAGGAGCTAGAAATGAGTAATGTGGTCATTGCAAAATCTGCTGTGGGACAGGTTTGTTGGCCTGCCTCTTGGGACATGGACAGCGAATGGGTCCCCGTGCAGGCAGAACTTCTCTCAGACCATTGTTAAGAGGAGTTGGAACCACGTCATGGACTGCTTTAGGGTTCATAGCTGAAACTGAGGTCAATGGGCCTGTTGCCCAAGACATAGGTGGGCATGGCTCCTCCCAGGTCTCTTGATGGATCACGCAGGTGGGAGGACCAAGGCCAAATGGGTCTGTAACCAAGTTAAGAAGGTGAGGCCAATTCCAGGTCTGTAGCCAAGACTATGGTCAATGAGCCTGCCACTTGAGTGTGGACACGCCTATTCAAAATGGCTTTCCTCTGGTTCAACCATTGTGGAAGACAGTGTGGAGATTCCTCAAGGATCTAGAACTAGGAATACCATTTGACCCAGCCATCCCATTACTGGGTATATACCCAAAGGATTATAAATCATGTTGCTATAAAGACACATGCACACGTATGTTTATTGCGGCACTATTCACAGTAGCAAAGACTTGGAACCAACCCAAATGTCCAAAAACAATAGACTGGATTAAGAAAATGTGGCACATATACACCATGGAATACTATGCAGCCATAAAAAATGATGAGTTCATGTCCTTTGTAGGGACATGGATGAAAGTGGCAGCCATCATTCTCAGCAAACTATCGCAAGGACAGAAAACCAAACACTGCATGTTCTCACTCATAGGTGGGAATTGAACAATGAGAACACTTGGACACAGGAAGGGGAACATCACACACTGGGGACTGTTGTGGGGTTGGGGATGGGGGAGGGATAGCATTAGGAGATATACCTAATGTAAATGACGAGTTAATGGGTGCAGCACACCAACATGGCACATGTATACATATGTAACAAACCTGCACGTTGTGCACATGTACCCTAGAACTTAAAGTATAATTAAAAAATAAAACAAACAAACAAACAAACAAAAAAACAAAATGACTTTCCTCAGTCTTGAACTCAACCAGAGCTTCACAACCTCCTACCTGTATCCAAACTTCCCAAGAAGGCACTTTTGTCTGTGAGTGGCTGTCAAATTATTGTTGATGTTGGGGAATATGAGAAAGCACTCGCTTATTCTGCCATCTTACTAATGTCATCTATATTATTGAAACTTTCAAATAATATAAATAAACAAAAATAATAGTACACACGTATGTAGTGCCCATTTGTGTGTAAGATATAAGCATTTAAAATAGACATCTATAGGATAAAAACTGCAAAAGCTCTTAAGCTTCTTTACCAACCTTTCCCCTTACCAATTACATTCTTCTCCTCAAAGGTAACCACTATTTTACAATTGGCTTGTATTTTTCCAGGCTTTTTTCTGTACATTAAAACTATATGTATTTTGCATTTGTCAATATATACATTTTATACAAATAGACTCATACTATTCATATTGTTCTACAGTACTTTTTTTTTTACTCATCTTGGAAGTTGTTCTCTCAGTCCATATTGAGCTGCTTCACTCTCTTACAGGCCGGAATCACTTTCCATTATTTGGCTATACCATAACACATCTAACAAATCCTCAGTAGATGGATATTAAAGTTGCTTAAGATATTTTGTAATTACAGTATTGTAGGAGACATCTTTTTGCACATGTGCAAATTTTCCATAGGATAGATTTCCAGGGTTAAAATATTGAGACATATAGTATGAACCTTTTGCATTTTGTCATTCTTCCAAAGTGACATTACAAAACAGCTGTACCAATTTACTCTCCTATCAAAAGGCTTTTCTATACCTTTGCCAACACTGAATATTATTCTTTAAAATCTTCATTAATCTGATGCATTAAAAATAACTCATTGTTGATCCAATTTGCATTTCTTTGCTCACTAGTGTATTAAAGTTTCTTCTCATATGTTAATTGGCCACTTGTAATTGTTCTTATGTGAATTGCTTTTTTTCTGTTTATCCTTTTTCTTTTTCAATTTCTAGGCTTTTTTTTGCCTTTTATATATATTAATCTTTTCTATGTTAATAACATTGGAAGTTGAGTCTCTCAGTCTGTTGCTCATTTTTAAATTTTGTTTTTAATCTTCATGCAGTCAAATATGTCATTAAAAAAATTATGCCTCCTGGGGTTAAGCCTCATGAAGACTTTTCCACTCCGTGATGCTGATACCCTTCTCCTTTATTTTTCTTCTACTACATTTTGCTTTTTTGTTCCCTAAATTCTTATTTTTAAAACCAACAGTTTTCATTTTAGTGTATGCTGTAATGTAAGTGTCTCACTTTTTTTTAAGGAAAGAATAAGTAAGTGCTCAAACATCATTTATTGTATAGCCTATCCATCCTTCTTTACACTCATTTGGAATATTGTCTTCATCACTAGTAAATTCTTATATATGCATGAACTAGCTTCTGAATTCTACTCTGCTCTGTTTGTGTGTTTATATCTCTTTAATGTATTAGGTTTCTAAATATGAAGAAAGTTTGTTATAAGAAAGTTTCTTCCTTCAAAGTTTTTACGGGGTAGTGAACACCTCAGCACTACCTCAGTGACTTCTCAATCTTACTGATCATCCAAATCAACTGGGATGCTTTTTCAAAAGTTCCAATTCTCATGTGCCATGGTCTATAGTGGACCCAGTGATTCATGTACAGTCAGGTTTGGAAACCCTTGGCCTAAGTGATTTTGAATAATCTATTTAGATCCTCCTATTATCTGCTTTTATTTCCTTCACTGAGCACTTGAATTTTTAGCAGTGCAGTGAAGTAAGATCAGAGCAGGACACAGTTTTTTTCCTAGGTCTGTTCATCCCAGCATCATACCACGTAGTCTAGGCTGCTTATGAATTGTCTGGTAATTGGCAACCACTAGATGGGTCCCCATCTTCTACTACTCATTTGTCCTTCCAGGAATCCTTTGATGAATGTAGAATGAAGCTCATTTTTCTTTCTGTTTACTGTGCTGCAAGGAGGCTGGTATTTTTAGTATAATGGTCATGTGACAGGGTAGCTCATAGCCAGGGTGCAGTCAATGCCTGGGACCATGCTTCTCAGCCTTCATCATGACCTACTTTGTTACGTGGGGTGCTGGCTCTTGCTCTGCTCCTACTCTAAATTATCCAGAAATTGCTGCTGGATGTTCCAGCTTATCCTGAGATAACCCTGGCATCTCCTATCCAGAAAAAAAGTCTGGGAACTGAAACATTCTGGTAGGTCTCCTGTCTGTCATTGTAAGTGTGGAATGAGACTTTGATCATGTCTGTTGAAAACAAATAGTTAATATTTAATAATAACTAATGATATAGCTAAAATTTTCTGAGTAGCTAGTGTGCGAAACTCTTTATGTATATTCTTTCCAGTCCTCATAATAACCCTGTGAATTATAAACTACTAACTTCAGTTTAGATATAAGAGAATTGATATTCAGAGAGGCAAAGTCACTTGCCTAAGTTCACACACTTAGAAGCCAAAAGAGTGAAAGGATACAGTGTGATTCCAGTACAAAAAAAACATGAACTTTGAGACCAAGCAGAGTGGAGTCAAACTTTAGCTCTGCCACTTGCTACATGAGTGACCTTGGGCAAGTCACATTCTTTTCCTGAGTCTCAGCTTCCTTATCTGTTGAATGAGAATCCCTACCTTGCCTCCTCATAGAGCAATTGTAAGGATTAAATGTAATAATAATAATGAATGTAAAGCATGTGATCCAGAGTAGATGTTAAAAAAATAGTAATTTTTGTTACTCAAGGTCACCACGACCTGGATTATTACCCAGGCGTTTGGATCCCACCCAGCCTCTGCATCTTTGTCTTTTAAAACCAGGAAAAGCTTCTGTTATATAGGCCTATTTTAACATGAAGAGAAATGGCTGGGGAGGGACTGTATTCAAAGCAAGAGAACCATATCTCCTGAACTAGTGCCTTAGACCTATTAGAAAGATGAGTGTTGAAAAGCTTGCCTATCAGCAGGAGGCTAGGTTTGATTGGTCTGGAAATGAAAGCATACTCACTGATCTGTAGCTTATCTTTCAGCCTTATCTTTCCTCTTGTTCTAAATAGTTTTAATTCAATGTAGCTAAGAGACACTAAATACCTACTGTACATAAAGCTCTGTATTGAAATTATTTATAGTACATTTTCTCATGTAATTCTCAGAGTTCTCTGACATGTAGATAGTCATTATTACTTTCATTTAATTACTGACAAGTGACTTGCCTGAGGTCAAATAGCTAGTGATTGATAGAGCTGGAATTTGAAGGCTAATTCTTGCCTCTCAAACTGCTCCTTATGCTAATCTTAGTCTCCCCAGCCCCTTTTGTTTCAATTAAGAGCCTCCTAGAATTCCTCTTCTCCACACTAAAAAACACACAAATACACAGTCCAAGAAGCCTTATTAATTTAGGTGACTAAAATGTATGCTACCCCTAATCCTCTGCCTATCAATCATTATGCTTGGGGACCTCCACTGAAGTATGGTTTTTTAGGGTGCATAATTCCTGTGTGAGACAGGGCTTGGGAATATTTAAGTTCAGATAGACATGAATTTGAATTCTAGCTCTCCCACTTACTTGCTATGTGACTTTGTACGAATGGAATTCAGAATCTAACACTTCTAGGTTTAAAGCCATACAGCATCTTCTTTCCATTGTTTTTGAAATAAAATCCAGAGTCTGCATTAGCCCACAAGGTGCTGCATGGCTTAGGCCTTTCAGAATTCATACCATCCTCCCCTTTGCTGAGAGTTCTCGAGACACACTGATGTTCTTCAAATACAACAAGCTCATCCAACCTCAAAAATCTTTGCATTTAAAATTTCTCCTTTCTGGCACTCTTAACGTGACTGGCTTTGTCTTCTATGTTCAGGTCTCAACTTCAACATCTCCTATTTAGAGAGGCTTTCCTCAACCAAATTATCTAGTTCACTCCTGGCCTCTATCCCGTTACTTCATGTTCATTACTTCATTGTTTTCTCCATAGTGTTTATTGCTATTTGACATTTTATTATCTGTTTATGTGTTTAGTTATTTATTTTCTGTTTCTATTGTATGTTTATGATAGCAGGGACTTTTCTGAGTAATTCACTGTTATATTTTCAAAACTCTAAACAGTGCTTGCACCAAAGCAAATGCTGAATAAGTCTGTATTAAATCAATGAACGAATGAATTGCTCCTAAATCTAGTCTATGAAACAACATAATCATGCCTGGCTTTCTGTGAAGCACTTAGTATAGAGTGAAACCAAATAATCGTAGTTTTTATTATGCTATGTTCTTAGGTTTGGTATGCAAACTCAGCCTTGTTGAACTGACTTGTCCAGGATGCCATAGTTCCTTGAGATTTTCTATTACGCCCAAACACCCGAGTTCTGATGGTCTAGAAGCTGAAGGACCTGCCAAGATACAGGCTTCCTATCCTTCTCTTTTCTGGGCTCGTTGTGCGAGCCCTCTCTGGCATGGGGATCACTGACTCATCAGTGTTAAATAGTGTGGGCTTGCCTAGAGATTCTCAAGAAGGGCCTAGCCCTTGAACGATGCCACTCTTACTCAGTACAGAGGCATATGCACTGACTAAGAGTAGATACTAAGGGCATATCCTCACCCTTTCATACATGCAACTGTCAGCTTTGGGTATTTACCATTACAGAAGAAGCAGAAGGGCTTTCACCAAATGGCAGTGTTGTAAGAAATAGGACATCATGACCGGGCGCGGTGGCTCACGCCTGTAATCCCAGCACTCTGGGAGGCCAAGGCAGGCGGATCACGAGGTCAGGAGATCGAGACCATCCTGGCTAACATGTGAAACCCCGTCTCTACTAAAAATACAAAAAAAAAAAAAAATTAGCCGGGCGTGGTGGCGGGCACCTGTAGTCCCAGCTACTCAGGAGGCTGAGGCAGGAGAATGGCATGAACCCAGGAGGCGGAGCTTGCAGTGAGCCGAGATTGCGCCACTGCACTCCAGCCAGGGCGACGAGCGAGACTCTGTCAAAATAAAAAAGGAATAAGACATCATGCAGGAAACCCCAATCCCCATTTATTGATAGGCAAACTGAGGCCCTAGGAGGGGAGGGAATTTTCTTTAGAAAAACAAGGATTACATTTATAATGTCCTACCCCGGGTCCAGTGGTAGGAGCTAATTTGTATTCTCTACAAAAATAGTCTTCATGTTTTCAGGACTTCTTTAAAGTATGTATGCAGTGGGATGAATCTGATGTTGGGAATGGAAAGGAGGTGTGTAGTTTGAAGAAAGATATTTGAAAGGCTTATTACAAGGAAATTTGGACAAAGTCATCTGAAAGTGGAAGCTACCCAGAAGCTAGAATGATAATGCATATAAAGTCCATGAGTTAAAATGTTGAAATACACGGTAATTCAACTACCCCCCTACACTTCTAATAGCTATATCTAACAGAATAATTTTTATTTGTATAGTCATGGCTTTTAGAGGATTTTCATATTGAATTTTCTCATTTGATCATCAAAGCAGGCAGTACAGTGCACCTTGCTATACACTGGCATTTATTCCTATAACATTTTTTCAAAATAATCATCACAGTTTATTACTATAATTTGTCTTGCTTCATCACTACTGGCCTTTACTGTTTATCACTATTTCCCCAGCACCTAGCACAGTGCCCAGTACTTAATAGGCATTCAGTATATATATATATACACACACACACATATATATGTATGTATACACACACACCCCACACACACACACACACACACACACACACACATATATATATATACAGTTTTTTTTTTTTTTTTGAGACGGAGTCTCACTCTGTCACCCAGGCTAGAGTGCAGTGGCATGATCTCGGCTCACTGCAACCTCCACCTCCCAGGTTCAAGCTATTCTCTTGCCTCAGCATCTAGAGTAGCTGGGATTACAGGCATGCACCACCATGCCTAGCTAATTTATTTTGTATTTTTAATAGAGACGGGGTTTCACCATGTTGGCCAGGCTGGTCTCGAACCCCTGACCTCAAATGATCCACCCACCTCGGCCTCCCAAAGTGCTGGGATTACAGGCATGAATCACTGCGCCTGGCCTCAGTATATATTTGTTGAATTAAGGAAGTAATTTCTGTCTTACAGATGTACAAATTAAGAACAAGAGAGGAGAAATGTATTGCCTAAAATCAAATAGCCTCAAAGTGTCAGAGCAAAGATCTCTAATTCATGTCTCCTGATTTCTAGCCAGGTCAGGGATCTTTCTGCCAGTGACTATATGGTAATAGTAAGAACAATAACAATAATTGATAACAGTTGCTATTGGCATACAAGGTATAATACATTATTCAATAAAACTATGTAACAACTTTAGAACTTTACAGCTGATCCTTCTGCCTAGAACACATCTCTATTTGTCTTGTTTCCCTTCTACTCATTTTTAAAGAGAGTTTCAGGGAGTTTTCTCTAGGAAAATTTCCCTAATCCTATCTACGTAGGATTATCACTTTGACCTCTGTACAAACTTCTGTCCTAGCACTTGTCCCACTATATTTTTATTATTTATTTTATCTACTTTGACTATGAGGCTACTAAGAGTGGGCATCATGTTTTATTTACTCACAGAGACCAGCTTACGTCATCAGAAAATATTTCATATGTAAATAAATGATTAAATCTTCATTTGATCTTCATCTTCACTCCTTGGGAAAAGTAGCAGGGATTATTTTTCTAAGACAATGGGCCTCACACTTTATTGTACATTAGAGCACTTGGCATGCTTTTTAAGCATGAAGATTTCCAGTGTCTCTTCCCTCACCATAAGGGAGATTCAGATTCAGATTCAGTAGGTGTGGGCTGTGGACAGGAATTTGTTTTTCTAATGCAGGCCGTTCTTGGAACATATTTTGAGAACCCCTGGACCAGGGTAAAATTGTGAGTTGTCCTATCCATGGAAATGGTTCTGGCAGGTTGGAGGACCTGAATAAATAAGCGAGGATGCAGTGACAACTCTGTCCAGTGTTGCAGTTTGCAGCTGTGAATTTCAGAGGCTATCTAGAAGATTGACTGCTGCAGACACTCATGAAAAAGGCTCCTCTGTTCACCACCCTCAATATTCTTCCCTACTTGAGACATCATGGTTTGGTGAAGGGCATATTGCTCTGGAAGTAAGGCCATCAGGGTGATGACTGGGTAACCTGAAGCATGTCTCTCATGGTCTTTGAGTCTCAGTTATGCATGCGACAAAGGGGATCTATTGTTTTGTTTTGTTTTTAATGTAGTACCTACCTCACAGGAATGTCTTGAAATTAAAATGAAATAAAATAGATCAAAAAGCTAACACAGTGCCTAGCACAGTATGGGGGCTCAGTACGTGAGAGTGAAATGCAAAAAACTCTATCATCCCAGATTTGCTCTTTAATAATTGAGCCTCTTCTATGTTCCTCAGTTTCCCTGTCTATTGATGTAAGGAGGCATCAGCAGGATGATTTTCAAAGCGTGTTTCAGTCTATTGCTGTGATTCAGATCTCGGTCTTGTGTTGTGGGCTGTGAAACAGGGTTCGATGACAGGCTCATTGCAGGTTTTTGTTTGTTTTTTTTTTTTAATAGGCCATCATCTTGTCACCATGTAATGTTGCCAAAAAGCTCTGATTTGATGCATTGCCCTCAACTTTTCCTGTCTCCTTGTTCTTTGACCTTGCTCTCCATTCTGCCTGAGAATGACACATGTTATTTTGAAAGCAGGCAGAAAGAAGGAGTTTTACAAGGCAGGAGAAAGAACAATGGAATCAGCAAAAGATGGAATATTTCCTTTTTTGTCATTTTGATTACAATCTGAGTAATTTCTTGTAAAATGTGCATCAGTTGGTGTTTCAAAGCCTCATGGGAAATTTGCTTGGGTAGTTGCATTGAATACTAACTATGATATTAATTCTAGGAAGAGGAGGAGAGAGGTCAGGAAAGAGTGAGTGATTTGATTGTGAAATTGTTTGCTTTATAGCTGCAAACAGACAGTGGCTTAGAAACCTTTGCAGAATTGGTGGGGTTGAACATTGCGGATTAATGCTTATTAAAAGGGGTTTCAATGGGTCAGAAGATCAGAAGCTAAAAAAAGGGTCAGCATTCCCATGCACACTCTGAGAAAGGATGACATTGCAACATAATACTAATAATAGCCAATCCTAAATTTCTATAGTGCTTTCCCTGTGCTAGGCACTAGTCTAAACATATTTCCCCATATTAACTTTTAAACCTCATAACAATCTGTGGGGTAGATCACTTGCATATTCAGATGAAGAAACTGAAAGATCTAGTGATTTTCCCTGGGTTATATATAATGTAAGTTACTGAGTATAGATTTGAACCTAGAATATCTGGTTCTAGAATATATGCTATTGCCACTGTGATATACTGCCTCTTATGCTTGGGTAAAACCCCTCAGGGGGCACAAGGATACTGTACTTCTGTTTCAGGGTATGTTTTAATCCCTGATAAGGTCCAGTTCTCTTCTATCAGTCTTCATTGACTGGCTTTTCCCTGACTGTTTCTTCATCCTCCCCTTCCCTCCATATAACATGAGCTAGGCAAGTAGTTATATCCTTTGGGGAATTTCTTTCACCTAGACTTTCTAAATGCAAGAATAATTACCTCTAACAGGTGCACAGAACTTCCCTATATATTCTCTCATAGGTCTTGTGTCCCTCAACAATTTTGTAGGGTAAGCTTAGCAGGAAATATTGTCATATCATTTTACAAACAGGACTATTGAAGCCCAAAGAGAGTTAGTGACTTGCCCAAGGTTCACACAATAAATTAACAGCAGAATGTAAGTCAGTAAGCCCCATATACTTATTAAACACTTATTAGGTACCAGACATTGTTCTAGGCACAATTTTAGGAATGTCTGACTTCAGAATCAGTGCGCTGGCAAATATACCACTCTCTCTCTCTCTGTCTTGGTAGCCATTCAGAATGATCACCTAGGTCCCTTGATTAGGGAAAAGAACAAGCATTTGTTGAGCCTCCATCATGACAAGTATAGGAATTTTATTTACATTTTTTTTGTTCTATTGAATCTTTCTGCCAACCCTGAAAGTTTGGGATTTGAATCTTCATTTTCAAATAAGAAAGCTGACAAGTAAGGCAGACCCCAGTTTGAGCTGGCTCCCTTTTTCCTCTCTAGAGCTCCATGTCAGGCTTCGGCTGCAGCACTGGAACATCCCTCTGGCAGACTCTGATGAAAACATTCCTAGGAATGCTGCGGCCAAGATTAACACATCTTTTCATTTATCCTTTGCTGCTGCCTTAGGTTTTTCAGCAGAACCATAAACAAGCAAGTAGAAAGCAGTCAGGTTAGTGAGGAAGAAAGGAAATGAGGCTTAGCCCTTGGGCTATATTCTGGGTCTCCTGGGCTGACTAATGCCCTCCCAGCCCAGGTCACAAATGGATGAAAAGGGTCTTCTGCAGCAGTCCTCTGAGGCCTGGCCTAGTTCTGATGCACAAGACTCTGCTGGCTATTGCAGCTGCTGCTTCTCATTCCTCAGGCCTGGCCAGCATTGTTAAGAGGAGGGGTTGAGAAAGACAAGAGTGTGTGTAAAAAGAGGCTCGCTCACCACCAGATCATGCCTCTCAAGGGCATGGAGTTTGGTTCTGTTGAGAAAGCTTCTCTTGTTTATTTGTGAAGAAGGCCTGAGGGTCAGTCTCCTGCTGACATTTTCTCTAGCAGTGGGCAGACCTCAGGGGATGACAGAATTGGGGAAATGACATGTCTCAGTTCAGCTTGCTTACTTGCCTTTACTCTCACTATCTGGGCAATCTCCCTCTCAGTCCTTGGAACTTTTTACCTTAAACTTTAAGAAAAATTGTAGAATCATGTAGTCTTTTGGCCAAGAGAACCCGCTGCCACTTATCTAAGAGCATGATTCCCTTTGAGTATTCATACCTACGTGTCTTCAATCTGCTCAAAAAGATCCTGTCAAAAAGTGATTCTATAGCTTCCTTTGATTAATCCAAGAACCTCCACACTTTGAATGTCTTCCTTGCATGCATCTTGTTTTCTCTTGCTCTCAATTAGCATCATTTCTTTTTCAGGTCTTAGAAAGTTAGAACTAGAAGGGGCTGTTAGTATTATATGAGAATCTTTTCAATCCATAAAGAGCTGCACAGATGTAATTGATTATTATTGCTATCTAGTCCAGTCTCTACATTTGAAAAATGAGGTAACTAAGACCCCTTGGGATACAGTGATTTGCCAAAAATTACACAGCTCATAAGAGACAGCTCCAGGCCTCAAATGTAAGTTTTCTGGGCCAATTACCATGTTGTTTTCACTGTTCTTACTGACTATTTTCCTCTCTTAGGACTTGGGGAAGAGCATTTCACTGCATCCTATATATTTACACTGATATGCTATGATGTCACTGCTTGACCTTTTCTTTCTTAGGCTAAATCAAGGGATTATAAATATTTTTTATTCCAGTGACTTATTTCCAACTCTTCAGTCCTTCCAGTTCTCTGAGGAGGAGCTTTGTTCTTCAGTAGCAAACAGATGCACATTGGTTTGGTGTAGAAATGAGTTGGGACATTTCTCTTTTCTTAAGAAGTATACAATGCTGACGAGGGAAGTAGGAGTTGTAATCTTTCCTCAGGCACCAGGAACTCTCGTGCCTCCAGCATACTAAAACTGCTGTTAGATTTGGGTAGACAGAATAGACCACAGCCTAGGATACAATAACAGCTACCATTTATTGAGTGTTTAAAATACTCCAGGAACTATGTTAGGTGCTTTATAAACATCATTTTACTTAATCCTTACAATGACACTGAGAGGGACTTAATATGAGCATCATTTTTTTAGGTGAAGAAACCAATGCTCAGAGAGTTTATATAACTTGTCCATATTTACAGTTACTAAATATGTAACACAACATTTAAATCTGTGTCTCCCTGACCCAATGCTCAGGTTACTTTCACTACAGTAAGAATGTTCTGTGAGGAATAACCTTTCCCCTTTGTGATGTGGGCTTAGAGATGTGAGAAAGCATTCCTTCTCCATAAACTTAAAATAATCAACAACCCATGATTTTATAGTTCCTGAAAATTCACAATTAGAGACTGGTTGTTTTCTAGTGGAAATTACAATGGACTAGGAGTTAGGAATCCTGTGTTTTAATTACAGCCTTACCACTGAGCAACTGTGTAAATTTAGACAAATTATTCCCTCACCTGGTGCCTCAGTTTCTCCCTCTGTGTAATGGAAAATATAATTGGATTGTCCTCTTCATTCTCTGAAATCCTGCAATTCTTGAAAGATAGTAAGCTAATTCTTTCAGACTATTTTCTCCAGAAAAGGACATATTGGGAGTATGAGGAAGCTTCCTGCCAGGTAGTGGTTAATTGAAGTATCACTTTTCATAATGAGCCTGTCTACAAGATGCTCCACCTCCACCCCACCCTCCACCTTAACTTGTCCAAATGGAACCAGGAACAATATTTTGACTGGTTCTTATTGCCTTATATATTTTTTTGAATGGAATGAGAACTGTCAATGAGAGCTAGAGATTCATCTGATACCAGAAGTAACATACCTCAGATTCAAGTTCCCCTGGCCCGGGTCAAATGGGCCCAGGTTTAATAAGTAACCTCAGGTGCTCTAATGCACTGTGAGGTTTGAGACTCCTTGTCCTAGGAAAATATAATTTCTGTTACTTTTCTCAAGGAATGTGTATGAAGATAAAAATTAAGCTCCATTTATGTATGTATGTATGTACATATTTTATTTCATGTAACAGGTATTTACTGAGCACATCTGTGCCAGGCTCTTTGAATAAATAAGACATCTTTGCTATTCACAAGAAACACAAAATATAGTGGGTGAGACAAAATTAAACTAATAATGACAAGACATGGGTTTAATGTTATAACTGAGATATATACAAAGGCTAGAGGAGCCCTAACTCACATAGGTGAGATTAGAAAAGGATCCTTGGAGGAGGTGGGGTCTGAGACAAATCTTAAGGGGTAACAGTAAAACAGAACAAGGGAGATAAGGTGAGAGTTTAGCTGTAAGTTCTAGAGGTGTTATTTATTCTGATGTACAGTACCTTGGTGTATTCTAAAAAATTAATAGCTCTTGTTAATATTTTATGATTGTATTTTTTTTTTTTTTGCTTCTCTGACATCTGGTAGCCAGATTTCACCCAAGAGAACTTAAGACTTGAGGAATTCAGCAAGTTCAGCCAGAAAGTTTAGTAGAGAACAGAGGGTATTCCCCATTCCACTATATTATCAATAGCTCCAGTTTAAATCAATTCAAAGATTGACAACAAAATCTCCATGAGTCTGCAAGAACCAGAGTATTACTGGACTTGGGGTGCCTCCCAATGCAGATATGTCTTCAGTGACCAAAAACTTAGATCACAACACTGAAGTTCCTTTGAATACCTGAAAAGCCTTTCTAAGAAGGACAGGTACAAAGAAGCTCAGACTGTGAAGATTAGAATGAGTAAGTAGCTCTTCAATGCCCAAACACTTAAAAACATCCATAAGAGTTAAGACCATCCAGGAAAACATGACCTCACCAAGTGAACTAAATAAGGCACCAGTTGACCCATCCTGGAAAGACAGAGAAATGTAACCTTTCAGACAGAGAATTTAAAATAGCTTCTTTGTGGAAGCTCAACATCCAAGATAACACAGAAAAAATTTTGGAATTTTATCAGATAAATTTAACGAAGAAGTTGAAATAATGTTTTAAGGAATTAAGCAGAAATTCTGGAGGAGAAAATGAAATTGACATATGGAAGAATGCATTAGTATCCTACCAAGAGAATTGAGCAATCAGAAGAAAGAATTAGTGAGCTTGAAGACAGGCTATTTAAAAATATAGTCAGAGGTCATGTACCCCAGAACTTAAAGTATATTATATATATATATATATATATATATATATATATATATATATAGTCAGAGGAGACAAAAGGAAAAGGGATAAGAAAAAAGTAAACATCCATACAAGATCCAGAAAATAGCCTCAAAAGCGGGCAGATCACGAGGTCAAGAGATCGAGACTATCCTGGCTAACAAGGTGAAACCCCGTCTATACTAAAAATACAGAAATTAGCTGGGCGTGGCGACGCGTGTCTATAGTCCCAGCTACTCAGGAGGCTTAAGCAGGAGAACCACTTGAACCTGGGAAGTGGAGGTTGCAGTGAGCCGAGATCGTGCCACTGCACTCCAGCCAGTCTGGTGAAAGAGCGAGACTCCGTCTCAAAAAAAAAAAAAAAAAAAAAAAAAAAAGAAAAAGAAAAAAAAAGAAAAGCCTCAAAATGGCAAATCTAAGAGTTATTGGCCTTAAAGAGAAGAGAGAGAGAAAGACAGAGATTTCATTCATAGGGATAAAAACAGAGAACTTCTGAAGCCTAGAGAAAGATATCAGTATTGAAGTACGAGAAGGTTATAGAACACCAAGCAGATTTAAAGCAAATGAGACTTCCTCAAGACACTTAACTATCAATAACTCTTCTAGCTGTTTTAAAATAAATATATGTGCTGTTAACTATAGTCACCCTACTCTGCTCTTGAACATTAAAACATATTCCCTCTAGTTAACTGTATATTTGTGCTCACTGACCAACTTCTCTTTGTCCCCCACACCACCTACAAACCCTTCCCAGACTCTGACATCTATTATTCTACTTTCTACCTCTAGGAAATCAACTTTTTAAGCTCATACATATGAATGAAAACATGCAATGTTTGTCTGTCTGTGCCTGACTTATTTCACATTTATCATAATGACTTTGAGTTCCATCGTGTTGCTGCAGAAAATGTAGTTTAATTATTTTATATGGACAAATAGTATATATATATACACACACACACACACACTATATCTCACAATTCCTTTATCTAACCATCCATTGATAGGTGCTTAGCTTGATTCCATATCTTTGCTATTGCAAACAATGCTGTCATAAACAGACAAGTGCAGGTATCTTTTAAATATAATGATTTTATTGTCTTTAGGTAGATACCTAAGAGTGGGAGTGCTAGATCAAATGGTAGTTCCACTTTAGGTCTTATAGAAATCTCCATACTGTTTTTCATAGAGGTTGTACTGATTTACATTTCTACTAACAGTGTATAAGCATTCCCCTTGTTCCTCAACCTTAGTAACATCTGTTATTTTTTGTTTTATAAACAATAGCCATTCTGATTTGTGTAAGATAATATCTCATTGTGATTTTATGTTGCACTTTACTGATGAATGGCGATGATGAGTATTTTCATATGCTTATTGGCCATCTGTATTTCTTCTTTTCAGAGAAGTCTACTCATGTCCTTTGCTCATTTTTGATGAAATTATATTTTGTTGAGTTGTTTGAGGTTCTTGTGTTTTCAGGATACTATTCCCTTCTTGAATGACTAGTTTGCAAATATTTTCTCATAACCAACAGGTTGTCTATTCATTCTACTGATTCTTTCTTTTGCAATGCAGGAGTTTTTTAGTTTAATATAGTTTCATTTGTCTATTATTATTGCCTCTGCTTTTGGGATATTAACCATAAAATCTTTGCCTGGACCAATCCCCTGAAGCTTTTCACCTGTTTTCTTCCAGTAGGCTTACAGTTTTGAGTCTTACATTTATGTCCTTAATTCCTCTTTTATAAATTTTATTTTAAGTTCAGGGTTACATGAGCAGGTTTATAACAGAGGTAAACTTGTGTCATGGGAGTTTGTTGTACAGATTATTTTGTCACTCCAGTATGAAGCCTAGTACCCATTAGTTATTTTTCCCCATCTTCTCCATCCTCCAATCCTCCACACTCATAGGTCCCAGTGTGTGTTGTTCCCCTCTATCTGTCTATGTGTTCTCATCAATTAGCTCTCACTTATAAGTGAGAACATGTGGTATTTGGTTTTCTGTTTCTGCATTGGTTGGATAAGATGATGGCCTCCACCTCCATCCAAGTCCGTGCAAATGACATGATCTTGTTCTTTTTTATGGCTGCATATTATTCTGTTGTGTATATGTACCACATTTTCTTTATCCCGTCTATAACTAATGGACATTTAGGTTGATTCCATGTCTTTCCCATTGTGGATAGTGCTGCAATTAACATAAGCTTGCATTCATTTTGACAACAGAACAATTTATATTATTTTGGGTATATACTCACTGATAGGATTACTGGGTTAAATAGTACTTCTGTCTTTAGATCTTTGAGGAATCACCACATTGTCTTCCACAATGGTTGAACTAATTTACTCTCCCAGCAACAGTGTAAAAACATTCCTTTTATTCCACAACCTTGCCAGCATCTGTTGTTTTCTGACTTTTTAATAATAGCCATTCTGAGTGGTATGAGATGATATCTCATTGTGGTTCTGATTTACATTTCCCTAATGATCAGTGATGTTGAGATTTTTTTTTCATGTGAATGTTGGCTGCAGGTATGTCTTCTTTTGAAAAGTTTATGTCTTTTGCCCCCTTTTTCATGGGTTCTTTGTTTTTTTTCTTGTAAATTTGTTAAAGTTCCTTATAGATCCTGGATATTTGTCAGATGCATCGTTTTCAAAAACTTCTCCCATTCTGTATGTTGTCTGTTTACTCTGTTGATATTTTCTTTTTCTGTGTAAAAGCTCTTTAGTTTAATTACATCACATTTGTTAATTTTCGTTTTTTTTTGCAACTGCTTTTGACATCTTCATCATGAAATTGTTGCCAGTGCCTATGGTTTGAATGGCATTGCATAGGTTGTCTTTCAGGGCTTTTATAGTTTTGAGTTTTACATTTGAGTCTTTAGTCTATCTCGAGTTAATTTTTGTATATGGTGTAATGAAGGAGTCCAATTTAATCTTCTGCCTATGGCTATCCAGTTATCCCAGCACCAGTTATTGAATAGGGAATACTTTCCCCAGTGATTGTTTTTATCAGGTGTGTTGAAGATCAAATAGTTGTAGGTTTGCGGTCTTATTTCTGGGTTCTCTATTCTGTTCCATTGGTCTATGTGTCTGTATTCATACTACTACTATGCTGTTTTGGTTTCTATAGTCCTGCAGATTAGTTTGAAGTCAGTTAGGGTGATGCCTCTAACTTTGTTCTTATTGCTTAGGATTACCTTGGTTATTCAGGCTCTTTTTGGTTCCCTGTGAATTTTAAAATATTTTTTTCTACTGCTCTGAAGAATCTCAATGGTAGTTTAATAGGAATAGCATTAGATCTATGAACTGCTTTGGGAACTATGACCATTTTAAAGTTACTAATTCTTCCTATCCATGAGCATGAACTGTTTTTTCATTTGTTTGTGTCATGTCTGATTTATTTGAGCAGTAGTTCATAATTCACCTTGTAGAGATCTTTCACCTCCCTAGTTAGCTGTATTCCTAGGTATTTTATTCTTTTTGTGGCAATTATGAATGAGAGTTTCTTTCTAATTTGGCTCTCGGCTTGAGTGTTCTTGGAGTATAGAATGCTAGTGATTTTTGAACATTAATTTTGTATCCTGAGACTTTGCTGAAGTTGTTTGTTGGATCAAGGAGCTTTTGGGCTGAGACTTGAGGTTTTCTAAATACAGGAAAATGTGGTTTGCAACCAGGGATAGTCTGACTTCCTATCTTCCTATTTGGATGCCCTTTTTAACTTTCTCTTATCTGACTGCCCTGGCCAGGACTTCCAATACTATGTTGAATAAGAGTGATGACAGAGGGCATCCCTGTCTTGTGCCAGTTTTAAAGGTTTTAAGTTTTGCCCATTCAGTATGATGTTGGATGTGGGTTTGTTATAGATGGCTCTTATTATTTTGAGGTTTGTTTCTTCAATATCTAGCTTATTGAGAGTTTTAAACATAAAGAAGTGTTGAATTTTATCAAAAGCTTTTTCTGCATCTATTGAGATAATTATGTGTTTTTTGTCTTTAGTTCTGTTTATACGATGAATCACATTTGCTGATTTGTATATATTGAACCATCCTTGCATCCCAGGGATAAAGCCTACTTGATCATGGGTAGATAATCTTTTTGATGTGCTGCTGAATTTTGTTTGCCAGTATTGTGTAGTGAAGTTATTTTGCATCAATTTCATCAAGGTTATTGGTCTGAAGTTTTCCTTTTTACTGTATCTCTGCCAGGTTTTGATGTCGGAATGATTCTGGCCTCATAGAATGAGTTAGAGTGGAGTCACTACTCCTTAATTTTTTGAAATAGTTTCAGTAGGAATGGTACAAGGTCTTCTTTGTACACCTAGTAGAATTCAGCTGTGAATCCCACTGGTCCTGGCTTTTTTTGATTGGTATGGTGTTTATTACTGCCTCAAATTTAGAGCTCATTATTTGTCTGCTTGGGGATTCAACTTCTTCCTGATTCAGTCTTGGAAGGTTGTATATGTCCAGGAATTTATTCATTTTTTTTCTAGATTTTCTAGTTTATGTGCATAGAGGTGTTCATAATATTCTCTGATAGTTGTTTGTATTTCTGTGGGGTCAGTGGCAATATCCTCCTTGTTTCTGATTGTATTTATTTGAATTTTCTCTTTTCTTATTTATTAGTCTGACTAGAGATCTATTTTATTATTTTTTTTAAAAAAACAAGTTCCTGAATTCATTGATCTTTTTATTGTACTTTTTTTTGTATGTGTTTCTATCTCCTTCAGTTCAGCTCTGATTTTGGTTATTTATTGTCCTCTGCTAGCTTTGGGGTTTGTTTTCTGTGGGTTCTCTAGTTCCTTTAGTTGTGATGTTAAGTTGCTAACTTGAGATGTTTCTAACCTTTTGATGTGGGCATTTGGTGCTATAAATTTCTTAACAGTGCCTTAGCTGTGTCCCAGAGATTCTGGTAGGTTGTATTTATCCTCTCATTACTTTCAAAGAACTTCTTCATTTCTGCTTTATTTTAATTATTTATCTGAAATTAACTCAGAAGCAGGTTCATGTGCTCATATTCTATTTCCATGTAATTGTATGGTTTTGAGTGAATTTCTCAGTCTTGATTTCTAGTTTAATTGTGTTGTGGTCCAGGAGACTGTTTGCTATAATTTTAGCTCTTTTGCATTTGTTGAGCAGTATTTTACTTATGAATATGTAATCAATTTTAGAGTATGTGCCATGTGGCAATGAGAAGAATGTATATTCTGTTGTTTTGGGGTGGAGTTCTGTAGATAACTATAAAGTCCACTTGGTCTACTGCTGCATTCAGGTCCTGAATATCTTTGTTAATTTTCTGTCTCCATGATCTGTCTAATGTTGTCAGTGGGGTATTATAGTCACCCACCAATGTCGAGTGGGAGTCTAATTCTCTTTGAAGGTCTCTAAAAACTTGCTTTATGAATCTGGGTGCTCCTGAGTTAGGTACATATTTATTCAGGATAGTTAGCTCTTCTTATTGAATTGAACTTTTACCATTATGTAATGCCCTTCTTTCTCTTTTTTGAACAGTCTGTTTTGTCAGCAACTAAGATTGCAACTTCTGCTTTTTGCTTTTTTCCATTTGCTTGGTAAATTTTTCTTCATACCTTTATTTTGAGCCTATGTGTGTCATTGCATGTGAGATTGGTCTCTTGATGACAGCATGCCAATGGGTCTTGGTTCTTCAGCCAGCTTGCCACTCTGTTTATTTTAATAGGGTCATTTAGCCCATTTACATTCAAAAATAGTATTGATATATGTGGATTTGATCCCATCATGATGTTAGCTGGTTATTTTGCAGACTTGTTTTTGTGGTTTCTTTATAGTGTCACTGGTCTGTGTACTTCAGTGTGTTTTTGTAGTGGCTGGTAATGGTCTTTCCTTTTCATTTTTAGTACTTCCTTTACTAGCTCTTGTAAAGAAGGTCTGGAGGTAATGAATTCCCTCAACATTTGCTTGTCTGAAAAACATCTTATTTCTCCTTTGTTTATGTTTAGCTTGGTCAGAAATGAAATTCTAGGTTACAATTTCTTCTCTAAGAGTGTTGAATATTGGCCCCCAATCTCTTCTGGTTTCTGGGGTTTCAACTGAGAGGTCTATTGTTAGTCTGATGGGCTTCTCTTTGTAGCTTACCTGACCTTTCTCTCTAGCTGCCTTTAAAATGGTTTTCTTTTATTTCTGCCTTGGATAATCTAATATTTATATGTCTTGAGCATGATCTTGTGAAATATCTTACTGAGTTTCTCTGCCTCTTCTGAATGTGAATGTTGGCCTCTCTAGCTAGGTTGGGGAAATTCTCATGGATGACATCCTGAAATATGTTTTTCAAGTTGGTTTCATGCTTCCTATCTTTTTCAAGACCACCAATGGGTTGTATATTTTGTCTCTTTACATAACCCCATATTTCTCTGAGGTTTTGTTCAATTGTTTCTATTTTTTTCTCTCTATTATTGTCTTCCTGTCTATTTCAGAAATCCAATCTTCAAGCTCTGAGATTCTTACCTCTGCTTGGTCTATTCTGCTATTAATTCTGCATTATTAAATCTTTAAAGTGTGTTTTTCTGCTCTATCATGTCTATACTGGCTATGTTTTTTTTTTTTTTTTCCTGTCATCTCCTGCAATGTTGTATCATGATCTTTACTTTCCTTGCATTGGGATTTTTAAATTTATTTTATTTGTTTTGAGACAGAGTCTTGCTCTGTTGCCCAAGCTGGAGTGCAGTGTTGCAATCTCAGCTCTCTGCAAGCTCCGCCTCCCGGGTTCATGCCATTCTCCTGCCTCCGCCTCTGGAGCAGCTGGGACTACAGGTGCCAGCCACCATGCCCGGCTAATTTTTTCTATTTTTAGTAGAGACCGGGTTTCACCGTGTTAGCCAGGCTGGTCTCAATCTCCTGACCTGGTGATCCACCCACCTCAGCCTCCCAAAGTGTTGGGATTACAGGCATGAGCCACCGCACCCAGCCTGCACTGGGTTTTAATGTACTTCTGTAGCTCCATTAACTTTGTTCCTATCCATATTTTGAATTCTACTTCTTTCATTTCAGCCATCTCAGCCTCAGCTCAGTTCCAAATCCTTGCTGGGGAAGTGATGTGGTCATTTGGAGGAAAGAAGGCACTCTGGCTTTTTTGAGTTTTCAGTGTTCTTGTGCTGATTCTTTCTCATCTTTTGGGCTTATCTGCAATCAATCTTTGAGGTTGCTGACCATTAGATGTTTTTTTCTATTGCCCTATTTGATGTCCTTGAGGGTTTGATTGTGGTATAAAGTGGGCCAGCTGGCTTCATTTCTGGGAGATTTTAGGGTGCCAACACTCAGCTCTCAACTCCGAGACTGTGTGCTCTAACTCTGGGAGACTTTTATTGTGCCCTGACTTTGTTCTCTGGCTGCTTGAGATTTTTAGTCTGCTGCTCCGGGGTGACTGAGTTGTGGCAGATGCAGCAGACTGCTAGTGGACTCAAGGGTGCCTGCCTCCATGTGGGCATTCACCACAGTGGCAGAGGCAAAACAGCTGGAGGGGGAAGCAGGTGCCTCTGCTGGGGACTGTGTGCATGATTGCACTGGAGATGGTGTTGGCTTGGGGAGGGGTGCTAGTCAACACAGGTCTGGGTGCCTTCTCTGTGTCTCATGGGCAGGAGTGATCACTCAGGGTGTGCAAGGATATTCTGTTCTCTGTGCAGCTTTAGTGCAAGGGTGGGGTGCTTGTGGGGGTAAGGCTTGCTGGCTCTGTGACCACCAAGGCTTCATCTGTAATGGTGGTCAGCAGGGGTGGAGGCACATACTGTACTCTTGCATGTTGGTGGATCAAGTAAAAAAAAACCACCCATGCAGACGCACACCAGCAAAGTGATGTGGGGAGGTGCTGTGGGCTCAGAGGATTTTGCAGTATGGGGAGAGAATGTGCCAGCTATCACACAGCCATAGGGGCTGCCTCTTTGGAGGTCTCCACCAGTCGGGCCTGCCACTCACCATTGGAGCTCCATCCTAGGGAGCCCTGAAACCTCTGTCAGCCAAAGATCATTGGCTACAGTAGGCAGAAACCCCAGTTGGGAGGCTCCACCTGGTGATGAATGGGATTGAGAACCTACTTAAGACATCAGTCTGGCCACATTTTCATAAGGTAACTGTGCTGTGCTGAGGGACTGCCTTTGCTCCCAGTTGGCTTGGACTCTTCAAAGCCCAAAGGGTTGACTGGCTAAGTTTCCCTAACAGCGAATATGGTGGCCCATTCCTCCCTCTAGGGGCTGTCTCTCAGGGACTTTTCAAATCTTTGTCAGCTGGAGAACACCAGGAGGGATGGCTGGAGGCCTTGGTTGGGAGGTACTAACCAGAGAGGAGGAACGGGAACAGGCACTTGCTTAAAGAAGCAGTCTGGACACATTTTGATAGAGCAGCTAGGCTGTACGGGGTACAGTTTCCAACCCTGGTTGGCTTGGAGTTTCCAATGCCCAAAGACTGGAAAAGCTAAGTCACCCAAATAGCAAAAATGGTGGCTCGCCCCTCTCTCTGAGAACTTCATCCCAGGGAGGTTTCAAAACTATGTCAGCTAGAAATCACTGGCAGATGTGGCTGGAGACCCTGGTTGGAAGGGCCTGCTCAGTGAGGAGAAACAGGATTGGGTACCCACTTTAAAAAGCAGTCTGGTCACATTTTCATAGAGCACCTCTGATGTGTTGGGGGATCCCTTTCACTTCCAGTCAGTTTGGACTTTCCAAAGCCCAAAGGCTGGAACAGCTACATTGCCCTAACAGCAAAGATGTCAGCGTGCCCATCCTCCTGGGATCTCCATCTCAGGAAGGCACAACACTGCTACATGTGGCTGGCTGGAATTTCAAACCAGTGGGTTTTATCATGTGTGGTGCCATGGAAATGGGGCCCACAGACTGTCGCTGCTCAGCCCCCTGAATTCAGCCTCTTTCCTAGGGGAATGCGTAGGGGAGTAACACCCCACTTTGCCAGAGTTGCAACTACTTTTGCCAGGAAGCTCATAATGCCAGAGTATCCAAGGTTCCTGGGTCTCTGCACATACTTGAGGAGCTGCTCTTCTGAGACTCCACATCATTCTGTGTGTCAGACTGAAGGCCCTGGTGGAGTGGGTTCACAAAGGGATCTCCTGACCCAAGGTTTACAAAAATCTATTGGAGAAGCATGGGTTCCCAGGAATGCACATTCATCATGGCTTCCCCAGGCAGAGGAAGTTCTCTTGGCTGTATGTGACTCCTAGGTGGGCAGTCATCCTGCCTTGCTTTTACTTCAATTTTCATGGGTCAAGTAGTTTCTTGGATTAGTACCAATGTGAGTACCTGGATGTTTCAGTTGAAGGTGCTGTATTTACTTGCTCCTTCCATTCCTCTCTATTACAGCAACACACAATAGCTGCTTCTAGTTGGCCTTCTTAGCTACTCCTCTAATTCATCTTTTGTTAGGTGTTTTACACGGTGAGATATAACCTCAAAAAGACAAATCTAAGAAGTAATGGCCATAGAGAGAAAGTAGAAGGAGAAATTATGATAGAAAGTTTATTCAAAGTGATGACAACAGATAACTTCTGACCTAGATAAAGATATTTATATTCAAGTACAAGAAGGTTATAGAACACCAAGCACACTTAACCGAAACAAGACTACTTAAGACATTCAACAGTCAAACTCCCAAAGGTCAAGGATAAAGAAAAGATCCTAAAAGCAGCAAGAGAAAAGAAACAAACAATGTACAATGAAGTTCCAATACATGTGGCAGCCCACTTCTTAGTGGAAACCTTACCAACTAGGAGACAGTGGCTCTTTACATATTTAAAGAGCTGAAAAAAGAAAACCTTTTATCCTAGAGTAGAGTGTCTGATAACAAGCCTTTTCCAGACAAACAAAAGCTGAGGGATTTCATCACCAGCAGACCAATCTTAAAGACAATGCTAAAGGGAGTACTTTAGTAAGGAAGTAAAGGACATTAATGAGCAATAAGTAATCACCTGAAGGCACAAAACTCATTGATAATAGTAAGTAAACAGAAAAACACAGAATAATATAACACTGCAACTGTGGTGTGTAAACTACTCTTAACCTAAGTAGAAAGGCTAAATGATGAACAAGTCAAAAATAATAGCTAGAACAACATTTGAAGAGAGAGCCAGTACAAGGAGATATAAATAGAAAAAACAAAAATTTAGAAAGCAGGTTGATAGAGTTAAGGCATAGAGTTTATATTAGTTTTCTTTCTGCCTGTTTGATTTTCATGCAAAAAGTGTTAAGTTGTTATCAAGTTAAAATAATGGATTATACAATAATATTTGCAAGCCTCATGGTAACTTTAAACCAAAAGATACACAACGGAGACAGAAAACAAAAAAGGAAGAAGTTAAATTAAATCACCTGAGAAAATCTCCTTCACTAAAGAAGACAGAAAGGAGGCCATTATGAAATGCCAGTTAGAACCTATTATTTGAGCCCATTACTGGAAATTTGCCTGCAAAACTCTATTCAGATGCAATAATGATTTAGGCAGTTCTGACTTTCCAGAAATGAAGAGAAGTGCTGAAAATAAATAGAAGATAATAAATCTCTTAATGGTGCAAAGGGGAAAAATAAAGCAAATTATATTTTATGTGGCAAAAAAAGAAGACGGAAAGGAAAGAAAAAAGAAAGTGAAGACTACAATGCAGTTAGAAAACAAATAACAAAATGGCAGGAGAAATTATTATATAATATCATGATAATAATATTGAATATATATAGACTAAACTCTCCAACCAAAAGACATAGAGTGGCTGAGTGGATAAACAAACAAGACCTATTGATCTATTGCCTACAAGAAGCACACTTCACTTATAAAGACACACATAGACTGAAATAATCAGATGAAAAATTATTCCATGACAATGGAAATAAAAAAGACTAGCAGGAGTCACTAAACTTATATTAAAAAAGTACAGCAGGTGTCTTTATGCTTATATCATACAAAATACATTTCAAAACAAAATGTATAAGATGAGACAAAGAAGATCACTATATAATGATAAATTGGTCAATTCAGTAAAATGATATATACAACAATTTAAAATATATATGCACCCAACACTGGAACACTCAGCTATATAAAGCAAATATTATTAGAACTAAAGAGAGAGACAGGCTACAGTACAATAATAATGTGAGACTTTAAAACCCCACTTTCAGCATTGGACAGATCATCCAGACAGAAATTCAACAACAACAGCAACAACAAAAACATTAGACATAACCTGCACTTTAGATGAAATGGACTTAATAGACATTTGCAGAACATTTTCCCAAATGGCTGCAGCATACACAATATTTTCCTCAGGACATGGGTCATACTCAAGGATAGACCCATGATATGTTAGGTCACAAAACAAGTGTTAAAACATTCAGAAAATTTAAGTAATATCAAGCATCATTTCTGACCACAAGGAAATGAAACTAGATATTAATAACAGACAGAATTCTGGAACACATACAAATACACAAAAATTAAACAGTAGGTCCTGAATGATCAGGGAGTCAATAAAAAATTAAAAATAAATTTAAAACGTTTCTTGAGACAAGTAATAATGGGAACACACCATACCAAAACCTATGAGATACAGCAAAAGAAGTTCTATCACGTAAGTTTGTAGCTATGAGTTCCTACATCAAAAAAGAGAAAAAACCTCAAATGAAGAACCTAATGTTGCATAATTAAGAACTAGAACAGCAAAAGCAAACCAAATACAAAATTGAGTGAAAAGAAGTAATAAATACCAGAACAACACCAAAAAAAAAAATTCAAAATTCAAAAAAATTCAAAAAAATAGTGAAACAAAAAGTTGGTCTTCTGAAAAGTTAAATAAAATTGACAAACCTTGGGCTGGGCATGGTGGCTCATGCCTGTAATCCCAGCAATTTGGGAGGCTGAGGTAGGCAGATCATGAAGTCAGGAGTTCAAGGCCAGCCTGACAAAGATGGTGAAAACCTGTCTCTACTAAAAATACAAAAATTAGCCAGGTGCAGTGCCAGGCATCTGTAATCCCAGCTGCTCAGGAGGCTGAGGCAGGAGAATTGCTTGAACCCAGGAGGCAGAGATTGCAGTGAGCTGAGATCATGCCATTGCACTCCAGCCTGGGTGACAGAATGAGACTCCATTAAAAAAAAAAAAAGAAAACCTTTAGCCAGACTCACAAAAAAGGACGACAATACAAATAAATGGAAAAAAGGAAGAAGATACAAATAAATGAGATCAGAAATATATAAGAAGCCATTACAACTGACACTGCAGAAATCTAAAAAAATTATTAGTGGAATCTATGCGCAACTATATGCCAATAAATTGGGCAATTGACAATAAACTAATTTCTAGACATATACAGTTTATTAAGATTGAGCGAAGAAGAAATTTAAACTTGAACAGAGCAGTAGCAAGTAATGAGATCAAAGCTGTCATAAATAGAAAAGCCCAGGAGCCTTTTATTTTTCTACTAAAGAGTAGCCCAGGAACTGATGGCTTCATTGCTGAATTCTATCAAACATTTAAAGAAGAACTAATACTAATTGTACTCAAATTATTTTGAAAAATCGAGGAAGAGGGAATATTTCCATACTCATTCTACAAGGCCAGTATTACCCTGATACTCAAACCAAACAAAGACATATCAATAAAAGGAAACTACAGGCCAATATCTCTGATGAATATTGATCCAAAAATTCTCAACAAAATACTAGCAAATGAAATTTAACAATACATTAGAAAGAATATTAATCAAGATGAAGTGGGATTTATCCCTGCGATGCAAGGCAGGTTCAACATATACAAACCAATCAATGTGATACATCTTTTCAATGGAATGAAGAATAAAAATCTTACAGTCATTCTAATTGATAATAAAAAAGCATTTATTAATATAAAATTCAACATCCCTTAATGAGAAAAACACTAAAATAACTGGGGATAGAAGAAACATACCAAAGCATAATAAAAGCCCTATATGACAGACCCACTACTAGTATCATACTGAATACAAAACAACAACAACAAACTTGAAAGCCTTTTCTCTAAGATCTGGCACACAACATAAGTGTGCACTTTCAAAATTGCTATTGAACATAGGTACTTGAACCCTTATCTAGAGCCATCAGACAAGAGAAAGATATAAAGGACGCACAAACTGGAAAAGAAGAAATGAAGTTATCCTTGTTTGCAGATGATATAATCTTTTTTTTTTATTATACTTTAAGTTTTAGGGTACATGTGCATAACGTGCAGGTTAGTTATGTATGTATACATGTGCCATGTTGGTGTGCTGCACCCAGTAACTCGTCATTTAACATTAGGTATATCTCGAAATGCTATCCCTTCCCCCTCCCCCCCACCCCACAACAGGCCCCAGTGTGTGATGTTCCTCTTCCTGTGTCCACGGGTTCTCATTGTTCAATTCCCACCTATGAGTGAGAACATGCGGCGTTTGTTTTTTTTGTCCTTGTGATAGTTTGCTGAGAATGATGGTTTCCAGCTTCATCCATGTCCCTACAAAGGAAATGAACTCATCATTTTTTATGGTTGAATAGTATTCCATGGTGTATATGTGCCACATTTTCTTAATCCAGTCTATCATTGTTGGACATTTGGGTTGGTTCCAAGTCTTTGCTATTGTGAATAGTGCCACAATAAACATACGTGTGCATGTGTCTTTATAGCAGCATGATTTATAATCCTTTGGGTATATACCCAGTAATGGGATTGCTGGGTCAAATGGTATTTCTAGTTCTAGATCCCTGAGGAATCGCCACAATGACTTCCATAATAGTTGAACTAGTTTACAGTCCCACCAACAGTGTAGAAGTGTCCCTATTTCTCCACATCCTCTCCAGCACCTGTTGTTTCCTGACTTTTAATGATTGTCATTCTAACTTGTGTGAGATGATATCTCATTGTGGTTTTGATTTGCATTTCTCTGATGACCAGTGATGGTGAGCATTTTTTCGTGTGTCTTTTGGCTGCATAAATGTCTTCTTTTGAGAAGTGTCTGTTCATATCCTTCACCCACTTTTTGAATGGGG
The DNA here is from genome assembly GCF_000001405.40 of Homo sapiens. Taxonomy (NCBI): domain Eukaryota; kingdom Metazoa; phylum Chordata; class Mammalia; order Primates; family Hominidae; genus Homo; species Homo sapiens. The sequence continues at coordinate 67,271,723 of NC_000023.11, read as the reverse complement.
TTGTTTTTTCTTGTAAATTTGTTTGAGTTCGTTGTAGATTCTGGATATTAGCCCTTTGTCAGATGAGTAGATTGCAAAAATTTTCTCCCATTCTGTAGCTTGCCTGTTTACTCTGATGGTAGTTTCTTTTGCTGTGCTGAAGCTCTTTAGTTTAATTAGATCCCATTTGTCAATTCTGGCTTTTGTTGCCATTGCTTTTGGTGTTTTAGACATGAAGCCCTTGCCCATGCCTATGTCCTGAATGGTATTGCCTAAGTTTTCTTCTACGGTTTTTATGGTTTTAGGTCTAACATTTAAGTCTTTAATCCATCTTGAGTTAATTTTTGTATAAGGTGTAAGGAAGGGATCCAGTTTCAGCTTTCTACATATGGCTAGCCAGTTTTCCAACACCATTTATTAAATAGGGAATCCTTTCCCCATTGCTTGTTTTTTTGAGGTTTGTCAAAGATCAGATGGTTGTAGATATGTGGCATTATTTCGGAGGGCTCTGTTCTGTTCCATTGGTCTATATCTCTGTTTTGGTACCAGTACCATGCTGTTTTGGTTACTGTAGCCTTGTAGTATAGTTTGAAGTCAGGTAGCATGATGCCTCCAGCTTTGTTCTTTTGGATTAAGGTTGTCTTGTCAATGCGGGCTCTTTTTTGATTCCATATGAACTGTAAAGTAGTTTTTTCCAATACTTTGAAGAAAGTCATTGGTGGCTTGATGGGGATGGCATTGAATCTATGAATTACCTTGGGCAGTATGGCCATTTTCATGATATTGATTCTTCTTAGCCATGAGCATGGAATGTTCTTCCATTTGTTTGTATCCTCTTTTATTTCGTTGAGCAGTGGTTTCTAGTTCTCCTTGGAGAGGTCCTTCACATCCCTTGTAAGTTGGATTCCTAGGTATTTTATACTCTTTGAAGCAATAGTGAATGGGAGTTCACTCATGATTTGGCTCTCTGTTTGTCTGTTATTGGTGTATAAGAATGCTTGTGATTTTTGCACGTTGATTTTGTATCCTGAGACTTTGCTGAAGTTGCTTATCAACTTAAGGAGATTTTGGGCTGAGACAATGGGGTTTTCTAGGTATACAATCATGTCATCTGCAAACAGGGACAATTTGACTTCCTCTTTTCCTAATTGAATGCCCTTTATTTCCTTCTCCTGCCTGATTGCCCTGGCCAGAACTTCCAACATTATGTTGAATAGGAGTGGTGAGAGAGGGCATCCCTGTTTTGTGCCAGTTTTCAAAGGGAATGTTTCCATTTTTTTCCCATTCAGTATGATATTGGCTGTGGGTTTGTCATAGATAGCTCTTATTATTTTGAGATATGTCCCATCAATACCTAATTTATTGAGAGTTTTTAGCATGAAGCATTGTTGAATTTTGTTAAAGGCCTTTTTTGCATCTATTGAGGTAATCATATGGTTTTTGTTGTTGGTTCTGTTTATATGCGGGATTACGTTTATTGATTTGCATACATTGAACCAGCCTTGTATCCCAGGGATGAAGCCCACTTGATCATGGTGCATAAGTTTTTTAATGTTCTGCTGGATTCTGTTTGCCAGTATTTTATTGAGGATTTTTGCATCGATGTTCATCAGTGATATTGTTCTAAAATTCTCTTTTTTTGGTTGTGTCTCTGCCAGGCTTTGGTATCAGGGTAATGCTGGCCTCATAAAATGAGATAGGGAGGATTCCCTCTTTTTCTATTGATTGGAGTAGTTTCAGAAGGAATGGTATCAGCTCCTGTTTGTACCTCTGGTAGAATTCGGCTGTGAATCCATCTGGTCCTGTACTTTTTTTGGTTGGTGAGCTATTAATTATTGCCTCAAATTCAGATTCTGTTCTTGGTCTATTTAGAGATCCCACTTCTTCCTGGTTTAGTCTTGGGAGGGTGTATGTGTCGAGGAATTTATCCATTTCTTCCAGATTTTCTAGTTTATTTGCATATAGGTGTTTATAGTATTTTCTGATGGTAGTTTGTATTTCTGTGGGATCAGTGGTGATATCCCCTTTATCATTTTTATTGCATCTATTTTATTCTTCTCTCTTTTCTTCTTCATTAGTCTTGCTAAGGGTCTGTCAATTCTGTTGGTCCTTTCAAAAAACCAGCTCCTGTATTCATTGATTTTTTGAAGGGTTTTTTATGTCTCTGTTTCCTTCAGTTCTGCTCTGATCTTGATTATTTCTTGCCTTCTGCTAGCTTTTGAATGTGTTTGCTCTTGCTTCTCTAGTTCTTTTAATTGTGATGTTAGGGTGTCAATTTTAGATCTTTCCTGCTTCCTCTTGTGGGCATGTAGTGCTATAAATTTCCCTCTACACACTGCTTTGAATGGGTCCCAGAGATTCTGCTATGTTGTGTGTTTGTTTTCACTGGTTTCAAAGAACATCTTTATTTCTGCCTTCATTTCGTTATGTACCCAGTAGTCATTCAGGAGCAGGTTGTTCAGTTTCCATTTAGTTGAGTGGTTTTGAGTGAGTTTCTTAATCCTGAGTTCTAGTTTGATTGCACTGTGGTCTGAGAGGCAGTTTGTTATAATTTCTGTTCTTTTATATTTGTTGAGGAGAGGTTTACTTCCAACTTTGTGGTCAATTTTGGAATAAGTGCACTGTGGTGCTGAGAAGAATGTATATTCGGTTGGTTTGGGGTGGAGATTTCTGTAGATGTCTATTAGGTCCACTTGGTGCAGAGCTGAGTTCAATTCCTGGGTATCCTTGTTAACTTTCTGTCTCATTGATCTGTCTAATGTTGATAGTGGGGTGTTAAAGTCTCCCATTATTATTGTGTGGGAGTCTAAGTCTCTTTGTAGGTCTCTAAGGACTTGCTTTATGAATTTGGGTTCTCCTGTATTGGGTGCATATATATTTAAGATAGTTAGCTCTTCTTGTTGAATTGATCCCTTTACCATTATGTAATGGCCTTCTTTGTCTCTTTTGATCTTTGTTGATTTAAAGTCTGTTTTATCAGAGACTAGGATTGCAACCCCTGCCTTTTTTTGTTTTCCATTTGCTTGGTAGATCTTCCTCCATCCCTTTATTTTGAACCTATGTGTGTCCCTGCACTTGAGATGGGTTTCCTGAATACAGCACACTGATTGGTCTTGACTCTTTATCCAATTTGCCAGTGTGTGTCTTTTAATTGGAGCATTTAGCCCATTTACATTTAAGGTTAATATTGTTATGTGTGAATTTGATCCTGTCATTATGATGTTAGCTGGTTATTTTGCTCGTTAGTTGATGCAGTTTCTTCCTAGCCTCCATGATCTTATATTGGGAATACTTGTATGTCTCACAAGAAAATTATTAGAACTGATGAACAGACTCAGTGTAATGGTGGCATATAAAATCAGCATACAAAAATCAGTAGCATTTCTGTATGCTAACAGTGAACAATGTGAAAATGAAATTAAAAATGTAATCCCAGAATAACCACGCATAAAATTAAATACCAAGGAATTAACTTACCCAAAAAAGGAAAATATCTCTGCAATAAAAAGTATAAAAGACAGACGAAATAAATTAAAAACAATATCAAAATAATGCAAAAACATTCTATGTTGATGGATTCAAAAAATCAATATTGTTTTAATGTCCGTAACCACCCAAAGCAATCTATGCATTCAATGCAATCCCGGTCAAAGTACCAATGACATTAATCACAGTAATAAATAATCTTAAAATATATATGAATCCAAAAAACCCAGAATAGCTAAAGCTATACTAAGGAAAAAAAATGAAAATAAAACAAAACACAACAGGAAAAATCACATTCCCTGACTTAAAATTATACTACAGCATTTTAATAACAAAAAAAAAAGCATGGCAGTGGCATATAAACTGATACATAGACCAATGGAACAGAATAGAAAACCCAGAAATAAATCCACACACCTAGTGTGCACTCATTTTTGACAAAGTTGCCAAGAACATAAACTGGGGAAAATAAAGTGTCTTCAATAAATGATGTCAAAAATCTATATATCCATATGCAGAAGAATGAAACTAGATTACTATCTCTCACCATGTACAAAACTAAAATCAAAATGGATTAAACACTTAAGTATAAGACTTCAAACTATAAAACTACTACAAGCAAATATTTGGGAAATTCTCCAAGACATTGGACTGGGCCAGAATTTCTCGAGTAATACCCTACAAACCCAGGCAACCAAAGCAAAAATGGACAAATGGAATCACATTCAGTTAAAAATGTCAGCACAGAAAAGGATAAAATCAAAAGTGAAGAGACAACCCATAGAATGGGAGAAAATATTTCTAGACTACCCATCTGACAAGGATTTAACGGCCAGAATGTATAAGGAGTTTAAAAAACTCTACAGAAAAAAAAAATTATAATTCAATCAAAAGATAGGCACGAGATTTGAATAGACATTTCTCAAAAGAAGGCATACAGAAGGCAAATGTGCATGAAAAGGTGCTCAACATCATTGATTATCTGAGAAATGCAAATTGAAGCTACAAGGCGATATCATCTCACCACAGTTAAATGGCTTACATCCAAAAGACAGGTAAAAATAAATGCTGGCAAGGGTGCAGAGAAAAGGGAACCCTTATACACTGTTGGTGCAAATGTAAATTTGTACCACTCTAGCCACTCTAGACAATAGTTTTGAGGTTCCTCAAGAAACTAAAAATAGAGCTACCATATTATCCATCAGTCGCACAGCAGGGTATATACCCAAAAGAAAGAGAATCAGTTTATCAAAGATATATCTGTGCTTTTATGTTTGTTGCAGCACTTTTTACAATAGCTAAGATTTGGAAGCAGCCTAAGTGTGCACCAACAGATGAATGGGTAAGGAATATGTGTTGCACATACACATTGGAATACTATTAAGTCATAAAAATAAATGAAATCCAGTCATTTGAAACAACCTGAATAGAACTAGACATTATTATATTATGTGAAATAAGCCAGTCACAGAAAGACAAACATCATATATTCTATCTTATTTGGGGGACCTAAAAATCAAACAATTGAACTCATGGACCTAGAGAGTTGAAGAATGGTTATGAGAGGTTGTGAAGGATAGTGTGGGGCTCGTGGAGAGGCAGTGAGGATGGTTAATGGGTATAAAAAATGGAAAGAATTAGGAAGACCTAGTATTTGATAGCACAGCAAGGTGACTAGAGTCAATAATACCTGAATTGTACACTCTAAAATTACTTGAAAGTGTTACTGGTTATTTTGTAACTCAAAGGATAAATGCTTGATGAGATGAATAACCCATTCTTCATAATGTGCTTATTTCATATTGCATGCCTGTTTCAAAACCTCATGTACTTTATAAGAATATACACCTACTATATACCAACAAAAATATTAAAAAATACAAAAGACACAACAAATACACAAATAGTAAAAAGCAAGGAATCAAAACTTACCATCTGAGAAAATTACCTTCATCAAAAGAAAGACAAGAAGAATGGAAAGAAAGGAAAAAAGTCCACAAAACAGCAAGAAAACAAACAACAACAACCAAAAAGTGGCAGGAGAAAATTCTTTTTTATGAATAATAACATTGAATGTAAGAGGATATAACTCTCCAATCAGATATAGAATGGTTGAATTAATTTAAAAAAAAAGATCTAATGATCTGCTGCCTACAAGAAACACACTTTACCTAAAGACACAGATAGACTGGAAATAAAAGGATAGGAAAAGATATCTGATGCAAATGAAAACAAAAAGAGAGGGGAAGTAGCTATAGACATATTAAATTTCAAAACAAAAATTATAAAAACAGATTTAAAAAGTTATTAAATAATGATAGAGAAATCAATTCAGCAAATAAGTATGACAATTTGAAATATATATGCACCCAACACTAGAGCACTCAGATATATAAATAAGATATTATTAGAGTCAAAGAGAGAGATAGATCCCAATACAGCAAAAGCTAAATACTTCAACACAGCATCGTCAGTATTGGACAGATCATCCAGACAAAAAAATCAGTAAGGACACATTGCATTTAATCTGCACTATAGACCAAGTGGACCTAATATATATTTACAGAATATTTCATCCAATGTCTGCAGAGCATACATTTTTCTCCTCAGCACACAGATCATTCTCAAAGACAAGTAATATATTAGGCTGCAAAGCAAGTTTCCAAAAACATAAATAATTGAAATTATAACACATATCTTCTATGACCACAATGGGATAAAACTAGAAATCAATAATGAAGAATTTGGGAACTTATACAAGCACATGGAAATTAAACAATACACTCTTGAATAACCAGTGGGTCAATGAAGAAATTCAGTAGGGAATTAAACAATGTTTTGGAATAAATAAAAATAAAAATGCAACATACTAAAGCCAGTGGGATACAGTGAAAGTAGTACTAACAGAAATTTTTATAGTAATAAGAACTTACATCAATAAAGTAGAAAAACTTTAAATAAAAAAATTAATGATGCATGTTAAAGAACTAGAAAAGCAAGAGCAAACCAAACCCAAAATTAGTTGAAAAAAGTAATAAAAAATGGCAAAATGAATAAAATTTAAATAAAAACAATACAAAAATCTATAAAATAAAAAGTAGATTTTCTGAAAAGATGAGCAAAATTGACAAACCTTTAGCCAGACTAAGAAAAAAAGAGAGATCCAAATAAATAAAATCAGACATACAAAAGGAGACATCAGAACTGATACCACAGAAAGTCAAAGGATCACTAGAGGCTACTGTGAGCAACTATATGCCAATATATTGAAAAAGATAAAATGAATGGATAAATTACTAGACTCATACAGCCTAGCAAGATTGAACTATGAAGAAATCCAAAACCTTAACAGACCAATAGTAAATAATGAGATCAAAGCTCTAATAAAAGGTTTTCTAGCAAAGAAAAGCCTGCGACCCAATGGCTTCACTGCTGAATTTAATAAAACTGTTAAAGAAGAATACCAATCCTAATGAAACTATTCCAAGAAATAGAGGAGAAGAGAATATTTCCAAATTTATCTTCAAGGCCAATATTACTTTCATAACAACACCAAAGACACATTAGAAAGAAAAAACCCTACACATCAATATCCCTGATAAATATTGGTGCAAAAATCCTCAACAAAATACTAGCAAATTGAATTCAATGACACATTACAAATATCATTTATCATGACCAAGTTGGATTTATCCCTGGTATGCAAGGTCAGTTGAACATATGCAAATCAAACAATGTGGCACATCATATGAACAGAATGAAGGACAAAAACCATATGATCCTTTCATTTGATGCTGAAAAGCATTTGATAAAATGTAATATCCCTTCATGATAAGAATCCTCAAAAAAACTGGGAAAAGAAAGAACATACCTCAACCCAGGAAAAGCCATATACAACAGAGCCAAGGCTAGTATCATACTGAATGGGAAAAAACTGAAAGCATTTTTTTCTAAGGTCAGTAACATAAGAAGGATGCTCACTCTCATCATTGTTATTCAACATCGTACTGGAATTCCTAGCTAGAGAAATCAGAACAGAGAACAAAATAAAAGGCATCCAAATTTGAAAGAAAGTAGTCAAACTGTCCTTATTTGCAGATGATATGATCTTATACTTGGAAATACCTAAGGACTATAGCAAAATACTATTAGAACTGGCAAACAAATTTGGTAGAGTTGCAGGACACAATCAACATGCAAATATCAGTAGCATTTCTGTATACCAATGGGGTATGATCTGAAAAAGAAATCATGAAAGTCATCCTGTTTACAATCACTACAAATAAAATTAAATACCTAGGGTTTCACTTAAGCTAAAATATGAAATATTTGTACAATAAAAAAATAAAATATTGATGCAAGAAATTGAAGAGGACACAAGAAATGGAAAGATATTTCATGTTCATGGATTGGAAGAATCATTATATTTAAAATGTCTATACTACTCAAAGCAATCTACTGATTCAATGCATTCTCTATCAAAATACCAATGACATTTTTTACCAAAATAGAAAAAACAATCCCAAAATATATACAATACCACAAAAGACCCAGAATAGTGAAAGCTATCCCAAGCAAAAAGAACAGAACTGGTGGAATCACATTACCTGACTTCAAATTATACTACAGAGCTACAATAACCAAAATAACATGGTACTGGCATAAAAACAGACACATACACTACTGAAATATATTAAAGAACCCCAAAACGAATCCTTGCATATACAGTGAACTCATTTTTGACAAAGGTTCTAAAAACATACATTTGGGAATAGACTGTCTTTTCAATAAGTGGTGCTGAGAAAACCGGATTTGAATATGCAAAATAATAAAACTAGTTCCCTATCTCACATCACATACAAAAATCAAATAAAAATGGGTTAAAGACTAAATCTAAGATCTCCCACTATTAAACTACTAAAAGAATACGGATAAACTCTTCAGAACATTAAACTGAGCAAGGATTTCTTGAGTAATATCCCACAAGCACAGGAAACCAAAGAAAAAATGGACAAATGTTCATGGACAAATGATCACAAACAGTTAAAAAAATTCTGCATGGAAAAGGACATAATCAACAAAGTGAAGGAAAAACCAAAAAATGGGACAAAATATTTGCAAACTATTCATACGACAAGAGATCAATAACAAGAATATATAAGAAGCTCACACAACTCCATAGAAAAAAATCTAATAATTTGGTTAAAAATGGGCAAAATATTTGAATATACATTTTTCAAAGGAATACACACAAATAGCAAACAGATATATAAAAAGATGCTCAACATCATTGATCATCAGATAAATGAAAATTAAAACTATAATGAGATATTATCTTACTTCAGTTGAAATGGCTTTTATTCAAAAGACAGGCAATAGTGAATGCTGGCTAGGATGTGGAGAAAAGGGAATCCTTATACACTGTTTGGTGGGAATGTGAATTAGTACAACAACTATAAAGAACAGTTTGGGGGAATCCTCAAAATCTAGAAATAGATATACCATTTGTTCCAGCAGTTTTATTGCTCAGTATTTTTCCAAAAGAAAGGAAATCAGTATATCAAAGAGGTTATCTGCATTCCCATGTTTGTTGCAGCACTGTTCACAATAGCCATGATTTGGAAGCAACCTAAGTGTCCTTCAACACATGAATGGATAAAGAAAACGTGCTCCATATACATGATGTAATACTATTAAGCCATAAAAAAGAATGAAATTCAGTCATTTTTAACAACACAGATGGAATTAAGGTAATTATGTTAAGTGAAATAAGCCAGGCAGAGAAGTTGGCATGTCTTCACTTATTCAATTGAGCTCATGGAGATAGACAGTAGAATGTTGGTTATCAGAGTCTGGAAAGGGTATCTGTGGCAAGGAGTGCAGATAAATAATGTGTACAAAAATATAGTTATAATAAATAAGTTTTAGTCTTTTATACCGCAACAGGGTGAGTACAGTCAATGATATTTATTGAAAATTTTAAGGTATTTGTAAGAGTATAATTGGATTCTTTGTAATGCTTGGAAAGGATAAATGCTTGAGGTGATGCATAACCCCATTTACTCCAATATGTTTATAATGCGTTGTATGACTGTGCCAAAACAGCTCAAGTACCCCATAATGACATACACTATGTACCCACAGAAAATAAAAATAACAAAATTTAAATAAATCTCATATCTTGAAGGTCATCTGACCAATTTCTCAGTGGAGTTACCTTCCCTCACAAAGTATATGAAAATGTTCTGTGTGTTTCAGTTCCTTTCATAGTTTCTTCTCATGAACTTTTTTCTCGCAGGAGTCTTTGGTCTTTGAAACTCATGAAAACATGTACATCAGAGCTGGGTGGCCTTTAAAGAACACCTATTCCAACTTTCATTTTAATAGATAAAAAGAGAGGGCAAGGAATTTGACCTCTTGTCAAATGATCTCTAGTTTCCAATCATCTCTAATAACCAAAAATATTTTCTGTTTATCTGGGGTAGCTTATTAAGGTTAGATCTCGCCAATGGTTTTAGGTTCCAAAGATGTGGGAGTAAAATCAGAAATTATGTAGTCCAGCAGGATAAACCCAGATCATCCAAGGAGATGTTTGTCTGACTTATTCTTTAACATTTTCAGTGATGACACTTTTTTATTCCTCTTGACAGGTTATTCTTGTGTTTCCTGTTTCTTGTGTTCTGGTGCCTAGTAGAGTGCTGGACATATGGTAGATGGTCAATAAATATTTGTTGAATACGTTTTTGGAGGGGTCCTTATCTCCTTGTCTTTCTTTTTATTCACAAATTCTGCATGTATTTATCACTAGAATAGTACAAGAACTATTTGAAATTGGATAAATGGAGAAAAAGATGTATATTCACTCAGATTTCACTATTGTAACATTAATGTTGATGAGATTTTGTTGTATTGTTATCCAGGGTTTTGAAACACATTTCTATGTGTACATTACTTAAAATGCAAATAAGCTTTTCCATGTATCTTACTATCGTGTTTTCTCACTTTACCTTATCTTACAGATATTTTTCTGTTATTATATACTCTTTTACAACCATTATTTTTATGGCTGCATCATACTATTAATGTCCTTATTTGGGGGAATAGCCATGAAGTCCTCATGTCCTGTGTTTTATTGCATCCTTTTCTCCAATATTATAAACAAGCACCAATAAATACCAGGCCACCTGAACTTTTTGACTGTCAAAACCGCTCACTTCCAAACATTTTTCTGACAATATTCATGAGGTAGAATATCCAGTGAAACCCATTTTTTCTTTCTCCTTACCCATAAAGACTCATATACATGAGCAAAGTGAGCTCTCACTGTTGTTCTACAAATACTGTTATACATACTAAATTTCTGCATTTATAGTTTAAATAAAACTAATTGAAACCCTGAAGTAGGACATACTTAGGTGAATTCAAGCATGAAGAAAATTCATGAATAAGAAAGCCTTTAAATCATAAAAAGTTAGAAGATCTTAAGGGTGGTAGTATATGTGTGTTGTGGTGGCACTGTACAATGACTGAGAAGAAAAACTAATTGCAGTTTACTTCCAGGCAGGGCAAGATGAAGAGAAGTGGCCAGCTCTTCTCTGGTCAATTTGGGAATATTTCCTGGAAACATTACCTCTGTCCACCATCAAATATTATTTTTGACCTCAGACATGTGAACATGTGGTTATCTATGGGACTGGGTAACAAGGTGTGTGTGAGGATGAGCTTTTCTTATATTAGATATGGTTTTGCAATATGATAAGGTAAATGAAAGAAGTCAATGTTATTTCCAGGAGTGTTCTGAGAGACACTGTGTCATGGAACAATGTGACATTGATGAGATGGCACCTAGGATGTCTGAGTCAGTGTGGGACCATCAGAGGCTCCAGATGATGAGGACACAGAGAGGCATGTAAGAAAGCGGCTGTAGACATGATTGATAAAGTGGGAAGACATGATTGGCAGGGAAAGATTAAAGAAGCTGTGTTACTCAATGAGGAGGCACAGAGGGTAGACCACATATTCCTCTATAAATATCTGAAAGATATTAGCACCATTAGAAGGAAAACTTTTTCTGGAGTGGAGTAAGCTTGGATAGCTAGGATTCATAGATGGATGTAAAGGAAGATATTTAAAAGAACTGGTTTCCCTTCAGGCTGCTTAAAAATGTTATTAAAATATTGACAACATATATAGCAAGGAAAATGATAAATGACAAAGGACACTGCCCCATGTTTCTGGATCAAGGTTTTTAAGGTTTGCTGCTGTGCCAGGCAATACTTGTTACTGGGGAAAACTGGGAGTGGTACTGGGAAAACCACGGCAATGAAGAATAAACTTGAGAGGCATGAGGTGGCTAATTGCCAACTAGTAAAAATTGTTTCAATGTTTTTTTTTGCTTGTAATAATTTATTATTATTATTATTATACTTTAAGTTTTAGGGTACATGTGCACAATGTGCAGGTTAGTTACATATGTATATATGTGACATGCTGGTGCGCTGCAACCACTAACTCGTCATCTAGCATTAGGTATATCTCCCAGTGCTATCCTTCCCCCCTACCCCCACCCCACAACAGTCCCCAGAGTGTGATGTTCCCCTTCCTGTGTCCATGTGTTCTCATTTTTCAATTCCCACCTATGAGTGAGAATATGCAGTGTTTGGTTTTTTGTTCTTGTGATAGTTTACTGAGAATGATGATTTCCAACTTCATCCATTTCCCTACAAAGGACATGAACTCATCATTTTTTATGGCTGCATAGTATTCCATGGTGTATATGTGCCACATTTTCTTAATCCAGTCTATCATTGTTGGACATTTGGGTTGGTTCCAAGTCTTTGCTATTGTGAATAGTGCCACAATAAACATACGTGTGCATGTGTCTTTATAGCAGCATGATTTATAGTCCTTTGGGTATATACCCAGTAATGGGATGGCTGGGTCAAATGGTATTTCCAGTTCTAGATCCCTGAGGAATCGCCACACTGACTTCCACAAGGGTTGAACTAGTTTACAGTCCCACCAACAGTGTAAAAGTGTTCCTATTTCTCCACATCCTCTCCAGCACCTGTTGTTTCCTGACTTTTTAATGATTGTCATTCTAACTGGTGTGAGATGATATCTCATTGTGGTTTTGATTTGCATTTCCCTGACGGCCAGTTATGGTGAGCATTTGTTCATGTGAAAAACAAGCAATGGGGAAAGGATTCCCTATTTAATAAATGGTGCTGGGAAAACTGGCTAGCCATACGTAGAAAGCTGAAACTGGATCCCTTCCTTACACCTTATACAAAAATCAATTCAAGATGGATTAAAGACTTAAACGTTAGACCTAAAACCATAAAAACCCTAGAAGAAAACCTAGGCATTACCATTCAGGACATAGGCATGGACAAGGACTTCATATCTAAAACACCAAAAGCAATGGCAACAAAAGCCAAAATTGACAAATGGGATCTAATTAAACTAAAGAGCTTCTGCACAGCAAAAGAAACTACCATGAAAGTGAACAGGCAACCCACAAAATGGGAGAAAATTTTCGCAACCTACTCATCTGACAAAGGGCTAATATCCAGAATCTACAATGAACTCAAACAAATTTACAAGGAAAAAACAAACAACCCCATCAAAAAGTGGGCGAAGGACATGAACAGACACTTCTTAAAAGAAGACATTTATGCAGCCAAAAAACACATGAAAAAATGTTTCAATGTTTTATAAATCAGTATGGCCGTACAACAGAGGTTCTCAACTGAGGGTGGTTTTGCTCTCTAGGGAATATTTAGAAATATCTGCAGTTTTTTTAATTTTAAAAATTTTTAATTTTTCTGGGTACATAGTAGGTGAATATATTTATGGGGTACATGACATGTTTTTATACAAGCATTCAATGCATAATCATCACATCATGGAGAATGGGGAATCCATTTCTTAAGCATGTATATTTTAAATTTAAAACAACTCAATTACACTTTTAGTTATTTTTAAATGTACAATGAAATTATTGACTATAGTCACTCTGTAGTGCTATAAAATAGTAGTTTTTGTTATTTCTGTATTTTGTACCCAATAGCCATTGCACATCCCCCCAAATCCTACTACACTTTCCAGACTCTATTAACCATCATTCCACTGTCTATCTCCATGAGCTTTTAGATTCCACAAATAAATGAAAACATGCAATGTTTGTTTTTCTATGCCTGGCTTATTTCATTTAACATAATGATCACTAGTTCTATCCATGTTGTTGAAAATGACAGGATCTCTTTTTTTTATGGTTGAACAATACTCCATTGTGTAGAAGTACCACATTTTCTTTATCCATTCATTTGTTGGGGGTATTGCTGTTGATGGACACTTAGATTGCTGCTAAATTTTAGCTATTGTGAACCATACTGCAACTAATATAGGAGTTCAGATATCTCTTTGAGACATTGATTTCCTTTCTTTGGGATATACCCCTAGCAGTGGGATTGCTGGATCATACGGTAGTACAATTTTTAACTTTTTTGAAAAACCTTTAAACTGTTCTCCATAGTGGTTGCACTAATTTATACAAATTTACTTGCCCACTAACAATGCATGAAGGGTCCCTTTATTTGACATCCTCGCAAGCATTTGTTACTGGTTGTATTTGGATATACACCATTTTAACTGGTGTGAGATGATATCTCATTGTAGTTTTGATTTACATTTCTCTGATAATCAATGATGTTGAGCATCTTTCATATGCCTGTTTGCCAGTAGTATGTCTTCTCTTGAGAAACATCTATTCAAATCTTGTGCCCATCTTTTGACCAGATTATGAGAGGTTTTTCATATACAGTTGTTTGAGCTCCTAATATATTCTAGTTATTAATCGCTTGTCAGATGGGTAGTTTGGAAATATTTTCTCCCATTACATGGGCTGTCTCTTTACTTTGTCAATTGTTACTTTTATTGTGCAAGAGCTTTTTAACTTAATGTAATCCCACTTGTCCATTTTATTGCTTTGGTTGCCGGTGCTTGTGGTTTATTGCTCAAGAAATTTTTGCCCAGAAAAATGCCCTGAAGATTTTCTCCAATATTTTCATGTAGTAGTTTCATAGTTAGAGGTCTTAGATTCAAGTATTTATTGCATTTTTATTTTATTTTTTATATGGTGAGACAGAGGGGTCTAGTTTCATTCTTCTACATATTGATATCCAGTTTTCCCAGCATCATTTTTTTTTGAGGAGACTCTTTTTTTTCAAACATATGCTCCTAGCATCTTTGTCAAAAAGGAGTTACTATAGGTGTGTGGATTTTTTTTCTGGGTTCTGTATTATTAGTATTATATTGAGATGGTGTCTCACTCTGTTGCCCAGGCTGGAGTGCAGTGGCACCATCTCAGCTCACTGCAACTTCCACCTCAGCCTCCTGAGTAGCTGGGATTACAGGCATGCACCACCATACTCGGCTAATTTTTGTATCTTTAGTAGAGACGGAATTTCACCTTGTTGGCCAGGCTGGTCTCGAACTCGTGACCTCAAGTGATCTGCCTGCCTTGGCCTCCCAAAGTGCTGGGATCACAGGCATCAGCCACCATGCCTAGCCCTGGGTTCTGTATTCTATTCCATTCCTTCATGTCTCTATTTTTATGCCAGGACTATGCTGTTTTATATGCTATGGCTCTGTAGTATAATTTGAAGTCAGGTAACGTGATTTCTCCAGTTTTGTTATTTCTGCTCAGGGTAGCTTTTGCTACTCTATGTTTTTTTCTTTTAATTCTATGTAAATTTTAGTAATTTTTTTCTGTTTTGTGAAAAATGTCATTGGCATTTTGATAGAAAATGCATTGATTTTGTAGATTGCTTTGAGTCATATGGACATTTTAACATTATTGATTCTTCAAATTTATGAACAAGGATTTTTTTTAAATTTTGGGGGTCCCCTCCGTGTGTCCATATGTTCTCATTGTTCAGCTTTCACTTATGAATGAGAACATGTGGTGTTTGATTTTCTGTTCCTGTGTTAGTTTGCTGAGAATGATGGTTCCCAGCTTCATCCATGTCTCTGCAAAGGACATGAACTCATCCTATTTTATGGATGCATAGTATTCCAAGGTGTATATGTGCCATATTTTCTTTATCCAGTCTATCATTGATGGGCATTTGGGTTGTTTCCAAATCTTTGCCATTGTGAACAGTGCTGCAATAAACATACGTGCGCATGTGTCTTTATATTAGAATGATTTATAATCCTTTGAGTCTATACCCAGTAATGGGATTGCTGGGTCAAATGGTATTTCTGGTTCTAGAACCTTGAGAAATCACCACACTGCCTTCCATAGTGTTTGAACTAATTTACACTCACACCGACAGTGCAAAAGTGTTCCTATTTCTCCACATCCTCTCCAGTATCTGTTGTTTCCTTACTTTTTATGATCGCCATTCTAACTGACCTGAGATGTTATCTCATTGTGGTTTTGATTTGCATTTACCTAATAAACAGTGATGATGAAGTCTTTTTCATATATTTGTTGGCTACATAAATGTCTTCTTTTGAGAAGTGTCTTTTCATATCCTTTGCCCACTTTTTGATGGGGCTGTTTGCTTTTTTCTTATAAATTTATTTAAGTTCTTTGTACATTCTGGATATTAGCCCTTTGTCAGATGGATAGATTGCAAAAATTTTCCCCCATTCTGTAGGTTGCCTGTTCACTCTGATGATAATTTATTTTGCTGTGCAGAAGTTATTTTAATTAGATCCCATTTGTCAATTTTGGCTTTTGTTGTTATTGCTTTTGGTGTTTTAGTCATGAAGTCTTTGCCCATGTATGTGTCCTGAATGGTATTGCCTAGGTTTTCTTCTAGGGTTTTTACAGTGTTAGGAATTATGTATAAGTCTTTATGCATCTTGAGTTAATTTTTGTAATAGCTGTAAGAAAGGGGTTCAGTTTCAGTTTTCTGCATATGGCTAGCCAGATTTCCAACACCGTTTATTAAATAGGAAATCCATTTCTCTTTGCTTGTTTGTGTCAGGTTTGTCAAAGGTCAGATGTTTGTGGATGTGTGGCATTATTTCTGAGGCCTCTGTTTTGTTCCATTGGTTTATATATCTGTTTTCATTTTTGTATAAGGTGTAAGGAAGGGATCCAGTTTCAGCTTTCTACATATGGCTAGCCAGTTTTCCAGCACCATTTATTAAATAGGGAATCCTTTCCCCATTGCTTGTTTTTGTCAGGTTTGTCAAAGATCAGACGGTTGTAGATATGCCGCATTATTTCTGAGGGCTCTGTTCTGTTCCATTGGTCTATATCTCTGTTTTGGTACCAGTACCATGCTGTTTTGGTTATTGTAGCCTTGCAGTATAGTTTGAAGTCAGGTAGCGTGATGCCTCCAGCTTTGTTTTTTGCTTAGGATTGTCTTGTCTATATGAGGTTTTTTTTTGTTCCATATGAAATTTACAATAGTTTTTTCTAGTTCTGTGAAGAAAGTCAATGGTAGCTTGATGGGAATAGTATTGAATCTATAAATTACTTTGGGCAGCATGACAATTTTCATGATATTGATTCTTCCTATCCATGAACATGAAATATTTTTCCATTTGTTTGTGTCCTCTCTTATTTCCTTGAGCAGAGGTTTATAGTTCTCTTTGAAGAGTTCCTTCACATCCATTTCTAGCTGGATTTCTAGGTAATTTATTATCTTTGTAGCAATTGTGAATGGGAGTTCACTCGTGATTTGGCTGTGTTTGTCTATTATTGGTGTATAGGAATGCTTGTAATTTTTGCACATTGATTTTGTATCCTGAGACTTTGCTGAAGTTGCTTATCAACTTAAGGAGATTTTAGGCTGAGACAATGGGGTTTTCTAAATATACAATGATGTCATCTGCAAACAGACAATTTGACTTTCTTTCTTTCTATTTGAATACCTTTAATTTTGTTTCTTTCTTGATTTCCCTGGCCAGAACTTCCAGTACTATGTTGAATAGGAGGGGTGAGAGAGGGCACCCTTGTCTTGTGCTGGTTTTCAAGAGAATGCTTCCAGCTTTGGCCCTTTTAGTATGATGTGTGTTTGTCATAAATAGCTCTTATTATTTTGATATATGTTCCATCAATATCTAGTTTATTGAATGTTTTAAGCGTGAAATGGTGTTGAATTTTATCGAAGGCCTTTTCTGTATCTATTTAGATAATCATGTGGTTTTTGTCATTTGTTCTGTTTATGTTATGATTCCATTTTTTGACTTGCGTATGTTGAACCAGCCTTGCATCCCAGGGATGAAGCCGACTTAATCGTGGTGGATAAGTTTTTGATGTGCTCTTGGATTCAGTTTGCCAGTACTTTGTTGATGATTTCTGCATCAATATTCATCAGGGATATTGGGCTGAAATTTTGTTGTTGTTGTGTCTCTGCCAAGTTTTGGTAACAGGATGCTGCTTGCCTCAAAAAATGAGTTAGGGAGGAGTCCCTTTTTGTCTATTCTTTGGAATAGTTTCAGAAGGAATGGTACCAGCTCCTCTTTGTACCTTTGTTAGAATTCGACTGTGAATACGTCTGCTCCTGTGTTTTTTTGGTTGGTAGGCTATTAATTACTGCCTCAATTTTGGAATTTGTTATTGGTGTACTCAGGGATTTTACTTCTTCCTGGTTTAGTTTTGTAGTGTTTATGTGTCCAGGAATTTATCCATTTCTTCTAGATTCTCTTGTTTATTTACATAGAAGTTTTTATAGTATTCTCTGAGGGTAGTTTCTACTTCTATGGGATCAGTTGTTATATCCCCTTTATCATTTTTTATTGTATCTATTTGATTCTCCTCTCTTTTGTCCTTTATTAGTCTGCCTAGAGGTCTATCTAATTTGTTAATCTTAAAAAAAAAAAACAAGCTCCTGAATTCATTGATTTTTTGAAGGGTTTTTTGTGTCTCCATCTCCTTCAGTTCTGCTCTGATCTTAGTTATTTCTTGTCTTCTGCTAGCTTTTGAATTTGTTTGCTCTTGCTTCTCTAGTTCTTTTAATTGTGATGTTAGGGTGTCAATTTTAGATCTTTCCTGATTTTTCCTGTGGGCATTTAGTGCTAATAATTTTTTTCTAAACACTGCTTTACATATGTCCCAGAGATTCTGGTACATTATGTCTTTGTTCTGATTGGTTTCAAAAAACTTTGTTATTTCTGCCTTAATATCGTTATTTACCCAGTAGTCTTTCAGGAGCAAGTTGTTCAGTTTCCATGTAGTTTTGCAGTTTTGAGTGAGTTTCTTAATCCTGAGTTTTAATTTCATTGCACTGTTGTCTGAGAGACTGTTATGATTTCCGTTCTTTTGCATTGGCTGAGGAGTGTTTCCTTCCAATTATGTGGTCACTTTCTAGAATAAGTGCAAAGTTGTGCTGAGAAGAATGTATATTTTGTTGATTTGGGGTGGAAAGTTCTGTAAATGTCTATTAGGTCTCCTTGGTCCAGAGCTGAGTTCAAGTCCTGAATATCCTTGTTAATTTTCTGTCTAATTTATCTGTCTAATACTGACAGTGGGGTGTTAAAATCTCTCATTATTATTACGTGGGAGTCTAAGTTTCTTTGTAAGTCTCTAAGAACTTGCTTTATGAATCTGGGTGCTCCTGTATTGGCTGCATTTATATTTAGAATAGTTAGCTCTTCTTGTTACATTTATCCCTTTACCATTATGTAATGCCCTTCTTTGTCTTTTTTGATCTTTGTTGATTTAAAATCTGTTTTATCAGAGACTAGGATTGCAACACCAGCTTTGTTTTGCTTTCCATTTGCTTAATAGATCTTCCTCCATCCCTTTATTTTGAGCCTATGTGTGTCTATGCACGTGAGATTGGTCTCCTGAATACAGCACATTGATGGGTATTGACTGTATATCCAATTTGCCCATCTGAGTCTTTTAATTGGGGCAATTAGCCCATTTACATTTAAGGTTAATATTGCTATGTGTGAATTTGATCCTGTCATTGTGATGCTAGCTGGTTATTTTGCCCATTAGTTGATGTAGTTTCTCCATAGTGTCGATGGTCTTTACAATTTGGTATGTTTTTGCAGTGGCTGCTACCAGTTTTTCCTTTCCATGTTTAGTGCTTCCTTCACGATCTCTTGTAAGGCAGGTGTGGTGGTGACACAATCTCTCAGCATTTGCTTGTGTATAAAGGATTTTATCTCTTCTTCGCTTATGAAGTTTAGTTTGGCTGGATATGAAATTCTGGGTTGACAATTCTTTTCTTTAAAAATGTTGAACATTGGCTCCCACTCTCTTCTGGCTTGTAGGGTTTCTCCAGAGAGATCCACTGTTAGTCTGATGGGCTTCTTTTTGTGGGTAACTCGACCTTTTTCTCTGGCTGCCCTTAACATTTTCTCCTTCGTTTCATCCTTGGTGAATCTGACGATTATGTTTCTTGGGGTTGCTCTTCTCGAGAATTATCTTTGTAGTGTTCTCTGTATTTCCTGAATTTGAATGTTGGCCTGCCTTACTTGGTTAAGGAAGTTCTCCTGGATAGTATCCTGAAGAGTGCTTTCCAATGTGGTGTCAATCTCCCTGTCACTTTCAGGTACAGCAATCAAACATAGGTTTGGTCCTTTCACATAGTTCCATATTACTTGTAGGTTTTGTTCTTTCTTTTTTATTCTTTTTTCTCTAATCTTGTCTTCATGCTTTATTTCATTAAGCTGATCTTCAATCTGTGATATCCTTTCTTCCTCTTGATTGATTCAGCTATTCTTCCTCGTATGCTTCAGAAGGTTCTCGTGCTGTGTTTTTCAGCTCCATCAGGTCATTTATGTTCTTCTCTAAACTGGTTCTTCTAGTTAGCCATTCCTCTTACCTTTTTTCAAGGTTCTTAGCTTCCTTGCATTGAGTTAGAGCATGCTCCTTTAGCTTGGGAGAGTTTGGTATTACCCCCATTCTGAAGCCTACTTCTGTCAATTCATCGAGCTCATTCTCTGTCGAGTTTTTTCCCTTGCTAGTGAGGAGTTGTGATCTTTAGGAGGTGAAGAGGCGTTCTGGTTTTTGCAAATTTCAGGCTTTTTGCACTGGTTTCTCCTCATCTTCCTGGATTTATCTACCTTTGGTCTTTGATGTTGGTGACCTTTGGATGGGGTTTCTGTGTGGATGTCTATTTTGTTTATGCTTATTATATTTTTTTCTGTTTGTTAGTTTTCTTTTAACAGTCAGGGCCCTCTGCTGCAGGTCTGCTGGAGTTTGCTAGAGGTCCACTCCAGACACTGTTTTCCTGGGTATCACCAGTGGAGGCTGCAGAACAGCAAAGATTGCTGCTTGTTCCTTTCTCTGGAAGTTTTGTCCCAGGGGGCACCCACCAGATGCCAGCTGGAGCTCTCCTGTATGAGGTGTCTGTCAACCTCTTCTGGGAGATGACTCCCAGTCAGGAGTCATGGGAGTCAGGGACCCACTTGAGGAGGCAGTCTGTCCCTTAGCAGAACTCCAGCTCTGTGCTGGGGGATCCACTGCTGTCTTCAGTGTCAGCAGGCAGGAACGTTTAAGTCTGCTAAAGCTGCGCCTCCAGCCACCCGTTCCCTCTGGTGCTCTATCCCAGGGAGATGGGAGTTTTATCTATAAGCCCCGGACTGGGGCTTCTTCCTTTCTTTCAGAGATGCCCTACCCAGAAAGGAGGAATCTAGAGAGGTAGTTTGGCTACAGTGGCTTTGAGAGCTGAGGTGGGTTTCTCCCAGTTCAAACTTCCCGGTAGCTCTGTTTACACTGTGAGGGGAAAATCACCTACTCAAGCCTCAGTAATGGCAATGCCCCTCCCTCCACCAAGCTGAAGTGTCCCAGGTCGACTTTGGTGAGAATTTCAAGCCAGTGGATCTTAGCTTCCTGGGCTCCTTGTGGATGGGATCCGCTGAGCTAGACCACTTGGCTCCCCGGGTTCAGCCCCTTCTAGGGGAGTGAATGGTTCTGTCTTGCTGGCATTCCAAGCACCACTGGGGTATGAAAAACTCTCCTGTATCTAGCTTGGTGTCTGCCAAAATCGCCATCCAGTTTTGTGCTTGAAACCCAGGGCCCTGGTGGCGTAGGCACCCAAGGGAATTTCCTGGTATATGGGTTGTGAAGACCTTGGGAAAAGCATAGAATGTGTGCCTGAGTGCACTGTTCCTCACAGCACAGTCCCTCAGGGCTTCCCTTGGCTATGGGAGGGAGTTCCTTGACGCCATGTGCTTCCCAGGTTAGGTGACATCCCACCCTGCTTCTGTTCACCTTCTGTGGGCTAAAGCCACAGTCTACCCAGCCCCAGTGAGCCTTGTACCTCAGTTGGAAATGCAGAAATCACTCGTCTTATTTGCTGATCTCCCTGGGAGCCGTAGCCCGGAGCCGTTCGTATTTGGCCATCTTGCCAGCCACCAATCATAATAATTGTTTTATAAATTTGAGATCTCCCATGTTCAGTGTATATATATTTAGAATTGTGGCATTTTCATGCTGGACTTATCCTTTTATTATTATATAATGACTCTCTTTGTCTTTTTAAACTGTTGTTGCTTAAAGTCTGTTTTGTCTAAGAATAGCTACTCCTGCTTACTTTTGGTTTCCATTTGCATGGAATGTCTTTTTCCACCCTTTTACCTTAAGTTTATGCAAGCCCTTATTTATTAGGTGAGTCTCTTGAAGACAGCAAGATACTTGTTTGGTGGATTTTTATTCATTCTACAATTTTGTATCTCTTAAGAGGAGCATTTAGGCCATTTACATTCAATGTTATTATTGAGATGTGAGGTACTGTTTTATTCATCATGACACTTGCTTGAGTATCTTGTGTTTTTTTTTTATTTTGTTATTATTATAAAGGCCCCATAATATTTATACTTTAAGGAGGTTCTATTTCGGTATGGCTTGAGGTTTTGTTTCAAGATTTAGAACTCATTTTAGCTTCTTTTTAAGTGCTGTCATGGTAGTGGTGAATTCTCTCAGCATTTGTTTGAAAAAGACTTTATCTCTCCTTCATTTATGGAGCTTTGTTTTGCTGGATACAAAATTCTTGGTTGGCAATTATTTTGTTTGAGGAGGCTAAAGATAGAACCCTAATCCCTTTTGGGTTTTAAGGTTTCTGCTGAGAAATCTGCTGTTAATATGATAGGTTTTCCTTTATAGGGTACCTGATTTTTTTTGCCTAACATCTCTTAAGATTTATTCCTTTGTCTTGACTTTAGATAACCCAATAACTGTGTCCTTTGGTGATGACCTTTTTTTGAAGAATTTCCCAGGTGTTCTTTGAGCTTCTTGTATTTGGATGTCTAGATCTTTAGTGAGGCCTGACACATTTTTCTCAATTTTTGCCTCAAATATGTTTCCAAACTTTTAGATTACTCTTATTCCTCAGGAACAACAATTATTCTTAAGTTTCTCTGACTAACATAATTCCAAATTTCTTCAAGGCTTTGTTCAATTTTTTTTTATTCTTTCTTGACTTTGCCTGGTCAGGTTAATTTGAAAGACTTGTTTTTGAGCTCTGACGTTTTTTCTTCTACTTGCTTGACTCTAGTGTTGAAATGTTTCAGTGCATTTTGCATTTCTCTAAGTGTGTCTTTCATTTCCAGAAGTTGTGATTATTTTTTCTTTATGATGTTTATTTCTCTGGAGCATTTTTTAAATCCATATTCTGATTTTTTTTCCAAATTTCTTTAAGTTGATCTTCACCTCTCTCTGGTATCTCCTTTAGTAGTTTAATAATCAACCTTCTGAATTCTTTATCTGGCAGTTCAGATTTCTTCTTGGTTTGAGTCTATTGCTGCAGAGCTATTGTGGTTTTTTGGGGGTGTTATAGAACCTTATTCTGTCATATTGCCAGAATTATTTTTCTGATTCCTGCTCATTTGGGTAGACTATTTTGGTGGAGAAATCTGGAACTCAAGTGCTGTTGTTTAGATATTTTTGTTTCACAGGGTGATCCTTTGATGTGGTACACTCCTCCTTCCCCTATGGATGAGGCTTTCTGAGAGCTAGACTGCAGTGATTGTTGTTGTTCTTCTGGGTCTAGCCACCCAGCAGGACTAACAGCCTCTGGGTTGGTGCTGGGGAATGTCTGCAAAGAGTCCTGTGATTTGATCCATCTTCAGGCCTCCCCGGTGTGGATACCAGCACTTGCTCTGGTGGAGGAGGCAGAGGAGTGAATTAGACTCTGTGAGAGTCTGGTTGCAGATAAGTTTAGTGTGCTGGCTTTCTCAAATGCTGGTTATGCTAGCAGTGAATTGTCATGTGGACAGACTCAGGACCACTGGTTAGCCAGGATGTTGGAAGCAGTAAAATTAGCTGTTGTTTTCTTCTTCTTGGGAGCAAGGTTATTTTGTCATGAGTTGCTGTAATGTCTTGAGCTGTTTGGCCTCCAGCCAGAGGTAACACTTTCAAAAGAGCAGCAGCTGTGATAGTAGAAGATGGACATAAGCTTGCCCTACATTGGTCAGGATAAGTATTTGGGTTTCTCAGGCAATGAGTGGGGTCATAAAGCACCCAAGTGTTTATGTCTTTTGTGATGGGCTTCTGAAGTGGGTAGAGAAATACCATCAGGTGGGGGCAGTGTTAGGTGGGTCTAAGCTCAGACTCTCCTTGGGTGGAGCTTACCACAGCCACTGTGGGGGATGGTGGTTGATTCTTGAACCAATAAAGTTATGTTCCAGAGAGAATTGTGGCTGCCTATGTGTCCAAGGAAGTGAGTAAAACCTGGTAGCCACAGGCCTCACTCAGCTCCCATCCAGTTTACCTGGCCAGTCTCTCTCTTGCTGTGTCCTGCTAACAGCACCAAGTTTATCTCCAGGCACCCTGTGAGTGGGACTCAGACACAATTTTAGGCCATAAGTTTTCCTGTTGAGAAAGCAAGCACTGATTTCAGGCCATGCCCTTTTCCATCTGCCCACACCATTAGCTGTGACTCCTGCTCTCCTTTCTGCAGCAGTTCCCATTTGCCTCTGGCTTCTCCTCAACAGAGTTTGTGCCCAGTCAAAATTGTTACAAAGTTCAATTGGAAGCATCTTTCACCCTGTGACCCCCCCCACCCCAGATTTTGCCAGTTGCTTTCCCTGAGGGCCTCTGTGAGGTATAGTCAAGGGTGGCTTCCCTGAGATTGAGCTGGAGAATGGGAGTGCCTACAAGGCTCTTCCCACTGCTCCTTCTTTTTTTTTTTTATATTTCATGCTAAATCTGTTTCAGCACTACGTAATGTTAAATCCTTCTCCCGTAATCTGGATTTTCAGGTTCCCCAGTGGGGACATGTGTTCAGAGGCAGGTTTTTCTCCCTCGCACTTTGAGAACTTATAATTTTTGCCTGTCTTATGGAATTTGTTGTAGACTGGTGCTTCTTTCAAAGAATCTATGATGTCTTTTGCTTTTTCTGGTACATTCCTGCCATGGTTCCTAGAGCAAAAATCCATGTGTGAGTCTCTACACAGTGTTCTGTCAATCCAAATGGGAGCTGCAGTTCAGCCTTGTCTCATGTCCCCCATCTTCCCTTGGTCATAATGAATAATTTTTCTAATGTATTGTTAAATTTAGATTGTTAGTATTTTGTTGAGAATTTTTGCATAAGTATTAATCAGAGATATTGGCCTGTGTTTTTATTTTATTGATGTGTCTTTGCCTGGTTTTAGTATCAGGGTAATACTGGCCTTGTAGAATGAATTTGGAAGTATTTCCTTCTTCTCTAAAAAATATTTCAAAAAAACTATTTTTTGAAATAGTTTGAGTAAGATTGATATTAATTCTTTTAATATTTGGTAGAATTCAGCAGTGAAGCCATCAGGTCCTGGGCTTTTCTTTACTGGGATAATTTCTATTAAGGCTTCAATCTCATTACTGGTTATTGGTCTTTTGAGGTTTTGAATTTCTTCCTGGTTTAATCTTGGTAGGTTTTAAGTGTCTAGGAATGTGTCCATTTCTCCTAGATTTTTTAATTTATTGGCATATAGTTGCTCACAGTATCCAGTAATGGGCCTTTGAACATCAGCAGTATCAGTTGTAATGTCTCCATTTTTATTTTTGATATTATTTATTTGTGTCTCTCTTCTTTTCTTACTCTGGCTAAAAATTTGTCAAGTTTGTTTAACTTTCAGAAAATCAAGTTTTTGTTTAATTGATCTTTTTTATCATTTTCTTCATTTCAATTTCATTGATTTCTGCCCTGGCCTTTATTATTTCTTTTCTTCTACTAATTTTAGGTATTGTTTGCTCTTGCTTTGCTATTTTTTAAGATGCATCATTAAGTTGTTTATTTATAGCTTTTTCTCCTTTTTGATAAAGGAACTTATAGCTATAAACTTCCCTCTTAGTACCACCTTTGTTGTATCCCATAGGTTTTGGTGTGTTGTCTTTCTGTTACCAATTGATTCAAAAATTTTTCAATTTCTTTCTTGATTTCCTCATTGACTACTAGTCATTCAGGACCACATCATTTAATTTTCATGTGTTTGTATAATTTCCAAATTTTTTCTTGTTTTTAATTTCTACATTAACTCCATTTTGGCCAAATAAGATGCTCTATATTATTTCAATTTTTTGAATGCTTTAAGACTTGTTTCAGACCTAACATATGGCTCATCCTTGAGAATAATTTATTTGCTGGGAAAAAAATGCTGTGTATTCTGCAGCTGTTACATAAAATGTTCTTGTAAATATCTATTAGATTCATTTGATCTATAGTGTAGATTAATTATTATTATTATTATTTTTTGAGACAGACTCTCACTCTGTCACCCAGACTGGAGTGCAGTGGTGTGATCTTGGCTGACTGCAACCTCTCTCTCCCAGGTTTAAGCAATTCTTGTGCTTCAGCCTCCTGAGTAGCTGGTACTACAGGTGTGTGCCACCTGGTCTGTCTAATTTTTTCTACTTTAGTAGAGATGATTTCTCATCATGTTGCCCAAGCTGGTCTCAAACTCCTAAGCTCAGGCAATCCACCTTCTTCAATGTCCCAAAGTGCTAAGATTACAGGCGCGAGGCCCTGCACCTAGTCAAGTGCAGATTAATTTTAATATTTCCTTGTTGATTTTCTGCTATAGAATCTGTCCAATTTTTAATGTGGGAATTTGAAGACTCAAGCTATTTCTGTATTGTGGCCTATCACTCTTTTTAGTTCTAATAATAATTGTGTTATGTATCTGGGTGCTCCAATATTGGGTTCTTATATATTCAAAACTGTTATATCTTCTTGCTGAATTGACCTATTTATCATTATATAATGACCTTCTTTTGTTAGTCTTACAGTTTTTGTCTTGAAATCTATTTTGTCTGACATAAATGTAGTTAATTCTGCACTTCCTTGGCTTCTGTTAAAATGGAATATTTTCGATCCCTTTATTTTTAGTGTATGTGTGTCTTTATAAGTAAAGTGTGTTTCTTACACGCACAGATCAGTGGGTCTTGTTTTTTTCATTCAGTCAGCCAGTCTATGTCTTTTGACTGGAGAGTTTAATCTACTCACGTTCCATGTTATTATTGTTAAGTAAAGACTTACTCCTGTCATTTTTTTTTTCTGGTTGTTTTGTGGTCTTCTCTTCCTTCTTTGTTTCCTTCCTGTCATCTTTCAGTGAAGGTGACTTTCTCATGTGATATGACTTAGTTTCTTGCTTTTTATTTTTGGGTATCTATTGTATTTTTTTGTTTTAGGTTACCATGAGGCTTGCAAATACTATTTTATAATGAATTATTTTTTATATGGTAAGGACTTGACACTTTTATGTAAACAAACAAATAAGCTAAATAAAACTAATAAAAACTCTATGCATTAACTTCGTCCTCTTGCTTTTTAATTTTCTTTTGTTACTATTTATATCTTTTTGTAGTATCTATGTCTTGAAAAACTTGTAGTTGTTATTTTTGAGTGGTTTCTTGTATATTCTTTTTATTTAGGATAGGAATAATTAACTCACCACAGTTACAGTAATATAGCATTCTATGTATTTATATGTACTTACTATTACCAGAGATTACTGGTAAGTACTATTATCAATACTTACTCTTTTATCTTCAGGTGATTACTTATTGCTCTTTCATGTTTTGTGCTTTCTTATTGAAGTACTCCTTTTAACGTTTCTTGTCAGACAAGTTGGTGTTTATGAAAGCCCCTAGCTTTCATTTGTCTGGAAAATTGTTTTTTCTTCATGTTTGAAAGATGTTTTTGCCAGATACACTACTGTAGGGTAAATATTATTTTTTCTTCAACACTTTAAATATGTCATGCCACTCTCTCCTTGCCTGTAAGGTTTTCACTTGAAAATCTGCTGTCAGATGTATTGAAGTTCAACTGCATGTTGTTTCTTTTATCTTGCTGCTTTTATAATCCTGTCTTTATCTTTCACCTTTGGGAGTTTGATTATTAAATGCCTGAAGTAGTCTTCCTTGTATTAAATATACTTGATGTTCTATAGTCTTATTGTATTTGGATATTGGTGTCTTTCTCTAGGTTTGAGACATTCTCTATTATTATTTCTTTGCATAAACTACCCAATCTCTACCTTTTCTTTAAGGGCAATAGCTCTTAGATTTGTCCTTTTGAGGCTACTTTCTAGATCCTGTACACATGCTCCATTCTTTTTTATTCTGTTTTTCATTGTCGCCTATTACTGTGTATTTTCAAATAGCCTTTTTCCATACTAATACTTCTGCTTGATCAATTCTGCTATTAAATTGTGTATTAGCTCATTTTCACACTGCTGATAAAGAGATACCTGAGACTGGGCAATTTATAAATAAAAAGAGTTTTAATAGACTCACAGTTCCATGTGGCTGGGGAGGCCTCACAATCATGATGGAAGGCAAAAGGCACATCTTACATGACAGCAGACAGGAGAGAATAAGACAGTCAAGTTAAAAGGGATACCACTTATAAAAGTATTAGATCTTGTGAGACCTATTCACTACCATGAAAACAGTATGGGGGAAACTGCTCCCATGATTCAATTGTCTCCCATGAGGTTCCTCCCACAACATGAGGGAATTATGGGAGCTACAACTTAAAATGCAATTTGGGTGGGAACACAGTCAAATCATATCATTCCACCCCGGCCCCTCCCAAATCTCATGTCCTCACATTTCAAACCAATCATACCTTTCCAAAAAATCCCCGAAGTCTTAACTCATTTAAGCTTAATTCAAAAGTCCATAGTACAAAGTTTCATCTGAGACAAGGAAGTCCTTCTTCCTGTGAGAGTTAAAGTTCCAAAATGATCTCCTTTGACTCTGTCTCACATCCAGGTCATGCTGATGCAAGCAGTGGGCTCCCATGGCTTTGGGCAGCTCCACCCCTGTGGCTTTGCAGGGTACAGCCTCCCTCCCAGCTGCTTTCACAGGCTTGTGTTGAGGGTTGGTTGCTTTTCCAGGTGCATGGTGCAAACTGTTGGTGGATTTACCATTCTGGAGTCTGGAGGATGGTGGCCCTTTTTTTACAGCTCTGCTAAGCAGTGCCCCAGTGGGGACTCTGTGTGGGGCTCCAACCCCACATTTCCCTTCTGCACCACCCTAGCAGAGGTTCTCCATGAAGGCCTTGCCCCTGCAGCAAACTTCTGCCTGGACATCCAGGCATTTCCATACATCCTCTGAAATCTAGGCAGAGGTTCCCAAACCTCAATTCTTACTTCTGTGCACCCACAGGCTCAATACTACATGGAAGCTGCCAAGGCTTGGGGCTTGCACCCTCTAAAGCTATGGCCTGAGCTGTACCTTGGCCCCTTTTAGCCATGGCTGGAGTGGCTGGGATGCAGTGCATCAAGTTCTTAGGCTGCAGACAGAAGGGGGACCCTGGGTCCAGCCCAAGAAACCATTTTTTCCTCCTAGGCCTTTAGGCCTGTGATGGGAGGGGCTTCCACAAAGGTCTCTGACATGCCCAGGAGACATTTTCCCGATTGTCTTGGCAATTAACATTTGGCTCCTCATTACTTATGCAAATATCTGCAGCCTGCTTAAATTTATCCTCAGAAAATGGGTTTTTCTTTTCTAGGACATCATCAGTTGCAAATTTTCGAAACTTTTATGCTGTTTCCCTTTTAAAACTGAATATTTTAACAGCACCCAAGTCACCTCTTGAATGCTTTGCTACTTAGAAATTTCTTCTGCCAGATACCCTAAATCATCTCCCTCAAGTTCAAACTTCCACAAATCTCAAGGGCAGGGGCAAAATGTCACCTGTCTCTATGCTAAAACATAGCAAGAGTCACCTTTACTCCAGTTCCCAAAAAATTCCTTATCACTATCTGAGACCACCTCAGTCCAGATTTTATTGTCCATATCATTATCAGCACTTTGCTGAAAGCCATTCAACAAGTCCCCAAAGTTTCCTACACTTTTCTGTCTTTTGAGCCCTCCAAACTGTTTTAACCTTTGCCTGTTAACCAGTTCCACAGTTTCCACAATTTCAGGTATCTCTACAGCAGCACCCCACTTCTGATAACAATTTACTGCATCAGTCTGTTTTCACGATGTTGATAAAGACATATCTGAGACTGAGTACCTTATAAATAAAAAGAAGTTTCATGGATTCACAGTTCCACGTGGTTGGGGTGGCCTCACAATCATGATGGCAGGCAAAAGGCACGTCTTACATGGTGCCAGATGAGAGAGTCAAGTAAAAAGGGAAAACCCTTATAAAATTATTAGACTTTGTGAGACTTATTCACTACCATGAGAACTGTATGGGAGAAACTGCCCCCATTATCTAATTGTCTCCCACCAGCTCCCTCCTAAATTAAATTAAATCAGGGTTCTTCAGTCATCTTGTGGTGAATGCTGCCTGGCCTGGGGCTCACCCCTCAGTGTCTTGGGTTCCCCTCTGGCTCAGGGCAGTTCCAGAAATGCTGTCCAATTGCCATGTTTTGAAATTGGGGAACCCAAATGTCTGCTTGGTATTCTATCCTCCTGTGCAAAGCTGCTACCTACGGAGCAAGAGAAAGTCCCCTTTATTATTCTTTCTGCTTCTCTCAAGCAGGAGTTTCACCCTCTAGCAACAACAGCTGGTAATGTGCTGATTCTCACCTGAAACCAGAAAGTCTTAGTGGCTCACCCAAGGTCCTATATGTGTTACCAGGATGTTGCTGCTGGTTATTCAGGTCCCAAGCGCTCTTAAGTTAACAGATAATAAATGCTGTCAGGTCTGGGTCCCTCCCTTCAAGGCAGTGAGTTCCCCTCTAACCCATGGTCTGCTTAGAAATGTCATTTGGGAGCAAGGGAATTGAATGGGGGCCTCATGGCTCTGTCCAGTGCTGTTCCCTGCTGTGGTTGATCTGGTATTTTAGAAGCAAGAAAAAAGTCCTTGCTACTCGTCCTTCTCCTGTCCTCAAGTGGAAGGAAGGCATCTCTTTTTGAGCCACGAGATGTGCAGCCTTGGGTTAGGGGAGGTGTAATGACAGCACTTTCTTAGCTGTTCTAGCTGGCGTCTCAGTAGGTTACATTTCTCACCCCAAATCACTGCCTCTTGACCTGGTCAGCTCTAGGACTGACTGAAGAGTTGCAGTCCTTAGGGCTTAGACTACCTTTCAAGATTACTTAGAGATCTAGAGAATTGTAGCCCATGGTAGTGAGATTTGTGGGAACTCAAGTTCTGACTGCTGGGATTAGCAATTCCCCTTTTGCTACGGCTGGCTTAAATGGTCTCTCCATGGGCAAGTGTCAACTGAGTTTGGTGTGGTTTTCCTTTCTGCTCCAACAGGACATTTCTTAGGTCAATGCCTCACAGTTGCTTCTCTTCCTCCCTCAACACTCAAAGATAATCTGCACAGTATTCTGCTGCTGCTGCTGCTGCTGCCAAGGGTGCTGAGGGTGGAGGAGGGATGGCATCAGTGATTCAAGACTGTTTTTCTTCCTCTTCAACACCTCTTTCAAGGATATGAATTTAATACTGGGTACTATAAGAGCTCACCCAATTTTTGTTTTTTGTGAAGTTTTTTTGCTGGTATATAGTTGTGAAATTGGTGTCCTAGTGAGGGAGACAATCAGTGCAGCCTTCTATTCTGCCATCTTGCTCCACCTTCTTGCAGTGCTTGGTTTTTTGTCCCTGTGATAGTTTGCTGAGAATGATGGTTTCCAGCTTCATCCATGTCCCTACAAAGGACATGAACTCATCCTTTTTTATGGCTGCATAATATTCCATGGTGTATATGTTCCACATATTCTTAATCCAGTCTATCATTGATGGACATTTGGATTGGTTCCAAGTCTTTGCTACTGTGTATAGTGCCGCAATAAACATAAGTGTGCATGTGTCTTTATAGCAGCATGATTTATAATCCTTTGGGTGTATAACCAGTAATGGGATGGCTGGGTCAAATGGTATTTCTAGTTCTAGATCCTTGAGGAATTGCCACACTGTCCTCCACAATGGATGAACCAGTTTACAGTCCCACCAACAGTGTAAAAGTGTTCCTATTTCTCCACATCCTCTCCAACATCTGTTGTTTCCTGACTTTTTAATGATCGCCATTCTAACTGGTGTGAGATGGTATCTCATTGTGATTTTGATTTGTATTTCTCTGATGGCCAGTGATGATGAACATTTTTTCATGTGTCTGTTGGCTGCATAAATGTCTTCTTTTGAGAAGTGTCTGTTCATATACTTCACCCGCTTTTCTATGGGGTTGTTTTTTTTTTCTTCTAAATTTCTTTGAGCTCTTTGTAGATTCTGGATATTAGCCCTTTTTCAGATGAGCAGATTGGAAAAGCTTTCTCCCATTCTGTAGGTTGCCTGTTCACTCTAATGGTAGTTTCTTTTGCTGTGCAGAAGCACTTTAGTTTAATCAGATCCCATTTGTCTATTTTGACTTCTGTTGCCATTGCTTTTGGTGTTTTAGACATGAAGTCCTTGCCCATGCCTATGTCCTGAATGGTATTGCCTAGGTTTTCTACTAGGGTTTCTATGGTTTTAGGTCTAACATGTAAGTTTTTAATCCATCTTGAATTAATTTTTGTATAAGGTGTAAGGAAGGGATTCAGTTTCAGCTTTCTAAATATGGCTAGTCAGTTTTCCCAGCAACAATTTTTATATTTTTTATTTTTATTTTTTGAAATGGAGTCTCGCTCTGTCCCCCAGGCTGGAGTGCAGTGGCATGATCTTGGCTCACTGCAAACTCCACCTCCCAGGTTCATGCCATTCTCCTGCCTCAGCCTCCCGAGTAGCTGGGACTGCAGGCACCCACCAACACGCCCAGCTACTTTTTTGTATTTTTAGTAGAGACAGAGTTTCATGGTGTTAGGCAGGATGGTCTCGAACTCCTGACCTCCTGATCCACCCGTTTTGGCCTTCCAAAGTGCTGGGATTGCAGGCATGAGCCACTGTGCCTGGCCAGCACCATTTATTAAATAGGGAATCCTTTCCCCATTTCTTGTTTTTGTCAGGTTTGTCAAAGATCAGATGGTTGCAGATGTGTGGTATTATTTCTGAGGGCTCTATTCTGTTCTATTGGTCTATATCTCTGTTTTGGTACCAGTACCATGCTGTTTTGGTTACTGTAGCCTTGTAGTATAGTTTGAAGTCAGGTAGTGTGATGCCTCCAGCTTTGTTCTTTTGGCTTAGTGTTGTCTTGTCAATGCTGCCTTTTTTTGGTTCCATATGAACTTTAAAGTAGTTTTTTCCAATTCTGTGAAGAAAGTCATTGGGAGATTGACGGGGACAGCATTAAACTATAAATTACTTTGGGCAGTATGTTCATTTTCACAATATTGATTCTTGCTATCCATAAGCATGGAGTGTTCTTCCATTTGTTTGTATCCTCTTTTATTTCATTCAGCAGTGGTTTGTAGTTTTCCTTGAAGAGGTCCTTCACATCCCTTGTAAGTTGGATTCCTAGGTATTTTATTCTCTTTGAAGCAATTGTGAATGGGAGTTCACTCGTGATTTGGCTCTCTGTTTGTCTGTTATTGGTATATAAGAATGCTTGTGATTTTTGCACATTGATTTTGTATCCTGAGACTTTGCTGAAGTTGCCTATCTGCTTAAGAAGATTTTGGGCTGAGACAATGGGGTTTTCCAGATATACAATCATGTCATCTGCAAACAGGGACAATTTGACTTCCTCTTTTCCTAATTGAATACCCTTTATTTCTTTCTCCTGCCTGATTGCCCTGGCCAGAACTTCCAACACTATGTTGAATAGGAATGGTGAGAGAGGGCATCCCTGTCTTGTGCCAGTTTTCAAAGGGAATGCTTCCAGTTTTTGCCAATTCAGTATTATATTGGCTGTGGGCTTCTCATAAATAGCTCTTATTATTTTGAGATACGTCCCATCAATACCTAATTTATTGAGAGCTTTTAGCATGAAAGGCTGTTGAATTTTGTCAAAGGTCTTTTCTGCATCTATTGAGATAATCATGTGGTTTTTGTCGTTGGTTCTGTTTATATGCTGGATTACATTTATTGGTTTGCATATGTTGATCCAGCCTTGCATCCCAGGGATGAAGCCCACTTGTTCTTGGTGGATAAGCTTTTTGATGTGCTGCTGGATTTGGTTTGCCAGTATTTTATTGAGGATTTTTCCATCAATTTTCATCAGGGATATTGGTCTAAAGTTCTCTTTTTTGTTGAGTCTCTGCCAGGCTTTGGTATCAGGATGATCCTGGCCTCATAAAATGAGTTAGGGAGGATTCTCTCCTTTTCTATTGATTGGAATAGTTTCAGAAGGAATGGTACCAGCTCCTCCTTATACCTCTGGTAGAATTCGGCTGTGAATCCGTCTGATCCTGACCTTTTTTTGGTTGGTAAGCTATTAATTATTGCCTCAATTTCAGAGCCTGTTATTGGACTATTCAGTGATTCAACTTCTTCCTGGTTTAGTCTTGGGAGGGTGTATGTGTTGAGGAATTTATCCATTTCTTCTAGATTTTCTAGTTTATTTGTTTAGAGGTGTTTCTACTATTCTCTGATGGTAGTTTGCATTTCTGTGGGATCAGTGGTGATATCCCTTTTATCATCATTTTTTATTGCATCTGTTTGATTCTTCTCTCTTTTCTTCTTTATTAGTCTTGCTGGTGGTCTGTCAATTTTGTTGATCTTTTCAAAAACCAGCTCCTGGATTCACTGATTTTTTTGAAGGGATTTTTGTGACTCTATCTCCTTAAATTCTATTCTGATCATAGTTATTTCTTCCCTTCGGCCAGCTTATGAATGTGTTTGCTCTTGCTTCTCTAGTTCTTTTAATTGTGATGTTAGGGTTTCAATTTTAGATCTTTCCTTCTTCCTCTTGTGGCCATTTAGTGCCATAAATTTCCCTGTACACACTGCTTTAAATGTGTCCCAGAGATTCTCGTATGTTGTGTCTTTGTTCTCATTGGTTTCAAAGAACATCTTTATTTCTGCCTTCATTTCTTTATGTACCCAGTAGTCATTCAGGAGCAAGTTGTTCAGTTTCCATGTAGATGAGTGGTTTTGAGTGAGTTTCTTAACCCTGAGTTCTAGTTTGATTGCACGGTGGTCTGAGAGACAGTTTGTTATAATTTCTGTTCTTTTACATTTGCTGAGGAGTGCTTTACTTCCAACTAGGTGGTCAGTTTTGGAATAGGTGTGGGGTGGTGCTGAGAAGAATGTATATTCCATTGATTTGAGGTGGGGAGTTCTGTAGATGTCTATTAGGTCCACTTGTTGCAGAGCTGAATTCAATTCCTGGATATCCTTTTTAACTTTCTGTCTCATTGATCTGTCTGATGTTGACAGTGTGGTACTAAAGTCTCCTATTATTATTGTTTGGGAGTCTAAGTCTCTTTGTAGGTCTCTAAGCACTTGCTTTATGAATCTGGGTGTTCCTGTATTGGGTGCATATATATTTAAGATAGTTAGCTCTTCTTGTTGAATTGATCCCTTTACCATTATGTAATGGCCTTCTTTGTCTCTTTTGATCTTTGTTGGTTTAAAGTCTGTTTTATCTGAGACTAGGATTGCAACCCCTGCCCGCCCTTTTTTGTTTTCCATTTGCTCGGTAGATCTTCCTCCATCCCTTTATTTTGAGCCTTTATGTGTCTCTGCACATGAGATGGGTCTCCTGAATACAGCACACTGATGGGTCATGACTTTTTATCCAATTTGCCAGTCTGTGTCTTTTAATTGAAGAATTTAGCCCATTTACATTTAAGGTTAATATTATTATGTGTGAATTCTATCCTGTCATTATATCAGCTGGTTATTTTGCTCATTAGTTGATGCAGTTTCTTCCTAGCACTGATGGTCTTTACAATTTGGCATGTTTTTGCAGTGGCTGGTACCGGTTTTTCCTTTGCATGTTTAGTGCTTCCTTCAGGAGCTCTCGTAGGGCAGGCCTGGTGGTAACAAAATGTCTCAGCATTTGCTTGTATGTAAAGGATTTTATTTCTCCTTCACTTATGAAGCTTAGTTTGGCTGGATATGAAATTCTGGGTTGAAAATTCTTTAAGAATGTTGAATATTGGCCCCTACTCTCTTCTGGCTTGTAGAGTTTCTGCTGAGAGTTCAGCTCTTAGTCTGATGGGCTTCCCTTTGTGGGGAACCCGACCTTTCTCTGTGGCTGCCCTGAACATTTTTTCCTTCATTTCAACTTTGGTGAATCTGACAATTATTTGTCTTGGAGTTGTTCTTCTCGAGGAGTATCTTTGTGGCCTTCTCTGTATTTCCTGAATTTGAATGTTGACCTGCCTTACTAGTTTTGGGAAGTTCTTCTGGATAATACCCTGAAGAGTGTTTTCCAACTTGGTTCCATTCTCCCCATCACTTTCAGGTACACCAATCAGATGTAGATTTAGTCTTTTCACATAGTCCCATATTTCTTGGAGGCTTTGTTCATTTCTTTTCACTCTTTTTTCTCTAAATTTCTCTTCTTGCTTCTTTTCATTCGTCTGATCTTCAATCACTGATACCCTTTCTTCCAGTTGATCAAATCGGCTACTGAAGCTTGTGCATTCATTATGTAGTTCTTGTGCCATGGTTTTCAGCTCCATGAGGTCATTTAAGGAATTCTCTGCACTGGTTATTTTAGTTGGCCTTTTGTCTAATCTTTTTTCAAGGTTTTTAGCTTCTTTGTGATGCATTCAAACTTCCTCCTTCAGCTCAGCAAAGTTTAATTGTCTGAAGCCTTCTCCTCTCAACTCATCTAACTCATTCTCTGTCCAGTTTTGTTCCATTGCTGGTGAGGAGCTGCATTCCTTTGAAGGGGGAGAGGCACTCTGATTTT
Organism: Homo sapiens; assembly: GCF_000001405.40. Classification (NCBI taxonomy): domain Eukaryota; kingdom Metazoa; phylum Chordata; class Mammalia; order Primates; family Hominidae; genus Homo; species Homo sapiens. The sequence continues at coordinate 67,235,159 of NC_000023.11, read as the reverse complement.
TAGAATTTTCAGCATTTCTGCTGTTTTTTCCCCATCTTTGTGGTTTTATCTACCTTTGGTCTTTGATGATGGTGACGTACAGATGGGGTTTTGGTGTGGGTGTCCTTTCTTTTTGTTAGTTTTCCTTCTAACAGTCAGGACCCTCAGCTGCAGGTCTGTTGGAGTTTGCTGAAGGTCCTCTCCAGACCCTGTTTTCCTGGGTGTCAGCAGTGGAGGCTGCAGAACAGTGAATATTGCTGGACAGCAAGTGTTACTGCCTGATAGTTCCTCTGGAAACTTCGTCTCAGCAGGGTAACCAGCCATGTGAGGTGTCAGTCTGCCCCATACTGGGGGATGCCTCCCAGTTAGGCTTCTTGGGGGTCAGGGACCCACTTGAGGAGGTGGTCTGTCCATTCTCAGATCTCAAACTCTGTGCTGGGAGAACCACTACTCTCTTCAAATCTGTCAGACAGGGACATTTAAGTCTGCAGAGGTTTCTGCTGCCTTTTGTTCGGCTATGCCCTGCCCCCAGAGGTGGAGTCTACAGATGCAGGCAGGCCTCCTTTAACTGTGGTGGGCTCCACCCAGTTTGAGCTTCCCAGTCCCTTTGCTTACCTACTCAAGCCTCAGCAATGGTGGGCACCCCTCCCCAGCCTTGCTGTCACCTTGCAGTTTGATCTCAGACTGCTGTGCTAGCAATGAGCGAGGCTCCATGGGTGTGGGACCCTCTGAGCCAGGCATGAGATATAATCTCCTGGTGTGCCATTTGCTAAGACTGTTAGTGAAGTGCAATATTAGGGTGGGAGTGACCCAATTTTCCAGGTGCCATCTGTCACAGCTTCCCCTGGCTAGGAAAGGGAATTCCCTGACCCCTTGTGTTTCCTGGGTGAGGTGATGCCTCACCCTGCTTCAGATCACACTCGGTGGACTTCACCCACTGTCCTGAACCCACTGTCTGATATGCCCCAGTGAGATGAACCCAGTACCTCTGTTGGAAATGCAGAAATCACCCATCTTCTGCGTTGCTGGCACTGGGAGCTGTAGACTGGAGATGTTCATTTTCAGCCATCTTGGAACCACCCCTCTCCTATCTATTTTTATACTGTTTATCTTGCTTAGTATTGTATTGTAGCCCTGTGCCTAGCACTCACTGCAATACCCAGAATAGGGACCGAGTAAATATTTATTGAATTAATTAAAAATAAATGCAATTTGTTATATTTGTGCTGCAAAATAACCACTGGTTCCTGGGTGCTTACAGAATAAACACAAAATCCCATGCCATGGCATGCAAGATTGTTCAAAATATTATACCAAATCACATTTCTAGTTTAATTTTCCATCAGCCTCATTCTCACCCAAATGCCATCCCATTGTGTACCTCATACTGTAACACTATAAATACATCTCTATTTTTTCCAAATGTCACATTCTTTCCAGTCTATGTTTCCAAACATACTATTATTAAATGTTGTCCGTCCTTAGTCATCTTTGATATCTTCTGTCAGTGGTTCTCAATGTGGGGCATTGGTGGGGTCTCATCAGGAGACTTTTCACAATAAAAATGTCCAGACCCCACTTTACATCTACTGAATCAAATCTTGGAGGAACAGGCAGGCAGACATATATTTTACCACAATAAAAATAATTTTAAAAGTCAATTGGCCTTATTTATCATGGTTTTTTCTGAACTCTATTCTTTTCTATTTTATATGTGTCTATTATTTCATGAGTAACACATTGTAAATTTTATTAATATTTTCCAATAACTAGCTTTTGGTTATATTGGTCTCTCTGTCTTCAAGTTTACAGATTTTCCTCTCTCATCTCCATTCTGCAATTGATCCCATCCAGTATTTTTTTCAATTTGATCATTATATTGTTTAGCTATAAATTTTCCATTGTGTTCTTCTTTATATTTTTTGTTTATTTACTGAAACGTTATACCTTTATACGTTTCTATTGGGTGAGTTTGCACTTACTTCTTGGAGCATTGTTGTATTAGTTGATTTAAAGGTATTTGTCTTATAATTTCAACATCTGTGTCATCTGAGATGGAATTTGTTGTTTATCTTTTTCCATATGAGTTTAGATTTTCCTGTTTGTGTGTGTGTATGTATGTCAAGTAATTTTAGATTATATCCTGGACATTGTGAATCCTATGTCATAAGATTTTGACTTTTTTTTTAAATTCTAAGGAGAATGTTAGTGTGTTTTTTTGTGATTTTTCTACCAGGCAATTCACTATGTTAAGTCCAGGCCACAAATTCTTGCTGCATTCTGTGTGTTGCGGTTCCAAAGTCAGTTCAGTTTTCAAATATTCTGAAATTTTGTTTTAAACCATCTGTCATTGGATCTAGGTGATGATTTACCCTGTGGCTCAGGTGTCTATAAGTTGTTATGATCTTTCCAGCTCTTTGCCCTAACTCCCCCTCACATTCTTCCTGGGACTGCTTTTGCATTCATAGCTGGGCAGTAGTGGGAGGAGGAGGAGGAGGAAGAGGAGAAGGAGGAGGATGGAGGGAGAGAGAGAAAAAGGAACAGAGAGAAAGAGAGAGAGAGAACACTATGAGGTCTTTCCCAGTGGTCTTAGGACCATAGCTTTCCTGTTCAGAAAGAATAATTTTCCTTCTTTAGAGTTCTAGGCACCTTCCCAGACATTGATCCCACTGCTTGTTGTGTGGCTTCATTCAAGGGGGACTAGGGTGAAGAAAAAGTGATTTAAAAAAAAGGGAAAAACGACCTGGGCATTCCCTTACTGTCTCTAGTCCTTAGCAGTCTCTTTCTTCATTCTTCTCAGAATAGTAAGGGATAATTTTTCTTGGAGGTGTTTCTGTCTGTACCTGATGCACAATTCTAGATTTTTTTTTTACTGTCATTGAATCTAGGTCTGGCAAGTGCCAGATTTTAAAAAAAAGTAAATTTACAATTAATTCAGTGCTACAGTGTTTTTCTCAAATATGTTTGCTACTATTTACATTTTCATGTCCTCAGATAGCTGCTCTATGTATTATCTTCTGGATTTATACTGGTATTCAGTGAGACAGACCACATTTCCTGGACCACAGTCTCATTTGACCCTTATGGTGCCCAGCTCTCTGCTGAAATTCCTTATCTGTTTGCACATGTAGTCTGTCTTCTCCACTAGATCTTTTAATATATTAAATGTCTGAAAATGGGCATGTCTCTTCCTTTGTTAGCTTGTTAATATTAAGTTTTGGATCAGTTAACTCACGACCTAAGCCAAGTTTGAGTTTTGTTGTTGATGCCAAGAATTTATGGGCAATATAGGCTTCAAATTCTTGCAGAATTGGAATCTTATTTTCTTGTTCTTAAAGAGGGAACTGAGTGCCAAAAGGTTTTTCTCAGTTCTGGCTCACCCCACATCTTTTAGTCATTTCTGTATGTCTGAGCCACAGAGGGGTCTCTCTCCATGCTCTTGCCCCTTGCCTAGTGGTAGAATGCCATTGCTTATTACTAGCTACTAGGCTTGTGGTGAAGACAGAAAAACACTCTTTCACCCTGGTGTAGTCTTAGTCTAGGTCAGGCCCAGTGTACCTGGGAGGATGGGCTGGGTTGTTTTTATTTCTGCCTTTGACTTTGTGATAGTCAAACTATGCTTTGTATCTCTAGTTGTTCTTAGGTGGGAGTTTCTTGCTCCTCTCTCAATAGTAGTATCCATTTGCTTTGTATTAGTGTAGGATCCTGGGCTCAAAGCAGTTTTCTTCTTCTCTTCTAGGAGTATAAAACTTCTTCTAACTCCTCCCAACAGAAATGAATCATTTCCTTTGTCTTTTGAGAAAAAAGTGTTTCCTACTCACCCCAACAGGCATAAAGGGCATTGCTTCTAGTCCCCCTGAAGTGACAATAAATCTTTGCCTCTCTCCTAAGAACACCAGCATTAACTAAGTCTCCCCTAGTGGTATAAGGCTTTTGGCTTGCAGGACTGAAGGATCTAGGTAAGCAAGTGAAGTTTTGTCCTTGTTCTCTGAGGAACACACCTTTTGCATGCCGATATCATTGAAGGGGGCTTTCTTTGATCTCCTGGCCTTCCCTCAATCTTTTTCCTGATCACCTGGTGGAGGTACAAGTAAAACATTCTCAAAATTTCTCTTGTATCTTGGGCCTACAGCTATTCCAGACCGATATGTCCAGACTGATATGCTAACCCACATTTGGCCTTTAATAATTTGTTACAGTTTTAGCTGATTTTTTTCTTGCTTGCTTGTATTGTGAGTACTTCTTTCTCTTATGTATTAAGTATTAAGGTTATGTTAGTTTCATAAAATGACCTGGATAGTGTTTCTTTCTTCCTATTTTCTGGAGAAACTTGCATAAAATTGGAATTATCCATCCCTTGAATATTTGATAGAAAGATCCTTAAACAATTAGCTCCTGTTTTTTTTATTACCATTCTTTTTTGTTTATTTGATTGTAGAATTTTTTTAACAATTGGTTCAATGATTTTAATGATCATAGGTTCAATCAGGCTTCATTTCTTCCTGAGTTATTTCTGGAAGTTTTAATTTCCTAGTAAATTGGCAATTTTGACTAAGTTTTTGAATTTGTTGGTGTGAAGTTTTTATGGTATTCCCTTATTTTAAAAATCTTTACATCATATGTAGTTAAGCACTCTTTTTCTTTCTTAGTATTGTTTATTTTTGTTTTTTCTTTTCATGATAAACCTACCAAATATTTGTCAATTCAAAGGATTACTGTTTATTTCTGTTGATCTATTTGATTTTTTCTACTCAACATTTTTACTTTTGTATTTATAATTTCTTCCGTTCCACATGGCTTAGGATTATTTTTCTGTTCTTCTAATTTTTCTTTAAGTTAGATAATTGACTCAGTATTTAAGCTTTCTTCTTTTGCGATACAAAAATTTAAGGCTGTACACTTCCCTGAACATTCTTTTTCTGTGTATTTCACAAGTTGTGGTATCTATGTTTACTAAAATTGAATTTGAATTATCTTCCTATTCCCATTATAATTTCTGCTTTGAACAGTGAAATATGAAATGTGCACTTGAATTTCTAAACACACCTTTAATATTTTTGTTTGTTTACTATTTATTTGTAAATTGCATTGCACTCAGAGACTGTATCATATGTGATGCATATTCTTTGAAATTTTTTGATCCTTGCTTTAGCACCTAACATGTAGTCAATTCTGTAAATATTCCATGTGTAATTGATAAGAAAGCCACCATATGTTCTAAATATGTCTCATATCAAATTTATTCTTTGTGATTTTCATCACTCCTGTAATCTTACTAATATTCTAATACTTAAACTGACAGTTTTTAAGGAATATGTGTTACCCTCTCCCATTAGGTTTATCTCTCATTATATTTGCTTGAGATTTGTCTGGCGTATCTATTTTCAACTTTTTTTTATGGCCCAGCTTTCTGTGTCTTACAGGTAAGGTATGAGTCTTATGAATATCATTTAAAATCCCACTTAGATAATCTTTCAAACTTATGAGTTTAATCCATTTGCTTTTCATGTTTACTGACAGTTTTTGGATTTATTTCTACCATCTAGTTTTGTGGTTCCTCTATTCTCCTTTTTTAATATTACTTTTTTTTCTCATTTCCTGCTTTCTTTTGGATTTGTAGCATATTTTATTCCAATTATTATCTTGCCTCTACTGGTTTGTAAGTTGTGTACTTTATTGCTGTCTTTTTAAGTGATCATATCTAAATTGTTAATACTCTTGTTTAACGTAGCAGACTCTAAAGTTAATAAATGACTCTGTCCTTTTCCCAAATAATATGGGAGGAAGTGTAACACAATGGTTATAATTGTAGGCTCTGAAGCCAAACTGTTAAGTTTGAAACCATGTGATTCCTGTTTTTTTTTTCAAGGTTCTTTTGCCACTTTAAGCCTCAGTTTCCTCATTGGTACAATGAGGATAAAAATGACTCATACCTCATAAGATTGCCATGAGGAAAATAAAAAGGAGGTAATGCAGACAAAATACCTGATATAAGAGGGCTCAGTAAATGTTAAAATTTATTTGGATGTTTACCTTATTCACTGCTCTTAGAACTTAAGAAATTTTTCTAATAGCCTCTTCCAGCTATCTTTTTTATATCATTTTCAAAATTCTTTCCATCACTGTGATCATTTTAATTGCCTTTATGGGCATTGTCTCCAACTGCTTGTTTGTTTATTTGTTTTTGAAACACAGAAGCTAGTTTCACGTTTAATTTTGACACAAAGGCATACAGCCTTGTATGTGGAAAAAATAATTTTTTAAAAAATTTTGTGTTCAGAGTCCCTCATTGAACCAATCTCTCAAGGAGTGTTCTGTAGTGATTTTAAAATCCCTTTTTTTGGTTGTGATTGGGAGCTCAGAATACACACTCTAATAGGCATAAATTCATTTAAATTTACCTGTTAGTAGATTTTACTTGCTATGCCAGAGGCTATTCCTACACACGTGCCACCCAGATTTGAAGCCTGTGTTATATTTATATTTGCTCCAATTGACACTATCCGGAGGAACGTTTAAGGAAACAGGTCTTTTGATGGGGTATAGAGTGGAGTTATAACTGGCTGTAAGTAAGCAGGAAAGGCATTATTCCAAGTGGGTGCCAGAGAAAGATTGTGGATTTTACCGGAAGGGATAAGAGCTTTGCCTTTCAAATATATTCAGGAGCATAATCACTAATAATAGTAGCTAACATTTATGGCCTGCTTGCTATGTGCCAGGCATTCATGTTATCAACACACAAATCCTATGGTTTATTATTATCCCATTTACAGATGAGAAAACTGTGCCACTTACAGATTAAGTAACTTGTCTCAATGGTAGATCTGGAGTTTGAATCTAGACAAAATGACTCCAGATTTGGTGTACCTAATTTTCACATTGCTGCCAAATAAATGATGAATTAACTGAAGATGGTTTTACAGCCACCCGAAGTCATCTGGCATAGTTGTGACTGTGGTATCATTTTTGCTATCACAATAGCAAAAACTTGGAACCAACCCAAATGTCCATCAATGATAGACTGGATTAAGAAAATGTGGCACATATACACCATGGAATACTATGCAGCCATAAAAAAGAATGAGTTCATGTCCTTTGTAAGGACATGGATAAAGCTGGAAACCATCATTCTCAGCAAACTATCACAAGGACAAAAAACCAAACACCGCATGTTCTCACTCATAGGTGGGAATTGAACAATGAGAACACTTGGACACGGGAAGGGGAACATCATACACAGCAGCCTGTTGTGGGATGGGGAGGGGGGGAAGGATAGCATTACGAGGTATACCTAATGTAAATGACGAGTTAATGGATGCAGCACACCAACATGGCACATGTATACATATGTAACAAACCTGCACGTTGTGCACATGTACCCTAGAACTTAAAGTGTAATAAAAAATATTTTAGAAAAATGAAAGAGGAATTTATTTCATCTAGCAAATTCTATGGTTGTGGAACAAAATTTTAAATTTTTTTTTATTGTGGTAACCAAACTTAAGATGAGATCTACTCTCTTAACAGATATTTAGTGTAGAGTACAGTATTGTTAACCAGAGGCACAATGTTTCACAGCAGATATCTAGAACTTACCCATCTTACATAACTTTAACTTTATATCCATTAAATAAAAACTCTCCATTTTCCCCTCCCCAGTTCCTGACAACTCCCATTAAACTCTCTGCTTCTGTAAGTTTGAATATTTTAGATATTTTAGATACCTCATGTAAGTGGAATCATGCAGTGTTTGTCTTTGTGTGACTGGCTTATTTTACCTTGAATCATCTCTCAAGGTTCATCCTTGTGATAACATGTGTCAGATTTTATTCCTTTTTAAGGCTTAATAATATTCCATTGTATATATACACCATATTTTCTTTATCCATTCGTCTCTTGATAGTTCTTTAGATTGTTTCCATATCTTGGTTATTGGCAATCGTGATTCAACAAACATAGGAGTGTTAATATCTCTTTAAGATCCTGATTTAGTTCTTCTGGATAAATACGCTGAAGCAAGATTGCTGGATAATATGTTATTTCTATTTTTTTATTTTTAATTGACAAGTAAAATCATATATATTTATGATACAGCATGCTCTTTTGCCATATTTATGAAAGGACTAAAGTGAGCTAATTATTGTATATATTCTCTCATATAATTATTTTTTGTGTTGAGAACACTCAAAATCTACTCTGTAAGCAATCTCCAAGTATACAATACATTATTATTAACTGTACACACAATGCTGTGCAATAGATCTCTTGAACTTACCTCTCTTGTGTAAGTGATGTTTGGATCTTTTGACCAACATATCCCCAAACCCCCCACCCCAGCTCTTGGTAACCACTATTCTTCTCTCTGCTTTTTAAATTAAACTTTTTTTAGATTTCACATATAAGTGAGATCATGTGGCATTCGTCTACCTGTAGTTGGCTTATTTCACATAACTTTGTATCCACCAGGTTCATCCATATTGTTGCAGATGAAAGGATTTTCTTATTTTTGATGGCTGAAGAGTATTCCATTGTGTTCTTATACCACATTTTTTTAATGCACTTAGCCACTGATGGACTTGTAGGTTGATTTCATATCTTGGCTACTGTGAATAATGCAGCAATGAACATGAGAGTGCAGATACCTTTTCAAGATCCTGATTTCAGTTCCTTTGGATATATACCCAAAATTGGAATTGCTGGATCATATGGTATTTTTATTTTTAATTTTTTGAAAAACTACCATATGGTTTTCTACAGTAGGTTGTACATATTTACATTCCCACCAACATTGTACGAGTGTATTCTTCCTCCACACTCACACCAACTCTTGTTATTTCCTTTCTTTTTAAAAACCATTGTAATAGGTGTGAGGTGATATCTCACTGTGATTTTGATTTGCATGTCTCTGATGATTAGTGATGTTGAACACCTTTCCATATAACTGTTGACTATTTACTTAAATATCTTCTCTGGAGAAATTTCTATCAAAGCCTGTGCCAATTTTTAATATTTGTTATGGATTTGGATGAGTTCTTTAAATAATTTGAATACTAACCCCATATCAGATATATAGTTTGCAATTATTTTCTCCCATTTTTAGATTGTCTCTACACTGTGTTATTTCTTTTGTTGTGTAGAAGCATTTTAGTTTGATGTAGTATGACTTATTTGTTTTTGCTTTTGTTGCCTGTGCTTTTGATGTCACATCCAGAAAAACATTGCCAAGACAAATGTCAGAAAGTTTTTCCCTGTTGTCTTTTAGGAGTTTTATGATTTCAAGTCTTATATTTAAGTCCTTAATCTATGTTGAGTTAATTTTGGTATACAGTGTAAGATGAAACTCCAATTTCATTCTTTCCATGTGAATATCCAGTTTTCTTTACACCATTTATTGAAGGGAATATCCTTTCCTTATTGTTTATTCTCAGCACCCTTGTCAACAATTAATTGACTGTATATGTGTGGGTTTATTTCTGGGATTTCAACTCTGTTCCATTGGTATAATTGTTTTTATGCCACAATCATACTGTTTTGATTGTTACAGCTCTTTAGTATAGTTTGATACCAGGAAGTGTGATGCCTCTAGACTTGTGCTACATTCTCAAGATTGCTTTGGCTGTTCGAGGTCTTTGTGGTTCTATAAGAATTTTGAAATTGTTTTTCTACTTATGTGAAAAATGGCATTGGAGTTTTCCATAGGGATTTTATTAAATCTGTAGATCACTTTAGGTTGAATGTACATTTTAATTATATTATTTCTTCCAATCCACGAACAAAGTATGACTTTCCATTTTTCTCTGTCTTCTTTAATTTCTCTCATAGAACTTCTAAAATTTACAGTCTATAGTTTTTGTTTTTTGTTTTTACTTATTTGGAGAAATTTATTTCTAAGTATTTTACTCTTGATTATAAAGGGGATATCTTTCTTAATTTCATTTTGGTATATTTTGCTGTTAATGTATAAAAACTCCACTAATTTTCTAAGTTGATTTTGTGTTCTGCAACTTTACTGAATACACTCGTTAGTTCTAACAGTTGTTTTGTTGAGATTTTAAGGTTTGTAAGTACATGATAATATCATCTCCATACAGATAATTTTACTTTTTCCTTTCATATTTGGATGACTTTTATTTATTTCATTTTTGTTTTTGTTGTTAATTTCCCTGGCAAGAAATTCCAGTCCCATGTTGAATACAAGTGGCAAGAGTCAGCATCCTTGCCTTGTACTTGATCTTAGAGGAAAAGTTTTCAGTTTTTTCCTACTGATTATGATGTTACTTGTTGACTTTTCATACATGGGTTTTATTTTGTTGAGGTAAGTTTCTTCTATACATATTTTTTGAGAGTGATTTTATCATAAATGAATTTTGATTTTTTTTGAAGTGGTTTTTCTGCATCTATTGACACAACTATGTGGTTTTAATCTTTTATTCTATGAAAGTGGTGTATCACATTGATTTGCGTGTGTTAAACATTCTTGCAACACAGAGATATATGCCATTTGTTCATGTCATGTAATGTTTTTAATGTGTGGTTGAATTCACTTTTTAGGTAATTTATTAATGATTTTTGCCTTTGTGTTGATCAGGAATATTGACATGAAGTTTTCTTTTTGTGTGGTGTCTTTCTTGCTTTCTATGGGTTTTTAAAAAAGCTTGTAAATGCTCTCTTTTCTATTTTTCTGAAAAAATTTCAGAATAATTGGTATTAATTTTCTTTGAATGTTTGGTAGAATTTGCCCATAAATAGATTGGTCCTGAGCTTTTCTTTGTTGGAAGGTTTCTGATTAATGATTAAATCTCATTTCTTATTGGTCGGGCTTTCATCTTCTTTTCAATTCTATTTTGGTACATTACATGTTTCTAGTGAAATATACATTTATCATAGATTGTTCAATTTGTTAATAAATAATTGTTCATAATAGTGTCTTATAGTCCTTTTTATTTCTTAGGCTTTCCTCATAATGTCACATTTTTAATTTCTGATATTATATGAGCATTTTCTCTTTTTCTCATAGTCTAAGGGTTTGTTAATTCTGTGTGTCTTTTCGAAAACACAGGCCTGATTTTGTTGATTTTTTTCTATTTTTTCTAGTCTCTTTTATTTATCACTGTTTTAATTTTTATTTTTAATTTTCTATTTATATATTTAGAATAAGTTTATTTTTAGAGTTCCTTGAGGCAAAAGTTAAGATGTTTATTTGACATCTTTTTAATTTTTTTGACTAAAAAGTTTGATTCAGGCTTTTATCACTCTAAACTTCCCTCTTAGTGCTGCTTTTACTTTATCTTCTAAGTTTTCTTTTGTTGTGTTTTGTTTTTCTGAAGATACTTTAAATGTTTCCTTTCATTTATTCTTAGATACAGTGGTTAATCAGTAGTGTGTTGTTTAATTTCCACATTTTTGTCCATTTTTTTTCTGTTTCTTTCTGCTTTTGAATTCTCTTTTTAAAATTTATTTTTATTACTTTAAGTCCTGGGATATATGTGCAGAACCTGCAGGACTGTTACAGGGCTATACACGTGTCATGGTGGTTGGCTGCACCCATCAACCAGTCATCTATATTAGGTATTTCTCGTAACGCTATCCTTCACCTAGCCCCCACCCCCCGACAGGCCCTGGTGTGTGATGTTCCCCTCCCTGTGTCCATGTGTTCTTATTGTTTAACTCCCACTTATGAATCAGATCATGTCGTATTTGGTTTTCTGTTCCTGTGTTAGTTTGCTGAGTATGATGGTTTCCACCTTCATCCATGTCCCTGCAAAGGACATGAACTCATCCTTTTTTATATGGTTGCATAGTATTTCATGGTGTATATATGTCACATTTTCTTTATCCAGTATATAATTGATGGGCATTTGCATTGGTTCCAAGTCTTTGCTATTGTGAACAGTGCTGAAATAAACATACGTGCGCATGTGTCTTTTTATTTTATTTTATTTTATTTTATTTTATTTTATTTTATTATTATTATACTTCAAGTTTTAGGATACATGTGCACAATGTGCAGGTTTGTTACGTATGCATACATGTGTCATGTTGGTGTACTGCAGCCATTAACTCGTCATTTAGCATTAGGTATATCTCCTAATGCTATCTCTCCCCACTCCCCCCAACCCAAAACAGTCCCAAGAGTGTGATGTTCCCCTTCCTGTGTCCATGTGTTCTCATTGTTCAATTCCCACCTATGAGTGAGAACATGTGGTGTTTGGTTTTTTGTCCTTGTGATAGTTTGCTGAGAATGATGATTTCCAGTTTCATCCATGTCCCTACAAAGGACATGAACTCATCATTTTTTATGGCTACATAGTATTCCATGGTGTATATGTGCCACATTTTCTTAATCCAGTCTACCGTTGCTGGACATTTGGGTTGGTTCCAAGTCTTTGCTATTGTGAATAATGCTGCAATAAACATACATGTGCATGTGTCTTTATAGCAGCATGATTTATAGTCCTTTGGGTATATACCCAGTAATGGGATGGTGGGGTCAAATGGTGTTTCTAGTTCTAGATCCCTGCAGAATCACCACACTGACTTCCACAATGGTTGAACTAGTTTACAGTCCCACCAACAGTGTAAAAGTGTTCCTATTTCTCCACATCCTCTCCAGCACCTGTTGTTTCCTGACTTTTTAATGATCGCCATTCTAACTGGTGTGAGATGGTATCTCATTGTGGTTTTGATTTGCATTTGTCTGATGGCCAGTGATGATGAGCATTTTTTCGTGTGTTTTCTGGCGGCATAAATGTCTTCTTTTGAGAAGTGTCTGTTCATATCCTTCACCCACTTTTTGATGGGGTTGTTTGTTTTTTCTTGTAAATTTGTTTGAGTTCATTGTAGATTCTGGAAATTAGCTCTTTGTCAGATGAGTAGGTTGCAAAAATTTTCTCCCATTTTGTAGGTTGCCTGTTCACTCTGATGGTGGTTTCTTTTTCTGTGCAGAAGCTTATAATAGAATGATTTATAATCCTTTGAGTATATACCCAGTAATGGGATTGCTGGGTCAAATGGTATTTCTAGTTCTAGATCCTTGAGAAATCACTACATGGTCTTCGACAATGGTTGAACTAATTGACAGTCTCACCAATAGTGTAATAGCATTCCTATTTCTCCACATACTCTCCAGCATCTATTGTTTCCTGACTTTTTAATGATCACCATTCAAACTTGCATGAGATTGTATCTCATCCTGGTTTTGATTTTTGTTTCTCTAAATGACCAGAAATGATGCGCTTTTTTTTGTATATTTGTTGACCATATCAATATCTTCTTTTGAGAAGTGTCTGTTCATATTCTTCTTCCACTTGCTGATGGGTTTGTTTGCTTTTTTCTTGTAAATTTGTTTAAGTTCCTTGTAAATTCTGGATATTAGCCCTTTGTCAGATGGATAGATTGCAAAAATCTTCTCCCATTCTGTAGGTAGCCTGTTTACTCCAACGATAGCTTCTTTTGCTGTGTAGAAGATCTTTAGTTTAATTTTATCACCTTTTTCAATTTTGGCTTTTGTTGCCATTGCTTTTGGTGTTTTAGTCATGAAGTCTTTGCCCATGCCAATGTTCTGAATGCTATTGCCTAGGTTTTCTTCTAGGGTTTCTATAGTTTAAGGTCTTACATTTAAGTCTTTAATCCATCTTGAGTTAATTTTTGTGTAAGGTGTAAGTTTCAGTTTTCTGCATATGCCTAACCAGTTTTCCCAACACAATTATTAAATAGAGAATCCTTTCCCCATTGCTTGTTTTTGTCAGGTTTGTCAAAGATCAGATGATTGTAGATGTGTGGCATTATTTCTCAGGCCTCTGCTCTGTTCCATTAGTCTATACATCTGTTTTGGTACCAGTACCATGATCTTTTGGTTATTTTAGCCTTGTAGTATAGTTTGAAGTCAGGTAGTGTGATGTCTCCAGCTTTGTTCTTTTTACTCAGGCTTGTGTTGCCTGTACAAACACATTTTTGGTTCCTTATAAAATTTAAAGTAGTTTTTCCTAACTCCGTGAAGAAAGTCAATGGTAGCTTGATGGGGATAGCATTAAATATATTAGTTACTTTGGGCATTATGGCCTTTTTCATGATATTGAGTCTTCCTATCCATGAACATGAAATGTGTTTCCATTTGTTTGTGTCCTCTTTTACTTATTTTAGCAGTGGTTTGTAGTTCTCCTAGAAGAGGTCCTTCCCATTCCTTGTAAGTTGATGCTCACTGGAGAAGGCAGGAAAGATCTAAAATTGACACCCTAACATCACAACTAAAAGAAATAAAGAAGCAAGAGTAAAAAAATTCAAAAGCTAGCAGAAGACAAGAAATAACTAAGATCGGAGCAGAATTGAAGGAGATAGACACACAAAAACCCTTTAAAAATCAATGAATCCAAAAGAAGGTATTTTGAAAATTTTAATAAAATAGAACGCTAGGCAGACTAATAAAGAAGAAAAGAGAGAAGAATCAAGTAGAAATAATAAAAATGATGAAGGGAATATCACCACTGATCCCACAGAAATAGAAACTACCATCAGAGAATACTATAAACACCTTTATGCAAATAAACTAGAAAATCTAGAAGAAATGGATAAATTCCTGGACACATACACCCTCCCAAAACTAAACCAGATAGAAGTCGAATCCCTGAATAGACCAATAACAAGTTCTAAAATTGAGGCAGTAATTAATAGCCTACCATCTAAAAAAAAACCCAGGATCAGACAGATTCAGAGCCAAATTCTACCAGAGGTACAAAGAGGCGCTGATACCATTCCTTCTGAAACTATTCCAAAAAATAGAAAAAGAGGGATTTCTCTCTAACTTATTTTATGAGGCCAGCATCATTCTGATACCAAAACCTGGCAGAGATGCAACAAAAAAAAAAAAAAAAAAGAAAAAAAATTTCAGGCCAACCAATATGCCTGATGAACGTCAATGTGAAAATCCTCAATAAAATGCTGTCAAACCGAATCCAGCAGCATATCAAAAAGCTTATCCACCATGAGCAAGTCAGTTTCTTCTCTGGGATGCAAGGCTGGTTCAACATATGCAAACCAACAGATTTATTCCATCACATAAACAGAACCAATGACAAAAACCACATGATTATCTCAGTAGATGCAGAAAAGTCTTTACATTATATTTAACACCCCTTCATGCTAAAAACTCTCAATAAACTAGGTATTGATGGAACATGCCTCAAAAATAATAAGAGTTATTTATGACAAACCCACAGCCAATATCATACTGAATGAGCAAAACCTGGAAGCAACCCCTATGAAAACTTGCAAAGACAAGGATGCCTTCTCTCACCCCTCCTATTTAACATAGTATTGGAAGGTATGGCCAGGGCATTTAGGCAAGAGAAAGCAATAAAGGGTATTCAAATAGGAAGAGAGAAAGTCAAATTGTCTCTATTTGCAGACGACATGATTATTTATTTAGAAAACCGTATTGTGTCAGCCCAAAATCTCCTCACGTTGATAAGCAACTTCAGCAAAGTCTCAGGATACAAAATAAATGTGCAAAAATCACAAGCATTTTTATACACAGATAATAGAAAAACAGAGAGCCAAATCATGAGTAAACTCCCATTCACAATTGCTGCAAAGAGAATAAAATACCTAGGAATACAACTTTATCCGCTTTTGTTTTCTTTTTTTTTATATACTTTAAGTTTTGGGGTACATGCGCACGACGTGCAGGTTTGTTACCTATGTACACATGAACCATGTTGGTGTGCTACACCCATTAACTCGTCATTTACATTAGGTATATCTCCTAATGATATCCCTCCCCCCTCCCCCCACTCCACAACATGCTCCAGTGTGTGATGTTCCACTCCCTGTGTCCAAGTGTTCTCATTGTTGAATTCCTACCTATGAGTGAGAACATGTGGTGTTTGGTTTTTTGTCCTTGTGATAGTTTGCTGAGAATGATGATTTCCAGCTTCATCCATGTCCCTACAAAGGACATGAACTCATCATTTTTTTCTGGCTGCATAGTATTCCATGGTGCATATGTGCCACATTTTCTTAATCCAGTCTGTCATTGTTGGACATTTGGGCTGGTTCCATGTCTTTGCTATTGTGAATAGTGCCACAATAAACATACGTGTGCATGTGTCTTTATAGCAGCATGATTTATACTCCTTTGGGTATATACCCAGTAATGGGTTGGCTGGGTCAAATGGTATTTCTAGCTCTAGATCCCTGAGGAATCGCCACACTGACTTCCACAATGGTTGAACTAGTTTACAGTCCCACCAACAGTGTCAAAGTGTTCCCATTTCTCCACATCCTCTCCAGCATCTGTTGTTTCCTGACTTTTTAATGATTGCCATTCTAACTGGTGTGAGATGGTATTTCATTGTGGTTTTGATTTGCATTTCTCTGATGGCCAGTGATGATGAGCATTTTTTTATGTGTCTTTTGGCTGCATAAATATCTTCTTTTGAGAAGTGTCTATTCATGTCCTTTGCCCACTTGTTGATGGTGTTGTTTGTTTTTTTCTTGTAAATTTGTTTGAGTTCATTGTAGATTCTGGATATTAGCCCTTTGTCAGATGAGCAGATTGCAAAAATTTTCTCCCATTCTGTAGGTTGCCTGTTCACTCTAATGGTAGTTTCTTTTGCTGTGCAGAAGCTCTTGAGTTGAATTAGATCCCATTTGTCAATTTTGGCTTTTCCTGCCGTTGCTTTTGGTGTTTTAGACATGAAGTCCTTGCCCATGCCTATGTCCTGAATGGTATTGCCTAGGTTTCCTTTGAGGGTTTTTATGGTTTTAGGACTAACATTTAAGTCTTTAATCCATCTTGAATTAATTTTTGTATAAGATGTAAGGAAGGGGTCCAGTTTCAGCTTTCTACATATGGCTAGCCAGTTTTCCCAGCACCATTTGTCGAATAGGGAATCCTTTCCCCATTGCTTGTTTTTGTCAGGTTTCTCAAAGACCAGATACTTGTAGATGTGTGGTATTATTTCTGAGGGTACTGTTCTGTTCCATTGGTCTATATCTCTGTTTTGGTACCAGTATTGTGCTGTTTTGGTTACTGTAGCCTTGTAGTATAGTTTGAATTCAGGTATCATGATGCCTGCAGCTTTGTTCTTTTGGCTTAGGATTGACTTGGCAATGCGGGCTCTTTTTTGGTTCCATATGAACTTTAAAAGTAGTTTCTTTCCAATTCTGTGAAGAAAGTCATTGGTAGCTTGATGGGGATGGCATTGAATCTATAAATTACCTTGGGCAGTATGGCCATTTTCATAATATTGATTCTTCCAATCCATGAGCATGGAATGTTCTGCCATTTGTTTGTATCCTCTTTTATTTTGTTGAGCAGTGGTTTGTAGCTCTCCTTGAAGAGTTTCTTCACATCCCTTGTAAGTTGGATTCCCGGAGGAAGATCTACCAAGCAAATGGAAAATAAAAAAAGGGAGGGGTTGCAATCCTAGTCTCTGATGAAACGGACTTTAAACCAACAAAGATCAAAAGAGACAAAGAAGGCCATTACATAATGTTAAAGGGATCAATTCAACAAGAAGAGCTAACTATCCTAAATATATATGCACCCAATACAGGAACACCCAGATTCATAATACAAGTCCTTAGGGACCTACAAAGGGACTTAGACTCCCACACAATAATATTGGGAGACTTTAACACCCCACTGTCAACATTAGACAGATCAACGAGACAGAAAGTTAACAAGGATATCCAGGAATTGATCTCAGCTCTGCTCCAAGAGGACCTAATAGACATCTACAGAGCTCTCCACCCCAAATCAACAGAATATACACTCTTCTCAGCACCACACCACACTTATTCCAAAATTGACCACATAGTTGGAAGTAAAGCACTCCTCAGCAAATGTAAAACAACAGAAATTGTAACAAACTGTCTCTCAGACCATAGTGCAATCAAATTAGAACTCAGGATTAAGAAACTCACTCAAAACCGCTCAACTACATGGAAACTGAACAACCTGCTCCTGAATGACTACTGGGTACATAATGAAATGAATTCAGAAATAGAGATGTTCTTTGAAACCATTGAGAACAAAGACACAACATACCAGAATCTCTGGGACACATTCAAAGCAGTGTATAGAGGGAAATTTATAGCACTAAATTCCCACAAGAGAAAGCAGGAAAGATTTAAAATTGACAACTTAACATCACAATTAAAAGAACTAGAGAAGCAAGAGGAAACACATTCAAAAGCTAGCAGAAGGCAAGAAATAACTAAAATCAGAGCAGAACTGATGGAGATAGAGACACAAAAAAAAACCCTCAAAAAATCAATTAATTGAAGAGCTAGTTTTTTTTAAAAGATCAACAAAATCGATAGACTGCTAGCAAGACTAATAAGGAAGAAAAGAGAGAAGAATCAAATAGACACAATAAAAAATGTTAAAGGGGATATCACCACTGATCCCACAGAAATACAAACTACCATCAGAGAATACTATAAAAACCTCTACGCAAATAAACTGGAAAATCTAGAAGAAATGGATAAATTCCTCGACACATACACCCTCCCAAGACTAAACCAGGAAGAAGTTGAATCTCTGAATAGACCCATAACAGGCTTTGAAATTGAGGCAATAATTAATAGCTTACCAACCAAAAAAAGTCCAGGATCAGATGGATTCACAGCCGAATTCTACCAGAGGTACAAGGAGGAGCTGGTACTATTCCTTCTGAAACTATTCCAATCAATAGAAAAAGAGGGAATCCTCCCTAACTCATTTTATGAGACCAGCATCATCCTGATACCAAAGCCTGGCAGAGACACAACAAAAAAAGAGAATTTTACACCAATATCCCTGATGAACATTGATGCAAAAATCCTCAATAAAATACTGGCAAACTGAATCCAGCAGCACATCAAAAAGCTTATCCACCATGATCAAGTGGACTTCATCCCTGGGATGCAAGGCTGGTTCAACATACACAAATCAATAAACATAATCCAGCATATAAACAGAACCAACGACAAAAACCACATGGTTATCTCAATAGATGCAGAAAAGGCTTGTGACAAAATTCAAGAGCACTTCAAGCTAAAAACTCTCAATAAATTAGGTATTGATGGGACATATCTCAAAACAGTAAGAGCTATTTATGACAAACCCACAGACAATATCATAGTGAATGGGCACAAACTGGAAGCATTCCCTTTAAAAACTGGCACAAGACAGGAACGCCCTCTCTCACCACTCCTGTTCAACATAGTGTTGGAAGTTCTGGCCAGGGCAATCAGGCAGGAGAAAGAAATAAGTGGTATTCAATTAGGAATAGAGGAAGTCAAATTGTCCCTGTTTGCAGATGACATGATTGTATATCTAGAAAACCCCGTTGTCTCAGCCCAAAATCTCATTAAGCTGATAAGCAACTTCAGCAAAGTCTCAGGATACAAAATCAATGTGCAAAAATCACAAGCATTAACAGGGAAACAGAGAGCCAAATCATGAGTGAACTCCCATTTGCGATTGCTTCAAAAAGAATAAAATACCTAGTAATCCAACTTGTTTTCTAGTTTTATAATATTCGTGTCAGAAAGGATATCTGGTATGATTTCAAATTTCTTCAATTTTCTAAGGCTGGTTTTGTAACATATCATGTAATCTGTCATGGAGAATTTTTCACATGTGCTTGAGAAGAATATGTATTCTGCTGCTTTTGGGTGGAATGTTCTATATATGCCTGTCAGAGCAATTAGCCTATAATGCTGTTGAAGTCAACTTTTTCTTTGTTCATTGTATTCTAGTTGTTAAATCCTTTATAGGAAGGGAATATATCAAAGTCTCTTACTATTATATTATTGTTATCTATTTTTCCCTTCAGTTCTGTCAATGTTTGCTTCATATATTTACATGTTTTTATATTGGTTGAACATATGTTTGTAATTATTATATCTTCTTTATGAATTGACCCTTTATCATTATATAATGTTCTTTTTGTCATTTGTGATAGCTTTTGACTGTAAGTCTATATTTTCTTATGTAAATATAGCCACCCATTTTCTCTTTTTGCTATCATTTGCATAGAATATCTTTTTCAATATTTTCACTTCCAGCCTTTGAGCGTCCTTAAATATAATGAACTATTGTAGACAGCATATAGTTGGATGGTGCTTTTTAAATCTTTTCATCCACTCTGTCTTTTGCATAGAAAATTTAATACATTTACATTTAAATTAATTTTTAGAGGAAATAATTTACTTATGCCATTTTGATCATTATTTTCTGCTTGTCTCTTATCCCTTTTGTTCCTCTTTTCCCCTCTTGCAGTCGTGGTGGTATTTGTTGATTTTTGTATTGATATGCTTTGATTCCCCTCCTTTTTACCTTTGTATAACGTCTTTAAATATTTCTTTGTTGTCACCATAAAATTTTATTTTGAACTGATAACAAGTTAACTTCAATCATATATAAAAACTCTACACTTTTACATCTTTCACTATATATTATTGATGTCACAATTTATATCTGTTTTGTTTATCCATTAACATATTTTAGTTATTACTTTCAATATTTGTTACTTGAAACATTTTTATCAGAATTAAAACTGGTTTACCCACCATCACTATTGAAATGTAGTTTCTGTATTTGTCTATGTTTATCTTTACCAATGGGCTTTATGCTTTCTTGTGCTATCATGTTGCTGGTAGAGTATTTTTATTTCAAGTTGAAGAACTCCCTTTCACACTTATTGTAAGTTAGGGCTCATGATAATAAACCTCTTCATTTTCCATTTGTTTGAGAAATTCTTCATGCTGTCTTCATTTCTGAAAAACAGCATTATTTGGTATAGTATCTTGGTTGACAGGGCTTTTAAAAATTTCTTTTAGCAGTATGAATATATGATTCCACTCAATTCTGGCCTGTGATGCTTTGCTGAAAAGTCCACTGATGGTCTTGTACAGCTCCCTTGCATGTGACAAGTTATTTTACCTTTCTGCTTTCAAAAACTATCTGTTTTTTATTTTTGACAATTTAATTATATGTCTTCATAAGAATTTCTTTGGGTTCATCTTATTTTAGACCTTTTGAGCTTCCTGGATCTCGATGTCCATTTTTTTCCCTCCAAATTTGGGAAATTTTCAGCCATTATTTTTTAATAAGCTTTCTGATTCTCTCTCTCTCATACTTCTGGGAAATCCATAATACCTATATTCTTTCACTTGATAGTGTCCTATAAGTTTTTTAGGTTTTCTTCATGGTTTTCCTTTTCTTTTCTTTTTGTTCCTCTGAGCTACTCTGACTGGATACTTTTAAATGACCTTTCTTCAGGTGTGCCAATTATTTATTTATTTATTTATTTATTTATTTATTTATTTATTTTTGATAGGGGGTCTCACTCTGTCACTCAGGCTGGAGTGCAGTGGCATAATCTCGGCTCACTGCAACCTCCACCTCCCGGGTTCAAGTGATTCTCCTGTCTCAGCCTCCTGAGTAGGTGGGACTACAGGCTCCCACCACCGCACCCAGCTAATGTTTGTATTTTTAGTAGAGACGGGGTTTCACTAAGTTGGTCAGGCTGCTCTTGAGCTCCTGACCTTGTTATCTGCCTGTCTTGGCCTCCCAAAGTGCTGGGATTACAGGCATGAGCCACCACACCCAGCCTGGTGATTTTTTCATTGTGCTTAATCTAGTTTTTTGATGAACACTTCTGCTGAATCTTCTAATTCATTTATTATAATTTTTAGCTCCAAGGTGTCTATTTAGTTCATTAAAATTTTTCACATTTCTTTGTTGAAGTTCTGACTTTGTTCATGCATTATTCTCTTGAGATCTTTGAACATATTTTATGATTGTTACTTTGAATTCTCTGTCAGGTAATTCATCTATCTCTGTTTTATTAGAGCCAGTTTTTGGAGTTTTATCTTGTTCTTTTTTGAGGGTTGTGTTTCCCTATTTCTTCATTTTCCTTGAATGTATTAATGTCTATATGTTAGTAAAACAACCACATTTTTCAGTCTTCATGGATTGGCCTTGTATAGGAGAAGACTTTCACCAATCTATCTGGCCAGAGATTTTGTGGGCCTCTTAAACCTTTATGATAGTTCAAACTGCTGTATTAGTAGTTTCCT
This sequence comes from Homo sapiens, assembly GCF_000001405.40. NCBI lineage: Eukaryota > Metazoa > Chordata > Mammalia > Primates > Hominidae > Homo > Homo sapiens. The sequence goes on along the minus strand of NC_000023.11, from coordinate 67,213,109 downwards.
CAGGCTTCTAAAGTATGCCATACCCTGTCAGCACACAGAGACAGATGAGTAAGAAGCCAACTCCTAATGCAGCTTCTGGAAAAGTTGAAACTTTTGACACATGGTCCAATTCTTTCTCTCCCCAGGGAGAAGCTGCAAGCTGGGTTTTTCACTCACTCATTCTGTGATGAACCAGTGGTATAATCCATGACAACTACTCATGTACTAGTTCAAACCACTGTTTTTGTTCTCTGTATCCCCCAGGTATCTAGTATATGTTTGGTCCCATCAGCACTCCAATAAAGGCAAGAGAGAAGTCAGTCCCTTAGGCAGCAATGTAAAAGTTGAGATGTTGGATGTGTGGTTTGATGTTTTTCCACCTCAGGGAGAAGCTTTTTGGCATAAGAACTTTATCCATAGAGTAAATCCCGCCTCCCCTTATCAGGTGTGTGCAATTAAGTCTTCCTAATCCTTAGGCTGAGACAAAGCAAGGGTTACCATTAAGAAGAGCTGTGCTGGCTAGAACACTCTGGACAAGAACACCATTACAGGAGAAAGTTGGGGTCTATTATTCTTGCACAGACAAAATTTATGTGCCAGACTTGATTTACCCTAAAACTTAAAGTATAATAATAATAAAAAAATAAAAAAATAAAAAATAAAAAATTCTCAAGGGGTTTTTGAGTAGTGGAGTACTATCAGAAAACCCCTGATTGTGTGGTACTGAGAGGGACTAAGGAGTCTCATGAAGATCTTTTATTACTTAGAATCTCTAACTGGACCACTCAAAATACTTTATTTTTATAGTTTCAACTTTTATTTCAGAGTCGGGGGTACAAATGCAGGTTTGTTACATGAGTATATTGTGTGATGCTGAGGTTTAGGGTACAAATGACCTTGTCACCCAGGTAGTGGGTATAGTACCCAATAGGTATGTTTTCAACACTTTCTCCTTCCTCCCTAGACCCTCTAGTAGTCCTCAGTGTCTATTATTGCCATCTTTACATCCATGAGTATCCAATATTTAGGTCCCATTTAGAAGTGAGAATATGTGGTGTTTGTTGAAATACTTGAACCTAAGCCTGTCCTACCAGGTAACCTCCAGCCAAGTTTTTTTTTTTTTTTTTTTTTTTTTTTTTTTTTTTTACATAGATTAAAAATGTCAAACATTCTCCTATTTCTAAGTCAGTGAGATTGTGAATATTATTCAAAATAGAAGGTCTTATGGGAGAAAAGCCCTTTTTCCGAGGAAAGTACCTATCCCGATTTTTCTCAGGAAATCCAGCTCTGCATTTTGTTACTGTTTTTTTTGTGGATCTTCTTTCTATTTTGGGCACTATTCTTATTATCAACCAGGATTTTTAGCACTCTGGTGAGTTTCAATGCATTAAATAATGACTCAGAGGCTCTTAGGAAACTGAATGGCCCAGTAACATGTCAACAGTTCTTCAAGAGACATCTTTCTTTTTTAATATTTTTTAAGTGTGGACTGCTGTTTAGAGAGCATTGAGTTTGGTGGTTGTCCAACAGAATTGTCTGGGAAGTTTATTTAAAAATCAGCTTTCAGAGCTATAACCCAGCTGGGCTATATCAGCATCAACATGGCTGATGACTAGACATGTGTATTTTTAACTAACACCTTCCGCGATTTTAATGTACCACAAAATTTGAGAACTGTTGATTTAATATACCTTTCTCCTTCTTTATATAAAGGAAGAATAAGACCTAAAAAAGGAATATAACTTCCTCAAGTTTACTAAAATATAACCAAAGGAATATTCCAAAGGAGAAGTAAAGACATCATTGTAACTTCTAAAAAGTATTTATTTTTAAAAACTACCATGCAGCATTAAAAAGTTGGACTTGACTTACAATAGCTAGTTTAATTAAGTAGGTCTTCTGTGGCTCTGAGCTTCAAATAAATCAGGTCTTATCATAGTGAAATTAAGCTTTGCTAATGCCTGTGTTTTAATAAAATGGAAATGGGGACCCTGGGGTGTGACTCTTAAAGTTCAAGTTCTAAACTACTATAGCACTGACTAAAGATAGGGCTGTCAGACTGAGGAGGCCCAAAAGCTTTTGAGGTTTCCTCCAGATAAGCCCTGAAGCTACAGGCCAGTTAATGGCTCTGGTGGTTAATTGAGCTAAAAATAAAACATAAATTATGCCTGAGGTACTTTTTCTCCCTCTCTACACAGAATTTGATTAAAAGATGTGTTTCATGAAGGATGAGATTAGATCTGCGTGGGATTAGATAAAAATGGGCAAGAATTTTGTATTTTCCCTGTAGCTCTCCAGCTGTCTCTACAGAAGACATCCCCCAGGGCTTGGGCCTTGAACTCATGTTATTTGGAAATTATGAGTGGGTTCAGATATTTTTGAGATGGGCCCTTTCATCCGTGTCAGAGGAACAGCTTGGTTCTTTGATTTCTTTCCAAGTTAAGGACAGGTTCGTTGAGGCCGTTTTAATTTTCTCATTCTAAAACTTTAATCAGTGGTTTAGAAGAAATATTCTTCAGTCAATGGGTAGACACACACACACACACACACACACACACACACACACCACTTCTATAGTTAAGATAAACTTTCTGATAATGTTGCACCCCAAATTTTAATGATTTATTAGTGATTGTGATTCCTAACAATGGCAGCATCCATAAGTGAGTTTCTGGGAATTGAGAGAATAACAGGAAAAGGAATGAGAAGAGAGAGAGCAGACCCAGGTACCTGAAACAGAAAGCAAGGGAGACAATGAGCAAAGGTGATTCCCAGAACTTCAAGAGTGATTCAGCCACAGACAAGGAAGCTTTCTTCATGTTTCAAATTGATATTTATTTTAAAAGCCATCAAGGTAAAATGTAGCCTTCGAATAAAAAGGAGAAAATGTTCCAATTTGTTGTCTTATTAGAGTTGACATCAATTCTGCCCATTTCTCCAAGTCTATGTCTCATTTCTTGAGGAATTCCCTACTCTTTGCTAAATCTGGGGAGTGTTGAAGATAGGCAATAAGAAAACTAGTGTCTTGATTGTATATTTTTCTGAGAAAGAACTGGGGAAGTGGTGTTGACCCACACCCTTCCAATTCCTTCAAAGATGGAAATGTTAAGATTACTGATGAGGTACTTTGAAGAGACTTGGTAGTGAAAAAAATCTCCCCACCCATCCTGATATTTAGTATGAATCATTACATATTACTGTCCCTGAACTAGGCAAGACTATGGAATTTGAATTGTGTTGGAAATAGCACCGACTGAGAAGATAGGATGCCAACATCAAACCTTACTTCTTCCATGGGTCCATTTGACATTTAGAAATTCACATGACTTTCTATGGTCCACATAGGCCTTCCTTGCAGGGCATTTGAATGCTACACTACCATGGGAGATAAACAGCCTGGTATTTCCAGCCTGCTACCAATTAGACTCTCCCAAACAATTGAATGTTTAACTGTCGAATTATCTGGCCCCAACAAAACCTGTTTACTCATTCCTTAAACATGCCTGGGGCATTCTCTTCCTCTATACCTCACATTGTTATTCTAGTTTGGAAGGCCTACCCACTTTCTCTCATCCCATCCAAATTTTCTTCAAGTTCCAATGAGAGTCCTGTGTCCCTCCAGGGCTCTTTCTTTCTCCTCTACTCTCATTGCTTATATCACTAATTTGGTACTTTTCATCTGTACGTTTATGTCTGACTTCCCCAACCAGACTATATGAATTTTTTTTTCAGTGTAGAGATAGTATCCTACTCAATTAATTCAGCTAATAGATGGAAAAGCTCTTTACAAATTGCCAAATATGAAAATTATTTTATGTCAGTTATTTTAAAAGGCAGCTATCATATAGTAAAGAGACTATGATGCAGATGGATCTGGGTGTTGGCGTTTGCTACTTCACTTACTAGGTGTGTGACTTTGGGCATACTATGTAATCACTTCAAACTTAGTTTCCTTATCTGTAAAATGGGGGTGACAAGTACCATCCTCAATAAATTGTTATGAGAATGAAATGTCATTAATGGGCATAAGTATTTTATAATTTTTCCTGAGTTGTATAAATGCAACCAATTATAAGTATACCATTACCCACGTATAAATCTTCCCGATTATAACAGATACACACTGAAGCCCACAATAAATGTTTCTTTGGGAATATGATGATAAAAATGATGACTAATACCACTATTTACTCTTTTCTAGGCCAAAGTAGGAAACAGCCATGTTGTAAGTCACCCAAACTGGCTCCTTTATGGAGACTAATCTGCCTGATTTATTTAATGTTTTTTCACAGAGTATCAGAGTGGAAGGGACCTTTAGAGAAAATCCAGTTGAAGTTTTTCAGGTTACTGATATGGACAATGAGGTCCAGAAAGAGGAAGGTGTTGCTCAAAGCTACACAGCAGGTCAAACATGGGGACAAAAGTGATGTAAATTCTGATACAGTTATAGACACATGACAGGTTTTTCTTCAGAGATCTTTGGACTTGTTCAGATTTCCACTTTAATATTCCAGCTTATTACGAAGGCTTAGCAGATGTCCATGGTCACACAGCAGGAAGTAAAGGAGCCAGGACTTGAGCCCTGTTCTGTCTGCCTCTCAAGCCCCTATGCTGCTTCCTTCCCCAAATCATGACCTGTTCGTGTACTCCCATTTTCTTTCCATCCATCACCCACAAGGAAGGCAGACTCAAATCTCCCCACCCCACCAGCGCTGGTCTCCTAGAGTTGACTGAAGGTGTAGCAGGACTGGTCTTAGACAAGACCTCCTGGACACAGGTTTTAGGAAGGTTTAGGCTTTAATCAGCTGGGAGCATCGGTAGACTCGAGTCTCAAGATCCAAGCTCCCCGAAGTCAAGATTCCTGTCCCTTTTAAAGGCCTACAACTCTAAGGGGTCCAAGTGAAAGAGTCTTGATACATTGTGCAAGTGGGGGCTATGTGACTGGGACTGCATGCACTGGTGATCAGAACAGAACAGAACCGAACAGGGAGTTACACAATGCTTCCTCATACAATGTCTGCAATCTACAGATAACATAAGCAATTAGGTCAGGGGTCGATCTTTAACTACCAGGCCTGGGGTGTAGCACCAGGCTGTCTGACTATTGAATTTCACTTCTGCTTTTTCTTTAACTCCTACTTTCTCTTTCCTTTGAGGCAGAAATTAGGCAGAAGACAAATGAGAGTTGGTCTCCTCCCTTAAAGGTATAAAAATTGCTGAGGTAGAGTTGAAATAAAGTACAGATTTGTCCAAACCAAGACAGTGTGGTCCAGACAGAGGTCAGGGGATAAGCAAAAGTGAAAAGCCTTAGGCTTAGCAGCTCCTTTTCTTCCACATGTATCATTTATTAGGAAAATTATTTAACTGTTCTGCATATAATTGAGAAAATACTTGATATATTCAATCCTTAAGTTCTTTATCTGTAGGATGAGGATAATAATAGTATCTACCTGATAAACTAGTTGTAAGGATATAAATAAAATAATGTATGTAAAACACTTAGAATAGTAGCTGACAGATAGCACTCAATAAATGTTAGCTATTTTTATTGTTAATATACAACAATAAAGTCATAAGAATTGTAAGAAAAGTACAAATCAATTACAATGGCTAGACAAAGATTGTCAGATTGGGTTTAAAAAGGAAAGCTTCTACAAGAAACCTTGAAATATAAACACATATGTGTTGAAATAAAGAGATTATAAAATGACACACCTTGCAATCACTAATCCTAAATACTATTTAGAGGAGCACTTTAGAGGTGGAAAAATCCTAAAGAAAGTGATGGAGAGGGGAAGGAAGTATGATGAACCTCATGGAGGGTGCCATTTTATCTGGTCTTTGAAGGATAGAAATAAGATTTAGACAATCAGAGACAGGAGAGGGGGCCAAAACTGAAGCATAAGGCTTGTCCTGGGAGAAGTCAGTATTGACGTTTGACAAGAGTAGTGTTACCATGCATAGGTAGGGAGAGATTCAGCTGGGTGGATAGGTCATGACCAGATTTTGGAGAACCTAAGGATGGCTGGATAAGAAGTTTGCTCTTTCGCTTAAATCTATCTCCCTGTAGATTCTACAGATTGTTTTCACTTTTGTAACCACAGAGAAGAACTGAATTTTATTCATCCTCTACATAGAAGCTCTTCAGATATTTTAAAGCAGCCATAATATTTTTAACTCAACAAAGTCTTTAGAGAGCTTGAGTAGGTTTCTCCCTCCCAGGCCTTGGGGCAGAGTATACTGGGCTTCAGGTCTTGGAAGCACTCTCTTCTTCTAGAAAAGTACATGAACATTCATTTTAACGAATGCTTACTGTCCATGTCCCTGGGGAGGCAGAGATGACCAATCCACTGCTCTAAGGAGCTCCCAGTCTAATAGAAAAAACAAACATTATTTTAATAAAATATAAACTGACAACCATAAAGATAGGGGCACGTTTAAGATTCATAAATAACTTTGGAGAAAGAGTAAATACATCTATGGTGGGAGAAAGAAACATTATGTAAGAAAAAGCTTTTCAGAGGAGGTGAGATATAGACGATATTTTGAAGGATTAAAGAAAGACTGGGAGTTGGCAGGCAGCCAATGTGAGTAAATAACACTATAATGAGAGGACAGAATTTACTATGCTTCAGAAAAATAAAATAGCCAAGGATAACTTAAGTATTTCTAGCTAGGGTGTCTTCATATATGGTGATGTTATTAACCAAGAATGGGAATATAGTGGAGCAGGCTTGATGCATGTGAATTGGAGATAAGTGATAATGATTTTCCTTTCAAACATTTTAAGCCTGAATGGCAAACAAAAGCAAGGATCACTATACATGAAAGACACAAGGAATTTGTGTGTTTTTGTATGCACATACACGTGTGTGTGTTGAAATGACTACTGTTCAAGCCCACATGATTCTCTTCCAGCATGTGCACTCAAAACCTTCATTATCTAGACCTTGAAGTCATACTTTCTAAAATGTGATCAGTGGATAAACTGCATCAGAATCATCAGATCACTTTTTAAAAATAAAGTCCTGGGTACCAACAATTACTCAGATCATGTTGAGAACCACTGCCTTAAAAGATAGGGATTGTTATCATTTTGACAGGACAGTACCATCCTTAGACATTTCAAAGCCTCTTGGTTGCCTAAAAAATAAAGTCAGAGAATGTCACACATCTGGGATTAGTCTAGTCTAATCCCTTCTTATTCAGATCGGGAAACTGAGATCCAGATAGGGGAGTAACTCTCCCATGATTATCTGAACAGGCAATGAAATAGACTAGACTAGGGCTTTGGTCTCCTAGACCCTAGAACAGTGCTTTTACAGGCTTGAGAATTCTGAGTACAAACATCTACTGTGATTGCTGAATGAATTTTTTACTTTGTTCCAAAACAAAAATTTGGCCCAGGGAATAAATCCAGAATCAAACATTTTGTGTTGATGTCTCTGGTTATTCAGTTCCTAGCCTATTTTTTCTCTGAGCTACCTGGGAAGCAACAGACTTACAATATCTCCTTGAGCCTTCCTGACTATGGATCCTCTCAGTACTCCATTCAAAATCATCCAACCTCAAAACTACACAATATATAGAATATAAAAATACATATGCCCACACACACATACACAAACATATATATATATGTGTGTATGTGTGTGTATATAGATATATCAATCACAAACATAACAGAATAGATTATAATGGAGTATAAAGGTAAATTCAGACAGAATATGAAATCCATTATGCTTCACTTTCCCCTGCAAATTTCCATTTTTATCTACAGGCTTTCTCTTTATCATCGGAAATATGTCTTGTGCACTGCTTATTGTTTTATTGTGCGTACTGTTCCTTTTTTAACATCAGACAATTAACATTATAGTTGTTCAGTTTATAAGCACATACTGCCTTGCGCTGCCCAGAAACCATGAAACCAAGCTGCCTTAACTAACTAAATTTGTGCCACCCACCTCCCTGCATAGGCATTAGTTCAAGTTAAAGATGAGATTTTTGTATATTTGGTTGTTCCAAGTATTGAGTTCTTGAACAGTTGATTAGAGAAACTCCAAATTATATCCCAACTACACTGGTATAAATGTCAAAAAAGAGAAACCTGAGAAGTTTCAAGTTAGATACCCAATTTCCCCCCTCTTCTTTACCTGACCCAGTACAGTATGTTAGTGTGAGTATATTTGAATACTTAACAGCAGTTCTGTGAGGTCTGAGCAGCAACTTCCTTCTAACTTTTCACATCCTTCACTTCTCTCCAAGAGGCATTTTTATAAGGAAATGGACAATAAAAACACCAGGAGGTCAAATCTACTGAAATAAAAATGACTGCCCTCGCCTGAGTGGTCCAGGACCCCATCCAGAGTCTTCCTAATCCTATCCCATTCATCATGCTGCCTCGTTATCTTTTAAGACAGGCTTGAACTTCTAACTTGAGAAATATGGAGTAGATATACTTGTCTTTTCTTTTACTATGCAAAATTATAAACCCATGACATTATATGTACAACAAACATAAGAAGACTTGCAAAACTGGAAAGAAGTAGGAAGAGTGGGTAGGAACTGCAAGCCTTGAGGAACAGCATCTGGCATGTTTCCTTGGTTTCCTTTTTGCTTCATATATCCCACACTTGATACTAAAGAAAGCTGTAACCCAGAAATACCAATAGCTGCAGACAAAAAAGAATTCCAAACAAAAGCCTGCCCTTTCTAGGTAAAGGACCAAGAAAGGGGCAGCCTAGAAAGATTCAAAACTTTTAGACACTGACCATTCTCCTACAGCTAGATATCACAGAAAAAACTACAGTCACTATACTAGCAGAGGCTGAGTGAGAAACCTAGAATTTTACCCTTTACAAGTTATAACAAGGCACTCAACACTCTCTGCCAAGGAGGTATCAGAGAAACCTGAGTGGGGAACCAAAACTTTCATCACCAGTTGGCAGTATTTAGCACTCCTCTTTAGGTGTGAATGAAAACCATGCAGGGATCTTCAACTTCCATACTCATCTGGCAATAACAGAGTGCCCCTCCATCTCCCAAATATGTTATCAGAGAAGGCTTCCTATAGAGTCAGGACACTCACCACTGTCCAGCAGTATTGAGACCAGCTCCCCTGCAGTACAAGTGGAGGCCATCTGAGGAGCAGTAACAAGATATTCCTACCTCTTGCAACCCAGGAGCTATTAGAGGACATCTAGTGGGGGGGGGGGGGTGTCAGAATTTCCACCTAGTCGGTGGTCAGAACTCCAAGCAGTAAGAGATAGAAAATTTCAACACAGAACAAAAGCTATAAAGAAGAACCAGATAGAAATATAGAAATTCTAGCAATAAATAATGCAACAACCAAAATAAGAAATGCAATGAATGGATTCAATAGCAGAATGGAAGGAAAAGAGGAAAGACTAAATTAACTGGAAGCTAGAATGATAGAAATTACTACAACTGAACAACAATGAGAAATTTACTGAAAAAAGTAAACAGAGCTTCTGAGGTCTGTGGGATTGTAAGAAGGGGTCTAACATTCATGTCATCAGAGTTCCAAAGAAGAGACAAAATAAGGTAGAGCAAAAGACATTGAAAAAATAATGGCTAAAACTTTCTGAATTTGGAAAAAAAAATACATCTATAGATTTTAAAAATTGATAAAACCCCAAATAGAATAAACTCAAAGAAATAAACACTAAGACTCATAGCCACAGCTATTAAAGACAAAGAAAAAAATCTTGAAACAGTGAAAGAGAAATTATAATTTAACTATAGGTAAAAAACAATTTAAATCACAGGTTTCTTATTAGAAATTATGAATGTCAGAAAAAAAGTGGCACAACGTTTTTCAAGTATGAAAGAAAAAACTCATGTAACCCAGAATTCTGTACTCAGTGAAAGTATACTTCAGTAATAGAGGAAAAATCAAGACATTCTAAGATAAAGGGTAACAAAGAGAATTTTTCACCAGTTCAACTTCAAAAGAGTGGTTAAAAGAAGTTATCTAAAAAGAAAATAAATTACTAAAGAAGGAGGCTTGACTATCAGAAAGAAGAAAAAACAGCACTAAAAATATAAGTAAATAAAATAGACAATTCTCTTCAGATTTTAAAATTATGTTTGATGATTTAAACAAAAATTATTACACTGTTTGATATGGTTCTGATGTGGGAACTCCTGGGAGTTCTGATGTGGTTCTCAATGTGTGTACAAAAAATACCTAAGACAAATAAATTATAAATGGGGCAAAAACCCTAGTAACATGATAAAACCAGTAAATGATTATATATATATATATATATATATACACACACACACATACATATATAATAGTTTGTACATTATTTATATATATTTATATATATTTTATATATATAAGATAGAATAACCTAGAATACCACCAAAAAAAGCTATACAAAGAGATACACTCAAACACCCTATGTATAATTCAATATAGCATTCTAAAATATGTTCATGTAATCCAAAAAGGCAGGAAAGAAGAAACAGAGAAATAAAAACAGAAAGAACAAAGGGAAAACCAAAAGTGAAGCAGCAAATTTAAACCCTAATCTATTAATAATTTCATTAAATGTAAATGGTCAAAATATACCACATAAATTTAAAAGACAGAGGATGAGAGGGTGGAATAAACAGGCGTGACCGAACTATTCTATCTGTAAGAAACTCATATGAAATATAACATTAAAAGCATCATGAAAACTAAATAACATAAAATATATATTAAGAGCATATTTATAAAAAGGAAGCAAGAGTAACCATATTAATATCAGATAAAGTAGACAAGAGCAAAGAAAATTTAAAGACACATAAAATTATATGATGATAAAAAGTCAATCCACAAAGATGATAATCTTAAATAGGTATATCACATCAACCGAGCTGTAAAAATATGTGATGCAAAAATTAATAGAACTGAAAGGAGAAATAGACAAATCAGAATTATAGTTGGGGACTTTACCCCTCTCTCATCAATTGACAGTACAAGTAGACAGAAAATCAACAAAGACAGAGAATTCAACAACAACATCAGCCAACAGGTAGATCTAATAAATAAACATTTACATAAAACTCTACCCAACAATAGAATACACATATTTTATAAGTGCCCAGGGAATGTATACCAAGATAGACCATATTCTGGACCCAAAGCAAACCTAAACAAATATTAAAATAATTTAAACTATATAGAATATGTTCCTTAACCAAATGAAATCAAAGTACAAATCAATAACAGTAAGATAACAGGAAAATCTCCAAATATTTGCATACAAAGCCACACACTAGTGAATAATACATAAGTTAGAAAGGAACCCTCAAGATAAATTAAATAAAACATTTCACTGAATGAAAATTAAAATACACAAGATCAAAATTTGTAGAACATAAAAACTCTTCTTTTTTTTTTTTTTTTTTTTTTTGAGATGGAATCTCTGTCGCCCAGGCTGGAGTGCAGTGGGGCTGGAGTGCAGTGGTGTGATCTCGGCTCACTGCAACCTCTGCCTCCTGGGTTCAGGTGGTTCTCCTGCCTCAGCCTCACGAGTAGCTGGGATTACAGGTGCCTGCCACTACGCCCAGCTGTTTTTTTGCATTTTTAGTAGAGGTGGGGTTTCATCATGTTGGCCAGGCTGGTCTCAAACTCCTGACCTCGTGATTCACCCGCCTCAGCCTCCCAAAGTGCTGGGATTACAGGCGTGAACTATCATGCCCAGCAAAAACTCTTAAAGCTAATAAGTAAGTTCATCATGGTCTCAAGATACAAGATCAACATAAAAATAGCCATTACATTTCTATATACTAGCAAATGAGCATGTGGACTTTCAAATTAAAAGCATAATACAGTCACTAAAAAATGGAAATACTTAGATATAAGTAGTGTATATATATATATATATATATATAAGTATATATATACAAGTCTATGTATATGTCTATATATGTGTATATATATCTATATATATGTCTATATAAGTGTGTATATATATGTATATATATGTGTGAGTATATGTAAGACTTTGTATTAAAAACTACAAAATTTGGAGGACAGAAATCAAAGATGATTTAAATAAATGCAGAGACATGCCATGTTTATGTATTGGAAGATCCACCATTGTGAAGATACGAATTGTCACCAAATTCATCTGTAGGTTTATCAGAGTTGTTATCAAAATTTCAGCAAGTTTTTTGTAGATGTATACAAAATAATTTTGAAATTTGTATGGAAAGCCAAAGGAACTAGAATTGCTTAAATGATTTTGAAAAAAGAGAATACAATGAGAGGAAATCAGTTTTCCTATCTTCAGAATGTATAAAGCTACAATAATCAAGACTATGTGGTATTGGCAGAGGGATAGACACATAGATCAATGGAATAGAACAGAGAACCCAGATTTTTGACAGAGGTGCAAAGGCAATTCAATAAGGAAAGGATAGTCTTTTCAACACATAGTGTGGGAAAAATTGGACATCAATAGGCATAAAAGAATAACTTTGACTAAAACCTCACACTCTATACAAAAGCAATTCGAAATGGATCACAGACTTAAATGTAAAACATAAAACTATAAAACTTTTAGAAGATAACAGGAAAAAAATCTCTGGGACCTAGAAATTTTTGAAGTATTAGACATGATATCAAATCATACTTCACAAAGAATTGAAATGTTAGACTTCATCAAAATTAAACCAACCAACAAAAAATGTTTGATGTGCTCAAGATTCCTGTTAAGGGTATGAAAATCCAAGCTACATACTTGGAGAAAATATTTGTAAACCACGTATTTGACAAAAGTCTTTGCTATAGACTGGATGTTTATGCACTTACCCGTGCCAAATTCATATGTTGAAATTTTAACCCTCAATGTGTTGGTAATTAGAAGTGGAGCCTTAGGGTGGCAGTTAGGTCACGAGGGTGTAGCCCTTATAATGGGATGATGTCCTACTAAAAAAGAAAAAGATCTCTTTTATGGCTGTCTAATAATTGTGAATATTAATAGTTGTGAACATTACAAAGTCTTTTACCGGGGACTGTTGAGGGGTGGGGGGAGGGGGGAGGGGGAGGGACAGCATTAGGAGATATGCCTAATGCTAAATGATGAGTTAATGGGTGCAGCATACCAACATGGCACATGTATACATATGTAACAAACCTGCACGTTGTGCACATGAAACCTAAAACTTAAAGTATAATAATAATAAAAAAAACAATCCAACCTTTGCTTAACTACTTTCCTAGCCTCAATTCCCATCATTTCCTCCCCATCTTCTTTCCCCTTCTCACCTCATTAAATGTCCAGAGCAGCTGGAAAATATACATAATGCCAAAGATATTTTTAGAGGCATGATTTAACACCTTTATGCAAATTAAAGATGCCCCACCTCAGATAGAGGGAGACATATATTGGCAATCATATCTAATTGGACAGAGATGGACTGTATTTCCATCATTACTTAAGCCTTTATTGATCCTCACCTGGTCCATGACAATATCTATCTAACTGATCTCAAGCCCTCAAAATTCTGTCTCCTGACTCCTGATTCTATATTACCACTCTTGATCAAGATCCCCTCTCCCAACAACTAGTTATAATTATCTAATTTTCTGAGTCTTCCCTACTAGATTAGAAATTGCTAGCAGGCAGTTAATGTCTCAGATTTATGTCTTTCCAGGGCCCACCATAGGGCCTGACACAGAGTAGGTGCTCAGGAAGTGTTTGCTGAATTTGATCAAATTTGCTGAGCCACTCAACTAAGTCCTTTGCCTACCCCCAACCTCCTCTGGCTCTCAGAAGCTGAATTGCTAAAACGTCACTTTATGGACCTAGGTGGGTGGAAAACAGAACTTTGTTCAAACCATAAAAGTGCTTGGATCATTGTACTGTAGCCAAGTAGGCAGCTTCTTAAGGTGCCCTGGATTTAAGGCCAAAATGTGGACAAGTAGGACTATTACTAAGGGCTTCTGACATGAAGAATTGAGATAGATTCATCTGTGCATGAGGCCCTCCCTCTCAGTTGGCAACCAAAATGAGCTGGCTCATTTTCTGCTTTGAATTTTGATTTCTATTTCTTCATCCGAGGATCTATTTACTGCTCAGGCTTTTATTTATTATTCAGTTCTTTGATTTTTTAGAAACATGCTCTCTGCCTTGAAAGCTTAGGGGAAGAAGTCCAATAAAATATATCATTAATTAAAGACAAAATGATGGAGAGAAGTCATAATAAAGAAGAAAAAGTAGGGAAAAAATAGCTGTCTCATTTGTTGCATTTGTTGAACCCTTTTTTCCAAGAAGTTCAAAATTGGTCACAGGATTCCTTGACATCTAGACTTCTATTAAGCTCCTCCTGTTTGCAGAGTTCTTGAGGGGCTTTTGAAATATTCAACAAAAATAAATACAGGCACATTGGAGGGATAACCAGCAATCAGTGGCACATCTGTTGTGGTCTTTAATGAGCTGCACAATCTGCCTACAAGAATACATTTATTTCCATACTTGCTGGCAATCACAGTGAAATATGGCCCTCAACAGTCAGTCTCCAGTAGGGATTTCCTCAGTTGAAGAGAGCTGCCTTGCTCAAGGTCATGCCCCTCTCCAGGGAAAGGGAAAATACATGTGCCTCTATTAGTAATAAATACAAAGTTATAAAGACCTGGCCACCTTACCTCAACTCAGGAAAACTCTGAAGGATCATTCCAGTTTCAAACACACCTCAGTTCTCTGCCAAATCCTGCTTTCTTCCCTTCTCTTTCACAGGTATTGATCTCAAGAGTATTCCTAATATACCTCCTGCACACTAATCTCTGTCTTTGCTTTTCAGGAACTCCAACCTCTGAGATCTTTCTTCAGTCACAGAGTAGATATTGAACAACTGGGCTTTTCTGCTGGCTGTGAGTTTCTGTTGGGCAATGGCTTTGGCGTCCTACCCACATCAAGCTCATTGCCTGGTAGGTACATTGTATGTGTTAAGTAAATGTATCTAGAATTTAATAGCCCAAATAAAATAGTAAGGGACTGGAAAAACTGTTCTCAGAAATGTGCTGATCCAGAAAGAGGTAAGCACTGTGCTATGATTCTCTCTCTCTCTCTCTCTCTCTCTTTCTCTCCTCTCCTCTTTTGATCTACAATTTTCGGTTAAGCAATTGTAAAAGGTAGGTATTATCAACATCATTTTCAAAATATGGAAACTAAGGCTGAATTTTAATTAGATCCCATTTGTCAATTTTGGCTTTTGTTGCAATTGCTTTTGATGCTTTAGTCATGAAGTCTTTGCCCATGCCTATGTCCTGAGTGGTATTGCCTAGGTCTTCTTCTAGGTTTTTTTTTTTTTATCATTTTAGGTTTTACATTATAAGTCTTTAATCCATCTTGAGTTAATTTTTGAATAAGATGTAAGGAAAGGGTCCAGTTTCAGTTTTCTGCATATGGCTAGACAGTTTTCCCAGCACCATTTATTAAATAGGGAATTCTTTCCCCATTGCTTGTTTTTGTCAGGTTTGTCAAAGATCAGATGGTTGTAGATGTGTGATGATATTTCTGAGGACTCTGTTCTGTTCCATTGGTCTATATATCTGTTTTGGTATCAGTACCATGCTGTTTTCATTACTGTAGCCTTATAGTAGGGTTTGAAGTCAGGTAGCGTGATGCCCCCAGCTCTGTTCTTTTTGCTTAAGATTGTCTTGGCTATATGGGCTCTTTTTTGCTTCCACATGAAATTTAAAGTAGTTATTTTCTAATTCTGTGAGGAAAGTCAATGGTGTCTTCATGTGAATAGCATTGAATCTCTAAATTACTTTGGGCAGTATGGCCATTTTCACGATATTGATTCTTCCTATACATGAGCATGGAATGTTTTTCCATTTGTTTGTGTCCTCTCTTATTTCCTTCAGCAGTGGTTTGTAGTTCTCCTTGCAGAGGTCCTTCATATCCCTTGTAAGTTGTATTCCTAGGTATTTTACTCTCTTTGTAGCAATTTTGAATGGGAGTTCTATCATGACTTGGCTCTCTTGGTGTTTGTCTATTATTGGTGTATAGGAATGGTTGTGATTTTTGCACATTTATTTTGTATCCTGAGACTTTGCTGAAGTCTCATGGACTTATCAGCTTAAGGAGTTTTGGGGCTGAGAAGATGGGGTTTTCTAAATATACAATCATGTCATCTGCAAACAGAGATAATTTGACTTCCTCTTTTCCTATTTGAATACCCTTTATTTCTTTCTCTTGCCTGATTGCCCTGGCCAGAACTTCCAATACTGTGTTGAATAGGAGTGGTGAGAGAAGGCATCCCTGTCTTGTGCCAGTTTTCAAAGGGAATGCTACCAGCTTATGTGCACTCAGTATGATATTGGCTATGGGTCTGTTGTAAATAGCTCTTATTATTTTGAGATACGTTCCATCAATATCTAGTTTACTGAGCGCTTTTAGCATGAAGGGGTGTAGAATTTTCTCGAAGGCCTTTTCTGCATCTATTGAGATAATCATGTGTTTTTTGTCATTGGTTCTATTTATATGATGGATTACGTTTATTGATTTGTGTATGTTGAACCAGCCTTGCATCCCAGGGAAGAAGCCGACTTGTTCTTGGTGGATAAGCTTTTTGATGTACTGCTGGATTCGGTTTGACAGTATTTTATTGAGGATTTTTGCATTGCTATTTATCAGGGATACTGGCTTAAAATTTACTTTTTTTTTGTTGTGTCTCTGACATGTTTTGGTATCAGGATGATGCTGGCCTCGTAAAATAAGTTAGGGAGGAGTCCATCTTTGTCTATTGTTTGAAATAGTTTCAGAAGGAATGGTACCAGCTCCTCTTTGTACCTCTGGTAGAATTAGGCTGTGAATCCATCAGGTCCTGGGCTTTTTCTTGGTTGGTAGGCTATTAATTACTGCCCCAATTTCGGAACTTGTTATTGTTCTATTCAGGGATTCAACTTCTTCCTGGTTTAGTCTTGGTAGGATGTATATGTTCGGGAATTTATCCATTTCTTCTAGATGTTCTAGTTTATTTTCATAGATGAGATTATAGTATTCTCTGATGGCAGTTTCTATTTCTGTGGGATCAGTGGTGATATCCCCTTTATCTTTATTTATTGTGTCTATTTGACACTTCTCTCTTTTCTTCTTTATTAATCTGGCTAGCGGTCTATTTATTTTGTTAATTGTTTCAAAAACCAGCTCCTGGATTCATTGATTTTTTTAAGGCTTTTTCTTGTCTCTGTCTCCTTCAGTTCTGCTCTCATCTTAGTTATTTCTTGTCTTCTGCCAGCTTTTGAGTTTGTTTGCTCTTGCTTCTCTAGTTCTTTTAATTGTGATGTTTAGGCATCGATTTTAGATCTTTCCTGCTTTCTGATGAGGGCATTAAGTGCTACAAATTTCCCTCTTAACACTGCTTTAGTTGTGTCCCAGAGATTGTGGTACATTGTCTCTTTGTTCTCATTGATTTCAATGAACTTCGTTATTTCTGCCTTAATTTCGTTATTTACCCAGTAGTCCTTCAAGAGCAGGTTGTTCAGTTTCCATGTAGTTGTGGGGTTTTGTCTCAGTTTTCTAATTCTGAATTCTCATTTTATTGCACTGTGGACTGAGAGATTGTTTGTTATAATTTCTGTGTTTTGCATTTTCTGAGGAGTGTTTTACTTCCAATTACATGGTCCATTTTAGAATAAGTGCTATGTGGTGTTGAGGGAATGTATATTCTATTGATTTGATGTGAGACTTTTGTAGATGTCTATTAGGTCCGCTTGGCCCAGAGCTGAATTCAAGTCCTGAATATCCTTGTTAATTTTCTGCCTCATTGATCTGTCTAATATTGACAGTGGGGTGCAAAAGAAACTATCATCAGGGTGAACAGGCTACCTACAGAATGGGAGAAAGTTTTTGCAATCTATCCATCTGACAAAGGACTTAATGAACTTAAACAAATTACAAGAAAAATACAAACAACCCCATCAAAAAGGGAGCAAAGTATACGAGCAGACACTTCTTAAAGGAAGACATTTATGTGGCCAACAAATGTATTTAAAAAAGCTCATCATCACTGGTCATTACAGAAATGCAAATCAAAACCACAATGAGATACCATGTTATGCCAGTTAGAATGGTGGTCATTAAAAAGTCAGGAAATAACAGATGCTAGCAAGGATGTGGAGAAATAGGAATGCTTTTACACTGTTGGTGGGAGTTTAAATTAGTTCAACCATTGTGGAAGACAGTGTGGTGATTTCTCAAGGATCTAGAAACAGAAATATCATTGGACCCAGCAATCCCATTATTGGGTATATATCCAAAGGATTGTAAATTATTCTATTATAAAGACACATGCACATGTATGTTTATTGCAGCACTATTTACAATAGCAAAGATTTGGAACCAACCTAAATGCCTATTAAGAATAGACTGGATAAAGAAATTGTGGCACATATACACCAAGGAATACTATGCAGCCATAAAAAAGAATGAGTTCATGTCCTTTGTAGGACATGAAACTAAGGCTGAATAAAGTTAGTTGCCTTTGCCCAAGTTCCCCTAGTTAATAAGTGGCAGGGCCCATATTCGAACTGAGGTTTGACTGGCCCCAAATCTTGTATTTCACATGGATCATGGATGCAAAGAGGTAGCTTCTCTAGATATGTCCTTTTCCTCCCAATTGTTTGTCTGTATATATAATTTTTTTTACACAATTTTAAATGAGAATCTTGCTATGGGGTCAAGTGAAAGATGGTATCAATTGGTGTGGCTTTTTAAACAGACCAAAGAATACCACATAGTGATTTATTTTGTGTATCTTTGTACTGCTAGGGTCATTTTTCTTTTTGGTAGTTCTTAATACATTTCTTTTGAGTTGAAATTCTAATGCAATATATAGTGTTCAAAAAGGGGCATAAAACATACATGTGAAATATACAAATGTTTGTATAGTGAAACATGTAATAACCACTGAAGTAAAAGACTAAAACATTACTATCACTTAGACTTTCCCTTTGTATACCTGGCCAATTGCAACACTTATACTAGTGGTAATCATAGCTTAGCATTTACAGTAATAATTTATTTGCTTTAAGAAATAGTGCTACACATACTTATGCATCCCTAAACAATACAGAGCATGATTTGTCAAACTATGGCTCGTGGGTCTAATCCAATCTCCCCCTTGTTTTTTGTAGAGTTTTGTTGGAGAACAACCATACACATTCATTTGAGTATTGTCAACAGTTTTTTATGCACTTCAGAGATGAGTAGTTGCAACAGGAACTGTATGACCCATGAAGCTTAAAATGTTTACTATATGGCCCTTTACACAAAAAGTTTTTTTTTAAATTATACTTTATGTTTTAGGGTACATGTGCACATTGTGCAGGTTAGTTACATATGTATACATGTGCCATGCTGGTGTGCTGCACCCACTAACTCGTCATCTAGCATTAGATATATCTCCCAATGCTATCCCTCCCTCCTCCCCCCACCCCACAACAGTCACCAGAGTGTGATATTCCCCTTCCTGTGTCCATGTGATCTCATTGTTCAATTCCCACCTATGAGTGAGAATATGCGGTGTTTGGTTTTTTGTTCTTGTGATAGTTTACTGAGAATGACGATTTCCAATTTCATCCATGTCCCTACAAAGGACATGAACTCATCATTTTTTATGGCTGCATAGTATTCCATGGTGTATATGTGCCACATTTTCTTAATCCAGTCTATCATTGTTGGACATTTGGGTTGGTTCCAAGTCTTTGCTATTGTGAATAATGCCGCAATAAACATATGTGTGCATGTGTCTTTATAGCAGCATGATTTATAGTCCTTTGGGTATATACCCAGTAATAGGATGGCTGGGTCAAATGGTATTTCTAGTTCTAGATCCCTGAGGAATCACCACACTGACTTCCACAATGGTTGAACTAGTTTACCGTCCCACCAACAGTGTCAAAGTGTTCCTATTTCTCCACATCCTCTCCAGCACCTGTTGTTTCCTGACTTTTTAATGATTGCCATTCTAACTGGTAAAAAGTTTGTTTTTTGATATAGATTAGTTTTGCTTGTTTTAAACTTTACGGAAAGAAAATTATACAATATGTACTGCTTGAGGACTTATTTTCCCTCAACGGTGCATGTGTAAGTTTTATGCACAAAGAATCATTATTTTCTAGGCATCAGCTGCTAACAATTGAAGTAACTATGAATTTCATAGTCTTATTTCAACTTCTTGAATTAAACTGTATTATATTTTAAAAACTATTTGTAAAAATATATACACTATAGAAAATATGGAAAAATGGAAAAATGGAAAAATAAAATAAATAAATAATTTTAATGAAAATGAATTTCTTTTTTTATCAGTTAAAGACAACAATTTATGGCATATTTTTTTCAAAAACTCTTCATTTTCCTACTTTAAAAAAGATAATTCTAGTTTTTTTAGAAATAGAAAAAATAACCTAAATGGAAGAAAACAATCTGTAACTTTGCACCTGTCTTCAGTTTTGTTTTCCCTATAGTTTTTTAATTTACTAGTCTTGACAATAAAAAGATTACATGTCAAAACTTACATACAGGAGGCGGTTCCGAGATGGCCAAATAGGTACAGCTCCCGTTTACAGCTCCCAGCATGAGCAACGCAGAAGACGGGTGATTTCTGCATTTCCAACTGAGGTACCAGGTTCGTCTCACTGGGGGTTGTCGGACAGTGGGTGTAGGACAGTGGGTGCAGTGCCACGAGCATGAGCTGAAGCAGGGCGAGGCATCATCTCACCCAGAAACCTCAAGGGGTCAGGGAATTCCTTTTCATAGCCAAGCAAAGCTGTGACAGATGGAACCTGGAAAATCGAATCACTCCCAACCTAATACTGCGCTTTTCCAACGGTCTTAGCAAATGGCACGCAAGGAGATTATGTCCCATGCCTAGCTCAGAGGGTCCCACACCCACGGAGCCTCACTCATTGCTAACACAGCAGTCTGAGATCGAATTGCAAGGCAGCAGTGAGGCTGGGGGAGGGGCACCCACCATTGCTGATGCTTGAGTAGGTAAACAAAGGGGCTGGGAAGCTCGAACTGGGTGAAGCCCACCGCAGCTCAAGGAGGCCTGACTGCCTCTGTAGACTCCACCTCTGGCGGCAAGGCATAGCTGAACAAAAGGCAGCAGAAACCTCTGCAGACTTAAATGTCCCTGTCTGACAGCTTTGAAGAGAGTAGT
This sequence comes from Homo sapiens, assembly GCF_000001405.40. Taxonomy (NCBI): domain Eukaryota; kingdom Metazoa; phylum Chordata; class Mammalia; order Primates; family Hominidae; genus Homo; species Homo sapiens. The sequence continues at coordinate 67,191,935 of NC_000023.11, read as the reverse complement.
GGTTCTCCCAGCACGGAGTTTGAGATCTGAGAATGGACAGACTGCCTCCTCAAGTGGGTCTCTGACCCCTGAGTAGCCTAACTGGGAGGCAACCCCCAGTAGGGGCAGACTGACACCTCGCACAGCAGGGTACCCCTCTGAGAGGAAACCTCCAGAGGAACGATCAGACAGCAACATTTGCTGTTCAGCCATATTCGCCATTCTGCAGCCTCTGCTGCTGATACCCAGGCAAACAGGGTCTGGAGTGGACCTCCAGCAAACTCCAACAGACCTGCAGCTGAGGGTCCTGACTGTTTGAAGGAAAACTAACAAAAAGAAAGGACATCCACACCCAAACCCCATCTGTATGTCACCATCATCAAAGAACAAAGGTAGGGGAAAAAAACAGAACAGAAAAACTGAAAATTCTAAAAACCAGAGTACCTCTCCTCCTCAAAAGGATCGCAGCTCCTCACCAGCAAGGAAACAAAGCTAGACAGAGAATGATTTGACGAGTTGAGAGAAGAAGCCTTCAGATGATCAAACTACTCCAAGCTAAAGGAGGAAGTTCGAACCCATGGCAAAGAAGTTAAAAACCTTGAAAAAAGATAAGATGAATGGCTAACTAGAATAACCAATGCAGAGGAGTCCTTAAAGGACCTGATGGAGCTGAAAACCATGGCAAAAGAACTACATGACGAATGCACAAGCTGCAGTAGCTGATTCAATCAACTGGAAGAAAGTGTATCAGTCATTGAAGATCAAATGAATGAAATGAAGTGAGAAGAGAAGTTTAGAGGAAAAAGAATAAAAAGAAAGGAACAAAGCCTCCAAGAAATATGGGACTATGTGAAAAGACCAAATCTAAGTCTGATTGGTATACCTGTAATAGACGGGGAAAATGGAACCAAGTTGGAAAACACTCTGCAGGATATTATCCAGGAGAACTTCCCCAATCTAGCAAGGCAGGCCAACATTCAAATTCAGGAAATACAGAGAAGGCCACAAAGATAATCCTCAAGAAGAGCAACTCTAAGACACATAATTGTTAGATTCACCAAAGTTGAAATGAAGGAAAAAATGTTAAGGGAAGCCAGAGAGAAAGGTCGGGTTACTCACAAAGGGAAGCCCATCAGACTAACAGCAGATCTGTCGGCATAAACTCTACAAGCCAGAAGAGAGTGAGGGCCAATATCCAGTGTTCTTAAAGAAAAGAATTCTCAACCCAGAATTTCATATCCAGTGAACTAAGCTTCATAAGCAAAGGAGAAATAAAATCCTTTACAGACAAGCAAATGCTGAGAGATTTTGTCACAACCAGGCCTGCCCTATAAGAGCTCCTGAAGGAAGCACTAAACATGGAAAGGAATAACCAGTACCAGCCACCGCAAAAATATGCCAAATTGTAAAGACCATCGATGCTAGGGAGAAACTGCATCAACTAATGAACAAAATAACCAGCTAACATCATAATGACAGGATCAAATTCACACATAACAATACTAACCTTAAATGTAAATGGGCTAAATGCTCCAATTAAAAGACACAGACTGGCAAATTGGATAAAGAGTCAAGACCCATCAATGTGCTGTATTCAGGAAACCCATCTCATATTCAGAGACACATAAAGGCACAAAATAAAGGGATGGAGGAAAATCTACCAAGCAAATGGAAAACAAAAAAAGGCAGGTGTTGCAATTCTAGTCTCTGGTAAAACAGACTTTAAACCAACAAAGATCAAAAGAGACAAAGAAGGCCATTACATAATGGTAAAGGGATAATTTCAACAAGAAGAGCTAACTATCCTAAATATATATACACCCAATACAGGAGCACCCAGATTCATAAAGTAAATCCTTAGAGACCTACAAACAGACTTAGACTCCCACACAATAATAATGGGAGACTTTAACACCCCACTGTCAACATTAGACAGATCAATGAGACAGAAAGCTAACAAGGATATCCAGGAATTGAACTCAGCTCTGCACCAAGCAGACCTAATAGACATCTACAGAACTCTCCACCCCAAATCAACAGAATATGCATTCTTCTCAGCACCACACCACACCTACTCCAAAACTGACCACATAGTTGAAAGTAAAGCTCTCCTCAGCAAGTGTAAAAGAACAGAAATTATAACAAACTGTCTCTCAGACCACAGTGCAATCAAACTAGAACTCACTCAAAACCGCTGAATTACATGGAAAATGAACAACCCGCTCCTGAATGACTACTGGGTACATAACGAAATTAAGGCAGAAATAAAGATGTTCTTTGAAACCAATGAGAATAAAGACACAACATAAAAGTCTCTGGGACACATTCAAAGCAGTGTGTAGAGGGAAATTTATAGCATTAAATGACCACAAGAGAAAGCAGGAAAGATCTAAAATTGACACCCTAACATCACAATTAAAAGAACTAGAGAAGCAACAGCAAACACATTCAAATCTAGCAGAAGGCAAGAAATAACTAAGATCAGAGCAGAACTGAAGGAAATAGAGACACAAAAAAACCTTAAAAAATCAATGAATCTAAGAGCTGGTTTTTTGAAAAGATCAACAGAATTGATAGACTTCTAGGAAGACTAATAAAGAAGAAAAGAGAGAAGAATCAAATAGACGCAGTAAAAAATGATAAAGGGGATATCACCACTGATCCCACAGAAATACAAACTGCCATCAGAGAATAATGTAATCACCTCTACATAAATAAACTGGAAAATCTAGAAGAAATGCATAAATTCCTCGACACATACACCCTCCCAAGACCAAACCAGGAAGAAGTTGAATCTCTGAATAGAACAATAGCAGGCTCTGAAATTGAGGCAATAGTTAATAGCTTATCAAACAAAAAAAGTCCAGGACTAGACGGATTCACAGCTGAATTCTACCAGTGGTACAAGGAGGAGCTGGTACCATTTCTTCTGAAACTATTCCAATCAATAGAAAAAGAGGGAATCCTCCCTAACTCAATTTATGAGGCCAGCATCATCCTGATACCAAAGCGTGGAAGAGACACAACAAAAAAACGGAATTTTAGAACAATATCCCTGATGAACATCAATGCAAAAATCCTCAATAAAATACTGGCAAACCGAATCCAGCAACACATCAAGAAGCTTATCCACCATGATCAAGTGGGTTTCATCCCTGGGATGCAAGGCTGGTTCAACATACACAAATCAATAAACATAATCCAGCGTACAAACAGAACCAACGACAAAAACCACATGATTATCTCAATAGATGCAGAAAAGGCCTTTGACAAAATTCAACAGCCCTTCATGGTAAAAACTCTCAATAAATTAGGTATTGATAGGACGTATCTCAAAATAATAAGAGATATTTATGATAAACCCACAGCCAATATCATACTGAATGAGCAAAAACTGGAAGCATTCCCTTTGAAAACTGGAACAAGACAGGGATGCCTTCTCTCACCACTCCTATTCAACATATTGTTGGAAGTTCTGGCCAGGGCAATCAGGCAGGAGAAGGAAATCAAGGCTATTCAATTAGGAAAAGAGGAAGTCAAATTGTCCCTGTTTGCAGATGACGTGATTGTATATCTAGAAAACCCCGTCATCTCAGCCCAAAATCTCATTAAGCTGATAAACAACTTCAGCAAAGACTCAGGATAAAAAATCGATGTGCAAAAATCACAAGCATTCTTTTACACCAATAACAGACAAACAGAGAGCCAAATCATGAGTGAACTCCCATTCACAATTGCTACAAAGAGAATAAAATACCTAGGAATCTAATTTAAGAGGGATGTGAAGGACCTCTTCAAGAAGAACTACCAACCACTGCTCAACGAAATAAAAGAGGATACAAGCAAATGGAAGAACATTCCATGCTCATGGGTAGCAAGAATCAATATCATGAAAATGGCCATACTGCCCAAGGTGATGTATAGATTCAATGCCATCCCCATCAATCTACCAATGACTTTCTTCACAGCATTGGAAAAAACTACTTTAAAGTTCATATGGAAGCAAAAAAGAGCCCACATTGCCAAGTCAATCCTAAGCCAAAAGAACAAAGCTGGAGGCATCATGCTACCTGGCTTCAAACTATACTACAAGGCTACAGTAACCAAAACAACAGGGTACTGGTACCAAAACAGAGAGATAGACCAATGGAGCAGAACAGAGCCCTCAGAAATAATACCACACATCTACAACCATCTGATCTTTGACTAACCTGACAAAAACAAGAAATGGAGAAAGGATTTCTATTTAACAAATCGTGTGGGGAAAACTGGCTAGCCATATGTAGAAAGCTGAAACTGGATCCCTTCCTTACACCTTATACAAAAATTAATTCAAGACGGATTAAAGACTTACATGTTAGACCCAAAACCATAAAAACCCTAGAAGAAAACCTAGGCAATACCATTCAGGACATAGGTATGGGCAAGGACTTCATGTCTAAAACACCAAAAGCAATGGCAACAAAAGCCAAATTTAACAAATGGGATCTAATTCAACTCAAGAGCTTCTGCATAGCAAAATAAACTACCATCAGAGTGAACAGGCAACCTACAGAATGGGAGAAAAATTTTTGCAATCTACTCATCTGACAAAGGGCTAATAAGCAGAATCTACAAAGAACTCAAATAAATTTACAAGAAAAAAAAACAAACAACCCCATCAAATGTGGGCGAAGGACATGAACAGACACTTCTCAAAAGAAGACTCATGCAGCCAACAGACACATGAAAAAAAACTCATCATCACTGGCCATCAGACAAATGCAAATCAAAAGCACAATGAGATACCATCTCACACCAGTTAGAATGGTGATCTTTAAAAAGTCAGGAAACAACAGGTTCTGGAGAGGATGTGGAGAAATAGGAACACTTTTACACTGTTGGTGGGACTGTAAACTAGTTCAACCATTGTGGAAGTCAGTGTGGCGATTCCTCAGGGATCTAGAACTAGAAATACCATTTGACCCAGCCATCCCATTACTGGGTATATACCGAAGGGACTGTAAATCATGCTGCTATAAAGACACATGCACACATATGTTTATTGCGGCACTACTCACAATAGCAAAGACATGGAACCAACCCAAATGTCCAACAATGACAGACTGGATTAAGAAAATGTGGCACATATACACCATGGAATACTATGCAGCCATAAAAAAGGATGAGTTTGTGTCCTTTGTAGGGACATGGATGAAGCTGGAAACCATCATTCTCAGCAAACTATCACAAGGACAAAAAACCACACACTGCATGTTCTCACTCATAGGTGGGTGTTGCACAATGAGAACACTTGGACACAGGAACGGGAATATCACACACTGGGGCCTTTTGTGGGGTGGGGGGAGGGGGAAGGGATAGCATTAGGAGATATACCTAATGTAAATGATGAGTTACTGGGTGCAGCACACCAACATGGCACATGTATACATATGTAACAAACCTGCTCGTTGTGCCCATGTATGCTAGAACTTAAAGTATAATACAACAATTAAAAAAAACTTACATACAAAACCTATGTGATGTAGACAAAGGAATACTGAAGAATTCTTTCAGCTTTAAATATTTTAGAAACAAATAAATATTAGAAAAAAATTAATTTAGATTTTAACTTAACAAGCTGAAAAAATAATTGCAAATATTTTCTAATTATATGGATGCATATTTATGCATTACCCTTTGATATCGATTCTTTATTTTATCATATTGTAGCCCTTTATATCTCTGAGAGACTTTTATGGTGATCTTCCTGATGTTTTTTGATAAGCTCATTGTCCCTAGCATTTCTAACAGCTTTGTAGATTTTAAAACAATATCCTTAGGTAAGCAATCATGTGTATTACAGCTTCCTTTAGCATTGCTACTTTCAGAATATAAAATTCTTCTTTTTTTCCTGTTTAAACATTTTTTGCCTTTAATTCTATTATATGTGTGATATTAACATTGCCTGATAATAGTGCTTGAATACTTGATTTCATCTTCCTCTCAGTTGTTTTCTTCATTCTAGTATTTGTCTTCATTCTATTATTTGTGTAATATATATTTTTTTCACTATTTATTTTCTAACTTTTAAAATCTTTTTTTGAAAGATTCAGGTATCCTTTTTTTTCTGTTTTCTATTTACTGTGCTCTTTTTTCTCCTTCATGTAATAGTGTGTGCACACACATACAGGCGTAGACACACACACAGTCCTATTCACTATTTTTTTGCCTTTTTGTTGAATTATTCAAAATTTCTTTGTCCTTTTTCTTCTAGTGCATTGGAAGTTATAGTAAACTTTTTATGAATAGTTACCCATAAGTGTTTATTGCATATTTAAATTTGCATTTTCTATCAAGCCTAGAATTTAAAATAATTTGACATGTTCGCTTTCTCTCCATCTCTCTCTTAATGTAATCATCTGTGACTAAAGTTTGGAATTGTTATAAACTAACATTGTTTGGAAACCTATTATAATTATTATTGGCTGTAGTGTTTACTGCTCTTTCTGATATTTACATTTTCCTCTTTCTTGGAATTTTGTTTTCAAGTAATTATTTCACTCAAAGGGCCTTAACATTCCTGAGGTTTGTATTTCTGAAAACTTTTCTATTCTACTTTCATGGTTCATGGTTGGCTTGGTTGGGGATTGATTGTAAATCAAAATAATGTTAGCACAAAAATTTAAAGATGTGATGCTATTGCCTTCTGGCATCCAGTGTTGCTAGTGAAAATTTAGATGCCAAATTAATTTTCATTTATTGTGTGTAAAAGCTGTTTTTATTCTTCCTAATATGGAAACATTTAGTTTTTTTAAGTTATAGTTCTGAAATTTAATGAAGTGTCTAAGGGCAGATTTTGGTTACTTTTATTATTATTATTCTGCTTGATTCTTGTTGGTCTCATGCTTTGGGGGAAGCATGGGGACATTGTCTTTTTCTATTTATTTGATTATTTACCCTGACTTATATTGTTGTCCTCCATCTTTATAACTCCTCTTAGTTGTACGGTGAACATTCTGGATTACACATATAGGTATGTCAGTTTTCATTTCATAGTTTTCATCTTTTTTTCTTTGTGGTATGCTTGATTTTCACAACTATAAGATTATGAATTCAATCTCTAGTCATAATCATTGTACTGTTAAGCCCTTCTAATAATGATTATTATTTAAGTAATCTTATTTTTCATTTGAAGATATACTTTCTTTTTCTTTATCTGCTTCTTTTTCAGAATAGCCTGATTTTTATTTGTGAATGCAATAATCTCTTGACATCTCTGAGGATATTAATTACAATTTAAAAATTACTCTGTTTTATGAGCTATGTTTTTATCAGTCTGTCATTCTATGTGATCATCTTGAACTTTCTCTTTTTTGCTGTTGGTTTTCCTTACATGTTTGAAAATCTTGCTTCTCCATCTATACAAATGTAAGACTATCTTACTTAGTGTGAATGAAAGTGTTTAATGAACAATAAAATTGACTAGAGAATCACTGTTAGAGGGTGGAGGCATGGCTACTGACTGATTTCACTTTAGTGAGCCTGAGGTAATAGCAGAAAGGGAAATAGACATGCTGTTCAATCTAATCTCCTCTCTCCTTTTTCCAGGAATTTCTAAATATGTCTACTCTATTGACAAAAATATATACTTTTTCTAACGCTGTTATAGATTTATTCTTTTCTGCAATATATTGTGACATTTATTGAGGTTTTTTTTGTGGCCTAGTATGTGAGTAATTTTTGTAAACGTGCCATGGGCATTTAAATATATATATATAAATATATATATATATATATATATATACACACATATATATATACATGTACATATATACACACACATTTAACATATATAACTTAAGTTATATATATGAAGTTTTATCTATATATAAAATAACATATATATAAGTAAAAATATAACTTACTGTGTTTTTAAAATTATTTATAATTCTATTTTATTTTTGTCTACTTGATCTGTAGAGAAATTTTAGAGGTTAAAGTCCTCTGTTATTGTGTTTCTGTCTATTTATCTTTGTATTTCTGAAGATTTGCTTTATTTTGATGTAATGTTGTGTGACATATAAAGGTTCATGACCATTATATTTTCACTTTTAATATAAAATAACTTGTATTGTCCAGTTTAATGATGTTCGTCTTGCATTATTGTCCCTTACTTTTTTCATTGCTTTATAATGTATATAGCCTCTTTTAAATTTAACTAGTAGATACTTTAATATTCTACAAAATCTTTCCTTTATGTCAGTTTTAAAAGTGAAATGCTTTTTTGTTTTGATCAATTTAAGGTCAACAGTTTAAGAGTTTATTTCTCATTTCTACCCTGCTTATAAGTCTATGAGTATTACCTGGCAATTTCAATCCAGATTACATTATTATTTTTATGCAAACCAAGAGGTGGGATTGTTCCAGTCAAAGCAAAAGTGAAATTATGGTAAAGAGCAAAGGTGATGGTGACATTTTTTTTTTCAAAGCATTTTGCTTGTTGAATTTCTGGAAGACCAAAGAACAATAACATCTGCTTATTATGAGAGTGTTTTGAGAAAGTTGGTCAAAGTTTCAGCAGAAAAGTGCCCAGAAAACTTCAAGAGAGTCTTTCTCCACCATGGCAATACTACTGTTCATTCCTTTTATCAAACAAGAGCAATTTTTGAGAATTTCAATGGAAAATCATTAGACATGTAACTCATAGTTCTTACTTGTCTCCTTCTCACTTCCTTTTATTTCTTAATCTTAAAAATCTTTAGGCTGGGTGTGGTGGCTCACGCCTGTAATCCCAGCATTTTCGGAGGCTGAGGTGGGTGGATCATCTGAGGTCAGGAGTTCGAGACCAGCCTGACCAACACGGTGAAACCCCGTCTCTACTACAAAAATATGAACATTGTCCAGTTGTGGTGGCATGCACCTGTAGTCCCAGCTACTCGGGAGGCTGAGGTAGGATAATTGCTTGAACCCAGGAGGCAGAGGTTGCAGTGAGCTGTGATCGTGCCACTGCACTCCAGCTTGGGTAACAAGAGTAAAACTTCGTTTTTTTTTTTTTGAGAAAACTTTAAAGGGCACCCATTTTTCTTCAGTTAATAATGTAAAAACAACAGCATTGACATTGTTAAACTCCCAGGACCCTCAGTTCTTTAGAGATGAATGAAATGGCTGGTATAAATGCTTACAAAAGTGTCTTGAAAGTTGAACAACAAAAGTTGAAAAATATAGTTTGTACTTTTTACTTTTATATTTTAATTTCATTTTTTATGAACTTTTTGAAGTTTTGCCGTATGTCTTTGCTCTTATTAAAAGCTTAGCAATACATTATCTATTTTATCTGGTTAATGCTTCCATTCATTTATTTGTATTTCATTTTTAGAAATATTAATAAGACATATGTAAAGTCTCCATTTGCTTATGCTGTGTCTACATTTCTTTTACAATGTTTTCATCCCATTTTCCTCTTACTTTTAATTTTAGGATAGTTTCTCAAACTTATTCTTCATATCAATGATTTCATTCAACAAAATTTCAATCATATTCTCATGACCTTCAATTTGTCTTTGAATTATGGTATTTTATTTTTAGTATCCTGGAAATCCTTCCTGATTTTATTCACTTTCTATTTTGTTGCAGCCTGGTACCATTTTATCTTCATTTTTGTTCTGTTCATTGATGTGTTGCTTTGTTTCTTCTTGCTACTTACCTTCTTATACATTCACTGTGGATGCTGGAAATTTTCTAATATTTTTTTCTGACTTCCACAGCGGACTTTTTCAGAGGTAAGTTCTATCTCTGAATTGTCTGAATCCCCTTCTGTGTTCTTTTGTAGGCCTCATATCATTGTTTATTCCCCCTTTACTCATATGTAAACAAATTACCTTAAACAGAATAAGGAATCGTTGGACACATATGTATTAGGCTGTTTTCATGCTGCCGATAAAGATTTGGGTGAAGATACAGCCAAATCATAGTATTCTACCCCTAGCCCCTCCAAATCTCATATTCTCACATTTTAAATCCAATCATGCCTTCCCAATAGTCCCCTAAAGACTTAATTCATTTCAGCATTAACCCAACATTCCACATCCAAAGTCATCTGAGCCAAGGCAAGTCCCTTCCACCTATGAGCCTGTAAAATCAAAAGCAAGCTAGTTACTTCTTAGATACAATTGGGGTACAGGTATTGGATAAATACAGCTGTTCCAAATGGGAGAAATTGGCCAAAAGGGGTTACAGGCCCATGAAAGTCTGAAATCCAGCATGGCAGTCAAATTTTAGAACTCTAAAATGATCTTTGACTACAGGTCTCACATCCAGGTCACGCTGATGCAAGAAGTGTGTTCACATGATCTTGGGCAGCTCAGCTCCTGTTGAGATTTGGGTGGGGACACAGCCAAACCATATCAACATATATCTTAAAAACTGAACAAAAATCTAGTTTTGTGGTTTAGCATTGATCCTACTCTGTGACTGCTATTGTGGTTCATCAATTCTAATGCTACAAGGAAGGCTGATATACACACAGTTCCCAATTCAATTCCCAGTTTCTAGTATGCAATGATGAGAGTATATTTTCCAATTCCCATTACATGGTTTTGTGATGAAGTACAAAAACTACATTTCCTAGGGTTATGTTACACCAGTGTTCTTACGTTTCTGCCTGGAATTTTTTACCTATGGGGGAGCAATGTGCTCCTAATACAATGAAGCAGTTATCTTGTTCACCACCCTACATTTTGCTCATTTATCCTTTGGGAGGTCCCGTCTCTGGGTGTAGAAAAAGTAATGTATGGCAGGCATTTCCCTGATTTTTGCATTATCTTGGTAGAGGACGTGTTGTTTAAGCTTCTATTAGGTTAAACCATTTGAAATTACTTCTTTTAAAGATCAAAGATTGTCAATATTGGGGGTCACATTGTTCAACTTAATAGTTATTACCGAAGCTAGATCTCTGACTCACAAAAAGATAGCAAATGAAAGTTTGGACATGTTCTTATGCTCATGAGGTGTGTTAGTCCATTTTGCATTGCTATAAAGCAATACCTGAGGTGGAAAAATTTATAAAGAAAAGAGATTTATTTGTCTTACAGTTCTGCAGACTGTATGAGAAGCATGATACCAGCATCTGCTTCTGGTGAGGACCTCAGGAAGCTTTCTCTCATAGTAGATGAGGTGGGAGCAAGTGTGTCGCATGGCGAGAGAGGAAGCAAGAGGGAGAGAAGAAAGGTCCCAGACTCTATTTATCAACAAGATCCCAGGTCTTCCATGAACTCATTACTGCAAGAAGGGCACCAAGCCATTCATAAAGAATCTATCCCCATGACCCAAACACCTCCCAGTAGGCCCCACCTTCAATATTGGGAATCACATTTCAATATGATATTTGGAAGAGACAAATATTCAAACTATGTCAAGAGGCAAATTGTTCTATGAGGTAATGCATAAGTAGGTTGGTCTTCAATAAATCTTGCACTTAGTATGGTTTCCTACCAGAATCTGAAATTAGGTAGACAATTAATTTTATTGTGAATGTGATGAGTCGTTTCTTCTGAGTATATTGGTAGAATATTGACAGAGGCTGTATGGAAACCTACTATTAGATGCATTCCAACTTTTTAGAAAAGCTTTATTGAGGGATGATTGAAGTATACAATAAAATGCACATATATATAGTGTCCCATATGATGAGTTTTCATGCATATATCCATGAAACTAATACCACAATAAAGATAATGAACATATTTATTTGTTCTCTTACCTTTTTGTAATCCCTTGCTTCTGCCACTCCCTGCCACCTCACCCCTATTCCTAGGGAACTGCTGATCAGCTTTCTGCCAGTGTAGATTAGCTTGCATTTTCTAGAGTTTTATATACAGAGAATCACATTATGTACTCTTCTTGTCACTTTTTTTCTCTCAAAATAACTGTTTTGAGATTCATCCATGCTGTAGTGTGAAGTAATGCTCATTTCTGTTTATTGCTGAGTACTATTCCATTGTATGGATGTGTGACAATATGTTTACTCATCCATCTCTTGAAGGAAATTTAAGTTGTTTCCATGTTTGGTTGTTATAAACAAGGCTACTATAGGCATTTGCCTACAAGTCTTTACATGGGCATATGCTTTTATTTCTCTTGATTAAACACCTAAGAGTTCAATGGTGGACTGATTGGGTCACATGATACGTTTATATTTAGCATTTAAAGAAACTGCCAAACTGTTTTCCAGAATGACTGTATAATTTTGCATTACCTTTAACAGTGGATGAGAGTTCTAGTTCCTCCGCATCAGTGATAAACATGCTATAGTCAGTTTCTATCATTTTAGCCATTTTAATGGGGAAGTAGCAGTATCTTTTTTGTGATCTAAATTTGAATGTCTTTAATGACTAATGATGTAGAACATATTTGCCTGTGCATGCTAGCCATTGGTAGATCTTCCTTGCTGAAGTGTCTGTTCAAATCTGTTTTGCATTTTTATTTGGCTGTTTAGTTTTCTTTGAATTCTGAAGTTTCCTCTTATATTCTAGGCAGATGTTCTTTTACATGTATAGGGTTTGCAAATTTATTTTTCCTGTTTGTGACTTGCCTTTTCATTTTCTTAATATATCTTACAAAGAGGGAAAGTTTAAATATTCTAAATTCCATTTTATCAATTTTTAAATAATTTGTGCTTTCTGTAGTTTTTTAAGACTTTCTCCTTTGCTTTCTTCTAGAAGCTTTATAGTTTCAGCTTTCATATTTAGGCCTGTGATTCATTTCAAGTTATGTTTACATGAGATTGGAGGTTTAATTTTTGCATATGAGTATCCAGTTTTCTCAGCATAATTTGTTGAAGAGATTATTATTTTTTTATTTCCAACTTTTATTTTAAGTTCATGGATACATGTGCGGGATGTGCAGGTTTGTTACATAGGTCAATGTATGCCATGGTAGTTTGCTCACAGATTATCTCATTACCTAGGTGTTAAGCCTAGCATCCATTGCCTGCCACCCTCTGACAGGCTCTAGTGTGTGTTGTTCCCCTCCCATGTGTCCTCCTCATTCATCTCCCACTTATGAGAGCATGCAGCATTTGGTTTTCTTTTTCTGTGTTAGCTTGTTGAGTATAATGACCTCCAACTCCATCCATGTCCTTGCAAAGGACATAATTTTGTTTCTTTTTATGGCTGCATGGTATTCCATGGTGTATATGTACCACGTTTTCTTTATTCAGTCTATCACTGATGGACTTTTAGGTTCATTCTATGTCTCTGCTATTGTGAAGAGTGCTGCAATGAACATATGTGTGAGTGTATCTTTATAATAGAATGATTTATATTCCTTTGGATATATACCCAATAATGGGATTGCTAGGTCAAATGGTATTTCTGCCTCTAGGTATAGAAGCAGTTGCCACAGTCTTCCAAAATGGTTGAACTGATTTACACTCCCAGCAATGATGTAAAACTGTTCCTTTTTCTCCACAACCTCACAAGCATCTGTTTTTTTTTTTTCCTTTTTAGTAATAGCCATTCAGAGTGGTGTGAGATAGTATCTCATTGTGGTTTTGATTTGCATTTCTGTACTGATCAGTGATGTTGAGATTTTTTTCATGTTTGTTGGTTGCATGCATGTCATATTTAGAGAAGTGTCTGTTCATGTACTTTGCCCACTTTTTAATGAGTTTTTTTTTGTTTTTCTTTTTCTTGTAAATTTGTTTAAGTTCCTGGTAGATGCTGGATATTAGACCTTTTTCAGATGGCTAGATTTCAAAAATTTTCTCCCATTTTGTAGGTTGTCTGATCACTCTGACGATAGTTTCTTTTACTGTGCAGAAGCTCTTTAGTTTAATTAGATTCTATTTGTCAATTTTTGCTGTTCTTGCAATTGCTTTTTGTGTCTTCATCATGAAATCTTTGCTCATGTCTATGTCCTGAATGGTATTACATAGATTTTATTCTAGGGTTTTTATTGTTTTGGGTTTTACATTTAAGTCTTTAATACATCTTGAGTTAAAGTTAATTTTTGTATATAGTGTAAGGAAGGGGTCCAGTTTTAACTTTCTGCATATGGCTAGCCAGTTTTCCCAGCACCATTTATTGAATAGGAGATATTTCCCCCATTGCTTATTTATGTCAGGTTCATAAAAGATCAAAAAGTTGTATGACTGTGGTCTTATTTCTGGGTTATCTATTATCTATTATATTCCAATGGTCTATGTATATGTTTTTGTACTAATGACATGCTGTTTTCATTACTATAGCCCTTTAGTACACTTTGAAATCAGGTAGCATGATGCCTCCAGCTTTGTTCTTTTTGGTTAGGATTGTCTTGGCTATTCAGGCTTCCTTTATTTTTATTTGAATTTTAAAATACTTTTTCTAGTTCTGTGAAGAATGTCAATGGTAATTTAATAATATTTTTATAAAATTTGAATTTAATGCATTGAATCTATAAGTCACTTCAGGCAATGTGGCCATTTTAGTAATATTGATTATTCTTATCCATGAACATGGAATATTTTTCCATTTGTTTGTGTCATTTCTAATTTCTCTGAGCAGTGCTTTACAGTTTTCTTTGTAGAGATCTTTCACATCTTTGGTTAGCTGTATTCCTAGGTATCATTTTCTATTTTGTGGCAATTGTGAATGGATTGCATTTCTAATTTGGCTGTTGGCTTGACTCTTTTTGGTGTATAGAAATGTTGGTGAGTTTTGCACATTGATTTTGAATCCTGAGGCTTTGCTAAAGTTGTTTGCAAGATGAAGGAGGTTTGGGATAAGACTATGGGGTTTTCTAGATACAGGATCACGTCATTTGCAAGGCAGGATAGTTTGACTTCCTCTCTTCCTATCTGGTTGCCCCTTATTTCTTACTTTTACCTGATTGCTCTGGCCAGGATTTCCAATATTGTGTTAAATAGGAGTGGTGAGAGTGAAGGCATCATTGTCTTTTGCCAGTTTTCAATGGGAATGCTTCCAGCTTTTGCCCATTCAGTGTAATGTTTACTGTGGATTTTTCATAGATGGCTTTTATTATTTTCAGGTGTATTCCTTTACCGCTTAGTTTATTGAGAATTTTTAAAGTAAAGAGGTGTTGAAGTTTATCGAAAGTGCCTTCTGCATCTATTGAGATATTCATGTGATTTTTGTATTTGGTTCTGCTTATGTGATAAACTACATTTATTGATTTGCATATGGTGAACCAAACTTGCATACTAGGAACAAAGCTTACTTGATTTTGGTGGATAAGCTTCTTCATGTGCTGCTGGATTTGGTTTTCTGGTATTTTGTTGAGGATTTTTGCATTGATGTTCATCAAGAACATTGGCCGAAAGTTCTTTCTCGGTTGTGTCTCTGCCAGGTTTTTGTATAAAGATAATACTAGTCTCATACATTAAGTTAGGGAGGAGTCCCTCCTCTTAAATTTTTTGGGTTAGTTTTAGTAGGAATAATATCAGTTCTTGTATGTACATCTGGTAGAATTTGGTTGTGAATTCCTTTTGAGAATTTGCTTTCTGAAAGAAGACAGTGGGAAAAGAATAGTGGATAAAGAACGAAAAGGAACAAACAAAACCTGCCAGAAATATGGCATTATGTAAAGAGACCAAATCTATGACTCATTGGTGTCTCTGAAAAAGATGATGATAATGGATCCAACCTGGAAAACATATTTCACGTTATCATCCATGAGAACTTCCCCAACCTAGGTAGAGAGGCCAACATTAAATTTCAGAAAATCTCAGTAGGATTCTGCACCAGAAGATCATCCCCAAGACATATAATCAACAGATTCTCCAAGGATGAAGAAAAAAAGTTAAACACAGCTAGAGAGAAAGGTCAGGTAACCGACAAAAGGAAGCCCAGACTGATAGCAGACCTTTCAAAATAAACTCTAAAAATCAGAAGAGATTGGAGTCAATATCT
Source organism: Homo sapiens (assembly GCF_000001405.40). Taxonomy (NCBI): domain Eukaryota; kingdom Metazoa; phylum Chordata; class Mammalia; order Primates; family Hominidae; genus Homo; species Homo sapiens. Next base: position 67,176,066 of record NC_000023.11, on the reverse strand, counting down.
AACATTCTTAAAGACAGAAAATTTTAATCCAGAATTTCATATTTGGTCGAACTAAGTTTCATAAGTGAATGATAAATAAGATCCTTTGCAGAAAAGCAAATATTGAAGGACTTCATTACCACCTGATCTGCCTTACAAGAGCTCATGAAGGAAGCGGTAAATATAGAAAGAAAAGACTGTTACCAGCCGCCACAAAAACACACTGAAGTACACAGACCAGTGACACTTGACACTATAAAGCAACCACAAAAACAAGTCTGTCAAATAACCAGCCTATATCATGATGACAGGATCAAATCCACACATATCATTACTAACCTGGAATGTAAACGGGCTAAATGCCCCAACTAAAAGACACAGACTGGCAACCTGAATAGAGCTCAGATCCATTGTTATGCTGTCTTTAAGAGAGCAATCTTATATGCAATGACACAGGAAGACTCAAAATAAAGATATGAAGACAAATCTACCAAGAAAATTAAAAAAAAAGCAGAGATTGCATTTCTAGTTTCTAACAAAATGGATTTTAAACCAACAAGGATCAAGAAAGACAAAGAAGGGCATTACATAATGGTAAAGGGTTCAGTTCAACAAGTTCTAACTATCCTAAATATATATGCACCCAACACAGGAGCACCTAGTTTCATAAAGCAAGTTCGTAAACATCTTCGAAGAGACTTAGACTCCCACAAAATTGTAGTGGGAGACTTTAACACTCCACTGACTATACTAGACAGATCAAGACAGACAATTAACAGATATTCAGGACCTGGAGTGAGCAATGAATCTAATGGACCTGACAGACATCTACACAACTTTCAACACAAAAACAACAGAATACACATTATTTTATTGCAACATGGCACAAATTCTAAAACCAATCAGATAATCAGAAGTAAAACACTCCTCACTAAATGCAGAATAACTCAAATTATAACACTCTCTTGGACAAGAGTGCAATCAAATTAGAAATCAAGACAAAAAAATTCACTCAAAACCATATAATTAAATGGAAATTGAATAACCTGCTCCTAGATAACTTATAGATAAATAATAAAATTAAGGCAGAGATGAAGATTTTTTTTTCTTTGAGATGGAGTTTTGCTCCTGTTGCCCAGGCTGGAGTGCAATGGTGCGATCTCAGCTCACTGCAACCTCCGCCTCCGGGGTTCAAGCAATTCTCCTGTCTTACCCTCCCGAGTAGCTGGGATTAGAGGCATGTGCCACCACGCCTGGCTAATTTTGTGTTTTTAGTAGAGACGAGGTTTTTTCCATATTGGTCAGTCTGGTCTCGAACTCCCAACCTCAGGTGACCCGCCCACCTGGACCTCCCAAAATGCTGGGATTACAGGCATGAGTCACCACGCCCAGCTGAAGATTTTTTTTTGTCAGTAAAACAACATTTATTTATTTATTTATTTATTTATTTATTTATTATTATTTCAACAGTTTTGGGGAACAGGTGGTTTTTGGTTACGTGGATATGTTCTTTCGTCCTAGTTTCTGAGATTTTAGTGCACCCATCACACAAGCAGTGTACACTCTACCCAATGTGTAATCTTTTATCCCTCACTCCTCTCCCAACTTTTCCCTTGAGTCCCCAAAGTCCATTATATCTTTCTTATGCCATTGTGTCCTCCCACTTGTAAGTGAGAATATATTTCGTTTTCCAATCCTGAGTTACTTCACTTGGAATAATGTCTCCGACTCTGTCCAAGTTGCTGTGAATGCCATTATTTCATTCCCTTTTATGGTTGAGTAGTATTCCACAGTGTATGTATACCACATTTTATTTATCCACTCATTGGTTGGTGGACATTTAGACTGGTTTGATATTTTTGCAATTGAGAATTGTGCTGCTATAAACATGTATGTGCAAGTGTCTTTTTTCATAAAATGATTTCTACTCTTTCAGGTAGACACCCAGTAGTTGTACCAATTTACATTTCCCCCAGCAGTGTTAAAATATTCCGATTTCACCACATCCACAGAAACATCTATTATTTTTTAATTATGACCATTCTTGCAGAAGACATGTTATATCATGGTAAGGTGTATCTCACTGTGGTTTTGATTTGCATTTTCCTGATAATTAGTGATGGTGAGCATTGTTTCATACGTTTGTTGGCCATTTGTATATCTTCTTTTCAGAATTGTTTATTTATGTCCTTTGCCCACTTTTTTGATGGGATGATTTGTTTTTTAGTGCTGATTTGTTTGAGTTCCTTGTAGATTCTGGATACTAGTCCTTTGTTGGATGTATAGCGTGCAAATATTTTCTCCCATTCTATGGGTTGTCTGTTTACTCTGCTGTTTATTTCTTTTTTCTTTATTTCTTCTTTAAAAAATGAGATACATGTGCTGATCATTTATTTTGCTGTGCAGAAACATTTAGTTTAATTAAGTACCATCTATTTATTTTTTGTTTTTGTTGCATTTGCTTTGGGTTTGTTGGTCATGAACTCTGCCTAATCCAATGTACAGAAGAGTTTCTTCAATGTTATATTCTTGAGTTTTTATGCTTTTAGTTCTTATATTTAAGTATTTATTCTATCTTGGGTTGATTTTTGTATAAAGTGACAGATGAGGATCCAGTTTCATTCTTCTACGTGTGGCTTGCCAATTATTGCAGCACCATTGGTTGAATAGAGTGTCCTTTCCCCACTTTATGTTTTTGTTTGCTTTGTCAAAGATCAGTTGGCTGTAAGTATTTGGCTTTCTTTCCGGGTTCTCTATCCTGTTCTGTTGATGTACATGCCTATTTTTATACCAGTATATGCTGTTTTTATAACAACAGTCTTGTAGTATAGTTAGAAGTCAGGCAGTGTGATGCTTCCAGATTTGCTCTTTCTGCTTAGTCTTGCTTTGGCTATGAGGGCTCTTTTTGGTTCCATATGAATTTTAGGATTTTTTTTCTAGTTCCGTGAAGAATGATGATAGCACTTTTATGGGAATTGCATTGAATCTGAAGGAAGAAATCAAAGCTTTTTGAAACTATTGAGAACAAAGATGCAACATTTCAGAATCTCTGGGACACAGCTAAAGGAAATTTTTTTATTTTATTTTATTTTTTTATTTTATCATTATTATACTTTAAGTTTCAGGGTACATGTGCACAACATGCAGGTTTGTTACATATGTATACATGGGGGGAGGGGGGAGGGATAGCATTAGGAGATATACCTAATGCTAAATGACGAGTTAATGGGTGCAGCACACCAACATGGCACATGTATACATACGTAAGGGAACGTTAAGAGGAAAATTTATAACACTATGTGCCCAGATCAAAAAGTTAGAAAGATCTCAAGTTAACAAGCTGACATCACAACTAAAAGAACTAGAGAACCAAGAGAAAACAAATCCAAAAGGTAGCAGAAGACAATAAATAATCAAACTTAGAGCTGAACGGAAGCTAGAGATGAAAATCCGTTCAAAAAATTAAATCCAGGAGCAGGTTATTTATTTATTTATTTATTTATTTATTTATTTTTGAAAAAAATTAGTAAAATAGATAGACCTCTAGCTAGACTACTAAAAAAGAAAAGAGAAGATTAAAGTAATCCCAATCAGAAATGACAAGGAGTATATTACTACTGACTCCATAGAAATAGAAACAGACATCAGAGAATATTATGAACACCTCTATGCATATAAACTAGAAAATCTAGAAGAAATTGATAAATTCCCGGGCACATAGACCCTCTCTAGACTGTACCAGGAAGAAACTGAATCCCTGAAAAGACCAATAACAAGCTATGAAATTGAATCAGAAATAAATATCCTACCACCATCAACAAAAAAAGCCTAGGGACAGATGAATTTGCAGCTAAATTCTACCAGATGTATAAAGAAAAGCTGGAACCATTCCTGCTGAAACTATTCCAAAAAACTGAGAAGAAAGGACTCCTCTCTAATTCATTCTCAGAGTCTCTTAATACTGGAATCAATCAAATGAGAAAAAAATTAATGAGCCTGAAGAGAGGCTATTTGAAAATACACAATAAAAGGAGACAAAAGAAAAAAGAAAAACAATAAAGCACATTTACAAAATCTACATAAATAGCCTCAAAAGGGCAAATTTAAGACTTATTAGTCTTAAAGAGGAGGTAGAGAAAAAGACTGGGGTAGAAAGTTTATTCACAAGGATAATGACAGAGAACTTCCCAAACCTAGAGAAACATAACATTCATGTACAAGAAGCTTATAGAACATCAAGCAGTTTTAACCCAAAGAAGTTTATTTTAAGGCACATAATAATTAAATTTTCAAATGTCAAGGATAAAGAAAGGCTCCTAAAAGCAGAAAGAGAATTGAAATATATATATGTGTGTATATATGTATATATATAAATATATATGTGTATACATGTATATATGTGTATATATGTATATATGTATATATGTATATATATGTAAAATATGTGTGTATATATATATGTTTGTGTATATATGTATATATGTGTGTACATATATATAATATATATATTATATATATGCTTATATATATAATATATATATGTACAATGGAGCTCCAATACGACTGTCAGCAGACTTTTCAGTGGAAACCTTACAGGCCAGAAGAGAGAGGCATGACATATTTAAAGTGCTGACAGAAACAAGGTTTTACCCTAGAATAGTATACCTAGGGAAAATATCCTTTTATTCATATAAGACACTAAAGATATTCCCAGACAAACAGAAGCTGAGGTATTTCATCAACACCAGATATGTCCTACAATAAATGCTAAAGGGAATTCTTCAGTCTGAAAGAAGCAAAAATAAATTATCTGAAGGCTTAAAACTCACTGTTAATAGTAAGCATAGAGAAAAACACAGAATATTATAACATTGTAATTGTAGTATGTAAACTCCTGTTATCTTTAGTTGAAAGAAAAATGAAGCAATCAAAAATAACTATGACAACTTTTCAAGACATAAAAATTATAATACGACATAAAAAGAAACAACAAAAAGTTAAAAAGCAGGGGACGAAGTACAAGAGTAGAGTTTTTATTAGTTTTATTTTGCATTATTATTTATGTGTTTTGCAATTGGTCCTAAGTTGTCATGAATTTAAAATAATGGATCATAAAATAATATCTGTAATCCTCATGGTAACCTCAAGTGAAAAAACATACAATGAATACACACATAAAAAAAGCAAGAACTTAAAAGATACAACCAGAGAAAATTACTTTCACTGAAAGGAACACAGGATGAAAGGAAAGAAGAGAAGACCACAAAATAACCAGAAAACAGACAACAAAATAGCAGGCGTTAAGTCCCTACTTCTCAATAATAGCATGGAATCTAAATGGACTAAACTTTCCAATGAAAAATCATAGACTGGCTGAATGAATAAAAAAACGAGATCCAATTCGACATGAGATTTGGGCAGGGACACAAATCCGAACGATATCAGACATATACTTAGTAATGAGATTCCTGGGTTGATCAGTAGTTTCTGTTTTTAGTTCTTTGAGAAATCTCCAAACTGCTTTCCATAGGGGTGAGCTAACTTACATTCCCACCAACAGAATATAAGTGTTCCCTTTTTTTCTGTAGCTTCACCACAATCTGTAATTTTTTGACTGTGAAGCCAAAAATCGTAAAGCACAATTTTAAAATTGGTGAAGTATTTGAACACATATTTTCCTAAAGAAGATACAAAAAAGGCCAAAATGCTCATGGAATGACACTCAATGTCATTAGAGAAATGCAAATTGAAAATACAATGGTATACCACTTGAAACCCACTAGGATGACTATATTTTTTTTATTTTTATTTTATTTATTTATTTATTATTATTATACTTTAAGTTTTAGGGTACATGTGCACAACGTGCAGGTTAGTTACATATGTATACATGTGCCATGCTGGTGCGCTGCACCCACTAACTCGTCATCTAGCATTAGGTATATCTCACAATGCTATCCCTCCCCCCTGCCCCCACCCCTAAACAGTCCCCAGAGTGTGATGTTCCCCTTCCTGTGTCCATGTGTTCTCATTGTTCAATTCCCACCTATGAGTGAGAATATGTGGTGTTTGGTTTTCTGTTCTTGCAATAGTTTACTGAGAATGATGATTTCCAATTTCATCCATGTCCCTACAAAGGACATGAACTCATCCTTTTTTATGGCTGCATAGTATTCCATGGTGTATATGTGCCACATTTTCTTTTTTTTTTTTTTTTTTTATTATACTCTAAGTTTTAGGGTACATGTGCACATTGTGCAGGTTAGTTACATATGTATACATGTGCCATGCTGGTGCACTGCACCCACTAATGTGTCATCTAGCATTAGGTATATCTCCCAATGCTATCCCTCCCCCCTCCCCCCGACCCCACCACAGTCCCCAGAGTGTGATATTCCCCTTCCTGTGTCCATGTGATCTCATTGTTCAATTCCCACCTATGAGTGAGAATATGCGGTGTTTGGTTTTTTGTTCTTGCGATAGTTTACTGAGAATGATGGTTTCCAATTTCATCCATGTCCCTACAAAGGATATGAACTCATCATTTTTTATGGCTGCATAGTATTCCATGGTGTATATGTGCCACATTTTCTTAATCCAGTCTATCATTGTTGGACATTTGGGTTGGTTCCAAGTCTTTGCTATTGTGAATAGTGCCGCAATAAACATACGTGTGCATGTGTCTTTATAGCAGCATGATTTATAGTCCTTTGGGTATATACCCAGTAATGGGATGGCTGAGTCAAATGGTATTTCTAGTTCTAGATCCCTGAGGAATCGCCACACTGACTTCCACAATGGTTGAACTAGTTTACAGTCCCACCAACAGTGTAAAAGTGTTCCTATTTCTCCACATCCTCTCCAGCACCTGTTGTTTCCTGACTTTTTAATGATTGCCATTCTAACTGGTGTGAGATGATATCTCATTGTGGTTTTGATTTGCATTTCTCTGATGGCCAATATTGGTGAGAATGTAGAGAAATTAATCCCTCATACATTGCTGTTGGGAATGTAAAATGATAAAGTCCCTGTAAAAAAAACTTTTATAGTTCCTGAAAACATTAGAAATAGAGTTACCATTTAACTCAGCAACTCCACTGCTAGGTATAAACCCAAGAGAATTAAAAACATATGTTCATGTGTGTAGTGTTTTCATCACAAAAAAAAATAAGTATGTGAGGTAATAAATTTGTTAATTAGCCTGATTTAATTATTCCACATTGTAAACATTTATCAAAACTTCACATAGTACTCAATAAAGTTATTTGTCACTTAAAAATAGAATTTAAAATAAACAAATCAACAAAAAATTTATACATGAATGTTTATAGAAGCATATCCACAATAATAAAAAGTGAAGACAGCTAAAATGTTCACGAATTGATGAATGGATAAACAAAATATAGTATATCTCTACAATGAAATGTTATATGGCCATAAAAAGGAATGAAGCACGGATACATGCTGCAACACAAATTAATATTGAAAACATTACCCTAAGTGAAATAATCTAGTCAGAAAAGATCACATATTATATAATTCAGTTATGCAAAATTTCCATAATAATCAAATATAGGGGTACAAAATTAGTCATATCTATAGATGCCACTGGGACGGATGCATAGATGAGTATGATTGCTAAAGGGCACAGAATTTTTTTAAGTTAGTGAAAATGTTCTAAAATTGACCGTAGTGATAGTTACACCTGTCTATGAATACCGTAAAATCATTAAAATGAGCACTTTAAGTGGATGTTATGCAACATGTGAACTACATCTCAATAAAGATGTTAAAAATATGGGTACAAGATAAACATAGTAGTAATGTAAATAAGATATAAACATCAATATAATGGAAGATGATGCAATCACTAATTGCCATGCATGCAAATAATATCATGACATATTATTAAGTGAAAAAGCAATTCATAAATTTATACACAGTTTAATGCCAATTTGTATAAGCAGAGAAAGAAAGGGGGAAGAATTGAAATAAAGTAGATTACATCAGGATAAGAATGTACAGTTTTCATCCCATTTTTGTGTGTTTATAAAATTACTACTATGGCCATATATTTTGCTTATAATCAGAATAAAAGTTATGAAAAAGAAATTGAATTATTTGAAGAAATAAAAAGGAAGAGGAAAAGAAAACAAACTGATTTCCTGGGGCCTCAGAGAAGGCAGACAGGAACAGAGAGAGATATAGAAAGGATCCCAGGAGATAAGCAAGTCCCCTGTGGTTCTTTAACCAAAAGACACAATTAACTCTAGACATTAGGGAAATAAAGCTGAGCAAGCAATTTGAAAGGAATAATGCAGGGGACGTTGAAAGATCAAGGGTGCAGAAGAAAGAAAAGTCACTGAAAAATCTAGAAATGTCAAGCTCCATATGAGAAGTAGTATTGCTCAGCTGCAAATATAAAATGGTGATTAAACTAGTGAGCAATATTCAAAACCTGGCTCCACTACTTGTAGTTTTAAGGAGTGTACTTCAATTCTCTCAGCTGTTGTTTCTTATTTAAACAATTAGAAATGCAATAACTGCTTCACAGAGTAAGTTGGAGGATTACATGAGTTGATCCACAGAAAATCTCAATCTGGAAGACAGTTTGCTTTAATTATTCTGTATCTGATTTCCTTTTTCAGTGATCTTTAAAAGGGATTCATGATGTAAATATTAGAAATTCTTTTCATATTTATTGTATCCTATCTTTTAAAATAGCAGCTTTATTAAGATAATAATTAACATACCATAAAATTCAGAACTTCAAAGTATACAATTCAGTGGCTTTTAGTATACTTGTAGAGTTTGGACTATCACCAATATCTAATTTTAAATATTTTAATCACAGCAAACAAACTCTCTGTATCAATTTTTAAGAATTCCTCCCTCATTCTCCCCAATCCTACACAACCACTAATATACCTTTCATAGCTGTGAATTTATTTATTATGGATATTTTATATAAATGGGATCATATAATGTTTGTCCTTTTATGTCTGGCTTATTTCTCTAAGCATAATACTTTCAAGGTTCATCCATGTCTTTGCATGTATCAGTACTTCATTCCTTTTAATTGCTGAATATTATTCAGTTTCATGAATTATACCACTTTTTGTTTCCTGCCCATCAGCTGATGGGCACTTTATTCTTGTTTATTGGCTATTAGGAATAATATTGCTATGAAGAGTCACTAGTTTTTGTGTGAACATGTTTTCAATTCTCTTGAATATATATCTGGGAATGGAATTACCAGGTCACAGAGTTAACTCTATGTTTAACATTTTGAAGAACTGCCAAACTATTTTCCACAGTGACTGTACCATTTTACATGACTACCAGCAATATATCAGGGTTGCAATCTCAACACACATTTGTTAACATTTGCTATTGCCTAGATTTTATTTATATAATAGCCCTCCTAGTAGGCACAAAGTGGTATCTCATTGTGGTTTTGATTTGCATTTCCCTAAAGACTTGAGAAGCTTTTCATATGCTTATAAACTATTTGTATCTCCTTGGGAAAAAAAATCAATTCTTTTGCTGATTTTTAAAATTGGGCTTTTTTTGTTGTTGTTGTTAATTTGAACCGTTCTTTATATATTTTGGATACAAAATTTTTATCAGATACAGCATTTGCAAGTATTTTCTGTCATTATTTGATAGCGGCCTGAGAAACAAAAAAGGTTTTAATTTTAAGGTACACTTTATCTGATTTCATTTTGTTGCTTTGCTCTGAGTTTAGTCTAAAAACCACTGCCTAAACCAAGCTCACAAACATTTACTCAATTGTTTTCTTTTAAAATTCTATCACTTGAATTGTTACATTTGGATCTATAATCCATTTGAGCTAACTTTTGTGGATATTATGAAGAAAGTATTCACATACATTATCTGCATGTGGATATCCAGTTTTTCAAGCACTATTGTTGAAAAGAATGTTTTTACCCATTGAATTGTCTTAGCACCCTTGTCAAAAATCAATTAATTATAAATGTAAAGGATTATTTTTTGACTCTAAATTTTATTCTGTCTTGACTTCTGCTTTGTAGTAGGGTTGGAAATCAGGAAGTGAGATTCCTCCAAGTTTGTTCTTTTCAAAATCATTTTGACTTTGCATTTTTTTTGCATTTCCATGAGAATTTTAGGATCGGTATGCCCATTTCTGAAAAAGTAAAATGTAGGTGGGTTATTGATAGAATATTTTGCTGAATCTGTAGATCAGTTTGGCTGCATTGCATTCCAATCCAGGATACTGTTTTGGCACTTCTTTTATTAAGTTGATTCTTAAATATTTTATGTTTTTGATATTATTATAAATGTAACAGTTTTCCCAATTTCCTTTTCATATGGTTCATTGGTAACACATAGAAACATAATTTTTTAATTTTTAATTTTTATTTTTTGCGGGTACATGGTAGGTGGATATATTTGTAATGTACATGAGATGTTTTGATACAAGCATGCAGTGTGAAATAAGCACATCATAGAGAATGAGATATTCATCCCCTCAGGCACTTATATTTTCTATTATAAGGAATCCAATCACATTATTTTAGTTATTTTTAAATGTACAATTAACTTATTATTGACTATAGCCACCCTGTTGTGCTATTAAATATTAGGTCCTATTCATTCTTTCTATTGTTTTGTACCCATTAATTATCCTGAGTACCCTCCTAGCCCCCCACTACCTTTACAAGTCTCTGGTAACCATCCTTCTACTCTATGTCCATCAGTTCAATTGATTTGATTTTTAGATTTCACAAATAAGTGAGAACATGTGATTTTTGTCTTTCTGTGCCTGGCTTATTTTATTTAACATAGTGATGCCCAGTTCTTTCCATGTTGTTGCAAATTACAGAATCTCATTTATTTATTTGCCTCCAACTCCTGGCTATGGGGAAGAGTGCTGAGACAAACATGGAAATGCAGATACCTCTTCAATATACTGATTTCTTTCTTTTGGGTATATACTCAGGAATGGGATTGCTGGATCATACAGCAGTTTATTTTTAATTTTTTGAGAAACCTCCAAACTGTTCTCCATAGTGGTTGTAATAATTCCCATTCCCACCAACAGTGTATGAGGATTCCCTTTTCTCCACAACCTCTGTATCATTTATTGTTCTGTCTTTTGGATATAAGCCATTTCAACTGAGGAGAGATGATAACTCATTGTAGTTTTGATTTGCATTTCTCTAATAATCAATGATAATTAGTACCTTTTCATATGTCTGTTTCCCTTTTCTATGTTTCCTTTTGAGAAACGTCTATTCAAATACTTTGCCCAGTTTTTGATCTGATTATTAGATTTTTTCCTATAGAGTTGTTTGTGCTCCTTATATATTCTAGTTATTGATCTCTTTTCAGAAGGGTAGTTTGAAAATATTTTCTTCCATTCTGTAGTAAGCCACTTCACTGGGTTGATTGTGTACTTTGTTGTGCAGAAGCTTTGTAACTTGATGTGATCCCATTTCTCTATTTTTGTTTTGATTGCCTGAGCTTGTGAGGGATTGCCTAAGAAATTTTCCCACACCAATATCTTGAGTATTTTCCCCTATTTTTGTAGTAGTAGTAGTAGTAGTAGTAGTAGTGGTAGTAGTAGTTTCATATATTGAGGGCTTAGGCTTAAGTCTTTAATACATTTTGATTTCATTTTTGTATACAGTAAGAGATAGGGGTCTAATTTCATTCTTCTGCATATGGATATCCAGTTTTCCCAGAACCATTTATGTAAGAGACTCTTGCCTAGTGTGTATTCTTGGCACCTTTGTGAAAAATGAGTTTGCTGTAAGTGTGTGGATTAGTTTCTGTGTTCTCTATTCTGTTCTATTGTTCTATGAGTCTGTTTTTTCATTGCCAGTACCATGCTGTTTTGGTTACTGTAGATCTGTAGTATAATTTGAAGTCAGGTAATGTGATTCTTTCAGTTTTGTTCTTTTTGCTTAAGACAGCTTTGGCTATTCTTGGCCTTTTGTGGTCTCATATAAATCCTAGGACATCTTTTATTTCTGTAAAGAATATTACTGACATTTTGAAAGAGATTATATTGAATCGGTATATCGTTTGGGACATTTTAACACTATTGATTCTTCCAGTTCATGAACATGGATTTTTTTTGGTGTCCTCTTCTTCAATTTCTTCCATCAGTGTTTTATAGTTTTCATTGTAGAGATCTTTCACTCTTACAGTTAATTTCTACGTATTTAAATTTATGTGTGGATATTGTAAATGGGATGACTTTTTAATTTCTTTTTAAGATTGTTTACTGTTGGCATATAAAAATACTACTAATTTTTGTATGATGATTTTGTATCTTACAATTTTGCTGATATTTTTTCAGTTCTAATAGGTTTTTTTTGTGGCATCTTTAGGTATTGCCAAATATAAGATCATATCTTCTGCAAACAAGGATATTTGACTTTTTTTTTTTCATTTGGATGCCCTTTATTTCATTCTCTTGTCTGATTACTCCAGCTAGGACCTCCAGTTTTAGGCTGAAGGACAGTGGTGAAAGTAGGCATCCTTGTCATGTGTCAGCTATTAGAGGAAAGTCTTTCAGTTTTTCCCCATTCAGTGTGATACTAGTTTTGGACCTGTTGTTTATGGCTTTTATTATGTTGAGGTATGTTCCCTCTATCCCCAGTTACTTGAGGGTTTTAATCATGAAGGCATGTTGAATTTTACCAAATGCCTTTTCATCGTCAATTGAAATGATATGTTTTTTATTCTTCAATCTGTTTATATAATGTATCACATTGATTAATTTGCGTATGTTGAGTCATCCTTGCGTCCCAGGGATTAATCTCACCGGTCATAATGAATGATCTTTCTAATGTACTGTTGAATTCATTTTGCTAATATTTGGCTGAGAATTTTTGCATCAATAGTCATCACAGATATTGGTCTGTGTTTTATTTTTGATGTGTGCTTGTCTGGTTTTGGTATTAGGGTAATACTGGTCTTGGAGAATGTCTTTGGAAATATTTTCTCCTTCATATTTTAGAATAGTTTCAGGAGAATTGGTATTAGTTCTTTAAATGTTTGGTAGAATTCACCAGTGAAGCTGTTAGGTCCTGGGCTTTTCTTTACTGGAACAATCTCTATTAAGGCTTCAATCTCGTTACGAGTTATTGTTCTGTTGAGGTTTTGGATTTCTTCATGGTTTTATCTTGGTAGGTTGTATATGTATAGGAATTTGTCCATTTCTTCTAGATTTTCCAATTTATTGGCATATAGTTGCTCACAGTAACCACTAATGGGGCTTTGAACATCTGCTGTGTCAGGTGTAATGTTTCCTTTTATATTTCTGATTTTATTTATTTGTGTCTCTCTTCTTATTTACTCTGGCTGAAAATTTGTCAATTTTGTTTAAGTTTTCAGAAAATCAACTTTTTGTTTCATTGATCTTTTGTATTGTTTTCTTCATTTCAATTTCTTTGATTTCTGTCCTGATCTTTATTATTCCTTTTCTTCTGTTACTTTTGGGTTTGTTTGCTCTTGCTTTTCAATTTCTTTAAGATGTATTGTTAAATTATTTATTAGAAGTATTTTCTCCTTTTTGATGTAGGCACATAGCTATAAACTTTCCTCTTAGTACTGCCTTTGCTGTATCCCATAAGTTTTGGTGCGTTTTCTATCTGCTATTAATTGTTTCAAGTTTTTTTTTAATTTCTTTCTTGATTTCTTCATTGACCTACTAGTCATTCCATATCATTTAATTTCCATGTGTTTGTATAATTTCCAAATTTCTTCTTTTTATTAATTTATATTTTTATTTCATTTTGGTGATGCTTTAAATACACAGAGAAGAAATTCAGAATTTGATCAGATAAATTTAACAGTTAAGAAAATAATTTATAAGAATCAATATATTATATTTTATAAATAATATAAAATAAAATGCTTTATATTATTTCAATTTTTTTAATTTTTTAAGACATTTCAGACTTAACATGGTCCATCCTTGAGAATAATCCATGTGCGGAGAAAAAAATAATGTGTATTCTGCCATTGGATGAAATGTTCTGTAAATATCTATCAGATCCATTTGGTCTATAGTGCAGATTAATTCTGATTTTTTTGTTGTTGTTGAATTTCTGCTGTAGAATCTGCCCAATTTTTAATGGAAGGTTTGAAGCCTCCAGCTATTTTTGTATTGGAGCCTATCATTGTCTTTAGTCCTAATAATGATTGCTTTATATATCTGGGTGCTCCAGAGTTGGGTTCATATATATGTAAAACTATTATATCTTCTTGCTGAATTGACCGCTTAATCATTATATCGTTATCTGCTTTGTCTCTTCATGTAGTTTGTGTTTTGAAATCTATTTTGTCTGATAAAAGTATACTAATTCCTGTTCTTTCTTATTTCCATTGGCAAGGAATATCTTTTTACATCCCTTTATTTTAAGTCTATGTTTGTCTTTGTAGGTGAAGTGTGTCTCTTGTAGGTAACAGGTCCATGGGCCTCTTTTTCTTCTTATTCCATTTAGCCACTCTATTTCTTGTGATTGGTGACTTTAATCCATTTAAATTCAATATTATTATTGGGTAGTAAGGGTTTACTGCTGCCATTTTGTTTTTTTGTTTTCTGATGTGTGTGTGTGTGTCTGTGTGTGTGGTATTCTCTTTTTTGCTTCTTCTTGTCTTCTTTTACTGAAGGTGGTTTTTTCAAGTGACATTATTTAGTTTCTAGCTTTTTATTTTTTTGTGTATCCATTGTATGTTTTTTGGTTTGCGGTTACCATGAGGCTTGTAAATACTATCTTTTAACCCATTGTTTTAACCTGATGACAACTTAACACTCACTGCATAAACAAACAAACAAACAAATCTAATCAAAACTCCATGCCTCAACTTTCTGCCCCAACTTTCTACCTATTTTGGTTTCTATTTATATCTTATAGCACTATGCCATGAAAATTTGTTGTAGTTATTATTTTTGATTGGTTCATCATTCAATCTTTTCACTTAGGGTAAGGGTAGTTCATACACTGCAGTTACAGTCTTATAATATTTTGTGATTTTCCATGTACTTAATACTAGCAGTGAGTTTTGTACTTTCAGATGATTTCTTACTGGTCTTTAATGTCCTTTTCTTTCTGATTGAAGTACTTCCTTTAACATTTCTTCTAGAAAAGGTCTATTGTTGATAGAATCCCTAAACTTTTATTTGTCTGGGAAAGTCTTTATTTCTCCTTCATGTTTGAAGGATATTTTCACAAGATATATTATTCTATAGTAAAAGTTTCTTCTTTTTCCTTCAGCACTTTAAATATTTCATGCCATTGTCTCCTGGCCTATCTGGTTTCCACTGAAAAGTCTGCTGCCAAGTGTATGAGAGCTCCATTGTATGTTATTTGTTTCTTTTCTCTTGCTGCTTTTAGAAATCTTTCTCTGATCTTGATCTTTGGGACTTTGGTTATTAAATTCCTTAAGCTAGGCTTCTTTGGGGTATTTCTGCTTGGTGTTCTAAACACATCTTATGCTTTGATATTGATATCTTTCTTTAGGTTTGGGACAATCTCTGTTATTATCCCTTTGAATAAACTATCTCTCCTTATATCTTTCTCCACCTCTTCTATGAGGCCAATAATTCTTAGATCTGCCCTTTTGAGGCTATTTTCCTGGTCTTGTAGGCATGCTTCATTCCTTTTTACTCTTTGTCTCCTCTTAACTGTGTATTTTCAAATAACCTGCTTTCAAGTTCATTAATTATTTCTTCTGTTTGATCCTTTTTGCCTTTAAAAGACTTTGATTCATTCTTCAGTATGTCAATTGCAATTTATATCTTGAGAATTTCTGCTTGATTCTTTTAAATTATTCCCATCAGTTTGTTAAATTTATCTGAGAGGATTCTGAATTTCTTCTCTGTGTTACCTTGATTTTTTTTTAGTTTCCTTAACACAGCTATTTTGAATTATCTGTCTGAAAGGTCAGATATCTCCGTTTCTCCAGGATTAGTCCCTGGTGCTTTATTGAGTTCATTTGGTGAGGTCATGTTTTCTTTGATGTTGTAGATGCTAGTAGATGCTCTTTGGTGTCTGCACATCGAAGAGTTAGGTATTTATTTTAGTCTTCACTGTCTGTGCTTTTTTTTGTAACTGTCCTTCTTTAGAAGGTTTTCTAGATATTTGAAAGGACTTGGATGTTGCTATCCAAGCTGTATCTGCTTTAGGGGGCACTCCAAGCCCAGTAACACGATGGTTCTTGAAAACTCATAAAGGTACCACTTTGATGATCTTGGACATGACCGCCATAATTCTCTGGATAACCAGGCAGAGACTCTTATTCTTTTCCCTTACTTTTTCCCAAACAAATGGATCCTGTCTCTGTTCTGAGCCACTTAAATCTGTGGGTGAAGTCACACAAGCACCCTGGTGGCCACCTCCACTATGACTGCACTGGGTCAGAACTGAAGCCAGCACAGCACCTGCATCTTGCTCAAGGCCTACTGTAAACATTTGCTGGCTACTGTCTATGTTTGCTGAAAACTCTGGGGCTCTACAATTAGCTGCTGGTAAAACCACTGAAGCCTGTATCTTTCCCTTCAGGGCAGTGAGTTCTCCCCGTCCCTGGATGGGTCCAAAGGTGACTTCCAGTAGTCAGGGACTAGAATAAAAGACCTTAGAAGTCTAGAAATCTACCTGGTGTTCTATTTTACTGCAGTTGATCTGGTCCTCAAACAACAAGATGCAGTCCTTCCCATTCTTCCCTCCCATTTCCAAATGCAGAAGAGGCTTACCCCATAGTCTCTATCATCACATGTCACATGGAGTAATGCTAGACTATCACTGTTTTTCCCTTAAGGCCCAATGGCTCTTATGTCAGCTTTTCATGAATGCTGCCTGGCCTGGGACTCACCCATCAGGGAAGTGGGCTCACCTCTGGCCCATGGCAGATCTAAAAATGCCATCTCAGAGTCAAGTCCTGGAATCGGGGACCCCAATAGTCTGCCTGGTGCTATATCCCCCTGTGTCCCTGCTGGTACCTAAGGTGTAAGGCAAAATCCCCTTTACTTTTCTCTCTGCTTTTCTCAAACAGAAGAAGTTTTGCCCTGTAGCCACCACAGTTGGTAATATGCTATGTCTCAACTGAATCCTGTTCATCTCAAAGGATCATCCAAGGCCCTTGATGTAGTACCTAGGTAGTACTGTTGGTTATTCAGGGCCCAAAGGCTCTTCAGTTAATAGTTGATGAAGGATGCCAGGAATGGATCCTTCCTTTCAAGGCAGTGGGTTCCCTTCTGGCTTGGGCCGTGTTTAGAAATGCTATCCAGGAGCTAGGGCCTGGAATAGGGGCCTCATGACTCTGACAAGTGTCCTATCCTGCTGTACCAGAGCTGATATCCAAGATACAAGACAGAGTCATCCCCACTCTTTCCTCTCCTATCCTCGGGTGGAAATATGGAGTCTCTTTTGGAGCTACAAACTGTGTAGCCTAGGGTTAGGGTAGGGGTGATGGCAGCATTTTCTTAGACACCCCAGATCAGTAGATCATATACTCTCACCCCCACACTCCACTTTCTCTGGGCCCATTTCAGCACTAGGGCTTGCCTAAGAGTTGCAGTCCTTATGACCTATACTACCTTTCAAGTGTACTTGGAGTCCCAAAGCAATTTAGTCCTAGGTGGTGAGGTGTGTGGGAACTCAAGTTTTGAACTCATGATCTGTGGCAATTTCCCTCTACCTAGGGCTGGTTTGAATACTGCCTCCATGGGAGTGTATCATTTAAGTTTGGTCCAGGGTTTCTTTCTGCTGTAACAGGACAGCAGTGAGATCAATGCCTCACAACTGCAGTGCTCTCCCTCCTCTGGTGCCCAGAGATGTTCTCCACTTCATGCTGCCACTACCGGGGGTGTGGTGGAGGGGCAGTGTTGGCAATTCAGAAGCTTTTTTTGTATCTCTTCATTGCCTCTTTTAGCAATATGAAGTTCAAACCAGGTACTGTGAGTGCTCACCTGGTTTTTGGTTCTTATAAAGGTATATTTTTTCTGTGTAAATAGTTTTTATATTGTTGCCCTTGCCAGAGGGACGATTGTTGGAGGCTTCTATTCTGTCATCTTGCTCTGCCTGCTGGATCATTTCTTCTTATGCCCATTTTATGGATGACATTTAACAGAAGTAAGTCAAGCTGACTCAGAGAGGTAAAATTTTAACCCATGTATATTGGCTTCTGAGCAAGTGCTTTTTCTTTCAGTCAAGTCAGGATTTTGGCTTACAGCATCGAAATACCATCCAGACAAAAATCAAAGTTAAACTGGCTCCTTGTGTTATATGTATAAAATTATGTATTTTACTCTCCAACCTGATTTTTTCAATGTTGGAACAGTTCAGCTGAACACTGGTGCAGCACCCAAAAAGAATTCCTATAGAAAAATTATAGCAACTACACCACAGCTCAGTTCTACAAATAGCAAGAGAAGACATACCTCTGTATGGTCTAAAACCATGCAAATCTTTCACTTCCTTTCTGTCCAGAAATCATGCAAGAAACCGTGACATGAAAAGTAAAAGTTGGAGGTTGATGAGGTTTCTTTGCCCTTTTGCTCACTCCTGGACCAGTTATCTCTCTTACACAGGTCATCTATGCCTTTCTACTTACTGGCCTCATCTTACCCACACACACTTATGTAGCCTTTTTTTCATGGTGTAATCTCACTTCTTAAAAGCATGACATTAATCTGGGCTCCAATACATTTACTGATGGCATTGGGTGATTAAAATATTTACATATACCAACTTTGTTATTAGAGACATGCTACAAACTTTTTAGACATTTTCTTATGTATTTATTTATTTATTTATTTATTTATTTATTTATTTATTTATTCATTTATTTAGAGGCCGGGTCTCACTTTATTGCCCAGGCTGGAATGCAATGACATGATCATGAATCACTGCAGCTTCGGACCCCAGGCCCAGGTGATCCTTCCACCTCAGCCTCCTGGGTAGCTGGGACTACAGGAGCACACCACCATGCCCAATGAATTTTTTGTATTTTTTTGCAGAGGCGGGGTTTCACCATGTTGCCAAGGCTGGTTTTGAACTCCTGGATGCAAACAATCAGCCTACCTTGGCTTCCCAAAATGTTGGGATTACAGGAATGAGCCACCATGCCCAATGACATTTTTATTTAAATTAATTCTTACAACAACCTGGGAGGAAGGGATTATTATTAACTCCGGTTTGCATATGAGACACCAGGCTAATGGAGGTAAATTTACTTTCCACCTCTAGGAAGTGATGGAGCTAGGATTTCAAGAGCAAAGTTTCAGACAATATTACAGCACTTTTCCTACTAACCTATACTTCATCTTGAATATGAAAGTAGGATTGGACTTTCAAACTTTCATGTTAATTTTGTTGAGTGATACAGTGGTGGGGAGTTGTGTTATAACAGAAAATAATATTTCAACTAAAGGGATAAAGTCCTGATTGATTTTAGGCAGCAACCAGGCTCTAAGAAGTTTTATGGAGAATCAGAAAGGAGTAGAACCTGTGGAAAGATCCCAAGCCTATAAAGAACCAACTCATGATAGCTTATACTTCCCTTACTACCCTTCAGGTCTTTCCCCTCAAATCCTGTCCCAGGTTTCTGAACATGTCTCCTGGCACAGGTAAAGGGGACCAGGCATCATCCTTTAAGCTAACCTGGCAACAAAGCAGAACATTTGGATGCATCTTTCAGCATATAAAATTCTATTGGTTGATTACCAAATAGTAAATGTGTATTAGTCTGCTCTAATATTGCTATAAAAAACCTGAGACTGGGTGACCTATAGAGCAATAACTAATTTTCTCACAGTTCCATAGGCTGTACAGAAAGCATGATGGTGGTATCTGCTTGGCTTCTGGGGAGTCCTCAGGAAGCTTACAGTCGTGGAGGAAGGCAAAGGGAGAGTGAAACATCTCACATGGCAGGGGCAGGAGCAAGAGAGAGCAAGGGTGGAGGTGTCACACACTTTTCAATGACCAGTTCTAGCGAGAACTCACTCAGTATCATGAGGACAGTACCAAAGGGGATGGTGACAAACCGTTCATGAAAAATCTGTCCCCATGATCCAATCACTGCTGACCAAGGTCCATCTTCAACATTAGGGATTAAAATTAAACATGAGATTTGGGTGGGGACACACATGCAAACCATATCAAGTTGTAAAAGACATTCTTCACCTTTATTTTTCTCCTTACTCTCACCGTGTTCTACCTCCTACTCATTCTTCATCTTAATCCCATTTCATTTTTCCATTCCACCCCTCATCTCTGCTCCTTCCTTTATTCTATACACAATGATGAGAAGGTTAAATGATGGAGATGGAATCAGAAATAAGGTGAGGATATTTGATGTATATAGGTCTTAGGTAAAAGTTTATATTTAATGGTTTGTGATTTTTTAAGGATACATGTCAAAATGCCATTTGAAAATAAACATGAGAAAGTAACTCTGTCAGACATTCTGTTTTACAGATCTAGACCTCTTCTTTTTAAGAACTCTGGGCTGCAGGTTTCTTTGGGCTTAAGGAGCCCTAGACATATCATTCATTCAATCAACAATCATTTAGGAAAAGTCTACTATGTTATTGGAATTGTGCTAAGTAGTATGGCTAAAGAGCTAAACACCAACACTTATTTTCAGAGAGCTCTCAATCCAGTGGGGAAGACAAAAAATAAACAAACAGATCCACATATAAACAAATAACTACAAATTGCATAAATGCTTCAAAAGGACAAATACATTTGCAGAAAAAATAATGATGATCTAAGAGATGGTAGTGGTTGTGGGAAGCTGAGAGCAGAGGTTAAAATTTTAACATCCACCCACAATCTAAAGACTTTATCACAGGCTGGCTCTCTCACAATTTTTCTCTACACTTAGCAATGGTCACGAGGTCCTCCAGCTTGTCTGGGCTGTATACTGCATTGACTAGTGCCCAATGGGATGCATTTACTCTGCTTAGTTTGCAAGAATGTCCTGTCTGTCCTCTTCTTCTTAAGCCTCACTACCAATATCCTACATCCAGGGAATACTCTACTTCATCTCAAATTCTAACAACTCAAACCTATCTACCATTCCGGCTCCCCATCCAGCCCACTGAAAGCCACATCCACAACTGAATAAAACCTCGCATTCATTGTTCAAATCCATGTGTGACCAATATTTCTGGGATGTTGGGAAAGAGCTCGAGATACAGAAAGCTGTTCTACTGGCCCTCTGCACTTGCAAAAAAGGAGAGGGTGCATTGAGATGGTCAACACTCAAGCCATCTGTGGACAGTAAAGCTGAAAGAGCTTTGTAACACTGGGGTTGCAGGCACCCACCCCTAGACACTATCACAAGGCTGGAGCCCAGAGCTCTTGCCCTGGCCTCTGCACCTGCCCATCTTCATATTCCCCCTCCTGCTAGGATTTAAGCAGATGGATGGGATGACCCAAAAGGCAAAGCCAAACCCCTGTTGGATGCTCTGAGAGGGGGATCAGGAAACTCTTGTTTCATTTCTGTCACTATAGGATACAGAATTAAGAAAACTATTGAGTCCATCTGTTACTTGACAGACACTGATGACTGCCCTTTCAATTGGTGCTTTATCATTGAATGGTCACAACAGCACTTTGAGTAAAGTATTGTTTTTCTTGACTTACAAATGAGAAAATTGATGATCAGAGAAAGAAAAGTTCTTGGCCTTGAACATTCAGGAATTCTTTGACAGAGTAGACTGTTTTCAATATAACATCCTTCCTCTCTTTTTTTTTTAAAAAAAATGGAAATTGGCTTAAATTTCAACCAAAGAAATTCAGTTAGACTTAAATAAACACTTCTTGAGAGTGAGAGCTCTTGGACTCTTCCAAGTGAGAGTGTTGTACTACCTTTTCCTTCAATGAATGAACAAAGTAGCCAAAGTATCTGTCCCCATTTAATAGCCTCTTCAAATCCTGGTTTTGGAGTAGTCTGTAACAGTTATAATAGTAATATTTTTCTTGATTTTAAAGGAGTATGTAGGAAGGACAAAATATCTTCTTGAGATCCCTTTCCCCAAAATGATGTTTGCTTGAAGTAAGCACAGGGCAAATATTAAGCTGAGAATTTGGACAAGCTGTCCTTGGATTAGGCTTAGAAGGAGGGCAATAAGTTACCTGCATTTCCATCATGGATTGAATTTAGTCATGTGAGATAGGAGAGAGGTGGAGGATGCGACAGAGAACAAAGGCAGAGATAAAAATGACTAAGCAGTTATTACAGCTTACACATAAGTATAACGTGATAGCTCAATATGGTAATATAGTATCTGACTGCATTTCTATAGTACAGACAGCAGGAGATAGGTGATAGGCTTGTATTACCTGGTCAAGATCTCATCAGCAAGTTCAGTTCCATTTCTGAGTGTCATATGTTAAAATAAATACAGATAAATTAGAGCATTTTTTAGGAAGCTGCAGGGAGAACAGACAGGAACTCAGTTCTCTTGGAAAATGTGTGAAAGAAAGATTTTTCATTCTGGAGCCCTGAAGATGTAGGTTTTGTTACAGGAAAGATGAAGTAGACAAATGGATGTATTATTTGCTGCCCCTAAGTCAGAGCTAGGAGCCATGGATAGGAGAAATACACAGAGGTGTATTTCAACCAAAAACAGGGAAGCAGTTTCTGACCATTATATTTGTCTATACATAGAATGGATTCAAAAGATAGTGAGTTTACAGTTACTAGAAGTGAACACAGAGAAGCTAAAAAGCCCTTAGGCAGATATTCTTAAAAGGAGACTCCAGGGATCACATCATGTTAAAAAGCTTCTGCACAACAAAGCAAATGGACAACAAATAGAGTTAGAGAAATTATTTACAAACTACCACTCTGACAAAGGATTAATAGCTATAATACATAAGGAGCTAAAATAACTCTATAGGAAAAAACTCTAATAATTCAATCAATAAATGGGCAAAGGATTTGAAAAGATATTTCTAAAAAGAAGACATATTAAATCCATAAATTACCTTGGGCAGTATGGCCATTTTCATGATATTGATTCTTCCTATCCATGAGCATGGAATGTTCTTCCATTTGTTAGTATCCTCTTTTATTTCGTTGAGCAGTGGTTGGTAGTTCTCCTTGAAGAGGTCGTTCACATGCCTTGTATGATGGATTCCTAGGTATTTTATTCTCTTTGAAGCAATTGTGAATGGGAGTTCACTCATGATTTGGCTCTCTGTTTGTCTGTTATTGGTGTATAAGAATGCTTGTGATTTTTGCACATAAATTTTGTATCCTGAGACTTTGCTGAAGTTGCTTATCAGCTTAAAGAGATTTTGGGCTGAGACGATGGGGTTTCCTAGATATACAATCATGTCATCTGCAAACAGGGACAATTTGACTTCCTTTTTTCCTAATTGAATACACTTTATTTCTTTCTACTGCCTGATTGCCCTGGTCAGAACTTCCAACACTATGTTGAATAAGAGTGGTGAGAGAGGGCATCCCTGTCTTGTGCCAGTTTTCAAAGGGAATGCTTCCAGTTTTTGACCATTCCTTATGGTATTGGCTGTGGGTTTGTCATAAATAGCTCTTATTATTTTGAGATGCGTCCCATAGATTCAATGCCATCCCCATCAAGCTACCAATGACTTTCTTCACAGAATTGGAAAAAACTACTTTAAAGTTCATATGGAACCAAAAAAGTGCCCACATTGCCAAGTCAACCCTAAGCCAAAAGAACAAAGCTGGAGGCATCACACTACCTGACTTCAAACTATACTACGAGGCTACAGTAACCAAAACAGCATGGTACTGGTACCAAAACAGAGATATAGACCAATGGAACAGAACAGTACCGTCAGAAATAATACCACATATCTACAACTATCTGATATTTGACAAACCTGACAAAAAAGAAGAAATGGGGAAAGGATTCCCTGTTGAATAAATGGTGCTGGGAAAACTGGCTAGCCATATGTAGAAAGCTGAAACTGGATCCCTTCCTTACACCTTATACGAAAATTAATTCAAGATGGATTAAAGACTTAAATGTTAGACCTAAAACCATAACAACCCTAGAAGAAAACATAGGCAATACCATTCAGGACATAGGCATGGGCAAGGACTTCATGTCTAAAACACCAAAAGCAATGACAACAAAAGCCAAAATTGACAAATTGGATCTAATTAAACTAAAGGGCTTCTGGACAGCAAAAGAAACTACCAACAGAGTGAACAGGCAACCTACAGAATGGGAGAAAATTTTTGCAATCTACTCATCTGACAAAGGGCTAATATCCAGAATCTACAATGAACTCAAACAAATTTACAAGAAAAAAACAAACAACCCTATCAAAAAGTGGGTGAAGGATATGAACAGACACTTCTCAAAAGAAGACATTTGTGCAGCCAACAGACACATGAAAAAGTGCTCATCATCACTGGCCATCAGAGAAATGCAAACCAAAACCACTATGAGATACCATCTCACACCAGTTAGAATGGTGATGGTTAAAAAATCAGGAAACAACAGGTGCTGGAGAGGATGTGGAGAAATAGGAACACTTTTACACTGTTGGTGGGACTGTAAACTAGTTCAACCATTGTGGATGTCAGTTTGGCAATTCCTCAGGGATCTAGAACTAGAAATACCATTTGACCCAGCCATCCCATTACTGGGTATATACCCAAAGGATTATAAATCATGTTGCTATAAAGACACATGCACACGTATGTTTACTGTGGCACTCTTCACAATAGCAAAGACTTGGAACCAACCCAAATGTGCAACAATGATAGACTGGATTAAGAAAATGTGGCACATATACACCATGGAATACTATGCAGCCATAAAAAAGCATGAGTTCATGTCCTTTGTAAGGACATGGATGAAACTGGAAACCGTCATTCTCAGCAAACTACCTCAAGGACAAAAATCCAAACACCGCATGTTCTCACTCATATGAGGGAATTGAACAATGAGAACACTTGGACACAGGAAGTGGAACATCACACACTGGGGCCTTTTGTGGGGTGGGGGGAAGGGGGAGGGATAGCATCAGGAGATATACCTAATGTAAATGATGAGTTATTGGGTGCAGCACACCAACATGGCACATGTATACATATGTAACAAACCTGCTCGTTGTGCACATGTACCATAGAACTTAAAGTAAAATATATATATATATATATATATATATATATATATATATATATATATACATATACATATATATATATTTAAAAAAGAAGACACGTTATTGGAAAATAGACATATGGAAACGTGTTCAACATCATTGATAATCCGATAAATAAAAACCAAAACAAAGAGATGTTACCTCACCCCAAAAAAATAGCTTATATTAAAAAGACAGGCAATAACAAATGCATGTGAGGATGTCAAGAAAAGGGAATCCTAGTTGGTGGGCATGTAAATTAGTACAATCACTATGGAGAACAGTTTAAAGGTTCCTCAAAAAACTAAAGTGGGCAGGACAAAGATGGCTGACTGGAAGACGTGGAGACCAGAGGGTCCCATTGAAAATAACTAAACACCATGAGAATCCAGCACCGGCAACCAAGGTATACATGTTCTGTCATCAGGACTGACTGGGTGGCTGGCTTGACCTATGGAGAGGAAAGAAAAACAGTGTCGTGCAGCAGCCCAAATAAGTGCTACATGGGGCAAGGGAGCCCCCATCACCCAGCCAAAGGAGGCTTTCTGAGGCATCTGGACAGCCCAGACAAGTGGGTTTCCCCCTAACACGACACACACCGAAAGCAACAGCAACATCAACAAAAAAAAAAGTCTCCAATAAAACCTCATGCAAGGGTCAGCAGCCTCAAAGATTGAAAGTAGACAGGAAGATAAGGAAAAAATCAGCAGAAAAGTGCTGAAAACTGAAAAGGCCAGAGTGCCTCTTCTCTTGCAAATGATCACGCCACCTCTCCCGCAAGGGTGCAGAACTGGACAGAGAATGAGATGCATGAATTGACAGAAGTAGGCTTCAGAAGGTGGGTAACAACAAACTCCACTGAGCTAAAGGAGCATGTTCTAACCCAGTTCAAAGAAGCTAAGAACCTTGATAAAATGTTACAGGAGCTGCTAAGTAGAATAACTAGTTTAGAGAGAAACATAAACTACCTGATGGGGCTAAAAGATACAGCACAAAAACTTTGCAAAACATACACAAGTATCAATAGCGAAAATGATCAAGCAGAAGAAAGAATATCAGAATCTGAAGACCATCTTACCGAAATAAGGCATGCAGACAAGATTAGAGATAAAAAAATAAGAAGGAACGAGCAAAACCTCCAAGAAACATGGGAACCAAACCTATGATTGATTGGGTTACCTGAAGGAAATGGGGAGAATGGAACCAAGTTGGAAAACACATTTCAGGATATTATCCAGGTGAATTTTCCCCAACCTAGCAAACAGGCCAAAATGCAAATTAAGGAAATATAGAGAACACCACTAAGATACTCCATCAGAAGATCAGCCCCAAGACACATAATCATCAGACTCTCCAAGGTCAAAATGAAGGAAAAAAGTTAACAAAAATTTAACAAAACAGATAGACCACTAGCTAGACTAATAAAAAATAATAGAGAGAAGGATAAAGCCAGAGAGAAAGGCCAGGTCACATACAAAGGGAAGACCATCATACTAACAGCGGATCTCTCAGCAGAAACCCTACAAGGCAGAAGAGAGTGGGGGCCAATATTCAACATTGTGTAAAAAAGAAAGAAGCATTTTTGACCCAGAATTTCATATTCAGCCAAGCTAAGCTTTAGAAGCAAAGAAGAAACAAAATCCTTTCCAGACAAGCAAATGCTGAGGGATTTTGTCACCACCAGGTCTGTCTTGCAAGAGCTCCTGAAGGAAGTACTAAATATGGAAAGGAAAAACCAGTACTAGCCACTGCAAAAACACACCAAAATATAAAGACCAAAGACACCATAAAGAAACTGCATCAAATAGTGTGCAAAATAATTAGACAGCATCATGATGACAGGATTAAATTCACACATAACAATATTAACCTTAAATGTAAATACACTAACTGCCCTAATTAAAATACACAGACTGGCAAATTGGATAAAGAGTCAAGACCTATTGGTATGCTGTATCCAAAAGACCCATCTCATGTGCAAAGACACACATAGGCTCAAAATAAAGGAACGGAGGAAAGTTTACCAAACAATTGGAAAGCAAACAAACAATCAAAAAACACAACAATAAACAGGGGTATCAATCCTAGTCTCTGACAAAACAGACTTTAAATCAACAGAGATAAAAAAAGACAAAGAGAGGCATTACATAATGGTAAAGGGATCAATACAGGAGCACCCAGATTCATAAAACAAATTCTTAGAGACCTACAAAGAGATGTAGACTCCCACACAATAATAGTGGGAGACTTTAACACCCCACTGTCAACATTAGACAGATAAATGAGACAGAAAATTAACAAGGATACTCAGGACTTGAACTTAGCTGTAGATCAAGTGGACGTAATGGACATCTACAGACTCTCCACTCTCCCAAATAAACAGAATATACATTCTTCTCAGTGCCACATGGCACTTATTCTAAAATCGACCACACAATTAAAAGTGAAACACTCCTCAGCAAATGCAAAAGAACAGAAACCATAACAAACAGTTTCTCAGACCACAGTACAATCAAATTAGAACTCAGGATTAGGAAACTGACTCAAAACCACACAACTACATGGAAGTTGAAAAACCTGCTCCTGAATGACTCCTGGCTAAATAATAAAATTAAGGCAGAAATCAAGAAGTTCCTTGAAACCAATGATAATAAAGAGAAAATGTACCAGAATCTCTGAGACACAGCTAAAGCAGTGTTTAGAGAGAAATTTATTGCACTAAATGCCCATATCAGAGAACTAGAAAGATCTAAAATCGAGACCCTAACATCAAAATTAAAAGAACTAGAGAAGCAAGAGCAAACAAATCCAAAAGCTAGCAGAAGAAAAGAAATAACTAAGATCAGAGAACTGAAGGAGATAGAGACATGAAAAAAACCCACCAAAATTTCAATGAATACAGGAGCTAGGTTTTCAAAAACAACTAATAAAACAGACCATTAGCTAGACTAATAAAGAATAACAGAGAGAAGAATCAAATAGGCACAATAAAAATGATAAAGGGGATATCACTACTGACCACATAGAAATACAAACTACCATCAGAGCGTAGTATAAACACCTCTATGCAAATAAAAACAAAACAAAACAAAACAAAACAAAAAAACACCTAGAAAGAATTTAGAATAAATGTGTCAATTCCTGGAGACATACACCCTCCCAAGATTAAACCAGGAAGAAATCAAATCCCTGAAGAGATCAATATCAAGTTCTGAAATTGAGGCAGTAATTAATAGCCTACTAACCAAAAAAAAAAAAAAAAAAAAGCTCAGGACCAGATGGATTCACAGCCGAATTCTACCAGAGGTACAAAGAAGAGCTGCTACCATTTCTTCTGAAACTGTTCCAAACAATTGAAAAGGAGAGTCTTCTCCGCAACTCATTTTATGAAGCCAGCATCATCCTGATACCAAAACCTGGCAGAGACACAACAAGAAAAGAAAACTTCAGGCCAATATCCCTGATGAACATCAATGCAAAAATCCTCAATAAAATATTGGCAAATGAAATCCAGCAGCACATCAAAAAGCTTATCCACCATGACCATGTTGGCTCCATCCCTGGGATGAAAGATTGGTTCAACATACACAAAACAATAAATGTAATCCATCACATAAACAGAACCAATGACAAAAGCCCCATGGTTATCTGAATAGATGCAGAAAAAGCCTTCAATAAAATTTAACATTCCTTCACGTTAAAGACTCTCAATAAACTAGGTATTGATGGAACATATCTCAAAAGAATAACAGCTATTTATGACAACCCCACAGCCAATATCACACTGAATGAGCAAAAGCTGGAAGCATTCCTTTTGAAAACCAGCACAAGACAAGGATGCCCTCTCTCACCTCTCCTATTCAACATAATATTGGAGGTTCTGGCCAGGGCAATCAGGCAAGAGAAAGAAATAAAGCATATTTCAATAGAAAGAGAGGAAGTCAAATTGTCTCTGTTTGAAATGACATGATTCTATATTTAGGAAACATCACAGTCTCAGCCCCAAAACTCCTTAAGCTGATAAGCAGCTTCAGCAAAGTCTCAGGATACAAAATAAATGTAAAAAAATCACAAGCATTTCTATATACCAACAATAAACAAGCAGAGAACCAAATCACGAATGAACTCACATTTACAATTGCTTCAAAGAGAATAAAATACCCAGGAATACAGCTAACAAGGGATGTGAAGGACCTCCTTGATGTGAAGATCCATCCTTGATCTGGTGGGCACAATCTAATCAGCTCCCAGCAAATGTAAAGCAGGCAGAAAAACGTGAAAAGAAGTATATGTAAGTTAATACTTTATATATATATATACACACGTATATACACACATATATATATACACGTATATACATATATATGTATATATACGTGTGTATATATATGTGTGTATATGTGTGTGTGTGTGTGTATATATATATATATATATATATATATATATATATATATATATATCCTATTAGTTCTGTCCCTCTAAGAGAATCCTAATACAATAGGGAAAATCAGTATTGTAAAAATGGCCGTACTGCCCAAAGTCATTTATAGATTCAATGTAGAGTCATTTATAGATTCAAAGTCATTTATAGATTCAATACTAATCCTATCAAACTACCACTGCCATTCTTCACAAAATTAGAAAAAATTACTTTAAATTTCAAATGAAACAAAAAAAGAGCCTGTATAGTCAAGATAATCCTAAGCAAAAAGAACAAAGCTGGAGACATCACGCTACCTGACTTCAAACTATACTACAAGGCTAGAGTAACCAAAACAGCATGGTACTGGTACCAAAACAGATATATAGACCAATGGAATGGAACAGACACTTTAGAAATAATACCCTACATCTACAATCATCTGCCTCAACAAACCTGACAAAAACAAGCAATGGAAAAAGGATTCCCTATTTAATAAACAGTGTTGGGAAAACTGTCTAGCCACATGCAGAAAACTGAAATTGGACCCCTTCCTTGCACCTTATACAGAAATTAATTCAAGATGGATTAAAGACTTAAATGTAAAACCTAAAGTCATTAAAACCCTAGCAGAAAACCTTAGCAATACCATTAAGGATATAGGCATAGACAAAGATTTCATGACGAAAACGCCAAAAGCAAATGCAACAAAAGCTACAATTGACAAATGGTATCTAATTAAGCTAAAGAGCTTCTGCAGAGCAGAAGAAACTATCATCAGAGTGAACAGGCAACCTATAGAATGAGAGTAAAATTTTGCAATCTACCTATCTGACAAATGTCTAATATCCAGAATCTACAAGGAGCTTAAGCAAATTTACAAGAAAAAAATAAACAACCCTATCAAAAAGTGAGCCAAGGGTATGAACAGACACTTCTCAAAAGAAGACATTTATGCAGCCAACAAACATATGAAAAAAAGATTGGCTGGGCGTGGTGGCTCCTGCCTGTAATCCCAGAACTTTGGTAGGCCATGGCTAGCAGATCACCTGAGGTCAGGAGTTCGATAAAAGCCTGGCTGAAATGGTGAAACTCTATCTCTACTAAAAATACAAAAATTAGCCGGGTGTGGTGGTGCATGCCTGTAGTCCCAGCTACTTGGGAGGCTGAGGCAGGGGAATTCCTTTAACCAAGGAGGTGGAGGTTGCATTGAGCTGAAATTGCACCACTGCACTCCAGCCTGGGCAACAGAGCAAGACTCTGTCTCAAAAAAAAAAAAAAAAAGAACATCAACATCACTGATCATAAAAGTAATGCAAATCAAGAAATGCAAATCAAAACTGCAATGAGATACCCTCTCATGCCAATCAGAATGTCAATTATTAAAAAGTCATGAGACAATAGATGCTAGTGAGGCTGTGGAGAATAAGATCGCTTTTACATTGTTGGGGGAAATGTAAATTAGTTCAACCATTGTGGAAGACAGTATGATGATTCCTCCAGGATCTAGAACCAGAAATACCATTTGACCCAGCATTCCCATTACTGGGTATATGCCCAGAGGATTACAAATCATTCTACTGTAAAGACACATGCATATGTATGTTTATTGCAGCACTATTTACAATAGCAAATACATGGAACCAACCCAAATGCCCATCAATGATAGACTGGATAAAGAAAATGTGGTACATATACAGTATGGAATATAACGCAGCAATAAAAAGGAATAAGATCATGTCCTTGAGTTAAGGTCTGCTTACTTCAAGCTGATTTTCTCATAGAATCACAAATAGCTGACCCTCTATATCTTCAGGTTCCACATCTTTGGATTCAACCAAATGGATTCAATAGAAAATATTTGAGGATGGGACATGGATGAAGCCAGAAGTCATCATCCTCAGCAAACTAACACAGGAATATAAAACCAAACACTGCATGTTTTACTCATAAATAGGATTTGAACAATGATAACACATGAACACAAGGAAGGAAAAAACACCTACCTGGGCCTGTCAGGGGGTGGAGGCGAGGGAAAAGAGAGCATTAGGAAAAATAGCTAATGCATGTGGGTCTTAAAACCTAGATGATGAGTTGATAGATTCAGCAAACCACCATGGCACACGTATACCTATGTAACAAGACTGCATGTTCTGTGCACGTATCCTGGAACTTAAAGCAACATGTAAAAAAAAAAAACAAAAAACACCAAAAACCCTAAAAATTGAGTTATCATATGATCCAGCAATCGCACTGCTGGGTATACACCAAAAAGAAAAGAAATCAGTATGTTGAACAGATATCTGCACTCCTATGGTTGTTGCAGCATTATTTACAATAGCTTAGATTTGGAAGCAACCTAAATGTCCATCAACAGATGAACAAATAAAGAAAATGTGATACTTATAGACAATGGAGTTCTATTCAGTCATAAAATGAATGAGTTCCAGTCTTTTGCAACAAATTGATGAAGCTGGAGATCATTATGTTAAGCGAAATAAAGCAGACACAGAAAGACGAACATCATATGTGCTCACTTATTTGTGGGATCATAGAAAGTAGAAGGATGGTTACTAGAGGCTGGAAAGAATAGTAGATGGGGGTTAGGGGGAAGATGGGGATAGTTAGTGGATTAAAAAAAAAATAGAAAGAATGAATAAGACCTACTATTTGATAGCACAATAAGGGGGCTACAGTCAATAATAATTGTACATTTTAAAATAACTTAAGGAATGTAATTAGATTGTTTGTAACTCGAAGCATAAATGCTTGTGGAGATAAATACCCCATTGTCCATGTTGTGCTTATTTCACATTTTACAGTGCATGCCTGTATCAAAATATCTCATGTACCTTATAAATGCCTACATCTACTCTTTACCAACAAAATTTTTAAAAACTAATTTTTAATAAGGTGACTCCAGGCAACAAAGAGTTGGAAGAGAGGAGGCTGGGGCTTGCTTCCAGCCCTGAGATAAATTTAATCAACTTTTAGTATCTCTGGTGGATTGCTTCCAGGATCCTAGCAGATACCAAAATCCTCAGATGTTCAGACTCTTAGAAAAAAATGGCATAATATTTGCATATAACTAACGCATATCCTCCAATATACTTTAAATCATCTCTGATTACTTATACTACCTAGTACAATGTAAATGTTATATAAATATTTGTTAATTGCATTTTTATTTTTATTATTTTTAATTGTCATGCTGTTATTTTTACTTGTTTTGTCCCCAGGTATTTTCTATTGAATCCAGTTGGTTGAATCCAAAGATGTGGAACCTGAGGATATAGAGGGTCAGCTGTTTAAGATTCTATGAGAAAATCAGCTTGAAATAAGCAGACCTTAACCCAAAAGACAGAACTACATTATGACTCATGTTCATCACACTTTTTGTCTTCTTTTCTTCTCTTAGGAGTAGGCAGCCTCCTTTTTTTTACCAGTGTATCCCACACAAAGATGGATAAAAAACCTTTGATTTTTTAAAATTTCTTAAGATTCCCTTGAAATAATTCTTTATAGCATAAAGAACCATTCTGGAGAATCTTAGCTGTAAGGAAATATGTCTCAGAAGATGCCAAAGTAGTAGATTCAAAGGGAAGGGTTTTACAAATGCAACTACAGGTTACTACCATTAAGAGAGGTGCTTCCAAGTCTTTGCTATTGTGAATAGTGCCGCAATGAACATACGTGTGCATGTGTCTTTATAACAGCATGATTTATAGTCCTTTGGGTATATACCTAGTAATGGGATTGCTGGGTCAAATGGTATTTCTAGTTCTAGATCCCTGAGGAATCGCCACACTGACTTCCACAATGGTTGAACTAGTTTACGTCCCACCAACAGTGTAAAAGTGTTCCTATTTCTCCACATCCTCTCTAGCACCTGTTGTTTCCTGACTTTTTAATGATTGCCATTTTAACTGGTGTGAGATGGTATCTAATTGTGGTTTTGATTTGCATTTCTCTGATGGCCAGTGATGATGAGCATTTTTTCATGTGTCTTTTGGCTGCATAAATGTCTTATTTTGAGAAGTGTCTGTTCATATCCTTTGCCCACTTTTTGATGGAGTTGTTTGTTTTTTTCTTGTGAATTTGTTTGAGTTCATTGTAGATTCTGGATATTAGCCCTTTGTCAGATGAGTAGGTTGCAAAAATTTTCTCCCAGTTTGTAGGTTGCCTGTTCACTCTGATGGTAGTTTCTTTTGCTGTCCAGAAGCCCTTTAGTTTAATTAGATCCCATTTGTCAATTTTGGCTTTTGTTGCCATTGCTTTTGGTGTTTTAGACATGAACTCCTTGCCCATGCCTATGCCCTGAATTGTAATGCCTAGGTTTTCTTCTAGGGTTTTTATGAAATGTCCAACAATGATAGACTGGATTAAGAAAATGTGGCACATATACACCATGGAATACTATGCAGCCATAAAAAATGATGAGTTCATGTCCTTTGTAGGGACATGGATGAAATTGGAAATCATCATTCCCAGTAAACTATTGCAAGGACAAAAAGCCAAACACCGCATGTTCTCACTCATAGATGGGAATTGAACAATGAGAACACATGGACACAGGAAGGGGAACATCACACTCTGGGGACTGTTGTGGGGTGGGGGGAGGGGGGAGGGATAGCATTAGGAGATATACCTAATGCTAAGTGAGGAGTTAATGGGTGCAGCACACCAGCATGGCACACGTATACATATGTAACTAACCGGCACATTGTGCACATGTACCCTAAAACTTAAAGTATAATAATAATAATAATAATAATAATAATGATAATAATAAAAGAAATATATTGAATTCTCAGGCAAAAAAATAAGAAATGTTTATTAGTAAACTTTTTATTGCTATAGAACATAATATTGAAGAGAGCAAAAATCATGTTTCACCCAAAGGATAGTCACAAAGTGAACATGTAATCAACACTAAGATTTTTAGTCTCCCTAGGTGACTTCAAACATTATGATGTTTAATTTCACCTAGTTTTGAACTTCCCACAAACATAAACATGCAATATGTATCCTTTTACATCTTGCTTCTTTTAGTCAGCATTATATCTCAGCCATATTGTTGCATATGATTTTTGGAGTATAATTCTCATTTTTTGTAAAGTAATCCATTGTATGGACATACCATAATTTATTTATTCACTGTTCCATTCTACTGCTGTTAGACTTTTTAGCTCCTAATTAATTCCAGTTTGGAGCTTTTGCAGAAAAGAGTTAACATAGCAGGCCATACTGCTATCCCTAGACAAGGCTGCATCTACTGTTGGCCCTTGACTAGCATGTGAGAACTTGGATTTTGGAGTAAGTAACTGGTGATAGTGTCTTATTGTGCCCAAATGGTTTGTAGAAACAATGTGGTTTATGCTGAACACCTGCTTTCCTTCTGGGAGTCTGGAATTCTGCTATGTTCCAGGCAGAGGCTGCATATTTCTCCATCCCCCAATTAAAAAAAAAAACCCTGAAAAAAAAAGAGAGGTGCTTTATGGTTGGAGATTTCCTCTGTAACTAGAGAGAGAGGGTTGTTGTCTATGAGCCAACCCTGATAGTTCTTCAGTCATTGGCATGAAACTTGGGGGATTGGTTGTATCTGGTCTTTCACTAAGCTTCATGAACAAAAGGGCTTTTTACATTTTTGTACAGGCTGATTTTAGTGGCTCTGAAAAAAGACTTGGAAGTGGATCTTGATGGTAAGTGGAAGGTACAATGCCAAATACTCCTACAAACCAAGGGTAACATCTCTACCATTGTCTTCCCTTCTTCTAGTCCATGGTCTCTGGCCCTGGCTAAGCATGAAGCACGCAGGAGTTTTTTTTTGTAAATAACGTCAACCTTAAGTGAAAAAAGCAAGAGGACTTGGTCAGCTTCTTCCCTCAAGGCAATGGGTGCTCAGTGAAGAAGTTGGAGGATCTCCATGACAACATTCTGTGAGCCCAGAGCTGGCAGTAGGGATACATACAAGACTACTGCCTGGACCCAACAATGGAGAATGGAAAGGAGGAGAATGGAAAACTCCTGGTAGATTAGGAGGAGAATTGCTCAGAGGGAAAAGAGTTTGCCCTGAGTAGGAAGCTACAAGCAGGACCGAGTGCCCACATCTTGAATCTAATGTCTGAGTCACACAAAAGACATCAATACCACTTATTACATACAGGCCATAAACATTGTATTGTGTGGATAAGGCTCTTTCCAAGGAACACAGAGGGTATCCCTTCAATTAACTCTTTTATTTCCATGGGACTCCCAACAAAAGATTCAGTAGTGATTGAGGATTTAAAACCGATTTTTCTGTCTTCAGGGAAGAAGTAAGATCAAGGCAAGAACAATCTGACTCTAATTATTCCCCTCCTCATTCCCCTTGATGGTCACTAGCAGAGAAAGATTCTACTCCATAGGTCACTTGAAGTGACCTATAGGTTCTCTGAGCAAATCTCTTCTAACAGGATCAGAGTTTTCAGGAATATTAGCCAATTCTTCAAATCTGCCAGTTGGAAGAATCCACACTTGCCATAATAAATATTTCTGCAACATAACTAAAGCATTTTGTCTTGAGGTTTGCCATTAATCCCTGGCCTAACATGACCATGAAAAATTGCCATAGAGAGATTTGTAAAATAAGTCAGAGATGAAGTAAATTCTAAAGATATCTCTAGTGCAAGCCTTCTTATATGAACAAATAATTGCTATGCTTATTCATTATGTCACTGTCTCAAGCTTCTTAGCTTGCCTTTCCAACATGGCCCCCACTCAACTTCCTTGCTTTAACTGTCATTTCTCTTATCTCCCTGAAATGTGGACTGTAATGCCACTGAACTAATCACAGATCTCATGGCTTGCTTTAGTCTTTCATATATTTGAACAAGCCATTCCTTTTACATAGCAAGTCTTGTCCACCTCTGGATGATGATCTCTTACTTATACTTTGTGACCTGTTTCAATTTTTCACTCACCCATGAAACTGTCCTGGGGCACCAACATTGTTTGTTTGTTTGTTTGTTTCCCTTTTCTATTATTATGGCACTATTTTGCCTTGTGCCTGGATTTAGGGCTGTTTGTAGTAACTGTTGAAAACAAAGCTCAGAAGCCCATATGGGAATTGAACATCTGGCATTGTTCTTAGCTGCACTAAATTCTACCCACTGACTTCTCTCACCTTTGAGTTAGAGAAGTGCTCCAGTTGATGTTTTTGATTTATTTTTACATTGGCTCTTCTTCCATTAAAAGTAGACTAACAGGCCCCTTGCAGGAGAAATGTATGGGTAATGAATGTGTTTGGAATCAAGAAAAGTAATATGGCATACTGGAAAGTATATAAACTTCAGAGTCAAACAGATCTCAGTTTAAAGCCCAATTCTCCCTCTGACTAACTATACAACTATTTTGTAGACTGTCTAAATTTTCTCATCTTTAAAATGTAGGTTAACATAAAAAAGAATAAAATAATTAGGGATAAACCTAACCAAGGAGGTAAAAGACTTATGCACTGAAAAGTGCAAAGCACTGCTGAACCAATTTTAAAAGCTATACATAAATGGAAAGACATTCATGTTCATAGATTGAAAGAAAATATTGTTTAGAAGTTAATACTATAAAAAGTGATGTATAGATTCAGTACAATGTATATCAAAATGTAAATGACATTTTTTTTAGAAATGAAAAAATCTATTCCAAAATTCCCATGGAATCTCAAGGACCTCAAATAGCCAAAACAATATTAAAAAGGAAGAGCAAAATGGTGGTCTCACACTTCCTGATTTCAAAACTTACTATAAAATTGCAATAATTAAAAAGTATGATGCAAACACAAAGTAGGATGATTAGACCAATAGAATAAAATAGAGGGCTCTGCAAGAAACCATTGCATATATGATCACTGTTGATAATGATACAAAAACCATTAAAAGGGAGAACAACTATCTTTACCACAAATGATTTCATGAAAATTGAATGTCCATATTCAAAAGAATAGTTATAAAAGAAGTCCTTGCCCATTCCTATGTCCTGAATGGTATTGCCTAGGTTTTCTTCTGGATTCTTATGGTTTTAGGTCTAACATTTAAGTCTTTAATCCATCTTGAATTAATTTTTGTATAAGATGTAAGGAAGGGATCCAGTTTCAGCTTTCTACATATGGCTAGCCAATTTTCCCAGCACCATTTATTAAATAGGGAATCCTTTCCCCATTTCTTGTTTTTGTAAGGTTTGTCAAAGATCAGATGGTTGTAGATAGGTGGCATTATTTCTGAGGGCTCTGTTCTGTTCCATTGGTCTATATCTCTGTTTTGGTAGCAGTACCATGCTGTTTTGGTTACTGTAGCCTTGTAGTATAGTTTCAAGTCAGGTAGTGTGATGCCTCCAGCTTTATTCTTTTGGCTTAGGATTGACTTGGCAAGGCAGGCCTTTTTTGGTTCCATATGGACTTTAAAGTAGTTTTTTCCAATTCTGTGAAGAAAGTCATTGGTAGCTTGATGGGGATGGCATTGAATCTATAAATTACCTTGGGCAGTATGGCCATTTTCACAATATTGATTCTTCCTAGCCATGAGCATCGAATGTTCTTCCATTTGTTTGTATCCTCTTTTATTTCACTGAGCAGTGGTTTGTAGTTCTCCTTGAAGAGGTCCTTCAACTCCCTTGTAAGTTGGATTCCTAGGTATTTTATTCTCTTTGAAGCAATTGTG
Source organism: Homo sapiens (assembly GCF_000001405.40). Classification (NCBI taxonomy): domain Eukaryota; kingdom Metazoa; phylum Chordata; class Mammalia; order Primates; family Hominidae; genus Homo; species Homo sapiens. The sequence continues at coordinate 67,137,820 of NC_000023.11, read as the reverse complement.
AATGGGAGTTCACTCATGATTTGGCTCTCTGTTTGTCTGTTATTAGTGTACAAGAATGCTTGTGATTTTTGCACATCAATTTTGTATCCTGAGACTTTGCTGAAGTTGCCTGTCAGCTTAAGGAGATTTTGGGCTGAGATGATGGGGTTTTCTAGATATACAATCATGTCACCTGCAAATAGGGACAATTTGATTTGCTCTTTTCTTAATTGAATACCCTATATTTCCTTCTCTTGCCTGAATGCCCTGGACAGAACTTCCAACACTATGTTGAATAGGAGTGGTGAGAGAGGGCATACATGTCTTGTGCCAGTTTTCAAAGGGAATGCTTCCACATTTTGCCCATTCCATATGATATTGGCTGTGGGTTTGTCATAGATAGCTCTTATTATTTTGAGATATGTCCCATCAATACCTAATTTATTGAGAGTTTTTAGCATGAAGGGTCTAAAATACCAAAAGCAATGGCAACAAAAGCCAAAATTGACAAATGGGATGTAACTAAACTAAAGAGCTTCTGCACAACAAAAGAAACTACCATTAGAGTGACAAGGCAACCGACAGAATGGGAGAAAATTTTTGCAATCTGCTCATCTGACAAAGGGCTAATATCCAGAATCTACAATGAATTCCAACAAATTTACAAGAAAAAAACAAACAACCCCATCAAAAAGTGGGCGAAGGATATGAACAGACACTTCTCAAAAGAAGACATTTATGCAGCCAAAAGACACATGAAAAAATGCTCATCATCGCTGGCCATCAGAGAAATGCAAATCAAAACCACAATAAGATACCATCTCACACCAGTTAGAATGGTGATCACTAAAAAGTCAGGAAACAACAGGTGCTGGAGAGGATGTGGAGAAATAGGAACACTTTTACACTGTTGGTGGGACTGTAAACTAGTTCAACCATTGTGGAAGTCAGTGTGGTGATTCCTCAGGGATCTAGAACTAGAAATATTGTTTGACCCAGCAATCCCATTACTGGGTATATACCCAAAGGAGTATGAATCATGCTGCTATAAAGACACATGCACATGTATGTTTATTGTGGCACTATTCACAATACCAAAGACTTGGAACCAACCCAAATGTCCAACAATGATAGACTGGATTAAGAAAATGTGGCACATATACACCATGGAATACTATGCAGCCATAAAAAATGATGAGTTCATGTCCTTTGTAGGGACATGGATGAAGCTGGAAACCATCATTCTCAGCAAACTATCGCAAGGACAAAAAACCAAACACTGCATGTTCTCACTCATAGGTGGGAATTGAACAATGAGAACACATGGACACAGGAAGGGGAACATCACACACCAGGGCCTGTTGTGGGGTGTGGGAAGGGGGAGGGATAGCATTTGGAGATATACCTAATGTTAAATGACGAGTTACTGGGTTCAGCACACCAACATGGCACATGTGTACATATGTAACAAACCTGCACGTTGTGCACATGTACCCTAAAACTTAAAGTATAATAACAAAAAAAATAGAATAAAGTTATACCCCTACCTTACACCATATACAAAAATTAAATCAAAATAGATCAAAGATCTAAACATGAGAACTCAAACTGTAAAACTATTAACATAGGAGATAATCTTCATGACATTGGATTTGACAATGCTCTCTTGAATATGACACCAAAAGCATAGGTAACAAAAGAAAAACTAAACAAGTTAGATTACATAAAATTTTAAAACTTCTGTACATCAGATAACACAATTGACAGAGTAAAAAGTCAATCCATGGAGTGGAAGAAAATATTTGCAAATCATATACATATAAGTAGTTAATATCTACAATATACAAAGAACTGTCACAACTCAGCAACAACATAACAACCCAACTAAAAATGGGCAGGGGCTTAAATAGACATTTCTTCAAAGAAGATATACAAATGGCAATAATGAAACATGAAACCATGCTAGACATCACTAATCGTTAGGGAAATGCAAAGCAAAATCATGAGACACCACTTTAAACCCATTAAAAATGGTCACTATAAATATGTTTGTGTGTGTTTAGGAAAACAGAAAATAACAAATGTTGGCAAAGCTGTGAAGAAATTGAAAAACTGTGCATTGTGGTTGGGAATGTAAAATGGTACAGATGCTATGCAAAACAACATGGCACTTCCTCAAAAAATTAAAAATAGTATTACCATATGATCCAGCAATTCCACTTCTGGGCATATACCCAAATTAATCAGAAACATTATCTTAAAGAGAATTTTTTTTTTTACTTTTTAAAATTTTTTATAAATTCAGGGGGGGTACATAGGCAGGTTTGTTACATGAATACATTGCGTAGTGAAGTCTGGGATTTCAGTGTACCTATGACCCAGCTAGTGAACATTGCACCTAGTAAGTACCTTTTGAACCTTCATCTCCTTCCAAACATCTCCCCTTGTGGAGTCCCCAGAGTCTATTATACTTCTCTGTATGTTTATGTGTATTCATTGTTTAGCTCCTACTTGTTTAGTTCCCACAAATGAGAACGTGTGGCATTTGATTTTCTAAGTTATTTCACTTAGGATAATGGCCTCCAGCTTCCCATGTTGCTGCAAAAGACATGATTTTATTATTTTTATGGCTGCATAATATATTCCATGTTGCATATATACCACATTTTCTTTATCCAGTTGCCCATTGATGGACTCTTATGTTGATTCTACAGTTTTGCTATTGTGAATAGCAGTGTGATAAACATATGAGTGCAAAAATGTCTATTTGATATAACAATTTCTTTTCCTTTGGGTAGGTAACAGTTACTGGGATTTTGGATGAAATGGTAGTTCTATTTTTAGTTTTTTAAGAGATATTTATATAGCCATGTTTGTAGTGCCATTATTTACAACTGCCAAAAGTTCAAACCCAACTGTCCATGAATGGATAAATGGATAAACAAAATGTAGTATATACATACAATGAATATTATTCAGCCTTGAAACAATAAGGAAATACTGTCATTTGCAACAGTACACAGAACATTGAGGACATTATGCTAAGTAAAACAAGTCAGTCAAAAAAGGACAAATATGGCACGATTCTATTTATTTGAGGTACCTAGAGTAGTCAAATTCATAGAGACAGCAAGTGGGATTCTGGTTGCCAGGGGCTTGGGGGAAGGGAGAATGGAAATTTATGGTTTAATGGGTACAGAGTTTCAGTTTTTAAGATGAAAGTACTTCTGAAGATAGATGGTGCTGATACTTGCACAACAATGTGAATGTACTTAATACCTCTGAACTGCCCACTTAAAGTGGTTAAGATGATCAATTTTATGTGGTGAGTTTTTTAGCACAACAAAAAAGTGGTTAAGATAGTAAACTTTATATTATGCATATTATACCACAATTAATAAAAATAAATAGAAAATGGACCTATTATCTTGTAGGACTTTGAGGTATCAGTGTTATGACACTTTCAAAACACCTAGCAGAATGTTTAGCTCATGATGGGTGCTCAACCATTGTTAGGTGCTATCATCTTTTTCTCTACCTTGCCTCCCCAACTTCTCTCTTTGTATTTTATTAGATGACTTAGGCTCTGCTAAACCTCTTACTTCTCAACAGACTCCTTTCCCCTTCCTTCCTTCCTTTCTCCCTTTTCTCATTTATTTATTTACTGTGGGGAACATCAAGGACTTCTGGGAAAGACATCTCAACTCTTTTGCCAGGTGGCAAAACCACATTATTTACTTCCAAATGCTCCCAGAAGTGCACATTCACATATTATGTATGTCGATCAGTATTAGTGGATCTACAAAGCTACTGCATACAATTGTGCAGATTATTCACTGCACAATGATGTATAGCTGAGAAGAATTAAGTCAATATGCGCTGGTGTATGATTGTATTTAAGCAGTGCCTATTTCTAATTCAAGAAAAGTTGTCATAAGGATAATTACACATGCACAGTGCTGGTATGTGTAATTAATGCATTATGGAGTCTTGAGGTTAGACTTGGGACACTTAATGTCCAGAGAAAGGAGAAAGTACCACCTGAGTGAGAAATCTGAATCTTTCCTAAATGGATAAAGTGGAAAGCCTGAGCTAAGAAGCAAATAAATCATCATGGGGCATCATGTGTGTTGATCTGATTTGCTTTGATAATGAGTGTCAGGCAGGGGAGAGGAGCCCAGAGAGCAGTTTCTTGTGTGTCTACTAATTCATGTCATTTAGAGATAAGCTCATTTTCTCAAGAAAGCTGAGGGGGCCACTGGTGCCTACCTCAGGACATGGATAAAGAGGTCAGAATGAGATTAGAATTGTCATACTCGAGTTCTGGCCCTGAGAAAACGACTGCTTTCAGAACTTCTTTGGCCCAGGAGATCCTGCCATTCTTTGGATTCAGAAATTGAAATCATAGATCCTTGCAGAAGTAGGGAAAAAAAACTTGATGTAGGCTTCAGGGATGATGGAGACAATGGCTCTTGGATTTTAGCTAGAAAGTGACCTTTCTCACTAAGGGCTGTAGACCATGTCTAAGAGGACGCTTGGTTGGAGAGGCCAGCACAGAACTAGGGGCAAATAATTTACTTGGGGAATGAAGAATGGAGAGCTTATTAGGATGTATTATGGCAACTTGGCTAGTGACAACTTTTGTAGCTCAAAGTTTCTCTAAGATGAGATAGAATATGTTTTGTTTTATCTAGAAAACCTATATCAAGCAAGTCATCCAGATTTTGATATTTAAGTTTGAAAATCTATAGAGGGATTCCTATAATTTGTGCTTTTGCTTTTCCTTTTTCCATTTTCTTAGTTACCTAGGTGAGCTCTTTAAAAAATAAGCATGGCCACATCTGGACAAAATTAACTGGTCTGAGGGCAAAGTGCATAGCAAGGGTGGAGTGAGTATCATGCCTCAAAGATACAGTGGTTATCTTAACATTTTCCAGTTGAAAAACATGGTAAGATGTAGGATGTTGGATAAATAAGGCATGTGAATGTGTCCCTGAATTGTCTGAATGTGACCCGGCAAGAGTTCTTAACCTTAGATCTCTTAATCCCTGACAATGTATGCAAAATTCTGCTTACATTTTATATGTAAATTTTTGAGGTAGAGATAGGAACAAAGTCCACAGCTACCCTCAGATTAAAAGGGCAAAGCACCAATCATCTTCAGAATAGTAGAAGATACCTTCCTAAAAATCTAGAGACCTAGGTACATTGGATAAAAACACTAGATGAGCTTTCTGGATATTTGGATTTTAGACTAAGCTCTGCTGCTAGCTTGCTATATGAGGCCTCCCTGTCTTCAGGTTACATATCTGTAAAATAAAGAAGCTGAATTACATGGTCTGTCAGGGCCTTTGGAGCTCTAAAGATCTGAGTTTGTAAGAATGAATTGCCTTGATTTGCCATACCCTTGAGATGACTCTCTAAATCTAATTTATATAAATGAAGTCTGGTAAGACATCGTTCAGGTTTGTTTCAGTAGCTGAATTTATGGCTTTGCTTTTATACCTCTTAATCCAGTAAAGTCCGATGAAACAGAAGAAAAAGGTGCCAGGACTGACTTTTTCAACACAGCCTGAGTCTACATGGGGTGACCTGATGGCCTTTAAATCAAACTGATTAGTCAGTTTGGTGGGATTTTTTTTCTGTATTGACTGGTTGAAATACTTGGTGTGACACAGGCAGACAGTGAGTCTCCAATCAGTTCGTTCTTCCTTTTGGAAGATTTTTCAACTCTCTTAAGTTTTCAGAGATGAGCAACTAGTCCTTATCAGTACACATTTGGGTCAAGATTATAGTTGAGAAGTCCCTGTAGGACAAAGATTGGGCTGTAACTTTATTTTCAATCTGCTTCACACTGTGTCAGACTGTTGCAAAAAGTGGGCGTGGCCTAGCAATAAGGAATACAGCATTTGTCTGGCCCACCTTCTGGTTTGCTTCTCTCCTCTGGGGACAAAGGGCAAGTGGTACTATAGTTAGGTCATGTCCTGTTTTTTTCACTTCCTCACTAAATAGTAAAAGTCCCTCCCCACTACCATTGACACTACTCAGTTTCTGATGGGAAATTCTATTATAGAGTGAGAGAAGGGAATTGATGGACATTCTTCTGCTTCTGAAAGAGATAATCCAGGCTATTGCTTATTTGTTATTTAAAAGTTCTTCAGTCCACCCATCCCATTTCCTAACCAAAAGATTTTGTATAGAGTTGCGATTGCCCAGGTATTTAGGCAAATGGCTTGGCTTTCAACTGGAATCCCAGAAGTGGCTCGTTAATGGGTACTCAGTGAATCACAAACTCTTAAGGATAGAAAGGGGTTGGGGTTCATTTAACTATATTTCCAAATTTTTCAGACCTTAATTTTACTTGGTATTATGTCTACTGAGACTAAGAGAAGAGCTGCATATTTAGCAGATGAGTAGGTTCAACCGAAAAATGTTTTTTCATTGTCTGTGTGCATCACCTCTTCCTCTCTGTCTCTATCTATATATCTCTCTCCCTTTCTCTTTCTCTGTCTCTCTCTCTCTCACACACACACACACACACACACACACAGAGACACACACACATGAACACATGCGTCTTTGCTTCTCTCTATTGACTATTGATACCCCCCAGATTAGCACCACCCTCAAATTTGAGGGATATATGATGCTTCTTCCTTTTCTTTTTGAGTGACTTTCTCATCCTCCGTCAGTGTCATTGCTTTGGCATGCTGGGAGATAACAAGCAATGGAACCTTTCTGTTCTCTTTAAACTTTTGTCATTTAACTTGTTCTTATAATTGCTATGAAAACCAGGTCCACAACGCACATACATGATTATTCTATATGTATTGATTAAATGCTTGCTATGTTCCAGAAGTTTTTCCAAAGTGTTGAAATAGAGAAGAGAGTAATAACAATAACTAGCACTTATACAGCACTTACTATATGCAGACACTATTTTGGCTTATTTGCATAAAATTCTTATATTTTCTTATCATAACACCATCCTTATCCCCATTTTACAAATGAGCAAACTGAGAAACAGAAAAGTTTAAGTTAATTAACTTACTCAAGATAATAGGTTTGTAAGTGATGGAGCAAATTTTCAAATCTAGAGTCCAGTACCAGAACTGGTACTCTTAACCACTGTGTTACCCTGACATCAAGAAGCACACATTTTATTTGTGGAGACAGAGTAAACATGTTAATAAATCAAAACACAACATTTGTGGTGGTATTTAGGGCCACACAAAATAAAGCAGGGTAAAGGGGAGAAGAGTGACAAGAGTCATTTGATGTTTCTAATAGCATGATAGAGAAAAGCCTCTCTGAGAAGATGGCATTTCAGCAGATCTGAATTAAGTGAGGAAGCTAGTCAGGTGTTCTATGTAGAATGAGCAACAAACCTAAATGCCCTGAGTCAGGAATTAATATAAGATTTTAGAATTTTTAGGAAGGCCTGTGAAAGTGAGATGTGATGCACAGGAGGAGTGTGGTAGGAGAGAGAATCAAAGGGGTAAGCATTGACTGTGTCAAGAAGGGCCTTTCCAACCATGATAAAGTGTTGAGCTTTTATTCTAAGCATAGTGGAATTTGTGTGTTTAAATGGAGGGGATACATAATCTGATTTAAATTTTATGAAAGATTCCTCTGGCTTCTCTGATAACAGACTGTAGGAGGATAACAGTAGAAGCAGAGAGACCAGGAAAGAGGCTACTAGTGCAGGTGTACAGACAAGAGATGTCAAATTGGCTTAGAGCGGTGGTGGTGGTGGTGAGAAGTGGTCAGATTTGGGATATATTTTGAAGGGTAGAGATGATAGGTCTTGCTGATGGCTTGGATATGGGGAAGGAGGGGTTAAGTTGGTTTGCTCTCAGAAGCCATTAATATCATAACTGTCTGAGTTTTCTCTCTCTCTCTCTCTCTCTCTTTCTCTTCTCTCTCCTTTTACATCAGAAAATAAATTTCTTATTCAGGATACATGTGATTATTCATGCTATGAAATGGTAGTATTTTAGAATTATAATTAAATAAAATAGTGCATATATTCTTTTATTTATGCAAAAATTATTTATTAAGTTCTTATGTGTTAATTCTAGTTCTAGGCACTCAGGATTCAAGGAAAAAGAAAATAGTGGCAGTTTCAGACTTCAAGGAGCTCACTGTTTGGTCATGCTAAGGGATAAATGCTTTTACACATCATGTAATTTAATCCTTACCAACCATCCTCCCCCACCCCAACACACACACACACACACACACACACACACACACAAACACACACACACACAAGTTAGGAAAAGTACATTCATCATCTCTATTTTTCTTAACAGTCTTTCGTAATTGGTATTATTGTTTCCATCTTACAGATGAGATTTTTACTTGCCAAATGATGCACATGTAGTAAAAGATAACCTGCATTTGAATATTAAACCTTGATAAATAGCATAGGGTGGCTAATAGCTTTGGCTATGGTTAGCCAGAAATGGGTTTAAATCCTAGTTCAACCATTTGATCGTGGACAAGTTCCTTTACCTAAGCATCAGTCTCCTCAAATTATAAAATGGGACAGATATAAAAAATAACTTTCCTCTCTCTTGCAGTCTTGCTCTGAATGTTAAATGAGCTAATGTGTGAAGCACTGTAGCTCTCAGCATCCCTGTTCCCATTGCCCAGGTTTCTTCAGCTAACAATCAGCCCAGCTTCATTCTAAAGTCTACCTGGGCATGTTTGGCTGTGTTTTCTCTCCTTTGTTAAAGTCTTTTCTCCTTCCCTGATTTAAACACATTATTTTACATTTCAGGAACTGGCTGTTTTTTCCAAATGCCCAACACTTATTGAATGTTGATTTAGAATAAACTGCCATTTGGAGATCCTGTAATTATGGTTGTCTTTGCAGCTTTCTTCATGATCAGGGAGAAATCTAGACTTAATTTGCCTGTCTTCAAACTTCATGTAATTGCTTTGTTTCTTTAAAGGCTGTCTCAAGTTCCTTCACCTTAATGGCAACAATTCAGAGATCCAACCATAATATATATCCATCTCAAATTGATTTCTCACTGTCAGCCATTCTAGCTCCCTAAAATCCTGAAATCTCATATTTGGAGGGAACCTTAGAGGATAACCCTCTAATCTGAGCAATCAGCATGTTTTGTTCCTCAGATCTTTCTTGCCTCTTTTTAGAATAATATTTGTAAATATATAAAATAAAATGCTAGGATTAAAAAGTACCAATTATATTAAAATACAAAAAAAGACATAGGAATATATGAGTTTTCTTATTAACAAAATAAAAAATAAGATTTTGTGGCAGATCCAAAAGCTATCATAATTTCAAAGTAACAGAACATACATAATATGTAAAGAATCTGCAGCAAATGTAATGTAACATAAAAGTATCTGTGATTTATATTAGTGTATTAGTCTGTTCTTACATTGCTAAAAAGAAGTACTTGGGACTGGATAATTTATAAAGAGCAGAGGTTTAATTTACTCACAGCTCCACAGTCTGTACAGTAAGCATGGTGGTGGAGGCCTCAGGAAACTCACAATCATGATGGAAGGCAAAGGAAGCAGGCACATCCTACATGTCTGGAGCAGTAGAAAGAGAGAGTGAAGGGGGAGGTGCTACACACTTTCAAACAACCAAATTTCATGAGCACTCTATCACAAGACAGCATTAGGAAGGTAGTGCTAAACGATTAGTAACTAACCCCATGACCAAATCACCTCCCACTAGGCCCCACCTCCAACACTCAGGATCACAATTCAACATGAGATTTGGGTGGGAACAAAGAGCCAAATGATATCATTCCACCCCTGGCCACTCCCAAATCTCATGTCCTTATCACAATGCAAAAGACAATCATGCCTTCCCAACAATCCCCAAAAGTCTTAACTCATTCCAGCATTAACTCAGAAGTCCAAGTCCAAAGTTTCATCTGAGACAAGGCAAGTCCCTTCCACCTATGAGCCTATAAAATTAAAACCCATTAGTTACTTCCAAAATACAATGAGACATTGGCTACATTGCCAATATACATTACAGCATTGGCTAAATAGTTCCATTCCAAAAGAAAGAAATCAGCCAAAACCAAGGGACTACTGTCCCCATGCAAGTCTGAAATCCAGCACACCAGTCATTAAATCTTAAAGCTCTAAAATAATATTTTTTGACTCCACGTCTCACATTCAGGCCACACTGTTGCAAAGGGTGGGCTCCCAAGGTCTTGGGTAGCTCTGTCTCTGTGACTCTGCAGGGTACAGCCCCCCACCCCCAGCTGCTTTCATGGGCTGGTGTTGAGTGCATGAGACTTTTTCAGGTGCTTGATGCAAGCTGTTGGTGGATCTACCATTCTGGGGTGTGGAGCATGGTAGCCCTCTTCTCACAGCTCCACTAGGCAGTACCCCAATTGCGACTCTGTGGGGGCTTAAATCCCACATTTCCCCACTGCACTGCCCTAGTAGAGGTTCCCTATGAGGGCCCCACTCCTGCAACAGACTTCTGTCTGGACATCTGGGCATTTCGATACAACATCTAAAATTTAGGCAGAGGCTCCCAAACTTCAACTCTTGCCTTCTGTACATCCATAGGTTTAATACTACATGGAAGCCTCCAAGGATTGGGGCTTGTACCCTCTGAAGAAATCATCCAAGCTGTAGCTCCACCCCTTTTTGACATGGCTGGAGTTGGAGTGGCTGAGATGCAGAGCACTATGTCCCAAGGCTCCACAGAGCATCAGGGTCCTGAGCCTGGCCAAAGAAATTATTCTTCTCCCATTTGGCCCCCAAACCTGTGATGGGAGGGGCCACCTCAAATGTCTCTGAAATACCCTGGAGGCATTTCCCATTGTCTGGGCTATTAACATTTGGATTCTTTTTACATATGCACATTTCTAAAGCTGGTTTGAATTCCTCCCCCAAAAATGGGTTTTTCTTTTTTACCACTTGGCTGGGCCTCAAGTTTTCCAAACTTTTACACTCTGCTTCCTTTTTAAATATAAGTTCCAATTCAAGGTCATTTCTTTGCTCATGAATATAAGTATAGTCTGCTAGAAGCAGCCAGGTCACTTCTTGAATGTTTTGCTGCTTAGAAATTTCTCCTACCAAATACCCTAGATCATTACTCTCAAGTTCAAAGTTCCACACACCTCTAGGGAAAGGACACAATGTCTTCAACCTTTTTAGTAATCCATAAGAAAAGTTACCTTTGCTCCAGTTCCCAATAAGTTCCTCATCTCCATCTGAGATCACCTCAGCCTGGACTTTATTGTCCATATCACTATCAGCATTTTGGTCACAACAATTCAACAAGTCTCTAGGGAGTTCCAAACTTTCCCCCGTCTTTTAGTCTTCTTCTGAGCCCTACAAACTGTTCTAACCTCTAACCATTATTCAGTTCCAAAGTCTCTTCCACATTTTCAGGTAACTTTTAGCAATACCCAACTCCCAGTACCAATTGTCTGTATTAGTTTGTTCTTGCACTGCTATAAAGAACTACTTGAGAATAGGTAATTTATAAAGAAAACAGGTTTAGTTGACTCACATTTCCACAGGCTATACAGGAAGCATGGCTAGGGAGGCCTCAGGTCACTTTCAATCATGGCAGAAGGCAAAGGGGAAACTGTCACGTATTACATGGCTGGAGCAGGAGGAAGAGAGAGCTGAGGGAGGTGCCAAACACTTTTCAACAACCAGACCTCATGAGAACTCACTATCACAAGAACAGAAAGAGGGAAATCCACCCACATGATCCAACCACCTCCCACTAGGCCCCTCTTCCAACACCAGGAATCACAATTCAGCGTGAGATTTGGGCAGGGACACAAATCCAAACCATATTAATTGGTGGCAAAATTACAAGTATTACTGTTGTTAGTATAATTTGTGGGCTATATTTATAAATGAAGAAAATGATAAGTTTTAGAAATTAGCAAAAATAAAAATTTATTTTTTTCTATAAAATTCATGGATTTCATGAATTTTATTTAGGACACTGGGTTAAGACACTCTGCATCTGATATGTGATTATATCTATGTTCTTCTTGGCATATAGGGGTTAATTTTTGCTTGAATTCTTCCAGTGAAGGGGAAATAATTACCCAATGAATAGTGAGTCTCCTATCATTCTATTGTCAAATAACTCAATTGGGTTGTTCTCTCAGAGAACTGTAAGCTATCTTCCCACAGATTCCTACCATTAGCCTTTGCTCATTCTATAGTTTCAGAACTGTCAGCTTTCTCCTGCAGAATACAAACTTTCAGCTTCTGGAAGATAATAATTCCGCTCCTCCACTTTTCTCTCTATTCTAACTAGCAACAGTTCTTTCATCTCTTTTTGTTTTCTAGGTTGTTTGGAAATTTTGCCTCTTCTGGCTGATCCCTGAATACACTTCTTAATTTGTAATATTCCTCCAGATTAATCCAGAAACCCCAAGATAGTACCTGGAGAGTGAACTGAGAAACAGTCACTGTCCCTCATATTATAGATGTTGTGTGTGTTAACATAACCCAAATTCATGTTGTTTTGGATGAGACAATCACATTTCACCATCATCTCAAGAAAATAAACAAACAAACAAGTCATTGGCTGCTTTCATACAAGCAGCAAGTTTAGGCACTCCTTGGCCTGAATTTGTATAAAGTTGACCACTATCTTTAACCTCATTCTCACATATTAAAAGCTGCATATAAATGGTGATTCCATCATGGTTACAGCTTCTACCCATAAATTCCTTTGGGGAAAGCATTAAATATTTTATCTTTGTGACAGAGTAATTGTACTTCCACAATGGCCAACAAATCAGATCTTGTTTATATGGTCATGTGATTTTGGAACAGCAGTCAATAACCTATTGAAAATTGTGTAGATTTCAGTGGTATGTGGCTCTTTTTGTCTGTATTAGTTTGTTCTTGCACTGCTATAAAGAACTACTTGAGAATAGGTAATTTATAAAGAATTACCTATAAAGAATTACTTATAAAGCAGACTTATAAAGAAGTCTGCTACTATGAACCAGAGATACCCTCTTGCCAACCTGTCTTGAGAAAAATGACATAGTCTTCACTCCTCCATCAGCTCTAACAAGGCCCACTCCCTTAAAATCTGTAATAGTAATAATGATACCTAAAAATGTATTCAGCTCTTACCATATTTCAGGCACAATGTTAGACATTTTATATACATCACCTCATTTAATTATCACAGCAATATTAAAGTGCATAATATTACTTCACTTTGTAGATGAAGAAACTGAGGCACAGAGAATATAAGTAATTTATTCAAGATCACGTAGACAGAAAGTGTTTGAGTTGGGATTCAAATGTAGCCAATCTAGGTGCAGAGATCTTATTTTTACCACTAAGTTTCTCCATGCCTCCTCCATTCCTATTCCCACATTACCTTTTCTTTAATATCTAGGGCAGAAGGGAATCACTTGGAAAATTGGATAAAGTGCACATTCCCAGGCTGGACCTCAAAAGGCTCTGATTCAGCATGTCTGTAATGGGGTACAGAAATATGCATTCTTGATAAGTTTCAGAAAATCATGATGCACCTGTAAGAAGCTAACATTACAACCCTTCAACCAAGAGAAACACTGTTGTGGGTTAAACATAACTGTTGTCTGCCCACCTGAGCTGAAGCTCCCTTGCAGATGATCTTTCAATGCAATCCAACAGATATTTGTTGCTTCCCTATGGAAGTCCAAGCCAGATTTAAAGAAGCCTGGCAATTACCCCATGATCTCCAGCCTCCCCTATCCCTTTGTGCCCTAGGTCTGTTAAATAGTGAGAGGAAGAGGAGTCCAAAGTTGAAATGTGAGAAAAAGAATAGGAATGTCTTCTCCTTTCAGTCTTCCTCCAAAGCCCTCTTCACCCTCCAGAGGAAGAGAAAGCGGTTAGGTGGAGGGCATTCTAGAATAAGTTTCACTTTCTCAGAAGTGAACTGAAATGAAAACCTTGCCCAAAATAGGCATTTCTCCCACTTTGATCTTCCCAAGGAATCATTTGTTGAATACTATGTGGTAAGCACATTTCTAAATACTTCATGTGTATTAAACATAATTAATAATTTAACTCTCACAAAACCCTGGCATGGGAGAGGGTAAGTACAATTACTTTCCCTGTTTTCAGAAAAAAAGAAATAAATACAGAGAAGTTTAAGGAGCTTGCCCAAAAATACATAGACATGTCATGTCAGAGCTGGGCTTTGTTTTTGTTTTGTTTTGTTTTTACTTCATAACTTTTCACAATTGTTGAAAGACATGAATCCTAAAACATATTAAATATAATGAATCTTTAAAAAGATAATAAGAGCTATCTATGACACACCCACAGCCAATATCATACTGAATGGACAAAAACTGGAAGCATTCCCTTTGAAAACTGGCACAAGACAGGGATGCCCTCTCTCATCACTCCTGTTCAACATAGTGTTGGAAGTTCTGGCCAGGGCAATCAGGCAGGAGAAGGAAATAAAGGGTATTCAATTAGGAAAAGAAGAAGTCAAGTTGTCCCTGTTTGCAGACGACATGATTGTATATCTGGAAAGCCCCATTGTCTCAGCCCAAAATCTCCTTAAGCTGATAAGCAACTTCAGCAAAGTCTCACGATACAAAATCAGTGTATAAAAATCACAAGCATTCTTATACACCAACAACAGACAAACAGAGAGCCAAATCATGAGTGAACTCCCATTCACAATTGCTTCAAAGAGAATAAAATACCTAGGAATCCAACTTACAAGGGATGTGAAGGACCTCTTCAAGGAGAACTACAAACCACTGCTCAATGAAATAAAAGAGGATACAAACAAATGGAAGAACATTCCATGCTCATGGCTAGGAAGAATCAATATCATGAAAATGGCCATACTGCCCAAGGTAATTCATAGATTCAATGCCATCCCCATCAAGCCACCAATGACTTTCTTCAAAGAATTGGAAAAAAACTACTTTAAATTTCATATGGAACCAAAAAAGAGCCTGCATTGCCAAGTCAATCCTAAGCCAAAAGAACAAAGCTGGAGGCATCACACTACCTGACTTAAAACTATACTACAAGGCTACAGTAACCAAAACAGCATGGTACTGGTACCAAAACAGAGATATAGATCAATGGAACAGAACAGAGCCTTCAGAAATAACGCCACATATCTACAACTATCTTATCTTTGACAAACCTGAGAAAAATAAGCCATGGGGAAAGGATTCCCTATTTAATAAATGGTGCTGGGAAAACTGGCCAGCCATATGTAGAAAGCTGAAACTGGATCCCTTCCTTACACCTTATACAAAAATCAATTCAAGATGGATTAAAGACTTAAACATTAGACCTAAAACCATAAAAAGGCTAGAAGAAAACCTAGGCATTACCATTCAGGACATAGGCATGGGCAAGGACTTCATGTCTAAAACACCAAAAGCAATGGTAACAAAAGCCAAAATTAACAAATGGGATCTAATTAAACTAAAAGGCTTATGCACAGCAAAAGAAATAACCATCAGAGTGAACAGGCAACCTACAAAATGGGAGAAAATTTTTGCAACCTACTCATCTGACAAAGGGCTAATATCCAGAATCTACAATGAACTCAAACAAATTTACAAGAAAAAAACAACCCCATCAAAAAGTGGGCAAAGGATATGAACAGACACTTCTCAAAAGAAGACATTTATGCAGCCAACAGACACATGAAAAAATGCTCACCATCACTGGCCATCAGAGAAATGCAAATCAAAACCACTATGAGATACCATCTCACACCAGTTAAAATGGCAATCATTAAAAAGTCAGGAAACAACAGGTGTTGGAGAGGATGTGGAGAAATAGGAACACTTTTACACTGTTGGTGGGACTGTAAACTAGTTCAACCATTGTGGAAGTCAGTGTGGCGATTCCTCAGGGATCTAGAACTAGAAATACCATTTGACCCAGCCATCCCAAAGGACTATAAATCATGCTGCTATAAAGACACATGCACTCATATGTTTATTGCGGCATTATTCACAATAGCAAAGACTTTGAAGCAACCCAAATGTGCAACAATGATAGACTGGATTAAGAAAATGTGGCACATATACACCATGGAATACTATGCAGCCATAAAAAATGATGAGTTCATGTACTTTGTAGGGACATGGATGAAATTGGAAATCATCATTCTCAGTAAACTATCACAAGAACAAAAAACCAAACACTGCATATTCTCACTCATAGGTGGGAATTGAACAATGAGATCACATGGACACAGGAAGGGGAACATCACACTCTGGGGACTGTTGTGGGGTGGGGGGAGGGGGGAGCGATAGCATTGGGAGATATACCTAATGCTAGATGATGAGTTAGTGGGTGCAGCGCACCTGCATGGCACATGTATACATATGTAACTAACCTGCACATTGTGCACATGTACCCTAAAACTTAAAGTATAATAATAATAAATAAATAAATAAAATAAAGAAAAAAAAGATAATCAATGAGAAATCAATGCCTAGACATATCATAGGGAAACCACGGAACACCAAAACAAACAAAATTTGAACTCTGGCTGGCCAGATCCAAAGTAGGTTATACAAAACTCCCTTCCAAGCTTAGCTTGTTAAATGACAGAGCAAGAGGCGACTGTAGAGCTTAGCTAATCCAAGAGGGTTGAATTATTTCCTCATGGAAACTTTTCTTTAAATGAAAGCTTCCACAGATAAATCCAAGGCTGATTAGGCTGATTAGAGTTCCAAGGGCCTGTGACTGTGCCTGCCATAACCCAGGAGGGGTTTCTGCATTAACATCATTTAATAACCACCAACCTAGACTTCTCCATTAGGTAGACAAGTAGACTAAATTTCACAAAGGAGCACAGACTTGCTCGAGGTCATAAAACTAATTGGTAGCAGAATGGGGATTGGAACCTGGGTCTCCTGCTTCTCAACTTAGGGCTCTTCCTAATATACCACCCAGCTTCCTTCAGGCTAGAATCCCTCTAGTATCTCTCAGCTTCTAGGTGACAGGGCAGAAAATGCCTGAGTAACCAACAAGGACTGTAGTTGTATATGTTGATTTTGGCTTTTGATTTGCAAATTTGTTTTAGAATAACCAAGTAAATTAGCTGGCATGCAGATGGCCAGGGCGTAAACAGCCAAAGTTTTGTGAATAAAAATAACAACTGTACTCATTTGCCATGGACTGATGCTGGAGAGTCCCAAAAATAGTATGGCGTGGTAAATAGAAAAAAATATATAGCTTGGGCAGGAAGGAGAACCTTATATTATGATTATATGTGAAGAATGCTTTGGAATATGGCCTTCTCAGTTCATACTTCAAGTACTCCATGAGTGCCTAAGGCCAAGAGTGACACTAGGTGCTAGGAACTTCTATTACTGCCATAACAAATTGCCACAAACTCTGTGTCTTAAAACAACACAAATTTACTAATCTTACAGTTCTGTAGATCAGAAGTTTGAGATGAATATCACTAGTTTAAAGTCAAGGTATTGGCACAGCTGTGTTAGTTTTGAGGGTGTCTAGAAGAGAATGCATTTCTTTGCCTTTTTCAGCTTCTAGAGGCTTCTCACTACCTTGAATCATGACCCCCTTACTCCAAATTCAAAGTCAGTAGCAGTGTTATACTACCACATTTATGGTTCTCTGCAGGTGGGAGAGGTTCTCTTCTTTTAAAAACCCATGTGATTACACCGGGCTTATTTTGATGGTCCAGGAGGATCTTCTCATCTCAATTTCCTTAGTATAACCACATCTGCAAAGTTTCTCTTGTCATATAAAGCGTCATGTTCACAGTTTTTTGGGATCAGGACACGTATTTCGTTGTGGGGGGGGTGCATTATCATGCTTACCACAAAGCCCTTTTGGAGGTTACCCTTCAGTGAAGGAAATAGGCCTGCATATACATAATTTTAGCTAATATGCAGTGCTTCAAAATGAGTTACTAATACCCATAGGTGAGGATGAGGCTTAAGGAAAGCATTACAAAAGGGGTTGAACTTTAACTGAGTTTTGACATATGAAGAAGAAGAGTTCAAAATGGGAGGTAATGGGGATTAAATGTGAAAAAGAGGGCTTGGGGACAAATTCTGGATGGCATGCCAAAGAGATAGAAGGCTTCTGAGCAGAAAAGAGACATAGTCAAAGCCACGTTTCAGCAAGATAATTCTGAAAGTACTAAGAAGTCCAAATTGGAGTGGAGAGCAGGAGATGACTTAAGAGTTTATAGCAATGGTCCAGGTAAAAATGATGAAGGCCTGGGACAGAAATAATGAGATCTGGAAGTTGTTTGGATGGGGAAAGCTGAAAAGAAATAAGAATTGAAGATACACAAGTATCTGGACTGGATTACGAGGAGCATGATTATGCTATTAGCTGAGATTGGGAACTCATGAGTAGGAGCTGATTGTGGAGGAATATAGTAAGATTGGTTTTGGGTAAGGTGAGTTGAAGATGTCCATTGGACTGTCTTTAAACATTCAGACTTTCGCTTGTTTCTTATTTTCTCTAGCTGAATCATAGACACATCACAAATTGTGTCAACTCGTCCACAAGGAAGACAGAGTCCATGCCTTATTTGATATGAATCAGTCTTGCAAATATCCACTTGCCCAGTTTGAGTAACCATTTCTGTTTAGGGAATAATGAAAAATGTGTACCTATCAGGGTAAGGGTCAATATACTAGTAATATGTCATCTCAAATCCTTTTTGGAACTAGACAAATTATAAATAACTATAATGACAATGATAACTTTTACTTCTATAGTACATTACATTGTACAAAGCACTTTTCTATCCATTCATTGTAGTACTCTTGGGGGTGAAACAAAGCAGGCCTATATTTTTACTGCTATTTTAGAGAATAACTAAACTGAGATTCAGAGAAGTTCAATGATTTTATACCTTCAGAGCTAGGACTGAAACCTAATTCCTCTCATTCCACTTTTACCTGTTTTGTGTCTCAGTTTTTTTATCTGTAATATATGATTAAAAATAGGGTCTTCTTTATAAAGCTGATATGCAGAAAAGATAAATGATATAATGCATGTAAAATGCTTAGTACAGGGCCATTACACAGTAAGTACTCAATAGAAGTGATTTGTCATCATCACTATCATTATCATCATCATTACATCAAACTATGCAGAAAACATTTTGGAAGACTAGATGCAGAAGTCAGTAAACTCTGGCCTGTGGGTCAAATCTGGCCCACAGCCTGGTTTTGCAAATAAATTTGCAACTTAGCTACATCTGTTTTTTTGTTTGTTTGTTTGTTTACATATTGTCTATGGCTGCTTTTGTGCTGCAGTGGCAAAATTGATTACTTGCAACAGAGACTATATATGACGCTTATAGTCTAAACTATTCATTATTTGATGTTACAGGAAAAGTTTGACAACCCCTGGATTAGAGACTAAGCAAGTATAATTTTGTGCTTCTTGTGATCTGAAGACCTTCTGCACACACACACACACATACACAAACACACACACACACACAGAGAGAGAGAGAGAGAGATTTTACATAAATTGTAGTTCTACTCTTTTCAAGAAAGTTATATCATGTAACTTGATTTAAATGGGATGGGGTGGGCATATTTGTTTTAACAATGGGTAAGAAAGTGGTTGACATGAACAGGACAGCTCCAGAAAAGGCAGCGAGTTCTGGAAAATAACAGAAAGTTATAAAGCTGTTTTAAAACAAACTGAGAATGAAGGGTTTAGGAAAGGCTTCGTACAGGAAAAAGGTATGGTCAGAGCAAAAGCTACCCTGAAGAATTCTGAGTGCAGCACTGAATAGAAAAGCCAGAATTAGGCAGAGTTAAGGGCAGAGGCTTAGAAAAAAAGGCATTTTGGAAACGACATAAGTAGAGAAGATAGTTTTTAGGACAGAAGTTGTTAAAAAGCAATAGTGGGTGAGCGCAGGATAATAAGAGCCAGAAGACTAATGAGGGTGCAATGACAAGACTGCGGCTAGACTCCATCCTGAAAGGTCCTAACAATCCCAATAACTGTGTTGCAGACAGCAGAGTTGGCCTATAGCTGAAAGAGGTGAGGTATGAAGGGGCAAGTTGTATCTTATTGTAGAAAACTGAAAACAAAACAAGCAAACAAAGCATTCAGCATATTCATCATCTTTCATGTGTCAGGTGCTGTAATAGGTATTTTTGCATGCATGCTCAGAACATATTCCCTTAATGTTTCTTCAGTGACACAGGAAAGAGTTTACCTCTTGTGTTGAAATATACAGATAATGAAATCAGAAAAGTTTTAGGGGAAGGGAAGCACAAAATGAGTAAAAATGAAAAGCTCTTGGTTCTTTGTGATAGCAGCAGGATTCAAGCAGCAACAAATGTGGGAAACTTTCAGTTTAGGGGCACCATGGCAAGCTTTGTCACATGGTTCTTCCTTCTGCGACACTATAACATTTCTTGTGGTGAAGAAACAAGCTGAGGACATGTTCCTGAACCACTTATATACTGACCTGCCTTCTGGGGCTAAGCCCAACCTGGCTAATATTAGCTGTCTTCCCTTACTTCCTGATTTGGTGTGGGGCAGCTGCCTTGTTCCATTCTCAGGCCCAGAGAAAAAGAAGTGGCCAATCTACCTCTATTTTGTCTCTATCTCTCACTGATACCACACAGGACATCATCTTCCCTTCCAAACTTTGCCCAGCAGTATGGTGTCATAAGAATTTCCCCAGCCTGCTCAAAGGAAGGCAGCCCTACTTTCAAATTGCATCCAGTGGGCCCAAGTGAGTGGTATAGCCCCATTAATCTGAGTTTTCAAATGTCTTAACCAACCATGTCTTTATACATAAAATTGTATAGACTTCATTGATTATTTTTTTATTGGGTTCCCACAGTACTCTCAGAATCATATAAATTATTCCCTGGTGAACAATAAATTTGATATAAAAGCTATTTAATACATAGATGTAATTAGTTCAGAACTAATATGTTTAATCAACATAGAGGACCTATGGAAAATGAGCTCTTGTAAAGAAAATGAATTAAGAAGGGCACTTCAAGAGTTGAAAAGACTCTCCATAGGCACATGGAAGTTCTGTGTACTCTTCCTCCTCCTCCCTTCTCATGAGAGCCTAGTTTTAGATGTTAACTGTAAGCTTGGTAGTGAGAAAAGATATTCAGTAAGATTTCTACTGCAAGCCAAGCCGGGGGTTGGCTCTCCTCCTCATAGGTGACTAGACGCCTATGAGTCAACTCTCAGAAAGAAGATTCTTCTCTCTTTCTTTACAAAAGGGTGTCATTTATGCTGGGTACAAACTACATTAACCCTTAGGAAAGCCTCTGTTAGAACACAAGCACAATGAAGACTAGGCTTAAAGCATCCTCATAGGTCAAAACTCCGTTATGTCAGTACTTCCTTGCCATGTTTTCCTAGAATCGGTCAGTATTTTTTTTTAACAAAGCATGGCAGCCATGTCTTTGTAAACTGATCAGTTCACAGAATGGAGACAGATGAGACAGATTTCTGAACCATTTAGATTATAAAGTCATAAGGCCCCTATTATTTCCCAAACAAACTCTTACATGGAAGTTTGGTTTAACAGATTGAATTGTTTCCCCACTACCACCAGAAGATATGCTGAAGTGCTAACCATGGTACACAAGAATGTGATCTTATTTGGATATAGGGTCTTTACGGAGGTAATCAAGCTAAAATGAGGTCATATGGATGGGCTCTAATCCCATATGATTAGTGTCCCTATAAAAAGGGGAAATGTGGACACAGAGACAGACATAGAGAAGGAAGACTATGTGAAGAAACCCAGGGAGAATGCCATGGAAAGTTGAAAGATTGGAGTGATGCATCTACAAGCTAAGGAATGTGAAAGATTGCCAGCAAACCAAGAAAAGCTAGAAAGAAACGGGAAAGAATTATCTCCTACGTGTTTCAAAGGGAGCATGGCCCTATTGACACCTTGATTTTGGCCTTCTTACCTTTAAAATTGTGAAAAAAATCTCTGTTGTTTTAAGCCACTCAGTTTTTGGTATTTCATTACAGTAGCTCTAGGAAACTGAAATAGCTGGTATATAAAATAAAGGAAACAAGAGCTTTTCTCCCTGAAGAACTGGTGGGGGACTTTTGTGAAGTCCTACCTGTTAGGATCCACCTTTGTCTCTGAAGCACCTCTGCAGAATCATCAGACACCTCATAATAAGCTTGAAAACCCCTGCTTTACCCTAACCCCCCCTTTGGAAAAGCGTGACATGCTTTTCCAGGGTCATAAAATGAAATAAACATTTACTTTAGTCTAAAAAGACCTAAGTTCCCCTTCCAATTTTATGAATTATCTACTGTAACCTAGAGAAAGACCTTTTTTTTCCTGACTGTCTTTTTTTCTTTATCTCTAGGGCCCCTTTCAGTCTTCAAATTTGATTATTTGAAATATTGGTAGAAAATAAGCTCTCCAGCTTTCTCCTAGGAATGCATTCAGTTTAGCTGAATGAACTAGAGGCCCACAATCCTTGAACCAATAACTCTTATTGCTTCTCCAAATTCTTTCAGAAGCCCTATCTACTCTGGTCCTATCTTCGGGGACCATAAGTCATGGTTCTTCATCAAATTAAAATAGAGAAAGACTGCTCATGAGTCCATGTTAACTGGCGTGAATCTCACATGAACTGTTGCAGCCAGAGTTCTCTCTGTTTTATGGACAAATAATGTGTGAAATGATGTGTTAATAGTTTGAGGGACAGGTCGGGCATCATAGCTCATGCCTGTAATCCCAGCACTTTGAGAGGCAAGGCAGGTGGATCACAAGGTCAGGAGTTCAAGATCAGCCTGGCCAACACAGCGAAACCCCATCTTTACTGAAAATACAAAAATTAGCCAGGCGTGGTGGTGGGAACCTGTAATCCCAGCTACTCGGGAGGCTAAGAAAGGAGAATCACCTGAACCTGGAGGGCGGAGATTGCAGTGAGCCAAGATCACGCAACTGCACTCCAGCCTGGGTCACGGAGCAAGACTCCATCTCAAAATAAATAAATAAATAAATAAATAAATAAATAAATAAATAATTTGAGGGACAAACGTGAAAGGAAACTTACGTATACTTCACAAAATTCTGTATGGGTCGAGAGTAGGGACTCATTGAAAAGGAATACATATTTCTGGAATGGAGGGAGACCACCAGTAAAAAGGAGAGACTTTTTTCTTTCTTTTTTTTTTTGTAAAGAAGAAAGTCTTTTCGAGAGGGTACCCCTGTCAGAAATGCTGATGTGAGCTCTGAGAGCTCAGGTAGTTGAGTTCTTCGTAGACTACAACATTGAAAAAAGTGCTAATGATGGCTACAATTATTGAACATGTACAGTCCCAGGAGCATAACAGGAACTACCTAGTTTAGTTCTCACAATTATTCCCTTGCTCCAGGTGAGAAATCTGAAGTTTGCTGATGAAGAGTAACTTGGCTAACCTAACAGAGCTGGACAGTTGTTGACCTAGGCTGCTAACCCAGATAATCTGACTCTAAGGCCCATGTTTTTAACCACTATGCTATAGGTATCCACACTAAGGAGTATTAAAATGACATATATCTAAACTGCTTTTCCCTGTTTCATGGTGTTTTCAATAGAACCTGAGCCTGAGTCTTCTTTAAGCCATAAGAGAAGTTTTTGGCCTTCAGATGTTTGGCCTTGTAGAATATTGTCGTAGGGACTACCAATGAGGCAAAGACTGGAGGTACATGAAGCCCAACATCAGCATTTCTGGAGCTTCAGTTATAGGAATGAGCGTTTCACTGTGCTGTGGGGAACAGAGAGGAATCAGGCACAACCTCCACCTCTGAGGAGTTCCCTGCTTAGTAGAGGAGATGCAGTAATATCCAGCTGATTTGGGCACAAAGCAGAATGTGACCAGTGTAGCAAGTAGTCCAGCATTTAGTGTTGGATCACATAAAACAAATTCTAAGGGCTAAAAGAAATTGAGTGGGAGATCAATGAAGCTGGTAGTTTGCATGAGAAAGTGTACTTTATGAGTGGTTAGAATTCAAGAGGTAGAATAGGAGAGATAAAAGGGGGAAGACTGAGCAGGTTAGCTGAATGAATTTGGGTAGCAAGATAAAAATAGTAGGGGGTGTGTCTGTGTCTATGCATGTGTAAGTATTGCACATGCACATGTTGCAGTGAAAGAACAATGCACTATGCCACACTTATCATGGACAGACCTAAGAAGGATGTATTTGTGTGAGGAGAATAGGGATATCATGAGGCATGTGGAAAGGAAGGTTGCAAATAAAGCAGAATTGCTGAAGATTTTCCCATCCCTAACTTCACCAGATCCCCTTTCCAAATCTGAAGACTCATTCTATGTCTCATCTTAATGGACCACCTTAATGTTTATGTGCCATATGATACACACTACAGGCTTATTGGTTGAGAATTTAAGGCTCAGTATGTGGCCCCTGAATTTTAGTAGGTAATTTTGGAAGACTAGGATTCAAAGGACTGAATCTCTAATGGTGAAATTTTTGACCCACTAGCATGCGTTGGAGATTTCTGGAGGGTAGACTTTCCAGTATGCTTCAAAGCATGTCAGCTGTATATTCTACCTTCAGAACTAAACTACTCTCAATACTAAACTCGTTTCACTACTTACAATGTTGGGTAGCCTTTCCAAAAAATAATGATGTAATTATTACATAAATCTCAACCTTACCTCTGTCCTGTGGCACGAGGATGTTGAGATGATTCCCATATCCACAATCTGCCCTATCTGCATAGACACCCAGGCTGAGCCATAACAAAGCCAGGACCTTTCAGTCCCCATCTCTATCCTTGGGTATAGCCATTTGACTAAGAGGGTTCAGTCAAACTAAAGGCACTTACAAGGGAGTTACGAGAATAGTAAGGAGGCAGGAAAAATCCCATTTATTGAACACCTTCTCTGTGTCAGGAACATTTCTAAGCATAACTTATTTATTTATTTATTTATTGAGCACAAACATACTCTTGATTAGTGGGCTAATACATTACTTATTTGCAGCCTGAGACAGATCTGCTTCTAGAAAGTGTCCCCCTTTCTTGTTCTCTTTACTCAACTTGTAATGCATTACAAGTTGATATTAATGGCATTAGTGGATTGAGAAATCAGTTTATTGGGTCAAGACAAGATGTTAGAAAAAAGGCAATAGGTTAGTGTAGAAAAAAATGAAGAAAAGAAAATATCAGAAGATGTATTGCAAAGGTTAATATTCTTTCAGGAAACTATGGTTTTCATTTTCTGTATGTATGTCCATGTAGTTTGAAAATTACTGATTTAAAGTAGAAATAAAAGTTGTCAAGAGAAACCAAATAGCCAAGCTTCTCAAACAAGAACCTGTCTTTTACCCATAATAATATCAAATTTGTACATTTATTGTGAGGTTTTAACACTTCTTTTCAGGAGAGTTCATACAGTTCTTCTTGCTACTCAGAGACTTCATAAACTTTTTATAGATCTTTGCTATTTCATGCAGTATCCACTAACCATATATGGCTATCAATCACTTGAAATATGGCTGGTCTTAATTGAAATGAGCTGTTGGTACAAAATACATACCAGATTTTGAAGAAATAGTATGACAAAGCATCATAAAATACCTTATTAATACTTTAAAAGTATTGATTCCATGTTGAAACAATAATTGTTGATATGTTGGGTTTAAATACAATATTATGCCTGTAATCCCATCACTTTGGGAGGCCAAGGCAGGCAGATCACGAGGTCAGGAGATCTAGAGCATCCTGGCTAACACAGTGAAACCCCGTCTCCACTAAAACTCCAAAAAAATTAGCCGGGTGTGATGGCACACGCCTGTAGTCCCAGCTACTCGGGAGGCTGAGTCAGGAGAATCGCTTGAACCCAGAAGGTGGAGGTTGCAGTGAGCCGAGATTGGGCCACTGCAATCCAGCCTGAGCAGCAGAGCCAGACTCCATCTCAAAAAAAAGTATAGATAGATAGATAGATAGATAGATAGATAGATAGATATAGATATAGATAGATATAGATACAGATATAGATATATAGATATAGATATATCTGTATATGTATATGTATATATATACATATATAATTAAAATAAATTTTTATTATTTATTTTCACTTTTAAAAATGTAGCTAATAGAAAATTTAAGTTACATATGTCACTTGCATTATCTTTCTTTTGGGCATTGCTGGTCTACACAACAAATATGTATATAGGCAAATGTGTATAATATATTAATTAGGTGAGCTTGTCTGTGCTTACATTACTCAGATTTCTAATTGATCCTATACCAAGGCATAATCTATATTTAATTAAAGAGACAAGGTGCTAATGCCTCTCATGCATCTCTCATGCAGAAGTCCTACTATTGTTTAGGGGCTCTAGAAGTCACTTAGGATTTAATCTGGTTCCATCTCAGAGGTTGCAAAGAAAGCTGACCAAACACATCTTTCAGCCCAAGGGAGTCTCTCCACAGTATGGTATCTATAATAGGTGGTATTTCACCGTCTTCATAAATGTCTTGGGGAACCTATCATCTTCTGGGACAATTAGTTATTTAGATTGACCCTAAATCTCCTTCTTGTCCATTATAACATTAATTGTATCCTCTGAAGCAACACAAAGTAGGAGTAATGCCTCTTTCATGTGACTACACTGAACATATTAAATATTAATAATAGATATTTTTTTCTACTAAATCTTTTCTTTCCCAGCCTAAGTAGCTATAGTTCTTGCAGCTAATCCTGACGTTATGTTTTCCAGCACCTTTATCACTATTTATTCTACTCTCACCCTTTAAATTATCATTGATACTCTTAAATTATGACAACTAGAATTATATCCAATGTAAGATTATCACCTTCCTTACTTTGAACATTATGCTTCTATTACTGTATCCTGAAATTGACAAAATTAGATTTCTGGACAATTGTATAATTCCTGTTCTGTCATATTGAACTAAAATCCTAAGTTTTTTGATATTTCTATGGCTGACTATTGGTCATTTTCATTCATACTATAATTCTGTAGTTGATTTTTCTGTACCCAAGTATAAAAGTGATTGCATTTCTCTGTGAAACTCCATTTTGTGAGTTTACGTCTATCACTTGAGTCTGTTAAGAACTTTTATAGATCCTGCTTGTCATCCGATTAATTTCCTATCTTTTCTGTCTTAACAGCACTTACAGATCAGAGCAATTCCTAGTGTTATTTGTTTCTCTGTCTCTAGGGCCTACCAGATGTCTCTGCTCTTGAAGAGTCTTTCTCTTCTTGCCTCCTTTTTTGCTACCTCCTGGGAGTCCTGGCTACTGTTGCCCATGGTCTCTATGTTATTGTTTCTTGGTACTATGCTATAGGAGTCTATTTATTTGATGTTGAGCATCAACAAATCATTAAAGCGTTCCTCCTGTTTATCTCATCCTTACTTCCCATTTTCCACCCTATAGTTCTGTGAGCACCTCTGTTTTCTTTACATTCCCATCTCATCAGGTCTTGGATTATCATGAACATCACTGCCCACTGTCCTACATAGCAATCAGTTGGCTTTTGGGGACCTGCCCTATCACTGGTGAAGTCTGTGTAGTAGCCGATGGCAAGGACCAGCTCTTGTAATCATGCAGGATATTGAACTGAGTCACATGTCTTTCCCTTGGTGTTTTGGTGCTCATCTCCAGAAGGGCTTGCTGATTTTTGTATCATGACTGGAGGCATGATTAGGGAGCAAAATATAGGGGGCAATGTCTCATATCATTTTCTCAGTAGACAGTGATGGATTTGGGAGAGGTATCCTGGGACATCTGGATGAGAGGGATGGTTCTTTAGCTGGCTTCAGACCCCACCATTGTCTATCTCCTAATCAGCACTCTGTAACAACGAGACCATTTGCCCACTGTGGCTGCTGGCTGACTCCTTCTGAGAGTTGAGATAAGGCTTACAGGGTTGATTCTCATGGAATACTTTTCTCATATGCTTAATAAGTAGATAGACCCTGACTTCAGAATTTATTGAGCAAAACTAGACATATTAGACTATGTACCCTCACACTGATCCAGAATCATTCAAAAAGAACACAGTTAGATGAAAGACCTCTACAAGGAAAACTACAAAACACTGCTGAAAAAAATAATAGACAACACAAACAAATGGAAACATATCCCATACTCATGGATGGTAGAATCAACATTGTGAAATATTGCCAAAAGCAATATACACATTCAATGCAATTCCCATTAAAATATCACCATCATTTTTTACAGAACTAAAAAAAAAATCCTAAAATTCACATAGAACTAAAAAAGAGCCAGCATAACCAAAGCAAGACTAAGCAAAAAGAACAAATCTGGAGGCATCACATTACCTGACTTCAAACTATCCTATAAGGACATAGTCACCCAAACAGCATGGCACTGGTATAAAAATAGGCACATAGACCAATGGAACATAACAGAGAACCCATAAATTAACCCAAATATTTACAGCCAACTGATCTTTGACTAAGCAAACAAAAACATAAAATGGGGAAAGGACTCCTTATTCAACAAATGGTGCTGGGATAATTGGCTAGCCACATGTAGGAGAATGAAACTGGATCCTCATCTCTCACCTTACACAAAAAATCAACTCAAGATGGATCAAGGACTTAAATCTAAGACCTGAAACTATAAAAATTTTAGAAGATCATATCGGAAAAAACCTTCTAAACATTGGCTTAAGCAAAGACTTCATGACCAAGAACCCAAAACCAAATGCAACAAAAACAAGGATAAATAGGTGAGACTTAGTTAAACTAAAAAGCCTCTACACAGTGAAAGTAACAGTCAGCAGAGTAAACAGACAACCCACAGAGTGGGAGAAAACCTTCATAATCTGTACATTTGACAAAGGACTAATATCCAGAATCTACAAGGAACTCAAAGAAATTAGTAAGAAAAAACAAACAACCCCATCAAAAAGTGGGCTAAGGACATAAAGGGATAGCATTAGGAGATATACCTAATGTAAATGACGAGTTAATGGGTGCAGCACACCCATATGAACATGGCACATGTATACATATGTAACAAACCTGCACGTTGTGCACACGGATCCTAAAACATAAAGTATAATTAAAAAAAGAAAATTCTCTATGGCTGCATAATATTCCATGGTGTATATGTGCCACATTTTCTTAATCCAGTCTATCATTGTTGGACATTTGGGTTGGTTCCAAGTCTTTGCTATCGTGAATAGTGCCGCAATAAACATACGTGTGCATGTGTCTTTATAGCAGCATGATTTATAGTCCTTTGGGTATATACCCAGTATGCAGCCATAAAAAAGGATGAGTTCATGTCCTTTGTAGGGACATGGATGAAATTGGAAATCATCATTCTCAGTAAACTATTGCAAGGACAAAAAACCAAACACCGCATGTTCTCACTCATAGATGGGAATTGAACAATGAGAACACATGGGCACAGGAAGGGGAAAATCACATTCTGGGGACTGTTGTGGGGTGGGGGGAGGTGGGAGGGATAGCATTAGGAGATATACCTAATGCTAAATGACGAGTTAATGGGTGCAGCACACCAGCATGGCACATGTATACATATGTAACTAACCTGCACATTGTGCACATGTACCCTAAAACTTAAAGTATAATAATAATAATAAAAGAAAATTCTCAAAAGATTTACAAATGGCCAACAAACATATGAAAAAATGCTCAACATCACTAATGATCAGGAAAATGCAAATCAAAAACACAATGCAATACTACTTTACTCCCGCAAGAATGGCCAAAATCAAAACATCAAAAAATAATAGATGTTGGTGTGGATGTGGTGAAAAGGGAGCACTTCTACACTGCTGGTGGGAACGTAAACTAGTACAGTCACTATGGAAAACAGTGTGGAGATTCCTTAAAGAACTAAAAGTAGAACTACCCTTTGATGCAGCAGATGGAGTCTGGGAAAGATGATCCAGTGGGTTTGGTTCCAAGGGCTATGCTACTTCTAATGAAGGCTGGGACACCTTTGCGCCTAATTCGCAAATCTACTGTAATCTCATAATGAAATTTTTTTCTAGTTCTCTAAGTCCTTCACAAAGCACAGAATAGTAAATAGACACTCTCAAACACTGACTGTTTCATATATTCCTACCTCTTTTTTTTTTTAAAGTACTAGCACCTTTATTTATTTTATTTTATTTTTATTATACTTTAAGTTATAGGGTACATGTTCACAACGTGCAGGTTTGTTACATATGTATACATGTGCCATATTAACCTTAAAGATTCCTACCTCTTTTAAGAATATTTTAAACTCGGTGGAGTTAATCAAGGTTTCTGTATGACCTAATCATCACTTACTGTCCCACCTCTCACCTCCACGGAGTCTACCTCATTGCTCCCAGATATAGACTTAGGGGCCATAAAAATATCTAGTTCATTTTCTACATGTAAGACCTTCAGTGTTTAAAGGTAGTAATCCATGAATCTTGTCTTTCCCAGAATAAGTCTTTTTTGTTTCTTCAGCTCTTACATCTAGGCCATACCTTAAGTTGTGGTTCAAACTTCTCTGGGCAAACTTCAATTTGCTAATGTCCTTTATAAACATAGAGCCCAGAACTAATTGCGGGACTCTTATGAAATTACAGCATTGACCTACCCAGAGAAGAGAGGATACCCCATTCTTGAGAATCTCCTAGAAAGAATGTAACAACTTTTTAGTTAATTATGCTACTATTTTAGAATCCACATTTTTTGGAAGGCTTTTTATTTATTTATTTATTTTTTCATCTTGCCCACAGTCATCATCTTACAATTTTTACCTCTCCTCATTTCCATAAAGCTGCATATGAACGTTTTACCTCCTTTTTTCAGAGATTTTCCTTCTCTCCACCTATGGTCTAATTGTGTTTAAGGGACACAATCCTTTCATTTCCAGTGGGGCCTTGGTTCGGGATAGTCTGCATTGCCTGTATAGAGATTGCCTGCGATAACAGATAAAGGCAGGGCCCTGCAGCTGAGATTTGATGCCCACGGGAAGAGCTGGAAAAGAGAAACTTCTCTAGTTCTGGAAGCTGGGATGTGGATCTATGTGTTTGAATTCAACAAGGCCTTCCCTGTCCTCATTTTATGCCGTCTCATAATTTCACTGAAGAAGGATGGCAATAAATTCGAGCACCAAGAAAGTGATTCAGAGATACCCCCAAAGGTGTTGGGAGGGGTTATACAAGAGGCCTGGCAGAAAAGAGTAGGGGGTGAGACAAAAGGGAAGTAAACCATGAATTAAGAGGTGGTAGCACTAGTGGTCATGGTGATGATAGAGAGATAGTGGACCAAAGTGGGGAAAAGGATGAAAGATAGAAAGGTCAACAAGATAAGGTAATCTCTGAAATCATGTAAATAGGCTGCGCCAAAGCCTCTTAGACTTCTGAGTTCAGTGCCCCCTTGCCCTCAAGAAATATAGTTTCTAGTTTCCCTGTTTGATGGCCTTCATGTGTCCTCAGTCTTTTCCAAAGTGAGTATCTGTCTGCAGTGTGGATTCCTCACCTCCCCTCACTAGCTCCTGCCACAGTTCAGCATTCTATCGAGATCTCACCAATAGCTTAACTTTTTTTTTTTTTTTGACAGATTCTCACTCTGTCACCCAGGCTGGAATGCAGTAGTGTGACCTTGGCTCACTGCAGCCTCCGCCTCCTGGGTTCAAGTGATTCTCCTACCTCAGACCCCTGTGTAGCTGGAATTACAGGTGCATGCCGCCACAATCAGCTAATTTTTGTATTTTTAGTAGAGATGAGGTTTTGCCATGTTGACCAGGCTGGTCTCAAACTCCCGGCCTCAAGTGACCCACCCACCTCAGCCTCCCAAAGTGTTGGGATTACAGGCATGAGCCACCACACCCAGCCACCAATAGCTTAACTTTAGTTCTACTTTATAGAGATAAAAACAATACTCCACTGACGTTTCTACCTACCACCTTCCCAGACTACCAGGCACAGAAAATTTCCACTGGTAATGGAGAGTTGCTTCAAGTCAACTCAAGCAGAAAGAGCCAAGCCTGGAAAAAGAAGCAGAGGGAAAAGAGTAGAGACTGCAAAGAATGGAAATAGAAAAAACAGAGAAAACAGATACAATTAGAGTAACAGACTCAAAAGAGTGGGTATAAGATAAGAAGGAGAAAATAAAGGAGGAAAGAAATGTAAAATGAGCTTTAATTGCATGTTTCTGATAGTGCTGAGGTACAGTAGAACAGCGTGTCCCTGGCAAAGCTGAAACACTGGGCTCTGGCCAAATGGTTTCATCCTAGTGACCTTTAGATAGCTAACCACGTCTGCTCGGCACAGACCAAGTTGGTAAATAAATAAATAAATGTTAAAGACCAAAGGAAAAAAGAAAGAAACAAAGAAAAAGAAAAAAGTAGGACATGAGGAAAAACAGTTCATTAACGGGGAGCTGATCAAAGGTACCCTGTCCCTCACTTTGGCCTGTGGGTAGCTTGCTGTTCCAACCTGCAGTCCCCTCCCTCCCTGCCCCAGCTTCCTAGGGGGAAGGGGAGCAAGAATGATGAAGCAGGCTGATAACTCCAGAACCTTCCCTTCTCTCTTGCCATCTGCAAGGCTCAATAAAATAGAAGAAGGAAACTGGCAGGGCTGGTGAGGAGATGGCCTCAGGTAAAGGAGGTAGACTCAAAACTGTAGCCAAAAACTGCTGAGGTGTCAGAATAGTAGGGCACTTTAAGGTGGCAGAAGAAATTCCATGATTATCAACTCCTCTCTTTACATCTTTCTGAGACTCCTTGGTTAATGCTTACATTTGTCACAAATCTTTCCTGGTGGTCTCTTGTCACCTATAACCCCAGACTTCTCTGCCTTTCTTCTGAAGCTATCGCCTAACCAACATTTCACCGGTGGCTATTTTTCTTCTTGCATCTCTTTTTCTCAGAGTAGATAAATGTTCTTCCCTTCATTATCCAAGGCACAGGCAGCAACAGATTGTGATGTCTTATAAATTTTGCTGAAAGGAATTATAATAGAGGAAAATCTTTAAACTAAACACTAGAGACAATTGCTCCTGGAGTCCATCTATCATGCCTGATTTCCTCAGCCTACCTTCATGTTGCCAGATGGAGCTTGTTTATGACCCTGTCAGTCTTCAACAAAAACCAGAACCCCAAATCCATCTCCTAAGTCCCAGACAGAAGAAGCCAGTCCCAAATCCCTGCAAACAAACAGAAAAGAACTCAAGTTTAGTTCTTCATTGTTCATTCCAGTTAAAATTATTGTTTTATGTTGTCATAATTGTGAGATTCATTTAGGTATTTTTCCCTCAAAAAAGATCTCACAGCCTCAAATATAATTTTAGGCCTCTGCTTCCTATAGTAAAAAGAATCAGGAAAGAGTTGAAGTTAGCTTTGTTTTTCCATAACGGATTCCATAAACCCAGGTTAATTTCTAAAATAGTTACTAGAGTGTCTCCCCACCCCTAATAGTAGCCATAGCACATTATGAGGAGTGGGTAGCTTGTTACAGAGGTCAGTAAATCTCTTTAATCCTTACCATTTTACAGTAAACCACAGAAGCTTTTTCCTACTACACATTCATCATGGATCAATCCTCCCTGCCATCAGTTATATCATAGCAGAAACTCTTTAAAAATTAGGGTTGGGGGGCAGAGTGGGATATAATACTTTGATGTCCTTCACAAGAGGGGTCTATTGATGGTAATTGTTCATTGGGTGGTGGTGCAGTAGAAAGAATCACAAAGATCGGAGCTCCCATGCAAGCTTAACCTTTTCCTGGCTATATGAAATTTTGCTGAGCCTCTGTTTATTCATCTATAAAATGGGAGAAACATAACCTAGTGCACAGCATTGTTGTGAGAATCAAATACCCACTGTACGCCTAGCACAGTAACTAGCACACAGGCAGAGCTTAATCAGTTTTAGTCATGTTTTCTATCTAGTGACTTCTTTCTTCAAAGCCTACTGGGTGCAGCACACCAACATGGCACATATATACATATGTAACTAACCTGCACATTGTGCACATGTACCCTAAAACTTAAAGTACAATCATAAAAAAAGAACAATAAAATTTAGCTTTAGATGCCACCATAGAATTAACATCAAAAGTGGAGATATCTATGCTCTCCACTGTCTTCCTCAGAAGCACAGTCTTTCTAACAAGTGTGACCCCCAAACCTATCAGAGCATCTTTAACTTTGTGACTTCAAATTTGCAACTACTTGATGACCATTTCCACTTAGATTTCCCCTTGAACCACTCCAGCTCAACTCTATAGGCACCCAGATTCGATAACTTAATATTGTCATTGCCATAATTTGCATCTTTCACTGTATCCAACTGTCATATAGCCCTGTTAATTATTCCTTCATGACAGCTCCAGACCCATTCTGAATTCTGCATGCTTCAAGTTTTTTCCCTTTGTCTCAGTCCTTTTTTTGTTTTGTTTTTTTAGAAGAAGTTTTGCTCTTGTTGCCCAGACTGGAGTGCAATGGTGTGATCTCGGCTCACCGCAACCTCTGCTTCCCGAGTTCAAGCAATTCTCCTGCCTCAGCCTCCTGAGTGGCTGGGATTACAGGCATGCACCATCATGCCCAACTAATTTTGTATTTTTAGTAGAGACAGGGTTTCTCCATGTTGATCAGGCTGGTCTCGAACTCCCGACCTCAGGTGATCTGCCTGCCTCAGCCTCCCAAAGTGCTGGGATTACAGGAGTGTGCCACTGCACCTGACCTGTCTCAGTCTTTATATCCCTGTTCATAGAGGTCTCTGCTCTCCCTGCTCTCCTTTAATATATCTTGCACACTGTGGCTAGAAAATATTTCAAAAACATTCTTTCAAGACATAATATGCCCCTGAATAATTTTGCAATGATTTCACAACTAATAGGATGAAATTCAAACAGTCTGATGTGGCATTCAGTGACTGCCATGATCTGGGCCCATTTACCCTTTCCACAGAGAAATAATCTGATTAGTGTTGTCATAAGAGAAAGCAGGAGCTGGGGAAGGCCCGAGGAAGCATGCCTAACCTAGCTGTTTGCTGCAAAAAAAAAAGATGTAAGCTGAAGATTAAATAGACATTACCCAGGAAAAAATTGGAAATGTAGGAATTAAAAGTTTTTGAAACCAAAAGATGCACTCATTTAAATAACCTTTAGTTTCTGCTCTCATGGAGCAAATATTCTGAAAGCAGGTCACTCATACACATACATGTGTAAATCAGATAGTATAAAGAAAAGTAAACAGGTCAAGAAGATAAAAAGTATAGGATAAAGAGTGAGGGGGATAGGGTGCTATTGTAAATAGAATTGTGATAATGTCTGAACAGAGATGTGAAGGAAATTGATGGGTCAATGTATATAGGAAGACAAAGAGCAATTAAAGCAGAGAAAACAGCAAGTGCAAAAACCCTTAAATCAGAGTGTGCTCGATGTGTTCAACAAACAGGAAAGAAGCCAGTGGATGAAGCAAAAAGATGTAAGGACTTTTAGGCCACTGTAAGGGCTTTAGGGCATTTAAGCATGTACAAAGAGGGTGAGTGGGGAGAGACAGAGACAGAGACATAATGAATTGTTGTCTGTAGAATTCTAGGTGGTTCAATTGTACCAAATCATACAGTTTGCGTGTGAGAAGTAGGCAGATATAAGACCAAAGAGAAAGGCAGGGATTGGACATAACTGACCAGCAAGTCACATTAAGTAGTTTTTCCTTTATTTTACCGTTAGCATGATGAAGAATTACTAAAGTGTTTTAAGCCACTGAGTGACATGATTAGATTTGAACTTTAGAAAGAGGGCAACAGTGTGGAGAGTGGAATCAGGTAGAGCAAAACCAAAAGGAGACCAATGAGAAGGCTGTTGCAACCATCCGGGTGAGAGACAGTGAGGGTTTACAAATAAAGGAACATATTGGAGATATTTAGGAGGCAAAATAGACAAGACTTGGTGCTGTATTTGGTGTGAGGAGTTAGTGACAAGAACAGGCAGTGATGACTTCCAGATTTAAAGAAAAAATCATACGCTGAATTGCTGCTTAACATTCTATAGGTTTCAATTTTGCCTCCCCAAAGCCACTGGCCAAAGCCCATGTATCTTGGTATGTATTATAATCTTCCCCTGTAATTAGCCCCATGCTAGGATTTTGTAATCTCAGTGAAGAGATAGGATGAGGGTAAAAACTAATATGCTTGAGGCCCCTAATAAATGCCAAGCACTGTCCTAGGTGTTTTATATACGTTATGATATTTAATCCTTACAACAATCTTGTAGAGGGTTTATCTGCATATTACAGATAGGGATAGAAAAGCCCAGACATGGGCCGGGCGCTGTGGCTCATGCCTGCAATCCCAGCACTTTGGGAGGCCGAGGCTGGCGAATCACCTGAGGTCCGGAATTTGACACCAGCCTGACCAACATGGAGAAACCCCGTCTTTACTAAAAAACACAAAAATTAGCCAGGCCTGGTGGTGCTTGCCTGTAATCCCAGCTACTCAGGAGGCTGAGGCAGGAGAATGGCTTGAACCCGGGAGGCGGAGGTTGCTGCGAGCCGAGATCTCGCCATTGCACTCCAGCCTGGGCAACAAGAGTGAAACTCAGTCTCAAAAAAAAAAAAAAAAAAAAAAAAAAAGAAAGAAAGAAAAGCCCAGACATTCAACTCACTGTCAAATAACTAGTAAATGGAAGAAATAAAGAAATAACACATAACACTTGTTATATATGAAGCAATAGAATTTAAATGCAGTGGCTTTGTAAATTGCCACTACAGTTCTATAACTTTTAACCTTTAACCTTTAAACTTGAAGGAGTAGCTATGCTACGAGCCATCTGGAATCTTTGTGAAGCAGTAAACAGCGAATTCACAAGGCAAAGTTTGTTTTCCTATCTCCGGTAGTCTTTTTGGTTTGCCACAGGGTCTAATATAAAAATACATTGGGTACAATTTTTAATGTAGCTTCCCTAAACTTTAATATATTTATTTTTAAATGCTGCTTACATTTTTTAACATTCCAGAAAGCTAGGGTATTAATTAAACCCACATTAAGTGGGTTGAGTAGACCTACTACATGCACGGTTCCATAGAGGACAAAAATTCACGTGAAAGAGACATTCTGCCTTCCTCCTGCACCTTACAGCAAGCACTATAATGCAAGAATTATGTGAGAGGCAGTAGAGTGTACTGGTTAAATACCCGAACTCTATAGCCAGACTACCTGCCTGGGATTAAATTCTGGCTCCAACACTAGTCCTTGATATGAAGAGAAAGCACCAAGGCTTGGAGTGCAATAGACAGCAGTGACGAGATCCATTTCTTCAGAGCAATAGGTATGGGGAAGGTACTCATAAAAGATGAGGGCCAGAGCACAGCCTCTCCTGAAGGCCAGCCAAAAGGCCTTGGACTTTATTCAGAAGACCAGATCAGTGTTGCAACGCACTGATGTGTCGAAAGTAATCTGTTACCCATAAAATTTAAAGTACCAAAGTTTGCAAATGATTTACCTGAAAGGAAAATTAAGTAGATTTAGAGTTATCCTATAATAAGATCATCTTTACTAACTTGTTTTCCAATGTGCTTTCTTGAGTAAGAGATGGGCTTGGGTGGAGTTATAAGCTAGCTTACTAAGAATTACATAAAACCCTCACCCTTATATTTACCCAGTCTTATACCTAATCATTCTACAGTAGGTGACTATGAATGTAAGGACTTGGAAGTTGTAGGGCTTGTAAGCTGTAACTTTACAGTTACTTATATTTTTCTTTTTACCTTACACATGGGTACATTCATTATTAGAGAAAGGCAAGGATAGATAAATAAAGGGTGCTCACTGCCTCTATATTTACTTCGTACATAAGTGAGAATGACACTATGAATGTTTCTGTTAATAAGATCACAGAAGAGCATAGTACCAATTACATAATAAGTGCTTAATGAACATATGCTGTGTACAGTATTATAAACAAAAAGGCAGTTTTATAAATTTCAAACTCAGTTGGGTTGATGAGAAAAACAATTGCAAACCACAATGCCCTGGGGGGGGTAGAGTCCAGTCATGGTTGACTTGATCAATGGTTCCAAACACGTTAAAGATACATTTAAAATCAAATCCTGAGCAAGCTGCCAAGAAGTTTACAAGTTATTTCCATCAACTTTGTTCCTCATTAAAAGAAATAAAATCATCTCTGAGAGTTATTTTAAAACACTTAATGTTATTAGGTTAATACCTTCTGACATCATTCAAAATGGCCGAGGAAATTTAAATTTTGATTTAATTACTCACAGTTTTGCAAAATGCTTCTATGAATAACACATCAAAAATTTGCGGTGAATGTGCTTCACTTCCCTGCAGAACAGGTTTTGTGGTAACCCAAAATCAGAGTAAGTCCATGAGAGTGTATCATACATGTGAACAT
Source organism: Homo sapiens (assembly GCF_000001405.40). Lineage (NCBI taxonomy): Eukaryota > Metazoa > Chordata > Mammalia > Primates > Hominidae > Homo > Homo sapiens. Next base: position 67,099,458 of record NC_000023.11, on the reverse strand, counting down.
TACCTGTTATATATACATTGTCAGAAAAGAGAATGAAAATTCCTTTTGTGATCAATAGGAAGTCATTGGTGGCCTGTGAGCAGGATGAAGCATGATCAGTAGGTTTAGGGTCATAATTCCATCGGGAGTATGCATGTAAGGCAGCTTAGTGTAAGAAGAGAACTAGGGATTGGGGAGATCAATTAAAAGACTAACTGCTGTAACAGTCCAAGCCTAGTAATGTAAGAAAATGAGAAGTTTTGTTAAACCTTGGGAAGGTATTAGGTTGAACTATGGAACATGACTGATATTTGACCCTTTCTGCTCTACAGAAATGGGAACTGCATACAGCTTGACCTAATAGAATTCAGGACATGGTGATTGACTTATTGTGAAGAGTGAGGAAAAGGAAAGAGTTAAGGAAGATGAGTATTTAAAGTCTTGACAACTGACAGGATATAATTGATTATAAGACAATATGAATTATATTGATATATGAATTATATCTACTAAACTTTTATTACGTGCTAGTCATGATTTGAGTATTTTACACATATTAAACTATTTAATTCTCAGAACAACTTCCTGAGGTAAGAATAATGTTTATCCCTATTTCAAAAAGGAGGAAACTGATTTATAAGTAACTTCACCACAATCATGTGCTACTAAATCAAAGCTTGAATTTGGACCCAGGCAGTCTGGTTCCAGGACCCACAGTAAACCCTATGTTATACCTGCCTCTGTACAGATATCCCTGGGATGACTGTCATAAATGAGGAAGTAGAGGGGATGAGTCAACTTGGTTTCTTCAGCTATCCTCTTATTTTATCATCTTAATGTATTTTAACTTGAAAAGTAATTCATGCTCATTGAAACCAATATAGACATTTATCAAGGAGAAAACTCTCTCCTTCTCATTTCCCTTTCAAGCCTATGTTTCAGAGATAATTTAGTGTGTATCTTTACAGATGTTTCCTATGCCTATAAAATTTATGTTTTCATATAAATATACCCACATATAATTTTGTGGGTTTATTTTACAAAAATGAAATCATAGAGTGCATATTGATTTTCAACTTACTTTTTTTCACATAATGTACCTTGGGCATCTTTCCATATTATAAAGTAACTCTACTTCAGTCACATCATTGCTAGCACTTTATTTCATAGTATGGCTATAGCAAATTTTTAAATCAATGCTTGTTTAGTGAGCACTTAAATTTTTCCAGTTTTTCCTGTGATAAGAAATACCACATTTATCTATCTGTCTATGTATCTATCTATCCATCCAATGATGCTGCTAGTTTTGTAGGATGGAGTCTTAAATGTAGAGTTCCTGAGTCATAAGGTATCCATATTTAAAATAGTTATAGATGTTGCTAAATTATCCTATCCTGAATCTCTGTCAATTAACATTCCTACCAGAAATATATGAAAGAGTACATCTCCCCACATGCTTTCCTTGAGCCAAAACAAGAATGCGTCTAGAGCATTACAGTCAAGAAGAGGGCTAGAATCTAGGTCCCATGAAGAGCAATTGAAGGATGTGAGATTGTTGATCCTGGAGAATAGAAAACTCCAAGTGGTGTAAGTTTGGTCTTCAAATCTCTGAAAGCCAGAGGATACCAACCTAATGAGAATGTCCCCAGAAGGAAGAAACTTCAAGGAATCAAATGTCTGTCTATTGGCCATAAGACAGTGCTTTCTTTCAGATTTATTCTGAGATGGAACTGTTTATCTCTGAGGAGAGTCGGGTCCCTGTTACTGAAGGTGCTCACAAAGGTGTTGAATGAACACCTAACAGGAATATTAAACTTTTTTTAGAGATAGGGTCTTGCTATGTTGCCTAGGCTGGCCTCAAACTCCTGGGCTCAAGCGATCCTCCTGCCTCAGCCTCCCAAGTAACTGGGATTTCAGGTGAATGCCACTGTGCCTGGATGGAATATGAAACTTTTAACAGAATTATATTAGAGAAACTTTTCTACCATTGTCTTGCCCTGAGAGTATTAGAAACAACTCTTAAACTGGAAGAGAGATAAGGGGACCCAAGATGTTTTCTTCCCAACCAGAATTCCACTGCTTCTAGGGATAATAAATTTGGGAATCCTAGTCTTGCTACACAAATAAGCAATGGTAGATTTCTGTGTGAGCCCTTTTGATGTGGAGCCCATCATAAGAAGGGAAAGGACACACAAAGACAGATATACTCTGCTTTTTCAGGAAATCAACAGACATGTCCTTCACACTGCAGACACTTCACTAGCTTCTTCTATATGTTTTCCCAGGCCAGAGTCCTGAGATAATTTGCAGATCAAAATGCCCACTTTGAAGGAGGGAAAAGTTCATTATCTGTGCAGAATGGCAGAGGACTGACTGAGCCTAATTCTCTAAACTAGAAGTCCAGTTCTGCCATTGTCTGGCTCTGTAACCTTGGACAAGTCTCTTCAGTATTCTGAACCTCACTTTTCCAATCTACACAGAGATGAAATTGGACTGCATCTTTTATTTCTGTCCAGATTTCATGTTCTATGAAACTGTGTCTTCAAGTCAAGTGCCCCTTCTTTATGCTTCTGCAAGATGCTATTTGGACAACTATCACTCCACTTATGTTTTGTGTTGAAATTGTGTTTACTCTTTCTCCTATTAGGCTGTGAAATGTTTGGCCTAACACATGGTATGGCACTTTGTAGGCACTTATGTCAGTGTTTCCTGAAGTGAACTAGAATTATTTCTGACACCATGTTCAAAAGTCGTGGTATGTGGACAAAGTAGAAAACTGATGTCACAGAGCCCAAGGGGATTTCACACTTAAGCTCCATTCCTTTCTCCCTGAGTTACTCTGTAAGGGCAGTCAAGGATCAATAGTGAGAAAGGCAGAAGTCTTGACAAGGAAATCACTTTTTGGATCCTCTGACATCATGGTAGCTGCCTCTTTTCCTGGCTACTTTCAAAAATTTGAGCCTAAATTTCTTTTTCCTTTCTAAGGTTATTGACAGCTGGAATCCAATTTCTGAGAGTTCTCATTTAGTTTCTCTGACTTGCCTTGCAAACCACATTTCTGACAACCAACTCATATCTTCTGTGGAGGCCTATCTTTTGTGTATCCCTTTTCTTGCCAAAACAAAGAAGATTCTCTCTTTATTTTCTGCTCTGGCTCAGTCTCCAGCAGCCCAGCATCAGAATTTCTGTTAGGAGGCGTAGACCAAGGCTTACCCTTGCTTCATCCTCTTTTGAGATTCCAGATGTAAAGCAAATGGTGAAAACAACATAGTTCCCTGTACTTTGGAATCTGGCTGAAAAGGATGGCCATATGGGGGAGATTTTACTTGTATTTAGACTTGTTCCAACCACAAAATTAATAGAAGAATAATAAAGATGGGAGGGGAGAGATTAGAGACCACAGTTTTGTGAGAGAAACATTTTGAGCTTGTTTGCTTTCTAATTTAGGAACCTGGTCCATCTTACCTAAATAATACCCCTCTCCCACATAGCCCTGAATAATTCACTGTGGGAGAGGGACAAAAAATACACCATAATAAAGTCTAGACTCCCCCTTTCTGCCACCATATAACTGGAGATATGGGATTACAACAGGCTAAGGCAGTACCAGAACCAGGAGACTAAGCTTAGTCAGCTATGGCCTTTCTCTGCCCATAGAATGACTATACCTGGGAGCCAAAAGTATCTCACAAAGCAATCTTTTTCAGGTAAGATACTGTTATCTATGCTCTCATCTTTAAACTTCTAGACTTTAATCTCTAGAAGGGATCCCAAAAATCATCCAGGGTGTTTTGATTCTTTGGTTGGTTGGTTGGGTGTGCAATGAAGTCTTTCATTCAAATAAAATCTTACATGCAATTGAAGGTCTACAAGAGAAAGCAAAGCTGCTCTGGAAAAATGGGGATATGGGCTGTATTAGTCAATTTTTGCATTGGTATAAAGAAATACCTGAGGCTTGGTAATTTATAAAGAAAAGAGTTGAATTAGCTCATGGTTCTGCAGGCTGCACAGGAAGCATGATGCTGACATCTGTTTCTGATGAGGGCCTCAGGAAGCTTACAATCATGGCAGAAGGTGAAGGGGAAGTAGGCTTGTTATGTCATGAGAGCAAGAGCAAGAGAGAGAAGGTGGGGAAATGCCACACTCTTAACCAAATCACTCGTGAACTCAGAGCAAGAAATAACCCATTACAGCAAGAACGGTGCTAAGCTATTCATGGGGGATTCTCCCCCATGATCCAACACCTCCAACTAGACCGCAACTCCAACAATGGGGATTACCTTTCAACATGAGATTTGGAGGGGACAAATATCCAAACTATATCATCGAGCCCCTGGCTCCTAAAATCTCATGTCCTTCTCACATTGCAAAATAAAATCATACTTTTCCAATAGTCCCCCAAAGTCTTAACTTTCCAGCATGAACTCAAAAGTCCCAAGTATTGAGCCCAAAGTCCAAAGTTGCATGTGGAGATGTTTCTTCTACCTATGAGCCTGTCAGATGGAAAAACAAGTTATTTACTCCCAAGGTGGAATGATGGTACAGACATTGGGTAGACATTCCCATTTCAAAAGGGAGAAATCAGCCAAAAGAAAGGGGCAATATTCCCCACACAAGCCTGAGAACCAGATATGGCAGTCATTAGATTTTAAAGCTCTAAAATAATCTCCCTTGACTCCATGTCCCACATCCAGGGTACACTGGTATGAGGGGTGGATGCTATACTGTGGGCAGTTCTGCCCCTGTGGCTTTGCTAGATGCAGCGCTTGTGGCTGTCCTGATGGGTTGGAGTCCAGTGCCTGGACTGAGAATGAAAAGCACTGCTGACTCTATCATTCTCAGATCTGGAGGGTGGGGTCACCCTTCCAATAGCTCCACTAGGCAGTTCCTTGGTAGTGTGGGTCCTCCAACCCCACATTTCCCCTCAGTCCTGCCCTAGTAGAGGCTCAGTGCTGTGGCTCTGCCCCTGCAGCAGGCACCCAGATTTTTCCACACATCCTCTGAAATCTAGGTGGAAGCTGCCAAGCCTACTTCATGTTTGTGTTCTTTGTATCTGCCGGCTTCATACTATGTGGAATCTACCAAGGCTTATAACTTGCATTCTCTGAAGCAGCCGCTTGAGCTGTACCTGGGCACTTCTGAGCTGAGGCTAGAGCCAGAGGATCCAGGATGTGAGGTGCAGTGTCCTGAGGCTGGGCAGGCCACTGAAACCATTCTTTCTTTCTAGGCCTCTGGCCTGTGATGGGAAGGGCTGTTCTGAAGACTACTGAAATGCCTTCCAGGTCTTTTTCCTATTGTCTTGGATATTAGCACTGGGCTTCCTTTTAGTCATGCTAATCTCTCTAGCAAGTGGTTGTTCCATAGCCTGCTTGGATTCTTTCTTTACCACAGGCCAGGCTGCAAATTTTCCAAACTTGTACTATCTGCTTCCCTTTTAAATATAAGTTCCAACTTTAAGTCATTTCTTTGCTTGCATATCTGATCATAGACTGTTAGAGGTAGGCAGACCACCTCTTGAATGCTTTGCTGCTTAGAAATTTCTTATGCCATCATTATATGAAAAAAATACATGCACATGCATGTTTATAGGAGTGCAATTCACAACTGCAAGGATATGAAACCAACCTAAGTACCCACTGACCAATGAGTGGATAAGAAAATGTATATATACAACATGAAATACTACTCAGCCATAAAAGGAACTCAGGAAAGGAAAAATAATGTCTTTTACAGCAACTGTGATGGAACTGGAAGTCATTATCTAGGTGAAGTAACTCAGGAATAAAAAAAAAAATGTCCTATGTTCTCACTTATGAGTGGGAGCTAAGCTATGAGGATGCAAAGATGTACAGAACAATATAATAGACTGTGGAGACTCTGGGGGGGAGTTTGGGAGGGAGGCAAGGAATAAAAGACAACATATTGGGTACAGTGTTCACTGCTCAGATGACAGGTGCACTAAAATCACAGAATTTACTACTAAAGAACTCATCCATGTAACAAAAAAAAAACACCTGTATCCCCAAAACTATTAAAATGAAACATAAAACAAATAAAGTTCTCCTTCCAGATACCCTAGGTTATCACTCTTAAGCACAAACTTCAACAGATCTTTAGGACTTGGACATAGTGCAGCCAAGTTCTTTGCTAGGGTGTAACATGGGTGACCTTCACTCCAGTTTCCAATAACTTCCTCATTTCCACCTGAAACCTCATCACCCTGGACTTCACTGTCCATATTTCTATCAGCACTTTTGTCATAGCCACTTGGAACCATTTGTTTTCAAACTTTTTCTCATCCTCCTGTCTTCTCCTGAGCCCTCTAAACTCTTTCAGTCTCTGCCCACTATTCAGTTTCTAAGACTCTTCCACATTTTCAGGTATCTTTAGAGCAATGCCCCACCTCTTAGTACCAGTTTTTTGTATTAGTCTGTTTTTCAGTTGCTATAAAAAATACCTGAGGCTGCATAATGTATAAAGAAAAAAAGATTTAATTGATTCATGGTTCTACAAATTGTTCAGGAAGCATTGTGCCAGAATCTGCTTCTTTTGAGGGCACTAGGAAGCTTATAATCATGATGGAAAGGCAAATGGGGAGAAGGCACATCACATGGCAAGAGTGGGAACAAGAAAGAGAAAAGGAAGGTGTCACACTTTTTTAGTAAAAGATCTCACATGAACTCAAAGTGAAAAGTCACTCATTACAGCAAGAATGATGCTAACCCATTCAGGAGGGATCCTCCTGTATGATCCAACATCTTCCACTAGGCCCCATCTCCAGTACTGGGGATTATATTTCAACATAAGATTTGGAGGGGAAAATATGCAAATTATATCCTTCACCAAGAGCCCACCTTCTCAATTTCCCATTCCTTCCTGAAGTGCTTTCTGAAGTAGTAACCTAGGGCTCCAAGGAAAACATTTTTAAAAATACCAATCTAGACCAATTCTTTCATATTATAGATTAAAAAACAAAACAAAACAAACTAAGGCCCAAAATTACTTGGAAGTTTAGTTCATTTTCAGATCAAAAACCCAGATTTCCTGATTGCTAATCCAGAAAACTTTTTTTTAAAACTCTATGCTGCATCTTCTTATAAACTTCTTCTTAAAATATTTTGGCAAGGATACTTTCTCTCTTATAGCAAGAATGGAAATGGAGGTATCCCTGGTAATTGCTTATGCATGGACCACTGCAATGATACATTTTGTGGTATACAGAAAGGCAGTGGAACAATCCCAGATTTCAGAAGTTGGTTGATAAAATCAACATACAATGTTAAGAGAAAATATATTTATCTTCCTGAAGATAAATCAAGCAGCTTGATCACAGCTTGATCAGTTGTGTTAACATCTGTAGGGAGAATGTGTGAATCAGTAAGAGATGGAATCATTATGGACACAGAGAGAAACAAGATGTCAGAGAGATCCCAGGTGGCACAGTGTATCCAGCAAAGTCTAAGCACCACCAGAATTTGAAGACACCCAAACTCAAAGTTCCTAGAAAGTGTTGTTAACAGATAGAGATGGTCTGGATAAAATATCCCTTAAAATTATCCACCTTCTTTTTGCCTGGGTCCTTTCTCATTAAACAACCATATTCTTATGCTGAATAATCCCTCTTTCTAGGAGGTAATATTCCTCCCTTGCAGACTTTCTTCTGTTTTGAGTCTTTCTTTTACTCTACACTCTTGTTGGACAATTACCTTCTCTGCCACAGCTTCAATGTCCTCCCATAATTAATGAGTATCATATCACTAGCTCTAGTTTAGGCATCTCTCTTGAGCTCCAAACCCATTGATCCAATTCTCTACTTCTTTATATCTCCACCTGGAGATTCCACATGAACTTCAAGCTAAACTTGCTGAAAACAGGGGATTAGTTAGAGTCTCAAGCAGAAGCAGATGGCACACTCAAAATAGAATAATTTCAAACAGACTTCTTTACAAAGGCACTATTTATAAAGGGGATAGATATGAGAGAGAAACAAGAGATAGGGAAGTCAGCCAAGATAGCGGACCTTGAGCTGTTATCACTTCTAGGAGAGGACTAAGGGAGGGAGCAATTGCTAATATCTGGAAGAAGAGGCAATTCTGTAGAGTTGGCCACCTTGAAATGAGCAGTGTTTTTTGGTTTACAGATTTAAGCCACACAGGCCAAGTTCTCAGAGAGGAAGCCAAGGCAATAATAATGCTGACCTTATTGTCCTTTATCCAATTTTCTTATAGTGCCTCCTGTTGACTGAACCCAGAGGACACAAGAATCTAGAAGATGAAGTCCAATTAGGTCAGCCACCTTGGAAGTTGATTTTGAGGAACAAACGGAAGATATATGGCATATGCGTGTTTGTAATGCACATGCATACATACACATAAATGTATACATATATGTGTATATGTATGTATCTGTGTATATAGTATTACTCCAAACACATTCCTGTAATATATTATTATTATTTTTTGAGATGGAGTCTTACTCTGTCACCCAAACTGGAGTGCTGTGGTAAGATCTCAGGTCACTGCAACCTCCACCTCCCAGGTTCAAGCAATTCTCCTGCCTCAGCCTCCCAAGTAGCTGGGATTACAGGGGCCCGCCACCACACCTGGCTTATTTTTGTATTTTTAGTAGAGATGGTGTCTCACCGTGTTGCCCAGGCTAGTCTTGAATTCCTGACCTCAAGTGATCTTCCAGCCTTGACCTCCCAAAGTGCTGGGATTATAGATGTGAGCCACCAGACCTGGCCTACATTTCTGTAATACCTTCTATATCAAAAAGACATTATACCATAGATTGAATGCCAGCTCAGACTTAACCATAAGCAGGGCCTTCAAAAGAAGAGTATACTTCACCAAAAGGAGGTTCCATGTAATTGTATTCCTACATGATGTTAGTAAATATTTTAAGAAAAATAAATTCTGAGATTAGATATGTTTGAAAAATATTGCATGAAATAAAGTTGACAGTACTCTATTTCAGGACTTCCAAGAGTTTTTAATATTCTAGTGTGTATTATAAAATGCTAACAAAACTGTATAACATTTAATGTTTGTTCAAATTATTTAAATATAAAACTCATTTTACAGAGGATTTCATAGAATTAATATTCTAAAGAACAAACTTTGAAAAATGCTGGTTTTGTCTAATCCATCCATTTAACATATAGAAAAAATAAATTTTGCTTAAGGTGCAATGTTGGCTCAGTGGCAGGACCAGAATTCAGGTCTATAACTCAAGAATCTGTGGTCCACTCCTGTTTGCACCATATCATATTCCCTTAGTAGCTTTCTCTAATAACAGCTTATTATTAATTTATATTCAATGACTACCTAAAACTTTTTGGATTTTGTTTTAATTATTTTATTCTATGTTACTTATTGAAATAACAGTTGTATAAAATCACTATTTGCTGTGTAAAATAATATTTTTGTTTTCTTCTAAGTTTTAAGGAAAAAGGTTTCAAGTTCTCTAATTCTGGGTTTTTGTGAACAAGGCTATTTTGTCTCTCTTCATGTCTTTTGTGATAACAGTGTTTATTTTACACTCCCTCTTGGTCTGTCTTTTCATCATGAAAGCACATAAAACTGTCAGCAGACTGTGGTTCAGCCAAAGCTCTGCTAATAAGCAGCAGCTTAATTTTGGGCAAGAGACATTTCTGGTCCTCAGTCTCTTGATATGTACATTTCTAGGGGCAGGGTCTGTCAAATGGCATGGTAGATACTTAGATGCTTTCTAAGGATACATGATTTAGGACATTCACCCAGAGGGCTGTAGCATCACGATGCCAGCTAGACCCAGCTGTGTGGTTGTGTCCCCAGCACTCTAGCCCATGTCGTGTCCTAAACCTCAGGAAATAGAAAGTTTAGAACAATAGGGAGGCTGCCCCTGGGACAAAGGGAGCCAAAGCATGTACTTCTTAGAGCCACCTGCCCAAGGCTGCTGCTACTGACAGCAACTGCACCACCCCTCAACAGCAGGGCTTCCATACTCCTGCATCCATCATTAGGAGGACTAGGGACTGAGCAACCTGCAAGCCATCCTGGGGCCTGAGAACAGATCTGTCATGCCTACCACTGCTGGGATGCACCATCTAGGTGTCCTGAAGACAGGCCCTTCTCACCCACCACCATGATCACTAGCACCCAGGTGTGCCATACAGGGAACAGGGGATTTATCTACACTGCCCAGTGCAGACAGCACCCACCCATGAAAAACATCAAGAAGCTCAAGGACAGGACCACACGGCCCACTGCCACTGTCACACACATGTGTCATCTGTGGGTCTGGAGATCAACTTGCCTTGCCTGCCACTGCTGGCACCCATGAATGTTGCCCAAGAGCCTGAGGACAGTCCCACCATACTTAACACAGCTGACCACATGTATTGCATGTGGTGATGGGGATAGGCATGCCTTGCCCACCATAAGCGGTACAAGTGATTGTCTTCCAGGTCCATAAGGATGGTCCCACCCTGCTGCTGGTGTTTGTATGTGCATCTTAGGGCCTGGGACCTGGGGCCTGGTCCACCCTGCTTGCTACTGCTAATGCCAGCACTAACCGATGCATATCACTTAGGGATATGGTGATTGCCCATCCAGCTAAGTGCCTCTACTACTGGTAGCTGTGTAACCTACTTGGAAGCCTGAAGGTTGCCTTACCACTGCTACTGTCAATGCTGACTCTCTTCATGCTGCTTGGGGGACCACATCCTGCTGTCTCAACCCACCACCACCAGCACCCAAACATGACGACTGGAAGGCCCAAGGATGAGCCCATCTGAAATCAATACCACTAGTGCCCATGCATGATGCCCAGAAGCCTGAAGACTGAAACCTTTGGACCACCACCACTGATGCCTGAGGACTGGACTGCCAGGATGCACATACCCATCCCCAACGAAGCCTTACCACAGCCTCCATTAAAAACCACAGCCTAAGCCATTGAGGAACTCACAGACATCACAAACACTGATTACAGCCAAAGAAATTATATGGAGACTACACCATGGTATCCACTCAGAATCAAAGCCCAAGAACCTTCCCCAACCAAAACTATAGATATATGTATAGAAGTAAGTCATTCTCTTAGAAAGCCAATTCATAAAATTGGAAAAAAATGACTGTTACACCAGATGTGAAGATATCATTGTAAAGACACAGGAAATATGAAAGAGAAAGGAAATATAAACTTTCATAGAAACACAATAATTCTGCAATAAAATATCCCAATGGAAAGAAAATCTATGAAATGCCTAAAAATGAATTCAAAATAATATTAAAGAAATTCAGTGAGACAAAAGAGAATGCAGATGAATAATAAAGAGAAATCAGAAAAATAATTTATAATCTGAATGAGAAATAGAAATCATTAAAAGAACTAAACATAAATCCTAGAACTGAAGAATTTAAGAAATAAAATAAAAATATAATCAAGAGCTTCAACAACAGACTAGATTGAGCAGAAGAAAAAATTTTGGCACTTTAATGTACTGCTTTTGAAACAACCCAATCAGACAACAAAATAATAAAAAACAACAACAAAAATAAGAAAGGCTATGTGATATGTGGGACACCATAAAGTGTCCAATTTTCAAATTTTGGGAGCTGTAGAAAGAGAAAAGATGGGCAAAGTCATAGAAAACCTATTTTTAAAAATGATAGCTGAAAACCTCACAAGTTTTGCAAGATATGTAGGCATCAAGATACAAGAAGCTCCAAGATCTCCAAATAGATTCAACACAAAAAGTCTTCTTTAAGGCATGTTATAGTCAAACTGTCAAAAAGCCAAACACAAAGTGAGAATTCTAAAAACAGAGAAAGAAAAGTGTAAAATCACATATAATGGTCTCTCCATTAGATTAACAGAGGATTTCTCAGCAGAAACCTTACAGGACAGGAGAGAATGGGATGCTGTATTCATAGTGCTGGATGAAAAAAAAAGTCAGTAAATAATTCTAACTACATCCAAGAAACTATAATTCAAAAATAAAGAAGAAATAGTCTTTCATAGGCAAGCAAAAACTGAGGAAATTTTACACCTAGTCATATTTTGCAATAAATAAGTAACGAAGATATATATCTGGAAGCAGAGAATGATATATAGCATTATAAAAACACACAAAAATATAAAACTCACTGGTAAAACAGAAAAACAAATGAAAAAGAGAAAAGAGGCAAACATTATCACTACACACACACACACACACACACACACACACAACCCATCAAATGGTAGAGGCAAACAATAAAAAAGGAAGAAAGGAACAAAGACATATAAAACAATCAGAAAAAAATTAACCAAACGACAGGAGTAAGTCGTCAACTAACAGTAATAAGCTTGAATGTAAATGGCTTAAATTCCCTCAATAAAATATATAGACTAGTAGAATAGATTTAAAAAACAAGACTTAACTATAGGCTGCTTACAAGAAACTCACTTCATCTGTAAATAAATAGACTGAAATTGAAGAGATGGAAAAAATATTTCACATAAACAGAAACCAAAAGCATGCTAGAGTAGCTATACTTATATCACACAAAGTAGACATTAAGTCAAAAAGCATGAAAAGAAAGTCGTTATATAATAATAAAAGAATCAGCTCAGCACGAAGATATAAAATGTTAAATATATATATACATAACAGAGCACCCACATATATGAAATACATATCCCTCATTTATAAGAGGTAACATAAGAGATAAACCCAATACAAATGCAGTTGGGGAATTCAAAACATCATGACTGGAAAGCCCAACACCCACAGTCAGCATTGGATATATCATATAGAAAAAAAAATTATCAAAGAAACATTGGGCTTAATCTGCACTACAGACCAAATGAACCTAACAAACATTTATGGAAAATTTTATCAAATTTTCATTAGCAAATGGAACATTCTCTAGAATAGACAATACGTTAGGACACAAAACAAGCCTTAACAAATTTGTAAAAATTAAAATCATATCAAGTATCTTTTCAGACTACACCTGAATAAAACTAGAAATCTATATGAAGATAACTTTAGAAACTGTACAAACACATGGAAATTAAACAATATGCTCCTGAAGGGCGATTGAGTCAATGAAGAAATTTAGAAGAAAATAAAAATTTTTATTGAAACAAATAAAAATAGAAACACAACATATCAAAACCTATGGGACATAGAAAAGGCAGTGCTAAGAGATAAGGTTATAGCAATAAACACTTGCATAAAAAAGTAAAAATATTTCAAATAAATAACCTAATGATGCACCTCAAGGAAATGGAAAGCACATACGAGATAAACTCAAAATTAGTAGACACGAAGAAAAATAAAAATCAGAACAGAACTAAACACAATAAAAACTAAAAAATTCTGAAGGTTCTTTTAAACAAAAAGTTGGTATTTTAAAACTATAAACAAAATTGATAAACCGCTAGCTAAATGAACCAAGGAAAAAAGAGAGAATACCCAAATAAATAAAATAAGAAACGAAAAAGGAGACATTTCAACTGGCACCACAGAAATACAAAAGATCATTAGAGACTATTATCAACAACTATAAGATAACAAATTTGAAAACCTAGAGAAAATAGATAAATTCCTGGGCATATAAAACCTTCTGGGTATATAAAACCTACCAAGATTAAACGAGAAAAAAAAATACTTGAACAGATCAATATTGAGTAAGAAGATTGAATCAGTAATGAAAATTCTCCCAACGAAGAACAGCCAAGGACTAGGTGACTTAATGCTGAATTCCACCAAACTTATAAAGACAAACTAACACCAATTGTTTTCAAACTTGTCCAAAAACTTAAACAGAAGGAAATTCTCCATAACTTGTTCTATAAGGCCCGTATTATCTGGAAAGCAAAACCAAACAAATAGACATCAAAAAAGAAACTATAGGCCAATATTCCCGAGGAACACAGATACAAAATTCCTCAAGAAAATGCTACCAAATCCAAAAACACATCAAAACAACAAAGACAAGGAGCAAGTAGTATTTATTTCAAGAATATAAGGCTAGATCAACACATGAAAATAAATAAATTTAATATATAACATAATGGAATTAAGGACAAAAATTATATGAGTATCTTAACAGATGCAGAAAAAGCATTTGATAATATTCAACATTCTTTCATGATAAAAACTCTCAACAAGTCATATATTGAAGGAACAAAATTCAGCATAATAAAGGTCATATATTACAAACTCAAAACTAACATTATACTGAATGAGGAAGAGCTGAAAGCCATTCTTCTAAGAACTGGAACAAGAGAAGGATGCCCACATTTACCACTGTTATTCAACATAATGTTGGAATCTCTAGCCTGAGCGATCAGGCAAGGAAAAGACATAAAAAGTATCTAAATTGGAAAAGAGAAAATCAAATTGTCCCTCTGTGCAGATAATATGATCTTATATAGAGAGTAACCTGTAGACTCCACCCCAAAATTATTAGAAATGATAAACAAATTCAATAAAGTTGCCAGATACAAAATAATCATACAAAAATCAGCAGTGTATTTATACACTAACAATGAACTAGCTGAAAAAGAAATCGGGAAGACAATCCTATTTATAATGCTTACAAAAAATAAATTACTCAGGAATAAATTTAACAAAGGAGGTGAAAGACTTTTCAATGCTAACTAGAAAACACTGATGAAAGAAATTGAAGAGTGAAAAAACAAATGGAAATATATTCCATGCTCATGGATCAGAAGAAGTAATATTGTTAAAATGACCATACTACTCAAAGCAATCTGTGGATTCAATGCCATCCCTGTCAAAATTCCAGTGATGTTCTTCACAGAAGTAGAAAATAAATCCTCAAATTTGTATGGGTCCCCAAATAGTCAATGCAGTCCTCAGCAAAAAGAACCAAACTGGAAGCACCACACTGCCTGACTTCAAAATATACTACAAAGCTATAGTAACAAAACCAGTGTAGTATTAGTATTGAAAATAGACACTCAAACCAATGGAACGGAATAGAGAAACCAGAAATAAGTCCATGTATTTACAGTCAACTCATTTTTGAAAAAGGTGCCAAGAACACTCATTACGGAATGGACAACTTCTTCAATAAATGGTGTCGGGAATATTGGATATTCATATGCAGAAGAATAAAACTGGTTGCCTATCTCTCACCAATATAAAAATCAATTAAAATATAATAAGACTTAAACATAAAATCCAAACTGTAAAACTACTAGGAAAAAAACATATGAGAAGTGCTTCAGGACTTTGGTCTAGGCACAAATTTTATGGCTTCCAAAGCATAGAAAAAATAATTAGACAAAAGGGACTATATTAAACTAAAAAGCTTCTATGCTGCAAAATAAACAATCAACAAAGTGAAGAGATAATCTGTGGAATAAGAGAAAATATTTCCAAACTATTCATCTGACAAGAGACTAATATCCAGAATATACAAGGAACTCAAGCAACTCAACAGCAGTCATCATCATCATCATCATAGTATCATCATCTCATTAAAAATGGGCAAAAGACCTGAATGGAAATTTTTCAAAAAGACATACAAATGATCAACTCGTATATTTAAAAAATGCTCAACATCTCTAATCATCAGAAAAAGGCAAATCAATACCACAACGAGATGTCATCTCACCTAGTTAGAATGGCTGTCATCAAATAGAGAAAACACAACAAATACTGGTGAAGATGTAGGAAAAAAAGGAATCATTATACACTGTTGGTAGGAATGCAAGTTAGTACAGCCATTACAAAAAAACAACACAGATGTTTGTAAAACACTAAATATATAGTTACCACATGATCCAGCAATCTCACTAATGAGTATTTAGCCCAAGGAAAGAACATTAGTGTATCAAAGGGATTCTTGCACCCTCATGGTTTTCAGCACTATTGACAATAGTCAAGATATGAAATCAACCTAAGTGTCCATCAATGGATGAATGAACAAAGAAAATGTGTTATGCATACCTGATAAAATGCTATTCAGCTATTAAAATGAAGGAAATCCTGTCATTTGCAGCAAAATGGATGAGACTGCAGGTTAAATGAAATAAGCCAAGCACGGCAAGAGAAATATCACATCTTCTACTGTTCTTGTGTTAGTTTGCTGAGAATGATGGCTTCCAGCTTCATTTGTAGGAGCTAAAAAAGTTGTTCTCATGAAGGTAAAGAATAGAAAGATGGTTAGCAGAGAATGGGAAGTGTGGTGAAGGATGAGAGAGGTTGATTAATGGCTGCCAACATACAGTTAGATAGAATAAATAATATCTGGTGTTTGATAGCAGAGTTGAGTGAATATAGTCAACAATGTATTTTATATTTCAAAATAACTAGAAAAGAGGATTAAAATGTTTCCAATATATAAAATGATAAATGTTTGAGGTCATGAATATCCTAAACACCTTGATTTGATCATTACAGATTAAATGCATGTATCAGAATATCACATATGGACCACAATATGTATAGATGTATCAATACAATTAATAACTTTAGCATTTATTAAAGTTTTATTGTATGACACAGACTGCTCTAAATGCCTTATGTATTGATACATTTAATTATAAAAAAGAATATATGATTTATAAATCATTCTACTATAAAGACACTTGCACAATTATGTTTATTGCAGCAGTGTTCACAATAGCAAAGACTTGGAATCAACTCAAATGCCCACCAATGATAGATTGGATAAATAAATTTTAGCACATATACACCATGGAAGACTATGCAGCCATAAAAAAGAATGAGTTTATGTCCTTTTCAGGCACATGAATGAAGCTGGAAACCATAATTCTCAGCAAACTAACACAAGAATAGAAAACCAAACACCACATGTTTTCACTCATAATTGGGAGTCAAACAATGAGAACACCTGGACCCAGGGAGGGAAACATCACACACCGGGGCCTGTTGGTGGGGTGGGGCATAGGGGAGGGGTAGCATTAGGAGAAATGCCTAATGTAGATGACGGGTAAATGGGTTTAACCAACCACCATGGCACGTGTATACCTATGTAACAAACCTGCACATTCTGCACATGTATCCAAGAACTTAAAGTATAATTTTAAAAAAATTAAAAAGAATGTATGATTTAGGATTATTTCTTTCTTTTTTTACCTTTTTCTCTTCATTTGTATTTTTTTAATTTTATTATTATTATACTTTAAGTTTTAGGGTACATGTGCACAATGTGCAGGTTAGTTACATATGTATACATGTGCCATGCTGGTGTGCTGCACCCATCAACTCGTCATTTAGCATTAGGTATATCTCCTAAAGCTATCTCTCCCCCCTCCCCCCACTCCACAGCAGTCCCCAGAGTGTGATGTTCCCCTTCCTGTGTCCATGTGTTCTCATTGTTCAATTCCCACCTATGAGTGAGAATATGCGGTGTTTGGTTTTTTGTTCTTGCGATAGTTTACTGAGAATGATGATTTCCAATTTCATCCATGTCCCTACAAAGGACATGAACTCATCATTTTTTATGGCTGCATAGTATTCCATGGTGTATATGTGCCACCTTTTCTTAATCCAGTCTATCATTGTTGGACATTTGGGTTGGTTCCAAGTCTTTGCTATTGTGAAGAGTGCTGCAATAAACATATGAGTGCATGTGTCTTTATAGCAGCATGATTTATAGTCCTTTGGGTATATACCCAATAATGGGATGGCTGGGTCAAATGGCATTTCTAGTTCTAGATCCCTGAGGAATCACCACACTGACATCCACAAGGGTTGAACTAGTTTACAGTCATGCTCACCATCACTGGCCATCAGAGAAATCCAAATCAAAACCACAATGAGATACCATCTCACACCAGTTAGAATGGCAATCATTAAAAAGTCAGGAAACAACAGGTGCTGGAGAGGATGTGGAGAAATAGGAACACTTTTATGCTGTTGGTGGGATTTAGGATTATTTCTTAGACTGCACATAATATTCTCAATGTAGCTGCTCCTTTATTTCACACAAGAATAGGATGGTGGTGTGCAAGGGAGGTAATGTGCTGTTTTTTAATTTTTTTTTCAATTATCATCCTGAAGGAGAGAGCTCACTGACATATATCCTCGTAAGTTGGCTGTTTGCTACCTGCAAAGTTTATATTTAAGCAGCAAGCCCTATTTCATATAATTTATAAAAACACTAAGATGTGTTCTGGGTAACAGAATTGTTTTAATACATTTTTGGTTCAAAATTTCAAATACCTATTTTTTCTAATTTTTATTCTGAAATTTTCAATGTGAAGAAAAGTTTAAAGACACTGAGTGAATATCTGAACACCTCTATCTCTTTGCGCATATTCTCAGACTCACCAATGGCTAACATTGTAGCCATTTTGTGCTTTCTCTGCTCTTCCTCTCTCTCTCTCTACTTATATACACACACACACATATATGTTTTTATATATACACATATATACACATATTTATGTAATTTACAAATTTGCATGAATTATGTTCATATTTAATTTTTTGACAAACCATTTGAAAATAAGTTGCATCACAACATGTTATACCTAAATAATTCAACATACACCTCTTACGAATAAAGACATGCCTTATATAGCCACAATATCATTATCACATTGTGTGAATATCTTGTTTGTCAATAATGTTTTGCTTGCCAGTTTTAGTATCTATTGATGATAATGAATGACTAAATTAATCATACACTGGAGGTGGCAGAATGGTGATTTTTTTATGCCCTCAATATTTCTTAGTGAACATTCTTTGTAAAGAAGAGTACTCTACCACCACATACACATATTTTTAAAAAATTAACCTTCCTCTCCCTTTTCCACCTTTTTTAGGTTAGCAATATGAACTCATGGATTTCAAAAAAATTAAGGTGTTATATACACTTCCACTGATATTCTTTTTATGATAAAATTGTCCAATATTTGGCTAGTGAAACTCCTTAAACTTGACTCCTGTGTTCTTTTGAAATAATTCCATTAGACTTCTAAGGTTTGGCTCTAGTCCATGACTCCCAGACAGCACTTCTGGACCCACCTGGGGACTGGGGGAACTTGCTGCCCTGAAGGTAAGGTCACAGGCCTTCCTGGCTTTGCTACCTGCTGACTGTAGAGTCCCAAGTCCTTGGGTGAGCAAAGAAAGCAGCCAGAGAGTGGTTACAGCAGGTTTGGGGTTGGACTCAGTGTTGTGCTGGCTTCAGGTGTGACACGATGCAGACCTAGTGGTGTGGCCACAGAGGTGCTTGTGTCACACCACCCCCAGCTTTATTTAGGTGGCTTATAACAGAGATGGAGACTCTGTATGTTTGAAAAAAAGTAAAGGATAAGAACAAGAGTATCTGCATGGTAATGCAGATAAATCTCCTGGACCTTGTAGAAGACCATCAAGGTGGTACCTCTATGAGTCTGCAAGAACCACAGTGTTACTGGGCTTAACATGCTCCCTAAAGGAGATAAAGTGTAGATCACAGTATTCGAGTCTTTCAAATATCTGGAAAGCCTTCCATAGAAGGATGGCTACAAATAAACCCAGACAGTGAAGACTACAATAAATAACTCCTCAATGCCCAGATGCTGAAGAACATCAACTAGCATCAACACCATCCAGGAAAATATGACCTCACCAAAGAAACTAAATAAGGCACCAGGGACCAATCATGGACAAAGAAATATAGGTGACCTTTCAGATAGAGAATTCAAAATAGCTGTGTTGAGGAAACTCAAAGAAATTCAAGATAACACAGAAAAGGAATTAAGAATTATATCTGATAAATTGAACAAGGATTGAATTTATTCAGAAGAATCAAGTAAAAATTGTGGAGTGAAAAATGCAATTGGCATACTGAAGAATTCATCAGAGTACTTTAATAGCAGAATAGATCAAGCAAAAGAAAGAATTAGCGAGCTTGAAGACAAGCTATTTGAAAACACACAGTTGCGAGACAAGAAAAAATAATTTTTTAAAAATGAATCTTGCCTACAGAATCTAGAAAATAGCATCAAAAGAGCAAATCTAAGTTATTGACCTTAAAGAGGAGGTAGAGAAAGTAATGTGGTAGAATGCTTATTCAGTTTGATAATAACAGAGAACTTCCCAAACCTAGGAATAACACAGAACTTTCCAAACCTATTGATAAATATATCAACATTCAAGTATGAGAAGGTCATAGAACACCAAGCAGATTTAACCCAAAGAAGACTACTTCCAGGCATTGAATAATCAAACTCCCAGAGGCCAAAGACAAAAAGGGATCCTAAAAGCAGAAATAAAGCAGAAAAAATAAAAGAAAAGAAAAGAAAAAAGAAAATAAACAGCATGCAATAAAGCTTCGGTATGTCTGGAAGTAGACTTTTCAGTGGAAACCTTAAGGACCAGGTGATAGTGGCATGACATACTTAAAGTTCTAAAGGAAAAAAAAAACTTTACCATGGAATACTATATCCAGTGAAAATATTATTCAAACTTGAAGGAGAAATAAAAGCTTTCACAGACAAACAAAAGCTAAGAGATTTCCTCAATACCAGAGCTGTCCTACATAAAATGCTAAAGAGCCTACTTTGATAAGAAAGAAAAAGACATAATCATCTGAAGGTACAAAACTCACTGATAATAGTAAGTACAAAGAAAATCACAGAATATTAAAACACTGTAACTGTGGTGTGTAAACTACTCTTAAGTAGAAAGAATAAACAATGAACAAATAAAAAATAATAAGTAGAACAACTTTTCAAGACATAGTTATTACATAAAGATATAAATACAAACAACAAAAAATTAAAAAGCAGGAGGATGAACTTAAGACAAGAGTATTTATTTATTTTTTTGCTTTTTTGTTGTTTATGCAAATAGTGGTGTTATCAGGTTTAAAAAATGAGTCATAGAATAGTATTTGCAAGTCACATGGTAATTTTGAACCAAAAAAATACACAATCAATACACAAAAAAATAAAAAGTAATAAATTAAATCATATTACCAGAGAAAATTTGCTTAACTAGAGAAAGATAGGGAAAACAAGAAGCAAGTGAAGACCAGAAAACAAAAAATAGAATGGCAAGAGTAAGGCCTTACTTATCCATAATAGCATTGAATGTAAATCAATTAAACTCTCCAATCAAAACACATAGACTGGCTGAAAGGGTGAAAAAACAAGACCCGTTGATTAGTTGCTTGCAAGAAATGCACCTTACTTATAAATGCATGCATAGACTGAAAATAAAGAGATGAAAAGATATTCCATACCAATGAGAAACAAAACAGAGCAGAAGCCACTATATTTATGTCAGACTAAATAGATTTCAAACGAAGTCTATAAGTAGACACAAAGAAGTTCACTCTATAATGATAAAGAAGTGAATTTAGCAAGAGAATATAACAATGTCATTATAATTTCTATTTAACAACTTTTTTAAGTTCAGGGGTACAAGTGCAGGTTTGTTACGTATGTAAACTTGTGTCATGGGTTTTTTTTTTGTATAGATTATTTTTTTCATCCAGGTATATTTTTCCCTTTTTAAAATTGCTTTTCCATAAGTTATTGGGGATACATGTGGTGTTTTGTTACATGAGTAAGTTCTTTAGTAGTTATTTGTCAGATTTTAGTGCACCCATCACCAGAGCAGTATACACTGCACCATATTTGTAGTATTTTATACCTTGCTCCCACCCCCACACTTCTCCCCAAGTCCCTGAAGTCCATTGTATTATTCTTATGCCTTTGCATTCTAATAGCTTAGCTTCCACATATCAGTGAGAACATGTGATTTGTGGTTTTCCATTCCTGAGTTACTTCACTTAAAATAATTATCTCCAATCTCATCCAGGTCACTGCAAATGCTGTCAGTTCATTACATTTTATGGCTAAGCAGTATTCAATCACGTATATATACCACAGTTTCTTTATTCACTCATTGATTGATGGGCATTTGGTTTGGTTCCACTATTTTGCAATTGTGAACTGGGCTGCTATAATCATGTGTGTGCAAGTATCTTGTTTGTATAATGGCCTCTTTTCCTCTGGGTAGATACTCAATAGTGGGATTGCTGGATCATATGGTAGTTCTATTTTTAGTTCTTTAAGGAATCTCCACACTGTTTACTGTTTTCCATAGTGGCTGTACTAGCTTATATTCCCACCACTTGTAGAAGTGTTCTCTGATCACCACATCCACACTGGCATCTACTGTTTTATAATTTTTTGATTATGGGCATTCTTCTGGGAGTAAGGTGGTATTGCATTGCATTTTTTATTTGCATTTCCTTGATCATTAGTGATGTTGAGCATTTTTTCATATGCTTATTGGCTATTGTAATTTTTTTTGAGAATTGTCTGTTCAGGTTCTTAGCCCACTTTTTGATGGGATTGTTTGTTTTTCTTATGAATTTTTTTAAGTTCATTGTAGATTTTGGATATTAGTCCTTTGTCAGAAGTATAGCTTGTGAAAACTTTTTCCCCCTCTGTGGGTTTCCTGTTTAGTCTGCTGACTGTTCGTTTTGTTGTGAGAAAGCTCTTTTATTTAATTAGGTCCCAGCTATTTATGGTTTTTGTTTGTTTTCTGTTGCATTTGCTTTTGGGTGTTTGGTCATGAAATTCTCACCTAAGCCAATGTCTAGAAGGGTTTTTGCAATGTTATCTTTTAGAATTTTTATAGTTTCAGGTCTTAGGTTTAAGTCCTTAATCCGTCTTGAGTTGAGTTTTATATAAGTTGAGAGATGATGATGCAATTTCATTCTCCTACATGTAACTAGCCAATTATCTCAGCATTATGTTGAAAAGGGTGTCCTTTCCCCACTTTATGTTTTTTGTTTGATTTCTCAGAGATCAGTTGGCTGTAAATATTTGGGTTAATTTCTGGGTTCTCTATTCTGTTCCATTGTTCTATGTGCCTATTTTTATACAAGTACCATGCTGTTTTTGTGACTATGGCTTTATAGTATAGTTTAAATTCAGGTAGTTTGATGCCTCCAGATTTGTTCCATTTTTGCTTAGTCTTCCTTTGGCTATGTGGACTCTTTTTTGGTTCCATACGAAGTTTGGTATTGTTTTTTTTTCTAATTATGTGAAGAATAATGGGTGGTATTTTTATGGGGATTACATTAAATTTGCAGATTGCTTTTGGTAGTATGGTCATTTTCACAATATTGATTCTACCCATCCATGAGCATGGGATGTGTTTCTATTTGTTTGTGTCATCTATGATTTCTTTCTGCAGTGTTTTGTAGTTTTCCTTGTAGAGTTCTTTTGATTCCTTGGTTAGGTATAATCTTAAGTTTTCTTTTCTTTTCTTTTTCTTTCCTTTTTTTTTTTTTTTGCTGCTATGGTGAAAGGGGTTGAGTTTTTGATTTGATTCTCCACTTGGTCACTGTTGGTGTATAGAAGAGCTACTGATTTGTGTACATGAACCTTGTATCTGAAAAGTTTGCTGAATTCTTTTATCAGTTCTAGGAGCTTTCTGAAGGAGTCTTTAGGATTTTCAAGGTAAACAATCATATTATCAATAAACAGTGACAATTTGACTTCTATTTACCAATTTGAATGCCCTTTATTTTTTTCTATTCTCAGATTACTCTGGCTAAGACTTCCAGTATTATGTTGAAGTTGAGTGGTGAGAATGGACATCCTTTTTTTGTTCCAGTTCTCAGAGGGAATGCTTTCTACATTTTCCCATTCAGTATTATCTTGGCTGTGGGTTTGTCAAAGATGACATTTACTACATTGAGATATGTCCCTTATATGCCAATTTTGCTGAGAGTCTTAATCATAAAGAGATGTTGAATTTTGTCAAATGCTTTTTCTTCATCTTATGAGATAATCATGTGAATTTTGTTTTTAATTCTGTTTATGTGGTGTATCACATTTATTGACTTGCATGTGTTAAACCATCCCTGCATGCCTGGTATGAAGCCCACTTGATCATGGATTATCTTTTTGATATGTTGTCGGATTCGGTTAGCTAGTATTTTGTTAAGGATTTTAGTATCTATGTTCATCAAGGATATCTGTCTGTAGTTTTCTTTTTTGGTTATGTCCTTTCCTGGTTTTGGTGTTAGGGTGATGCTGGCTTCATAGAATGAATTAGGGATAGTTCCTTGTTTCTCTATCTTGTGTAATAGTGTCAAAAAGTTTGGTACCAGTTCTTTGAATGTCCGGTAGAATTCAGCTATGAATTCATCTGGTCTTCAACTTCTTTTTCTGTTGATAATTTTGTAATTACCGTTTTAATCTCACTGCTTGTTATTGGTCTGTTCAGGATATCTAATTCTTCCTGATTTAAGCTAGGAGGGTTGTATTTTTCCATGAATTTATCTATCTCTTCTAGATTTTCTAGTTTATATGCATAAAGGTGTTCATAGTAGCCTTGAATGATCTTTTGTATTTCAGTGGCGTCAGTTGTAATATCTCCTTTTTTGTTTCTCAGTGAGGTTATTTGGATTTTCTCTCTTCTTTTCTTGGTTAATCTTGCTAAGGGTCTATAAATTTTATTTACCTTTTCAAAGAACCAGCTTTTTATCACATTTATCTTTTGTATTTTTTGTTTGTTTCTTTGTTTCAATTTTATTTATTTCTGCTCTGATCTTGGGTATTTCCTTTCTTCTCCTGGGTTTGGGTTTGGCTTGTTCTTGTTTCTCTAGATACTTGAGGTGTGACCTTAGAATATCAGTTTGTGATCATTCAGACTTTCTGATGTAGATGTTTAGGGCTGTGAACTTTCCTCTTAGAACTGCCTTTGCTGTATCCCAGAGGTTTTGGTAGATTGTGTCATTATTGTCATTCAGTTCAAAGAAATGTTTAATTTCCATCTTGATTTCGTTTTTCACCCAAAGCTCATTCAGGAGCAGGTTATTTAATTTCCATGTATTTGCATGGTTTTTAAGGTTCTTTTTCTAGTTGACTTCCAGCTTTATACCATGGTGGTCTGAGAGAGTGCTTGATACAATTTAAATTCTCTTAAATTTATTGAGGCTCATTTTATGACCTGTCATATGGTCCACCTTGGAGAAAGTTCCATGTGATATTTAATAGAATGTGCATTCTGCAGTTTTTGGATGAAAAGTTCTGTATACACCTTTTAAGTTCATTTGTTCCAGGGTATACTTTACACCTGTTGTTTCTTTGTTGACTTTCTGTCACAATGATCTGTCTAGTGATGTCAGAGGAGCATTGAATTCCTCCACTATTATTGTGTTGCTGTCTATCTCATTCCTTAGGTCTATTAGTAATTGTTTTATAAATTTGGGAGCTCCAGTGTTAGGTGCATATACGTTTAGGATTGTGATATTTTCCTGTTCAACAAGGCTTTTTACCATTATGTAATGTCCTTCCTTGTCTCTTTTAGTTGCTGTTGCTCCAAAGTTTGTTTTTTCTGATATAAGCGCAGCAAACCCTGCTCACTTTTGGTGTCCATTTGCATGAAATGTCTTTTTCCATCCCTTTACTTTAAGTTTATGTGAGTCCTTATGTGTTAGGTGAGTCTCCTGAAGGCAAGAGATAGTTGGTTGGTTTCACCCAGCTATTAAGCCTAGTAACCATTAGTTGTTTTTCTTGATTCTCTCTGTCCTCCCACCCTCCACCCTCTGAAAAGCCTGTGTCTGTTGTTCCCCTCTATGTGTCCATGTGTTCTCATAATTTAGCTTGCACTTGTAAGTGAGAACATGCAGTAATTGGTTTTCTGTTCCTGTTTTTGTTTGCCAAGGATAAAGGCTTCCAGCTCCATCCATGTCCCTACAAAGGACATAATCTCATTCTTTGTTATGGTTCCATAGTATTCCATGGTAAATATCTACCAATTTTTATCCATTCTATAATTGATGGGCAATTAGGTTGATTCCATGTCTTTGCTATTGTGCATGGTGCTGCAATGAACATACATATGCTTGTGTCTTTGCAATAGAATAATTTATATTCCTTTGGTTATATACCTAGTAATGGGATTTCTGGGTCAAATAATATTTCTGTGTTTGAGTCTTTGAGAAATATCCTCCCTGTCTTCCACAATGGTGGAAATAATTTACGCTCACACCAACAGTGTATAAGCATTCCTTTTTCTCCTCAACTTTGCCAGCATCTGTCATTTTTTTATTTAATAGTAGCCATTCTTACTGGTATGAGATGGTATCTCATTGTGGTTTTGATTTACACTTCTCTAATGATCAGTGGTGTTGAGCTTTTTAACATATAATTCTTGGCCATTTGTATGTCTTCTTTTGAAAAGTGTCTTTATGTCTTTTGCCCACTTTTAATTGGGTTAGTTTTTTTTCTTGTAAATTTGTTAAAGTTCCTTTTGGATGCTGTATATTAGACCTTTGTTAGATGCATAGCTTGCAAAAATTTTCTTTCATTCTGTAGGTTATCTGCTTACTCTGTTGATAGTTTCCTTTTCTGTGCAGAAGCTCTTTAGTTTAATTAGACTCCATTTGTCAATTTTTGCTTTTGTTGCCATTGCTTTTTGTGTCTTTGTCATAAAATGTTTGCCCATGCATATGTCATGAATAATATTCCCTAGTTGTCTGCAGAGTTTTTATAGTTTTGGGTTTTACATTTAAGTGTGTAATCCACACTGAGCTAATTTTTGTATATGGTGTAAGGAAGGGGTCCAGTTTCAATCTTCTGCTTATGGTTAGCTAGTTATCCCAGCATCACTTATTGAATAGGAATTCCATTCCCCATCGCTTGTTTTTGTCAGATTTGTTGAAGTCCAGATACTTGTAGATATGCAGTCTTATTTCTGGGTTCCCTATTCTGTTTCATTGGTCTATGTGTCTATTTTTTACCAGCACGATGCTGCTTTGTTTACTGTAGCCCAGTAGTATAGTTTGAAGTCAGGTAGCGTGATGCCTCCAGATTTGTTATTTTTGGCTATTTGAGCTCTTTTTTGGTTCCATATACATTTTTAAATCTTTTTTCTAGTTCTGTGATGAATTTCAATGGTAGTTTAATTGGGAATAGCACCAAATCTATATATTGATTTGACAAGTAAGGTAATTTTAATATTGATTCTTCCTATCCATTGACATGCAATGTCTTTCCATTTGTTTGTGTCATCTCTGATTTCTTTGAATAGTGATTTGTAGTTGTCCTTGTAGAGATCTTTCACCTCTCTAGTTCCCTGTATTCCCAGGTAGTTTATTCCTATTGTAGCAATTGTTAATAGGAGTTTATTCCTGATTTGGCCCTTGGCTTGACTATTGTTGTTGTATAGGAATGCTAGAAATTTTCCACATTGATTTTCTATTGTAAGACTTTTCTGAAGTTTTTTATCAGCTTAAGAAGCTTTTTGGCTGAGTTTATGAAATTTACTTGATATAGGATCATGTCATCTGCAAACAGGGATAGTTTAACTTCCTTTCTTTCTATTTGAATGTCTTTGCTTCTTTCTCTCGCCTGATTGCCCTGGCCAGAAATTCCAATAGGATTTTGAATAGAAGTGGTTAGAGAGGACATCCTTGTCTTGTGCCACTTTTTAAGGGGAATGCTTCTAGTTTTTCCCATTCATTATAACATTGATTGTGGGTCTGTAATAGATGGCTCTTATTATTTTGAGGCATGTTTCTTCAATACCTAGTTTATTGGGAGTTTTTAACATGAATGGATGTTGAAAATTTTCAAAAACCTTTTATATATCTATTGAGATAATCATGTGGTTTTTGTCTTTAGTTCGGTTTATGTGATGAATCACATTGATTGATTTGCATAAGGTTAACCAACCTTGCATCCCAGGAATAAAGCCTACTTGATCATGGTGGATAAGCTTTTTGATGTGCTGCTGGATTTGTTTTGCCAGTATTTTGTTGAGGAGTTTTGCATTGATGCTCATCAAGGATATTGGCCTGAAGTTTTCTATTTTTGTTGTACTGCTGCCAGGTTTTGGTGTCACGGTGATGCTGGCCTCATGGAATGAGCTTGGAAGAAATCCTTTCTCCTCAGTTTTTTTGGAATAGTTTAAATAGAAATGGTACCAGCTCTTCTTTGTACATCTGGAATAATTCATCTATAAATCCCTATGGTTCTGGGCATTTTCTTGGTTCATAGGCTATTTATTACCACCTCTATTTAAGAACTAATTATTTGTGTGTTCAGGAATTCCATTTCTTCCTGATTCATTCTTGGGAGGGTGTATGTGTCCAGGAATTTATCCATTTCTTCTATATTTTCTAGTTTACATGCATAGAGGTGTTCTTAATATTTTCTGATGGTTGTTTGTATTTCTGTGGGGTCAGTTGTAACATCTGCCTTAGCATTTCTGATTGCATTTACTTGAATCTTTTCTCTTTTCATTTTCATTGGTCTAGCTAATGATGTATTTTATTAATTTATTCACAGAATAGCTCCTGAATTTATTGATCTTTTGGTTGTTTCTTCACATCTCTGTCTCCTTCAGTTCAGCTCTGATTTTGGTTATTTCTTTGTCTTCTGCTGGCTTTGAGATTTGATTTCTTGATTCTTTAGTTCTTTTAGTTGTGATGATAGGTTGTTAACTTGAGATATTTCTAACTTTTTGATGTGGGTATTTAATGCTATAAATTTTCCTCTTAATACTGCATTACCTGTGTCCCAGAGATTCTAGTATATTGTATCTTTGCTCTCATTAGTTTCAAATAACTTCTTCATTTCTGCTTTAATTTCATTATTTACCCAAATGTCATACATGAGCAGATTATGCAATTTCCATATAATTGTATGATTTTGAGGGAATTTCTTAGTCTTGATTTCTAATTTGATTGTGCTGATATCCAAAATAGTGTTTGTTATAATTTTAGTTATTTTGCATTTGATAGGGAGTGTTTTACTCCTGATTATGTGATCAATTTTAGTGTACATGTCATATGGTGATAAGAAGTGTGTATATTCTGTTGGTTTAGGGTGGAGAGTTCTGTAGATATCTATCAGGTCCACCTGACTCAGTACTGAGTTTATGTCCTGAATGTTTCATTAATTTTCTGTCTCAGTGACATATTTAATATTGTCAGTGGGGTGTTAAAGTCTCCCAATATTATTGGGTGGGAGTCTAAGTCTCTCTGAAGGTCTCCAAAAACTTGCTTTGTGAATCTGGGTGCTCATTTGTTGGGTGTGTATATATTTAGGATAGTAAGATTGTCTCGTTTAATTGAGGGCTTTACCATTATGTAATGCACTTCTTTGTCTTTTTTAAAACGTTGTTGGTTTAAAGTCTGTTTTGTCAGCAATTGAGATTGCAACTTCTGTTTTTTGCTCTTTCCCGTTTGCTTGGTAGATTTTTCTCTTTACCTTTATTTTAAGCCTATGTGTGTCATTGCAAGTGAAATGGTTCTCTTGAAGACAGCATACCATTTGTTTTTTATTCTTTATCCACCTTGCCACCCTGTGTCTTTTAATTGGTGCATTTAGCCCATTTATGTTTGAGGTTATTATTGATATGTGTGGATTTGATCATGTCATCATGATGTTAGCTGGTTATTTTGCAGACTTGCTTATGTCATTGCTTTATAGAGTCACCGGTCTGTACTTCAGTGTGTTTTTGTAGTGGCTGATAATGTTCTTTCCATATTTAGTGCTTCCTTCTGAAGCTCTTGTAAGGCAGTTCTAGTGGTACCAAATTTCTGCATTTTTTTTTTTTTTTTTTTGTCTGAAAAGGATCTTATTTCTCCTTTACGTATGAAGCTTAGTTTGACTGGATATGATTTTCTGGGTTGGAATTTCTTAAGTATGTTGAATATTGGCCCCCAATCTCTTCTGGCTTGTAGGGTTTCTGCTGAGAAGTCCACTGTTAGTCTAATGGGCTTCTGTTTGTAGGTGACCCATCCTCTCTCTCTGGCTGCCTTTAACATTTTTTCTTTCATTTTGACCTTGGAGAATCTCATGATTATGTGTTTTGGAGATGATCCTCTTGTGAATTATCTTACTGATTTTCTCTAAATTTCCTGAATGTGAATCTTGGCACCTCTCGCTAGGTTGGGAAGTTTCTTATGGATGATATCCTGAAATATGTTTTTCAATTTGGTTCCATTCTCCCTACCTCTTTGAGGTACACCAATCACTTTTAGATTTGGTCTCTTTACATAATCTTGCATTTCTCAAAGAGCTTGTTTATTGCTTTTTATTCTTTTTCTCTATTCTTATCCACCTGTCTTATTTCAGAAATCCAGTTTTTGAGCTCTGAAATTGTTTTCTCCACTTGGTCTATTCTGCTATTAATACTTGTGTTTGCATTATGAATTCTCGTAGTGTGTTTTTCAGCTCTCTCTGGTTCATTACATTCTTCTTTATACTGGCTATTTTGTCTGTCAGCTCCTGCAATGTTTTATTATAACTTTTAGCTCCCTTGCATTGGGTTACAATGCACTCCTTTAGGTCAGTAATGTTCATTCCTATCCATATTCTGAATTCTACTTCTATCATTTCAGCTATCTCAGCCTCAACCTTCTTCCACACTCTTGCTGGAGAGGTGATGTGGTTATTTGGAGAAAAGAGGGAACTCCGGCTATTTGAGTTTTCAGTGTTCTTGCACTGATTCTTTCTTGTTTTGTGGGCTTGTCTACCTTCAATTCTTGGGGTTGGTGAACTTTAAATTTTTTTAACTAGTCTGGCCATGTTTTTGTAGGGCTGCTATGCTTTGCTGGGTGTCTGCACCAGTTCCTAGTCACCTTGGATTTTTCAGTACCTAGATATATCACCAGTGAAGGCTGTGAAACATCAAAGACTGCAACCTGCATCTTCCTATGAGAGTTCCATCCTAGGGAGGCATGGACTTGTGGCCAGCCTGCACACACCTGTAGGAGGTGGCTGGAGATCTGAGATGCAAGTGTCTGCTCAGTGAATAGGAATGCAATTGTGGTCCCACTTAAACAAGCAGTCTGGCCATGTTTCTGTGGAGCCACTTAATGTGCTGGGGTACTGCTTCTACCCGATTTGGCCTAGACTCTCCAAAGCCCACAAACTAAAATGACTAAGTCACCCAGACAACAAATATTGGCTGTTAACTTCTCTCTTTGGGAGCTCTGTCTCAGGGAGAATTCAAATCTCTGTTGGCCAGAGAACACTGGTCAGGGAGGCTGGAGGACCAGGCTAGAAGGTCCCACCCTATAAGGAGGAAAAGATGGGGGACCCACTTTAAGAAACAATCTGGCCACGATTTGGTAGAGCAGCTGTGCTCTGCTGGGGAATCCATTCCACCACTGGTCAGTTTGAACTCTCCAACATCCACCTGAGTTTCCCAAACAGCAAAGATGATGGCCTGCCTCTCCTCCTAGATTCTCTATCCCAGGTAGGCACAACACTGCTGCCAGTGGCTGGCTGGAATTTCAAGCAAGTGGGTCATATCCTAAGTGGTGCTGTGGAGGTGGGGCCAAGAGACTGTGGCTTAGCCACCTGTGTTCAGCCTCTGTCATAGGGGTATGAAGAGAGGTCTAATCTCTTGCTTTGCCAGAGTTGCCATTAGTTATGCTGGGAAGCCCAGAACCAGAGTATCTGATGCTTCCACATCTCCACATGTGCCTGAGTGGCTTCTCTGCTAAGACTCCACATAGCTCTGAGTGTCAGGCTGAAGGCCCTGATGGAGTAGGTTCACAAGGGGACCGCCTGACCCAAGGATTTCAAACATTCATGGGAGAAGCATAGGTTCTGGAGAGCACACATTTACTCACTGCTTCCCTGGGCGTGGGAGAGTCTCTTGGCTCCTTGCTGCTTCCAGGCAGGCTGTCATCCTTCCTTGCTTTTTCTCCATTCTCACCAGGTTGAGTTGTTTCTTTGATTATTCCCAATGTGAGTATGTGGATGTTTCAGTTGAAGGTGCTGTATTTACTCTCCTCTTTCATTCCTCTCTGTTAGAGTCACTCACCTTAGCTGCTTCTAGTCAGCCACTTTGGCCACTCCCCCCAGTAATTTTAAATATATATGCACCCAACACTGGAGCACCCATATGTAAAAAGGAAATTCTGTTAGAGATAAACCCAATACACCAAAAGCTGACACTTCAACAATTCATTTTCAACATTGGACAGATCTTCTAGACAGTAAGTCAAAAAAGAAACATCAGACTTAATCTGCACTATGGACTAAATTAATCTAATAAACGTTTTTTGAACATTTTATCTAAGAACTGCAAAATACATGTGTTTTTTTCTCAGAACATGAATTATTCTCAAGCATAGAACATATATTAGTTAAAAATTAATAATTAAAATATTCAAAAAATTGAAATAATATCAAGCACCTTATATGACTACAATGGAAAAAAAAACTAGAAATGAATAGCAAGAGGAATTTTGGAAACTATACAAATACACGGAAACTATATAATATGTTATTAAATGACCAGTAAGTCAATGCAGAAATTTATAAGAACTTTGAAAAATTTCTCGAAACAAATAATAATGGAAACACAGTGTACCCAGACCTATGGGATACCACAAAAGCAGTACTATGAGGGAAGGTTATAGCTATAACTGTCTACATCAAAAAAGGGGAAAAACTGCAAATGAACAACCTAATGATGCATCTTAAAGAATTGGAAAGGCAAGACCAAACCAAACCCAAAAATAGTAGAAAAAAGGAAATAATAAAAATCAGAGCTGAAATAAAAGAAATTGAAATTTAAAAAAAAACACAAAGAGCAATGAAACAATAAGTGGTTTTTTAATAGGTTAAACAAAATTGACAAAGCTATAGCCAGACTAAGAAAAAAGAGAGGAGATTCAAATAAATAATATCAGAAATGAAAAAGGAGACATAACAACTAATATTAGAGAAATTTAAAAGATATTTAGTGGCTAAGCTACTATGAGTATCTATATGACAAAGAATTACAAAATCAAGAATAATGGATAAATTTCTAGATACATACAACCTACCAAGTTTGAACCAAGAATAAATCCAAAATCTGAACATGCCAATAACAAGTAATGGGATTGAAGCTGTAATAAGTTTCCCAGTAAAGAAAAGCCTGGGACCTGATGGCTTCATTGCTGATTCTACCAAACACTTAAAGATGAACTAACACCAATTCTACTGAAAGTATTCTGAAAAATAGAGGAAAAGGGAATGCTTCCAAACTCATTCTATCACTTCAGGATTAACCTGATAAGAAAATGAAAGACATATTACAAAAAAGAACTACAGGCCAATGTCTCTGAAGAATATTGATGCAGAAATCCTCAGCAAAATACTAGCAAACAAAATTCAACCATACATCACAAAGATCACCCACTGGGACCAAGTTTGATTTATTCCTG
The DNA here is from genome assembly GCF_000001405.40 of Homo sapiens. NCBI lineage: Eukaryota > Metazoa > Chordata > Mammalia > Primates > Hominidae > Homo > Homo sapiens. The sequence continues at coordinate 67,066,309 of NC_000023.11, read as the reverse complement.
TGACGCAAGGGTGGTTCAACATATGCACATCAATCAATGTGATACGTCATGTCAACAGGATAAAGAATTAAAATGATATTATTATTTCAATTGATGTTGAAAAAGCATTTAATAAAATTCAAGATACCTTCATAATAAAAGCTTTCAAAAAACTTGAAAGAGAAGTAACAGGCAGGGAGCCAAGATGGCAGAATAAGAACAGCTCCAGTCTACAGCTCCCAGCATGAGCGTTGCATAAGATGGGTGATTTCTGCATTTCCAACTGAGGTACTGGGTTCATCTCACTGGGGAGTGCTGGACAGTGGGTGCAGGACAGTGGGTGCCGTGCACCGTGTGTGAGCCAAAACAGGGTGAGGCATCACCTCACCCGGGAAGTGCAAGGGGTCAGGGAATTCCCTTTCCTAGTCAAAGAAAGGGGTGACAGACGGCACCTGGAAAATTGGGTCACTCCCACCCTAATACTGTGCTTTTCCAACAGACTTAACAAACGGCACACCAGGAGATTATATCCCACACATGGCCTGGAGGGTCCTATGCCCACGGAGCCTCACTCACTGCTAGCACAGCAGCCTGAGATCAAACTGTAAGGCAGCAGCAAGGCTGGGGGAGGGGCACCTGCCATTGCTCAGGCTTGAGTAGGTAAACAAAGTGGCCAGGAAGCTTGAACTGGGTGGAGCCCACCACAGTTCAAGGAGGTCTGCCTGCCTCTGTAGGCTCCACCTCTGGGAGTAGGGCACAGACAAACAAAAGACAGCAATAACCTCTGCAGACTTAAAGGTCCCTGTCTGACAGCTTTGAAGAGAGTAGCGGTTCTCCCAGCACACAGCTTGAGATTCGAGAACAGGCAGACTGCCTCCTCAAATGGGTCTCTGACTCCCCAGTAGCTAACTGGGAGGCACCACCTACTAGGGGCAGACTGACATCTCACACGGCCGGGTACTTCTCTGAGACAAAACTTCCAGAGGAACGATCAGGCAGCAGTATTTGTGGCTCACCAATATCCGCTGTTCTGCAGCCACTGCTGCTGATACCCAGACAAACAGGGTCTGGAGTGGACCTCCAGTAAACTCCAATAGATCTGCAGCTGAGGGTACTGACTGTTAGAAGGAAAACTAACAAACATAAAAGACATCCACACCAAAAACCCATCTGTACGTCACCATCATCAAAGACCAAAGGTAGATAAAACCAAAAAGATGGGAAAAAACCAGAGCAGTAAAACCGGAAACTCTAAAAATCAGAGTGCCTCTCCTCCTCCAAAGGAAAGCAGCTCCTAACCAGCAACGGAACAAAGCTGGATGGAGAATGACTTTGAAGAGTTGAGAGAGGAAGGCTTCAGAAGATCAAACCACTCTGAGCTAAAGGAGGAAGTGTGAACCAATGGCAAAGAAGTTAAACATTTTGAAAAAAAACAGACAATTCCGTAACTAGAATAACCAATGCAGAGAAGTCCTTAAAGGACCTGACGGAGGTGAAAACTGCAGCACGAGAACTACATGACAAATGCCTAAGCCTCAGTACCTGATGAAATCAACTGGAAGAAAGGGTATAGTGATGGAAGATGAAATGAATGAAATGAAGCATGAAGAGAAGTTTAGAGAAAAAAGAATAAAAAGAAACAAACAAAGCCTCCAAGAAATATGGGACTATGTATAAAGACCAAATCTATGTCTAATTGGTGTACCTGAAAGTGATGGGGAGAATGGAACCAAGTTGGAAAACACTCTGCAGGATATTTTCCAGGAGAACTTCCCCAATCTAGCAAAGTAGGCCAACATTCAAGTTCAGGAAATACAGAGAAGTCCACAAAGATACTCCTTGAGAAGAGCAACTACAAGACAAATAATTGTCAGTTTCACCAAAGTTGAAATGAAGAAAAAAATGTTAAGGGCAGCCAGAAAGAAAGGTCGGGTTACCCACAAAGGGAAGCCCATCAGGCTAACAGCTGATCTCTTGGCAGAAACTCTAAAAGCTAGAGGAGAGCAGGGGATAATATTCCACATTCTTAAAGAAAAGAATTTTCAACCAAGAAATTCATATCCAGCCAAACTAAGCTTCATAAGTGAAGGAGAAATAAAATCCTTTACAGACAAGCAAATGCTGAGAGATTCTGTCACCACCAGGCCTGCCCTAAAAGAGTTCCTGAAGGAAGCACTAAGTGTGGAAAGGAACAATCAGTACCAGCCACTGCAAAAACATGCCAAAATATAAAGACCATCAAGGCTAGGAAGAAACTATATCAACTAACAGGCAAAATAACCAGCTAACTTCATAATGACAGGATCAAATTCACACATAACAATACTAACCTTAAATGTAAATGGACTAAATGCTCCAATTAAAAGACACAGACTGGGAAATTGGATAAAGAGTCAAGACCCATCAGTGTGCTGTATTCAGGAGACCCATCTCATGTGCAGAGACACATAAAGGCTCAAAATAAAGGGATGGAGGAAGATCTACCAAGCAAATGGAAAACAAAAAAAGGCAGGGGTTGCAATCCTAGTCTCTGATAAAACAGACTTTAAACCAACAAAGATCAAAAGAGACAAACAAGGCCATTACATAATGGTAAAGGGATCAATTCAACAAGAAGGGCTAACTATCCTAAATATATATGCACCCAATACAGGAGCACCCAGATTCATAAAGTAAATCCTTAGAGACCTACAAAGAGACTTAGTCTCCCACACAATAATAATAGGAGACTTTAAAACCCCATTGTCAATATTAGACAGATCAACGAGACAGAAAGTTAACAAGGATATCCAGGAATTGAACTCAGCTCTGCACCAAGCAGACCTAATAGACATCTACAGAACTCTCCACCCCAAATCAACATAATATACATTCTTTTCAGCACCACACCACACCTATTCCAAAATTGACCACATACTTGGAAGTAAAGCACTCCTCAGCAAATGCAAAAGAACAGAAATTATAACAAACTGTCTCTCAGACCACAGTGCAATCAAACTAGAACTCACTCAAAACCACTCAACTACATGGAAATTGAACAACCTGCTCCTGAATGACTACTGGGTACGTAACAAAATGAAGGCAGAAATAAAGATGTTCTTTGAAACCAACGAGAACAAAGACACAAGATACCAGAATCTCTGGAACACATTCAAAGCAGTGTGTAGAGGGAAATTTATAGCACTAAATGCCCACAAGAGAAAGCAGGAAAGATCTAAAACTGACACCCTAACATCACAATTAAAAAAACTAGAGAAGCAAGAGCAAACACATTCAAAAGCTAGCAGAAGGCAAGAAATAACAAAGATCAGAGCAGAACTGAAGGAAATAGAGATACAAAAAAAAACCTTCAAAAAATCAATGAATCCTGGAGCTGGTTTTTTGAAAAGATCAATAAAATTGATAGACTGCTAACAAGACTAATAAATAAGAAAAGAGAGAAGAATCAAAGAGACACAATAAAAAATGACAAAGGGGATATCACCACCCATCCCACAGAAAAACAAACTACTGTCAGAGAATACTATAAACACATCTAAGCAAATAAACTAGAAAATCTAGAAGAAATAGATAAATTCCTTGACACAAACACTCTCCCAAGACTAAACTAGGAAGAAGTTGAATCTCTGAATAGACCAATAACAGAATCTGAAATTGAGGCAATAACCAATAGCTTACCAACCAAAAAAAGTTCAGGACCAAATGGATTCACAGCCGAATTCTACCAGAGGTACAAGGAGGAGCTGGTACCATTCCTTCTGAAACTATTCCAATCAATACAAAATGAGGGAATCCTCCCTAAATCATTTTATGAGGCCAGGATCATCCTGATACCAAAGCCTGGCAGAGGCACAACAAAAAAAGAGAATTTCAGATCAACATCCTTGATGAACATTGATGCAAAAATCCTCAATAAGATACTGGCAAACTGAATCCAGCAACACATCAAAAAGCTTATCCACCATGATCAAGTGGGCTTCATCCATGGGATGCAAGGCTTTTTCAACATATGAAAATCAATAAACATAATCCAGCATATAAACAGAACCAAAGACAAAAACCACATGATTATCTCAATAGATGCAGAAAAGGCCTTTGACAAAATTCAATAGCACTTCATGCTAAAAACTCTCAATAAATTAGGTATTGATGGGACATATCTCAAAATAATAAGAGCTATCTATGACAAACCCACAGCCAATATCATACTGAATGGACAAAAACTGGAAGCATTCAATTTGAAAACAGGCACAAGACAGGGATGCCCTCTCTCAACACTCCTATTCAACATAGAGTTGGAAGTTCTGGCCTGTGCAATCAGGCAGGAGAAGGAAATCAAGGGCATTCAATTAGGAAAAAAGGAAGTCAAATTGTCCCTGTTTGCAGATGACATGATTGTATATCTAGAAAACCCCATCGTTTCAGCCCATAATCTCCTTAAGCTTATAGGCAACTTCAGCAAAGTCTCAGGATACAAAATCAATGTGCAAAAATCACAAGCATTCTTATACACCAATAACAGACAAACAGAGAGCCAAATCATGAATGAACTCCCACTCACAACTGCTTCAAAGAGAATAAAACACCTAGGAATCCAACTTACAAGGGATGTGGTGGGCCACTTCAAGAAGAACTACAAACCACTGCTCAATGAAATAAGAGAGGATACAAACAAATGGAAGAACATTCAATGCTCATGGGTAGGAAGAATCAATACGTGAAAATGGCCATACTGCCCAAGGTAATTTATAGATTCAATGCCATCCCCATCAAGCTACCAATGACTTTCTTTACAGAATTGGAGAAAACTAATTTAAAGTTCATATGGAACCAAAAAAGAGCTCGCATTGTCAAGTTAATTCTAAGCCAAAAGAACAAAGCTGGAGGCATCATGCTACCTGACTTGAAACTATACTACAAGGCTACAGTAACCAAAACAGCATGGTACTGGTACCAAAACAGATATAGACCAATGGAACAGAACAGAGCCCTCAGAAATAATGCCGCATATCTACAACTATCTGATCTTTGACAAATCTGACAAAAACAAGCAATGGGGAAAGTATTCCCTATTTAGTAAACGGTACTGGGAAAACTGGCTATCCATATGTAGAAAGATGAAACTGGACCCCTTCCTTAAACCTTATAGAAAAATAAATTCAAGACGGATTAAAGACTTACATGTTAGACCTAACACCATAAAAACCCTAGAGGAAAACCTTGGCAATACCATTCAGGACATAGGCATGGGCAAGGACTTCATGTCTAAAACACCAAAAGCAATGGCAACAAAAGCCAGAATTGACAAATGGGATCTTATTAAACTAAACAGCTTCTGCACAGCAAAAGAAACTACCAGCAGAGTGAATAGGCAACCTAGAGAAGGGGAGAAAATTTTCACAACCTACTCATCTGACAAAGGGCTAATATCCAGAATCTACAATGAACTCAAACAAATTTACAAGAAAAAAACAAACAACCCCATCAAAAAGTGGGCGAAGGACGTGAACAGACACTTCTCAAAAGAAGACATTTATGCAGCCAAAAAACACATGAAAAAATGCTCATCATCACTGGCCATCAGAGAAATGCAAATCAAAACCACAATGAGATACCATCTCACACCAGTTAGAATGGCAATCATTAAAAAGTCAGGAAACAACAGGTGCTGGAGAGGATGTGGAGAAACAGGAACACTTTTACACTGTTGGTGGGACTGTAGACTAGTTCAACCATTGTGGAAGTCAGTGTGGCAATTCCTCAGGGATCTAGAACTGGAAATACCATTTGACCCAGCCATCCCATTACTGGGTATATACCCAAAGGACTATAAATCATGCTGCTATAAAGACACATGCACACGTATGTTTATTGCGGCATTATTCACAATAGCAAAGACTTGGAACCAACCCAAATGTCCAACAATGATAGACTGGATTAAGAAAATGTGGCACATATACACCATGGAATACTATGCAGCCATAAAAAATGATGAGTTCATGTCCTTTGTAGGGACATGGATGAAATTGGAAATCATCATTCTCAGTAAACTATCACAAGAACAAAAAACCAAACACCGCATATTCTCACTCATAGGTGGGAATTGAACAATGAGATCACATGGACACAGGAAGGGGAATATCACACTCTGGGGACTGTTGTGGGGTGGGGGGAGGGGGCAGGGATAGCATCAGGAGATATACCTAATGCTAGATGACGAGTTAGTGGGTGCAGCGCACCAGCATGGCACATGTACACATATGTAACTAACCTGCACAATGTGCACATGTACCCTAAAACTTAAAGTATAATAAACAACAACAACAACAACAAAAAAAAGAATACTGTATCCAAAAAATTTATCCTACAAATATGTAGAATAAAGACTTTCCCAGACAAACAAAAGTTGAAACAATTCATCACCACTAGACCCATCTTACAACAAATGCTGATGAGTTCTCCGATCTGAAAGAAAAACACAGTAACATGAAAAAAATGAATGTATAAAACTTGCTAGTAAAATTAAGTATACAGACAAATCCAGAATACTATAATACCGCAATTATGGTGAGCAATCTATTCAGTACTCTAGTATGGCGCCCAAAATACAAATCTATCGAAACCAATAATAACTACAGCAACCTGGTAAGAAATAGGTAATATAAAATATGTAAATTGAGATGACTAGATGTCAAAATCTAGGGAGAATGGCATTAATGTGCAGACAGTTTTGTATTCCATTTTTCTTTCTTCTCTTTGTGATCTAAAATAAGTTGTCATCTCTTTAAAGTAACTTGTTATAACTGTAAAATGGTGTTTTTTGTAAGCCTAATGGTAACCACAATGCAAAAACCTGGAACAGATTTACTGAAAGTAAAAAGCGTATCAAAACACACTACCAGAAAAAAATCACTGAACCACAAGGGAAGACAATAAGAAAGGAATAAAGAAAAAGAAGAGTTGCAAAACAATCAGAAAACAAGCAACAAAATAGTAGTCGTAAGTTCTTATCTATCAATAACACTGAATATAAATGGACTCAAATCTCCATGAGAATGGTTTAAACTAGTTTCTCTTCTTTCAAACTGATGGAGGTGGAGGAGTGAGATAAATTGTGTGGAAAGCAGGTTCATCTTTACAAAGATAAACAAGAAGTTGCATACACTATGTCCACTTGCAGCCCTTTAGTTATAACTTAGTTTCATTGACATACTTAGCTACAAGGGAGACTAGAAAATGTAGCCTCTAGCTGAATGCCTGTGTACTCAGCTAACTTAGGGATGATTCTATTGCCAAAAGGAAAAGGGGGAGATGGATTGTGAAGAAGAGTCAGTGATGTTTCCAGCAACACAGATCCCAGTTTCAATAGAACTTGGGTTCACAATTGAGATTCAGACATTGCAGGAAGTGTGATAAGCCTACCAGGGATATGTTTTCTGCAGGTAAACAAAAAAGTAATTTTTAGGGAAAAACACACCCTAAGAGAAGAAAGGGTCAACAAGACAAGACTAGCTCAATAACAGTGTCTCAACTGGATAGGAGAAATGATACTAAATACAGCATGGCAAATAAATGCCATCTGTATTTGTTCCATGCTCCAGATCTTTATGTACTCATTTTTAAATAATTGAGGAAGACAATTTTTAAAAAATATGAGATAGATTTCCTCATAAAACCTCTAAATAAATAGTATACCAAGTGTGACAGAGTATAACACCAAAGGGTGCTTCATGTCCCTTGTAAGTTGGATTGCTAGGTATTTTATTCTCTTTGAAGCAATTGTGAATGGGAGTTCACTCATGATTTGGCTCTCTGTTTGTCTGTTATTTGTGTATAAGAATGCTTGTGATTTGTGCACATTGATTTTGTATCCTGAGACTTTGCTGAAGTTGCCTATCAGCTTAAGGAGATTTTGGGCTTAGATGATGGGGTATTCTAGATATACAATCATGTCATCTACAAACAGGGACAATTTGAATTCCTCTTTTCCTAATTAAATACACTTTTTTTCCTTCTCCTGCCTGATTGCCTTTGCCAGAACTTCCAACACTATGTTGAATAGGAGTGATGAGAGAGGGCATCCCTGTCTGTGCCAGTTTTCAAAGGGAATGCTTCCAGTTTTTGCCTATTCCATATGATATTCTCTGTTGGTTTGTCATAGATAGCTCTTATTATTTTGAGATACGTCCCATCAATACCTAATTTATTGAGAGTTTTTAGCATGAAGGGCTGTTGAATTTTGTCAAAGGCCTTTTCTGCATCTATTGAGATAATCATATGGTTTTTGTTGCTGGTTCTGTTTATAGGCTGGATTATGTTTATTGATTTGCGTATGTTGAGCCAGCCTTGCATCCCAGGGATGAAGCCTACTTGATCATAGTGGGTAAGCTTTTTGATGTGCTGCTGGATTCCGTTTGCCAGTATTTTATTGAGGATATTTGCATCAATGTTCATCAGGGATATTGGTCTAAAATTCTCTTTTTTTGTTGTTTCTCTGCCAGGCTTTGGTATCATGATGATGCTGGCCTCATAAAATGATTTAGGGAGGATTCCCTCTTTTTCTATTGATTGGAATAGTTTCAGAAGGAATGGTACCAGCTCCTTTTTGTACCTCTGGTAGAATTCAGCTGTGAATCCATCTGTTCCTGGACTTTTTTTGGTTGGTAAGCTATTAATTATTGCCTCAATTTCAGATTCTGTTATTGGTCTATTCAGAGATTCACCTTCTTCCTAGTTTAGTCTTGGGAGGGTGTATGTGTCGAGGAATTTACCCATTTCTTCTAGATTTTCTAGTTTATTTGCATAGAGGTGTTTATAGTATTCTCTGATAGTAGTTTGTATTTCTGTGGGATCAGTGGTGATATCCCCTTTATCATTTTTTATTGTGTCTATTTGATTCTTCTCTCTTTTCTTCTTCATTAGTCTTGCTAGCGGTCTGGCAATTTTGTTGATCTTTTCAAAAAACCAGCTCTACAAACCACTGCTCAATGAAATAAAAGAGGATACAAACAAATGGAAGAACATTCCATGCTCATGGGTAGGAAGAATCAATATCATGAAAATGGCCTACTGCCCAAGGTAATTTATAGATTCAATGCCATCCCCATCAAGCTACCAATTACTTTCTTCACAGAATTGGAAAAAACTACTTTAAAGTTCATATGGAACCAAAAAAGAGCCCACATTGCCAAGTCAATCCTAAGCCAAAAGAATAAAGCTGGAGGCATCATGCCACCTAACTTCAAACTATACTACAAGGCTATAGTAACCAAAACAGCATGGTACTGGTACCAAAACAAAGATATAGACCAATGGAACAGAGCAGAGCCCTCAGAAATAATGTCGCATATCTACAACTATCTGATATTTGACAAACCTGACAAAAACAAGAAATGGGGGAAGGATTCCCTATTGATTAAATGGTGCTGGCAAAACTGGCTAGCCATAGGTAGAACACGGAAACTGGATCCCTTCCTTATACCTTACATAAAAATTAATTCAAGATGGATTCCAGACTTACATGTTAGACCTAAAACCATAGAAACCCTAGAATAAAACCTAGGCAATACCATTCAGGACATAGGCATGGGCAAGGACTTCATGTGTAAAACACCAAAAGCAATGGCAACAAAAGCAAAAATTGACAAATGGGATCTGATTAAACTAAAGAGCTTCTGCACAGCAAAAGAAACTATCATCTGAGTGAACAGGCAACCTACAGAACAGGAGAAAATTTTTGCAATCTACACATCTGACAAAGGGCTAATATCCAGAATCTACAATGAACTCAAACAAATTTAAAAGAAACAAACAAACAACCCCATCAAAAAGTGGGCAAAGGATATGAACAGACACTTCTCAAGAGAAGACATTTATACAGCCAAAAGACACATGAAAAAATGCTCATCATCACTGGCCATCAGAAAAATGCAAATCAAAACCACAATGAGATACCACCTCACACCAGTTAGAATGGTGATCATTAAAAAGTCAGGAAACAACAGGTGCTGGACAGGATGCGGAGAAACAGGAACACTTTTACACTGTTGGTGGGACTGTAAACTAGTTCAACCATTGTGGAAGTCGGTGTGGCAATTCCTCAGGAATCTAGAACTAGAAATACCATTTGACCCAGCAATCCCATTATTGGGTATATACTCAAAGGATTATAAATCATGCTGCTATAAAGACACATGCACACATATGTTTATTGCAGCACTATTCACAATAGCAAAGACTTGGATCCAACCCAAATGTCCAACAATGATAGACTGGATTAAGAAAATGTGTCACATGTACACCATGGACTACAATGCAGCCATAAAAAATGATGAGTTCATGTCCTTTGTAGGGACATGGATGAAGCCGGAAACCATCATTCTCAGCAAACTATTGCAAGGACAAAAAGCCAAACACTGCATGCTCTCACTCATAGGTGGGAACTGAACAATGAGAACACATGGACACAGGAAGGGGAATATCACACACCGGGACTTGTTGTGGGGTGGGGAGAGTGGGGAGGGATTGCATTAGGAGATATACCTAATGTTAAATGACGAGTTACTGGGTGCAGCACACCAACATGGTACATGTATACATATGTAACTAACCTGCACGTTGTGCACATGTACCCTAAAACTTAAAGTGTAATAAAATAAATAAATAAGTAAATTATTTTAAATAAAGAAAAAAAAAACACCAAAGGATGAAGGTGTATGCTTCTCTTGTCTGCTAACATATAGCTTGGCTTCTGTACATTAAATATACAAAGCATAGAAAGTATAAACCTCATTAGCTAGTAGAGACTCAAAGATCTTGCTTTTTAACTATTTTTAAAATACATATATTGTTTATCAAACACTTCTTATGTGTCAGGTACTGTATTGAAAGCTTTTATGTGTATTATCTCATTTAATCCTCAGAACAATTGTATAAGTTAGTTACTTTGTTAGTCTTTAGAAAAGTGAGGCCCAAAGAAATTAAAAGTAATTTTGTCAAGGTCAAAAGCTGATAGGTCATATTACCAGGATTTAACTTGGTTCCTTCCCAACTGCATAAACCTCATTTATTGTCAATATATTGCACAAAATCATGAAAGAAAGAATTGGAAAAAATAACAAACATGAAGGGAGTTTGAAGCCCTTAAACACTGAGCAAGAAGGAAGACTAGAGAAATGACTTACTTAAAATTCTACTGCAGTGTGACCTAGAGAAACACAAATTAACCTGGAAATTTTCTATTTAATGGGAACTGCAATGAACTATGGTAGTGTCACCATGGAGTTTTGCAAAGAATACTGTCTAAACACAGGCAGAGTAATTAACTGTTCTTACCTGAAATGAGAAATAACAGAAATTAAGGAATTTCCTAGAATATAACTATTCCAAAAGGAACAAGCGAATGCTTGAAGATTTAATTTAAAAGAGCATTTTTACTTAGGGATAGAAAGGGAGTCATTGACCACCTTTAAATGTCCATTCAACATGCACAATACATATTCTAATATGTAACTGTCTTTCCAAGGGAGTTCAGTTTCCAGTATGATATTTTAAATTTCATTTTGGTATTTGTTCTTTGTGACATTTTGAGTATTAATGCTTAAGGGGAAATTCAATTTTCCTTTAAATATATTACTTGTAACAACTTTCTAGTTTTGGAAAAATGAGTTTACTAAACTGTTGTAAACATATTGCTAATAGTCATTATGTTCTATAATTTCTCTTAATAAATTTTGAATTTTATTTGAGGTATTGTTATGTTTATTATTGAGTCTTTTAAAATTGCATTTTTGTATATCACTTATTACATGGTCATTTGTTACTTTTGTTACAAAGTTGGTGTCTAAAAACTAATTGCTTATCAGAATATGTCCTCAATTATTTCTTAGAATTCAGTTATAAAGCACAATTTGTTTTATAGGCTTTTTTCCTTTTCAGGAAAACTTCCATTTCATAAAGTAAATCATGCCTTTAACATCTGTTTTCATCTCTGTAATATTTTGTTGTGTTTATTTTGAAAAGAACATGCAATTGCTAAAAACGATATCAATCATAAAAGTGACCCAAAGGGTTGAAATGGGATCTATAAAATAAGATAAAATAATTCCCTGAATCTGCCACTGGTTTGTATTTGACACTGGGCCGGTCACTTTTCCTTTGTGGACCTTAGTTTCTCCATATAAAAATCCTGTACTAAAAGCTTCTCTAACTCTGATTTTCTAGGAATTAAAAAAAAATGGCATACAGTGGCTTGCATACCTTTTGTTTGGCCTTCCAGATCCATGTTCCACCCTCCTCTGTGCATGAGGAGACTGACCAGAGTGTAGTTTCTGGTTGGGTTTGGCTGCTGAGGTGCTCTGGAAGGAGATAAGATGAGGTGGAGATAGTGAAGTTAGGGTATTTATTTCCACCACTTACCCTCTTGTGGGGAAGGTTTTGCCATGGCTGGGCTACATTTTCACTGCGTCTCTTTTCACTTCTTTAGGTCTAGAATGGTGGGTATACCCCTACTGTTATAGTTCCAAGGTACTACACTACCCTATTTGCATCTTCTGTAATTATTTTTCTATTAAATCTCAGCACAAATTCCCAATTTGAGCATGCCATTTGTTTCCTGCCAGGATCCTAACTGACAAAAAGGTAACTTAATGCTCTGCATCCAAAGATTTACCCTAAGGATGGTGCTGTCCAAGTGTTTAGCCTCTATTCAGTATAGAAGAATGAATGAAGGTCAAATACTTCAATAGAAGAGCATTATGTTTATGACTTCTAAGTATATCTTGATGTCTAGTCTAGAGGAGCAGTGAGAGACTTTCATTTTTGTCTCATTACTTTTTTTTATTTGTAACATGAAAGCAAAGCATTGTTTCAAAAGCTTTATCAATGTTTTCTCCAAGCCTCCTCAAGAGCTACACAATTTTCAGTGCCCAAACATCTTCTCCTTCTCACAACTAAATCTCCATCATCTCACTGGCAGCAGATTTGCTCTGATGGGTCTTCTAGTGGACTCTGGGGTGGTTGTATTTTCCACCCTCTCTTCTTGCTCCTCCCTCTCTTTCTCCCTCCCAACTGCCTAGCCCACATGGAAGCCTTGTTCTTGAACAACAAGGCAGTTTTAAATGACACCCAAGGCCAGCTCAAGATATTGATTAGCAAAAGGAAACCCACCAAGACCCACAAATATCTACCATCCAACATATAGCCATAGACTGTCAGATCTGGAAGTACCAATTTGATTGCATCACGGGCTCTATCCTCAAGGTTATAGATCCCTCTGGCATTCCAGAGATAGAGTGAGGACTCTTTTAATCTATAGGTACATATCTATGATACATAAAAAATGTGTCTTACACATACAGGAGTTGCAATTTTTCAAACATTTTTAAACATGACTGTGATACAGTTACTGTGACATTTTGTATGTAACTATTTTCTCAATCATCTTATACTAAAATATTAACAATGATCTTAAAAGTGACCTCAGAATTTTTGAAACTGAGAAAAAGATTTTGCAAGAAAAGACTGCCACAATTCTTTGTTAACTTAGTAAGGCAGGTGATAAAACAGTATATGTAGTATGATCTCATACATGTATTTTCAAAGATCATAAACATATACAAGAAAATTGTGGTTATCTCTGGAGGTAAAATAAAGAGGATGTTCATTCATATTTTATTCGTGTAGCCTTGTTTGAAGTTTTTACACATATGTGTTATTTGCATTGGATGAGTTCCCTGCCAAGTGGGGGTATATGTCACAAACTAATAATAGGTGAGGGTAATGCATTTCAACAAACATTGAGATGATGGTAATAAAAGTGAATAACTTCTGCAGCACTTCTAATGTACAAGGCACTGTTCTATTAAGCACTTTAAATATGTACTGCATTATTATCCCTATTTTACACATTGAAGCCTGAGAAGTTAAGCCATTTGCACAATAGTTGGAAAGTGATGGGGCAAAATTTGAACCCAGTCAGTCTGACTCCTAAATCTACACTTTTAGTTACTAGATCTTGAAAACATATCAGTGGGAAAACATAGTCCAGTCTGGGGATTCAGAGTACTCAAGTACAGTTTCTTGAGTAAATACTGCCTCATCTGGCCCTAGGGGACCAGACTACAAGCCAGAGTACAGAACAAGACTCAACATCCCTACCTGTTGTTTCTGTTACCCTTGGGCCTCTGAGTACATTGCTAATCAGGTGGAATTCCCTGTCACATTCCTGACAAATATTCTGAATGGAGGAATAAGGCAAATGCTTTTATACTGATCATTTCATTTAGAATTGACTATAACTTTATAAGGCAAGTAGTATCCCCATTTTACAAGTGGAGAATCTGAGACTCAGATAGATGAAATATCTTGCCCAAGCGTACAAAACTGAAAAATGGTAGCGTTAGGATTTAAAACCCAGGTATTATGATGCTAGGGCAATGTATCCCCTACTATATTATGGTATTTTAGAGAGAATTTTGGACTGTGGCAGTGGATGTGGTCCCCAGACTCCTCTCATGCACTCCAGTGGTAGTTCCGGTAGCTCCACTTGTCCTCCCAATTCTACCCCTCCCACATCCGTTCTTATCTGGTTATGACCAAGTTTATAGTTCCAAAAGTTGAACTAAAAGTACCATTTTCCCCCTTCTTAATGAAGGGCCCTTTATACAGAAAGCACAGATTGGCCAGAAGTGAGTAAAACAAGGCAAATTTTAGAGTATCCTCTTGCCTAGATGAGAGGGGAGAAAAGGATTAGAATTTCTCTCATTTGGACAGACTGTAGAAAGGAATGGTGAACATAATTTACAGCAACCTCCAGATCTCCAGAAAGATGGGTCTGTCTTTTCTGGTTATAGAAAGCAATTGGAACTGAAGGTTCTGTCTGGGATAACAATATCTGACACTGGAAATATATCCTGTTCCTTCAGGCTTCAATGGAGGAAAGGCCCAGGGCATAGTCACAACTCTTACCAAGAGCATCCAGGTATTCAAGACCTTGGTTTCCCAGACAATAGTAATTTATCAGCCCTTCTCAATTACATTGCTAAAAGCCACTCTTATATTTGAAATAAATTATTTGAGCCAATCAAATTGTTGCATTATAATAAAATTGTTTTGGTCCACTTTTCATTTAAGGCCTAAAGGCTTCAAAATAATTAAAATACCATTCTGGTAACCAAAGGGAGAAAGTCTTATTTAAAAATGGCATTTGCTTGGGGATTTAAGGACCCCAAGGACAATTCTCCCCCAGTGCCCTTCACGTAATACTCTAGGAAGATCACTGTTATACTCACACACTCTAGCCCTAGTTTCAAGAGACTGGGGCTGTTAAACCTAATCATTGGTTAATTTTTAACAATGATCAATAGCTGAGAGGCCATGGCCATAGTGGCTTGGCCTAGGTGTTCTTTTTCAGACTGGGGAAGAAGTTTATTTGTAATATGAGCTTCCACTGGAGTGGACTAAGGTTGGTGGTGGGGGGAAGGAAGGGTACTGAGGGCCTGGCTCCTGCCTTTTGGAGACATTATAAACAAGATTATGTGATATAAACAAGATTTTTTCACCCTAACTGCTTAAATATGAATGATGCAGAGAGCTCTCCTGGGAGTAACTGAAAAGAAACCTGAAAGGATGTGTGATAGTAACTGGATGTTTACATTTAGTATTTCAAGAGTGGAGTAGTTCTGGGTGATGACAATAGCCAAGGTGGTTGAAAAGAGATGTAGAACAAAATCACTACTGATGAAGAAGTCAAAGGACCCAAGAGCCCAGATGTTAGCTGGATCATCTCTTAGAATTTGTCTTCCAGGATGATAGCAGGGATGAAGACAGTAAGCCAGGTGCCAATGTCTACAATAAATGAAGAGACTGACTAGAAAGTACATAAGTGATAGCAAAGAAAAGGGATGGAGGACAGTATGCTAAGATGTCATGAGTCCGAAGACAATATATTTTTTAATACGGATGGAGGAACACATGAATGCAACAAGCTTAATAAATAATAGTTCTCCTGCTGAACTCATCCTCAATGTTTTGGGCATGGAAACATTAAAAGGCTATCCTCATCAGTCTAGGTTCCCTTTTATACCCAGCCATGTCTATCCATACTTCCCACTGGCTCTCCTTCTCCACCTCAACAGATATCAGAGGACTGGGCATTCTGAGAGACTTATGACTGACTCCTTTCAGAAGCAGAAGGCTGAGCAATACTTGTATTTATGTTTAAGAGTGTTTGTGTCTGGTCCTAGATGAAATCAAATAGGGCTGATTTGGAAGCTACCCCAGATGGCAGAAATCTGGAGAGCCCCTGATCTGTGTAATTTACTGGGAGCATGTGGTGTCATCAGACTCAATGTCTGTATCAGTGTCAAGAAATTAGAGGAGCTCCTCACCCCCATCTCCACTGTAAGGGAAGACTCCAAAGTTTGAAACAACTACTAACTACAGGGTGGCTTGCCTAGGCTAGGCCTATTCTAGTCACCTTCAACTGCTGGGCTTTGGTTTAAAGATACCCATATAGAAAATATTAACACAAAATAAAAGTGTCTGCAAAGAGGCGGTGAAAGGCTTGGCAGGCTTAACTTCAGAATGAAACTTCCATCAGCTTATTGCAGACTGCAGCTGCCACTGCTGAGCGTAACAAGAAAGAGATGATTACAATTCAACGATTCACTGCACTTAAAGGTCCCGTGTCATATATTGTGCTAAACACTGTAAGCAACAGAGAAAAGTGTAAATTTCCATTCTGGAACATAAACAGTCAATCAAGAGAGAGGTACCTACACAAGTTAATCAAAGGCAGAAATTGATAAGCACTATAATGAGAGAGGTGTAAACAAATTACTCTGAAAGTGTTGAGAAGGAAAGGCTGGCTTCTATCAAAAGTAATCCAAGAAGATTACAAAGAGGGTTGCATTTGACCTGGGCTGAGAAAAACAAATTGAGTTTTTACACATACAGATTAGATGCAGGCAACGACATAGACTAATACACAGAAACAGGACAATGCAGAATACAGAATATATAGTAATGGAATGAGAGAAGGTGATTATAGAAAGTAATACCAATAGTTAATATTAGTTCATTACTTACTGTATATCAGAAACAATACTGAGTTTAACATGTATTATCCTCACAATAACCCTAGGAGACAGATTAATATTATGAACATCATCATTCCCAGTTGACAGTTCAGAAACGGAGACCTACAGAAGTTAAGTAACTTACTGAAGATCCCACAGACAGCAAGTAGCAGAGTCAAGATTCAAACCCAGGAAGTTTGGATCCAAACTTCCTGGATCCAAACACATGCTCTCAACCTCTATAGCACATTACCTTTCAACAAAGGCTGGAAAAAGGTTATGAAGAAACTTGAATGCCAGGGAAAAGATTTGGGGCTCTATCTTGTAGTCTTTTGTTTGATTTCTGGCTCTAGAATTCACTGGCTGAGTGATCTTGTCCAAGTTACTTAATTTATCTGAACTTTTGTTTCCAAATTTGTAAAATGGAGATAATAAAATAAAATATTATGGGGATATAATATGATATAGTACATAGATTGTCCTGAGATACTTACTTAGTAAATATAATTTCCAATATTCATAGTAGATGTAGTATGAGATGGGGGGCACATTCCAGGTGGAAGGAATAAACTGAAGTTTTCTGGTATTGTCGGAATATGGGCTATGATGATATATGGTGATGAAGCTAGGAAAGTAATGTGAGGAACAGCTTATGAAAGACTTTAAATGTGACCTTTAAGCATGTAGCTTTTATTCTACAAGTTACAAGCGACCCATTAAACAGAATAAATTTTAAAAAGACATGTGTGAAAGGTAGAAAACAATAATAGCTATATATGACATTCAACAAGTACCTGCTTTATACCCAGGCCTGGGGCTAGGTGCTATGAGGCATACATAGATGAAGCCCCTGTATTCTAACCAGTGGGATTGATGAGACAAAAGCTCAGTCTTATTTCACAAGAAACAAGTGAAGTAGGGCGAATGTAAAATTATACAACCACTTTGGAAGACAGTTTGGCAGTTTCTTTAAAATTTGTACTTACCACATGACCCAGAACAGCTCCTTTGAGCATTTAATCTAGAAAATTTAAAACTTACATTTACATAAAAATCTGCACATTAATTATAATATCCCTATTCAAAATCATCAAAAACTGAAAACATTACAAATGTTCACCAACGGTTGAATGGATAAGCAAACCGTGATACTTGGATTCCATGGGATACTACTCAGGAATAGAAAGGAACCAACTACTGATACATATAGCAGCATGGGTGTATTTGTAAATACATTATGCTAAGAAAAAGAATCCAGAGACAAAAACTTACTTACTATATAGTTGTATTTACATGATATTCTAGTAAAAGCAAAACTACAGGAGCAAACATATCAGTGGTTGCCAGTGTTTAGGGATGGCAGATGTAACTACAGAGGGGATAAGGGAATAATTTGGCATCATCAAAACTGCACTGTACCTAGATTGTGGTGATGGTTACATGAATCTATGCATATGGAGGAACTCATAGAACTTTATGCTCCCCAAAAAGTAATTTTTAAAAAGGTAAGATACAATATTATACTATGAAAAACTTCCCAATTCTGGTAAGTTGCTTGTCATTGTCATAAGTTTATACAAATAATGCAAATAAAATGTCTTATGAGAGTTACAGAAAAGTGACTTATGTTAATATTTTGTCCTTTGACAAGGTTACCAGACTGAAAGCATGCAGAGAGACGTTGCTTAAAACTGTTGAAATCAAGTTATTAAAAGTTGTGACATCTTTGTGGACTGTTAGATGAGTCCAACAGTCCTTCTGTTGAGTGACTAAATGATTCATCTCTATAAGAACTCATTAATTTATGGAGGTGTGTACTGGAGTCCCACAGATTCTATACTGAGCTTTATACTACTTGATATCGGTGACATAGATCAAGATATTGGTTGTTTACATTTATGGATAATATCAAGCTTCATGGAATAATCAAGGTTTTAAATATCTGCATATTTTGTGGAAAACATATTAAGTCCCTGTATAAGTTTTACTGTATGAGTACAGGAGAAAGGTAGGTTATATAACCTAGGCTTACGGGGATTCTGTGATGCACATCTCAGTATCAGGTAGCATTCATAATCTTTCTATTGGACAGATCCTCACCTACAATATAAGCCAAGCTTGGTTCGTTGGTCTAGGGGTATGATTCTTGCTTAGGGTAAGAGAGGTCCCAGGTTCATCAGATATTTTTGCTGTCTGAGACTAGTTGTATAAGAGTTGAATTTATCAGCCTTCATAGAATTGTAAAAAGTCCTTTGTTTCTTAGAGTTTCCTGCTGAGCCTGGGTGATAAAATAACAGTCAAAAGTTATTTAGAACCAGAAAGACCATAGGAATGATGACAACCATCATTTAGTGAGCCTCTCTTGTATCACAGCCAGTTTCCTGTTCATTGCTATATTTAATTCTCACATAACCACACAAAATTGATACCACTAGTATTCCCATTTTTCAGATGAGGAAACTCAGACTTAGAGTAGATAATCTGCAGAGCTGTAAATACAGAATTTGAAATTATGGGCCCAATCTCTGGTGATTTTGAAGGTAATATTTTTGAGCTTCATGACATGTGGCAACAGATGGAGGCTACTCTGGCCATTCTAGAGAGGCAGGTAGAAAGTCCTGGGGGCTCCAGTAGTTAGTTCCCTATGGTCCTGGAAAGGTGTTATCACTCAATTATGTTCTTGCCTGGTGGCTAAATTTTGCTCTTAGTCTCCACAAATCTGCAAAATGGGAACCCCTACTGCCCAGCTGGACAGTACTAGAAAAATTGAGTGGGTACTAATGGAAGCAGTGACCCTAGGCTTTTCCCAGAAAAACAGCGAAAGCAATAGTACCTCAGCTGGGTGGTAGGACAAAAAAGACCCTCAATTCTCAAACTCAATTAGGCATCAGGGCCTCCCTAAATGATGTACATGCAGATTCCCATACCCCAGCCCTTAAATCCTGATTCAAGAGGTCTGGTCATAAGACCCAGAAATCTGTATCTGGAATACACTCCCCAAGTGATTTGGATGCAGATTTTCCTGAGCTGTACCACCCTCATAGAGAGTTAGACCAAATAGACTTTGAAGTCTTTTATATCTTTGAAATTCTTACTATTCTTTAAGTATTCAGATACATGGCTTGGAAGATAGGTATCCTGGTTAAATTAAAGAGAGGAAAGAGATGTTGGTGTGAACAGTTAGAAATATATGGTCAGAGATGGCTTCATGGGATCAGTCACCCTTATGCTGGATCTGGGAATGGAAATTGGATAAATACAGAAGAGGTAAATGATACACGCAGCAAGAGAGCTGAGAGAAGCAAAGCCTCAAGCACAGAAATGACTATGGTTTGTGTGTGATTGGGTGTAGCAGGAAGGCTGATATTAAGGAACCCAGCCAGTCTCCTTGAAGCAAATAACCAGAGATAACTTTATTAGAGAAGAGCCAAAATAAAATGAGTATTAGACGCAACCTGGAGGATTTAGGCCTCAGAAACAAATGGAGGTATTTGTAACTCTTGTTGCATAGAAGAAAATGGAGTCTAAAGAAATACATTTGAAAATTTTTTGGCTGCGACCCATAGTAAAAAAAAAAATGTACATTATTACTTAGTATTTTTGTGTGTGTGCGTGTGTGTGTGTCTGTGTGTATACATATATGTATATATATGTGTGTGTATGTGTGCATGTTTGTGTGTATATATATGTGTGTGTATATATATATGTGTATATATATATGTCTGTGTGTGTATATATATATATATATATATATATATATACACACACATACACACACTACTGGTCCCATTCCACCCACTAAATACATTTTATGCCTTTTTAATGGATTATAAACTACAGTTTGAGAAACACTGGTCTAAAGTTACTGCCCTCCCTGTTTACTTTTTAAGCTAATAGGCAACTATAAACTTATCTAATGAAAGTCTTCAGAAAATTCACAGACATTTAATTTTAGCTTCATTTTTGAAATACATCTTAAGGATGTTTTCAAATTATCATAGTTAAAAACAGAATTCTTATGCAAATGTGTGTGTGATGTACTAAATTTGGATTCTTTTGGAAACCAGTTATGAATTAACCTGGACTGCATGGTTAATTTGTTTGTCATGCAGACATTGAAGTAAGGATCCTGGAATGTCTGAACTTTATATTTAATCGTCCTCTAAGTGCACCACTATTCAGAAAGGTGTGAGTTTTGTCCAGTATTTCTTTGAATTCAGTCTGTACATGTCTACTCAAGTGGACAACCAAGGTTCAGGCCCATTGATTTGGCACCTGCACTCTTCTGGACGTGAGTGATAGTCAGATGCAAAATATCAGAAGGATTTGTAACATGTTGCATTGTGATAATATCTATTATGGATATTTTAAATGCTTGTGCTAAGTTTTAGATGCATCACATCAAACTTTTATATTTATTACTAGCTGTCTTAACTGATGTTGTTCAGAGATATCAATAACCTTGTTAAATACAGTTTAATAGAACAAATAAAATAATTATTCTTGGATTTATATTATTGACTTTATTTGTAATGATTAATATGGAGCTGTGGTAATTCTCAAAGTTGAAATAAAGTTCTTTATACACCACCTTTGTTTTTCTACTGTAAATCTTTGAAATTCGTCACTCTAGAGCATGCTACTTAGAGCTAACCATGCAGGAAGCAGCTCTATCACAAATCAATGCCTGTTATTTGGAGCATTTGCAATTGTGACTTATAATAGTGGTTGTGCTACAAAGCAAATGCTTCCAGGTAACTACAAAGTTTGAAAGCAATGAGGTCGTTCAAAGGTAGCTGGAGGAATTAGACTTACACTCTTTACCACAGCACTTTGAAATGTGCTGTTGCAACCTCTGTTGTTAGTTTTTTTATTTGTTTTAATTCCAAATGTATTCCATTAATCCTCTTTTCTGTGCTTTGGGATCTCAGAAGCTGGCTCCAAAATGACCTAACCATTGGAACAGAGTGTACTTTTAGCCTCACCTTTCCATTTCAGGGAGCTGAAGCAATGTTACTTAGCAAAGTCAATTTGAGCTTATTTGAACTGTCTGTTTGTTTTCATTCTTCAGAACATGTCTCCTTCCACGTGGCTGCCAAAATTCCTTTTTGCTGGACTTTTCAACTACCTGGAATAAAGCCTCTCACATTGGCAGTCATGCACGCCCTGGGTTGTAGCTTCTTTTCAGCTCTTCTAGAAGGTAAATTCTTCTTGTTTGGTGCTCAGCTATTCCTTATACTGAACCTAACTCACAGTTGCTGCTGTGTCTCTGGCACCTAGCACAGGGTAGGCAAACGGCAGGTGCCCCATTAATTTTTGTTGAAAGAACAAATGAAATGTCTTCTTCTCCAATAAGACATATGGCTCTTCTGAAATTTATTACTTTTTTCCCAGAGATCCCATAGCACTTTGTCCATATGTTTATTAATGATTTTGTCACATCATATTTATAATTATCTACTTATCTGTCTATTTTGCTTATTGGACTGCAATCTTCTTGTTGGAAATAATGACCTTGTCCTATTTGTTTTGGTCTCTGTAGTGCCTAGCACAGTGCCTATCACAAGTAGGCAATGAATATTTTTTGAAGGAGTATATCAATAAAAGTACAGACAAGACAAGAGATTAATTATTAACATATATAATACTTCAGGTATTTATGAGTCATCTATGAATACTTAACTTCCCCAGTTATCATTGATCTTCTTTTTATTTATTCATTTATTCATTTACTCATACATTCATTTACAAATATTAGTTGACCACCTACTTTGTGCCAGGCACTGTTTTAAGCTCTAGGAATGCAGTACTGTATAATACAAAGTCCCTACTCCCAATAAGCTTACATTCTTGTGAAAGAGATAAGTAATTGGAGTTTAAGTAGTGATATATTCTGTAAAGAAAAATAAAACAGAGTAAGAGTGATGAGGAGGTGAGATTTTAGATAGGAGAGTCAGGAAAGTCTTCTCTGAAGAAGTGACATTTAAACAGAGACCAGTGGAAGATTAGTTAAGTGAATGGGTACAGGTGAAGGGGAAAATAAATAGAAGAATAAATAAACAAACAAAAACATGAGTGGAGCCTTGCATGGATCATTGATAACAAGTGCCATAAACTGAAACACATGATTAACTCAACCTTGCCACATAAATAATTTTTAATGAAGTTTTACCAGTCTAAGCAAAAGAAGAAAACCTATTCATAGCACAAAATGTGATCCTTGATCCTTGTTATATCCTGCCTTGAATTTGTCTTTTGTTTTATGAGTAGTAATCATATTTCCTCAACTAATTTTTAAGAACCTAAAGGAAGGATAATGGATTGTAATTTCTTTTCTTGTCCTTTATAGTGCCAAGGACTGTAAACTCCTCATGACATTCAACCTGTGCTCTTCTAATGCAGGGGTTTTTGTCTTTGTTTATGCACTGCTCCTACTATGCTATGCAGCAGGCACCGTTCTAGGTGCTTAGGGTGCTTTGGTGTGTCCTAAGCACCTAGAACAGTGCCTGTTGCATAGTAGCAGCAGAAGATGTTCTTGATGAATAAATTAAGTTAGCTTTTTGAAAGCAGTATCAACCATGGATTCATCTCTCTTTCATCAGAACTTACTACAGAATCTTGCACATAGTAGATACTCAGTATATGTGAGTTCTTTTCGTTTGTTCTGCTCATCCTTCACTTCTACTGCCCTTATTTTTTTTTCATTGTTGAAAGATTGATCTCTCTCAGTTGGAAGAAGCCCAGATATACAGAGCGTTTCCTTTGTGCCACAAATTCTTGAATTCAGTCTTAACAAAAAGCTGTCTGTGTCTCCAGACTAGAACTACTGACCTGCCCTAAGCTCTCATGGATTGTGTCACTACAGCTGATGTGGAATTCATACAGCGCTAGTTGGTGATACTCTATCTTTTGTTTAAGCTTAAGCTGTGAGTACTTTTTATTTCATTTCTCCTAACTGTGTTCAACACAAGCTCCATGAGAGAAGCCCACTGGAGGCTCTATAATATACCCTGGGTTGGCATGTGTAATTCAGGAAAGAACTAATTGTGATTATCTCATGTTCTCCCAACTCCTCAGATTAGAGATGGGGAAACTGAGGCACAGTGAGACAATTAGACTGCTCTGTGGTCACACCAGCAGGCAGTGACAGAGCTGAGGTTAGAACTTATGTCTCATGTCTTGGCTGTGGATACAGAAACAGCCCTATATATTGGCTCTAGCCCCAACAGCTTCTTTTCTGAGAACAGTACTGACTGCCAGGATTCTGGAGGAAGACATGCCTATACATACCCTCAGAGGCAGGTCTGCAGACCTCAATCTCAGCTTTGGACCCTGGTATGGACTTGTGACCCATATCCATCTCTTCTCCTGGTAACAGGCCCATGGTATGTGGGTACTGAAGAAGACCCTTATCTCAGTGCCAGCCCTACTGATCAAGGCCCTGGAGACAGTCCAGTCCACCCAGGGTCCATGTCTGTATAAGTTTCTTGTAAGAGGCTCACCAACTGTGAACCACACTAAGGACCCAGCAGGAGCCACATAAGTTTAATCCAAACCCATTCAATTAAAAGCCAAGAGGTAATCCCATAAGACTGGGGACCCAACAGGAGAAGATCTTTCTCTGCCAAAACCAGTCAGTAAAGACTGGAAATGCACAGACACAAGGCTGCACAGATAATGAAGAATCAGGCAAACATGACACCACCAAAGAAAGCTAATAAAAATACAGTCACCAACCTCAAAGAAGTGGAGATCCATGAATTGCCTGAGAAGCTCAATGAGATGCAAGGAAACCCAGATAAACACCTAAAAGAAATAGGGAAAAGAAGATATGAGTAAAATGAAAAGTTTAATAAACAGAAAACATAAAACGAATCAAACAAAAATTCCGGAGCTGAATAATGCAATGACAGAAAAGAGACTCATTACATTCAAGGTAAACTCAATAATGATATCAGCAAATTTCTTAACGGAAACTTTGCAGGCCAAGAAAGAGTGGGATGAATATTTAAAGTGCCAAAAGAAAAAACAACATGGCAACTTTGATGGTTAATAATGAGTGTAAACTTGATTGGATTAAAGGATGAAAAGTATTGTTCTTGGGTGTGTCTATGAGGGTGTTGCCAAAAGAGGTTAGCATTTGAGTCAGTGGACTGGGAAAGGCAGACCCACCATCAATCGTGGTGGGCATAATCTAATCAGCTGCCAGTGCAGCCAGAATAAAAGCTGGCAGAAGAATGTGAAAAGACTAGACTGGCTTGGTCTCCCAGCCTGTCTTTCTTTCATGCTGGATGCTTTTCACCTTCGAATATCAGACTCCAAGTTCTTCAGCTTTGGGACTCAGACTGGCTTCCTTGCTCCTCAGCTTGCAGATGACTTATTGTGGGACCTCACCTTGTGATTATGTGAGTCAATACTCCTTAATAAACTCCCCTTTGTATAAACATCTATCCTATTAATTCTGTCTCTCTAGAGAACTCTGACTAATATAACAACTAAGAATAATACATTCAGGAAAATGGCTTTTCAGAAATGAAGGAGAAATAAAGACATTCCCAAACAAAAGCTAAGGGAGTACATCACCACAAGACCTACCTTAGAAGGATACTAAGGAGAGTTATTTGAGTTGAAGTGAAAGAATACCAATAAACAACATGAGAATATATGGCAGTATAAAACACTCTGGTAAAGGTAAATATATAGTCAAATTCTGAATACTATAAGATTGCAGGAGTGATGTATAAATCACTTTTAACTCTGGTATAAAATGTAAAAGATAAAATTATTAAAATAGCTATAGCCACAATAATTTGTTAGTGAATACACAACATGATAAGATATTGTGATATCAGCAGTATAAAATATGGTGGAGGGGAGTAAAAGTGTATAGTTTCTGCATGCAATTGATGTGAAGTTACTACTAGCTAAAAGTGACTGTTATAACTATAAGATATTTCATGGGAGTCCATGGTAAACACAAAGAGAAAACCTCTAGTAGATATACAAAAGATAAAGGGAAAGGCACTTAAAGCAAATTTAGTTTTAAAAAACTCAATAAATCACCAAAAATACATAAAACAAAAAAAAGGAACAAAGAATCCAAAAAATAGTCAAAAAGAAAGTAACGATCTTTACCTATCAATAATTACCTTAAAAGTAATTAGATTCTATTCTCCAATCAAAAGACAAAGAATGAATGAATGGATTTTTTTAAGTGGGGTTGGTGGAGCAAGAGGGCTGAATAGAGGCCTCCAGCGATGACTCACTCTGCAGGAACATCAAATTGAAAAACTATCCACACAAAAAAACACCTTTATAAGAACCAAAACTGAGGTAAGTAATTACAGTACCTGGTTTTAACATCATATTAAGAAAAGAGGGTAGAAGAGGGCACTTGAATCTCATACAACACCCCTCCCCCATGGCCAAGTAGTGGCAGCATGCCACAGAGAGAGAATCTGTACACTTGCAGGAGGGAAAGCACAGTGATTTGGAGACTTTGAATTCGAACTTGGTGCTGCATTGTCAAAGCGGAAAGAAACACAAAGTAGAATTCAGCTGGATCCCATGGAGTCAGCATTTAGAACAGCCCTAGCAAGAGGCAAATTGTACATACCAGTGGTCAGAAACTGAGGGCTGGCAAAGTGCACCACTACAGACTAAAGTGCTCTGGGGTCCTAAATGAACTTAAAAGGCAGTCCAAGCCACAAGGACTACAATTCTTGGGCAAGTCCTGGTGCTGTGCTGGGCTCAGAGCCAGTGGACTTATGGTGCGCACAACCCAGTGAGACACCAGCTGGGGTGATCAAGGGATTACTTGCATAACCCCTCCCCCAACTCTAGGTAACACAGCCCACAGCTCTGGGAGATACTCCTTCCTTCTGCTTGAGAATAGATGGGTGAGTAAAGAGGACATTGTCTTTTAATTTGTCTACCACATCAACCACAGTAAAATAGGGCATCTGGAAGAGTCCAGAGGCCCCCATTCCAGGCTCCAGCTCTCAGCTGATATTTATGGTCATACTCTGGCCCAAAAGTGGCCCTGTTGCCTTGAAGAGAAGGACAAAATACTGGCAGGATTCATCATCTGCTGACTAAAGAGCCTTTGGGCCTTGAATAAGTGGAAGTGGTAGCCAGGCCTTATTTTCCATGGGCCATGTGTGATACTCAGAACTATCCTTACTTTGGGTGTGACCCAATACGTTCTCAGGTGTGATAGCTATGGGAAGAGACAACTTCTGCTTGAGGAAAGGAGAGGGAAGAGAAAAAATGACTTTCTCTCGCAGCTTGGGTATTAGCTTAGCCACAGTAGGGGAGAGCAACAAGTGGGCTTCTAGGGTACACAATTCGAGGCCTGGGCCCCTAGATAGAAATTCTGGACCTGCCCTGGGCCAGAGGGAGCACACTGCCCTCATGGGAGAGACCCAGGCCTGGGAGCACTCACTGCAAGCTGACTGAAGAGTCCCCAGGCCTTGAGTAAATATCAGCAGTAGCCAGGCAGTATTCACCACAGGCACAGGGCAGTGGTGGCTATGGGAAGGAAAAGTGGGAAGGACTTTGTGTTGTGGCTTGGGCGCGAGCTCAGCCACAATAGAATGCAACACCCAGTAGATTTTTAAGATTTCCAACTCCAGGCTGTGGTTTCTGGATGGCATCTTCAGAATGACCTGAGGCTGGAGGAAACTTGCTGTCCTGAAGAAAAGAATGGAAGCCTGGCTAAAGTTACCACCTAATGATTGTAGAGCCCTTGTACCTTGAGTGGACATAGGCAGTAGCCAGGCACTGATCACTGTGGGCTTTGGGCAAGACCCATTGATGTGCTAGATTTGGCTCTAACCCAACACAATCCTAGTGTTGGTAACTACGAGGGTGTCTGTGCCACCCCTCCCAGCTCCAGGCACCTCAGCACAAAGAGAGAGATTGTGTTTGTTTGGGGCAAAGTAAGGAAAAAGAACAAGAGTCTCTGCCTGGTAATCAAGGGAATTCTCCCAGATCCTACCCAAGGCAACCAAAATGGTACATATATGAGACTGGAAAAGCCATAGTGTTATTAGGCTTGGGGTGTCCACTAATGCAGATATGTCTGGAGGGACCAAAAACTTAGATCAAAACACACCTTTGAATACTTGGAAAGCCTTCCCAAGAAGGCCAGGTACAAACAAGACTAGAATGTGAAGACTACAAAAAATACCTAAGTCTTCAATGCCCTAACACCAACAAACATCCACAAGCATCAAGACTATCTAGGAAAACACGAACTTACCAAACAAACTAAATGAGTCATCAATGACCAGTTCCAGGGAGACAGAGATATGTGACCTTTCAGACAGAATTCAAAATATCTGTTTTGAAGTTCAATGTAATCACAGACACGAAAGAAATAATTCAGAATCTTATAAGATAAATTTAACAAAGGATTGAAATAAAAAGAAGCAGAAATTCTACAGTTGAAAAACGCAATTAGTATACTGAAGACTGTAACAGGGTCTCTTAATAGCAGAAGAAAGAATCAGTGAGCTTGAAGACAAGCTATATGAAAGTACACAATCAGGGGAGACAAAATAAAAAAGAATAAAAAAGAACGAAGCACACATACAAGATCCAGAAAACAGCCTCAAAAGGATGAATCTAAGACTCAATATTATATTCAAGATATTAATATTCAAGATAAAAGACAGTCTTTTATCTTTTATTTTAAGTTCAGGGATACATGTGCAGGTTTGTTATATAGGTAAATGTGTCATGGGAGTTTGTTGTGCAGGTTATTTTGTCATCCAGGTATTAAGTTTAGTATCCATAAGTTATTTTTCCTAATCCTCTCCCTCCTCCCACACTCCACCCTCTGACAGGCTACAATGTGTGTTGCTCTCCTCTATGTGTCCATGTGTTCTCATCATTTAGCTCCCACTACAAGTGAGAACATGTGGTATTTGGTTTTCTGTTTTTGTGTTAGTTTGCTAAGTATAATGGCCTCCGGCTCCATCCAAGTTCCACAAAGGACATAATCTTATAATCGTATATTTTTATGGCTGCAGAGTATTCTATGGTGCATATGTATCACAGATTTTTTTTTTTGACGGAGTATCATTCTCTCACCCAGGCTAGAGTGCAGTGGTGCCATCTTGGCTCACTGCAACTTCTGCCTCTTGGGTTTAAGTGATTCTCCTGCCTCAGCCTCCTGTGTAGATGGGACTACATGCACCCACGACCACACCAGGCTAATTTTTGTACTTTTAGTAGAGATGCGGTTGCACCATGTTGGCCAGGCTGGTCTTGAACTCCTGACCTCAAGTGATCCACCCACCTCAGCCTTCCAAAGTGCTGGGATTACAGATGTAAGCCACGGAGCCCAGTCCCACCTTTTTTTTTCAATCCAGTCTACATTGATGGAAATTTAGGTTGATTTAATGTCTTTGATATTGTGAATAGTGCTGCAATAAACATACATATGCATGTGTCTATATGATAGAACAATTTCTATTTTGGGGTGTATATACCTTATAATGGAATTGCTGAGTCGAGTAGTATTTCTGTTTTTAGGGGAAAGACAATCTTAAGTAGCCGATATAACCGCTCTCATATCCCTGAGCAGTGGCTGGTGTGACCTGAAGGGAGAATCTCTGCACTTGGCAGAGGGAGAGCACAATGACTGGGGCATTCTACTTTGAACTCATTGCTGCCATGTCACAGTGGAGAATAAAGCTGTGCTGGGCTGAGACAGCTTCTGTGCACAGAGGGAGAATTTATGGAACCCAAATTCTACTAATTTTGGGTTCAACTTACTCTTGCTTTTCTAGATCTTTAAGATGTATTGTTAGATTTTTTATTTAAAGTGTTTCCCCTCTTTTGATGTAGATCTCATTTTTTATGGATGAATAGTGCTCTACTGTACAACAACATGGATGGAACTGAATGTCATTATGTCAAGTGAAAGAAGCCAGGCACCGAAAGTCAAATATTACATGTATTTACTTATTTGTGAGATTTTAAAATTGAAACAATTGAAATGGTGATAAAGAGTGAAAAGGTGGTTACCAAAGGCAGAGAAGAGCAGCATTGTGGGGGCGGGCATTAGGGAGAGGTTGAGATGGTTAGTGAGTACAAAAAAAAATAGTTAGAAATAATGAAGACCTAAAATTTGGTATCACAACAGGGTGACTATAGTCAATAATAATTTAATTGTACATTTTACAATAACTAAGAGAGTATAATTGGATTGTTTGTAACATAAAGGATAAATGCTTCAGGAGATGGACACCCAATTTTCTATGATGTGATTATTATGGATGATATGCCTGTAAACATATATCATGTACCTTATAGATATGTACACCTACTATAAACCCACAGAAAGTGAAAATGAAAAAAATAAAAACTACATAGACTGGGTGAATGGATAAACAAAAACAAACTAGACCTAATGATATGTTGCCTACAGGTAACACTCTTAACCAATAAAACACATATAGTCTGAAAATAAAGGGATAGAAAAAGATATTCTGTGCAAATGGAAACCAAATGAGAGCAGGCAAAGCTATATTTATATCAGACAAAATAAATTTCAAGACAAAATTTATAACAAATACAAAGGTCATTATATAATGATAAAGGGATCAATTTAACAAAAGGGTATAGCAATTGTAGATCTGTATTTGCACCCAACACTGGAGTAGCCAGATTTATTAGATAAATATTATTAAAGCAAAGTGAGAGACATAGCTAAATACAATAATAGCTGGAGATTTCAACACCCTGCTTTCAGCATTAGACAGATCATGCAGAGAGAAAATCAACAAAAAAACAAACTTAATTTACACAATAGACCAAATGTACCTAATAGATATATACAGAACATTTCAATCAACAGCTGCAGGACACACATTTTTCTCTTCAGAACATGGATCATTCTCAAGAATAGACCATATGTTAGGTAACGAAACAAGACTTTAAAATGTTTTAAAAAGTAAAATTGTATCCAGCATCTTCCCTGACCACAATAAAATAAAACTAAAAATTAATAACAATAAGAATTTTGGAAACTATAAGAACACACAGAAATTAAATCATATGCTCCTGAATGACTAGTGGGTCAATGAAGAAATTAAGAAGAAAATAGAGTAATTTATTGAAACAAATGATAATGAAAAATATTGTACCAAAACCTATTAAATACAGTGAAAGCAGTAATAAGAGGAAGGTTTATGGCTAAACGTGCCTACAGAAAAGTAGAAGAACTTTAAATAAACAACCTTAAGATGCATCTTAAAGTACTAGAAAAGTAAGAGCAAAATACACCCCAAATTAGCAGAAGAATATGAATCATAAATATCAAAGCAGAAATAAATAAATTTTTAAATTTTTAAATTTTAAAAATGAAGAAAAACAACAAAAACTACCAATGAAACAAGGAGTTGGTTTGCTAAAAACATATATGAAATAAACAAATCTTTAACTCAGCTAAATGAGAGAATAGAAGAATCAAATAAATGAAATGAGAGTTAGAAAAAAAGACACCACAACTGATACTGGAAAAATTTGAAAGCTCATTAGAGGCTACTATGAGCAACTATATGGCAATAAACTGGAAAATCTAGTGGAAATAAATAAATTGCTAGACACATACAACTGCCAAGATTGAACCATGAAGAAATAACAACAACGAACAGACCCATAGCAAGTAATGAGATCACAGCCGCAGCAAAAAGGCTCCTAACATAAAATGGCTCAGGACACGATGGCTTCTCTGCTAAATTTTGTCAAATATTTAAATAAAATCAATACCAATTCCACTCAAACTATTCCAAAAAATAGAGGATGAGAGAATACTTCCAAACTCATCATTCAACCAAGTATTATCCCAATAGCCAATCCTGAGGAAGACACAGAAAGAAAGAAAGAAAGAAAGAAAGAAAGAAAGAAAGAAAGAAAGAAAGAAAGAAAGAAAGAAAGAAAGAGAAAGAAAGAGAAAGAAAGAAAGAAAAAAGAAAAAGAAAGAAAGAAAGACAGAAAGAAAGAAAGAAAGAAAAAGAAAAAAAGAAAGAAAGAAAAGAAAAGTAAAAGAAAGCTACAGGCCAATATCTCTGATGAATATTGATGCAAAAATCCTCAACAAAATGCTAACAATCCAAATTCAACAGCATATCAAAAAGATCATTCATCACAACCAAGGGGAATTTATCTCAAGGATGCAAAGATGGCTCAACATATGCAAATCAATGTGTACACTGTATCAACAGAATAAAGGACAAAGCCATATGACCATTTGAATTGATACTGAAAAAGCATTTGATAAAATTCAACATCTCTTCATGATAGAAACCCTCAAAACAGTGGATATAGATAGAACATGTCTCAACACAGTAAAAGCCATATACAAAAAACCCACAGCTAGTATCGCACTGAATAAGGAAAAACTGAAAGCCTATCCTCTAAGATCTGAAGTAAGACAACAATTCCCACTTTCACTGCTGTTATTCAACATAGTACTGGAAGACCTAGCTAGAGCAATCAGACAAGAGAAAGAAATAAAGAGCATCCAAATTGGAAGGGAGAAGTCAAATTATCTTGGTGAGCTAGGCACAGAAAGATAAACTTTACATGTTCTCACATTTTTGTGGGAGCTAAAAATTAAAACTGTTGAACTCATACAGACACAGAGCAAAATGATGGTTATCAGATCCTGAGAAGGATAGTGGGGTGAAAGGAGGAAGTAATGAAAGTAATAATATTTAATGGGTACAATAATATAGTTATAATAAATATGG
The DNA here is from genome assembly GCF_000001405.40 of Homo sapiens. Lineage (NCBI taxonomy): Eukaryota > Metazoa > Chordata > Mammalia > Primates > Hominidae > Homo > Homo sapiens. Next base: position 67,033,488 of record NC_000023.11, on the reverse strand, counting down.
TCTTGTGTGTGATTGCACAGTAGAATGACTAGAGTAAAAAAAATTATTGTACATTTAAAAATAACTAAAAGTATATAATTGGAGTGTTTATAACATGAAAAGGATAAATACTTCAGGTGATTGATACCCCATTTACCCTGATATGATTATTATCCATAGTATGCCTGTATGAAAGTATCTCATGTACCCCATAAATCTATGTACCCACAATTTTTTAAGTTAAAAAATAAGGACCAAGGTTATATTACTTAGAATAGACTCACTGTAGCCTTAATGAAACACATAGGCCTGAAAGTTAAAGAATGAAAATGGTAGTCTAAGAAACTTTTAGCCAATAGAGTGCATGAGTGGCTATACTTATATCAGGGAGAACAAACTTTCAGTTGAATTCTGTCATAAGAGACTAGGAACATCAGAATATAGTGATAAAGGGGTCAATTCATGAAAAGTGTATAACAGTTATAAATGAGTACTCATGCAACATTGAAACTCCTAAATATATAAACCAAATATTAATAGAACTGAAGAAAACAACAAAAACACAATATAGTAGGGGACTTCAATATTCCACTTCTGAAAATGAACAGATCATCCAGACAGAAAAGTCAATAAGCAAATGGTGAACTTGAACTACACTTTAGACAAAATGGGCCTAACAATAATGTAAAGAAGATTTCTTGAAACAGCAACAGAGTACACATTCCTCTCAAATTTACAAAAATTGAAACTATATCATGTATCTTTTACAAACACAATACTATAAACTAGAAATCAACAACAGAAGGAATTTTGGAAAATTCACAAATATGAGGAAATCAAACAACACACTTCTGAAAAACCAGTAGGTCAAAGAGAAACCAAAAGGGAAATTTTAAAAATATGTTGAGAAAAACAGAAATGACACTACAACCTGCCAATGATCAAGGAATGCAGCAAAGGGAGTTCTGAGATAAAAAGTTAATAGAAATAAATGCCTGTAATAAGAAAAAAGAGACCTCAAATGAACAACCTAATTTTAGACCTCAATGAACCACCTAACTTTAGACATCAATGAACCAGCAAAAGAAAAACAAAGTAGTCCAAAAAGTAGCGGAAGGAAGGAAATACTGATGAATAAAGCTGAAATAAAATAAAGACAATAAAAAACATCAATAAAACTGAGTTGATATTTTTTCTTTTTTCTTATTATACTTTAAGTTTTAGGGTACATGTGCACAACGTGCAGGTTAGTTACGTATGTATACATGTGCCATCTTGGTGTGCTGCACCCATTAACTCGTCGTTTAACATTAGGTATATCTCCTAATGCTATCCCACCCCACAAGAGGCCCAGGTGTGTGATGTTCCCCTTCCTGTGGCCATGTGTTTTCATTGTTCAATTTCCACCTATGAGTGAGAACATGCGGTGTTTGGTTTTTTCTCCTTGTGATAGTTTGCTGAGAATGATGGTTTCCGGCTTCACCCATGTCCCTACAAAGGACATGAACTCATCCTTTTTTATGGCTGCATAGTACTTCATTGTGTATATGTGCCACATTTTCTTCATCCAGTCTATCATTGTTGGACATTTGGGTTGATTCCAAGTCTTTGCTATTGTGAATAGTGCCGCAGTAAACATACGTGTGCATGTGTCATTATAGCAGCATGATTTATAATCCTTTAGGTATATACCCAGTAATGGGATGTCTGGGTCAAATGGTAATTCTAGTTCTAGATTCCTGAGGAATCGCCACACTGACTTCCACAATGGTTGAACTAGTTTACAGTCCCACCAACACTGTAAAAGTGTTCTTATTTCTCCACATCCTCTCCAGCACCTGTTGTTTCCTGACTTTTTAAAGATCGCCATTCTAACTGGTGTGAGATGGTATCTCATTGTGGTTTTGATTTGCATTTCTCTGATGGCCAGTGATGATGAGCATTTTCTCATGTGTCTGTTAGCTGCATAAATGTCTTCTCTTGAGAAGTGTCTGTTCACATCCTTTGCCCACTTTTTGATGGGGTTGTTTGTTTTTTTCTTGTAAATTTGTTTGAGTTCGTTGTAGATTCTGGATATTAGCCCTTTGTCAGATGAGTAGGTTGTGAAAATTTTCTCCCATTCTGTAGGATGCCTGTTCACTATGATGGTAGTTTCTTTTGCTGTCCAGAAACTCTTTAGTTTAATTAGATCCCATTTGTCAATTTTGGCTTTTGTTGCCATTGCTTTTGGTGTTTTAGACATGAACTCCTTGCCCATGCCTATGTCCTGAATGGTATTGCCTAGGATTTCTTCTAGGGTTTTTATGGTTTTAGGTATAGCATTTAAGTCTTTAATCCATCTTGAATTAATTTTTATATAAGGTGTAAGGAAGGGATCCAGTTTCAGCTTTCTACATGTGGCTAGCCAGTTATCCCAGCACCATTTATTAAATAGGGAAACAGTTCTCCATTTCTTGTTTTGGTCAGGTTTGTCAAAGAACAGATGGTTGTAGATATGTGGCATTATTTCTGAGGGCTTTGTTCTGTTCCATTGATCTATATCTCTGTTTTGGTACAAGTACCATGCTGTTTTGGTTACTGTAGCCTTGTAGTATAGTTTGAAGTCAGGTAGTGTGATGCCTCCAGCTTTATTCTTTTGGCTTAGGATTGACTTGGCAATGCAGGCTCTTTTTTGGTTCCATATGAACTTTAAAGTAGTTTTTTCCAATTCTGTGAAGAAAGTCATTGGTAGCTTCATAGGGAAGGCATTGAATCTATAAATTACCTTGGGCAGTATGGCCATTTTCACGTATTGATTCTTCCTACCCATGAGCATGGAATGTTCTTCCATTTGTTTGTATCCTCTTTTAGGTCATTGAGCAGTGGTTTGTAGTTCTCCTTGAAGACGTCCTTCACGTCCATTGTAAGTTGGATTCCTAGGTATTTTATTCTCTTTGAAGCAATTGTGAATGGGAGTTCACTCATGATTTGGCTCTCTGTTTGTCTGTTATTGGTGTATAAGAATGCTTGTGATTTTTGCACATAGATTTTGTATCCTGAGACTTTGCTGAAGTTGCCTATAAGCTTAAGGAGATTTTGGGATGAGACGATGGGGTTTTCTAGACATACAATCATGTCATCTGCAAACAGGGACAATTTGACTTCCTCTTTTCCTAATTGAATGCCCTTGATTTCTTCTCCTGCCTGATTACCCTGGCCAGAACTTCCAACAGTATGTTGAATAGGAGTGTTGAGAGAGGGCATCCCTGTCTTGTGCTAGTTTTCAAAGGGAATGCTTCCAGTTTTTGCCCATTCCATACGATATTGGCTGTGGGTTTGTCATAGATAGCTCTTATTATTTTGAAATACATCCCATCAATACTTAATTTATAGAGTTTTTAGCATGAAGGGTTGTTGAATTTTGTGGAAGGCCTTTTCTGCATCTATTGAGATTATCATATGGTTTTTGCTCTTGGTTCTGCTTATATGCTGGATTATGTTTATTGATTTACATATGTTGAACTAGCTTTGCATCCCATGAATGAAGCCCACGTGATCATGGTGGATAAGCTTTTTGATGTGCTGCTGGATTCGGTTTGCTAGTATTTTATTGAGGATTTTTGCATAGGTGTTCATCAGGGATATTGGTCTAAACTTCTCTTTTTTGGTTGTGTCTCTGCCAGGCCTTGGTATCAGGATGATGCTGGCCTCATAAAATGAGTTAGGAAGGATTCCCTCTTTTTCTATTGATTGTAATAGTTTCAGAAGGAATGGTACCAGCTCCTCCCTGTACCTCTGGTAGAATTCAGCTGTGAATCCATCTGGTCCTGGACTTTTTTTGGTTGGCAAGCTATTAATTATTGCCTCAACTTCAGAGCCTGTTATTGGTCTATTCAGAGATTCAGCTTCTCCCTGATTTAGTCTTGGGAGAGTGTATGTGTTGAGGAATTTATCCATTTCTTCTAGATTTTGTAGTTTATTGGCGTAGAGATGTTTATAGTATTCTTTCATGGTAGTTTGTATTTCTGTGGGATCAGTGGTGATATCCCCTTTATCATTTTTATTGCATCTATTTGATTCTTCTCTCTTTTCTTCTTTATTAGCCTTGCTAGTGGTCTATCAATTTTGTTGATTCTTTCAAAAAACCAGCTCCTGGATTCATTGATTTTTTGAAGAGTTTTTTGTGTCTCTATCTCCTTCAGTTCTGCTCTGATCTTAGTAATTTCTTGCCTTCTGCTAGCTTTTGAATGTGTTTGCTCTTGCTTCTCTAGTTCTTTTAATCGTGATGTTAGGGTGTCAATTTTAGATCTTTCCTGCTTTCTCTTGTGGGCATTTAGTGCTATAAATTTCCCTCTACACACTGCTTTGAATGTGTCCCAGAGATTCTGGTACGTTGTGTCTTTGTTCTCATTGGTTTCGAAGAACATCTTTATTTCTGTCTTCATTTCGTTATGTACCCAGTAGTCATTCAGGAGCAGGTTGTTCAGTTTCCATGTAGTTGAGTGGTTTTGAGTGAGTTTCTTATTCCTGAGTTCTAGTTTGATTGCACCGTGGTCTGAGAGACAGTTTGTTATAATTTCTGTTCTTTTACATTTGCCGAGGAGTGCTTTACTTCCAATTATGTGGTCAATTTTGGAATAAGTGTAGTGTGGTGCTGAAAAGAATGTATGTTCTGTTGATTTTTGGGAGGAAAGTTCTGTAGATGTCTGTTAGGTCTGCTTGGTGCAGAGCTGAGTTCAATTCTTGGATATCCTTGTTAACTTTCTGTCTCGTTGATCTGTCTAACATTGACAGTGGGGTTTTAAAATTTCCCAGTATTATTGTGTGGAAGTCTAAGTCTCTTTGTAGGTCTCTAAGGACTTGCTTTATGAATCTGGGTGCTCCTGTATTGGGTGTATATATATTTAGGATAGTTAGCTCTTCTTGTTGAATTGATCCCTTTACCATTATGTAATGGCCTTCTTTGTCTCTTTTGATCTTTGTTGGTTTAAAGTCCGTTTTATCAGAGGCTAGGATTGCAACCCCTTCCTTTTTTTGTTTTCCATTTGCTTCGGAGATCTTCCTCCATCCCTTTATTTTGAGCCTATGTGTGTCTCTGCAAGTGAGATGGGTTTCCTGAATACAGCACACTGATGGGTCTTGACTCTTTATCCAATTTCCCAGTCTGTGTCTTTTAATTGGAGCATTTAGCCCATTTACATTTAAGGTTAATATTGTTGTGTGTGAATTTGATCCTGTCATTATGATGTTAGCTGGTTATTTTGCTCATTAGTTGATGCAGTTTCTTCCTAGCCTTGATGGTGTTTACAATTTGGCATGTTTTTGCAGTGGCTGGTACTGGTTGTTCCTTTCCATGTTTAGTGCTTGCTTCAGGAGCTCTTTTAGGGCAGGCCTGGTGGTGACAAAATCTCTCAGCATTTGCTTGTCTGTAAAGGATTTTATTTCTCCTTCACTTACAAAGCTTAATTTGGCTAGATATGAAATTCTGGTTTTAAAATTATTTTCTTTAAGAATGTTGAATATTGGCCCCCACTCTCTTCTGGCTTGTATAGTTTCTGTCAAGAGATCAGCTGTTAGCCTGATGGGCTTCACTTTGTGGGTAACCCGACCTTTCTCTCTGGCTGCCCTTAACATTTTTTCTTTCATTTCAACTTTGTTGAATGTGACAATTATATATCTTGGAATTGCTCTTCTCGAGGAGTATCATTGAGGTGTTCACTGAATTTCCTGAATTTGAATGTTGGCCTGCCTTGCTAGATTGGGGAATTTCTCCTGGATAATATCCTGCAGAGTGTTTTCCAGCTTTGTTCCATTCTCCCCGTCACTTTCGGGTACACCAATCAGATGTAGATTGGGTCTTTTCACACAGTCCCATATTTCTTGGAGGCTTTGTTTGTTTCTTTTTATTCTTTATTCTCTAAACTTCTCTTCTCACTTCATTTCATTCATTTCATCTTCCGTCACTGATACCCTTTCTTGCAGTTGATCAAATTGGCTACTGAGGCTTGTGCATTTGTCACATAGTTCTCGTGCATTGGTTTTCAGCTCCATCAGGTCCTTCAAAGACTTCTCTGCATTGGTTATTCTGGTTAGCCATTCGTCTAATTTTTTTTCAAGGTTTTTAACTTCTTTGCCATGGGTTCGAACTTCCTCCTTTAGCTCAGTGTAGTTTGATCATCTGAAGACTTCTTCTCTCAATTCGTCAAAGTAATTCTCCATCCAACTTTGTTCCATTGCTGGTGAGGAGCTGCATTCCTTTGGAGAAGGAGGGGTGCTCTGATTTTTGGAATTTTCAGTTTTTCTGCTCTGTTTTTTCCCCATCTTTGTGGTGTTATCTACATTTGGTCTTTGATCATGGTGATATACAGATGGGGTTTTGGTGTGGATGTCCTTTCTGTTTGTTGGTTTTCCTTCTTACAGTCAGGACCCTCAGCTGCAGGTTTGTTGGAGTTTGCTGGAGGTCCACTCCAGACCCTCTTTGCCTGGGTATCAGCAGCAGAGGCTGCAGAACAGCGGATATTGGTGAACTGCAAATGTTGCTGCCTGATTGTTCCTCTGAAAGTTTTGTCTGAGAGGAGTACCTGGCCGTGTGAGGTGTCAGTCTGCCCCTACTGGGGGTTGCCTCCCAGTTAGGCTACTTGGGGGTTAGGGACCCACTTGAGGAGGCAGTCTGTCCATTCTCAGATCTCCAGCTGCATGCTGGGAGAACCACTACTCTCTTCAAATCTGTCAGACAGGGACACTTAAGTCTGCAGAGGATTCTGCTGCCTTTTGTTTGGCAATGCCCTGCCCCCAGAGGTGGAGTCTACAGAGGCAGGCAGGCCTCCTTGAGCTGCAGTGGGCTCCACCCAGTTTGAGCTTCCCTCCAGGCCTCTTTGTTTACCTACTCAAGCCTTGGCAATGGTAGATGCCCCTCCCCCAGCCTCACTGCTGCCTTGCAGTTTGATCTCAGACTGCTGTGCTAGCAATGAGTGAGGCTCCATGGGCATAGGACCCTCCAAGCGAGGCACGGGATATAATCTCCTGGTGTGCCATTTGCTAAGACCATTGGAAAAGTGCAGTGTTAGGGTGGGAGTGACCCAATTTTCCAGGTGCCTTCTGTCACCCCTTTGTTTGACTAGGAAAGGGAATTCCCTGACCCCTTGCACTTCCCTGGTGATGCAATGCCTTGCCCTGCTTTGGCTCATGCTCAGTGCACTGCACCCAGTGTCCTGCACCCACTTTCTGACACTCCCCTGTTAGATGAACCCGGTACCTCAGTTGGAAATGCAGAAATCACCAGTCTTCTGCGTCACTCATGCTGGAAGCTGTAGACTGGAGCTGTTCCTATTAGGCCATCTTGGCTCCACCTCCTGAGTAGATATTTTAAATTGATAAAATCAGCAAACCCTTAGCTAGACTAACAGAAAAGAGAAAGAACTCAGATAAATAATATTTAAAATGAAAGAAAAAGCATTGCAATTGATACTACAGAATTACAAATATTAGTAATATGCTACTATTAAAAATACTACACTAATATATTAAATTACCTGGACAAAATGGATAAATTCTTAGAAACTTACAACCTACCAACACTAAATCATAAAGAAACCGGAAATTTAAACAAACCAGTAACAAAGAAGGTGCTTAAAGGTGTACAAAAAACCTGCAACAAAAGAAAATTTCAGGACATGGTTTCACAGGTAAATCCTACAAAATTTTTAAGAAAAAACAAATGCCTACTTTCGAACACTTCCAAAAAAATAAAAAGAGAACACTTACAAACTCACTTTACAAGTCTACCATACAAATCCGAATAAGGTTCCTACAAAAAATGAAAATTACAGACCAATGTCTCTGATGAGTAGATGCAAAAGTTTTCAGCAAAATACTAGCAAACTGAATTCAACAGCTTATTGAAAGAATCATGCACCATGATCAAGTGTAATTTGTCCCTGAGATGAAAGTGTGGTTCTACATACAAAAATTGATAAGTGTGATATACCCCATTAACAGAATGAAGAATAAAAATCATATAATCCTCTCTATAGTTGCAGAAAAAGCATTTGAAAAAAGACAACATTCTGTCACAATAAAACACCAAAAAATTTAGATGTAGAGGGAGTGTACTTAAACAAAATAAAGGCCTTGTGTGACAAGACCACAGAAAACATCATACTAAACAATAAAAAGCTAAAACGTTTTCCCCTTAAGACCAGGAGCAAGATAAGAATGCCCATTTTTCATGTCCTTTGCCCATGAACAGTAGGCACAAAAGAAGACATGCATACAGCCAACAATTATATGAAAAAAAGGCCCAACATCACTGATCATTAGAGAAATGCAAATTAAAACCACAATGAGATACCATCTCACATCAGTCAGAATTGCTATTATTAAAAGTCAAGGCCAGGCATGGTGGCTCATGCCTGTAATCCCAGCAATTTGGGAGGCTGAGGGGGCAGATCACCAGGTCAGGAGTTAGAGACCAGCCTGGCCAATATGGTGAAACCCCGTCTCTACTAAAAAATACAAAAATTAGCCAGGCATGGTGGTGCATGCCTGTAGTCCCAGCTACTCAGGAGGCTGAGGCAGGAGAATCGGTGGAACTTAGGAAGTGGAGGTTGTAGTGAGCCAAGAGTGTGCCCCTGCACTCCAGTCTGGATGACAGAGTGAGACTCCATCTCAAAAAAAAAAAACCAAAAAAGTCAAAAAATAACAGATGCTAGTGAGGTTGTGGAGAAAAGGGAATGCTTACACACAGTTGGTGGGAGTGTAAATTAGTTCAGTCATTGTGGAAGACAGTGTGACGATTCCTCAAAGGCCTAAAGATAGAAAATCCATTCAACCCAGTAATCCTACTACTGGGTATATACCCAAAGGAATACAAATTACTCTATTATAAGGATGCATGCACACATATGTTCATTGCAGTACTATTCACAATAGCAAAGACATGAAATCAACATAAACTTACATGAATGTTAGACTGGATAAAGAAAATGTGGTATATACACACCATAAAATAGTATGCAGCCTTATAAAAGAATGGGATTATGTCCTTTGCGTGGACATGGATGGAGCAGGAGGCCATTATTCTTAGCAAACTAACCTAGCAACAGAAAACCAAATAACATATGTTCTCATTTATAAATGGGAGCTAAATGATGATGACACATGGACAAATGAAAGGGAACAACACTCACTGGGGACTTTCAGAGGGTGGAAGGTGAGAGGAGGGAGAGGATCAGGAAAAATAACTAATGGATACTAAGCTTAATACCTGGGTGATAATCTGTACAATAAACTCCCATGACAGAAGTTTACCTAGGTAATAAACCTACACTTGTACCCATGAGCTTAAAATAAAATTTAAAAAAATTATGCTCACTCTTGTCACTTCTATTCAATATTGTACTGGAAGTCCTAGCCAGAGCAATTAGGCAAGATAAACAAATAAAATTAATCCAAAAAAAAGTAAAATTGTCTCTGATTGCAGATGGCATATACTTACACATAGAGAATTCTAAAGACTCCACCAAAAAACTGTTAGAACCAATAAACATATTCAGCAAAATTGCAGCATACAAAATCCACACACAAAAATCAGTTGTGCTCTCATATACTAACAATAAGCTATCTGAAAAAGAAATTAAGAAAACAATTACACTTAGAATAGTATAAAAATGAAATACTAAGAAATAAATTTAGGTACATTGAAAACTGTAGGAAATTGATAAAAGAAATTAAAGAAGACACAAATAAAAAGATACCCTGTATTCATTGGCCAGAAGACTTAGAAATGTTTAAATGTCTGTATTTTGCAAAATGATCTACAAATTCAATGCAATCTTTATCAAAATTGTAGTGACTTTTTTTCACAGGAATAAAAGTAGAATCCCAAAATTCATATGAAATGACAAAACATCCTAAATATCCATAGCAATCTTGAGAAAAACAAGGCTGGAGGAATCACAGTTTCTGGAGTTAAATTATATTTCAAAGCTATAGTAATCAAGGCAGTATGATGCTAATATTAAAAAAAAACCACATAGACCAATATAATAGATTGGAGAGCCCCAAAATAAATCCACACATATATGGTCAACTGATATTTGACAAGGACACCAAGAATATTCAATAGGGAAAAGTTAGTCTCTTCAATAAATGATGCAGGGGAAACGGGGTGTTCACAGACAAAATAACAAAATTAGACCCTTGTCTTACATTATATACAATAATGAACTCAAACTGGTTGAAAGACTTAAATGTAAGACTTGAAACCATAAAACTACTGGAAGAAAACAGGAAAAATATCTCCTTGGCATTGGTCTTGACAATGATTTTTTCAATATGAGACCAAAAGCCCAAGCAAGAAAATAAATAAACAAGTGGCCTGCACCAAACTAAAAAGCTTCTGCACAGCAAAGAAAACAATCAACAACATGAAAAGGCAATTCACAGAATGGAAGAAAATAGTTTCAAACCATGTATCAGATACGAGTTAATATCCAAAATTTATAAGAAACTGTCACAACTCAAAGACAAAATGAAATAATAGGTAACTAAATTTATAAATTTGAATTGAATGAGCAAAGGGCTTGAATAAACATTTTTTCCAAAGAGGATATACAAATGGCCAACAGCTATATAAAAAGGTGCACAGTGTCACTAATCATCATGGAAATGTGACTCAAAATCACAATGAGATATCACCTCACACCTATTAGGTGTCTATTACCAAAAAACATGAAATAATGTGTCAGCGAGAGTGTGGAGAAAAGGAAATCCTTGGAAATTGTTAGTGGGAATGTAAATTAGTACAGCCACTATGGAAAACAGTATGGAGTTTCCTCAAATAATTAAAAGTAGAATACAATCCAGCAATTCTACTTCTGGGTACATATCCATAGAAAATGAGAAGCAATTTTATTTCTAGGTATATATCCACAGAAAAAGAGATCAGTATCTTGAAGAGATATTTGTATGTTCTTTGCAGCATTATTCACAATAGCCAACATATGGAAAAAACCTAACTGTCTGTTGATGGATGAATGGATAAAGAAAATGTGAGATAAAGATAAATTGATACATCATAGCTAACTAGCTAGATAGATAGATAAATAGATAGATAAAATGGAATATCATTCAGTGCTACAAAGAAGGAAATCCTACCTTTTGTGACACCGTGGATTAATCTAAAGGGCATTACGGTAAGTAAGTTAAGTCGGACATAGAAAGACAAATACTGTGTCATCTTACTTATATATGGAATCTAAAATAAAAAGTCCAACTCATAGAATCAGAGAATAGAATAATGATATCCAGGGACAGGGGTGTGAGGGAAATGGAGAGATATTGGTCAATGGGTACAAACTTTTATTTGTGAGATGAGTAAGTTCTGATACCTAACATATAGCACAGTGATTCAGTTAACACTTCAGTTTTGATTACTTGAAATTTGTGAAGACAGTAGATTTTGTGTTCTCATCCCCAATACACACAAATCATAACTAATTGTGGTGATTGATGTGTTAATTAATTTTATTGTGATTATCATTTTGCAATGTATATGTATAGCAAATAACCACGTTGTACTCCTTGCGTATATGAAATTTTTATTTGTTGATTATAACTCAACAAAGCTGGAAAAAATATAAATTTCAACTTCTACTGCTGTATGGAAAATGGATTAAAGCAAAGGCCAGAGGTTGAAAGCTTGAATTTCTAGCATGAATCTTGGAACTGGGCTGACAACCCTACATCTCCATCACTTTCTCCTGGCAGTAAATTGACATGAGCATGGTACTAATACAGTCTTTGCATGCCAGCTCTTTGCTTGAAAAATATAGCGACAGTTATTTTCATTACAAATATATTTATTTAACACCTACTGTTTTCTAGGTACTGCACTAGACAACCAAGATGGAAGTCTTAGCCCCCATCACCTTTAAATTCTAGTTTCAGATACCGACGATAAACAAATAAATGTAGAACCAAGCATTAAGTAGTAATATAAAATCAGTTTAAGTAGAGGAAATAGCTAGTGCAAAGGCCTCTAAAGACACAGGAGCTTGGTGGTATCAAAGAATAACTTTCAAAAAAAAAAAAAACTACACCTGGTATATAGTGAATGAGAGAAAGAGTAGTATGAGATGAGATTGCAGATGTGGGCAAGGTTCAGGTTATATAAAGTCTTGATGGTGATTATAAAAGAGGTTAGGGCAAGAGGTGTTATTTCAAAAAATTACATGGATACGTGAAAGACTACTATGTGATTGAGATGTGGCAAAATGTTTGGTATGTCTGGAAGATAGAGTAGAAAGCCAGAGGTAAGATAAGCATACTTCTTTTGTCCTTCTTAATGAAGAAGCCAAATGATCTGATCAGAAGATACATTTCTTGCTTAGCCCAGTGGTTCTATCAGGGAACGTACGATGGCATGGAGGCATCTTCAGAAAGTCACAGTTTAAAGGAAGCATCATGAGAAGGCTAAAAGCTAAGGCCCATTTGAAAACAAAGTTCATGGTACATGAGTGTATTGCTCAGGACCTCAGGGGTCCTAGGATTGGGAGATTCTGCTTTACAAGAGTAACAACAGCAAACTGGAGAAGACTTGAGGATGATCCTGGCATAATAGAAGATCCTCAGGCACCATAAGAGCTCTGCCAAGCCAGATTCCTGTGATAGCTGGGATGATATCAGCAGGCTTGCTAATAGCATTTAGTCAGGTCTGTTTTCCCAGAGACAAAATTGAGGGAATGGAAACCCTCCCCTCTACAATGTAACTAGGCCTTTGGTGGTAAAGTAATATCCCAAATATGTCTTCCATTCACATATGTATTTTCCTCCCTTGCAAAACTGCAAATTAAGGACTACATAATGATCAACTTTAGGTCTCTCTTTTCACCTCACCCACTTGTCAGGTCCAGTGCCTATAGAGTTATGCCAGGCACTTTTCATCTATAACCTGAAAAAATTATCCTGTTCCCTGAGATATGCTTTGGGATAGAGAGGTAGCTATACTCCTCCTCCTCCCATATTGGTGTTGGGTCCACAATCCTAGGCTATAGGCTTAAGAAACACTTTTCTCTCATAAAGACTCCTGGGAAAATGGGAATCCTAGGTCCTCTGTTCTTCATCCCCAGCTAAGAAAAATGTCTCTGGAACCTTTGAAAGCTTGACAAAATATCCTGTAGCTCTTCCAGTTGGGATAGAAAATTGAGTTAAGCTTTGGGAGTGGAGGTGGGAGGTGGGACCTAAGAGCAAAACAGCAGAAACTTGTAGGGAGCAGCCTGAAGAAAAGCAGTTAAGAAAGGGCAAGAAATGCCTAGCCTGGAGTGTAGTAACAGTTCCAAGCAAAGTGGCTGGCTGAAGTGGTGAGAAGCAAAATGACCAGAACATACTAGTATAACATGGAAGTTCCTTAGCTACTTCCAGAAATAAATTGGGGAGGAGAATCTGCTAAGACATGTGACTACTTATGGTAAATGATATGAAAGTTGTTGGAACTTTAAAGGGAAGTGAACGTGCTAAAGAAATCAGTTGAGTCTATTGAAGTGATGTCTTCGTCACCTCCTAACAACAATCCATGTAGTGAGTGAGGAAACTGGGTTTAGAGTGTTCACTAACTTGCATAAGACTATAAGCTATGTGGCTATGAAAATGGGGCTAGGATTTGAACTAAAGCCTACCTGACTAGAAAGCACTGTTTCATTGCTCCATCATAATAGACTGTAATATCCAAAACTAAATCTAAAAAATCTAGGAATGTAGCAGAGATATATATGCTAATGTGGAAGGTGAACATTGTCCTGGAGACTGAATTGGCAGCCTGACTTGGAGTGTTTTATGGGAAATCTCCACTAAGCCTCATGCTCCCTTAAATAACAAGGGTTCTTCCAACACTTAGTCTCCAGAGAGTTTTTTTGACTACTGCACAGCTCTAATTGCTAGCCATCAGTTTGCAGCCCAGCTAAAAATCCAGACATCTTTGTGGGGGCAGGGAAAGCCTTCAATTATGAAAATGACTCTGTTAAGGATGGGTTTTGAGGCAGGAGTGTTGCAAGCCTCTGTCTGAGTCTGTGTCCAGCTAGGAATTATCTTGTTACTTGCCAGAAGGCAAGAAAACAGCTTTTCACTATCTGTTTTCTCCCACTGGAATATAAGCCCAACAGAACAGGAAAGTATCTGCCTTATTTAGTGTTCTGTTTCTAGTGTCCAGAGCGCTGCTTGAGTAAGTATTATAGTAAGTATTTATCAAATAAGTTAGTAGATTCAGATTAGAGCAGAGAAAGGAATGGGCTATCTGCCTCTGGAATCAGATCCCTGGGGAGTAGGGTGGGTCTGTGTGGCATTCAGGGCATTCAGGGAAGACGTGGTAAGTTGGGTCAGGAGAACTTACTTTAGAAAACACTAACAAAATTCCAAAAGGGAGTTAGTTACCAAATTTCATAATGTAGCTCTCTTTTCTTCTGGCCAGACCCACATCAGGGGAGTAGCTCTAGACCCAGAACATGAAGAGAGACACAAACAAACTGAGGTCTGTACAGAGGAAAGTGAGTAGCTTGGTGTATTAGTGTGCTCAGGCTCCTATTAGCAAAATACCATAAAATGAGTGCCTTAAACAACAGAAATTTATTTTCTCACAGTTCAGGAGGCTAGGCATCTGTGATCAAGGTGCCAGGAGCTTTGGTTTCTGAAGAGGAATCTCTTGCTGGCTTGTAGATTGCCGCCTTCTCATAATGTCCTCCCATGGCTTTTCTTCATTATGTGAACAAGGGCATGTTGGGGACCAAGCTCTGTGGTGTCTCTTCTTATAAGGAAACTAATCTGATCAGATAATGGCCCCACCCTTATTACTTCATTTAACCTTATGTACTTCCTTACTCTAAATATAGGCACACTTGAGTTGGGGCTTCAGCATATGAATTTGTGGGGCAAACACAAATATTCAGTTTAAAACAAAAGGGCTTGGAAAACATTCCAATGAGGAACAGTTGGATGTCCTGGGGCTGTTTAGTTTGGAAAAGAGAAGAATCAGTAGGACTTGGTCTCAGACATCAGATTGCCCGAAGGCTATAACAGCAGAGGGAGCAAATGTTTTCAGTTTGTCCTTCGTGGAAGACTTCAGAAGGAAATAAACACATCATCATTGGGGACAGGAAGGCTGGTTCTGACATCATTTGGGAGGGATGGAGTGTAAGCTTGACTTAAGTGAGTAGCCTAAAATATTACTTCGGATTCCCAAATTCTGGAATAACTGTTATGAGAATACCTCCAAACCCTATTTCAACTTTCCTCAGCAAGAAGTTTTTCTGGGTGCAAGAACATTATTCTATCCCTCTTGTATTCTACCTCTTCACTCATTCCTTCCCAACCAGAGTCTCAGCCAAGCCGGGCCTGGCTTAAATTAGGGGGTGAATGAACTGCTCCATAAATTTCCTGAGTTCTAAAGAAATTTACCACCAAAAACCAGAAAAATGCATTCAGGTCTTCCTTATTGTCTCTTCCTATTATGCTAAGTTTTAGTGAGAAAATGTGGGTACCACAGCTATGTGGAGGCTATAGCAAAAGTAGTTAAGCATGTCAGCTGAGTGACATAAGAAAGAGGCAAAATGAAGCCTGGGGTTTTACAGGTTTTCCTTCCAGGGCCGGATTAAGCAACTATGCCTTGCCCCTGTTGGGAAAGTTGGCAGTGCTGGGTAGCAGTAGGAATGGGGCATGGAGAGAGAAGACTGGCTTAGTAATACTGATTGGACCCAGAAATGTCTTGGACTAGATCTGAAATAGGGAATGGCACTCTATGGCAAAGGTTAAAGCATCTCATCTGTGTGAGAGAGGCCTTTTCTTTATATGCTAGATTTCTTCCTTAAGAGTTGTGATTCTGAAATGTGAGTGGACATAAAAATTCCCTACAGTGTTTGTTAAAATGCAGATTCCAAGCCCCCTTCTACAACGATTGAATCTAAATTTGTGGGGATGTGCCCTTGGCATCAACATTTTAACAAGCTTCTTAAGTGATGTATAACACACTCAAGTTGGAATATCACAGACTAATGAAGTCAAAATATAAACAATTTTTGAAAAATAAAGTGCAGATACAGCTTATACTGAGTTTGATAAAAAAAATTATAAGACCTTCAATAGAGAGATATTCCTGCACATGGCTTAGAAATACCTTAATGGTATTTGCTGATATTGCTGTTCTTCATAATTCATATTTTAAATTGACAAATACAAATTGTATATATTTATCATGTACATATTTTTTGGAAGTATTTATACATTGTGAAATGAATAAATCAGTTTAATTAACATGTGCTTTACCTCATATTTATTATTTTTGATAAGAACATTTCAAATCTACTCTCAGTAATTTTCAAGAATACTATACATGGTTATTAATTATAGTCACCATGTTGTAAGACAGATCTCTTGAACTTATTACTCCTATCTAACTGAAATTTTAAGTATTTTCATCAACATCTCAACTCCCTTACTCGTGTCCTCTGATAAACAATGTTCTACTCTGCTTCTATGTATTCAGCTTATTAGATTCTACATATAACTGAGATCATATGGTATTCGTCTTTCTGAGCATGGCTTATTTCACTTAACACAATGTTCTTCAGGTTCATCCATGTTGTCACAAATGACAGGATTTTATCCTTTTTAAAGGCTTAATAGTATTCCATTCTGTATGTATACAACATTTTCTTTATCCATTAATCCTTTAATGGACACATAGTTTGTTGATTTTATATCTTGGATATTATAAATAATGTTGCAATAAGCATGGTAGTGCAGGTATCATTTTGACATACAGATCTTATTTTCTTTGGATACATACCCAGTAGTGGGATTGCTGGATTGTATGGAAGCTCTATTTTTAGTTTTTTGAGGAACTTCCAAACTGTTCTCCATAGTGGTAGTACTAATTTACTCTCCCACAAAAAGTGTTTGAGGGTTTCCTTTGCTCCACATCCTAGCCAGCATTTGTTATTGCCAGTCCCACTACTTTACTGAATTCATCTATTAGTTCTAACAGTGTGTGTGTGGTGTGTGTGTGTGTGGTGTGTGTGTGTGTGTGTGTGTGATCTGTAAGGTTTTCTACATACCATCTGCAAACAGGGACTGTCTGAATAAAGACTACCTCCTTTCCAATTTGAATGCCTTTTATTTATTTCTCTTGCCTAATTACTTTGGCTAGGACTTATCTTACTGTGTTGAATAAAAGTGGTAAAAATGACCATCCTTGTTTTCTTCCAGATTTTAGAGAAAAAGATTTGAAAGTTTCAACATTAAGTATGATGTTAGCTGTAAATTTGTCATATGTGGCTTGTATTATGTTGAGGTGCATTTCTTTTATACCTAATTTTTTTAATAGTTCTTTAATCATAAATAGATATTCAAATTTATTAATTTTTTTGCATTCATTTAAATAATCATACGGTTTTTATTTTGATTGTTGTTAATGCAATGTATCACACTAATTGATTTTTGCATGTTGAACCATATTTTCAAGAAACCAACTCTTCATTTTGTTGAACTTCTATGTTGTTTATCAGTCTCTATTCTGTTTATTTATGCTCTTTTTTTATTATTTCTTATCGTCTACCATTTTTGGCCTCAGTATGTTCTAGTTTTTCTAATTTTTTGATATTCAATGTTAGATTGTTTATTTGCAATATTTCTAATTTTTTAATGTGTGTGATTATTTCTATAAACTTTCTTCTTAATATTGCTTTTGCTGTATCCCATACATCTTGGTATGTTGTTCTTCATTTCCATCTGTCTCAAAATTTTTTAAAATTTCCTTTTAATTTATTTATTGATCCATGTGTTATTCATGGGTATGTTATTTATTTTACATAGACGTACATAATTCCCAAAGCTCTTCTTGTTATTCATGATTAGTTTTATTACATTTTGGTAAGAAAAGATACTTGATATAATTTTGATTTTGGGCCTAACATATGATCTATTCTAAAGAAAGTTTTATGTGTTGATAAGAAGAACGTGTATTCTGCAGCTGTTGGGTAGTTTTGTAAATGTTTATTAGGTTCATTTGATCTAGGGTGCGGTGTTAATCTGATGTCTCTCTGTTGATTTTCTGTCTGAATAATCTGTCCATTTCTGAAAGTGGGGTGTTTAAGTTTCCTCCTATTATTGTATTGCAGTCTATCTTGCCTTTAAGGTGTAATATAACTTGTTTATATATTTTTGTGCTCTGGTGTTGAGTTCATATATGTTTACAATTGTTATATTCTTTTGATAAACTGACACAGTTATCATTATATAATGACCATATTGGTCTTTTTTTACAGTTTTTTACATAAAGTCTATTTTAATTGATATGAGTACACCAACTTCTGCTTTCTTTTAATTTCCATTTGCATTGAATATCATTTTCCATCCCATTACTTTCACTTTATATGTGTCTTTAAAGGCAAAGTGAGCCTCTTCCAGACAGCATATGGATGAATCTCAGGGTTTTTAAAAATTATTTTAACCTTTATTTTAGGTTCACGGGTACATATGAAGGTTTGTTACATAGGTAAACTCACATAATGGGGATTGGTTGTACAGGTTATTTCATCATCCAAGTATTAAGCCCAGTGCTCAATAGTTATCTTTTCTTCTCTTCTCCCTCCTTCCACCCTCCACCTAAAGTAGACCTCAGTGTCTGTTGTTTCCTTCTTTGTTTTCATAAATTCTCATCATTTAGCTCCCACTTATAAGTGAGGACGTACGGTATTTTGTTTTTTGTTCTGGCATTAGTTTGCTGAAGATAATAGCCTCCAGCTCTATCCATGTTCATGCAAAAGACATGATCTCATTGTTTTTTATAACTCCATAGTATTCCACAGTGTATATGTATCACATTTGTTTATTCAATCTGCCACTGATGGGTATTTAGGTTGATTCCATGTCTTTGTTATTGTGAATAGTGCTGCAATGAGCATTTCTGTGCATGTGACTTTATGGTAGAATTATTTATATTCCTCTGGGTATATACCTAGTAATAGAATTGCTGAGTTGAATGATAGTTCTGCTTTTGGCTCTTTGAGGAATAGCCATAGTGCCTTCCATAATGTTTGAACTAATTTATACTCCCACCAACCAAGAGTGTATAAGTGTTCCTTTTTCTCCACAACCATACCAGCATTTGTTACTTTTTGACTTTTTAGTGATAGCTATTCTGTCTGATGTGAGATAGTATCTTATTGTGGCTTTTATTTACATTTCTCTAATGATCAGTGACATTGAGCTTTTTTTATATGACTGCTGGCCACATGTGTATCTTCTTTTGAAAAGTTCATGTTCTTTATCCACTTTTTAATGGGGTTGTTTACCTTTGGTAATTGTTTAAGCTCCTTATAGATGCTAGATGTTAGACCTTTGTCAGATGCATAGTTTTCAAATATTTTTCTCCCATTCTGTAGGTTGTGAGTTTACTCTGTTGATAGTTTCTTTTGCTGTGCAGAAGCTCCCATTTGTCAATTTTTGCTTTTTATTGCGATTGCTTTTGTTGTCTTTGTCATGAAATCTTTGCCCATTCCTGTGTTTAGGATGGTATTGCCTATGTTGTCTACCAGGGTTTTCATAGTTTTCAGTTTTACATGTAAATCTTCAATCCATCTTGAGTTGATTTTTGAATATGGTGTAAGGAAGGGGTCCAGCTTCAGTCTTCTGCATATAGCTAGCCAGTTATCCCAGCACTACTTATTGAATAGAAAGGCTTTTCCCCTTTGCTTTTGTAGCTTTTGTCAAAGATCAGGACGTTGTTGTTGTGTGGCCTTGTTTCTGGACTCTCTATTCTGTTTCATTGGGCTATGTGTCTGTTTTTGTACCAGTACCATGCTGTTTTAGTTACTGTAGCCCTGTAGTGAAAATAATTGTAAAATAGTTTTTTTCTAGTTATCTGAGTAATGTCATTAGTAGTTTGATAAGAATAGCATTGAATTTGTAAATTGCTTTGAGCAGTATAGCCATTTTAATGATATTGATTCTGCCTATTTATGAGAATGGGATGCATTTCTGTTTGTTTGTGTCTTCTCTGATTTCTTTGAGAATTTTTTTTAAATTCTCATTGTTGAGATATTTCACCTCCCTGTTTAGCTGTATTCCTAGGAATGCTATATTTTGTGGTAACTGTGCATGGGATTGCCTTTATGATTTGGCTCTTGTCTTGGCTGTTGTTGGTGTATAGGAATACTAGTGAGTTTTGTATATTGATTTTGTATCCTGAAACTTTCCTAAAGTTTTTTATCAGCTGAAGTAGCTTTTGACCCAAGACTATGGGGAATTCCACATATAGAGTCATGTCTTCTGCAAAAATAGTTTGACTTTCTCTCTTCTTGTTTAGATTCCCTGTACTTCTTTATCTTGCCTAATTGCTTTAACTAGGACTTTCAATACTACATTGAATAGGAGAGGTGAGAGAGGACATACTTGTCTTGTGCTGGTTTTCAATAGAAATGCTTCCAGCTTTGCCTACTCAGTATAATGTTGGTGTGGGTTTGCCATAGTTGGCTCTTATTATTTTGAGGCATATTTCTTCAATATCTAGCTTATCCAGATTTTTTAACATAAATGGTGTTGAGTTTTGTTTAAAGCCTTTTCTGTGTCTATTGAGATAATCATGTGGTTTTTGTCATCAGTTATGTTTATGTGATGAATCACATTTATTGATTTGCATATGTTGAACCAACCTTGCATCCTGGGGATGAAGCCTACTTGATCATGGTTGATTATCTTTTTGATGTGCTGCTGGACTCAGTTTGCAATTATTATGTTGAAGATTTTTGTATCTCTGTTCATCAAGGATGTTGGCCTGAACTTTTCTGTTGCTGTTGTGTCTCTGCCAGAGGTCTCTAAGATCAGACGCAGGTATCAGGATGATGCTGGCCTCATATACTGAGTTGGAGTGGAGTCTCTTCTCCTCATTTTTTTTGGAATAGTTTTTGTAGGAATGATATCAATTCTTCATTGTATATCTGGTAGAATTCGGCTGTGAATCCATCAGCTCCTGAGCTTTTCATGGTTGGTAGTCTATTATTGATTCAATTTCAGAGCTTGTTATTAGTCTGTCGAGGAAATTAATTTTTTTGGTTCAGTCTTGGAAGGGTGTTATGTGTCCAGGAATATATTGTTCAGTCTTGGAAGGGTGTTATGTGTCCAGGAATGTATCAATCTCTTCTAAATTTTCTAATTTGTATACATAGAGGTGTTTGTATTTGTTTCTGATGGTTATTTTTATTTCTGTAGGGTCAGTGGTAACATTCTCTTTGTCATTTCTAGTTGTGTTTATTTGGATCTTCTCTGTTTCCTTCTTTATTATTCTAGCTAGCAGCCTATTTTATTAATTTTTTTCAAAAAAACAACTCCCATAAGCATTGATCTTTTGAATGATTTTTTTATGTCTCGATTTCCTTCAATTCAGCTCTGATTTTGGTTAGTTCTTGTTTTCTTCTAGCTTTGGGGTTAATTTGTTCTTGCTTCTCTAATTCTTTCAGTTGTGATGTTAAGTTGTTAATTTAAGATATTTCTTACTTTTTGATGTGGGCATATGAATTTCTCTCTTAACATTCCCTTAGCTGTTTTCCAGAGATTCTTGTATGTTGTACCTTTGTTTTCATTAGTTTAAAAGAACCTCTTGATTTCTGCCTTAATTGTATTATTTACCCAAAAGTCATTTGGGAGCATGTTGCTTAGTTTCTATGTAATTGCTTGATTTTGAGTGATTTTCTTAGTCTTGACTTCTATTTTTATTGCATTGTGGTCTAAGACTGTGTTTGGTATGATTTCAGTTCTTTTGCATTTGCTAAGGATTGTTTCATGTCCAATTGTGTGGTCAGTTTTAGAGTGTATGCTCTGTGGCCATGAGAATGTATATTCTGTTGTTTTTGGGTGAAGAGTTCTGCAGAGGTCTATCAGATCCATTTGGTCCAATGTTGAATTAACTTCCTGAATATCTTTGTTAATTTTATGCCTTGATGATCTGTCTGGTACTGTAAGTGGAGTGTTGAAATCTTACACTATTACTGTGTGAGACTCTATGTCTCTTTGTAGATCTTTAGTAACTTGCTTCATTAATCTGGGTGCTTCTGTGTGGGTGCATATATATTTAGGATAAATATTATTCCTATACATATTCCAAATTCCATTTCTGTCATTTCAGCCAGTTCAGCTTGGTTAAGAACTCTTGTTGAAGAATTGGTCCAGTTAATTGGAGGACATACTCCAGTCTGGCCATTTGAGTCACCAGAGTTCTTGCATTGGTTCTTTCTTATCTCTGCATGTGTGTGTTACTTTAACTGCAGTGTAGATTGAATACAGTTAATACACCTATTTTCTGGATGTTTACATCTGGCTGAGGATTTGTGCAGTGCCTTTATTTGAAACTGACTTTTTTTTTTTGTTTCAGAGTTGGGTACATTAGTGAGGTATTTTTGATGTGGAAACTTTGGGATGTGATTCAGTAGGTGGCACTTATTGGTCAGTTGGTAAACTCTTGCTCAGTTGTGTGGCTCCAATATGTTCCCTCACAGTGGCAGCTGTGTTCCCTGTCAATATTCTGAAAGTGTAGATTCCTCTCTTTCTTGAGTGCAGGCTGTAGATCATGGCTTGGAACTCCTGGTCTGCCCACTGCAGCTTTGGTTGGATCTCAGTGTTTATGTTTCTTCCCCAGCTTGGGGGGGCAACAAAGGAAGGGACCTTATTAATGGTTGTAGGGTCTTTTGCTCACCTGCTAGAGCCTCCACCCCAGAGAATGCAGGTCAGCGTCATTCAGTGCAATCAGCCCAGGATGGAGGGTCTGTGCTATGGGCTCAAGGTGGAAGTTCCCCGTCTGGTGATGAACGGAAGTGGGTGTGTGAGACCCATGGAAGATGGACTGGTCCCCTCTCCTTCAGTCAACTGAAGCTTGTTGGAGGTGTTAATAAAGCACTTAGGATCTTTGTTCCTTCATTAGTCCATGGGTGGAAAGGGCAGTTCCACTGCCGAGGTAGTGGCAGAGAGGCTTTCAGTTGCCCCTGGAGGCTTTGTCCAGGGAGCTTTTGAGTTACTACTGGCTCGATAGCTCTGGTAGAGGGTGGCTGGAGGCCTATGCCTGGAGGACCTGCCAATTGAGGAGATATGGGAACAGGCACCCACATAATACTCTGTCCAGTTTTTCATAGGGCTGCTGCAGTATGCTGGAGGCCCATTCCATTCCCTAGTAGCCTTGGATTTTCCAGTACCTGGAAGTGTCACCAGTGAAGGCTGCAATATAGCAAAGATGACAATCTGCCTCTCCCTCTGGAAGCTCTCTCCCAGAGAGGTATGGACTTGCTGCTGGCCCAAACACACCTGTAGGAGGTGCCTGGAGACCCTGATTGGGGAGTTGCTCTCAGTGGGGTGGAACAGGATTGGGGGCCCCTTTAAAAAACAGTCTGGCCATGTTTTTGTAGAGCAGCTGTGCTATGTTGAGGCTTTGCTTCAGCCCCCAATTACCTCAGACACTCCAAAGGTCGAAGGTGAAATAGCTAAGTCACCCAAACAGCAAAGATAATGGCCTTTCCCTCCCTTTGGGACATCAATCCAGGAAGGTTTCAAGTCTTTGTTGGATGAAGAGCACTGGGGAGGCTGGCTGGAGACCCTAGTTGGGAGGTCCTGCCCAGTGAAGAGGGATGAGGTCAGGGATCTGTTTTAAGAAATAATCTAGCTACATTTTCACAGAACAGCTGTGCTGTGCTGGGGGGACTGCCTCAGCTTCCATTTGGCTTGGACTCTCCAAAGCCTGAAGGTAGAAACAATTAAGTCACCTAAACAATAAAGATGGCTGCCCAGCTCTCCCTCTGGGAGCTCCATTCCAGAAACCTCTGTCAGCCAGAGAACACCAGTTGGGGTAACAGGAGACCCTGGTTGGAAGTCCCCACCTGGTTATGAGGAATGGGATGAAGAACCCACTGTAAAAGGCAGTCTGGCCACATGTTTATAAAACAGTCATGCTGTGCTGGAGTACCACTTTCACCTCCTGTCAGCTTAGACTCTCCCGAGCTTGAAGGCTTGAAACGCTAAGTCACCCAAACAGCAAAGATGGTGGTCCACCCCTCCCTATGGCAGCTCCATTCAAAGGAGACTTCAAATCTATGTCAAGTGAAGAACACTGGTTGGGGTGGCTGGAGGATATAGTTGGGAGAAATGAGATCAGGGAACTGCTTAAAAAAAAGCAGTCTGACCACATTTTGGTAAAGCAACTGTGTTGTGCTGGGGGATCCCTTCCACCCCCAGTTGGCTTCGGTTCTCTAAAGCCTGAAGGCTGGAACAGCTAAACCACTCAAAAAGCAAAGATGGTAGCCCTCTTCTCCCCCAAGGAATTCCATCCCATATAGGTGCAATGCTGCTACCGGTGGCTGGCTGGAATTCCAAGCCAGGGAGTCTTATCCTGCAAGTTCCTGTGGAAGTGGGATTTGCAGGCTTTCACTGCTCAGCCCTTTGATTCAGCCTCTTTCCTAGAGGTATGTACAGGGGTCTAACCTCCCACTTTGCTGGAGTTGCAGCTACTTTTGCCAGGAAGACCAGAGAGCCTGAGTAAGGCTCCCAGGTCTCCATGTACTCCTAAGTAGCTGCTTTGCTGAGATTCTATATAGTTCCTTGTGTCAAACTAAAGGCCCTTGTGGAGTTGGTTCAGAAGGAAATCTCCTGACCTGATGGTTGCAAAGATCCGTGGGAGAAGTGTTGGTTCCCAGGGTCACACATTTACTCACTACTTCCCTGGGCAGGAGACGTTCCCTTGGCTCCATGTCACTTTTGAATGGTCTGTGGTCCTGCCTTGCTCTTCTCCACTTTCTGCAGGTCAACTTGTTTCCTTGATTACTCCTAGTGCAAATACCTGGGCATTTCAGCTGATGGTGCTGTATTTACTCACCCCTTCCATTCCTCTTTGTGAGAGCCACACACACTACTAGCCTCTTCTAGTTGGCCATCTTGGCCACCTTCTGAATCTTGTTTTATAATCTACTTAGTTACTCCTTTTTTAACTGGAGAATTTAATTCACTTACGTTTAAGGTTATTTTTGATAGGTATGGACATTTTTCTACCCTGTTATATAATTTTATTTATTTTGTATTTTTTTGTTCTTTTACTCCTCTTTTGTTTTTTACCTGTGTGGTTTGATTGTTTTTCCTAGTGATAAGCTTTTATTATTATTTGTTCTCATTTATGTAGCTGCTGTAATTTTTTTTCTTTGTGGTTACTGTAGGGCTTACATTTAAAAATCTTGTAGTTCTAGAATACTATTTAAGCTGATTACAACCTAACTTTGGTTGTATACAAATATTCTAGACTTTTACTCTCCCCTCCCATAATTTGTAATATTCCTACCTTAATTTACATCTTTTTATATTGTGTATTTCTTAGCAATTTATTATAGCTATGGTTATTGTTTGCCATTTTGACTTTTATCATTAGCGCTAGAGACCTGAAAGATTACATACCACCATTAAAGTAAAGACACAATTTGATTTTGATTATGATGTTACCTCTACCAGTGAGTTTTACGTTTTCATGATTTTGTGATAATAATTAACGTTCTTCTACTTCTGGTCAAAGCACTCCCTTAAGCATTTCTTGTAAGGCTGGTCTAGTGGTTACAAATTTTCTTAGCTTTTGCTTGTCTAGAAAATATTTTATTTCTCCTTCATTTCTGCAAAATAGCTTTGCTGAGTTAGTATTCTTGTCTAGCATGTTTTTTTTTAACAAATATAATATTCCACTCTCGCCCTCCAAGATTTCTGTGAGAAATCATTTAAAAATCAAACAGAAGTTCACTTATACGTGACTTCATCCTCTTCTCTTGAAGCTTTTATAATTTTTTCTTTGTCTTTTATAATTTTTTCTTTGTCTTTGACTTTTGACAGTTTCATTTTAATGTGCCTTGAAAAAGACCTCTTTGGGTTGAAACTAATAAGACTTTATAAGTTTTGTGGATCTAGATGTTCGTATCTGTCTCAAAACGTGGGAAGTCTTCATCTATTATTTTATTAAATAAACTTTCTGCATATTTGTCTGCCTCATCTCCCTCTGAACATTTAATAATGCAAAATTTTGTTCACTTAATGGTGTCTCACAGATCTCAGATTTTCTTGGATCTTTTAGGATCTTTTATGTTTTTTTCTTTCTGACTGAATTATTTTAAAGAATGGTCTTCAATTTCAGTATTTTTTTTAATTCTGCTTGATCTAGTCTGCTTTTGAAGCTCTCATTTCTATTATTAATTTTACTCATTAAAGTCTTCACCTCCAGGATTTACGTTTTCTTAACAAGATCTCTCTTTCAAATATCTCATTTAGCTAATAAATTGTTTTCCCAATTTTGTTGAATTGTCTATCTTTATTCTCTTGTATTTCAGTGAGTTTCCTTAAGATCATTATTTTAAATTCCTTTTCAAGAAACCCATAAATTTTCATTTTATAGGGTCTGTTTCTGGAGAGTTATTGTGTTTCCTTGGTAGTACTATATTTTCTTGCTTTTTAATATTTTGTGTGTCTCTGCATTGATATCTATGCATCTGATGAAATGGTCACCTATTCCAATTTTATAGAGTTGTTATAATAAAAAAAATCACCTAAAGATGTGTCATAGGGAGTCAATTATGTAGAGCATGTTGGCTTTGGTTCTGGATGAATGCAGTAGTGTAGTCTCTGTGCAGTTTCTTCATCTGTAGTCAATTTTAGCAATGCTTACAAATCCACTAGTGGCTTAGGCTGCAAGAATATGTGGATGCTCCACCAGGTCAGGTGTGGTTACCCTATTAGGGGTGGGGGTGCTGGGCTATTTTGTGAATGTGCAAGGGCTGCTTCACCAGGGCCACATGCAGCTTTCCCACTGGGGACAGAGATGCCTGGCTGTTCCACATGCCAAAGGTGTGTAGAAGCTTCTCTACCAAAGTAAGGCACAACCCCTCTGCTGGGGATGAAAGCGTCAAGGTAATCCCTGTGCCACAGGTGCACAGGATCTGTATGCCAGATCTTACAGTGGGAATTGCAGTCACTCAATTACAAAATTTAAATGCGATGAGAATAATTGAGTCCTGAGGTGTCAGGGGCCAAGTGGTGGCACTCAACCAT
Organism: Homo sapiens; assembly: GCF_000001405.40. NCBI lineage: Eukaryota > Metazoa > Chordata > Mammalia > Primates > Hominidae > Homo > Homo sapiens. The sequence continues at coordinate 67,006,431 of NC_000023.11, read as the reverse complement.
CAGACACAAGGTGGACATAGTTACCATAATAGACAGCAGAGGCAAAGTAGTAATCAGAATAGTCTGAATTGTGTAGAGCTCTGTCATTGGCTAATTAATCACGGAGTTCCTAGAAGTGAAATTGATAAGAAGCCTACGGCATTCTTACTTAATTTGTATAAGCAGAAAACATCCAGGTCGAGTGGACAAATGACTAATATGAATTATTAAAATAGAAAATCATGGCCCCTCAATCAATTTCCAGGCTTGAATCATTTTACAGACCCAGAACCCCTTGAATGAAGGGGACGCTGGTTCCCCTTGAGGAAGGACCCCATTACACCACTGACAATTTATACTGGTAATCTTTATCCCATCCTTCCCCAAGAAGACCTCCAGCCTTTTACCAAGGTAACTGTGCATTGGAAAAAGGGGAATGATCGGACGTTTTCGGGACTACTGGACGCTGCCTGTGAGCTGATGTTAATTCCAGGAGCCCCAACATCACTGTGGCCCTCCAGTTAAAGTAGGGGGTTATGGAGGTCAGGTAATAAATGGAGTTTTTGCTCAGGTCTGCCTTACAGTGGGTTCCTGGACTCATCCTGTGGTCATTTTCCCTGTGCCAGAATGCTTAATTGGCATAGACATACTTAGCAGCTGGCAGAGTCCCCACATTGGCTCCCTGACTCGTAGGGTGAGGGCTATTATGGTGGAAAAGGCCAAATGGAAGCCATGAGAGCTGCCTCTACCTAGGAAAATAGTAAATCAAAAACAATATCACATCCTCTGGAGAGATTTTGAAGCGCAGTATCACCATCAAGATGCAGGGGTGGTGATTCCTATAACATCCCCATTCAACTCTCTTATTTGGCCTATGCAGAAGAGAGATGGATCTTGGAGAATGATAGTGGATTATTGTAAGCTTAACCAAGTGGTGACTCCAATTGCAGCTGCTTTATCACATGTGGTTTTATTGCTTGAGTAAATTAACACATCTTCTTGTACCTGGTATGCAGCAATTGATTTGGCAAATGCCTTTTTTTCCCCTTTCTGTCCACGAAGCCCATCAGAAGCAATTTGTATTCAGTTGTCAAAGCCAGCAATATACCTTCATTGTCCTACCTTTGGAGTGTATCAATTCTCCAGCTGTGTGTAATAATCTTGATCACAGATATCTTGATCGCTTTTTCCTTCCACAAGATATCACACTGGTCCATTACATTGATAACATTATGCTGACTGGACACAGTGAGTGAGAAGTAGAAAACACACTGGACTAATTGGTGAGACATTTGTGTGTCAGGGGATGGGAAATAAATTCAACTAAAATTCAGAGACCTTCTACCTCAGTAAAATTTCTAGAGGCCCAGTGATGTGGGAACTGTTGAGGTATTCTTTCTAAGGTGAAGGATAAGTTGCTGCATTTGGCCCATCTTACAACCAAGAAAGAGGCACAACACCCAGTGAACCTATTTGGATTTTGAAGACAACACATTCCTCATTTGGGTGTGTTATTCCAGCCATTTATCAAATTACCCAAAAGACTGCCAGTTTTGAGTAGTGTCCAGAACAGGAGAGGCCTCTGAAAGAGGTCCAGGCGGCTGTGCAAGCTCTTTCATCACGGAAAGGGAAGGGTTTGTCCTCACTAGAACAGACACTTACTCTGGATGTGGGTTTGCCTATCCTGCATGCAATGCTTCTGCCACAACTACCATCCATGGACTCAAGGAATGCCTTATCCACCATAATGGTATTCCACACAGCATTGCCTCTGACCAAGGCATTCACATTAGAGCTAAAGAAGAGCAGCAGTGAGCTCATGCTCATGGAATTCACTGGTCTTACCATGTTTCCCATCATCCTGAATCAGCTGGATTCAATGCCCTTTGGAAGTCACAGTTACAAAGCCAACTAGGTGACAATACTTTGCAGGGATGGGGCCAAGTTCTCTAGAGGGCTGTTTATGCTCTGAATCAGCATCCAATATATAGTACTGTTTCTCTCATAGCCAGGATTTAAGGGTACAGGAATAAAACTGTTGAATTGAAGGTGGCACCATCAACCTTAGTGACCCACTAGCAAAAATTTTGCTTCCTGTTTCCATGACACTATGTTCTGCTGGCCTAGAGGTCTCAGTTCCAGAGGGAGGAATGCGGCCATCAGAAGACACATTAATAATTCTATTAAAGTGGAAGTTAAGATTGCCACCTGGCCACTTTGGGTTTCTCCTACCTCTGAGTCAACAGGCTAAGAAGGGAGTTACAGTGTTGTCTGGGGTGACTGACCCAGACTATCAAGATGAAATCAGTCTACTACTCCACAATGGAGGTAAGGAAGAGTATGTGTGGAATACAGGAGATCCCTTAGGGCATCTCTTAATATTACCATGTCCCGTAATTAAGGTCAATGGGAAACTACAGCAGCCCTATCCAAGCAGGACTACAAATTACCTGGACCCTCCAAGAAAGAACATTTGGGTCATTCCACCAGATAAAAAATAATGACCATCTAAGGAGCTTGCTAAAGGCAAAGGGAATACAGAATGGATGATAAAAGAAGGTAGTTATCCATACCAGCTGTGACCATATGACCAGTGGCAGAAATGAGAACTGTAATTGTCATGAATATTTTCTCCTTATTTAGTTAATAATATGCTTGTTCTTGTATACATATGTACTAAGAAAATATCTTTGTTTTCTTTTTTCCCTTTATAATGTGACATAAGATTTAGTGACTCCATATCAGCATTTCAGTGTTGTTAACTTCTTGTAATAGCATTTAGATTAGGGATTAGCGTGCTTCCTGTTGTACAAAGGATAGCTGTATTATGTTAGGTGTAATTGTGATCTTATTATTTTCTTTATTTGGATATGTATATGGGTTCAATTTGATGAGGAGTTGACTTGTGATGGTTAATATTAAGTGTCAGCTTGATTGGATTGAAGCATTCAATGTATTGTTTCTGGGTGTGTCTGTGAGGGTGTTGCTAGAGAAAATTAACATTTGAGTCAGTGGACTGGGAGAGATAGTTCCACTTTTAACCTGGGTGGGCACCATCCCCTAGGCCGCCAGAGCAGCTAGAAAAAGCAGGCAGAAAAATGTGGAATGAGAAGGCTTGCTGAGTCTTCTGGTCTTCATCTTTCTCCCATGCTAAATACTTCCTGCGCTCGAATATCAGACTCCAAGTTCTTCAGCTTTTGGACTCTTGGATTTACACTCTTGGTTTGCAAGGGGATCTCTGGCCTTCAGCCACAGACTGAAGACTACACTGTAGGCTTCCCTACTTCTGAGGTTTGGGGATTCAGACTGATCCACTACTGGCTTCTTTGTTCCTCAACTTGCAGACTTCCTATCCAGGGACTTTACCTTGTGATCCTGTGAGTCAATTCTCCTTAATAAACTTTCTTTTATATATACATATATCCTATTTGTTCTGTCCTTTTAGAGAACCGTGACTAATACAATTACTTTTTATTCTTTTCTTCTCTGTTTATATATTTTTAAATAACCTGTCTTTGATTTCCCATATCTTTTTTTTTTTTTTTTTTTTGCAAGGTATTTCTCTGTTACCCAGCCTGGAGTGCAGTGGCATGATCTCAGCTCCCAGAAGCCTCCACTTTCTAGGCTCAAGCAATCCTCCTTCCTCAGCTTCCTGAGTAGCTGGAACTACAGGCATGTATCACCACACCCATCTAAGTTTTGTATTTTTTTTTTTTTTGTAGAGATAAGATTGTGCCATGTTGCCCAGGCTGGTCTTAACCTTCTGGGCTCATGATCTGCTTATCTCAGCCTCCCTAAGTCCTAGGATTACCGGCATGATCAACCGCAACCGTCCTCACAGATCTTTCTTATACTTGATTAATTCTAGTGACCTTGATCAACTCTATTGGTATTCTCTATTGCATTTTTCATTTTTTCATCATAGTTTTCAGCTTCAGAATTTCTGGAGATTTTTTGTAGAGTTTGTATTTAGTTTAAATGTCTCATTTTAGTCATTTATTGTTTTTCTTACTTAATTAACTTGTTTCTTTGTATTTCCTTGAAATTCACTGAGCTTCCTTAAAAGTAAGTTATTTTAAATTATTTTTCAGACATCTTGTGTATCTTTATTTTCTTTGGTTCTGTTACTAGAAGATTATTGTGTTCTTTTGATGCTGTTGTGTCTCTTTGGTTGTTCATGTTTCTTGTAGTCTTAGATTGATGTTAGTACATTTGAAAAAGTATGGATTTATTCCAGTCTTTGCAGACTGGCCTTGTTTGGGGAATTCTTCACCAGTTAGCTGTTTAGGTTCCAGGCAGGCCATTTGGCATAATCCAAGGGTGGATTTGGTGCTGAAATCCCCAGGCAAGCTGACCTTGTGCCTGATTCAGCATGTGTGCAATCACTATACCTGTGTATTTAGGGCTTGGCTTGAAGCTTAGATTTACTATGGTGAACCTGCTAATTCAATCTTCAGAGATAGGCCGAAAGCTTGAATCAACATGAGAGGCTTTGGAGCCCATATCTGTATGAGCCAGTCAGAAACCTAGGTTCATCAAGGTGAACCTGTCACTGGAATGGGTCCTGAGCTTGAGTCTGCAGGCTCTGGCAAGGTACTGAGATGAGCTTAGTGCCTGAAACAACTGGCATAGGCTTGGATCCTGAGTCCATAAGGACTGGTCCGGTACTAAGTCAGGCCTTGAAACTTATTCCATGGAGGTGGGTGTAGGTCCTGGGCACGTGAGAGCTGGCCTGCAGACTGGGCCTGAAGAGGTGGTGTTAGAGCCCATATCCACAGGATCTGGGTGGGCACTTTGGTCTACTTGGGTGTGTCTGGTCATTAGGTATGCTACAACAAGACTAGACTCGGAGTCCCTAAAGTCTGGGGCCACAGGGACCACCTTGGAGCCTGTGGCCAGCCTGATGCTATGGCCAGCATGGAGCCTGGGTCCATGGGGGCTACTCTGGCACCTAGGATCATGGGTGGTGACCTGGTGCCTTGAGCTACTGGAGATAGCCTGGAGCCCAAGACTTTGGGGTTTAGCCTGGAGTCTTGTCCACTAGTGTCAGCCTGGAGCCTGGCTGTGCAGATGCTGGCCTAGAGGCTAGCTTCATGAGATCTGACCTGGGTCAGAGAGCCTCTGGTGCTAGCATGGGTGCTGGGTACACTAAGGTAGTCTTGAAGCCTGGATTTGTGGAGGCCAGTCTAGTGATGGGGTCTACTAACAGAACCAGAACTTGGGTCTGCTGAAGCAGAGTTGAACATTGAGTCTACTGGAGCATGGGGCTACAGGGGCCAGCCTGGAAGATACAACTGCAAGAATCAGTCTGACACTGGATAGGCCAGGGCTGTTTCCATAGATGCCTGTCTGGTGCTTGAGGTCAAAATGCCAACCTAGCACAGTGGTGGGTCTGAAGTCTGGTACCACAGGGGCTGGCTTGAAGCTCTGCAGACATGGAGTTTGCATTTTAGGGGCTTGACTAGAGGCTGGATCCTTGAGTGCCATCCTGATGACTTGGGATGATGCTACCATCTTGGTGTTGGGCATGCATGATGTCCAGTTTTGTGAGAAGCAGCCTGGTTTTGGAAGCAGTCCAGAGCACAGGGCCACTTAGGTCAGCCAGGCAGTGATGCTTGTATCAGCTGATATTAGGTGGGGCAACCCAGAAATCAAGTCTGCCAAGCAGGCCTGGAACATGGGGCTGCAGAATGCAGCCTAGTTTCAGGGCAGGCCTGAAGGCCTAGTCTGATAATCTTTCTCCTGTCCTTCCTCAAGGAGACCTGTGTCCTCAAATGCCTAGATGTCCAGGCAGATATTTGCTGCAGATGTGGAGCCTCCATGAAGAACCTCTGCTAGGGCAGTGCAGAAGGGAAATGTAGGATTGGAACCCCACACAGAGCCTCCACTGGGGCACTGCCTAGTGGAGATGTGAGGAGAGGGCCACTGTCCTCCAGACCCTGGAATGATAGATCCACTGACAGCTTGCACTATGCGCCTGAAAAAGCCACAGAAACTCAATGCCAGCACAGAAAAGCAACTGAGAGGGAGGCTGTACTCTGCAAAGCCACAGGGGTGGAGCTGCCCAAGGACATGGAAGCCCACTATTTTCATCAACATGATCTGGAAGTGAGACATGGAGTCAAAAGAGATTATATAAGAACTTTGATGTTCAATGACGGCCCTATTGGATTTCAGATTTGCATGGAGCCTGTAGCACCATTTTTTTTTCTTTTTGGCCAATTTCTCCCATTTGGAGTAAATGTATTTACCCAATGCCTGTACCCCATTGTATCTAGGAAGTAACTAACTTGCTTAGGATTTTACAGGCTCATAGATAGAAGAGACTGGCTTTGTCTCAGATGAGACTTTTGACTGTGGACTTTGAGTTAATGCTGAAATGAGTTAAGTTTTTGGAGGACTGTTGAGAAGGTATGATTGGTTTTGAAATGGGAGGACATGAGATTTGGGAGGGGCTAGGAGTGAAATCGTACAGTTAGGCTTCGTGTTCCCACCAAACTCTCATTTTAAATTGTAATCTCATAATCCCCACATGCTGTGGGAGTAACCCAGTGGGAGGTAATTGAATCATGGGGGAAGTTTCCCCCATGCTGTTCTATTAATAATGAATTAGTCCTCATGAAATCTGATAGTTTTATAAGTGTCTGACATTTCCCTGCTGGCACTCTCATTCTCATTCTCATTCTCCCTCCTGCTGTCATGCTGCTGCCATGTTAAGAGGTGCCTTCTGCCATAAATTTACAACAGAAGGTGCCTTCTGTTGTAAATTTCCTGAAGCCTCCCAAGCCATAAAGCACTATGAGACAATTAAATCTCTTTTCTTTATAAATTACCCAGTCTTAGGTATTTCTTAACAGCACCAGGAGAATGCACTAATGTAGATGGTGACAGCCCCGAGTCTGGGGCTGTATAGGTATGCATAGTCCCAGGTTATACTGAGTTTGCAGGTTTGAGGCAGTCCTCCTAAGCAAATGGTGTCTCTCTCAATGTTGTGTTGCCTGGAATTTGCAGAAGGATGATGTGTGCAGTGTAAAACTAAGATTCATACCTTCTTCAATGCATCTTTTCTTATTTCTGTGCTATACATAGATACTATATTCTTTCACCTGGTTTTCTTAGTTCTTGTGGAGGTATTTTCACGTGTGAATAGTTGTTTGAATTGATATCTATGTGGGAAGAGGAGTATTGAAAGGTTTAGTTTTGTTGTATTGCTCACTGTTGTTTTAAGTGAGGATTGTAATTCACATTTAAAAGAAGAAAATTGGAGAAATTGGAGGAATATGCTCAAAATCAGTTTATATGGTATCTTAACTTAAAAAAAAATCAACAAGTACACTTCTAAGTTCTTTCTTACAAACTGTAAAATTAGAATTAGGAACTCAAATAAAAATCAACATTAGGGTGTTTGAGAGAAGTCTGCAGAAATGCCAGGATGTACTGGTAAATCCCAGCCTAAAACGATTATTGGTCAGCTTTCAAAGAGCTAGGTTCTGTTGGAAATAGGAAGCAAGGAGGAAGCACTAGTAAGTTATTTTCCACAAGAAGGCAAAAAGTCTTATATGTCAATATCTCACAGTAGTGGTTTGCTTAAGTAATGGTTGTAGACAGCAGACATTTTACAAAAGGAAGCGGGCATGGAGTGGAAAATTGCTCATGTGGCACTAAAAAGTAGAAATTATGCAACAAATTTTAGACTTATCTTCTAAGTTCAATAGATTATGTAAATAACTCAGGGTTCTTCAGAAGTCATCTCATTCATGTTGTGGTAAAGGCTTGTCCATCAAATAAAGAACACAAAGAAAGGACATATTGTTTATTTTCAATTGTTTCAGGTGGCAAATATTAAGGAGTTTAATTGCACTAAATATCAGAGATATGTATTTGATTTTTACATGAACAACTCTGAAAATTAATGTACTAGTTATGTGCAACAACATGAACAAATAATAATAACAACGTTGTGTAAAAAAAGCAAGTCCATTAAAATAATATATTGTGTATGTATTGACTTTATATAAAGTTTAACAAGCTATTTTACTTGTATAGTAAAATCAGCATTAGGGTGTTCAAGAGAGGTTTGCAGAAATGCCCGTAGAAAAGTATAAAAATATATTTTACAAAATAAACTGTTTGTATATTGTTTAAGAGGGCTTCTGGAATGATGTAGTGAGGAGTTGTATGCCCTCTCCCCAGCAAAACAATAATTTAACAAGTGAAAATACTTTTTTAAAAATCTATCATATAAAGTCTTTGGAAATAGTCCTGAGAACAAAAAGGAAATGGAGAAATGTGCATTCAAAGAAATTTACTAAATTTCCTAAGACCAAACATCTAGCATTTGATCAAAAACCTGTTATTAACCCATCCACCTCCATTTCTCCATCCTATCTGTGTTTTACAGAAGATATACCTTGGTCACTCTACTCTGAGTATGTGCTGTCAAGAAGGTGGGACTTCTCTCTCTTCTGAGTTTCCAGTATGAGACTGTAGTTTCACACTGGAAGGGGCAGGCCATCATTAGCATTTCTCAGCCTCCCCGAAGCCCTGTGTCACCAATAATCTGTTAAACGTGGTTAAGGGAATCAGGTCTCTCTTCTCCCATCCAGTCTTTACTTATAAAATGAAACATCTATCCTTGGTGCAGTAGTGTCTTAGTCCAGTTAGTGTTGCCATAAAGAAATACCTGAAGCTGGGGAATTTATAGAGAAAAAATATTTATATTTTTATATAATTCTGCTGTATAAAAGATTGGGCATCTGGTGAGGGCCTCAGGTTTCTTTCACTTATGCTGAAAGGTAAAACAGAGCTGGCACGCGCATAGAACTCATGGTAAGAGAGGAAGCAAGTGGAGGAGAAAATTCAAAGCTCATTTTAACAACCAGCTCTTATAGGGACATGGATGAAGCTGGAAACCATCATTATCAGCAAACTATCGCAAGGACAGAAAACCAAATACTGCATGTTCTCACTCATAGGTGGGAATTGAACAATGAGAATACTTGGACACAGGAAGGGGAACATCACACACTGGGGCTTGTCGTGGGGTGCAGGGAGGGGGAAGGCACAGCATTAGGAGATATACCTAATGTAAAAGACGAGTTAATGGGTGCAGCACACCAGCATGGCACATGTATACATATGTAACAAACCTGCATGTTGTGCACATGTACCCTAGAACTTAAAGTATAATAATAAAAAAATAAGAAAATCATAGAGTGAGAACTTACTCATACCCCCCTAGGGAGGGCCTTAATCTATTAATGAGGGATCCACTCCCATCACCCAAGCACCTCTCATTAGACTCCACCCTCAATGTTAGGGATCAAATTTTAATATGAAGTTTAGTGTGACAAAAATCCAAACTGTAGCAAGTAGGCTGCAAACATTGGGACCCAAAATATTTCTCCTACATTACTTTGCTTACTTTGTGAACTGTAATAGAGGACTCTGGGCAACAACACACATCCAACGGAAAAAATATACATGTGACTGGCTCAAAAGCTAAGTCACTAAACAAACACACAACACCACCAACCACTGAGGTTGAGGGAAAGAGAAAATAGGGTTAGTGTCTAGAACCGGTTAAATATACTATCTCATATGTCCATGTCTAAACAACAAAAAACAATGACACACAAAAACATTGTTAAAAATAGCGTCTTGTACACAAAAACGAAAGCAATATAATTTTCTTTGAATGTGCTTAGATGACAGACATAGTAGATTAAAAAATCAAAAAAGCTGTAATAAGTGTATCTAAATAACTCACTAAAAATATGCTTAAAATGAAAGGAAATTATGGTGACAATGTCTCATGTAGAAAATATCAACACAAAAAATATTTAAATGTTTTATTTAAAGATTTATATAGTTTAGAAGTAGAATAAATAGAATACAAAATTCACTAGCAAACTGAATTCAGAAACACATAAAAGGAATTAGGCAGCATAACCTAATGAAATTTATCTCAGAAATGCACAGTTGTTTTAACATCTGTAAACCACCTAATGTAATGCATTATATTAGTAGAATAAAAACCAAAATTACATGATAATCTCAGTAGAGGCAGAACAGCATTCAGAGAAAAATCCAACACTTTTGTGATAGAAACATTCAATAAACTAGGAACAGAAGAAAATTTTCTCAACCTGATAACAGGCATCTATGAAAAATCCACAGGTAACATTATATTCCATGGTGACTAGATATCTTACCCTTAAGACCAGTAACAACACCAGGGTGCATTGTCTTACTACTTCTAATTTAATATTGTACTGAATGTGTTTCATCCAGGGCAATTAAGCAAGATAACTAAATAAAAAGCATTCAAATTGAAAAGAAAGAAATAAAACAATCTCTACTAAGAGACAATGTAATTTTTTTTACAAAAATTCTAAGGAATCCACTAAAAACTATTAGTACTAATAAAAATACTTTAGCAAAATTGCAGAATACAAGATAAATATGCAAATGTCAATTGTAATTCTATACACTTGCAATGAACATTTCAAGAATAAAATAAACAGAACAACTCCATTTGTAACAGCAAAAAAATATAGACTTCTTGGCAATAAACCTAACAAATCAAATGAAAAATTTGAATTTGTAAAAACTACAAAATGTTAAAATAAATTAAAGAACACCAAAATAAATGAAAAAATATATATGTTTATAAATTGAAAGATGTAACATTGTTGTGATGCCATTATTTGCCACTCTGATCTACAATCAGTATCAAAATTCCAGCTTATTTACATGTAAAAATGGAAAAGCTGAGTCTAAATTTTATGTAAAAAATTGCAAGGGACTCAAAATAGCTGAAACAATCTTGAAAATAAAGAACCAGGTAAAGGAGATTCAGACTGGCTGAATATAAACAGCACCAGTCTGCAGCTCCTAGCAATATCAACACAGAAGGTGGGTAATTTCTGCATTTCCAACTGAGGTATCCAGTTCATCTCACTGGGACTGGTTGGACTGTGGGTGCAGCCCATGGAGGGTGAGCAGAAGCAGGGTGGGGCATCACCTCACCTGGGAAGCACAAGGGGTCGGAGAATTTGTTCCCCTACCAAAGGGAAGCCATGAGGGTCTGAGCCTGAGGAGCTATGGCACAGATACTGCGCTTGTCCCATGGTCTTCACAACCTGCAAACCAGGAGATTCCCTCCGGTGACTACCCCATCAGGGCCCTGGGTTTCAAGCACAAAACTGGGTGGCCAATTGGGCAGACACTGAACTAGCTTCAGGAGTTTTTTTTTTTTTTTTTTTTTTTTTTTTTTTTTTTTTTTTTTTTTTTTTTTTACCACACTGGTGCCTGGAGACAGAACCATTTTTTTTTTTACCACACTGGTGCCAGCGAGACAGAACCATTCACTCCCTTGAAAAAGGGTTTGAAGCCAGGAAGCCAAGTGGTCTGGCTCAGAGGGTTCCACCCCAGCAGAGCCCAGGAAACTAAAATCCACTGGCTTGAAATTCTCACTGCCAGCACAGCAGCAATCTGAGATCCACCTGGAATGGTCGAGCATGGTGGGGGGAGGGGCATCCACCATTACTGAGGCTTGAGTAGCTGGTTTTACCACACAGTGTAAAGGAAGTTGCTGGGAAGTTAGAAGTGGGTGAAGCCCACTGCAGCTCAGCATGGCTGCTGTGGCCAGACTGCCAGATTGTTCTTCTATGGACAGGGCATATCTGTAAAAAAGGCAGCTGCCCATGTCAGGGGCTTATAGCAGACTTAAACGTCCTTGCCTGATGGTTCTGAAGAGAGCAGTGGACCTCCCAGCACAGGGTTAGAACTCTGCTAAGGGTCAGTCTGCCTCCTCAAGTGGGTCACTGAACCCTGTGTATACTGACAGGGAGACACCTCCCAGTTGGGGCCAACAGACACCTCATATAGGAGAGCTATGTCTGGCATGTGGCAGGTGCCTCTCTGGGTTGAAGCTTCCAGGAGAAAAAAAAGGCAGCAATCTTTACTGCTCTGCGGCCTCCACTGATGATACCTAGGCAAACAAGGTCTGGAGTGGACCTCCAGCAAACTCCAGCAGACTGGCAGCAGAGGGCCCTGACTGTTAAAAAAAAAAAAAAAACAGGATTAGCACTTCCACTCAAAGACCTCATCCGAAGGTCATCAACGTCAAAGACCAAAGATAGGTAAATCCACAAAGATGGGGAAAAGCCAGTGTAAAAAGGCTGAAAATTCCAAAAATCAGAATGACTCTCCTCCTCCAAAGGATCACAATTCCTCACCAGCAAGGGAACAAAACAGGCTGGAGAATGAGTTTGACCAACTGACAGAAGTAGGCTTCAGAAGGTGGGTAATAAACAACCCCAAGCTAAAGAAGCTTGTTCTAAACCAATGCAAGGAAGCTAAGAACCTTGAAAAATGGTTAGTTGAATTGCTAACTAGAATAACCAATGTAGAGAAGAACATAAATGACCTGATGGAGCTGAAAAACACAGCACAAGAACTTTGTGAATACACAAGTATGAATAGCTGAATCAATCAAGTGAAAGAAAGTGTATCAGAGATTGAAGATCAGCTTAATGAAATAAAGAGAAAAGACAAGATTAGAGAAAAAAGAATATTGTATATTTAGAAAATCTCATCCTCTCAGCCCAAAATCTCCTTAAACTGATTGATAAGCAACTTCAGCAAAGTCTCGAGATACAAAATCAATGTGCAAAAATCACAAGCATTCCTATACACCAATAACAGACAAACAGAGCCAAATCATGAGTGAACTCCCATTCACAATTGCTACAAAGAGAATAAAATACCTAGGAATCCAAATTAGAAGGGATGTGAAGGACCACTTCAAGGAGAACTACACACCACGGCTCAAGGAAATAAGAGAGGACACAAACAAATGGAAAAACATTCCACGCTCATGGATAGGAAGAATCAATATCATGAAAATGGCCATACTGCCCAAAGTAATTTACAGGTTCAATGCTATCCCCATCAAGCTACCACTGACTTTATTCACAGAATTGGAAAAAAACGACTTTAAACTTCATATGGAACCAAAAAAGAGCCCACATAGCCAAGACAATCCTGGGCAAGAAGTACAAAGCTGGAGGCATCACTCTACCTGACTTCAAACTATACTACAGGCTACAGTAACCAAAACAGCATGGTATTGGTACCAAAACTGATATATAGACCAATGGAACAGAACAGAGGTCTCAGAAATAACACCACACAGCTACAATCATCTGATCTTTGACAAACCTGGCAATAACAAGCAATGGGGAAAAAATTCCCTATTTAATAAATGGTGTTGGGAAAACTGGCTAGCCATATGCAGAAAACTGAAATGAGGCCCCTTTCTTACACCTTTTACAAAAATCAACTCAAGATGGATCAAAGACTTAAACATAAGACCTAGGGCCATAAAAACCCTGGAAGAAAACCTGGGCAATACCATTCAGGACATAGGCATGGGCAAAGCTTTCATGACTAAAACACCAAAAGCAATGGCAACAAAAGCCAAAATTGACAAATGGAATCTAATTAAGCTGAAGAGCTTCTGCTCAGCAAAAGAAACTATCATCAGAGTGAACAGGCAACTTACAGAATGGGAGAAAATTTTTGCAATTTGTCCAACTGACAAAGTGCTAATATCCAGAATCTACAAAGAACTTAAAAAAATTTACTAGAAAAAAGCAAAAAACCCTATCAAAAACTGGGCAAAGGATATGAACAGACACTTCACCAAAGAAGATATTTATGTAGCTAACAGGCACATGAAAAAATACTCATTATCACTGGTCATTAGATAGATGCAAATCAAAACCACAATGAGATACCATCTCATGCCAGTTAGAATGGCGACCATTAAAAAGTCAGGAAACAAGAGATGCTGCAGAGGTTGTGGAAAAATAGGAATGCTTTTACACTGTTGGTGGGAGTGTAAATTAGTTCAACCATTGTGGAAGACAGTGTGGCAATTCCTCAAGGATCTAGAACTGGAAATACCATTTGACCCAGCAATCCAATTACTGGGTATATACCCAAAGGATTATAAATCCTGCTACTATAAAGACACATGCACACATATGTTTATTGCAGCACTATTCCCAAGAGCAAAGACTTGGAACGAACCCAAATGTCCATCAATGATGGACTGGATTAAGAAAATGTGGCACATATACACCATGGAATACTATGCAGCCATAAAAAAGGATAAGTTCATGTCCTTTGCAGGGACATGGATGAAGCTGGAAACCATCATTTGTTAGCCAACTATCACAAGATTAGAAAACCAAACACCGCATGTTCTCACTCACAAGTGGGAGTTGAACAATGAGAACACATGGACACAGGGATAAGAACATCACACACCAGGGCCTCTTAGAGGGTGAGGGGCTAGGAGAGGGATAACATTAGGAGAAATACATAATGTGGGTGACGGGTTGATGGGTACAGCAAACCACCAGGGCACATGTATACCTATGTAACAAAACTACATTTCTGTACATGTAACCAAGAACTTATAGTATAAGAAAAAAAAAGAAAATAAAGGACCAAGTTGAAGGACTTGCACTTTTTGATTTGAAATCTTACTACAACGCAATGATAATCAAGACAGTGTGGTGCTTGTACAAAATTAAACATAAAGATTAATGAAATATAATTAAGAGTCTGATAAATCCCATACATCTATGGCAAACTAATTTTCAACAAAGTTGTCAAGACTATGCAATGGGGAAAACATTGTTCTTTCAACAAAATGTGCTGGGAGAACGGCATAGCCACATCTAAAAGAATGAATTTGAACTCTTACCTCACATTTTACATGAAAAATTAACTCAAAATTGATGAACAAGCTACCTAAATGAAAGAGCTAAAACTATCAATCTCTGAGAAGAAAAAATAGGGGCAAATATTTATGACTTTAGATTTGTAAAACAATTATTAGCTATTACACCAGAAGTGTGAATAACAAGAGCAATAAACAAATTAGTTAAAATTCATAAAAATTAAAAATTTTGCGTTTAAAAGAACACCATCAAGAAAGTGAAAACACAACCCATGGGATGGCAAACATATTTGCTAATTATAAATCTTATAAGAAACCTGTATCTAAGGTTTATGAAGATCTCTTGCAAATCAATTAATAGAAAGACAAATATCCTATTAATCTGGAAAAATAATCTGAACAAGCATTTCTTCAAGTGAGATATACACATATCCAACAAGTGCATGAAAACATGTTCAACATTATTAGTCATCAGGGAAATATAATTCAAAGCCACAATGAAATGCCATTTCACATCCACTAAGATGGCTACAATCAAAATGAGAAACAGTAATAAATGTTGGTGAGAATGTGGACAAATTCAATCTCTCATACACTTCTGGGGAGAAAGTAAAATGGTGGAGCTACTTTGGAAAACAGTCTGGCAGTTTATTTAACACTTATACACATGCCATAAGACCCACCAATTTCACTTCTAGGTATATACCAAAGAGAAATGTAAAAAAAAGGTCCATGATACTTGTACATGAATGTTTATAGCAATATTCTTCATAATAGCCAAAAAGTGGAAAAAAACAGGTGCCCATCAATAAATGAATGGATTAAAAATTGTAAGATATCCATACAGTGGAATATTATTTAGCCATAGCAACAAATAAAGTGCTAATATATGCTACAATATGGATAAACCTTGAAAAAAAAATGTTAAGTGAAAAAAGCTAGTCAGGAAAGATCTCATATTATGATTCTATTTACATTAACTATCCAAAACAGACAATTCATAGAAAGAAAGTAGGTTAGTGGCTTCTTAGGATTGTGTATAAAGAGGGTGAATCATGCTGTGAAACAATAAAATTCTTTTTAAATTGATGGTGTTGATGGTTTCACACATCCGTGAATACACACATAACTACTCATTTTAATTGGCGAATTGCATGAAATGTGAATTGTATCTTAATAAAGCCATATAAAACACTTTTTAAAATGAACTGAATAAAACTCTAGAATTGATAAACACAGTAACCAAAATAAAAAAATTCACTAGCAGTGCTCAACAGTAGATTGGAGTAAGCAGAATAAAAGAATTATCTAACTTGAAGATATATATTATGCAATCTGAAGACCAGAAAGAAAAAAAGTAATCCTTAGAGGAAAATTTATAGCTACATCTATATTTTAAAAGAGTAAATGTTTGAAATGAACAATTTAACCTTTCGTCTTAAGAAACTCAAAAGATATCAAACCAAATTTAAAAAGCAGAAGATTAGAATGGGAACAAATAAAATGGATAATACAAAAAAAGAGAAGGTTAATAAAATCAAAAGCATTATCTTTGAAAAAAGACAACAAAATTGACACAATCTTTGTTAGACTGAGGAAAAAAATGGATAAAAAAACTACTAAAATAAGGAATAAAATAAGAAACATCACCAATAACCAAACAGAAATAAAAAGAACTATAAGAGAATAGTATAAACAATGGCTTGCAAAAAAGTTAGATAAATTACCTGGAACTGACAGTTGTTAGAAAGGTACAAACTACCAAAATTGACCCAAGAATTAATAGAAAATCTCAGTAAATCTATAACAAGTAAAGGGAGTGAATTAGTATAAGAAAAAACTCACAATTAAAAGCCAAATCAGATGACATTACTGGTAAATTCTACAAAACATTAAATATTGCATACCAATCTTTCACAAAATTTCAAAAAATAGAGAATCAAAAAATACTTCTTAGCCTATCTGTGAGACCAGTATTACCTGGAAACAAAAACCACACAAAAACATTACTAAAAAACTACAGAACAATATCTCCTCTTAATATAGACATTAAAATGCTGAACTTCATACTAGATAAATGAATCCTGCAACATATAAAAAGGATCTCATGCCATGACAAACCAGAATTTATCCCACAAACGCAAAGTTGGTTAAACATTTGAAAATCAGTTAGCATAATATGCCATATAATATGATTTGGCTGTGTTCCCACTCAAATCTCATCTTCAATTGTAGGTCTCATAATTCCCACATGCTGTGGAAGGGACCTGGTGAAAAATAATTGAATCATGGGGCCAGTTTCCCCATGCTGATCTCGTGGTAGTGAATAAGTTTCATGAGATCTGATGGTTTTATAAATAGAAACCCCTTTCACTTGCCTCTCATTCTCTCTCTTGCCTGCTGCCATGTAAGATGTCCCTTTCACCTTCTGCCATGATTGTGAGGTCTCCCCAACTGCATGAAATTGTGAGTCCATTTAACCTTTTTCTTTATAAATTACACAGTCTCATATATGAATTTATTAGCAGCATGAAAACAGACTTATTCAGTCAACTGGTACCAGGAGTGGGGCACTACTGTAAAGATACCTGAAAATGTGGAAGCGACTTTGGAACCAGGTAACAGGCAGAGGTTGGAACCGTTTGGAGAACTCAGAAGAAGACAGGAAAATGTGCGAAAGTTTGGAACTTCCTAGAGACTTGTTGAATGGCTTTGACAAAAATGCTGATAGTGATATAAACAATAAAATCCAGGCTGAGGTTGTCTTTGATGGAGATGAGGAACTTGTTAAGAACTGGAGTAAAGGAGATTCTTGCTATATTTTAGCAAAGATATTGGTGGCATTTTGCCCTTGCCCTAGAAATTTGGGACACTTTGAACTTGAGGGAGATGATTTAGGGTATTTTGCAAAAGAAATTTCTAAGCATCAAAGCATTCAAAGGGTAACTTTGGTGCTGTTAAAAGCATTCAGCTTTAAAAAGGAAACAGAGCATAAAATTTCAGAAAATTTGCAGCCTGGTGATGTGATAGAAAAGAAATACCCATTTTCTGAGGAGAAATTCAAGTAGGCTGCAGAAATTTGCATAAGTAATGAGGAGCCAAATGCTAATCGCCAAGACAATGGTGAAAATATCTCCAGGGCATGTCAGAGACCTTTTCAATAGCCCCTCCCATCACAGGCCCAAAGGTCTGGGAGAAAAAAAAAAGGTTTTGTGGGCAGGGGAAGAACTCTCCTGTTGTGTGCAGCCTAGGGACTTGATGCCTTGAGTCCCAGCAACTTGAGGCCAAGATGCAACTCAGGTTGTGGCTTCAGAGGGTGCAAGCCCCAAACCTTGGAAGCTTCCACATGGTTTTGAGACTGCCAGTGCACAGAAGTCAAGAATTGAGGTTTGGGAACCTTTGCCTAGATTTCAGAGGATGTATGAAATTGCCTGGATGTCCAGACAGGTGTTTTGTGCAGGGGTGGGACCCTCATGGAGAACATCTGCTAGGGCAGTGCAAAGGGGAAATGTGAGACTGGAGGCCCCACACAGAGTCCCCACTGGGACACTGCCTAGTGGAGCTGTGAGAAGAGGGCAAACATTCTCCAGACTCCAGAATGGTAGATCCACTGACAGTTTGCACCATGCACTTAGAAAAGCCACAGACACTCAATGCCAGCTGTGAAAGCAGCCAGGGAATGGGGCTGTACCCTCCAAGAATGATAGATACATTGACCAGCTTGCACTGTGCACCTGGAAAAGCTGTAGACAATCAACACCAGCTTGTGAAAGCAGCTGGAAGGGAGGCTGTACCCTGTAAAGCTACAGGGGCAGAGCTGTCCAATACTGTGGGAACCCCCATCTTGCATTAGTGTGACCTAGATAGGAAACATAGAGTCAAAGTAGATCTTTTTGGAGTTTTAAGATTTGACTGCCCTTCTGGATTTTGGATTGCATGGGGCCTGTAGCCCCTTTGTTTTGGCAAATTTCTTCCATTTGGAATGGGAGCATTTATCCAATGCCTGTACCCCCATCCCCCATTGTATCTTGGAAGCAACTAACTTACTTTTGATTTTACAGGCTCCTAGGTTGAAGGAACTTGCCTTGTCTCAGGTGAGACTTTGGACTGTGGGCTATGAGTTAATATTAAAATGAGTTAAGTCTTGGGGGACTGTTGGGAAGGCATGATTGGTTTGAAAATGGGAGGACATGAGATTTGGGATGGGCCAGGGGTGGAATTATATGGTTTGGCTGTGTCCCCACCCAGATTTCTTCTTTAATTGTAGCTCCCATAATTTTCACGTGTTCTGAGAGGTACTTGGTTGGAGATAATTGAATCATGAACAATCCAAAAATTAGAATAAAATAACAATTTTTAAAAATAGCATAAAATGTAATAAACTACATAGAAATGAATTTACATGTGTAAGACTTACAGACTAAAAGTTACAAAACATCAAAAACTTAAAGATAAAAACACAACCACATTTTATGTTCTTAGATCAAAATACATATTTAAATACATAATTTACATAATTCAGAATTCAAATTTAAATTAAATTTAATTTAATTTAAACTTAATATTTAAATTAAATGTTAAAGTTAAATATACAAAATTTTTAGAAAACAGCAACACAGGAATAAATCTTTATGACCTTTAGTGAAAATGCAGTATGACTTCAAAGCACACACAGCAAACTATTAATAAATTGGACTTTATCAGAAATAAAAAGTTTATATGCTTCAAAAATATCATAATAAAAGTGAAAAACAACCCAAAGAATGAGAGAAAATGTTTTGAAAGCATAATTTTGGTAAGGAATTTGTATATAAAATACATAAAAGCCTCTTAACACTTGACAGTAAAAAGCCAAATAACACAGTATTTTTAAATAGACAAAGGAATTAAATAAATATTTATCAAAAAAATTAACATAGTCAATGAGCATATTTATAGCACATGGCTATAATAAAAAAAGGGAAAACAATAATAAAAAAAGAAAACAATAATAAGTGTTGTCAACAACGTGGAAAGTTTGGAGCACACATACACTGCTGGAAGAAATGTAAAATAGCAGAGCCACTATAAAAAACAGTCTGGCACTTCCTCAAATATTTAATATAAAGTTACATATGGTCCATCAATTTTACTACTAGGTATGTACCCACAAGAAATAAAAACAAGATGAGTGGAACAAGATGGCCAAATAGAAGGCTCCACCGATTGTCCCCCCTGCAAGAACACCAATTTAATAACTCTGTCTGCACATACTTACACACAAAGCATCTTCATAGGAACTAAAAATCAGGTGAGCAATCACGGTACATGGCTTTAGCTCCATATTGCTGAAAGAGGCACTGAAAGATGGCAGAAAATACAGTCTTGAATCACTGATGCCACACCTCCTCTATCCTCTGACAGTGGCCACGTGGAGTGGAGAATAAATCTGTGTTCTCAGGAGAGGGAGAGCACAACAATTGTGAGACATTTGAGTAAAATCAGTGCAACCCTGTCACAGCAGAAAGCAAAACTGGGTTGAACTCGCTGAAACCCACCCACCAATGGAGCATTTAGAGCCAGAGGGAAATTGCCCATCCCAGTGGTCAGAACTTGAGTTCTGGCAAGCCTTATACCATAGAATAAAGCACTCTTTTAACAAAAATAAGCTTGAAAGGCAGTCCAGGCAACCAGGGCGGCAACTCATAGGTGAGTCCTAGTGATGAACTGAGCTCAGAGCAAATGGAGTTGAAAGGCATGTGACCTACTGAGAAAACAGCCTGGGTGACTAAGGGGGTGCTTGCATCATCCCTCCCCAAACTTCATGCTGCACAGTTCATGGCTCCAAAAGAGACCCCTTACTTCCACCTGAGAAGAGGAGAGGGAAGAGTGGGGAGGACTTGGTCTTGCATATTCAATACCAGCTAAGGCTCAATAGAATATGACCCCAGTCAGAACCATGAGGGTTACTCTTTCAGGCCATATATCTCAGATGACCTTTCTTAAGGCAATCTGGGACAGAAGTAAACCTATTGCCTTGAAGGAAAAGACCCAGTCCTGGCAGGACTCATCACCTGATGACTCATCATGCTAGGACCCTGAATAATCAGTAGTAATACCCAAATAGTATACTGTGGGCTTTGAGGAAAGCAGATGGGAAAGTAAAGGAGTCTTTGTAGGGCATCTTATGTACCAGGTTGACCACAGGAGTGTAGAGAATCAAGGGGGCTCTTGTGGTCCCAATTCCAGGCCTTGGGTCTTAGATGGCATTCCTGGACCTTCCCTGGGCCAGAGGGGAGCCCACTGCCCTGGAGTGCAGGACTCAGGCCAAAAAACATTCAACTCAAGTTGACTTAAGAGCCCTTAGGCCCTAAGTGAACATCTGCAGCAGCCTGGCAGTACTACCCATGGGCCTGTGGTGGTGGTGGCCATGAAGTGAGGTTCCTCTGCATGTTGGAAGAGAAAATAAGAGTGGGAAGGACTGCAACTCATAATTTGAGTGCTAGCACAGCTGCAATACAGTAGAGCACCAAGAGATTTGACTCCAATCTCTGGCTCCCAGATAGTATCTCTAGGCTCACTTGGAGCCTGAGAGAACTTGCTGCCCTGAAGGGAAAAACAAACTTGGCTGATTTTACCACCTGCTGATTGTACAGCCCCAGGACCTTGAGCAGACATAGGCAGTAGCTCGATAGCAGTCAAAGAGGACCTTGGGTGTGACCCAGTGCTGTTCTGGATTCAGGTCTGATAGAACAGTCCTAGTGTGGTGGCCGCAAGGCCACTTGTGTTATTGGACTTTATTGGATTTAGCATCCCCAGCTCCAAGTAGCTCAGTATAAAGAGAGAGACTCCATTTGTTTGGAAGAAAGTAAGGAAAGAAAACAAGTCTCTGCCTGGTAATCCATAGAACACTTCCAGAACTCATCCAAGACCACCAAGGTGGTACCTCTACAAGTCCGCAAGAACCACAGTGTTAGTGTGCTTGGAGTGTCTCCTAATTTAACCAGAGCTAAGATCACAACATCCAAGTCATTTTGAATACCTGGAAAGCCTTTCCAAGAAAAATGAGTACAAGTAATCCCAGAATGGAAAGAGTAAGATAAACACCTCTCTTCAATATCCAGAAGAAAATAAACATCCCCAAATATTATAAACATCCATGAAAACGTGACCTTACAAAATGAACTGAATAAGAAAGAAGATACCAATCCTGGAGAAAGGGAGATATGTGACTTTTCAGAAAGAAAACTCAAAATTGTTGTGTTGAGAAAATACAAAGAATTTTAAGGTAACAGAGAAGAAATTCAGAATTATATCAGATAAATTTAACAAAGAAAATGAAATAACTAATCAAGCAGAAATCCTAGGGTTGAAATAGGCTACTCACATATAGAAAGAATGCATAAGAGTCTCGTAATAGTGGAATTGATCAAGCATAAGACAGAATTAGTGAGCTTAAAGACAGGCTATTTGAAAAGGCAGTCAGAAAAGACAAAAAATACAATTAAAAAAATGAAGCTTTCCTACAGAATCTAGAAAATAGCCTGAAAAGGACAAATCTGAAATTTATTGGATTTAAAGATAACATAGAGAGAGAAATGGGGGTAAAAAGTTTAGTTAAAGGGATAACAACAGAGAATGTCCCAAGTCTTAATAAAGATATAAACATCCAAGTATAAGGTTATAGAACATCAAGTAGATTTAACACAAAAAGACTACCTCAAAGCATTTAATAATTGAACTCCTAAAAGTCAAGAATAAGGAAAAGATTTTAAAAGCAGCAAAATGCAATAAACAATAACATACAATGGAGGTAAAATACATCTGACAACAGACTTCTCAGTGGAAAACTTACAGGTTAGGAAACACTGGCAGGACATATTTAAAGTACTGAAAAAAATAATTTTTACCTGAGAATAGTATATCTAGTGATAATATCTGATATGGTAGGCTTTGTGTTCTCACCCAAATCTCATCTTGAATTGTAATCCAGAAGTGTTGAGAGAAAGACCTGTTGGTAGGGGATTGGATCATGGAGGCAGTTTCCCCCATGCTGTTCTCATGATAATGAGTGAGTTTTCAGGAAATCTGATGGTTTTATAAGCATCTGGCATCTCCTCTGCTTGTACTTCTCTCTCCTGCCACCATGTGAAAAAGGTCCTTGCTTCCCCTTCACCTTCCACCATAATTGTAACATTTCTGAGGCCTCCCCAGTCATGCAGAACTGTTAGTCTATTAAACCTCTTTTCTTTATAAATTACCCAGTCTCAGATAATATATTTATAGCAGTGTGAAAACAGACTAAAACAGTAAATTGTCGCAACAGAGAGTGGGGTACTGCCATTAAGATACTTGAAAATGTGGAAGAGACTTTGGAACTGGGTAACAGACAGAGTCTGGAACAGTTTAGAGAGCTCAGAGGAAGACAGGAAGACGTGAGAAGGTTTGGAGCTTCCTAGAGACTTGTTGAATGGTTTGGACCAAAATGCTGATAGTGATGTGAACAATGAAGTCCAGGCTGAGGTGGTCTCATATGGAGATGAGAAATTTATTGAGAACTAGAGTAAAGGTCACTCATGCTATGTTTAAGAAAAATGACTGGTGGCATTTTGCTCTTGCACTAGAGATCTATGGAAATTTGAACTTGAGAGGGATAATTTAGGGTATCTGGCAGGAGAAATTTCTATGCAGCAAAGTATTCAAGACATGACCTGGATTATTCCAAAAGCATTCACATACATATGTTCAAAAAGAGGTGGTTTGAAATTGGAACTTATGTTTATAAATGAAGCAGAGCATGAAACTGGAAAATTTGCAGCCCGATAATGTGATAGAAAAGAAGAACCCATTTTCTTGGGTAAAATTTAAGCTAGCTGCAGAAATTTGCATAAGTAATGAAGAGCTAAATGTTATTGCCAAGGCAGTGAAAAAAATGTCTCCAGGGCATGTCAGAGATCTTCACAGCAGCCCCTCCCATCACAGGCCCAGAGACCCAGGAGGGAAAATTGATTTCATGGGCTGGGTTCAGGGGACACTGCTGTGTGCAGTCTTGGGACTTAATGCCCTTCAAGCCACTCCAGCTCAGGCCATTGCTTCAGAGGGTGCAAGTCCCAAGCCTTGGCAGCTTCTGTGTGGTGTTGTGCCTGTGGGGGTGCACAAAATTCAAGTATTGAGTTTTGGGAATCTCTAACTAGATTTCAGAGGATGGATGGAAATGCCTGAATGTCCAGGTGGAGGTGTGCTTCAGGGGCAGAGCCTTCAAGAATAAACTCTGCTAGGGAAGTGCAAAGGAGAAATGTGAGATTGGGGGCCCCACATCAAGTCCACAATAGGGCATGACCTAGTGGAGCTGTGAGAAGAGGGTCACCATTCTCCAGACCCTGTAATGGTATATCCACTGATAGTTTGCACCATGCACCTAGAAAAGCCACAGACACTCAATGCCAGCCATGAAAGCAGCCAGGGAAGGGGGGCTGCGCCCTCCAAAGCCACAGGAGCAGAGCTGCCCAAGGCCGTGGGGGCCAACCTCTTGTGTCAGTATTACCTGGGTGTGAAACATGAAGTCAAAGCAGATTATTCTGGAGCTTTAAGATGTAATGACTGCCCCACTGGATTTTGGAGTTGTGTGCATTCTGTAGCCTCTTTGTTTTCGCTAGTGTCTCCCATTTGGAACAGGAGCATTTATATCATCCCTCTACCCCCATTGTATCTTGAAAGTAACTAACTTGCTTTTGATTTTGCAAGCTCCTAGGTAGGAGAAACTTGCCTTGTCTCAGATGAAACTTTAGAATTGGACTTTTGGGTTAATGCTGGAATGAATTAAGATTTTGGTGTACTGTTGGGAAGGCATGATTGGTTTTGAAGTGTGAAATGGACATGAGATTCGGGAGGGTCCAGAGGCAGAATGATATTGTTAGACTTTGTGTCCCCACCCAAATCTCACCTTGAAATGTAATACCCAAATGTTGAGAAAAAGACCTGGTTGGAGGTGATTGGATCATGGGTACAGTTTGCTCTATGTTGTTCTCATGATAGTGAGTGAGTTCTCACAAGATCTGATGGTTTTATAAGCATCCTGCATTTCCCATGCTTGCACTTCTCTCTCCTGCCACCATATGAAAAAGGTCTTTGCTTCCTCTTTACCTTCTGCCATAATTCTAAGTTTCCTGAGGCCTCCCCAGTCATGTGAAACTGTGAGTCAATTAAACCTCTTTTTGTTATAAATTAACCAGTCTCAGGTAGTATTTTTATAGCAATGTGAAAATGGACCAATACAATATCCTTCAAACATAAAGGAGAAATAGACTTTCCCAGACAGACAAAACCTGAGGGATCCCATCAACACCAGACTACAAGAAATGCTAAAGCAAGTATGTAAATAAAAAAGAAAAAGATGTTAATGAGCAATAAAAGATCATCTGAAGGTATAAAACTCACTGGATAATAGTTAGCACACAGAAAAACACAGAATATTATAACACTAACTGTGGTTCATAAATTACTCTTACCTTAAGTAGAAAGACTAAATAATGAATAAATAAAAAATAATAACTACAACAACTTTTGAAGGCATAAGCAGTACAATAAAGTATGAATAGAAACAACAAAGTGAAAAAGTGGGGGAATATTTTTAATGTGTAGCATTTTTATACATTTCATTTTAGCTTGTTCGTTGATGCAACCAGTGTTGCTAAAAGCTTAAAATATATGGTTATACAATAGTACTTGCAAGTCTCATGGTAACCTCAAATCAAAAAACATACAATGGAATAAAAAAAAGCAAAAAATTAAATCATACCATCAGAAAAAAATTACCTTTACTAGAAGGAAGAAAGCAAGGATAAAAAGGAG
This sequence comes from Homo sapiens, assembly GCF_000001405.40. Taxonomy (NCBI): domain Eukaryota; kingdom Metazoa; phylum Chordata; class Mammalia; order Primates; family Hominidae; genus Homo; species Homo sapiens. The sequence goes on along the minus strand of NC_000023.11, from coordinate 66,980,864 downwards.
AAAAGCAAGGTGACAAAACAACAAGAAAACAGGTAAAAAAATGGCAGGAGTAATTTCTTAATAATAACATTGAATGTAAATGAAGTAAACTATCTGATCAAAAGGCATAGGCTGGCTAAATAAATTAACAAAAATGAAATACAATAATCTGTTGCCTACAAGAAATGCACTTCATCTATAAAGACATCAACTGTGAGTGAGAACATGCGGTGTTTGGTTTTTTGTCCTTGCAATAGTTTGCTGAGAGTGATTGTTTCCAGCTTCATCCATGTCCCTACAAAGGACATGAACTCATCATTTTTTATGGCTGCATAGTATTCCATGGTGTATATGTGCCACATTTTCTTAATCCAGTCTATCATTGTTGAAAATTTGGGCTGGTTCCAAGTCTTTGCTATTGTGAATAGTGCCACAATAAACATACATGTGCGTGTGCCTTTATAGTAGCATGATTTATAATCCTTTGGGTATATACCCAGTAATGGGATTGCTGGGTCAAATGGTATCTCTAGTTCTAGATCCCCGAGGAATTGCCACACTGTCTTCCACAATGTTTGAACTAGTTTACAGTCCCACCAACAGTGTAAAAGTGTTCCTATATCTCCACATCCTCTCCAGCACCTGTTGTTTCCTGACTTTTTAATGATTGCCATTCTAACTGGTGTCAGATGTTATCTTATTGTGGTTTTGATTTGCATTTCTCTGTTGAACAATGAGTACACATGGACACAGGAAGGGGAACATCACACACCGGGGACTGTTGTGGGGTGGGGGCAGTGGGGAGGGATAACATTAGGAGATATACCTAATGCTAAATGACGAGTTAATGGGTACAGCACACCAACATGGCACATGTATACATATGTAACAAACCTGCACGTGGTGCACATGTACCCTAAAACTTAAAGTATAATAATAATAAAATTAAAAAAGAGAGAAAGGGTTAAAGAAAGTTATCGTGCAAAAAATGAAAGGAATTAAAAATAAAAGATTAGAATGTGATGCTAAAAAAAAAGACATCAACTGAAAATAAACGGATGCAAAAAAAGTTTTCTATCAATAAAAACAAGAAAGAACAGGAATAGCTATAGTTGTAACAGCCAAAATAGATTTTAATATGAAAAATGAAAGAAGAGACAAAGAAGGTTACTATATAAAGATAAAGATGTCAATTAGCAAGAGAATATAAAAACTGTATACATATGTGCACCTAACACCAGAAAACAGAGATATGTAAAGCAAATACTATTATAGCTAAAGAGAGACAAAGGCTCCAATAAAAAAAAAAAAAAGCTGGTGATTTTATACCCCATTCTCAGCACTGAACACATCTTGCTGATAGAAAATCAACAAAGAAATATTGGACTTAATTTCTACTATAAACGAAATGGACTTAACAAAAATTTACAGAATATTTTGTCCAACAGTTGCAAATTTCATATACCTTTGCTCAGCAACACATAGCTTATTCTCAAGGATAGAACCTATTTTAAGTCACAAAAAAGTCTCAAAACATTTTAAAAAGATGAAATAATATCAAGCATCTTCTCTGACCACAATGGTATAAAATTAGAAATACAAAACAATAGAAATTTTAGAAACTAAAAAAAAAAAAGAAATTAAACAATATGTTCCTGAATGACACATGTTCTTCTTAATGAAGAAACTAGAAGAAAATTTGAAAATTTCTTGAAAAAAAGATAATGAAAATGCAGCATACTAAGGGATACAGAGAAAGCAGTACTGAGAGGAAAGCTTATAGCTGTAAGTGCCTATTTCAAAAAATACATTTATCAAACAACATAATAATGCATCTTTTTTTCTGTTTTTTTATTATACTTTAAGTTCTGGAGTACATGTGCAGAACCTGCAGTTTTGTTACATAGGTATACACGTGTCATGGTGGTTTGCTGCACCCATCAACCCCTCACCTGCATTAGGTATTTCTCCTAATGCTATCCCTCCCCTAGTCCCCCACCCAGTGACAGGCTCCGGTGTGTGATGTTCCCCTCCCTGTGTCCGTGTGTTCTCATTGTTCAACTCCCAATTGTGAGTGAGCATATGCAGTGTTTGGTTTTCTGATCCTGTGTTAGTTTGCTGAGAATGATGGTTTCCAGCTTCATCCGTGTCCCTGCAAAGGACATGAACTCATCCTTTTTTATGGCTGCATGGCATTCTGTGGTGTATATGTGCCACATTTTCTTAATCCACTCTATCATTGAGGGACATTTGGGTTTGTTCCAAGTCTTTGCTATTGTGAATGGTGCTGCAGCAAACATACGTGTGCATGTGTCTTTATCAGAAAATGATTTATAATCCTTGGGGTATATATCTACTAATGGGATTGCAGGGTTTCCTGACTTTTTAATGGTAGCCATTCTAAGTGGTGAGAAATGGTATCTCATTGTGGTTTTGATTTGCATTTCTCTAACGACAAGTGATGATGAGCATTTTTTTATACATTTGTTGGCTGCATAAATGTCTTCTTTTGAGAAGTGTCTTTTCATATCCTTTACCCAATTTTTGAGGGGGCTGTTTGTTTTGTTTATTTTTTCTTGTAAATTTGTTTAAGTTCTTTGTAGATTCTGGATATTAGTACCTTGTCAAAAGGATAGATTGCAAAATTTTTCTCCCATTCTGTAGGTTTCCTGTACACTCTGATGATAGTTTCTTTTGCTGTGCAGAAGCTCGTTAGCTTAATTAGACCACACTTGTCAATTTTGGTTTTTGTTGTCATTGTTTTTGGTGTTTTAGTCACGATGTTTTTGCCCGTGCCTATGTCCTGAATGGTATTGCCTATGTTTTCTTCTAGGATTTTTATGGATTTAGGTCTTATGTTTAAGCCTTTAATCCATCTTGTGTTAACTTTTGTATAAGGTATAAAGAAGGGTTCCAGTTTCAGTTTTCTGCATATGGCCACAAAGTTTTCATAACACCACTTATTAAATAGTAAATCATTTCCCCCTTGCTTGTTTTTGTCAGGTTTGTCAAAGATCAGATGGTTGTAGAAGTGTGGTGTCACTTCTGAGGTCTGTGTTCTGTTCCACTGTTCTATATATCTGTTTTGGTACAAGTACCATGCTGTTTTGGTTACAGTGGCCTTGTAGTATAGTTTGAGGTCAGGTAGTGTGATGCCTCCAGCATTGTTCTTTGTGCTTAGAATTCTCTTGACTATGCAAGCTCTTTTTTAGTTCCATATGAAATTTAAAATAGTTTTTTTCAAATTCTGTGAAGAAAGTCAATGGTAGCTTGATGGGGATAGCTTTGAATTTATAAATTATCTTGGGCAGTATGGCCATTTTCAAGATATTGATTCTTCCTATCTATGAGCATGAAATGTTTTCCATTTGCGTCCTCTCTTATTTCCTTGAGCAATGGTTTGTAGTTCTTCATGAAGAGATCTTTCACTTCCCTTGTAGGTTGTATTCCTGGATATTTTGTTCTCTTAGTAGCAATTGCAAATGGAAGTTCACTCATGATTTGGCTCTCTGTCTGTTATTGGTGTATAAGAATGCTTGTGATTTTTGCACATTGATTTTGTATCCTGAGACTTTGCTGAAGTTTCTTATCAGCTTAAGGAAATTTTGGACTGAGACGATGAGGTTTTCTAAATATACAATCATGTCATCTGCAAACAGAAACAATTTGACTTTCTTTTTTCCTATTTGAATACCCTTTATTTCTTTGTCTTGCTGATTGCCCTGGGTAGAAAATTCCAGTACTATGTAGAATACGAGTGGAGAGAGAGAGCATCCTTGTCTTGTGCTAGTTTTCAAAGGGAATGCTTCCCGTTTCTGCACATTCAGTATAATATTGGCTGTGGGTTTGTCATAAATGCCTCTTATTATTTTGAGATACGTTCCATCAATGCCTAGTTTATTGAGAGTTTTTAGCATGAAGGGCTGTTGAATTTTGTCAAAGGCCTTTTCTGCATCTATTGAGATAATCATGTGGTTTTTGTCGAATAAAGAAGAATCAAATAGACACAAAAAAATGACAAAGGAGATATCACCACCAATCCCACAGAAATGCAAACTACCATCAGAGAATACTATAAACGCCTCTATGCAAATAAACTAGAAAATCTAGAAGAAGTGGATAAATTCCTGGACACATACACGCTCCCAAGTCTAAACCAGGAAGAAGTTAAATCACTGAGTAGACCAATAACCGGCTCTGAAATTGAGGCAATAATTAATAGCCTACCAACCAAAAAAGTCAGGACCAGACGGATTCACAGCCAAATTCTATCAGAGATACAAAGAGGAGCTGGTACCATTCCTTCTGAAATTATTCAAATCAATAGAAAAAGAAGGAATCCTCCTTAACTCATTTTATGAGGCCAGAATCATCCTGATACCAAAGCCTGGCAAAGACACAACTAAAAAAGAGAATTTTAGACCAATATCCCTGATGAACGTAGATGTGAAAATCCTCAATACAATACTGGCAAACTGAATCCAGCAGCACATCAAAAAGCTTATCCACCACGGTCAAGTCGGCTTCATCCCTGGGAAACAAGGCTGCTTCAACATATGCAAAGCAATAAACATAACCCATCACATAAACAGGACCAACAGCAAAAAACACATGATTATCTCAATACATGTAGAAAAGACCTTGGACAAAATTCAACAGCTTTTATGCTAAAAACTCTCAATAAACTAGGTATTGATGGACTGTATCTCAAAATAAGAAGAGCTATTTATTACAAACCCACAGCCAATATCATACTGAATGGGTAAAAACCGGAGGCATTCCCTTTGAAAACCGGCACAAGACAAGGATGGCCTCTCTCACCACTGCTATTCAACAAAGTGTTGGAAGTTCTGGCCAGGGTAATCAGGCAAGAGAAAGAAATAAAGTGTATTCAATTAGGAAACGAGGAAGTCAAATTGTTCCTGTTTGCAGATGACATGATTGTATATTTAGAAAACCCCATCATCTCAGCCAAAACTCTCCTTAAGCTGAGAAGCAAATTCAGCGAAGTCTCAGGATACAAAATCAATGTGCAAAAATCACAATGATTCCTATACACCAATAACAGACAGCAGAGAGCTAAATCATGAGCGAGCTTCCATTCACAGTTGCTACAGAGAGAATAAAATACCTAGGAATCCAACTTACAAGGGAAGTGAAGGACCTCTTCAAGGTGAACCACAAACCACTGCTCAACAAAATAAAAGAGACACAAACAAATGGAAGGACATTCCATGCTCATGGATAGAAAGAATTAATATTATGAAAATGGCCATACTGCTCAAGGTAATTTATAGATTCAATGCCATCCCCATCAAGCTACCAATGACTTTCTTCACAGAATTGGAAAAAACTACTTTAAAGTTCATATGGAACCAAAAAAGAGCCCACATTGCAAAGACAATCCTAAGCAAAAAGAACAAAGCTGGAGGCATCACTCTACCTGACTTCAAACTATACTACAAGGCTACAGTAACAAAAACAGCATGGTATTGGTATCTCAACAAATATATAGACCAATGGAATGGAAGCGAGACCTCACAAATAACACCACACATCTACAACCATCTGATCTTTGGAAACCTGACAAAAACAAGCAAGGGGGGAAAGGATTCCCTATTTAATAAATGGTGCTGGGAAAACTGGCTAGCCGTATGTAGAAAGCTGAAACTGGATTTCCTCCTTACAACTTACACAAAAATTAATTCAAGGTGGATTGAAGACTGAAATGTTAGACCTAAAACCACAAAAACCCTAGAAGGAAACCTAGGCAATACCATTCAGGACACAGGCATGCGCACAAGAACTTCATGTCTAAAAAGCCAAAAGCAATGGCAACCAAATCCAAAATTGACAAATGGGATCTAATTAAACTAAAGCACTTCTGTACTTCAAAAGAAACTACCATCAGAGTGAACAGGCAACCTACAGAATGGGAGAACATTTTTGCAATCTACCCATCTGACAAAGGCTAATATCCAGAATCTACAAAGAATGCAAACAAGTTTACAAGAAAAAACAAACAAAAGTGGGCAAAGGGTATGAACAGACACTTCTCAAAATAAGACATCTATGCAGCCAACAGACACATGAAAAAATACTCATCATCACTGGTCATCTGAGAAATGCAAATCAAAACCACAATGAGATACCATCTCACACCAGTTAGAATGGAGATAATTAAAAAGTCAGGAAACAACAGATGCTGGAGAGATGTGGAGAAATAAGAATGCTTTTACACTGTTGGTGGGAGTGTAAACTAGTTTAACCATTGTGGAAGACAGTGTGGCAATTTCTCAAAGATCTAGAACATGAAATACCATTTGACCCTGCAATCCCATTACTGAGTATATACCCAAAGGATTATAACTTATGCTACTATAAAGACACATGCATACGTATGTTTATTGTGGCACTATTGACAATAGCAAAGACTTGGAACCAACCCAAATGTCCATCAAAGATAGACTGGATTAAGAAAATGTGGCACGTATACACCATGGAATACTATGCAGCCATAAAAAGGATAAGTTCATGTCCTTTGCAGGTACATGGATGAAGCTGGAAACCATCATTTGTCAGCCAACTATCACAAGATTAGAAAACCAAACACCTCAGGTTCTCACTCATAGGTGGGAATAGAACAATGAGAACACCTGGACACATGGTGGGAAACATCACACACCAGGGCCTGTCAGGGGTTGGGAGTCTGTGGGAGGTATAGCATTAGGAGAAATACCTAATGTAAATGACAAGTTAATGGGTGCAGCACACCAACATGGCACACGTATACCTAGGTATCAAACCTGCATGTTGTGCACATGTGCCCCAGAACTTAAAGTATAATTTTAAAAAATCTGTCTTATAAAAAAAAATTCCCTCTCCACTCTGCTTTAAATGTGTCCCAGAGATTCTGGTACATTGGGTCTTTGTTCTCATTGGTTTGAAAGACCATCTTTATTTCTGCTTTCATTTCAATATTTATCCAGTAGTCATTCAGGAGCAGGTTGTTCAGTTTTCATGTAGTTGTGTGGTTTTTACTCAGTTTCTTAATGCTGAGTTCTAATTTGATTACACTGTGGTCTGAGAGGCTGTTTGTTATTATTTCCATTATTTTGCATTTGCTGAGGAGTGTTTCACTTCCAATTATGTGGTCAATTTTAGAATAAGAGCGATGAGGTGCTGAGAAGAATGTATACTCTGTTTATTTGGCTTGGAGAGTTCTGTAAATGTCTATCAGGTCAGCTTGGTCGAGAGCTGAGTTCAAGTTCTGAATATCTTTGCTAAGTTTGTCTCTTTGATCTTTCTAATATTGCCAGTGGGGTGTTGAAATCTCCCACTATTATTGTGTTGGAGTCTAAGTCTCTTTGTAGGTCTCTAAGAACTTGCTTTATGAATCTGGGTGCCCCTTTATTGAGTGTATATATATTTAGGAAAGTTAGCTCTTCTTGTTGCATTGATCCCTTTACCATTATATAATGCACTTCTTTGTTCTTTTGATCTTTGTTGGTTTACAGTCTTTTACCAGAGATTAGGATTGCAACTCCTGCTTTTTTTTTTTTTGCTTTCCATTTGCTTGGTAAATATTCCTCCATCCCTTTATTTTGAGCCTATGTGTGTCTTTACACATGACATGGGCCTCCTGAATACAGCAGACCAATGGGTTTTGACTCTTTATCCAATTTGCCAGTCTGTGACTTTTTATTGGTGAATTTAGCTCATTTACATTTCAGGTGAATATAATTATGTGTGAATTTGATCCTGTGACTATGATACAAGCTCGTTATTTTGCCCAATAGTTGATGCAGTTTCTTCATAGTGTTGATGATCTTTACGATTTGTTTTGTTTTTGCAGTGGCTGGTAATGGTTTTTACTTTCCATGTTTACTGCTTCCTTCAGGGACTCTTGTGAGACAGGCCTGGTGGTGACAAAATCTCTCAGCATTTCCTTCTCTGTAAAGAATTTTATTTCTCCTTTGCTTATGAAACTTAGTTTGGTTGCATATAAAATTCTGGGTTGAAAATTATTTTGAGGCCAGCATCATCCTGATACCAGAGCTGGGCAGAGACACAACAAAAAAAGAGAATTTTAGAACAATATCCTTGATGAACATTGATGCAAAAATCCTCGATAAAATACTGGCAAACCGAATCCAGCAGCACATCAAAAAGCTTATCCACCATGATCAAGTGGGCTTCATCCCTGGGATGCAAGGCTGGTTCCATATATGCAAATCAATAAATGTAAACCAGCATATAAACAGAACCAAAGACAAAAACCACATGATTATCTCAATAGATGCAGAAAAGGCCTTTGACAAAATTCAACAACACTTCATGCTAAAAACTCTCAATAAATTAGGTATTGATGGGACGTATCTCAAAATAATAAGAGCTATCTACGACAAACCCACAGCCAATATCATACTGAATGGGAAAAAACTGGAAGTATTCCCTTTGAAAACTGGCACAAGACAGGGATGCCCTCTCTCACCACTCCTACACAACATAGTGTTGGAAGTTCTGGCCAGGGCAATTAGGCAGGAGAAGGAAATAAAGGGTATTCAATTAGGAAAAGAGGACGTCAAATTGTCCCTGTTTGCAGATGACATGATTGTATATCTAGAAAATCCCATTGTCTCAGCCCACAATCTCCTTAAGCTGATAAGCAACTTCAGCAAAGTCTCAGGATACAAAATGAATGTACAAAAAACACAAGCATTCTTATACACCAATAACAGACAAACAGAGAGCCAAATCAGGAGTGAACTCCCATTCGCAATTGCTTCAAAGAGAATAAAATAACTAGGAATCCAACTTACAAGGGATGTGAAGGACCTCTTCAAGGAGAACTACAAACCACTGCTCAATGAAATAAAAGAGGATACAAACAAATGGAAGAACATTCCATGCTCATGGGTAGGAAGAATCAATATCATGAAAATGGCCATACTGCCCAAAGTAATTTATAGATTCAATGCCATCCCCATCAAGCTACCAAAGACTTTCTTCACAGAATTGGAAAAAACTACTTTAAAGTTCATATGGAACCAAAAAAGAGCCCACATTGCCAAGTCAATCCCAAGCCAAAAGAACAAAGCTGGAGGCATCACACTACCTGACTTCAAACTATACTACAAGGCTACACTAACCAAAACAGCATGGTACTGGTACCAAAACAGAGATATAGATCAATGGAACAGAACAGAGAGCTCAGAAATAACACCACATATCTACAACTATCTGATCTTTGACAAACCTGAGAAAAACAAGCAATGGGGAAAGAATTCTCTATTTAATAAATGGTGCTGGGAAAACTGGCTAGCAATATGTAGAAAGCTGAAACTGGATCCCTTCCTTACACCTTATACAAAAATCAATTCAAGATGGATTAAAGACTTAAACGTTAGACCTAAAACCATAAAAACCCTAGAAGAAAACCTAGGCATTACCATTCAGGACATAGGCACGTGCAAGGACTTCATGTCTAAAACACCAAAAGCAATGGCAACAAAAGCCAAAATTGACAAATGGGATCTAATTAAACTAAAGAGCTTCTGCACAGCAAAAGAAACTACCATCAGAGTGAACAGGCAACCTACAGAATGGGAGAAAATTTTCACAACCTACTCATCTGACAAAGGGCTAATATCCAGAATCTACAATGAACTCGAACAAATTTACAAGGGAAAAACAAACAACCCCAACAAAAAGTGGGTGAAGGACATGAACAGACACTTCTCAAAATAAGACATTTATGCAGCCAAAAGACACATGAAAAAATGCTCACCATCACTGGCCATCAGAGAAATGCAAATCAAAACCACAATGAGATACCATCTCACACCAGTTAGAATGGCAATCATTAAAAAGTCAGGAAACAACAGGTGCTGGAGAGGATGTGGAGAAATAGGAACACTTTTACACTGTTGGTGGGCCTGTAAACTAGTTCAACCATTGTGGAAGTCAGTGTGGCGATTCCTCAGGGATCTAGAACTAGAATTACCATTTGACCCAGACATCCCATTACTGGGTATATACCCAAAGGATTATAAATCATGCTGCTGTAAAGACACATGCACACGTATGTTACTGCAGCACTATTCACAATAGCAAAGACTTGGAACCAACCCAAATATCCAACAATGATAGACTGGATGAAGAAAATGAGGCACATATGCACCATGGAATACTATGCAGCCATAAAAAATGATGAGTTCATGTCCTTTGTAGGGACATGGATGAAGTTGGAAATCATCATTCTCAGTAAACTATCACAAGAACAAAAAACCAAACACCGCATATTCTCACTCATAGGTGGGAATTGAACAATGAGAACACATGAACACAGGAAGGGGACATCACACTCAGGGGACTATTGTGGGGTGGGGAGGAGGGGGGAGGGATAGCATTGGGAGATATACTTAATGCTAGATGACAAGTTAGTGGGTGCAGTGCACCAGCATGTCACATGTATACATATGTAACTAACCTGCCCATTGTGCACATGTACCCTAAAACTTAAAGTATAATCATAATAATAATAATAATAAAAGAAAATTATTCTGTTTAAGAATGTAGAATATTGGCCCCCACTCTCTTCTGGCTTGTAGGGTTTCTGCAGTGACATCCACCATTAGCCTGATGGGCTTCCCTTTGTGAGTAACCTGACCTTTCTCTCTGGCTGCCCTTAACATTTTTTTCTTCATTTCAGCCTTGCTGAATCTGACTATTATGTGTCTAGGGGTTGTTCTTCTCGAGGAGTATCTTTGTGGTGTTTTCTATATTTCCTGAATGTGAATGTCAGCCTGTCTTGCTAGGTTGGGGAAGTTCTCCTGGATAACATCCTGAAGAGTGTTTTCCAACTTTGTTCCATTCTCACCGTCACTTTCAGGTACATCAGTCAAATGTAGGTTTGGTCTTTTCACATAGTCCCATATTTCTCGGAGGCTTTGTTCATTCCTTTTTATTCTTTATTCTCTAATCTTGCCTTCTCATATTATTTCATTAAGTTGATCTTCAATCTCTTATATCCTTTCTTCCACTTGACTGATTCAGCTGTTCATACTTGTGTATGCTTCACAAAATTCGTGTGCTGTGTTTTTCAGCTCTGTCAGGTCATTTGTGTTCTTCTCTAAACTGATTATTCTAGTTAGCAATTCATCTCACCTTTTTTCAAGGTTCTTAGCTTCCTTGCATTGGGTTAGAACATGCTTCTTTAGCCCAGAGGAGTTTGTTATTACCCACCTTCTGAAGCCTACTTCTGTCAGTTCATCAAACTCATTCCCTGTCCAGTTTTGTTCCCTTGCTGGTGACAAGTTGTTATCCTTTGGAGGAGAAGAGGCATTTTTGTTTTTGAAATTTTCAGCCTTTTTGCACTGGTTTCTCCCCATCTTTTTGGATTTATCTACATTTGTTCTTTGATGTTCATGACCTTCAGATGAGATCTTTGAGTGTATGTGCCCTTCCTTTCTGTTTGTTAGTTTTCATTCTAACTGTAAGTCCCCTCTGCTGCAGGTCTGCTAGAGCTTGCTGGACCCCTACTCCAGACCCTGTTTCTCTGGTATCACCAGTGGAGGCTGCAGAACAGCAAAGATTACTGCCTGTTCTTTTGTCTGGAAGATTTGTCCCAGAGGGGCATCTGCCAGATGTCAGCCAGAGCTCTCCTGTATGACGTGTCTATCAGCCCCTACTGGGAGGTGTCTCCCAGTCAGGATACATGGGGTTCAGCGAACCACTTGAGGAGGCAGTCTGACCCTAAGCAGAGCTCGAATGCTGTGCTGGGAGATCTGTTGCTCTCTTCAGAGCTGTCAGGCAGGCATGTTTAAGTCTGCTGAAGCTGCACCCACAGCTGCCCCTTCCTCCAGGTGCTCTGTCCCAGGGAGATGGGGGTTTTATCTTAAGTCCCTGACTGGGGCTGTTGCCTCTTTTTCAGAGATGCCCTGCCCAGAGAGGAGAAATTGGGGAGTCTGGCCACAGCGGCCTTGCTGAGCTGCCATGGGCTCCACCTAGTTCAAATTTCCCAGTGACTTTATTTACACTGTGATGGTAAAACCGCTTACTCAAGCCCCAGCAATGGCAGACACCCCTCCTCCCACCAAGCTGGAGTGTCCCAGGTTGATCTCAGACTGCTGCTGTGCTGGCGGCAAGAATTTCAAGGCTGTAGATCTTAGTTTGCTGGGCTCCGTGGGTGTGGGACCCACTGAGCCAGACTACATGGCTCCCTGGCTTCAGCCCCCTTCCTAGGAAAGTGAACAGTTCTGTTTCACTGGCATTGCAAGCACCACTGGACTATGAAAAGAAAAAGAAAAAGAAAAAGAAAAAGAAAACTCTCTTGCAGCTAGTTTGGTGTCTGCGCAAATGGCCATCCAGTTTTGTGCTTGAAGCCCAAGGCCTTGGTGGGGTAGGCACTGGAGGGAATCTCCTGGTTTGTGGGTCGCGAAGACCATGGGGAAAGTGCAGTATCTTGGCTGGAATGCACTGTTCCTTAGGCTCATTCCCTAATGGCTTCCCTTGGGTAGGGGAGAAAATTCCCCACTACTTGCACTTCCCGAGTGAGGCAACGTCCCACCCTGCTTTGGTTCACCCTCCGTGGGCTGCACCCACTGTGCAACCATTCCCAGTGAAATGAACTGCAGACCACAGTTAGAAATGCAGAAATCACCTACCTTTTTCATCAATATCACTGGGAGCTGCAGACTGGTGCAGTTTTTATTCGGACATATTGCCAGCAGTCCCAATAATGCATCTAATACACTAAAACAGAAAAATCAATCTTAACATAAAATTAGTGGAATAAAAGAAATTCCAAGGATCAGAGCAGAAATAAATTTAAAATACAGAAAACAATTAAAAAGAGCAATAAAATAAAAAGTTGGCTTTTTAAAAAAGCAAATAAAATTGACAAACTTTTAGCCAGACTAAGAAAAAAAGAGAGAAAACCAAAATAAATAAAATCAGAAATGAAAAAGCAGACATTACAACATGTATTGCAAAAATCCAAAGGCTCATTATTGGCTATTATGATCAACTATATATCAATACATTCAAAAATCTAGAAGATATGGACAACTTCCTAGACATATACAACCTACAAAACTGAACAATGAAGAAATCCAAAACCTGAACAGACGAGTAACAAGTAATAATATTAAAGCCATAATATAAAGGCTCTGAGGAAATAAAAACCTGGAACCTGATGGTTTTACAGCTGATTATTTTTTTAGATGGAGTCTCACTCTGTCACCAGTCTGGAGTGCAGTGGCATGATCTCCGCTCACTGCAACTTCTGCATCCCGGGTTCAAATGATTCCCCTGAGTGAGCCTCTCGAGTAGCTGAGACTACAGGTGCATGCCACCATGCCCAGCTAATTTTTGTATTTTTAGTACAGATGGGGTTTCATCATGTTGGCCAGCATGGTTTTGATCTCTTTACCTCATGATCCTCCCGCCTCAGCCCCGCAAAGTGCTAGGATTACAGATGTGAGCCACCGTGCCTGGCCTGCTGAATTTTGAAAAACATTTAAACTAATACCAATTCTACTCAAATTATTCTGAAACATAGAAAATAAAGGAACACTTCCAAGCTCACTCTATACAGCCAGTATTACTGTGATACCAAACCAGACAAAGACACATTAAAAAAAAACAAAACTATAAGCCAATATAACTGATAGGTATAGATGCAAAAATCCTTTAGAAAATACAAGAAAATCTGTTTTAAAAACATCTTAAAAAGATTATTCATCATTACCAAGTGGGATTTATCCCTGGGAAGCAAGGATAGTTCAACATACACAAATAAATTAAGGTGATACATCTTATTGGAAGAATAAAGGGAAAAAATATACGATTATTTCAACTGATGCTGAAAAGTTATTTGATAAAATTCAACATTCATTTATAATAAAATCCCTCAAAAAGCAGGGTATAGAGGGAACTTACCTCAACATAATAAAAGCCATTTACGACAGGCCCAGAGCTAGTATCATACTGAATGGCAAAACAACTGAACGCCTTTTTTCTAAGATTGAGAAAATAGCAAGGATGCCCACTTTCACTACTGTTATTCAATATAGTAATGGTAGACTTCACTTGTGAATTAAACAAGATAAAGAAATAAAGGACAAATAAACTGAAAAGGAAGAAGTCAAATTATTCATGCCTGTGGATGATATAATCTTATATTGGGAGAAATTTAATGACTCCACCAAAAAACTTTTAGAACAAATAAACAAATTTAGTAAATTTTCAGAATATAAAATCAACATACAATAATCAGTAGCATTTTTATATGCCAACAGTGAAAAATCTGAAAAAGAAACCAAAAATAATCTCATTTACAATAGGTACATATATAAAATATCTATGTATTAACTTAATGAAATAAACATAAGATCTCTATAATGAAAACTATGAAATAGTGATGCAAAAAATTGAAGAAAGCACGGAAAAATGGAAAGAAATTCCATGTTTATGAATTTGAAGAACTAATATTGTTAAAATATGCATACTACTCAAAGAAGTCTAAAGATTCCAGCAAACTCCAACAGACCTGCAGCTGAGGGTCCTGACTATTAGAAGGAAAACTAACAAACAGAAAGGACATCCACAACAAAAACCCATCTGTATGTCACCATTATCAAAGACCAAAGGTAGATAAAACCGCAAAGATGGGGAAAAGGAGCAGAAAAAACGGAAACTCTAAAAATCAGAGCGCCTCTCCTCCTCTAAAGCAACGCAGCTCCTCGCCAGCAACGGAACAAAGCTGGACGGAGAATGACTGACGAGTTGAGAGAAGAAGGCTTCAGAAGATCAAACTACTGCGAGCTAAAGCAGGAAGCTTGAACCAATAGCAAAGAAGTTAAAAACTTCGAAAAAAAAATAGACGAATGGATAACTAGAATAACCAATGCAGAGAAGTCCTTAAAGGACTTGATAGAGCTGAAAACCATGGCACTAGAACTACGTGACGAATGCACAAGCCTCCGTAGCCAACACGATCAACTGGAAGAAGGGGTATCAGCAATGGAAGACGAAATGAATGAAAGAAGTGAGAAGAGAAGTTTAGAGAAAAAAGAATAAAAAGAAACGAACAAAGCCTCCAAGAAATATGGGACTATGGGAAAAGACCAAATCTACATCTGATTGGTATACCTGAAAGTGACTGGGAGAATGGAACCAAGTTGGAAAACACTCTGCAGGACATTATCCAGGAGAAATATCTGGATTACCCAATCTAACAAGGGAGGCCAACATTCAAATTCAGGAAATACAGAGAATGCCACAAAGATACTCCTCGAGAAGAGCAACTCCAAGACACATAATTGTCAGATTCACCAAAGTTGAAATGAAGGAAAACATGTTAAGGGCAGCCAGAGAGAAAGGTCAGGTTACCCATAAAGGGAAGCCCATCAGACTAACAGCTCATCTCTCAGCAGAAACCCTACAAGCCAGAAGAGAGTGGGGGCCAATATTCAACATTCTTAAAGACAAGAATTTTCAACCCAGAATTTCATATCCAGCCAAACTAAGCTTCATAAGTGAAGGAGAAATAAAATCCTTTACAGACAAGCAAATGCTGAGAGATTTTGTCACCACCAGGCCTGCCCTAAAAGAGCTCCTGAAGGAAGCACTAAACATGCAAAGGAACAACCAGTACCAGCCACTGCAAAAACATGCCAAATTGTAAAGACCATCGAGGCTAGGAAGAAACTGCATCAACTAACGAGCAAAATAAACAGCTAACATCATAATGACAGGATCAAATTCACACATAACAATATTAACCTTAAATGTAAATGGGTGAAATACTCCAATTAAAAGACACAGACTGGGAAATTGGATAAAGATTCAAGAGCCATCAGTGTGCTGTATTCAGGAACCCCATCTCACGTGCAGAGACACACATAGGCTCAAAATAAAGGGATGGAGGAAGATCTACCAAGGAAATGGAAAACAAAAAAAGGCAGGGGTTGCAATCCTAGTCTCGGATAAAACAGATTTTAAACCAACAAAAATCAAAAGAGACAAAGAAGGCCATTACATAATGGTAAAGGGATCAATTCAACAAGAAGAACTAACTAACCCTAATATATATGCACCCAATACAGGAGCACCCAGATTCATAAAGCAAGTCCTGAGTGACCTACAAAGAGACTTAGACTCCCACACAATAATAATGGGAGACTTTAACACCCCATTGTCAACATTAGACATATCAACGAGACAGAAAGTTAACAAGGATATCCAGGAATTGAACTCAGCTCTGCACCAAGCAGACCTAATAGACATCTGCAGAACTCTCCACCCCAAATCAACAGTATGGCCATTTTCACGATATTGATTCTTCCTATACATGAGCATGGAATGTTTTTCCATTTGTTTGCATCCTCTCTTATTTCCTTGAGCAGTGATTTGTAGTTCTCTTTGAAGAGGTCCTTCACTTCCCTTGTAAGTTAGATTCCTAGGTATTTCATTCTCTTTGTAGCAATTTTAAATGGGAGTTCACTCATGATTTGGCTCTCCATTTGTCTATTATTGGTTTATAGGAAAACTTGTGATTTTTGAATATTGATTTTGTATTCTGACACTTTGCTTAAGTTGCTTATCAGCTTAAGGAGATTTTGAGCTTAGATGATGGGGTTTTCTAAATATACAATCATGTCATCTGCAAACAGAGACATCCTGCTCAAGTATCCCAGAAGTTAAAGTATAAAAATAGCATCAAAGCCTCTGTGACATATGGGACATCATAAAGTGAACAAATATTCAAATTTCCAGAGTCCTGAAAGGCAAAATGAAAATTAATAGATGAAAATAGAACAAAACCAGAAAACTTACTTAACAAAAAAACTAAAAGATGAAAATTTCCAAAGTCTAGCAAGACATGTAGACATCCAGATACAGGAGTTTCAGAGATTCCCAAATAGATACAATGCAAAAGGGTCTTCTATACATCATATAATATTCAAAAGTCAAAGATAAAAAGAGAATTCTAAAAGCAGCAAGAAAAGAGCGTCTATTCATCTATAAAGTCACCCGCATCAGAGTAACAGTGGATTTCTTAGTGGAAACCTTACAAAACAGGACAGAATGGAATGATGTATTCAAAGTGTTGAAAGAAAAAAAAAAAACCTGCCAGTCAAAGATACTATATCCAGCAAAACTATACTTCCTAAATGAAGGAGAAACAGTCTTTCTCATACAAGCAAAAGCTGATGAAATTCATAGCCACTAGACTGGACCTACAAGAAATTCTTGAAGGAGTCCTACCACCAGATGTGAAAGAACCTTATCTACTTTTATGGAAGTATAAAAAAAACACAGGTAGAGAAAATACACAAACAAAAGAGAAAAGACTCAAATGTTACCACTAGAGAAAACTACCAAATCACAATGATAAACAATAAGAGAGAAAGAAAAGAACAGAAAATATTCAAAGCAGCAAACAATTATTTAATAAATTGACAGGAATATACTCTCACATGCCTAGAGTAACTTGAATGTAAATGGCTTATAGTTTCCACTTAAAAGATAAAGACTGACTGAAATATTTTTTTAAATCACTTAACCATAGGCTGCCTACAAGAAAATCAACTTCCCTGTAATGAAATACAGATTGAAAAGAAAAAAAATGTAAAAAGTATTCCATGCAAAAATAAGCAGAAGTACCTACACTTAGATAAAACAGACATTAAGTCAAAAACTGTAACAAGAGACAAAGAAGTTCATTATATATTGACAAAGGGACTATTTCATCAAGAGGATATAACAATTATAAACATATATGCACCCAATACTGAAGCACCCAGATATATAAACCAAATTCTATTAGATTTAAAGGGAGCAATAGACTACAATTTAATAACAGTTTCATACTTCAACACTCCACACTCAACATTAGACATATTAACAAAGAAAAATTAGACAAAAAAATTAACATAGAATATTAACAAAGAAACATTGGATTTTAACTACACATTAAACCAAACAGACCTAACAGACATTTATGGAGCAGTTAATCCTACAGTTACAGAATAAAGTTTCTCCTCCTCAGCACATGGAATATTCTTCAGGACAGGCTATATGTTAGAATGCAAAACAAATATTGAAAACTTTTTAAAAATTGAAGTCATATTAAGTTTCTTCTCAGATCACAATGGAATAAAAGTAGAAATTCAAAACAAGAGAAACATTAAAAATTACACAATACATAGAAATTAAACAGTATGATGCTGAACAATCATTAGATTAATAAAAGAATTGAGAAATATATCAAAACATTTTTTGAAACAAACAAAAATTGAAGCAGCATACCAGAACATATGAGATACAGAAAAAGTACTGCTTAGAGGAAAGTATATAGCAGTAAGTGCATACATAGAAAAGTAGATGATTTTAAGTAAAAAATCTAATGATGCACCTCAAGGAACAAGAAAAACAAGACAGGAAGCAGAGCAAGGTGATGGAATGAAATGTTCTGTGGATGATTGTACCCCCTGCAAGGACACCAATTTAACAACTATTTACACAGAAAAAAAAAAGGAGAAAAACAAACAGTTCATAAGAACCAAAAATCAGGTAAGCACTCATAGTACCTACTTTTAACCTCGTTTTACTGAAAGAGTCACTGAAGAAGTAAAAAAAAAATTTTGAATTGCTGATATCACCCCTCCTCCACCCCACTGCCCAGGAGCAGCAGAGTAATGCAGAAAGCATCTCTGGGCCCTGCAGGAGAGAACACAACAATTGTGAGGCATAAATCTCAGTGCTATTCTGTTATAGCAGAAAAGAAAGTCAACCACACTCAGCTGACACTTGCCTACAGAGGAAGTGTTTAAAGCAGTCCTAGCCAGAGGGGAACAAATGATTCTAGAGGCTTGAAAATGAGTGCCTGTGAATCTTGCCACAGGGGTCTACAGCACTCTGTGTCTCCAAAGTAAATTTGAAAGGCAGTGTAACCCATAAGAACTGCAACTCTTAGGCAAATTCTAGTGCTGAACTAGGCAAGATAGTGGACGGGGGTCACGTGACATACTGAGACACCAACTGGGGCAGCTAAGGTAGTGCTGGTATCACCCCTTCCCTAACCACAGACTGCACAACTTGAGGCTCCAAAAGAGAGTTCTTTCTTCCACTTCAGAAGAGGAGAGGGAAGAGTGAGGATGACTACGTTTTGCATCTAAGATACCAGCTCACCTACACCAGGATAGGGAAACTTTCAGAGTCATGAGGATCCCGTTTTAAGATCTATCTCCCAGAAAATATTTCTAGACACATCATGGTCTGGAAGAAAACAGTATGCCTTGCAGTCAATCTTAAGCCAAAAGAACAAAGCTGGAGGCATCATGCTACCTGACTTCAAACTATACTACAAGGCTACAGTAACCAAAACAGCATGGTACTGGTACTAAAACAGAGATATAGACCAATGGAACAGAACAGAGTCCTCAGAAATAATGCCACATACTTACAACTATCTGTTCTTTGACAAACCTGACAAAAACAAGAAATGGGGAAAGGATTCCTTATTTAATAAATGGTGATGGGAAAACTGGCTAGACATATGTAGAAAGCTGAAACTGGATCCCTTCCTTACACCTTATACAAAAATCAATTCAAGATGGATTAAAGACTTAAACGTTAGACCTAAAACCATAAAAACCCTAGAAGAAAACCTAGGCAATACCATTCAGGACATAGGCATGGGCAAGGACTTCATGTCTAAAACACCAAAAGCAATGGCAACAAAAGCCAAAATTGACAAATGGGATCTAATTAAACTAAAGGGCTTCTGTACAGCAAAAGAAACTACCATCAGAGTGAACAGGCAACCTACAGAATGGGAGAAATTTTTTGCAATCTACTCATCTGACAAAGGGCTAATATCCAGAATCTACAATGAACTCAAACAAATTTACAAGAAAAAAAGAAACAACCCTATCAAAAAGTGGGCGAAGGATATGAACAGACACTTCTCAAAAGAAGACTTTTAAGTAGCCAAAAAACACATGAAAAAATGCTCATCATCACTGGCCATCAGAGAAATGCAAATCAAAACCGCCATGAGATACCATCTCACACTAGTTAGAATGGTGATCATTAAAAAGTCAGGAAACAATAGGTGCTGGAGAGGATGTGGAGAAATAGGAACACTTTTACACTGTTGGTGGGACTGTAAACTAGTTCAACCATTGTGGAAGTCAGTGTGGCTATTCCTCAGGGATCTAGAACTAGAAATACCATTTGACCCAACCATCCCATTACTGGGTATATACCCAAAGGATTATAAATCATGCTGCTATAAAGACACATGCACACGTAAGTTTATTGCGGCACTATTCACAATAGCAAAGACTTGGAACCAAGCCAAATGTCCAACAACGACAGACTGGATTAAGAAAATGTGGCACATATACACCATGGAATACTATGCAGCCATAAAAAATGATGAGTTCATGTCCTTTGTAGGGACATGGATGAAACTGGAAACCATCATTCTCAGCAAACTATCGCAATGACAAAAAACCAAACACTGCATGTTCTCACTCATAGGTGGGAATTGAACAATGAGAACACATGGACACAGGAAGGGGAACATCACACACCGGGGACTGTTGTGGGGTGGGAGGAGGGGGGAGGGATAGCATTAGGTGATCTACCTAATGCTAAATGATGAGTTAATGGGTGCGGCATACCAACATGGCACATGTATACATATGTAACAAAACTGCACATTGTGCTCATGTACCCTAAAACTTAAAGTATAATAATAATAATAATAAATAATAATAATGATAATATTGACCAAAAATAAAAAGGACCCAGTCCTGGCAGCATTCATCACCTGCTAGCTGAAGACTCCTTGGGCCCTGCATAACCAGCCACAATACCCAGGTACTATGTTGAGGGTCTTGGGTGAGCCTCTGAGACTTGCTGGCTTCAGGTGAGACTCAGCACATAACCAGCTCTGATGACTACAGAGCAAAACTCCATCTTCTTGAGAAAAGTGGAGTGTAAAGTAAATGGGACTTTGTCTGGCACCTTAGATGCCAGCATGGCCACAGGGAAGTAGAGCACCAGGTGGACTCTTGGAGTCCCCACTTCCATAAATTGACTGTAGGATAGCATTTCTAGTCCTGCTCTGAGTCAGAGAGGAGCCCACCTCTGTGAAGGGTGATTTCCAGGCAAGGCAGCATTTACCAAAGGCTGCCTTAAGAGCCCTTGGGCTTTAAGGGAACATTGGTGGTATTCTGGTAGTATTCACTGTGGTCTGTGGTGGTAAAGATTATGGGGTAAGTCTCCTCTGCCTTTGGAAACAATAATGAAGAGTGGGAAGAACTGCACCTTATGGTTTGAGTGCCAGCTCAGCCATAGTATAATAGAGCAATAAGCAGACTTCTAAGGGTTTTTACTCTAGTCCCTGACTCCTGGACAGCACCTCTGGACCCACCTGGGGCATGAGGGACCTTGTCACCTTAAAGGGAAGAACACAGGCCTGGATGGCTTTGCCACAGGCTGATTGTAGAACCCCAGGGCCAAGAGTGAAGATAGGCAGTAGGCAGGGAGTGTTTACAGCAGGTCTTGTGCAAGACTCAGTGCTGTGTTAGCTTCGGGTCGGACGCAACACAATCATAGTAGTGGTGCCCCCAAGGGTGCTTGTGCCACTAGATCCCCAGCTATACATGCTCCGAACAGAGATAGAGATACTTTGTTTGTTTTGAAGAGAGTAAGGAAAGAGAACAAGAGTCTCTGCCTGGTAATGCAGAGAATTGTGGATCTTATTCAGAACCATGAAGGCAGTACCTCTATGAGTCTGCAAGAACCACAGACTTACTGGGCTTGGGGTGCCCCCTAAAGTAGACACAGCTCAGATCACAATATCCAAGGACTTTGAATATCTGGAAAGCCTTCTCATGAAGGATGAGTACAAATAAGCCCTGACAATAAAGAATGCAATGAATACCTAACTCTTAAATGTCCAGAAAAAACAACAACAAAATCTACTAGCATCAAAACCATTCAGGAAGACATGACCTCACCAAATGAAACAAATAAGGCACCAGGGACTAATCATGGAGAAACAGAGATATATGACCTTTCAGAGACAGAATACAACATTGTTGAGGAAACTCAAATAAATTCAAGATAACACAGAAGTAAATCAGAATTCTAACATGATCAAATGAACAAAAAGACTGAAATAATTAAAAAGAATCAAGCAGAAATTCTGAAGCTGAAAAATGCAATTGGTTTACTGAGGAATGCATCATGATATTTTAAGAGTAGAACTGATCAAGCAGAGAAAAGAATTAGTGAGCTTGAGGACAGGTTATTTCAATATACACAGTTTGCCCAGGCATGGTGGCTTACACCTATAATCCCAGCACTTTGGGAGGTCGAGGAAGGGTGAATAACTTGAGGTCAGGAGTTCAAGATCAGTCTGGGCAACATGGTGAAATCCCTTCTCTACTAAAAATATGAAAAAAAATTAGCTGGGCGTGGTGGTTGGCACCTCTAATCCCAGCTACTCAGGAGGCTGAGGCAGGAGAATTACTTGAACCCAGCAGGGGGAGGTTGCAGTGAGCTGAAATTGCACCATTGCTCTCCAGCCTGGGGAAAAGAGCAAAACTCCACCAATAAATAAATAAACAAATAAATAAATAAATAAGAAAATACACAATCAGAGGAGACAAAAAAAAGCAAGAAAAGAAAACAATGAAGCTTGCCTACAAGCTCTAGAAAATAGCCTCAAAAGGACAAATATAACAGGGTTATAGGCCTTAAGAGGAGGCAGAGAAAGAAATAGGAGTAGAAAGTTTAACAGACTAATAACAGAGAAGTTCGCAAACCTAGAGAAAGATATCAATATCCAAGTATAGAAAGGCTATAGAAAATCAAGCAGATTTAACCCAAAGAAGATTACCTCAAGACATTCAATAACCAAACTCCCAAAGGTCAAGAATAAAGAAAGGATTTTAAAAGCAACAAGAGAAAAGAAACAAATAACATACAATGAAGCTCCAGTAAGTGTGGCTGCAGACTTCTCAGTGGAAACCTTACAGACCAGGAGAGAGTGGCACTTATTTCACATTGCATGCCTACATCAAAACATCTCATGTATACCATAAATGTATACACCACAAATATTAAAAATTAAAAAAATTAAAAGAAGAAACAAGACAAACAAAACCCCAAATTAGTAGATGGAAAGAAATATAGATCAGAGCATAACTAAACAAAATAAAGAAAAGAAAAACAATAAAAAGATTAACAAAATGAAAAACTGTTTTTTGTGTGTGTTAAAAAATAATATAATGCACCACTTGCTAGATTAACCAAAAAGAAAAAAGAGAAGACCCAAATAAACAAATCAGAAATGAAAACAGAAACTTCACAACTGATACGGAAGAAATACAAAAGTTCAGTGAAACTACTATAAACAACTGTACACTAACAAACAGTAAAATATAGAGAAAATTGATAAATTCCTGGAAACATGCGATCTATTAAGATTGGATCAAGAAGAAATTGAAAACCTGAACAGACTAATAACAAGTAATGAGCTCAAAGCAGAAACTGAATGACTTCACTGCCAAAGTCTACCAAATTTTCAAAGAAGAAGTAACACAATTCTCAAACTATTCCAAAATAATTGAAGAGGAAGAAATTTTCTCTAACTCATTCTAAAAGGCCAGCATTACTCTGATATCAAAACCAGGCAAAGATGCAACAATCAAAAAAGAAAACTAGAGACCGGTATCTCTAAGAAACACAAATGCAAAAATTCTCAACAAAATACTGACAAACCGAATTCAACAGCGCATCAAAACATAATATATCATGATCAAGTGGGATTTATCTCAGGGATGCCAAGATAGCTCAACATACACAAATCAGTAAGTATGATACATCACATTAACATAATTAAAGACAAAAACCTTATGATCACCTCAACCAATGTAGAAAAAGCATTTGATGAAATTCAGCATCCCCTCATGATTAAAAACGCTCAACAAACTAGGCATAGAAGGAGTGTACGTCAACAATAAAGCCTATGTATAACAAACCCACAGCTAAGACCATTCTAAATGGGGAAAAGCTGAAAGCCTTTCTTCTAACAACTGGAATAAGGCAAGAATGCCCACTGTCACCACTCTTATTCCACAAAGCACTGGAAGTCCCAGCCAGAAAAAAACAGGCAGGAGAAAAAATTAAAAGGCATTCAAACTGGAAATGGGGAAGTCAAACTGTTTCGGCCAATGACATGATCATATATATGTGTGTGTGTGTGTGTATGTGTGTGTGTGTGTGTGTGTGTTTGCCTAAAGACCCCACCTCAAAATCTTAGATCTGATAAATGAATTCAGTAATAATGCAGGATACAACATAAACATAAAAAGTCAGTAGCATTTCTATACACCAGTAATGGATTAGCCAAAAAAGAATTCCAGAACGCAATCCCATTTACAATAGCTACAAAAAAAAAAAAAAAAAAAAAAAAACCTACAAATATATTTAACCAAAGAGGTCAAACATATCTACAAGGAAAACTACTAGAAAGCATTGATGAGACAAACTGAAGAGGACACTAACAAATAAAAAGATATTCCATGCTTCTGAATCTGGAGAATTAATATTGTTAAGTGACCATACTGCCCAAAGAAATCTACAGATTCAATACAATCTGTAGCAAAATGCCAAGGTCATTTTTTATGTAGTGAGAAAAAGATATCATAAAATTTGCAGGAATTCAAAAAAGAGCCCAAATAGCCAAAGCAATCCTGAACAAAAAGGACAAAGCTTGGAAGTATAATACTACCTGACTTCATGTTATATTCATAGGCAGAAGCTAAAATTGTTGATCTCATGGAGGTGGAGAATAAAATGATAGACACTAGATCCTGGGAAGGATGTATGGATGGGAGGAGAGATGAAGAGAAGTTTGTTAATGGGTAAAAACACACACTTACATAAAAGAAATAAGTTCTAATGTTAAACAGCAGAGTAGGCTGACTACAGTTAGTAACGATATATTATATATTTCAAAGTAGCTAGAAGAGATAACTTAAAATATTTCCAATACATAGAAATGATCAATACTCCAGTGGATAGATACCCCAAATACACTAATGTGATAATTGCACATTCAATGCATGTAAGAAATACTCACAAGTATTACTATATAAAATATGTATCAATAAAAAATTATTTTCAGTCAAGCACAGCGGTGGCAGGGTCTAGAGGCTACAAAGAAGACATGTTTTAGACAACAGTAAGGTGTATGGGCAAAAAACTCAAAGGTTGTATTTGTGCCTAATTGTATAACAGGTTGTTTTAGTTTTTGTTCTGTAGAAAGTGTAAAGCATTCCAACAAAGGGTTTTAATGTAGTGAATTTTGTTTTTCACTAATGCTGTTGATTGCTAAATGTAATAGTCTGATCATGACTCTGAATAAATGTCTTTTTAAAAATACATATGCTAAAATGAAAGAAGCCAATCACAAATGATTGCAAATGGTATAATTCCATTTATATGAAATGTTCCAAATAGATACATTTATAGAGGTATAGCATAGCTTACTGGTGACTTTAGGCTGGGCCTGGGATAATGATTGACTACTAGTGTGTGTGTGTGTGTGTGTGTGTGTGTGTGTGTGTGTGTTTAAGGGGAGATCAAAATACTTTTATATTGAGATGATGGTTGCACAACTCTGAATATGCTAAAAACCATGGAATTTATGATCACATACTTTCAATGAGTGGATTTTATACTGTGTGATGGTATCTCAAGAAAGTAAAGAATACGTCGTTAAGACTAAAATATAAGACTGATGTGTTTTTTGGCTGCATAAATGTCTTCTTTTGAGAAGTGTCTGTTCATGTCCTTCGCCCACTTTTTGATGGGGTTGTTTGTTTTTTCTTGTAAATTTGTTTGAGTTCATTATAGATTCTGGATATTAGTCCTTTGTCAGATGAGTAGATTGCAAAAATTTTCTCCCATTTTGTAGGTTGCCTGTTCACTCTGATGGTAGTTTCTTTTGCTGTGCAGAAGCTCTTTAGTTTAATTAGATCCCATTTGTCAATTTTGGCTTTTGTTGCCCTTGCTTTTGGTGTTTTAGACATGAAGTCCTTGCCCATGCCTATGTCCTGAATGGTAATGCCTAGGTTTTCTTCTAGGGTTTTTATGGTTTTAGGTCTAACGTTTAAGTCTTTAATCCATTTTGAATTGATTTTTGTATAAGGTGTAAGGAAGGGATCCAGTTTCAGCTTTCTACATATTGCTAGCCAGTTTTCCCAGCACCTTTTATTAAATAAGGAATCCTTTCCCCATTTCTTGTTTTTGTCAGGTTTGTCAAAGATCAGATAGTTGTAGATATGTGGCGTTATTTCTGAGGGCTCTGTTCTGTTTCATTGATCTATATCTCTGTTTTGGTACCAGTACCATGCTGTTTTGGTTGCTGTAGTCTTGTAGTATAGTTAGAACTCAGGTGCTGTGATGCCTCCAGCTTTGTTCTTTTGGCTCAGGATTGACTTGGCAATGCAGGCTCTTTTTTGGTTCCATATGAAATTGAAAGTAGTTTTTCCAATTCTGTGAAGAAAGTCATTGGTAGCTTGATGGGGATGGCATTGAATCTGTAAATTACCTTGGGCAGTATGGCCATTTTCACGATATTGATTCTTCCTACCCATGAGCATGAAATGTTCTTCCATTTGTTTGTATCATCTTTTATTTCCTTGAGCAGTGGTTTGTAGTTCTCCTTGAAGAGGTCCTTCACATCCCTTGTAAGTTGGATTCCTAGGTATTTTATTCTCTTTGAAGCAATTGTGAATGGGAGTTCACTCATGATTTGGCTCTCTGTTTGTCTGTTGTTGGTGTATAGGAATGCTTGTGATTTTTGCACATTGATTTTGTATCCTGAGACTTTGCTGAAGTTGCTTATCAGCTTAAGGAGATTTTGGGCTGAGATGATGGGGTTTTCTAGAGACAATCATGTCGTCTGCAAACAGGCACAACTTGACTTCCTCTTTTCCTAATTGAATACCCTTTATTTCCTTCTCCTGCCTAATTGCCCTGGCCAGAACTTCCAACACTATGTTGAATAGGAGTGGTGAGAGAGGGCATCCCTGTCTTGTGCCAGTTTTCAAAGGGAATGCTTCCAGTTTTTGCCCATTCAGTATGATATTGGCTGTGGGTTTGTCATAGATAGCTCTTATTATTTTGAAATATGTCCCATCAATACCTAATTTATTGAGAGTTTTTAGCATGAAGGGTTGTTGAATTTTGTCAAAGGCCTTTTCTGCATCTATTGAGATAATCATGTGGTTTTTGTCTTTGGTTCTGTTTATATGCTGGATTACATTTATTGATTTGCATATATTGAACCAGCCTTGCATCCCAGGGATGAAGCCCACTTGATCATGGTGGATAAGCTTTTTGATGTGCTGCTGGATTCGGTTTGCCAGTATTTTATTGAGGATTTTTGCATCAGTGTTCATCAAGGATGTTGGTCTAAAATTCTCTTTTTTGTTGTGTCTCTGCCCGGCTTTGGTATCAGGATGATGCTGGCCTCATAAAATGAGTTAGGGAGGATTCCCTCTTTTTCTATTGATTACAATAGTTTCAGAAGGAACGGTACCAGTTCCTCCTTGTACCTCTGGTAGAATTCAGCTGTGAATCCATCTGGTCCTGGACTCTTTTTCGTTGGTAAGCTATTGATTATTGCCACAATCTCAGCTCCTGTTATTGGTCTATTCAGAGATTCAACTTCTTCCTGGTTTAGTCTTGGGAGAGTGTATGTGTCGAGGAATTTACCCATTTCTTCTAGATTTTCTAGTTTATTTGCATTGAGGGGTTTGCAGCATTCTCTGATGGTAGTTTGTATTTCTGTGGAATTGGTGGTGATATCCCCTTCATTATTTTTTATTGCATCTATTTGATTCTTCTCTTTTTCTTTATTAGTCTTGTTAGCAGTCTATCAATTTTGTTGATCCTTTCAAAAAACCAGCTCCTGGATTGCTCACCATCACTAGCCATCAGAGAAACGCAAATCAAAACCACAATGAGATACCACGTCACACCAGTTAGAATGGCAATCATTAAAAAGTCAGGAAACAGGTGCTGGAGAGGATGTGGAGATATAGGAACACTTTTACACTATTGGTGGGACTGTAAACTAGTTCAACCATTGTGGAAGTCAGTGTGGCGATTCCTCTGGGATCTAGAACTAGAAATACCATTTGACCCAGCCATCCCATTACTGGGTATATACCCAAAGGACTATAAATCATGCTGCTATAAAGACACATGCACATGTATGTTTATTGCGGCACTATTCACTATAGCAAAGGCTTGGAACCAACTCAAATGTCCAACAATGATAGACTGGATTAAGAAATTGTGGCACATATACACCATGGAATATTATGCAGCCATAAAAAATGATGAGTTCATGTCCTTTGTAGGGACATGGATGAAATTGGAAATCATCATTCTCAGTAAACAATCACAAGAACAAAAAACCAAACACCACATATTCTCACTCATAGGTGGGAATTGAACAATGAGAGCACATGGACACAGGAAGGGGAACATCACACTCTGGAGACTGTTGTGGGGTGGGGGGAGGGGGGAGGGATAGCATTGGGAGATATACCTAATGCTAGATGACGAGTTAGTGGGTGCAGCGCACCAGCATGGCACATGTATACATATGTAACTATCCTGCACATTGTGCACATGTACCCTGAAACTTAAAGTATAATAATAAATAAATGAAAAAAAGAACTGATAAAACACTCAATTATCATGGAAATGATAAATGTAAAATTCAGGCTAATCGTTAGACCTGAAGGAAAATAGAAGGATGAGATAGGAGAGGATTACATCAATTTTTCACTTATGTCATAATTTTTGGTTTGGATTGTGGGATAATGGGTGTCCTTTTTGTTATTATTTTGACTACATTTTTTAAAAATCTGTCTATGGACTGGTGCTATATTAGAATAATCTAAAAGTCTTGTTCAAAATACAAATGCCCTTGCCCTCATCTAATATTTACTCTATGAAAATCTCTGAGGGTATTATATCTTGAGCATAAAGAAGATTATCCTGATGTACCATGACTTAACAAATGCAACAGTCTATCAGGAGAAGATAGACATTGGGGAAATAAATAAAAGTGCACTGAGTGTTACAAAAAAGAAGTGATAAGTGTACCTACACCAGTTGATACATATTAGAAATGAAGTTAGAAAACTACTGTTTTGGATTTTGAATATTATTTCCCAGACGATATGACACTTGGGAACAGTATCTTCCACCTCATGTTCATTATTATTATAATTCTTATTATCTTCCTCAATTTTTTTTCTCTCTTTCCCAGGATGCCAACTTGCTCTGTATTATTCTTAGAATAATGCCAAAGGTTTTCAACATGACATACAAGAAAATTCTTGAGCTATTGGAAAAGACATAAATTTCCAAAGTTCAAATAACTTGTGAATTCTGAGAATTAGTAAGTATATTATTTATTCAGGATGTGTCCTGATTTTTGCACCCATCCTCAACACATACCAACTATAGTAAACTCAATCTGTACCTTTTTGTACTATTCAGTGCATTTGTAATTATTTGTTTAATATCTATCTTTTCTGATAATTATAAATTATATAAACCATGTCTGCCTTATTACTACTTTATTCCCAATGCCTAGCTCAGTGCCTTGTCTTTTAATGCATATGTGTTACACAATTTAATAAATGCATGCATTATTTCTTTAAGATCCTATGAGGTAATTATTATTCCACTTTGTAGGTGAGAAAACTGAAAGTTAGATAAATTAAATAACTCAATATAAATTAAGTAGTTCATCTTCCACATTGTGTTCATATATATACTTTTTTGTTTTTAAGCATAATTTACATCTTATTACTTCATTGTTTAAATTTCAAAAGCTGCTCTCTACTGTTCTTACAATAAAGGCCAAGTGTGAACAGCCTCAAACCCAATCTTTCTGATTCTAGAAATCAAATGCATGCTTAATCCATACATGAGAGTTTCCTAACAGGAGTGCCATAGATGGTTTTCAGTTTTACTAAGATATTGCTATGTATAGCTAAGAAGACTTAGCTCTTGAGAAGGCTTAGAGGGGTCCTGTGGCAAACCGATCCCTCTGGGCTGATTGTCTCTAGCTTCAGACAACGTATTTTCTTTACCTCGATGTGCCACCCAGATGTTATAATTTCTATAAATCCATGATGTCGAAAAGATAGAGAAGGATTCACTTTTTGAGTTAGACAAAGGTACATGTTTAGCCTATATTAGAAACTTTCTTTAATGTCATAAAAATATAAAATTGTAACTTGACCTGCTTTGTTCTGTAGATTGAAATTCTAAAAGGCAAGGAAAATTTGTTACATATTTTAGAATTTGTTTTAGTAGTTAAAACTGACTGGCTCTAATACAGTTAGAATATTTTTGGAAGAAATATTAGAATTAGAAGTGCAAAAATACTTTAGCAATCATGTAGTCTAGTGTTTATGAAATTTTCAGCACACTGATGTGCGGTTGGTATCCATAGATGTTGTTTTTAAAAGACCGATCACAAAATTTTATTTTTTATTATTTTTTCTTTTAACATAAATTTTAGGTTCAGGGGTACATGTGTAGGTTTGCTATATAGGTAAACTTGTGTTATGGGGGTTTGGTGTACAGATTATTTTGTCACCCAGTTACTAAGCATAGTACCCAATAGGTATTTTTCTGATCCTCTTCCTCATCCCACCATCCACCTTCAGGTAGGTCTCAGTGTCTGTTGAGCCCTTCTTTGTGTCCACGTGCTCTCGTTACTTAGCTCCCACTTATAAGTGATAACATGCATTACTTAGTTTTCTCTTCCTGAATTAGTTTGCTAAGAATATTGGTCTCCAGCTCCATTCACGTTGCTGAATAAAAAACAAAAACAACAACAAGAAAACATGATCTAATTCTTCTTTACGATCCCCACAGTATTCTATGGTATATATGGACCGCATTTTCTTTATCCACTCTTCTACTGATGGGCATTTAGGTTGATTCCATGTATTTGTTATTGTGAATAGTGCTTCAATAAGCATAGCCATGCAAGTGTCCTTATGGCAGACAAGTTTATATTCGTTTGGGTATATATGAAATAACGGGATTGCTAGGTCGAATAGTAATTCTATTTTCAGTAATTCTGTTATTCGAGGTATTAACACACTGTTTTCCCAAATGGCTGAAGTAATTTACACTCCAATTAGCAGAGTACAAGTGATCCCTTTTCTCTATAACCTCGCCAGCATCTGTTATTTTTTTTTTATTTTTAAATAATAGCCATTCTGTCTTGTGTGAGATGGTAACTCATTGTGGTTTTGATTTACATTTCTCTAATGATTAGAGATGTTCAGCATTTTTTCATATACTTCTTGGCCACATCTATATCTACAGAATGTGAGAAAATATTTGTAAACTACGTTTCCGGCAAAGGTCTAATATCCAGAATCTATAAGAAACTTAAACAAATTTACAAGCAAAAAACAATCAGCTTCATTAAAAAGCAGGAAAAGGACATGAACAGACACTTTTCGTTTTTATCTCTTTTTTAATTTTTTAAATTATACTTTAAGTTTTAGGGTACATGTGCACAATGTGCAGGTTTGTTACATATGTATACATGTGCCATGTTGGTGTGCTGCACACATTAATTCTTCATTTAACATTAGGTATATCTCCTAATGCTATCCCTCCCCACCCCCCCCCACCCCACAACAGGACCCGATGTGTGATGTTCCCCTTCCTGTGTCCATGTGTTCTCATTGTTCAATTCCCACCTATGAGTGAGAACATGCAGTGTTTGGTTTTTTGTCCTTGCGATAGTTAGCTGAGAATGATGGTTTCCAGCTTCACCCATGTCCCTACAAAGAACATGACCTCATCATTTTTTATGGCTGCATAGTATTCCATGGTGTATATGTGCCACATTTTCTTTTTTTTCTTTTCTTTTTTTTTTTTATTATTCAGTTGATTTCTTTTTTTTTTCCCCATCTTTTTTTTTTTAATTATACTTCAAGTTTTAGGGTACATGTGCACATTGTGCAGGTTAGTTACATATGTATACATGTGCCATGCTGGTGCACTGCACCCACTAACTCGTCATCTAGCATTAGGTATATCTCCCAATGCTATCCCTCCCCCCTCCTCCCACCCCACAACAGTCCCCAGAGTGTGATATTCCCCTTCCTGTGTCCATGTGATCTCATTGTTCAAATCCCACCTATGAGTGAGAATATGTGGTGTTTGGTTTGTTGTTCTTGCGATAGTTTACTGAGAATGATGTTTTCCAATTTCATCCATGTCCCTACAAAGGACATGAACTCATCATTTTTTATGGCTGCATAGTATTCCATGATGTATATGTGCCACAATTGCTTAATCCAGTCTATCATTGTTGGACATTTGGGTTGGTTCCAAGTCTTTGCTATTGTGAATAATGCCACAATAAACATAAGTGTGCACGTGTCTTTATAGCAGCATGATTTATAGTCCTTTGGGTATATACCCAGTAATGGGATGGCTGGGTCAAATGGTATTTCTAGTTCTAGATCCCTGAGGAATCGCCACACTGACTTCCACAATGGTTGAACTAGTTTACAGTCCCACCAACAGTGTAAAAGTGTTCCTATTTTTCCACATCCTCTCCAGCACCTATTGTTTCCTGACTTTTTAATGACTGCCATTCTAACAGGTGTGAGATGGTATCTCATTGTGGTTTTGATTTGCATTTCTCTGATGGCCAGTGATGGCGAGCATTTTTTCATGTGTTTTTTGGCTGCGTAAATGTCTTCTTTTGAGAAGTGTCTGTTCATGTCCTTCGCCCACTTTTTGATGGGGTTGTTTGTTTTTTTCTTGTAAATTTGTTTGAGCTCATTGTAGATTCTGTATATTAGCCCTTTGTCAGATGAGTAGGTTGTGAAAATTTTCTCCAATTTTGTAGGTTGCCTGTTCACTCTGATGGTAGTTTCTTTTGCTGTGCAGAAGCTCTTTAGTTTAATTAGACCCCATTTGTCAATTTTGGCTTTTGTTGCCATTGCTTTTGGTGTTTTAGACATGAAGTCCTTGCACGTGCCTATGTCCTGAATGGTAATGCCTAGGTTTTCTTCTAGGGTTTTTATGGTTTTAGGTCTAACGTTTAAGTCTTTAATCCATCTTGAATTGATTTTTGTATAAGGTGTAAGGAAGGGATCCAGTTTCAGCTTTCTACATATGGCTAGCCAGTTTTCCCAGCACCATTTATTAAATAGGGAATCATTTCCCTATTGATTGTTTTTGTCAGGTTTGTCAAAGATAAGATAGTTGTAGATATGCGGCATTGTTTCTGAGGGCTCTGTTCTGTTCCATTGATCTATATCTCTGTTTTGGTACCAGTACCATTTTTTTTTGTTTACTGTAGCCTAGTAGTATAGTTTGAAGTCAGGTAGTGTGATGCCTCCAGCTTTGTTCTTTTGGCTTAGGATTGACTTGGCAATGCAGGCTCTTTTTTGGTTCCATATGAACTTTAAAATAGTTTTTCCAATCCTGTGAAGAAAGGCATTTGTAGCTTGATGGGGATGGCATTGAATCTGTAAATTTACTTGGGCAGTATGGCCATTTTCACGATATTGATTCTTCCTACCCATGAGAATGGAATGTTCTTCCATTTGTATCCTCTTTTATTTCCTTGAGCAGTGGTTTGTAGTTCTCCTTGAAGAGGTCCTTCATATGCCTTGTAAGTTGGATTCCTAGGTATTTTATTCTCTTTGAAGCAATTGTGAATGGGAGTTCACTCATGATTTGGCTCTCTGTTTGTCTGTTGCTGGTGTATAAGAATGCTTGTGATTTTTGTACGTTGATTTTGTGTCCTGAGACTTTGCTGAAGTTGCTTATCAGGTTAAGGAGATTTTGGGCTGCGACAATGGGGTTTTCTAGATATACAACCATGTCGTCTGCAAACAGGGACAATTTGACCTCCTTTTTTCCTAATTGAATACCCTTTATTTCCTTCTCCTGCCTAATTGCCCTGACCAGAACTTCCAACACTATGTTGAATAGGAGTGGTGAAAGAGGGCATCCGTGTCTTGTGCCAGTTTTCAAAGGGAATGCTTCCAGTTTTTTCCCATTCAGTATGATATTGGCTGTGGGTTTGTCATAGATAGCTCTTATTATTTTGAAATATGTCCCATCAATACCTAATTTATTGAGAGTTTTTAGCATGAAGCGTTTTTGAATTTTGTCAAAGGCTTTTTCTGCATCTATTGAGATAATCATGTGGTTTTTGTCTTTGGCTCAGTTATATGCTGGATTACATTTATTGATTTGCGTATATTGAACCAGCCTTGCATCCCAGGGATGAAGCCCACTTGATCATGGTGGATAAGCTTTTTGATGTGCTGCTGGATTCGGTTTGCCAGTATTTTATCGAGGATTTTTGCATCAATGTTCATCAAGGATATTGGTCTAAAATTCTCTTTTTTTTTGTTGTGTCTCTGGCTGGCTTTGATATCAGAATGATGCTGGCCTTATAAAATGAGTTAGGTAGGATTCCCTCTTTTTCTGCTGATTGGAATAGTTTCAGAAGGAATGGTACCAGTTCTTCCTTGTACCTCTGGTACAATTCAGCTGTGAATCCATCTGGTCCTGGACTCTTTTTGGTTGGTAAACTATTGATTATTACCACAATTTCAGATCCTGTTATTGGTCTATTCAGAGATTCAACTTCTTCCTGGTTTAGTCTTGGGAGGGTGTATGTGTCAAGGAATTTATCCATTTCTTCTAGATTTTCTAGTTTATTTGCGTAGAGGTGTTTGTAGTATTCTCTGATGGTCGTTTGTATTTCTGTGGGATCGGTGGTGATATCCCCTTTATCATTTTTTATTGCATCTATTTGATTCTTCTCTCTTTTTTTCTTTATTAGTCTTGCCAGTGGTCTATCAATTTTGTTGATCCTTTCAAAAACGAGCTCCTGTATTCATTAATTTTTTGAAGGGTTTTTTGTGTCTCTATGTCCTTCAGTTCTGCTCTGGTTTTAGTTATTTCTTGCCTTCTGCTAGCTTTTGAATGTGTTTGCTCTTGCTTTTCTAGTTCTTTTAATTGTGATGTTAGGGTGTCAATTTTGGATCTTTCCTGCTTTCTCTTGTGGGCATTTAGTGCTATAAATTTCCCTCTACACACTGCTTTGAATGTGTCCCAGAGATTCTGGTATGTTGTGTCTTTGTTCTCATTGGTTTCAAAGAGCATCTTTATTTCTGCCTTTATTTCGTTATGTACCCAGTAGTCATTCAGGAGCAGGTTGTTCAGTTTCCATGTAGTTGAGTGGTTTTGAGTGAGATTCTTAATCCTGAGTTCTAGTTTGATTGCACTGTGGTCTGAGAGATAGTTTGTTATAATTTCTGTTATTTTACATTTGCTGAGGAGAGCTTTACTTCCATCTCTGTGGTCAATTTTGGAATAAGTGTAGTGTGGTGCTGAAAAAAAATGTATATTCTGTTGATTTGGGTGGAGAGTTCTGTAGATGTCTATTAGGTCCGCTTGGAGCAGAGCTGAGTTCAATTCCTGGGTATCCTTGTTGACTTTCTGTCTCGTTGATCTGTCTAATGTTGACAGCGGGGTGTTAAAGTCTCCCATTATTAATGTGTGGGAGTCCAAGTATCTTTGTAGGTCACTCAGGACTTGCTTTATGAATCTGGGTGCTCCTGTATTGGGTGCATATATATTTAGGATAGTTAGCTCTTCTTGTTGAATTGATCCTTTTATCATTATGTAATGACCTTCTTTGTCTCTTTTGATCTTTCTTGGTTTAAAGTCTGTTTTATCAGAGACTGGGATTGCAACCCCTGCCTTTTTTTGTTTTCCATTTGCTTGGTAGATCTTCCTCCATCCTTTTGTTTTGAGCCTATGTGTGTCTGAGGACGTGAGATGGGTTTCCTGAATACAGCACACTGATGGGTCTTGACTCTTTATCCAATTTGCCAGTCTGTGTCTTTTAATTGGAGCATTTAGTCCATTTACATTTAAAGTTAATATTGTTATGTGTGAATTTGATCCTGTCATTATGATGTTAGCTGTTTATTTTGCTCGTTAGTTGATGCAGTTTCTTCCTAGTCTTGATGGTCTTTACATTTTGGCATGATTTTGCAGTGGCTGGTACCAGTTGTTCCTTTCCATGTTTAGTGCTTCCTTCAGGAGCTCTTTTAGGGCAGGCCTGGTGGTGACAAAATCTCTCAGCATTTGCTTGTCTGTAAAGGATTTTATTTCTCCTTCACTTATGAAGCTTAGTTTGGCTGGATATGAAATTCTGGGTTGAAAATTCTTTTCTTTAAGAATGTTGAATATTGGCCCCCACTCTCTTCTGGCTTGTAGGGTTTCTGCTGAGAGATCCGCTATTAGTCTGATGGGCTTCCCTTTGAGGGTAACCCAACCTTTCTCTCTGGCTGCCCTTAACATGTTTTCCTTCATTTCAACTTTGGTGAATCTGACAATTATGTGTCTTGGAGTTGCTCTTCTCGAGGAGTATCTTTGTGGCGTTCTCTGTATTTTCTGAATCTGAACGTTGTCCTGCCTTTCTAGATTGGGGAAGTTCTCCTGGGGAATATCCTGCAGAGTGTTTTCCAACTTGGTTCCATTCTCTCCATCACTTTCAGGTACACCAATCGGACATAGATTTGGTCTTCTCACATAGTCCCACATTTCTTGGAGGCTTTGCTCATTTCTTTTTATTCTTTTTTCTCTAAACTTCCCTTCTCACTTCATTTCATTCATTTCATCTTCCATCGCTGATACCCTTTCTTCCAGTTGATCACATCGGCTCCTGAGGCTTCTGCATTCTTCACGTAGTTCTCCAGCCTTGGTTTTCAGCTCCATCAGCTCCTTTAAGCACTTCTCTGTATTGGTTATTCTAGTTATACATTCTTCTAAATTTTTTTCAAAGTTTTCAACTTCTTTGCCTTTGGTTTGAATGTCCTCCCGTAGCTCAGAGTAATTTGATCGTCTGAAGCCTTCTTCTCTCAGCTCGTCAAAGTCATTCTCCATCCAGCTTTGTTCAGTTGCTGGTGAGGAACTGCGCTCCTTTGGAGGAGGAGAGGCGCTCTGCTTTTTAGAGTTTCCAGTTTTTCTGTTCTGTTTTTTCCCCATCTTTGTGGTTTTATCTACTTTTGGTCTTTGATGATGGTGATGTACAGATGGGTTTTCGGTGTGGATGTCCTTTCTGTTTGTTAGTTTTCCTTCTAACAGACAGGACCCTCAGCTGCAGGTCTGTTGGAATACCCTGTGGTGTGAGGTGTCAGTGTGCCCCTGCTGGGGGGTGCCTCCCAGTTAGGCTGCTCAGGGGTCAGTGGTCAGGGACCCCCTTGAGGAGGCAGTCTGCCCGTTCTCAGATCTCCAGCTGTGTGCTGGGAGAACCACTGTTCTCTTAAAAGCTGTCAGACAGGGACATTTAAGTCTGCAGAGGTTACTGCTGTCTTTTTGTTTGTCTGTGCCCTGCCCCCAGAGGTGGAGCCTACAGAGGCAGGCAGGCCTCCCTGAGCTGTGGTGGGCTCCGCCCAGTTCGAGCTTCCCAGCTGCTTTGTTTACCTAAGCAAGCCTGGGCAATGGCGGGCGCCCCTCCCCCAGCCTCGCTGCCGCCTTGCAGTTTGATCTCAGACTGCTGTGCTAGCAATCAGTGAGACTCCATGGGCGTAGGACCCTCCGAGCCAGGTGCGGGATATAATCTCGTGGTGAGACGTTTTTTAAGCCCATCAGAAAAGCGCAGTATTCAGGTGGGAGTGACCCGATTTTCCAGGTGCCGTCCGTCACCCCTTTCTTTGACTCAGAAAGGGAACTCCCTGACCCCTTGCACTTCCCAAGTGAGGCAATGCCTCGCCCTGCTTGGGCTCGCGCATTGTGCGCGCACCCACTGACCTGTGCCCACTGTCTGGCACTCCCTAGTGAGATGAACCCAGTATCTCAGATGGAAATGCAGAAATCACCGTCTTCTGCGTTGCTCACGCTGGGAGCTGTAGACCAGAGCTGTTCCTATTCGGCCATGTTGGCTCCTCCCCTGTGTGCCACATTTTCTTAGTCCAGTCTGTCATTGATGGACATTTGGGTTGATTCCAAGTCTTTGCTATTGTGAATAGTGCCACAATAAACATACACGCACATGTGTCTTTATAGCAGCATGTTTTATAATCCTTTGGATATATACCCAGTAATGGGATTGCTGGGTGAAATAGTATTTCTAGTTCTAGATCCCTGAGGAATCGCCACATTGACTTCCACTTTTCAGTCGATTACAGGTTTTAGAAATTAAAGTAAAATTCAATTTTAAAATTAAGAATGAGTATTTAACATAAATGAGAAAGGTGAAATTGTTCACAGTTTTAAACCAAAGTATATCTGGTTTGATAATAAATAGCTTTATGAATACACATTATTATTTATTTCTGCCAAATTAGAAAATACAAACTCATTGTAATTATGAGTATGTATTATTATTCTTGGTAATATTCTTGTTAATTATGTTAATTATGTTAACAAGAATGTTATGTATTCTTGTTAATTACGTAATTAACAAGAAAGCAGCACCAATTATTTAGTCATTATTTTAGACATTTCTGAAGATTTTAATGAACATAAACCCAAATTTTATGCAGAGATTTCTCACTGTCAGGGTGGCATCAGATGAAAGCTGAATGTTTTAACAAGGGGTATTGAGATGAATTGAGTAGTTCATTCATTTCTGAAAACAATTGTTCATGTTCTTCTTTCTCTAATAAGTAGTAAAAACCATTGAATATTATGTAAAAGTAAATATCTAGATGATGGAGCTACTTATATATCAGTTTATCATTCTTAATTGTATTAGTCCTTTTTCACATTGCTATAAAGAACTACCTGAGACTGGGTAATTTATGAAGAAAAGAGGTTTAATTGACTCACAGTTCCACAGGCTTTATAGGAAACATGGCGGGAGGCCTCAGGAAACTTACAATCATGGTGGAAGGTGAAGGGGAAGCAAGCACAACTTACCATGGGAGAACAGGAGAGATATAGAGTGAAGGGGGAAGTGCTACACACTTTCAAACAACCAGATCTGATGAGAACTCTTTCACAAGACAGCACCTAGGGAGATGATGCTAAACCATTAGAAACCACCCCCATGATCGAGTCACCTTCTACCAGGCCTCACCTCCAACACTCAGGATCATAATTCAACATAAGATTTAGATGAGGACACAGAACCAAATTATATCATCCTACCCCTGGCACCTCCCAAATCTAAAGCCCTTCTCACATTCCAAAACACAATCATGCCTTCCCAAAAGTCTCCCAAAGTCTTAACTCTTTCCAGCATTAACTCAAAAGTTCAAGTCCAAAGTCTCATCTGAGATAAGGCAAGTCCCTTCTGCCTATGAGCCTGTAAAATAAGAAACGAGTTTCTTCCAAGATACAATGGGGGTATACACATTGGGCAAATACTCCATTTCCAAAAGGAGAAATGGACCAAAACAAAGGGGCTACAGGCCCCATGCAATTCTGAAACCCATCAGGGCAGTTATTAAATC
This sequence comes from Homo sapiens, assembly GCF_000001405.40. Lineage (NCBI taxonomy): Eukaryota > Metazoa > Chordata > Mammalia > Primates > Hominidae > Homo > Homo sapiens. The sequence goes on along the minus strand of NC_000023.11, from coordinate 66,941,286 downwards.
TTAAAGCTCCTAATCTTTTTTGACTCTGTGTCTCAAATCCATCCACAGTGACACAAGGGATGACCTCCCAAGGTTTTGGGCACCTCCAAATCTGTGGCTCTGCAGGGTAAAGCCCTCATAGCTCATTTCACAGGCTGGCATTGAGTGCCTGTGGCTTTTCCACGTGCACAGTGCAAGCTGTCGCTGGATCTACATTTCTGGGGTCTGCAGGACAGTGGCATTATACTGAACTGAAAAATTTGTAATACTACTTGCATTAGTACCTGTATTAGTTTCCCATTACTGCTATAACAAGGTATTACACACTTGGTGGGTTCAAACAATACAAATTTATTATGTTACAGTTCTGGAGGTCAGAAATCTGAAATGTGTCTTGCCAGGATAAAATTAAGATGTCAGCATGGCTGAGTCCTTTTCTGTAGTCCTGTAGCCTCTAGGGAAGAATCTTTTTTCCTACCCACTCCATCTTCCAGAGGCTGCCCACATTTGTTGTCACTTAGCCCTCTTTCTCCATCTTCACAGCCAATAACATCAGACCTAGTCCTTCTTAAGCTGCCATCTTTCTAGTTCTCTCCTTTCTGCCTCCCTCTTCCACTTATAAGAACCCTTATTATTACACTGGGCCCTCTGAAATAATACAGGACACTTTCTATGTCTCCATGTCAATTGATTAATAACTTTAATTTCATCTGCAACCGTAACCCCTCCCTCACCATTTAACATAATCCAGTCATTTTTTCCAGAGATTAGAGAGTAGGCATCTTTGAAGGATCATTACTCTATCTACTATGCAATTTTGCATTTTACTGAAATATTTTGAAACATTGATTCATTTTTTCTCTGATGGCAGAAGGGAGAAGTGGTAAGAAAGGTCTTACCTGACAACTTGATCCATCCATCAGTCTGTTATTGATTTTCTTTGACCATGTTTGTGCAACCATTTTTCTCTCATAGGCACTTTGATGGGCTTCTCATGCAGTGGTGTATCTAGCTTGTCGGGCACTTTCAAACCTCTCTCATTCAGTGATACATCTTCAGCTTCTTTCTCCTCTTGCCTTTTTCTCTAGCAAAAATTCTCTCAAAAAGGATTACTTTTATGAATAACCTTAGAGGCCTGAGGTGAGAAAGGGTAGTGGGTGCAATCCAAGAGAGTCAATCTTAAATATTTGCCCTCAGAAGAGAAAATAAATGCCAGATTAAGCCTGTGTCAATGAAGATGGATCTTTCAGTTGGGTCTTTCCTGCCCCATACCAGGGTAATCTTGAATGATAGGGCAAGATGTACAATGCAGCACCTACAAAGCCATATATAGCATTCTTCTTTTTATTTTTCTTTCCTGTCTACCTTGTCTCCCAACCCTGGAGAAACTGGAGGTAATTTAGTGATGGAAGAGATGGGTTATAAGGACATGATGGAAACCCAGAGATGATAGTCATGGCTCTCTTTTACCACTATAAGCAGCCAGCCTAAAGCACACAAGACCTGAGTGAAGGGAGAATGTTAATTTTGAATAAAGTCAGATTTTTTAATTATTATGCTGGAATGGGCATATTAATTATTAAATGAGACTATTCTTGTAACTGAAAGCGAGCAAGGCTTTTTATAATCTAAGGGTCAGCAAATAAGCTGACACCTGCTCAATACTTATTGCAATACCAAGGAAAGAACTACCTTGACACAATAGGTTCCTTTTGACACAGGGGAAAAAAATTGGATTGTTTTCTGATTGCACTGTGGGAGTACCACTTGTCTCATATGACAGACCTTTTTGTGAATTGTGGCTATCATGAAACAGAAAGATAGCAGCAAACAAATGTAAATTTAAAAAACAAACTCCATCGTAGTTGAAAATATCTGCAATTTTTAAAATATTCCTCCTGTGAGGAGATTGGGTCTAGGTCTTCTCCCTTGAATCTGGAAAAAAGCTCTGTAGCTACTGACCAGTTGAATATACTGGGAATGTCACTCTTCAAGTATCCAGTCCCAGTCCTTAAGAGACTGTCAGATTCCACTTACTGTCTCTTAGATCACTTGGTCTTGGAACACTGAGATGCCATATGTATTAGTTTCCTAGGGCTGCTATAACAAAGTAGTACAAACTGTTTGGGTTTAATAAAACATAAAGTTATTCTCTCACAATTCTGGAGGCTAGAAATCCTCAATTGAGGTGTTGAAAGGACCATGCTTTCCCTCTTAAAGTCCTAGGGCAGAATCTACTCCACAAGTTTCTCTTAGCTTCTGGTGCTGCCAGTAATTCTTAGCATTTCTTGGCTTGCAGATACATCACTCCCATGTTTGTCTTCTTTATCCATGGAGTTCTGCTGGTGTGTCTCTATTTCTGAGTCTCTTCTCCTCTTTGTATAGGGATGCGAGTCATATTAGAATAAGGCTCACCCTACTCCAGTATGACTTTATCTTAACTATCTTAAATATCTGCAAGAATCCTATTTTCAAATGAGGTCACATTTTGAGGGTCCTGGGATTAGGACTTCAATGTAACTTTTATGGGAAAACAATTCAACCTATAACACCATGTAAGAGGTTTAACTATTCTGCTATAGAGATTATGCAGAAAGGCCACAAGACACTATGGAAAGGAAGAGTGTGTTATTTAATCTCAGCTTTGTAGTTGTTCTCATCAACACTTCAGGCATGTGAATGAAGCTATTTGGAATCTCCAGACTAACCCAGATGTCAGCTGAATAACACCAGGTGACTCCAGTCTATACAGTGTGAAACCGAATTTTTCAGCTGAGCCCTGCCCAAATTCTTGACCCCCCAAATTATGAGATATAATAAAATAAGTTTTGCTTTAAGCCACTAAGTATTGGGGTAGTTTGTTATGCAGCAATAGATAATTGGGACAAGCAATAATAATCAGATAATGTAAAAATATTTCAGAGAAGAAATGTAACCTAGCCATTACCACCCTTGTTATATGACATTAGCAACTGTATAATTTTAAGAATGTAATCTATATTAAGAAAAAAATGAAATTTCTGTAAAAACTAATAGTTAAAATGTAAATTTATGAAAGTTATATACACAAATTTTTTCATTGCTTTTTCCTCTGAAACCATCACACCACCTGCGGACTACCTGATAGATCTCTGTAAACAACTATTGGTCAGTGGACCTTTATAAAGATAAAGCTACAGAGTCTTGCAAAAGAGGGACTAGCTCAAGATTTCACAAGTCAGTTTACAGTAGAACTGCCAATATAACTTAGGTCTTCTGACTCTTGGACCAGAACTAAAATTTGCCATACCTGTAGAAACCACACATCCTGGATTCTCTAGGACAATTATTATTCTCAGGTTAAGTGTCCCCAAAGGTTCTGATTGATTTCAAAAATAATGATCTCCTTTGCTATAACATTTATGCTTGTATGTACAGAAAAGTTAAAGAGCTGAGTGAAGAGCTGCCAAATGTAGATTTTATGGATTAGCTCTTAATAGCCAGAAATAAGTGAATTCAAATTAACTAATTAATTAATCAAATTAATTAAATTGTATATAAATTTACTGTTAAATAAATCTCCGCTAAGTGGTTAAAAAATTCTTACAGTTTTACTGCAACCTAACCTGAACTACACATTTAGCAAGATAGATTGTCAAAAACTAAATTTATGTTTTTCTGCTCTGTTTTTTCCCCATCTTTGTGGTTTTATCTACATTTGGTCTTTGAAAAAGCAGAGCACCTCTTCTCCTTCAAAGGAACGCAGCTCCTCACCAGCAATGGAACAAAGCTGGATGGAGAATGACTTTGATGAGTGAGAGAAGAAGGCTTCAGACAATCAAACTACTGCGAGCTACAGGAGGAAATTCAAACCAAAGGCAAAGAAGCTGAAAATTTTGAAAAAAATTTTGACGAATGTATAACTAGAATAACCAATACAGAGAAGTGCTTAAAGCAGCTGATGGAGCTGAAAGCCAAGGCTTGAGAACTACATGAAGAATGCAGAAGCCTCGGGAGCCGATGCAATCAACTGGAAGAAACGGTATCAGTGATGGAAGATGAAATGAATGAAATGAAGTGAGAAGGGAAGTTTAGAGAAAAAAGAATAAAAAGAAATGAACAAAGCCTCCAAGAAATATGGGACTACGTGAAAAGACCAAATCTATGTCTGATTGGTGTACCTGAAAGTGACGGGGAGAATGGAAACAAGTTGGAAAACACTCAGCAGGATATTATCCAGGAGAACTTCCCCAATCTAGCAAGGCAGGCCAACGTTCAGATTCAGGAATTACAGAGAACGCCACAAAGATACTCCTCAAGAAGAGCAACTCCAAGACAGATAATTGTCACATTCACCAAAGTTGAAATGAAGGAAAACATGTTAAGGGCAGCCAGAGAGAAAGGTCAGGTTACCCACAAAGGGAAGCCCATCAGACTAACAGCAGATCTCATGGCAGCAACTCTAGAAGCCAGAAGAGAGTGGGGGCCAATATTCAACATTCCTAAAGAAAAGAATTTTCAACCCAGAATTTCATATCCAGCCAAACTAAGCTTCATAAGTGAAGGAGAAATAAAATACTTTACAGACAAGCAAATGCTGAGAGATTTTGTCACCACCAGGCCTGCCCTAAAAGAGCTCCTGAAGGAAGCACTTAACATGGAAAGGGATAACCGGTACCAGCCACTGCAAAATCATGCCAAATTGTAAAGACCATCGAGGCTAGGAAGAAATTGCATCAACTAATGAGCAAAATAACCAGCTAATATCATAATGACAGGATCAAATTCACACATAACAATATTAACTTTAAATGTAAATGGACTAAATGCTCCAATTAAAAGACACAGACTGGCAAATTGGATAAAGAGTCAAGACCCATCAGTGTGCTGTATTCAGGAAACCCATCTCACGTGCTCAGACACACATAGGCTCAAAATAAAAGGATGGAGGAAGATCTACCAAGCAAATGGAAAATAAAAAAAGGCAGGGGTTGCAATCCCAGTCTCTGATAAAACAGACTTTAAACCAACAAAGATCAAAAGAGACAAAGAAGGCCATTACATAACGATAAAGGGATCAATTCAACAAGAAGAACTAAGTATACTAAACATATATGCACCCAATACAGGAGCACCCAGATTCATAAAGCAAGTCCTTAGAGACCTACAAAGAGACTTAGACTCCCACACAATAATAATGGGAGACTTTAACACCCCACTGTCAAATTAGACAGATCAACGAGACAGAAAGTTAACAAGGATACCCAAGAATTGAACTCAGCTCTGCACCAAGCGGACCAAATAGACATCTACAGAACTCTCCACCCCAAATCAACAGAATATACATTTTTTTCAGCACCACACCACACTTATTCCAAAATTGACCACAGAGTTGGAAGTAAAGCTCTCCTCAGCAAATGTAAAAGAACAGAAATTATAACAAACTGTCTCTCAGACCACAGTGCAATCAAACTAGAACTCAGGATTAAGAAACTCACTCAAAACCACTCAACTACATGGAAACTGAACAACCTGCTCCTGAAAGACTACTGGGTACATAACGAAATGAAGGCAGAAATAAAGATGTTCTTTGAAACCAATGAGAACAAAGACACAACATACCAGAATCTCTGGGACACATTCAAAGCAGTGTGTAGAGGGAAATTTGTAGCACTAAATGCCCACAAGAGAAAGTAGAAAAGATCCAAAATTGACATCGTAACATCACAATTAAAAGAACTAGAAAAGCAAGAGCAAACACATTCAAAAGCTAGCAGATGGCAAGAAATAACTAAAACCAGAGCAGAACTGAAGGAAATAGAGACACAAAAAACCCTTCAAAAGATTAATGAATCCAGGAGCTCGTTTTTTGAAAGGATCAACAAAATTGATAGACCGCTAACAAGACTAATAAAGAAGAAAAGAGAGAAGAATCAAATAGATGCAATAAAAAATGATAAAGGGGATATCACCACCGATCCCACAGAAATATAAACTACCATCAGAGAATACTACAAACACCTCTATGCAAATAAGCTAGAAAATCTAGAAGAAATGGATAAATTCCTCGACACATACACTCTCCCAAGACTAAACCAGGAAGAAGTTGAATCTCTGAATAGACCAATAACAGCTTCTGAAATTGTGGCAATAATCAATAACTTACCAATGAAAAAGAGTCCAGGACCAGATGGATTCACAGCCGAATTCTACCAGAGGTACAAGGAGGAACTGGTACCATTCCTTCTGAAACTATTCCAATGAATAGAAAAAGAGAGAATCCTCCCTAACTCATTTTATGAGGCCAGCATCATTCTGATACCAAAGCCAGGCAGAGACACAACCAAAAAAGAGAACTTTAGAACAATATCCTTGATGAACATTGATGCAAAAATCCTCAATAAAATACTGGCAAACCGAACCCAGCAGCATATCAAAAAGCCTATCCACCATGAACAAGTGGGCTTCATCTCTGGGATGCAAGGCTGGTTCAATATATGCAAATCAATAAATGTAATCCAGCATATAAACAGAACCAAAGAAAAAAAACACATGATTATATCAATAGATGCAGAAAAGGCCTTTGACAAAATTCAACAGCCCTTCATGCTAAAAACTCTCAATAAGTTAGGTATTGATGGGACGTATCTCAAAATAGTAAGAGTTATCTATGACAAACCCACAGCTAATATCATACTGAATGGGAAAAAACTGGAAGCATTCCCTTTGAAAACTGGCACAAGACAGGGACGCCCTCTCTCACCACTCCTACACAACATAGTGTTGGAAGTTCTGGCCAGGGCAATTAGGCAGGAGAAGGATATAAAAGGTATTCAATTAGGAAAAGAGGAAGTCAAATTGTCCCTGTTTGCAGATGACATGATTGTATAGCTAGAAAACCCCACTGTCTCAGCCCAAAATCTCCTTAAGCTGATAAGCAACTTCAGCAAAGTCTCAGGATACAAAATAAATGTGCAAAAATCACAAGCATTCTTATACACCAACAACAGACAAACAGAGAGCCAAATCATGAGTGAACTCCCATTCACAATTGCTTCAAAGAGAATAAAATACCTAGGAATCCAACTTACAAGGGATGTGAAGGAACTCTTCAAGTATAACTACAAACCACTGCTCAAGGAAATAAAAGAGGATACAAACAAATGGAAGAACATTCCATGCTCATGGGTAGGAAGAATCAACATCATGAAAATGGCCATATTGCCCAAGGTAATTTATAGATTCAATGCCATCCCCATCAAGCTACCAATGACTTTCTTCACAGAATTGGAAAAAACTACTTTAAAGTTCACATGGAACCAAAAAAGAGCCCGCATCGGCAAGTCAATCCTAAGCCAAAAGAACAAACCTGGAGGCATCACACTACCTGACTTCAAACTATACTACAAGGCTACAGTAACCAAAACAGCATGGTACTGGTACCAAAACAGATATATAGATCAATGGAACAGAACAGAGCCCTCAGAAATAACCCCATATCGCTACAACTATCTGATCTTTGATAAACCTGAGGAAAACAAGCAATGGGGAAAGGATTCCCTATTTAATAAATGGTGCTGGGAAAACTGGCTAGCCATATGTAGAAAGCTGAAACTGGATCCCTTCCTTACACCTTATACAAAAATTAATTCAAGATGGATTAAAGACTTAAACGTTAGACCTAAAACCATAAAAACCCTAGAAGAAAACCTAGGGATTACCATTCAGGACATAGGCATGGGCAAGGACTTCATGTCTAAAACACCAAAAGCAATGGCAACAAAAGCCAAAATTAACAAATGAGATCTAATTAAACTAAAGAGCTTCTGCACAGCAAAAGAAACTACCATCAGAGTGAACAGGCAGCCTCCAAAATGGGAGAAAATTTTCGCAACCTACTCATCTGACAAAGGGCTAATATCCAGAATCTACAATGAACTCAAACAAATTTACAAGAAAGAAAACAACCCCATCAAAAAGTGGGTGAAGGACATGAACAGACACTTCTCAAAAGAAGACATTTATGCAGCCAAAAAACACATGAAAAAATGCTCACCATCACTGGCCATCAGAGAAATGCAAATCAAAACCACAATGAGATACCATCTCACACCAGTTAGAATGGCAATCATTAAAAAGTCAGGAAACAACAGGTGCTGGAGAGGATGTGGAGAAATAGGAACACTTTTACACTATTGGTGGGACTGTAAACTATTTCGACCATTGTGGAAGTAAGTGTGGCGATTCCTCAGGGATCTAGAACTAGAAATACCATTTGACCCAGCCATCCCATTACTGGGTATATACCCAAAGGATTATAAATCATCCTCTATAAAGACGCATGCAGACATATGCTTATTGTGGCACTATTCACAATAGCAAAGACTTGGAACCAACCCAAATATCCATTATTGATAGACTGGATTAAGAAAATGTGGCACATATGCACCATGGAATACTATGCAACCATAAAAAAGGATGATTTCATATCCTTTGTAGGTACATGGATGAAGCTGGAAACCATCATTCTCAGCAAACTATCGCAATGACAAAAAACCAAACACTGCATGTTCTCACTCATAGGTGGGAATTGAACAATGAGAACACATGGCCACAGGAAGGGGAACATCACACGCTGGGGCCTGTTGTGGGGTGGGGATAGTTGGGAGGAATAGCATTAGGAGATATACCTAATGTTAAATGAAGAGTTAATGGGTGCAGCACACCAACATGTCACATGTATACATATGTAAGAGAGCTGCATGTTGTGCACATGTACCCTAAAACTTAAAGTATAATAAAAAAAGAGATAAAAATTTTACAAAGAACACTATGAAAATTGTACAGTTACAATATTATAACTAGAGTAAATATTCATTAGAGGAGCTAAACAATAAATTCAATAAAAAGATGAAATAATACGCAAACTTGAGAATAGATCAATAGAGATTATAAACAAAAACAACAGAGAGGTAAAGGATAAAGAAAACTAAATAGAACTTTAAAAATATGTGGGGGCACCATTAGGGTACCAACAGAAATATAATGGGGGTACCAGAAAAGGAAGAAGTATATAAAGAAGAAAACACAAATATTTGAAGCTATAATAGCTGAATTATTTTCAGATTTATTTAAAAACAATAACCTACCCATTCAGGAAGCTCAAGAAACTCCAAGTAGGAAATTTCAGAAACTCTCAAGTAGACATAATGTAGCACAGTGCAGGAAGTCAAAGATGAAAAAAACAATTTTTGGAAGAAGCAGGATTAAAAGGACACATCCCTTCCAAGGGAACCCCAATAAGATTAAAAGCTGACTTCTCAACAGAAACAATGAAGGCCATGAGATAACATATTCAAAGCACTTGAAGAAAAAAAGCTGTCAACCAAATATTTCATATCCAGCAAAGCTATAATAAAAAGAAATAAAGACTGCCCCAGATAAACAAAAACAGAGAAATTGTTGCTAGTAGGCTTACCTTACAAGAAATACCAAAGAAAATTCCCAAGGCTGAAAGCAAGTGATTCAAGATGGTAATTTAAATTCGCATGAACAAACAAACAACACAGGTAAAGGTAATTACATCATTGTAAAAGATGCTATAAATGTATACTATTTCCTTCTTTTTTATTTTCATGAATTTAAAACACAATTATATAAAATAATGTGCATAGTACATATTGTTGGGCCTATAAAATATAAAGGTAATATATGTATATAATATATTTGCCTATAACAGTACTAAAGAGGTAAATAAAAGCACAACTTTAATGAGCTAAGAAAAGAAAAAGAGATGATAAAGTGATAATTTAAAAAATACACTGTTGCATTCATAACATTAATAGATGTAATATGTACAATAATAATACCATGAAAAGGGTAAAAGGTAACAGAGCTATACAGGAGTAATATTTCTACATATTAAGAGATTTAGGAAAGTATAAATCTAAAGCTGATTCTGATAAGTTAAGATGTAGTGTAGTTTCCCATTATCTGTGGGCAATATGTTTCAAGACCCCCAGTGCATACTTGAAACTGAATCTAACACCAAACCCTATATATACTATAATTTTTTCCTATACATACTTACCAAAGATAAAATTTAATTTATAAATCAAAGTAAGAAATTAACAACTAATAATAAAATAGAATAATTATAACAATATACTGTAATAAAAGTTATGTGAATGTGTTCTCTCTCTTTCTCAAAGTATCTTATTTTGCTTTACCTATTTTTGAACAATGGTTGACCACAGGTAACTAAAACTGCAGAAAGAGAAACTGTGGATAAGGGAGAACTACTCTATATAGTAAACTCTAGAGCAACCAGTAAAAGTAAACTGGAAAATACCGTGCAAAATTATTAGTGAAATTAAAATGCTAGAAAGCAATAAAGAAGAAATAGAAAGTTAACAATAAAAAAGAAACAGAAGGCATATAGAAAAGAAAAAGTAGGGGGAGGAGCCAAGGTGGCCGAATAGGAACAGCTCTGGTCTACAGCTCCCAGCGTGAGCGACGCAGAAGACTGGTGATTTCTGCATTTCCATCTGAGGTACCGGGTTCATCTCACTAGGGAGTGCCACACAGTGGGCGCAGGCCAGTGGGTGCGTGCACCGTGCGTGAGCCAAAGCAGGGCGAGGCATTGCCTCCCCTGGGAAGCGCAGGGGTCAGGGAGTTCCCTTTCTGAGTCAAAGAAAGGGGTGACGGATGCACCTGGAAAATTGGGTCACTTCCACCCGAATATTGCGCTTTTCAGACCGGCTTAAAAAATGGCGCACCACGAGACTATATCCCACACCTGGCTCGGAGGGTCCTACGCCCACGGAATCTCGCTGATTGCTAGCACAGCAGTCTGAGATCAAACTACAAGGCGGCAGCGAGGCTGGGGGAGGGGCGCCTGCCATTGCTCAGGCTTGCTTAGGTAAACAAAGCAGTTGGGAAGCTCGAAATGGGTGGAGCCCACCACAGCTCAAGGAGGCCTGCCTGCCTCTGTAGGCTCCACCTCTGGGGGCAGGGCACAGACAAACAAAAAGACAGCAGTAACCTCTGCAGACTTAAATGTCCCTGTCTGACAGCTTTTAAGAGAGCAGTGGTTCTCCCAGCACGCAGCTGGAGATCTGAGAACAGGCACACTGCCTCCTCAAGTGGGTCCCTGACCCCTGACTCCTGAGCAGCCTAACTGGGAGGCACCCCCCAGCAGGGGCACACTGACACCTCACACCACAGGGTATTCCAACAGACCTGCAGCTGAGGGTCCTGTCTGTTAGAAGGAAAACTAACAAACAGAAAGGACATCCACACCGAAAACCCATCTGTACATCACCATCATCAAAGACCAAAAGTAGATAAAACCACAAAGATGGGGAAAAAACAGAACAGAAAAACTGGAAACTCTAAAAAGCAGAGCGCCTCTCCTCCTCCAAAGGAGCACAGTTCCTCACCAGCAACGGAACAAAGCTGGATGGAGAATGATTTTGACGAGCTGAGAGAGGAAGGCTTCAGACGATCAAATTACTCTGAGCTACGGGAGGACATTCAAACCAAAGGCAAAGAAGTTGAAAATTTTGAAAAAAATTTAGAAGAATATATAACTAGAATAACCAATACAGAGAAGTGCTTAAAGGAGCTGATGGAGCTGAAAACCAAGGCTGGAGAACTACGTGAAGAATGCAGAAGCCTCAGGAGCCGATGTGATCAACTGGAAGAAAGGGTATCAGCGATGGAAGATGAAATGAATGAAATGAAGCGAGAAGGGAAGTTTAGAGAAAAAAGAATAAAAAGAAATGAGCAAAGCCTCCAAGAAATATGGGACTATGTGAAAAGACCAAATCTACGTCTGATTGGTGTACCTGAAAGTGATGGGGAGAATGGAACCAAGTTGGAAAACACTGCAGGATATTCCCCAGGAGAACTTCCCCAATCTAGCAAGGCAGGCCAACGTTCAGATTCAGGAAATACAGAGAACGCCACAAAGATACTCCTCGAGAAGAGCAACTACAAGACACATAATTGTCAGATTCACCAAAGTTGAAATGAAGGAAAACATGTTAAGGGCAGCCAGAGAGAAAGGTCGGGTTACCCTCAAAGGGAAGCCCATCAGACTAACAGCGGATCTCTCGGCAGAAACCCTACAAGCCAGAAGAGAGTGGGGGCCAATATTCAACATTCTTAAAGAAAAGAATTTTCAACCCAGAATTTCATATCCAGCCAAACTAAGCTTCATAAGTGAAGGAGAAATAAAATACTTTACAGACAAGCAAATGCTGAGAGATTTTGTCACCACCAGGCCTACCCTAAAAGAACTCCTGAAGGAAGCACTAAACATGGAAAGGAACAACCGGTACCAGCCGCTGCAAAATCATGCCAAAATGTAAAGACCATCGAGACTAGGAAGAAACTGCATCAACTAACGAGCAAAATAAACAGCTAACATCATAATGACAGGATCAAATTCACACATAACAATATTAACTTTAAATGTAAATGGACTAAATTCTCCAATTAAAGACACAGACTGGCAAGTTGGGAAAAGAGTCAAGACCCATCAGTGTGCTGTATTCAGGAAACCCATCTCACGTGCAGAGACAAACATAGGCTCAAAATAAAAGGATGGAGGAAGATCTACCAAGCAAATGGAAAACAAAAAAGGCAGGGGTTGCAATCCTAGTCTCAGATAAAACAGACTTTAAACCAACAGAGATCAAAAGAGACAAAGAAGGCCATTACATAATGGTAAAGGGATCAATTCAACAAGAGGAGCTAATTATCCTAAATATATATGCACCCAATACAGGAGCACCCAGATTCATAAAGCAAGTCCTGAGTGACCTACAAAGAGACTTAGACTCCCACACATTAATAATGGGAGACTTTAACACCCCACTGTCAACATTAGACAGATCAACGAGACAGAAAGTCAACAAGGATACCCAGGAATTGAACTCAGCTCTGCACCAAGTAGACCTCATAGACATCTACAGAACTCTCCACCCCAAATCAACAGAATATACATTTTTTTCAGGACCACACCACACCTATTCCAAAATTGACCACATACTTGGAAGTAAAGCTCTCCTCAGCAAATGTAAAAGAATAGAAATTATAACAAACTATCTCTCAGACCACAGTGCAATCAAACTAGAACTCAGGATTAAGAATCTCACTCAAAGCCACTCAACTACATGGAAACTGAACAACCTGCTCCTGAATGACTACTGGGTACATAACGAAATGAAGGCAGAAATAAAGATGTTCTTTCAAACCAACGAGAACAAAGACACAACATACCAGAATCTCTGGGACACATTCAAAGCAGTGTGTAGAGGGAAATTTATAGCACTAAATGCCCACAAGAGAAAGCAGGAAAGATCCAAAATTGACACCCTAACATCACAATTAAAAGAACTAGAAAAGCAAGAGCAAACACATTCAAAAGCTAGCAGAAGGCAAGAAATAACTAAAATCAGAGCAGAACTAAAGGAAATAGAGACACAAAAAACCCTTCAAAAAATCAATGAATCCAGGAGCTGGTTTTTTGAAAGAATCAACAAAATTGATAGACCACTAGCAAGACTAATAAAGAAAAAAAGAGAGGAATCAAATAGACACAATAAAAAATGATAAAGGGGATATCACCACCGATCCCACAGAAATACAAACTACCATCAGAGAATACTGCAAACAACTCTATGCAAATAAACTAGAAAATCTAGAAGAAATGGATACATTCCTCGACACATACACTCTCCCAAGACTAAACCAGGAAGAAGTTGAATCTCTGAATAGACCAATAACAGGAGCTGAAATTGTGGCAATAATCAATAGTTTACCAACCAAAAAGAGTCCAGGGCCAGATGGATTCACAGCCGAATTCTACCAGAGGTACAAGGAGGAACTGGTACCATTCCTTCTGAAACTATTCCAATCAATAGAAAAAGAGGGAATCCTCCCTAACTCATTTTATGAGGCCAGCATCATCCTGATACCAAAGCCGGGCAGAGACACAACCAAAAAAGAGAATTTTAGATCAATATCCTTGATGAACATTGATGCAAAACTCCTCAATAAAATACTGGCAAACCGAATCCAGCAGCACATCAAAAAGCTTATCCACCACGATCAAGTGGGCTTCATCCCTGGGATGCAAGGCTGGTTCAATATACGCAAATCAATAAATGTAATCCAGCATATAAACAGAGCCAAAGACAAAAACCACATGATTATCTCAATAGATGCAGAAAAAGCCTTTGACAAAATTCAACAGCCCTTCATGCTAAAAACTCTCAATAAATTAGGTATTGATGGGACGTATTTCAAAATAATAAGAGCTATCTATGACAAACCCACAGCCAATATCATACTGAATGGGCAAAAACTGGAAACATTCCCTTTGAAAACTGGCACAAGACACGGATGCCCTCTCTCACCGCTCCTATTCAACATAGTGTTGGAAGTTCTGGCCAGGGCAATCAGGCAGGAGAAGGAAATAAAGGGTATTCAATTAGGAAAAGAGGAAGTCAAATTGTCCCTGTTTGCAGACGACATGATTGTTTATCTGGAAAACCCCATCGTCTCAGCCCAAAATCTCCTTAAGCTGATAAGCAACTTCAGCAAAGTCTCAGGATACAAAATCAATGTGCAAAAATCACAAGCATTCCTATACACCAACAACAGACAAACAGAGAGCCAAATCATGAGTGAACTCCCATTCACAATTGCTTCAAAGAGAATAAAATACCTAGGAATCCAACTTACAAGGGATGTGAAGGACCTCTTCAAGGAGAACTACAAACCACTGCTCAAGGAAATAAAAGAGGATACAAACAAATGGAAGAACATTCCATGCTCATGAGTAGGAAGAATCAATATCGTGAAAATGGCCATACTGCCCAAGTAAATTTACAGATTCACTGCCATCCCCATCAAGCTACCAATGACTTTCTTCACAGAATTGGAAAAATCTACTTTAAAGTTCATATGGAACCAAAAAAGAGCCCGCATCGCCAAGTCAATCCTAAGCCAAAAGAACAAAGCTGGAGGCATCACACTACCTGACTTCAAACTATACTACAAGGCTACAGTAACCAAAACAGCATGGTACTGGTACCAAAACAGAGATATAGATCAATGGAACAGAACAGAGCACTCAGAAATAACGCCACATACCTACAACTATCTGATCTTTGACAAACCTGACAAAAACAAGAAATGGGGAAAGGATTCCCTATTTAATAAATGGTGCTGGGAAAACTGGCTAGCCATATGTAGAAAGCTGAAACTGGATCCCTTCCTTACACCTTATACAAAAATCAATTCAAGATGGATTACAGATTTAAACCTTAGACCTAAAACCATAAAAACCCTAGAAGAAAACCTAGGCATTACCATTCAGGACATAGGCACATGCAAGGACTTCATGTCCAAAACACCAAAAGCAATGGCAACCAAAGCCAAAATTGACAAATGGGATCTAATTAAACTCAAGAGCTTCTGCACAGCAAAAGAAACTACCATCAGAGTGAACAGGCAACCTACAGAATGGGAGAAAATTTTCGCAACCTACTCATCTGACAAAGGGCTAATATCCAGAATCTACAATGAACTCAAACAAATTTACAAGAAAAAAACAAACAACCCCATCAAAAAGTGGGCGAGGGACATGAACAGACACTTCTCAAAAGGAGACATTTATGCAGCCAAAAAACACATGAAAAAATGCTCATCATCACTGGCCATCAGAGAAATGCAAATCAAAACCACTATGAGATATCATCTCACACCAGTTAGAATGGCAATCATTAAAAAGTCAGGAAACAACAGGTGCTGGAGAGGATGTGGAGAAATAGGAACACTTTTACACTGTTGGTGGGACTGTAAACTAGTTCAACGATTGTGGAAGTCAGTGTGGCGATTCCTCAGGGATCTACAACTAGAAATACCATTTGACCCAACCATCCCATTACTGGGTATATACCCAAATGACTATAAATCATTCTGCTATGAAGACACATGCACACGTTTGTTTATTGCAGCATTATTCACAATAGCAAAGACTTGGAACCAACCCAAATGTCCAACAATGATAGACTGGATTAAGAAAATGTGGCACATATACACCATGGAATACTATGCAGCCATAAAAAATGATGAGTTCATGTCCTTTGTAGGGACATGGATGAAATTGGAAACCATCATTCTCAGTAAACTATCGCAAGAAGAAAAAACCAAACACCGCATATTCTCACTCATAGGTGGGAATTGAACAATGAGATCACATGGACACAGGAAGGGGAATATCACACTCTGGGGACTGTGGTGGGGATGGGGGAGGGGGGAGGGATAGCATTGGGAGATATACCTAATGCTAGATGATGAGTTAGTGGGTGCAGCACACCAGCATGGCACATGTATACATATGTAACTAACCTGCACAATGTGCACATGTACCCTAAAACTTAAAGTATAATTAAAAAAATAATAATAATAATAATAATAGTAATAATAAAAAAAGAAAAAAAAGTAAAATGTCAGACATAATTATAAATATATTAACAATAAATGTAAATGTTAGACAAATTCAAACAAAAGGCAAAGATTTTCAGACTGTATCAAAAAAGAAGTTCCAAATGTGTGTTTTATGTGAGACACACTTTAGATTTCCAGACACAAATAGACTAAAATCGAAACAGTGGAAAAACATGTATCATGCAAATAGCAACCATTGGAAAGCTGAAGCATTTATACTGATATCAGGCAAAACTAACTTGAAAATAACCACAAAATCTGTTTCTAGAGATAAAGAATGACATTTTATAATAAAACTTTTAGCCCATCAGGAATATGTAACAATTATAAACTTACATGCACTTCATAACAGAGCACCAAGATATTGGGGGAACCTGCCCCCGATTTCATGTAGGTTCTTTTCTATTTTCCCTAAGTGTCAACCAGTTTGAGAAATAAAGGGACAGAGTGCAAAAGAGAGATATTTTAAAGCTGGGCATCCGGGGGAGACATCACATGTCAGTAGGTTCCGTGATGCCCCCTGAGCCGTAAAACCAGCAAGTTTTTATTAGTGATTTTCAAAAGGGGAGGGAGTGTACAAATAGGGTGTGGGTCACAGAGATCACGTGCTTCACAAGGTAATGGAATATCACAAGGCAAATGGAGGCAGGGCAAGATCACAGGACCACAGGACCGGGGTGAAATTAGAATTGCCAGTGAAGTTTCGGCATGCATTGTCATTGATAACATCTTATCAGGAGACAGGGTTTGAGAGCAGATGACCAGTCTGACCAAAATTTTTTAGGCAGGAATTTCCTCATCCTAATAAGCCTGGGAACACTATGGGTGACTGGGGCTTATTTCGTCCCTACAGCTCGACCATAGAAGATGGCCGCACCCAAGGGGGGCCATTTTAGAGGCCTACCCTCAGGGACACATTCTTTTTCTCAGGGATGTTCCTTGCTGAGAAAAAGAATTCAGCGATATTTCTCCCATTTGCTTTTGAAAGAAGAGAAATATGGCTCTCTTCCGCCTGGCTCACCAGCGGTCAGAGTTTAAGGTTATCTCTCTCTTATTCCCTGAACATTGTTGTTATCCTGTTCTTTTTTCAAGGTGCCCAGATTTCATATTGTTCAAACACACATGCTCTACAAACAATTTGTGCAGTTAATGCAATCATCACAGAGTCCTGAGGCGACATACATCCTCCTCAGCTTACGAAGATGATGGGATTAAGAGATTAAAGTAAAGACAGGCATAGGAAATCACAAGGGTATTGATTGCGGAGGTGATAAGTGTCCATGAAATCTTCACAATTTATGTTCAGAGATTGCAGTAAAGACAGGCGTAAGAAATTATAAAAGTATTAATTTGGGGATCAAATAAATGTCCATGAAATCTTCGCAATCCATGTTCTTCTGCCATGGTTTCAGCCGGTCCCTCCATTTGGGGTCCCTGACTTCCCACAACACCAAAATACATGAAGCAAAAACATAAAAATGAAGGTAGGGGAAGACAATATAATAAGAATATTTGAAGACTTCAATATCCTACTTTTAATAATAGAGGAAACATCTAGACATAAGGTCAACAAGGAAACAGAAGACTTGAAAAATGCTACAAAACAAGTAGACCTAACAAACATCTCTGGAACAACCCACCCAACAATAGCAAAATATGCATTATTCTTGTGTGCACATGGAACATTCTCCAGGATAAACCATATGGTAAGTCATTAAACAAACTTCAATAAGTGTAAAAGCATAAAATAATACAAAGTATGTTCTTTGATCAAAATAGAATGGGATTAATTTTTTTAATGAGAAAACTTGGGGAAATTTAACTATGCAGAAATTAAACAACACATTCATAAACAAGTGGGTTAAAAAATAAATGAAAATTAAAATCAGAAAATACTTTTAGATATATGAAAATGAAAGTGCTACCTATTAAAACTTATGGGACATAGCCAAAGCAGGGCTTACAGGGGAATTTATGGCTGCAAATCCTAAATTAAGAAAAAATAAAGATCTCAAACCAATAATCTAAACTTCTACTTTTAGACATTTGTAAAAGAAGAGAAAACTAAAAGCACCCAAAAAAAGGAGTAATTATTAAAATGGAAATAAATGAAATAGAGAATAGAAAACATTAAAGAAAATTAATTAAATCAAAATCTAGTTCTTTAAGAAGATCAACAAAACTGACAAACCTTTAGCTAGTTTGATCAAGCAAAAACATAAAAGGTTCAAATTGCTAGAATCAGATATAAAAAAGAACTTTATTACCAACATTAAAAATAAAAAGTATTATAAAAGAACGTTATAAAAAACTGCCTGTCAACAAATTAGATAACTTAGATGAAATGGGCAAATTCCTAAAAACACTCAAGCTACTTTCTGCAAACTGACACAAGAAGAAACAGACAATCTGAATAGGTGTATACATCTGAAGAAATTGAAACAGTAATCAAAAGAACTACTCACACAAAAAAGCTAAGGCCCAGATTGCCTCACCTCTGAATTCTATTAATAATCAAAGAAGAACTAATATAAATCTTCAGAAGTTCTTGCAAAAATGGAAAATGAGGGGTCACTTCCCAACTCATTCTATGAGACCAGTATTACCGTGATACCAAAAGCAGCCTAGGACGACACAAGGAAAAAACAGAAACAAAACAAAACACTACAGACCAATATCTCTTGTTGAATATAGGCTCAAAAATTTTCAACAATGTAGTACCCAATACAGTTGGCAACATGTAAAAAGAAATAAATACCATAACCAAGTTGGATTTATTCCAGGGATGTGAGGCTGCTTTAGTATCTGAAGATTAATTAATGTAATAATCATACCAATAGAATAAAAACCAAAAACAACATGATCACATCAATAGACACAGAAAATGAATTTGACAAAATTCAACAAAACTTATACTTTCAAAATTACAAAACTTTGAAAAAATTTAAAGAAGATCTAAATATTGAAAAAGCATCCTACATTCATTTCTCAGAAGACTTAACATTGTTAAAATGGCAATATTCCTTATACTGATCTACAATTTCAACATAATCCTTATCAGAATTCCAACTGAGTTATGTTTAGAAATTGACAAGGTGGTTCTAAAATTCATATGGAATTGTATAGACTCAAGATAGCCAAAACAATTTTAAAGTGAAAAAGGAAGTAGGAGGACTCACACTTCCCAATTTCTCAGCTTACTACAAAACAACTGTAATCAAGACAGTATGGTAGTAGTAGAAAGATAGGCATATAGATCAATGGAATATTATATAATTGAGAGAAAAGGAATAAACTGGTACATCTATGGTCAACTAATTTTTGACAAGAGTGCCAAGACCATTTAATGGAGAAAGAATAATCTTTTCAACAAGTGGTGTTGGAACAAATGGATAGCCATATGCAAAAGAATTAGGTTGGAACTCAAAATGGATCAAAGGCCTAAATGCAAGAGACAAATCTATAAAACTCTTAGAAGAAAACATAGGAGTAAATCTTCATGACCTTGGATTTGGCAAAGGATTTGCCAAATGGATAAACTGGACTTTATCAAAATTTAAGATTTTGTGTTTCAAAGGACATCACTAAGAAAGTGGAAAGACAAAGCAAAGAATGAAAAACAATTTTGAACCATATATCTGATAAGCGACATGTATCTAGAATATATAAGGAACTCTTACAAATCAACAATAAAAGGACAAATAAGCCAATTAAAATGGGCAAAGTACCTGAGTAGACATTTCTCTACAGATATATAAATGGTCAATAAACACATGAAAAGATACTAAACATT
Source organism: Homo sapiens (assembly GCF_000001405.40). Taxonomy (NCBI): domain Eukaryota; kingdom Metazoa; phylum Chordata; class Mammalia; order Primates; family Hominidae; genus Homo; species Homo sapiens. Next base: position 66,921,011 of record NC_000023.11, on the reverse strand, counting down.
GTTAGTCACCTGGGAAATGCAAATCAAAACCACAATGAGATATCACTTCCTGCCTACTAGGATGTATAGAATGAAAAACTCAGATAACAAAGAAGTGTCAGCAAGGATATAGAGAAATTAGAACTTTTTTACATTGCTGGTAGGAATGCAAAATGGTGCAGCCACCTTGGAGAACAGTCTGACAGCTTCTCAAATAATTAAAGATAAAGTTATCAGATGACTCACTAATTCCAGTCCTAGGTACATAGCCAAAAGAAATAAAAATATGTACCCAGACAGAAACTTGTACACAAATGCTACAGCAGCATTATTCATGATAGTTGAAAGGTAGAAGCAACTCAAATGTCCATCAGCTCAACAGATAAGAAAAGGTGGTATATTCATACTATGTAATATTATTCAACCATAAAAAGAAATGAAATACTGTTCAGCATGAACAAACCTTGAAAACATTATGCTAAGTGAAATAAGTCAGTCAAAAAAGATTACCTGTTATATGATCCCATTCATGTGGAATGCTGTAGTCAAGAACTCTATGGAGACAGAGAGTAGATTAATGATTGCTTAGAGATGTGAAGTGGGATGCAGTTGATAGGTAGACAATAGTTAAAGGGTATGTGGTTTCTTTTTGACATGATGAAAATGTTCTAAATTTGGCTGTGGCGATGGTTGTACATATCTGTGAATACACTAAAATTGTTTAACTGTACATTTTAAATGGGTGAATTGTATAGTACATAAACTATATTTTTTATAAAGATGATTTTAAAAAGACAGAAAGAATGACTGAATAACTGAGTAAATGAAGATACTTGGAGATGAACATAAGTTCAACCCCTCACCAAATAGCACAAAATTTTAAGCCAGTGGTTTTTACCCTGGCTGCCCATTGGAATTACCAGGGGAGTTTTTATGTCAGAATCTCTGGAGGTGGATCCTGAGTCTTGGCATTTTTAAAGTTTCCTGTGTGAGTCTAATGGACTGCCAGAGTAGAAAACTACTGGAGTAGGCCAAGAAAAACTGGATATGACTAAAAGAGAAGGGACCAAGAGAGGATTGCTCACCGGAGGTTTGGTCCAGTTAGGTCCTTTGGTGCATCCTGGAGATTGTGGGAGGTGGAGTTATAATTCCACACCTGGGTGTGGAAGGTGGAGTTATAATTAAGCCTAAAATGTCAAATCTAAAAGGGCCTTTAGTAGTTATCAAGTCTAATTCCTGCTTTCCACCCCCACCCCTTTACCCAGTGTGAATGAGACCCTGATGTCTAGAGAAGGGAAAGGACTTTCCCAAGATTACAATGAGTCATTGGCACAGCCCAGGTCTTCTGACTTCAAATTAGTGCCCTTTACCATGCCTCACTGCCTTCCTGCTTCACAGTCTGAAAATAGGTTTAGGAGGCAGGCAGTTCTTAAATGGCCCATTAATGCGTTCCGGCCTTTTCCCAACTCTCTTTCCAAACCTGCCTGAGGGCTTCAAATCTTTATCTTAAATAGTGCTCTTTCGAAGCTACATTACATAATCAGTTCAGCAATAAACCTTTCAAGTTATACGACTTTTAGTTAAAGCAAATCTTTTGGCCTTGTTTTCCTGCCAAGACTCATGACTCCTGCCTGTCTCATCCAATGAGCATAATAATAAATCTCCTTTGCTGAATGCCAACAGCAGGCTGGACATTGTAAGGCACTTAGGACTTGGAAGCTGGTGAAGGAGGTATAGCTTGAGTCCAGTGCCATCTTTTTTTATCCTGAGTTTTGACCCTTATGAAGACCATAAACAACTTCCACTCACACCTAACAATCCACACAAAGTCTACGATTTCCATGTTTGTAGGAAGTTCATTCAAATTGCTTTATCAGCCAGCTGAGATTCTCTCTTTGCATTTCCAAACTTACTTTCCTACTTTCCTAATACATAGCAATTTTTGCTATTTTATATGTAAGTTAGTGTCTACTATAAGTTTAATTTAATTCCTTGGTGAGCTGGCCAAAGTCTTCCTGTTTGTGTGACAAGTGCCTTCATTACCCATGTCTTTGTCTGCCCTTTCTCAGGGTAGATTACTGTTTCTCCAGGTCTCAATTGCCTCCACCATTCATTTCACAATTTCCTCTCCTATCCTTGAGGAGAGCTGAACCTGATATACAAAGAGTAGTGTATTTGCTTGTCTTGACCTCACTTTTTTCACCCTTAGAATCAGAATCCACTTTTCAGAGAGCAGGCAAAGCTTTATAGCCAGCCTTAGGTTATCCCTCGCCCAGCAGTAGTGCTCCAGGGTAGAATGGGCAAGAAATGGATGAAACTTTGGACTTTACTCTCTCACTACTTTAGCTCTGGGGATTTCAGACAGTATCCAGCAATATTTTCCCTAGTTCTATCCTGATTGTTTTGTTGGGCATCCAAGTGCCCAGTGATGTTTCAGAAAAATCAACTCTGACAGTTGAGAATGTCCTCAGCCCACAGCATGCAAGCACACTTAGGAGATGAGTCATAAATGATTGACTGCCCCAGAGTCTTCTTTCCAGAATACCCAGGAGAGAGAAAAGGAGGTACAGGACATGGACGTGAGACCCCATTGGGGGAAGGCCAGGGCAGTTTACACGCTACAACAGGATGCAAGAGATTCCTATTTCCCACTGCTGTAACCCTCCCAGCTCACCATTTTGTCCGATGATTTAGGCCTGAGAAGAGAGCAACATTTTGTAATTCTCTGGCAGTGGACAGTGACCTGTAAGATTTCCCCAAATATACTTTGTCCCAAACACAGCTTCTGCTACCACTTTGCTACTGCAATAGCCAAGGTATTTTTGTGGCCTAGAAGACAGTATCCACCCCCAACCACCACACACACACATCCCTCTTACCCTTGCCTAACTGTCACCATGTGGTGGCTAGGATGGCTGAAGCTTGTGTTCCAAGTAGAAAATGTATTTGATTGGATGGAAACCTCCATGGTAGACTGAGAACTTTGGATGCAGAAGGGAAGACTGCCAGGCCAGAGGTGGCAACCTTGTGCAGTTCAAACCTAGGCATGCCAAGCAGTTACCCAGGATGGGCCTCTCCCTGCAGGCACCATGAGCACCAAGATGGTAGCTCCCTTTTCACAGCCATATCCTCTAGGGTTCTAGGGTTCTAGGTCATAATGTATTGGTCCCAGTCCCTATTCATCCAAAGGCTGCTTACGGGGAAGGCTATGAGGTTGATGCTAAATGATAGTTTATTAAGGTCATGTAGAGAGAATCTTGATTAGCCTTGGCCTGACTGAACCTGATACTGACTGATTTACTGTGTGATTGTGAACAAATTATTTTCCTTCTCTGGGCCTCAGTTTCCTGAAAAACAAAGCAGTTGGAGTAAATAAAAACCACTGATTTAGGTTTGTTTTAGACAACAATTCCTTTAAAAAAACAATTCCTTTAAAAAAATGCCCAATATACAGACCCAAAAAACAAACAAACAAACAAAAACAAACAACAAAAAACAGAGGAAATGATGGCAGGGATAGTAGCTGTTAACGGGAGGGGATTCTACCCTGGAGCCCTACTCGATTACTATATTCACAAGCACAATCAACCCCATGGTAGCCCTAAAGCACCTTGGGAGAACAAAATTTGGAAACTTCTGATCTAAATAGCCCTGAAGTTCCTATACAAATAAGATGTTATTATAGTGAACAGTGGTGGGGAAAATTGGGTGCTTGGGAATAGGGAAGAAGAAAGAGGCCCAGGCTAAGGGTGTCTAAGATCGCCCTCTTCAGTCTTTCACAGAAAAAAAAAAAAAAAAAGATAATCCAAGGACATTGGTGGATTTCTAGGAGATGAGTGAAGTCAAGAAAGTGGTCCTCCTCCCTCAAACCCTACCTTTAAGAATAAGGATGAAAGGAAGGAGTTGGAGGGCATGAGCTCTAAGTGGAAATGGTGTAGCCAGCAGCAGGAACCAAAGGTTCTCAAGTCCTCATCTGATTCCAGCCCTGACTTGCTGTGCAACCTTTGTCAAGTAAATATCTCTCCTTCTCTGGACCTGTTTCTGCCTTTCTGACACTAGAAGGGAAAAACTGATTAACTTCATGGGCAGGCTCAGGCAACTCGGATGAAAATGCTGACAGTTGCAGCAGAAAGGCTTTCCTTTTTCTTTGTTTCCTGACCCATGTTTGAACCCCTTAGCATCTTGCCTCCCTCAAACATCCCTGTGCAGTTTCATCAATTATTTTTCTCTGGGCCCTTTCCAGAGCTCATAGGGAAAACATATGAACAGGCCCTAGACCCTGTTCATTAGAGACATGAAGTAGAAAGCAAGCTGAAATAATAGAAAGGACACGTTTCCACAATAGGTGAGGCAAAGCCCTCAAAATGAATGAGCTTGTGACTTAGAAAGGCAATCAGCTAAACATCTTGAGTATTGCCAAAGGGCCACTGTGAGAAGGTCCCCAGGATAACAAGGGTAGGGCATTTTAAGGCACCTTGGCCAATGCAGGAAAATCAAACCAGGTTCCTCTTTACCCTAACTTAGATCTAGAACTCAGAGGGGCAATAACAAATCTGTTTCCAACAGATTTCCCTTACACGTTGGTCCCACAAGGAAACAGCACATGCAAATTAGGAGAATTAAAGAAGGGTTTCATAAGGAGACTAATTACAAAGTTGTGAGTGGTGTGTAAAAGAACCACAAGGCATGGTGAAGTACTCACAGTGGGCTTTGTCACCACTCTTAAGCCTGGAGGGCTGGGAAGAAGCAGTTACTGAAATTTAGAAAGCAAGATTCCTGTGGAACAGGCTGCCTTGAAAGACACTGTAATCTTTGGTTGAAAGGATCAGCCAGCTCAAGGTAACACCACAGGGAGGGAGCTGGGAGAGTAAAGACCCCGACTTTACTCTCCTCCCATCCTCCTATTTCCTGCCAGGGCTTTCCATGAGCAAACCAAACTGGAAGCCAGAGGGCACTGGAACCTGTTAAAGTACAAGTCAGCCTCCTGAGTCAGAGAGCAGGTTGGAGGAGGGTGAACAGTAGATCTGAAGAAGCAAAAAGAATCTAGCTAGCTTAGTTTGGCTACTTAATGCAGCTCCTCACACCACCTTTCCTCTACAACAAAATACATCATAATTCTCTCATCTCTATTCCGATATTTTAGATCCAAATCTCTAACTCCAGAGACTTTCAGCTCTAACATTCAACCTAAAACCTTTGGCTCTCAGAAGCTTCTAAGATTAGAAATTTCCAGACAACTTTGACTCTAGAATTCTACTGCTCCAGAATCCTTTTAGATATCTTTGTCCTGAGAACCCAACTGACCCTGAAATACTCTTTCCTTATCAATTTATCCAGAGTATAGGCAGCATAGATGAGCTGCTTCAGCTTCCAGGAAGGCGTTGAGTCTCCTGCTCCTATGTACACCATGCAGGCAAGCTGTTGTCACTCTATAAGCAATAATGAAAGATGTGTCATAGAGACTGCCATTTCTCACTGACCAGACAAGCAAGGCAGAGTGGGAGGCAGAGGAGATTAGAGAAGCAGAGGGAAATGCTGATCTGGCTAAATGGAGTGACCTCTACCCGAGTGCTAGATGACATAGGAAAGGGGCCACAGACACCATCTAAAGCCTTGCCTCGACCTCCGATATGGCTCACCAGAGGCAAAAGTTTACATTCTCAATTCCTCATGCAGAGTATTTTCACCAAAATGTCTCCACTTTTCCCATGACAGGCAGGTGCCACAGGGGCAATAACACTGAATTTGGCATCAAAATAAAGATCTGGGTTCCAGTCTCTGATTAGTACTTGTGTGAACTCGGGCCATTCTTTACACTCTGTCTTTTAATAGACAGAGTAATAGAAATAATAGCCTTATTCCTGCCTCCATTCCCAAGGTGGCTTCTGAGGACCCAGTGAGATCATGGATGGAAAACCAGCAGCTTACACACTATAAAATTCTGGGTCCAGAGTGTCTCCATACTGAGTGAGTGATATATGCAAGAGTGAGTGATGTAATGTGTATGGGTGAGAGATTTCAGCATGTCCCTGTGTGTAAACAAAACTATAACAATGGCAGTTTCACAAGGTTCAGTCTACTATGTAAGTGTGTAAGAGTGAGAATATATGAGTGAGTTGTATGTGAACAAGCCAAGGTACATATTATGAGTAAATTAATTATGTGTTCAAGCACATGTGTATTTTTGTGTGAATTGTATGTGGAATCAAATATGTATGTTTTTCGTAGAACATGTGTGGACATGAATCTACATGAGCATGCAAGTGAATATAAGTATTTAGAAGAAAGAATGAGATTGAGTGCAAATTCAAGTGTGTGTACATGTGTGTGTGTGAGAGAAAGAGAGCAATAGTGAGCAAGAGAGAGAGAGAGATTGAACACAGAGAACATACCAAGCTTTTGGACTCTGTGCTAGTGAAAAATAAATGCCCTCCCCTCAACTCATAATTTTCCCAAAAACAAGCTTTCCAAGCAGAAATTTTCCACTCGGGCTTTCCACCCCAAAAGGGGGCCTTTTTATTTATTTATTTTCTCTTTTTGCTTTGAGCCTTACGCCTAGCCATTCTGGGCTGAGGAGAGGAGTTAGTGCCTAGTTCTACTCAGAGAATAATTGGGAACATTTTGCTACACACGGGAAACTGGAAAATGACTGGCGTGCAGGGCCGAAACTTAGTTCGGGTTGTAGTGAGCAAGACAAAGGGCCCCTCAGCTACTTTATTTGTTCTCTTTAAAAGTAGCCCTAAGTGACTGAAATATCGCTCACCACCACAAGCAGTATGAAATTTCACCACCAGTTGGAGTTACGTAACTGTCTCCATGGCAACCAAAGCCCATAAACATGTAGTATCATTGTTGGCTGGTTACATAGCAGTGGTTTTAGTGCCCCCACCACCCCTCCTCTTCAGCCCTTTCTTGATTGTTTTCTCTTTTTGTCCCCCTCCTCCTATTTTTCTTTCCAGTCCAAATTAGGAAAATTAATTGTTGAGTAAAATAAGTGGAAACCAAAGCTCTTCAAGCAATGGGCACATGTGAGACACATCTGCTGAGGAGCAGTGTAGGTTCTCAGCTTACCTACATGCCGGCTTACACTAGGGAAATTATTGTTTCCCACAACTGTACTACAACCCACAGACACATATACCCTGTAGTAGCTACTGTTGAAATGAAATCAGATGGGCTGAAGAGAAAGCAGGCAGAGGGTCCAAGAGAAACGTTGAAAATTCAGTCTCCTATGAGCTTATTTCTTTTTTTTTTTTTGATAATCATCTTTTTTTATTATTATACTTTAAGTTTTAGGGTACACGTGCACAATGTGCAGATTAGTTACCTAATGCTAAATGACGAGTCAATGGGTGCAGCACACCAGCATGGCACATGTATACATATGAGATTATTTCTTTGAACAGTTTTTAGGAGTCCTAGGGCAGTAGCATCATGGTGGAGATGATGATAGAAAATGTTTCTGAGTTGAGAAAATGAGGTTTGGGAAAATGGGGATGAAATCTTCCTTTGGCAGGATCTCTACTTTTTCCAGAGCTTGGGGCTGAACTGTGTGCCACCCTCATCGAAAGGTAAGATTTGAGATCAAAAGTGCAACATCAGTCATCAGGATGCATAGATTTTAAGCCCTTAATCAATCTCTTAGCAGCTGTATGATCATAATTAACAGAAACACAGGGTTTCATGCCTGAACAGTCATGTTTCAATCCCCTTGTCAAACACTTGATGGGGGAGATCACTCTCAGAACACTTGAGAATGATGGGGAGATCTTTGCCTATGAACATGGCCCATTTAATCCATGGACTGCTCTGAGATAAAATTATTCTTTGTATTGAGTGACATTTTTGCTCCCTGTGGAGTCTATCCACAGATCTTTGTTCTGTCTCCTGGGGTTCCCCAGCCCCTAGCTGTTCTCTTTATCTGACGAGAAGTACTTCAGATACCTTCCAGATGCCATATCTCCATTAGTCTTCTCTTCCTCCAGCCAAACAGCCTCATTTCCTTCAATTGTTCCTCACGGGTCTTTGGGATCTCACTCTTCAGCATGCCTATTCCCCTTTGTGTGAGTTCCTAATTTTCTGTGTCTGCATTAAAATGTGGAACTCAGAGCTTGACACAGTCTTCTAGGTGATGTCTGACAATTAACCATGTCATAAATTCTAGGAATGTCACTGCAGTCGAGAGTGGGAAGAAGAATGAAGTATAAAAAGGGAAAGGGGTCTCTTCTGTACTACTTTTTCAGGCTGAGTCTCCCTAACCCTGAAAACTGGGCATTAAATGCTTTGAACTGCCATTCTAAGTCTAACCTGCAGCCCTCTGCTTCATAGCAACTGCTTTCCCACGATTATATGCCTGCCAGTGCCTCACCCCTAGCATAATTGGCACCTGGGTATGGATGTACATAGGTAGCCTCCATGGCAACTCCCCAGAAATATTGTTCTCACTGATAGCAGGGCCTTTATCCTCCTAGGGCCCTAATGTATTCTGCTCACAACCAGAGCCTCCCCCTTGCCCGGGGCAGGCCCAAAAATTCCTATCTGAGTTCCTCTGCAGCTGGTGCTCTGAGTTTACTTAGAAGCTGTCTTTCTGCCAGGAACAATGTCAGAGCCAATGTATAGTGTCAGGGTGCCAGCTATAGTGAAAGAGGTGAAAAGAGGGTAACTTTTGAGTCTTATCCATTCTTTCCTGACAGTAGTGTTTCCAGAATCTCCATATAAGGGGGCTTAGGGAAGGCAAGAAGAAGTGGAACTAAGAGGTTTATCTTTAAGCTGCATTTACCTGGAGAAGTACATCGATTTTATGTACAATTTACGTGTATTTGGGGTGTCTTTGGAAGGCTGATGGAGATTATGAAGGGGGATTAAGGGCCTCCTCAAACCTACCACTCCTTTGGCTCAGATTTATCTCTCTTTAGAGCTCTGGGTATATACATGCTATCAATACATTGGTGTTGGTGAGGAAATAAAGAGATGAAATAGGCTTCAGCTGAGTCTTGGTTACCTCATCTGCAAAATGGAAATAATTCTCCCTGCCTATCCCAGGCCTATCAAAAAGGTGAAAATAGATAAAGTATGGAAAAGTGTTCAGCCAAGTATAAAATTTTACATAAATATAAATAATTGAATTAATGATGACCATCATCACCAATCCAAATTCACAGTCTGCCAACGACGAGGATAGTCAGGTTACAAGGAGCCTAAAGAGTCTTTCAGGAACTCTTAAAGGGGCCCTATCTTCAGGAACATGGAACATGGAGTTGAGAAAAAAAAAAGACAATGGCAGTTTTGTCAGCTGTGCCTAGTTGTCAAAGTTTCGTGGTGCAAGAGATAATATGAGGCTGTGAGGAAGTTTGGAGTTTGGTTGGTGTCACCAAGACTATCCCACTTCTTGTGCACAAGCCAAAAAGACTGATCAAAAAGTTGAGAATGTTCATGAAAATATCAGGATCCATCAACTCCAGCAGGAATGAAGTTGGGCCAATCAAAGGTTGATACGTAAGAAAACTATCATTCTTTGAGTACCTAAACTGTGTGCCAGATATGGTATTAAATGATTTTATATACATATATCTTACTTAATCCTCACAATCCACTGGCCACTCCTTCACTGCCCCCTGTCCAAGGTAGGTATTATCATCCTAATTCACAGAGATGAAAATGGAGAAGTAGAAGTGACTTGCTCAAGTTCACATGGTTATCAGTGACAGAGATGGTATTCAGTCCCAAGAATATCTGACTCTAGAGGGGATTGCCTTCTGTTTTTGAAGCAGTAAACTTCTCTTAAGTCTATTCAATGGCCTTAGGCTCCACCCCTCACATCTGAAAGCCATCTTGCTGAGGTGTGCTATTAGGCATGGGAATTAATGCTAGTCTAGCAGGAGAGTGACATCCATCCCCACTAATGTGGCCCACAGCATCAACAACACCTATCACCCTGTCATTGACTTACTGTGTGGTGTTAAGCAAATCTTTTCCCATTCTCTTGGCCTCAGTTTTCTCATCTCATCTGTAAAAGCAGTTGTGGTGAAGGCTAAATGAGATCACTTAGCACCATGCTTGGCATATCATAGGAGTTTAATTGGTGGTAGCTTAGGAGAAGGATGGGCTGGGACTTGCAAGGTCCAGAGAGACAACTTCAAGGTAACAAATTCAGTTCCTTTAACAAGCTTTAGTTGAACGCTTCTTCTCAGTCATACATTTTGTTAACACTGGGTCAGATGTTGGGATTGCAACAATACATAATGTGGGCCTTGCTGTGTAGAAACTCTTAGGAGTTTCGAAGAAAATCAGGATGAGCAGAAGGCCTAAGAATAGGACACGAGAGAAAAGCACCAACAGCAACCCTAATCTCACCTTGAGAAGGCAGTGACTGAATCAGAGCCCTGGGGGAGAGAGTTAAGAAAGCTTGAAGAGGTATCAAAAGTGACTGCCAGAAGCCAGGGGGTGGTTTTAAGAGCAGCAGAAACAATGGCACTGAGAACTCATTGCAATGGTCCATAAGACCTTTCATGATTTCCCCCACCGCCTCCCCGGCCACATCTCCTACTGCTCTGTGCCTTGCTCAGTCACTCCAGCCACTCTGGCTTCTTTGTTATTCCTGTGATAATCCAGATACAGTATGACCTTTGCACTTGCCATTCCTTCTTCCCTCATATATTCACATGGCTTCATCTCACTGACTTCTGGTCTTCCTTGGCCATCCTACCTAAAATTACGTCTACCAGTCTGCTCTGTTTTATTTTTCTCCTGCTTAGCACTTACCACTCTCTAACAAAATATGTATTTTACTTATTCTCCTTGTTTCTGCCTTCCTCACTAAAATGTAAGCACCAGGGATTATTTTCTAATTTCTCCAACAAACATATCCCCAGTGGCTAAGACAGTATCCTGTACACAGTTGGTTCTCAACGAATACTTTTTGAGTGAATGAGTGAATAGAGAATGTTTACTAAATGTGGAATGAATCCATGAATATATCATTTACTACACTGTAAGGAGTCTGGGCCCCTTTGAGACTGATTAAAGATATGGACCTTGTCTGCAAAATAATGAATGTAACTGTGCATAAGATGCAATGGGATTCTCTTGCCTCTGAATACCCCAGCCATGAACTCTCAGCTTAAGAATATCTGACTTTGCACAAGTCTCTAAATTTATGACTAAGAAAAACAAGGGCCCAGAACAGAGCAAGGTGTTAATCTCAGTCTTAAGTAGTGAAAGATTCAGCAGAGAAGAGACAATTTTCTATGGAAGGAAGGAGGCCTTACAAATCCACAGCCTGATTTTGTACAGGTTTTAAAAACACCTTGTTACTGAATAGGCAGTTAACATAAAGAAAGGAAAAAAAAGTCACTACTTTTAGAAATCCAACATTATCAAAATCACACCAAATTCACAAGGCATGCCATTTAAACCCTCCTGGCTTGTCCTCTAGTAAATGACACAATAGGCTGTGGATGACAGAACTACGAAGGCCATCTCTCACTCTCTCTTCTTTGTATCTTTTTGCCTGTCCCCTACATGTCATCTATCTTGTTCCCCCTCCCCACTCTGCATCATATGCTTTCCATAGGAAAGGTTCTGAGATATGCTGCTTTTTCCTGGGGAGATAGTGGGGAGTGAAGTATTAGACAAGCGGATACAAACTCAAATGGCTATAGGGACCAGGTGAGTAAGGTTAGTGATGACAGCAGGCTGGATAAGAGAACATACATATACTTATGTGTTATGAGTGGCAGGAACTATGGTGAGCATATGACTTATCTAATGCCTACCCAGCTCCAGCCATTGCTACTATGCAGAATGAGAGCTCAAGGTTGCCAGATTGCCCAATTTTTCCAGAGAGGCTGAAAATCACAGTTTCTATCCGAATCTCTCAATTTTAATATTCCTTTAAAACACTCAGTAAGCTAAAGAAAATATCCCTGCAGACCAGATATACTTCCTGGGCTTCCACTTGCAGTGCTGCCTTAAACAAACAAACAAAAAATGCACTAATAATGGAATTTCAGGCACCAGCCTGTTTACTTTCCTTCTCCCTCTCTAGTCTGATACAGCCATTATTTATATAACAAAAGTGGAATAATGTCTCTAGAAAGTAACTGTAAAAGTCTCTATACAGGTAATACCTCCTGGCCTGGTGGAAAATGAGTTATCACTGCCATAGTTGCCACTGCCATTATTACTGTACCTTTCCTCCTTGCTAGATTATTAGCTCTTTTGAATCCAAAATCTCATTGCATTTTCACAACTCTGTAGGATAGGTATCATATCTCTATTTTGTTTGTGAGGGCAGTGAAGGTAATAGAGGTTAAGTCACCAAAGACCATGCAGTAAGTGGTGGAGCAGGGATTACAACCAAACTCTCCAATGTTCTTATCACTGCCATTTGCTGCCTCGAGGCACATGGTGTGCTTACGTTGTGCAAGGCTAAGGAACTTCAGCTGGGAATATCCAATGTGGTAGACAGCTTCTAAGAGGGCGCACATTGATCACCACCTCCTGGTATTCATACCCCTGTGTAATTCCCTCCCTTTGAGTATAGACTGAGCCTAGTGACTTGCTTCTAAAGAATAAAATACGGCAAAAGTGATAGGATGTCACTCTGAGATTAGGTTATGAAAGACTGTTAACTGCTACCCTGCTCACTCTCTCTTGCAATTTCACTTGCTTGCTCTGATGAAGCAAGCTGCTATTTTGTGAGCTGCCCTATAGAGAAGCCCACATGGCAAGGAACTGATAGAGGTCTCTAGCAAGGAACTGGGGCTCTCAATCCAGCTGCCCACAAAGAACTAAATCATGCCAATGGCCACTTGAGTAAGCTTAGAAACTGATTATACCCCAATCAAGCATTGTGATGACTGCAATCACAGATGACACCTTGACTGTAGCCTATGAGAGATGTTGACCCAGAGGCATCCAACTAAGTCATGCCTGGTTTCCTGACCCACAGAAATTGTGAAAAATAAATGTGCATTGTTTTTAAGGTGCTAAGTTGTGAATAATTTGTTGTATAGCAATAGATAACTAACAAAACCAGAAACACAAAATTGCTTACACAATACTGGCTCAGATGCCTCAATTACCACACCTCCCTCCCTCGTCTTCACTCCCAAAGCCTTTCTGCCACCCAACATGTTAGGTACAATAACCTATTTGGGGCAAGAAGGAGCTGGAGCTTGTGGTAGGTAGAAGACTTTGGTATTTTTAGCTAAAAGAAAAAAATGTCTTATTCACAGTCTGATTTCTTTCATACCCTGGACCTCTATGACCATGCCAATTTGCAAAGCTGCTTAAAATTATATTTGAAAAAAAATCATGGTTGAGCAATAAGAATTCTCACCTGGAAGTCAGGAGAACTGGATTATGTCAGTCATTCAATCCACAATAATTTTTAACTGCCATATTTGGGCTTAGCATTATGTTCAATAATGAGGAGACAATTGCAAACAAATAAGATCCAGTGCCTGACCTCACAAGACTTCCATTATGCTAGGTATACTCCTGTATTGGCCACTTGCAGGGGGCTCATGAGCAATTCTCTCCTATGACCTGTTTCTTCATCTCAATGAGTGGCAGCTGGTAGACATAAGAAGTCAGTTTCAGCTCCACAACACTGCACTTTTGTAAAAAGGCAAGCCTTGTGTTTGAGCGACTAAGAGGGGCTGCTTTCTGGATGGTTGGTTACTCAGGGTCACCAAGGTTAAGTGATGAGCCCAGGGTTCATGTGGGTAAATGGTGACAGTGTCCTAAGTTACCTCTCAAATTAACATTTATAGTACGAAGAAAAAAAATGTGTTCAATAATGCTTGCTTAATCACACTCTGTTCCCAAATAGACAGTAAACAAACAGAATGAAAAGAAAATAAATGTTTAATACTTTTAATAGCCCAATAATATTTAAATAACAGACAATAATTATTTTATTAATATAAACGAACAAAAGCAAAGTGAACTTTCCTGGATCTCTATTTTTGTTGAGGCATCTAGGGGCTCTAAAAGTAAAAGATCATTTGCTCTAGTTGAGTTCTCTCCAGGCTGAGAGAGCACTCTTCCCTAAACATGATAAGTTAGGTTGGGCTGGGTGTAGGGTTGAGAGAAGAAAACCAAAGCTGTTTTTTGTGACACCACCCTGCACACAAACAATTTCAACTGACTAAATCATATCTAGCCATTAGCAGCATAAACTTTTGAGGCAGATGACCTGAGTTCAAGTTTATTCTCTGCCATTTAATAGCTGTGTGATTCTGACTAAGTTATGTTACCTGTCTGCATCTCCATTCTTTCATCTGTAAAATGGAGATGATGCTATAACTCTCCTCATAAGGTTATCAGAAGGATTAACTGAGTTAATATTTGTAAAACACTTGGAACAATGCTTGTCATAAAATAAACACTATATAAGTATTTGTTAAATAAAATAAACACAGTTTTAACTTAATTATAAAAAAACCCAATAGGCCAAACCAACCAGTAGCAAGAGAAAGTCTGTCTTAAGAGATCTCCATCTCTCCTTTCTGAGGCTTTCACAAGAAGTATTCAATCAAAAAACTCCTTGCATTAATTGCCTCGTCACATCAGCGTAACATCAGCATAACAACTCAGAGATAGACTGATGACTTCTCTTCACATTTTGGGAATTGGGAAACTGAGGCCTAGGAGCTCAATATGACTGGTATAATTGGTATGCCAAATTCTCTAGATTTAACAGAGTGCCGTGATTCTAGTTCAAACCTTGCCACCTCCTGTGACCTCAGGCAAAGGCCATCCTATCTTTGTGCCTCAATTTCCTCATCCATTCAAGGAGGTGTTACTTCTAAGATGATCTTAGAAGTAGCAGATGATTCAAAGGTCACACAACTTGTTTGTAATAGAGTGGGAACTGACTTTTCGCTAAGCTATTCCTTGAATTGTTTTATACCAATGAGTACAGAGCCTTGGAGAGTTCGAAGGATATATTCAGTTGGCTTGCCCTTCTATCCTTGCTCTCTTTTCCCTTACACAATACCGTGGGGTTAAGCAGTAACTAGGACAGGACACTGGCTCTTCTGCATTGAAGGTAATGACTTAGATTGTAAAATGTCAAAGCAGAGAGGGACTTTGGAGACATCTTTTACTTCAGTGGCCCTGAAATTGAAATGAGTACTCCTCAGGGGTCCTCCCCAGTGCATTGTAGGTACATGAACTATAAGGGCACTCTCCTTGAGAGAGTTGACTTTACTAGAAGATTTGTAATAATTATATTAAATGAAGATATATTTGTTATGGAGTGGAATACAGAAAATACAGATGAGCTTTTTAAAGTAAATCAAAAGTCTACAAATAATTTGTACTCTGACTTGGACTGAAAAAGGTATAAAATGTAGTCCTAAATCACCATATGGCCATTGGGGAAGCAGATCCAGAGAAAGGAAGAATCTTCCTCCACAGGATTACAGAGACACTTAATAAGAAAGAAAGAAAGAACTTGAATCAAAACCACTGGCCTCTCAGACAATCGTGCTTTCCACCGTCTAGCAACTCCTGTTGGCTCACACCCTGGAAGGCAAGAGAGAACCAAAGAGGGGATTAAAATAATTTCTTGTTGGGTGGAGAAGTACCTCACTAATGTGGACAAATTGCTTTGCTTCTCAAGGCTTCAGTTTCTTCATCCAAAAGAAACTGATACGAGAGTACAATGTGTAGATAATGAGTTGGGCTCTGGATTCAGAGAATGCCTAGGTTAGGATCCTAGCTTTGTGACTGTCTAGATATCTGATCTTGGTCAAGCTTCTTGACTTCTGTGTGTCTCAATCTCATGTGAAAATTGAGTTATAATAGTACCTATCTCATAAGGTTGTTTTTTTTTCTTTTTTTATTATACTTTAAGTTTTAGGGTACATGTGCACAACATGTTTTAAAAATTAAATGAGTTAATACAGGCAAAACACTTAAAAGAGTGCTAATTATCTAGTTATTTCTGTTAAAACTTGGAACACACAGGGCTACACTTACAGCACAGGTGCATCTTGGCATCTTTCTGTGGACTTCAAGTGTAGAAAGTATAGTTTATAACCTGCAGGTCATCCCAAAGGTGGTCCAGATCTGGTTTGTTGGAACTGAGATGTATGACAAGCTTAGAAGCTTTCAGAAAATAAAAATCATGCAGGCTATCTTACCATCCAAATAGATGTTGCCCTTGTGTAAGTTCCCTGAAAGGGCCAAAGTGTTGTCTTACATGGATACTAAAATATGTTCTCATATTTTCTTTAAAAATGCTGGATTTCCACAGAGAAAACTTCTGACTCTTTAGATGCCAGACACAAAGAAAAACACAGTAAGATGATTATTGAAAATAGTTTTGAAGAGTGAGAAATGGACCCTGAGAGAAGCCGATTCTCAGACAAGGGGATTCGTTATCCTTGGCAGTGGAGAGGATTAACTAGAGTACTGGAAAGTTACTGAAGGCCAGTCCTGGGGTTCTGCCCTTCCCTAGGCAGAAGAGGCCGCTCATCAGGCATCTAGGGCCTTGTGAGCATTTTTTTTTTTTTTACTTTTTTCTGTGGGTGGTTATTATAACTCTTACCTGCTATTGTGAGGAAAACTTTAAACAAGTTGCCTAAGCCATGGACCTACAGCCCCCATCAGGTCCCCCGGGTCTCTGAGTTATGACATTTGCCAGTCAAGTCAAGTCACCAAGTATGTATCTTAATTTAAACATATTCTGGCCTATTGGTCTTTTGAGAGCATTGTTATAAAACTGTGCCTCATAGAATCCAAGAGTATTCTACAGAGATAGCCTAGGAATTACCAAGAAAGGATGGCCTTCCATATTACCCAAAATAGCTCTACTTTTATCTGTTTTCTATGCTATGAGTCCCTGTTGAATTTCACCTGCAGTAAAAGGTTCTATTTTAAAAAACAGGTTGAAAAACTCCTACCATAAACTGCTGAAATTGTTTCAACATTCCAGAAATGTCAATATGTTGGCAACCAAAGGACATATGTTTGCATTGCACCCAAACTAGTGTCAAACAACAAGTCCTGACTTTTGAGACAAAAAGAAAAAAAATAATTATGATACATGAAGGAATAGTGATTTAATTCCTGCCTCCAAGGAGCTGATGTTCAGATTAAGAAGGCAGGACAAACAGACTGGAATCACTTCAGCCTTTAATAGTTCAGAGCAAAACTATGTGGTTCTAATTTTAGGAGCTCAGAGGGAGATAGACCTGGAGGAAAAAGAGGTGGAATTGTAGCTGGGACCCAAAGGATGATAAAGCAGAATTACTACAGGCAAATAAATAGAGATAAGTATAGATGCAGAGAAAGGAGTAAGGATGATGTTGGAAGTGGGAGAGATTATGGGGGAGGGAGGCTATGTAAGGAACCAAGGCCTAAGGAGCATGGGCCATTGATTCTGGGGACTAATAAGAGAAAATGTTATTGGAGCCAAAATGGGGATATACTGGAATGTCAAGCAAGTATCTTCTGATCATGTACATTATGGATAGGGTGTAAAAGGGGCTGCTGAAGGGAGGTAGCACTAACTGAGGGGATTTAAACAGTGATTAAAGTGGAGCTCATTCAAAGGTTGCTTTGGAGGCAGAGACCCCCTCACCATTGGCCTTCAGCTCAGTGATTACAGGTCTAATCATTACTTATTTGTCTTTCCTTATTGTTGGCTTGTTATTTAGTCAAATGCTTTTTGGCCTGGTTAAGGCCCATCTCTCTATCTCTCAAAGCACCTAATGTGACATTCTACATATATTAAATGTTCAATAAAAGATTTTGGACAAAAATGAAAGCCATTTAAATGCAAAAGCTAAAGCCTTTGGTGGCTGATAAACGGAGGAAATCTGCAAGGAGGGGTCTGTGATCCACAGACCCTACCATCTCTCTAGAGCTTTTTCATACCTCAGGCAATCCCCCTGCCCATTGACAGGTTTTATTAGCCTCATTTTACAGATAGCATAACTAAGATTCAGAAAAGAAATGGGGTATGCCCAAGGTCACCTAGGTAATGGCAAGATGGGACTGAAACCTGGGGCTTCTTATTGCAAATGCATTATACTTCCTGTACCTCTGGTCTATTTGGAAACACTGGTGCTAACAGCCACTTCCCATTCTTCTCTGTGCACTGTCTAGTCACAGCAGTGCTAGGAACCTCCCCAAATACCTAAATTCCCTCTGCAGTCAACTACAGAGATTATTCGTAAGTAAAACTAGCTAAGGAAAAGTGGTAGGAATGGAGTTAAAGGTTTCTAGTCTGAATTCTACCATAGCCTCAGTTTTCCAATCTGTAAATTAGGCTCCCTGGAAAGCCTTCCTGTATGACCCATGCTATCAGGCCAAGAAGCATGCATCTATCTCCCTAGCTTGCTAAAAAGCCCAGGATTGCAATGCTTCTGTAGCCTGATTATTTCAACCTATTCTGCTGTCTCACAGTAAGATAGATCAACTTGTCAGGTGGAGCCTTGGACACCTAGGTTCATGACAGTGTTTTTAATGATTGAGTGATGCCCCTTGAGCCGCCATGCTTGGCTGGCTTTGGTGTGTGAACTCCAGCACACACTTCTATCAAAGTGGGTCCCTTTGCTTACTCAGCGAGTGCTCTCCCAACCAGGAAGCTCCTAAATCCTGCTCTTTGCCTTGCTCCCTTCCTATGTTTATTCATAGTTCTTAGACACCCGGAGGCAATTGCAATTGCACATCTTTGCTCATAAATCCAGGAGATCAGATAATATATCTTATTTATCAGTGCAGACTCAAAAATGGGCAACTTCCAATGACTGTAGCAAATAAATAAAATCAAAATGATGAACTCCCTCGTCCTCTCCTGTTAAATAAATACTTGTCTAGGGAGATTATAGCCGGATAAGCAGAAGATGAAAACACTGTCTTGCTGAAAGCTTGCCTGTCTGGGGCCTCATTTCAGTAACTGATTTCCCTCCAACCCCATTGTCCTTTGTGTCTGCCTGTTTTTTTCTCATCTGGGTAGGTAACATGTGCTCACTGCAAATCCCTGAGAAAAGAAGACAGGACATAAACTTCAGCCGATATTTCCCCTTTACACTCTCAAAAATCCACAAGCCACATTCCCAATACAAAAGCTGAGCGGCTAAACTCTCCACTCCCCAGAAGTACCCACCACAAACAGAATTCTTCCTTTTTTGACCACTGATACAGCTACCTGTTGTGATGGAAAAAGAAAATCCTCAGTGGCACCAACACCTAGGTTCAAAAACCCATTTGCTAGTAGTAGCATTCTTGAGGAAGTAACTTTTCTGTAAGTCCCAGCTGAGAATCTATAGAGGACTATAGCTAAAAGCTCCTGTTGTAAAGTTACACTGGGTTGAAATTCTGTGTGAGTTTTGAGCAAATTGTTCCACCTTTCTATGCTTCAATTTCCTCTTCCATAAATAGGTACCGTAATGGGGTAAGCCTTGCAGGATTGTTGAGAGGATCAAATGAGATAATCTGTGTTAGGCATTAACTCAGTGCCTGGAGAAAAGAAAGTGCTCAATAAATGTTAACCATTATTATTAATAAAAAAGAGCAGACAACAAAACATTTGCCATGGAAAAAGCACTGTGTTTAGAACAAGAAGGCCTGGAATTAAGTCCCAGCAATCTTTACTCATTAGCTGGGTGGGACCTTAATACACCCTTAACCTCTTTCAATCTCAGGTTCCTCATCCATAAAATGAGGATAATTGTAGTATTTATTATATTGAGTTGTTGCAAAGATGGCACAAGTTTAGTAGTTATTAAAAATATTTTGCATTCAAATCTTGTCAGCCAACATTCTTATAGCTCCCACTGTGTGCCAAGCTATGAGCTTGGGGTGGGGAAGAAATCAGTGAATAAGATTATGGCCTCTGCATTCAAGATCTCATGGTCTAACTGCAACAAATAGTCCCATAAACAAATAATTGAAGTACAAAGTTTAAGCCATCTCTACAGAAATGTGTGCAAGGTCCAAAGATTATAATGCCTAGTTCAAGGGGGTGGGGAAGCATGGTGGAAGTAGTAAGGAAAGGCCTTCTGGAGGAGATGAAGCCTGAGATAGCTTTAGAAGGGGAATATTTTTGTGACTAAACATGATAGGGAGAACATTCCAGGCCAAAGCTAAGGCACACAGACATACAATCACCTAGTATGATTGGGCAGTGTTCTACTTATTCCATTCTTGAGGAATGCAATTTTAAAAGAAGGCAGTGAGAAATGAAGCTGGAGAGACAGGGACTGATTAAGAAGAAAACCTTACATGCCCTACTAAGAAAATTGCTTTTAATTATTTTTTAAATAGCACTTATGTAATATTTACTATGCACCAGCCAATATTGTAAATACTTTACAAATATTAATTCATTTAATCATCAAAAGAACCCTGTGACATAAATACTATTACTGATGCTCACAAAGATTAATTGATTTGCTTGACATTTTACAGATAGTAAGCAGAAGAGCCAGGGTACCTACCCAGGATGTCTGGTTCCAGAGTTGATACAAAGATAGGATTAATAATCCCTTTATTAAACCCCATACCTAGGCCACTCAGTCCCCACTCTCAGCCAGTTCTGAAATTGCATATTTATGTGGCCTTGCTTTACGTAAACTTGCCTGTCCATCTGCCCCTCAGAGTTCAGACTCTTTCAATGGTATCTATTGGTACTTCCTGGAATTCCAGAGTTTGGGCTCTTCCTCAGCTTTGGTGATGATAAGATGACACACTTTCTGCTTGGCTTTCTGAGTGGAATTAAAAACTGACTGATTGTTCTGAGTAAATACTAGACATCACCTCATTATGTCTCATCAAACTCTGTGCCATTCACTCCATGAGTTGCATGAATGGAGGGCCATAGTTGTAGTAGCAGGTGGGTTCTGGGAGCTTCAGGATCTTCTCTGAGCCCATCTAGTCACATACACATAATCTCTCCCCTCTTGCCCAAAATGCTTTGCAGATGCCAACAGTAAGGGAAAGCTACTCTTGGCATGCCTGTCTTACTTCAGGTTATTTATCTGCCTAAGCTGGCATCATAGTAAGAATTTATATTTTTATTGGCCCTTACATTCCCTGAAGCCTTTTGATATGCATCTGTTATCTGATTTATTCTTCCTGAAAACCCTTTGATGTCAGTATTAACCTTTTTTTCTTCAAATAAGGAAAGTGAAACTCAGAGACAGAAAGTTACTTGCCTAAGGTCACTTAGCTAGCAAGTACCAGGAACTCACTGCACAATCTCACTGTAAGGGTCCAAAAGCTTCTGCTCATGCCACTGCCAAAATAATCACAAAAATTACCTGGATTGAGGGCAACTGACCAAGACTTGAGATGAAGGGTGATGGCAGAGGTCTTTTATGGATTCCACAAAGCACTTGGGGTTGTAAAGCTTCTGATTACAGTTAGAAGAAACTCTCAGAGACCCTCCACCCTAGATGCAATCTTTTTAGACAGTTTGTGTCCTCGGGACCATCTGATTGTCTGGATTCTGTCTTTTACCCTTCTCCCACCACTGTCAGTGCTTCAGTCGACTAGATGAAGACTTGAGTTTCTCTGGGGAGGGTCATTGTTTACCCCTTTACTCTCATTTAAACAATGAGTCGTTATCACCACTGCCCCCCAGACAAGCTCTCTTTTATTTCTTGCTAGTTATAGGTACAAACCCTCAGTTTCAGATCAAACTGCCCTCACTGGAGCTACCTGAATGCTTATCTGATACTTTTGTTTCTTCCCCTGGATTCTGGCCTTCTTCAACATGCTTCCACACCTAAACCCTTCCTGTGTCTGGAGAGGGCCCCTTTAAAAGTCTTAGCTTTCTTTTTGTCAATGTATTCAATTTATGCCTATCTTCTCTCTCGTGCCACCTTCTTTTTCTGTCTTGTTTAAGAAGATCTCCTTCATTTCAAGATGAAGCAAATATTTTCTCTGACAAAAGACAGCAAAATAAGTCAAAAGGCAAAGAATAAACTGGGAAAAATATTTTCAACTCATATGAAAGATAAAGAGTTAGTGTCCTTATTAAACTTAACTTTTTTCTTCATCCAGAAGATTTTTATTCTTTTGTAGTCAAGTCTGTTAGTCTTTTCCCAATGGTTATTGACCTAGATCAAAATCCATAATCTTGTTAATGTTAAATGAGCAAAATAAGTTGCTTTTTTCCATCTGAGAATGTAATGAGGTGATGTTGTAAAAACATGTGCATAATATGACCCCTTTTGTCTACAAAAACCAATTCTATGTATATGTATATTTGTCTAAACATCTTTTCGGGAGCATGGAGAAAAATGTGGAAGGAATTATGCCAAACTGATAGATAACATCAGTTACCTGCTGAATGGGATGACAGAGGACTTGAGAGAAATGATGAACCTTTTCTTTATGTATCTCTATGTTGTTTGACTAGTTACAGTGAGCTAGAATGAGTTGAAAAAAAAAAACGTACAATCTACCCATCTGCACTTCCTTTGAGGTATTTTAGACTTGAATTTTGTGAGAATGAGGGAGGTTGAGAGTAGAGAGCTGAAGAGGAAAAACTGGCTTTCAGAAGTTCAGAGAAGTGAAAGGACTTGCACATCTACTATATAGCAGTAGAGTGAGATCTGAATAGACTTGAACAAAATCAAGAAATAAGGTCAGAACCTCTGGAAGCTCTTAAAGGCCAAATGAGTTGGCAATCAGCCTCCAGGCAACTACAAGTTCACCTGGTACTTTTTCCAAAAGTCAAAGCCTTATGTCTTTCTCCCATGTCAGCGCCTACCCAAGGTTGGCTGCCATAATCTCAAAAAAGGCCATGGGCCACAAGAGAGCTCAACTTACTCCCTGTGATCTTGGTTGGATCACACAAATCAGTGCAGCAAAGACAAAAATGCTTAGTCTAAAGGTGCTGCTTCCACTCTTTAGAAATCCATTTTCCTAAAGTATCACTTTCTATGAACTTCCCTGTTCAAGAAATGTCAGTGGCTCCCAGTGCTTTCCATATTAATTCTAAACTCCACGTTCTGGTCTTTGACATCCTGAATAAGATGCTCTAGTTTCACCGAACTTGAGACAGTAGCTTTGTTTGAGTCTAGACTAGTGTAATGGTTACAAGTGGGATCCCTGACATCAGAATCCTGCATTGGAATCCTAGCGTTGCCACTTCCGAGCTGCATAACCTTGAACAAATGAGTCAATCTCTCTGGCCCTCAGTTTCCTCATACATAAAATGAGGGTAAAATAGTGCCTCCTTTACAGGATGGTTCTGAGAATGAAACAAAGTAATCCGTAGTGTTTGCCACAGCACCTGGTTCAATTATATTGAGTGATTATTTTCACTTATTTTATTATTAATCCAGTTGTCAGAAAATAATTCCCATGAAGGCAATCATCTCAGCTAGCAACAATCACTTAATATCTCTTTATCCATGAAGTTGAAGGAAAGACAATTTTATGGAGTGCATCATTTTGGGAAATTTGCAAGAAGTCTTGCAGACATCTAAGCAAGCTCATGTTCATACACACACATATACATACACACACACAGAAATGCTTACAAGCACTCACAATTTCTTGCATATATTCATTTACAAAATTCTCCCCTTCCCCACATGCCCGTGTATATATACACCGACACATATTCTTGTTGAGGGTTGCAATATTTGTTCCAAAAAACTGCTATGACTGTAAAAAAAATCTCATTGCTGTGCTAAGCAGACAGACTCTCAGACACTGCCTATGCCCTTATAATAAATATGAATATAATGAAAGGATAGAAAAATGCTGCAGACAAAACTTCCAGGCAAGAGCTGTCTGAAGGTACTCCCTATGGAGACAATGAGACAGGCACTGCAGTGAGATGCCAGGTCTTTCTTTCCTATTTAGGCATTGAGCAGAATGTTTTTTAACACAAGCTAGATAGACCAATTGTACATATTGCCTGGGAGAGGGGAATTGAGAGGGAGGTTTCTGGAACTTAATACTTTGACCTACCTGTGAGCATAAAGCCCCTCAACCTTAGCCTAAGCCTAAAAATCCTGTAACTGTGGGCTTTCTTGGGCCAGAGGGGATGGGTGAGTGATCTGGCTTTTTAGTTAAGAAAGGCAAGCTTTGGCTAGTCTTTTGTAAGTATCTGAAGAGTAGCAATTGTCCAGAGATCATTTTCTCTAGGATCCCTTAAATGACTCCCCATGCCACTCTCCCAGTTGCGATATCATAGCCCCCATGCTTACTTTTGCCACGGCATTGGTCACTCTGCACTATAACACTGTTTATCATCTAACTTAAGTACTTAGCACAGTGCCTGGTATATAGTAGACACTATATATATAACTGTATATAAAACTGGTGATTGTCTGATTGTTTATCTTTCTGCTCTCCCACATTACTGGGGTTATGTATTCCCATGGTCCTCTGTATTCCTAGCACCAGCACAGAATTTAGCACGTTTGCAGAATTAAGCTGACTTAGTTCCCTTGCAGTCTCCTGAGGCCTTCCTTACATATTAGCTTCCTTATCTGAAAAAAATGATAAAACATGCTTTTTACATAGAATTGCTGTGAGGATTGAATAAGTTATACATGAAAAATACTTGGGTTAGTGCATTGCACAAATGTAATAATAATAATTATTATTACTATTATGGCTTCCAGACCTGCTGATGGGGGTAGGACCCTCGAACTGTGCCGATCTTGGTTAGGGTAGTCCCTGGGAAAAGGGATGGGGTGGCAGTTGTACTTATAGGTTTTCCTCTCTCTCCTGCCCTATCACATTGCTTCTGTTGCACTTAGACACTCTGTGTAGTGTTAAAGCTGTAGCTGATCTTGGAGGTCATGCTCACCAGACTGGGAGCTCCCTGAGGACAGGGCTAGTTCATGGTTATCACTGGACCCATACAAGGTCTGACCCAGAGAAGATTCTTAGGGTGTATTTGCCAAGTTGACCTGAATGGCAGCCATGGTTTTTCAGACACAGTCCAAAAGCTTCCTTTTACTGCTGGCATGCCTTGCTCTCCTCCACCTCCTAAGCAGTCCTCTTGCCTAGGTCCATAATGGAAGGCATGTGTGGAAAGTCTATGGAGGGTTAGTCAGAATGACATAGGAAGCTACTTGCTGGGCTGATGTTCTTCTCTTGGAAAGGGGGTGAAGTACTTATCCTTTCTATTCAGGCTGTCTGCCTCCACCTTTCTTCTCTCACCTAACACTCTAAGGCCATTTGTTGTAAAGTTTTCTGTGGGGGTACTGGAAGGAGTGCTTGGCTTAGAGGAAAGTAGATAGGGGAAAAAGGCATGACTCTGGCAGAGATTCATTGCATAAGCTAAAACCAGGCCTTTCCCCTTTCTGGGCTTCAGTATCCTTTCTATAATGTGGCTCTCATCTGTATGATTTGAATCTGCTCTGCATTCTTCAAAAATCTGTGTTGAGCATTAAAATTAGATAATATAACTGGAGAGGAATTGTAAATGTAAGGAGCCTTATATTCTTTATCCACATGGTTCTTAGGATCCATAGCCCTCCCCATTTCCCCCATCACTGAAAAACAACAACTATCTCAGTTTCCAGAAGGCTTTTTGGCCTGACATCCCCAAATTCTCCAGTTCAATTTATCCTGGGGGTGAAGGTTATAGAACTCTGGGTCTATTGTTCTTTTACCCCAACCTTACTTCCCCAAGTGGCCTGAAGGACAATATACAGAAGAAATAGGACATAGAGAATCTTGGGCTTGAATCAATTACTAACTGTGATAGAACTTTTCAGAGCCTCAGTGTCCTAATCTGGAGAACAGAGGAGAATATTGTGCTGTGTCTTGCCTCATTCAATTTTACATCACTTTGAGTTAGAAATTTTTACCACCATTTTATGATGGGAGAAAATGATGATCAAAAAAATAAAATAACTTGTCCAAAGTCACTCAGCCAGAAAATAGTAGAGCCAGAATTTGAATCTGGGGTGTCTGACCCAAGTACTCATGGACATAGTTACTATTCAGTTCCACAAAGGTTTTGCTATATTTTACATACAAAAGCACCTGCAATACGTGGTGAATCATGAAAGAGAGAAAATAAAGACCCAAGAGGGAGTGAGCCAGACTAGCATGGCAAACATAATTGCTGTATCTTGAGCTCCCTGGAAGCCAAGACAAAACAGTAACAGTACTTTCTGTGCAGAAAAAAGGTTTATTTAGGACTGAATTATAAAATGAAATAAAATGTTGTTGGTTCTGAGGTCCATCTCTGTATGGGTTAAATGTGTTGTTGTAGGCTGACTTTGTATCTGCTCTGTGCCAGATACTACCCTTGGGGCTGAGGATACTGACACAACAAAGATACAGTCTGAACCCTTCAGGAGGTCACAATGTGGGGAGGCAGACAGACAGGTCAATATCTGACTCTAAAACACAGCAGACAAGTAATTTCTCCCTAGAGGTATAGGAAAAGTAGAATAAAACTTCATTAGCTAATTTCTCCTGTGTGTACTGCCCTTCACAGATTACAAATTGCTGACACATTTATTTTCTCATATTAAATGAATTAAATGCTCACACTAACCCTGGAATATAAGTGCTACCACCCTTGTTTTACTGTTGAGAAGACTGAGGCCTTGAGAAATGAAGTAATTTACCTAAAATTCTGTTTTTTCCAACTCTAAATTTTGTGCACCTGCCATGGCCCACTGTCTTCCTTAAAAAAGAAAGCTGTCAGTTTAGTTTAGCAGATCAGACAGGGCTTTATAAAGGAGGTCACTTTTAAGGAGGTCTGACAGGGTGAGGAGGATTTCTACAAGAAGATACTGGGGGAAGAGCTTTGTGAATATTAATAATTGAGCCTTAAGAAGATTGGAGAGGAGAATTTGCTGCTATGGGAGGCTGGTAACATCCACTCTGGAGCCAGGTGATAAGGCTGGTCCCTAAGGGTCAAGCACACTGCTAATGTAATAGATACAACAGGCTGGGTTACATGGAAGGATGAAAGAAATTTAGAGATTTTACAGTTTAGTGAGTACTTCTCCCCAACTACCACGACACACTACCACCTCATTCTATGAATGATAACACTGAAGCTTAGAGAAGGTCAGGGACTGGTAGAGTAGGATCTAAAACTCATGTCTCTGGACTCCTAACCCTAGGTTCTTCACTTGCCTCAACTCTTGGCTTCCCTTCGCTATAGGGCTTTCCTCTAGCCTGCCTTGTTGACTGGGCTTCCACCTGTAACCCTCCTTCTCCACCCTGCCTATAACCATGGGCCCTTTTCTTTCCTGGGAAGTGCTTATCTTCAAAACCACTCTTACACCCACTGGTACTGCCTTCCCTGGCTCACTAGTAGCCTTCAATAAAAGGAGAGAAAAAAAGTAGAATTCACAGACCCTAAGCCCTGTCTCATGCAAGGTCCTGTGCTAGACAATCTCGTATGGTTTGTCCTCAAAACTCTGTGAGGTTAGGAACTACTCTCCACATTTCATAGATGAGAAACTAAGTTTCCAAGTTAAAAAGGGACTTGCTTAAGGGCAGAGAGTTATTGAGTAATATAGCCAAGATTTGAACTCAAGTATGTCTCATCTTGAAGTTCTTTCTACCATTCTACACTGACAGAATTCTGCCCCCTCCATTCTCATAAGTCATAGAAGAAAAGCAAAACAGGAATTCTCATTTAGATTTCACAGCTGTGTTGTTCAACATGGTAGGCACTATCATCCACATGTAGCTATTTGAATTTAAATGAACCAAAATTAAATGCAATTTAAACTTTACTTCCTCAGTAGTTCTAGCCACAGTTCAAGTGCTCAGAAACCACATGTGGCTAGTGGCTAGTATAAGCAGACAGGGAGGGTCTCCAGAGATTTAATCAACTTGAGTGATCAGCCTACTTTACAGCCTCCTTCCCTGTAGCCTGTTTCTTCCTAAGTTTTGTGTGGAATGCAGTCACTTCATTGGTTAAAACCAGCTTCTGACAGACCCCAACAACTTACAGATGAATCACAATGAACTTTCCTCATTACTGTGCTAAAACCTCTACCCTGGATGAAGCTATAGTTTCATTACCATAACATGTGACCTACGTGTTGGTATAATGATTTACTGCATCTGTGCAACTGGGACCCTTCCTCTACCTGTAATGATGGGCCCTCTCCTCCCTCCATCACCCCATAAAACCATCCTGTTACTTTCCCTCAGGAAGACATTGCTTTAGAGAATACTCCCAGTGTCCTCCTTACTTGTATGAAGTAACATAGCTCCTATTGATCAAAACTTGTGTTCTCATGGAGAGTCATTTGTTACTGATGAAGTGAATAAACCCTGTTTTTTTGTGGCTAATATTATCACATTAGATAGTGCAAATATAAAACTCACAGAAAGGTCTACTAGACATTTCTGGTCTAGAGAAATTAAGGAGAAGTCTGTTTTTACAGGATATTATCAAGATAGAAGGAGAATATGGCAAATGTAACAAACCTGCTTAGTAAAGTAGTAGCAAATCAAGGTCTCTGTAGTTCTGCCTTAAGATATAGACATGGATTGACTATATATTCCCCACGTCAGTGATTTATATATCAATGGGCAATGAGATAGAAGAGAAACTGCACTGGTTCTGAAGCTGTAAGTTGAAGTCCCAGCTTACTCTCTGACTCTGTGACTTTGGACAATTATCTTCTTCTCTCTTGCTCGCACAATGAAGGAGTTTAAGTCAAAAGCCCTCACAGACCTTATGTTCTTTGGGCCTGTGAATCAATGGCTACATTTTCACTAAATTAATTTGCACATCTCTGTGAAGGCAGAATTGTGGAAAATTTGCCAGGAATTTGGATTACGAAATTCCAGCCTCTCTGTACTAAGTGCACAAAAAGAGTGAGAGCGTGAAGACTAAGAAAAAGGCACTTACTCCTTGGCTTGAAGAGGGCCTTTAATATGTGTGTTTGCTCAATGCTTTTTCTTTTGGCAATCTGTCTGCCTTCTGTTGCTGGATCCTAGAGGGCAAAGTTGATGGCTATAACTATACAATACCAGCCAAAACAGTTTAAAAAAAGATAAATGTTGCTCTGGCAAGTCACCCCTTCTGAAAAGAAAAGTAATACTTTGATTCATTCAATAAATAATTAGTGGGCACTGTGTGCCAGACACTGTAATGGTGAGCAAAAACTGATCTAGTACTGAACCTTCCCTGCCCAAGGGGGAGACCTTTGGCTTCTTGTAACTTCTCCCAGCAGGAAACTTACGGGGTCTCTGGCTTTATATGATGCCAACACAGATATTTCAGACAAGAAAAAACCTTTTTTATCATTTGGCTACGTGATACTCCATGGAACAAAAAAAGCTTTGAGAAGAAATCATAAAATTAATGAGCTGTTTAACATGCTGAAGACCAGCTTCTGAATCTGAGAAACTCAGAGCATGCAATACTAGAAAGCAATACTTCCCCTTCCTTTCTTCATCCCCCAGGTCCACAGCCCATGTTTTCTTGGCTTTCTTGCTTCATACTACACTTTTATCTCCTTCCCAATTTACATATGTTGACTCCCACTTTCTGAGAGTCTTGCCCTTCGAATCCTCGGGGAAGAAAAATAAAATGTATGGCTCTGTATTAGGCTTCTGGTGTGTCAAGCCCAGTGTTTGTTTTCATTTTTGCCATTTCACTATGTGCACCACAACCCCTTGAGGTTGCAGTTACTTACTCCACTAGATAGATGAGGAAATGTAAGTTCAGAGAGAGTAAGTACTTATCCAAGCCTAACAAAGCTAGTGCACTTGAAAACTGAGAGTTAAACTCATTTCTTCTACACATATGGCTCATTCTTTCGCTTTGTCTTCCAGTGACATAAAACCACTCACTACCTTAGTTAATGAAGCATTAACATGACCAGGGCACATAATGCCTTAGCCTACTTATCAATGCAAATCTGTTTAATTCTGCAAATATTTATGATACATCTACTGAGTAGCAGCCCTTTGTGAACAGCAATCAATTGTCGCTATTTAAAAGTATGGGTTCTGGAGCCAGACATCCTGGGTTTGAGTCCAAGCTCCATCAATTATTTGCTGTATGACATTGATAATGACCTCAAGGACATAAACATGAATCAGACAGGGACCTTGCTCTCCAGGTCTCTCAATGAAAACTGCAGCTTCTGGCCAGGCCTGGTGGCTCACACCTGTAATCCCAGCACTTTGTGAGGCCGAGGCGGGCAGATAACCTGAGGTCAGGAGGAGTTCAAGACCAGCCTAGCCAACATGGCAAAACCCCATCTCTACTAAAAATACAACATTTTTTTAAAAAAATTAGCCGGGCGTGGTGGCATGCACCTGTAATCCCAGCTACTCGGGAGGCTGAGCCAGGAGAATCACTTGAACATGGGAGGCAGAGGTCACAGTAAGCTGAGATCACACCACCGCACTCCAGTCTGGGCAACAGAGTGAGACTCTGTCTAAAAAAAGAAAAAAGAAGAACAAGAAAGAAAGAAAAAAGAAAAAAAGAAAAGAAAATTGCAACTCCAGCCTCACACATAGTAAGTGCTCAATCATAAAATAACAATTATTTTTGTTTCACTCATTCAAGAAGCATTCATTGATGCCCACTGTATTCCAGACTGTATTTCTGTGGCTCCTGGATCTCAAAGTGAGAATGAAGAAGGCAGAGCGCTCAGCAAGTTCTAATATGCTATATTGTCAATGCTGAAGGGGTATTTAATGATTAGTTAGTCTCAAATTATCTGAGTGAACTAAGAGGGCTGCCGAGGCTCAGAGAAAGGTGGAGCCTTAGCCATGGCTATATAGCCAACAATAGCAGAGTTAGGACAAATTGCATTACTGTGGAAATGTAAGCCAGAGAAGTCAAAATAGCTATTGAAAGATATAGAGCAGATCTGAATCAATCAGCAATCAAAAGACTCTGAACTTACACTCAAGG
Source organism: Homo sapiens (assembly GCF_000001405.40). Lineage (NCBI taxonomy): Eukaryota > Metazoa > Chordata > Mammalia > Primates > Hominidae > Homo > Homo sapiens. The sequence continues at coordinate 66,890,176 of NC_000023.11, read as the reverse complement.
ACCTCTTCCTTATTTTGCCACGACTTCATGAGCCCATGCCCCTATTCATACCATCCCATCTACCACAGTCCCAGTTAAACCATCTGAGTCATTGTTAGCCAGTAAGCTGAATTGATTTCTTACTCATTCACCTCTACCAGTTCCCTGTGAAGCACTTCTGTGTCCTTATGTGTGTCCATCAGACACAACAGAAAACAAAAAGCCACTGTAACAACTGAGTAATACCTGTGGAAAGGAGGCAACCCTCAGTACCATTAGCTTATTAGCTTATCTTTTTACTTGGCCAAAATGATGAAAGGAACTTGTTGACATGGTTCCATTCTAAAGGAGGCAACTGAGTTTAATTAAAGGTATAGCTAAGGGCATGTCTGGAAGACAAGCCCAGGTTTCTAAATGAATAAAGCAACAAGGCTGATTATCAGGGTGGTTTACTCCTAAGCACAGAGTCTCCAGTTTCCTTGAGCCAGTACATTCACCCTGCACACTCATTCTCAGGTTAGAACTTAGGGCACAAAATGTCAGTTGTGCAAGGCTCTCAACCTGTGTGTGTATGGAAGTGGGTGTCTGCGGATGTGATGCAATAGCGTAGTGGAGTCTATGAAGTAACACTTGGCATGTAAGTGAATTTTTCCAAGTAGACAGTTCATGGAATTTAACAAATCCTCAATAAGATCCATGATCCAAAAAGTTAAGAATCACTAGTTCTATTTCTGCTTTTCTTTTAACAGGAAAACAGTTCTGGGGAAAGAAAAATTTACCTAAAGTCACCTGATTATTAGAGACAGAATGACAACTAGCAATTAGGCCTTTTGAACAGTAAACCAGTGTGCTTTCCTTTTTGCTATGAGAGTGAGCCTAACGCCTTCACTCTGTGAACCCTAAAATGTTATATTTAGCTGAAATTTTGCAGCCTTCCTCCAGGCAGCGCTATCAGGCCTGCCCTTCATCATTCTACAATTCGGTGTTCTTTCTTCCCTTACCTGCTATGTTCCATCTTTTCAGGGTCTTGCCAAATAATTTAATAGGTCTGAGGAACCAATTTATGTTGAAATATTAATAATAAATATAATAAATGCTATAACTAATTATACATAACTAATTATAAATAAATAAATCACAAAAGGTGACTTTAGCCTTCCCAAGAGGCCTTTGAACAGAAAGTCTCCATATATAATGCCTTATAATTATCATCATTATTAATCTTTATGCTTCTACTGAAATAGTGCTGGGAAGGGAGTCAAGATACTGGGGTTCAAGTCTTGGCTCTCCTCTCTCCTAACTATGTCAGCTGGGACAAGTTGTTTAACTTTTCTAGGCCTCAGTTGTACATACCTCACATTGTATGTAAAATTCCTCAAATATATTAGGCACCCAATACAAAAATCTCCTAATGAAATAACCAGATTCTGATTCCAGGTTTATATCCCCATTCCATTATCAACTTTTTAAAAACTATTTTTTAATTGTATAAAAACACACATAACATAAAACTTAGCATTTTAACCATTTTACAGGGTAAAATTCATTGGTATTAAGTGTCTGTGATAAACTTTTAGAAGACACTGAAAATTGGCAACAAAAAAAGCTCAGTGACTTTTTACAAAATACATTTCCAGAATATGGCCTGAATTATTCTTAGCACATATTCAGCTCAGTCAATGACACTGTTTCCAGTGCCTTACCCAGTCCTGGGTCATAACATCAGGGATTCAGAAGAGGCCCTGCAAAATCCCAGTCATCACAGAAGGAGCACTGGTCTGGGAATCTGAACTTGAATTTGGGCAAGCTCCTGTGACTTACCCCTTCTTTCCTCAACCCATCTTCAGTATTCCCTTATATATTATAGTAAGATTGGTCTACATGATCAATAAAATTTCTCCCAGATTAGACATTCTTGTTGATATACCAGAAATATGATAGACTCTAGAATCACAGGGACGTGGATTCAAGTCCCAGGACTACCATCTGCTTAACTGCATGGCCTTGAACACTGCAAAGGCTCATTTTCTATGTCAACATACCTAGGATATAGTACTCAGTTATTTATTTAAACACTAATTTAGGTGTTTTCTGGAAGTATTTTGTACAAGTGGTTAACATCCACAATCAGTTGACTTTAACTAACAGAGATTATCCTCAATAATGTGAGTGAGCCTCATCCAATCAGTTGAAGGCCTTAAGGTAAAAAATCCCTTCCTTACACCTCATACAAAAATTAATTCAAGATGGATTAAAGACTTAAATGTTAGACCTAAAACCATAAAGACCCTAGAAGAAAACCTAGGCAATACCATTCAGGACATAGGCATGGGCAAAGACTTCATGACTAAAACACCAAAAGCAATGGCAACAGAAGCCAAAATAGACAAATGCGATCTAATTAAACTAAAGAACTTCTGCACAGCAAAAGAAACTACCATCAGAGTGAACAGGCAACCTACAGAATGGGAGAAAATTTTTACAATCTACCCATCAGACAAAGGGCTAATATCCAGAATCTACAAAGAACTTAAACAAATTTACAAGAAAAAAAAACAAACAACCCCATCAAAAAGCAGGCAAAGGATATGAACAGTCACATCACAAAAGAAGACGTTTATGCAGCCAACAGACACATGAAAAAATACTCATCATTGCTGGTCATTAGAGAAATGCAAATCAAACCACAATGAGATACCATCTCACAGCAGTTAGAATGGCAATCATTAAAAAGTCAGGAAACAACAGATGCTGGAGAGGATGTGGAGAAATAGGAATGCTTTTACACTGTTGGTGAGTGTAAGCTAGTTCAACCATTGTGGAAGACAATGTGGCAATTCCTCAAGGATCTAGAACAAGAAATACCATTTGACCCAGTGATCCCATTACTGGGTATATACCCAAAGGATTATAAATCATGTTACCATAAAGACACATGCACACGTATGTTTATTGAGGCACTATTCACAATAGCAAAGACTTGGAACCTACCCAAATGTCCATCAGTGATACACTGGATTAAGAAAATGTGGCACATATAGAGCATGCAATACTATGCAGCCATAAAAAGGATGAGTTCATGTCCTTTGCAGGTACATGGATGAAGCTGGAAACCATCATTCTGGGCAAACTATCACAACGACAGAAATCCCAACACCGCATGTTCTCACTCTTAGGTGGGAATTGAACAATGAGAATACGTGGACACAGGAAGGGGAACATCACACACCTGGGTCTGTGATGGGGTGGGGGTCTGGGGGAGGGATAGCATTAGAAGAAATACCTAATGTAAATGACGAGTTAATGGGTGCAGCAAACCAACATGGCACATGTATACCTACGTATCAAACCTGCACGTTGTGCACATGTACCCTAGAACTTAAAGTATAAATAATAATAATAATAAAATAAAAAAACAATAAAAGCTAAGGAGAGACAAGGAGAAAAAAAACTGAGGTTTCCTGAATAAGAAGAAATTCTGTGTCAAAACTACAGTATCAACTGAGTTTCCAGCTTGCCCTAGAAACTTTGGACCTCCCAATTCTTAGAATCAAGTAAGCCAATTCCTTAAAATAAATCATAGAATCTCTTATTGGTTGTTTCTCTGGGGAACATTGTCTGATACAAGCACTCATAATACAGACTTTTTTTTTTTTTTAATAAAGGACTTACTTTACACTGGGGACTGTTCTAGGAACTGGGAATCCATGTCCTCAAGGAGTTTACAATCTACTGTTTGGAGACAGACAATTAAAAAATAAACATAAAACTCATTTTATACATGTTTCAAAATATCACATGTACCCCCAAAATATGTACAACTATGACATATTATAAAAATACAAAAAAGACATAAAAATAAATTATACAGCATATCAACTTTTCTGAATCACCAATTTATCCCCTGCAAAAAATAGGAGTATTCATAATCACAAACGTAAAAGGCCTAGAACATAGGAAGTCAGTAAATGGTAGACATTATTATGAGTCCATGATTACACTATGGTTTTGATGAATTTAAAGGCATTTTTGTAAACTCTGAATTTTTCTATTTCTTCTAGAGCAAACATGTCCTATAGGAGCAGTAATATAGCTGATTTAGAAAAAAACAATAACAACTGGATTTGGAATCAAAAGATGGGCTTTGAGTCTCAGTTCAGTTATTAGTTATGTTACCTTCAGCAAGTCATTTAGTCTCTCTGAACATCAGTTTTTCTGTCTATAGAAAAGAGGTAATAATATTCCCTCATAGTGTTCTAGGAGAAGTAAGATTCTAAGTGTCAGTGACTCGAGAACAAGAATGGTGGTAAACTGCTTAGAAACCTCTCTATTGACCAGAATATTTAGTTAACCAGAAGAGTTTGTTCCCTGCTCCCGCCTCCTCCACACACACACCCTTGTTCTTCATTAGAGGAATATTCCTGTATTAGTCACTTATCAACTCAGGTTTGGTTTCTGCCCTGAAGCCATTCAAGAGTAACCATGGTTGGGGAATGGTTCTAACTTGAAACTAACAATTGGTCATAAATCTCAAATAAAGCCAGTTTTGACATCCACAGGCATAGACCTCCAGTGGGCTAGGAATGGCACATGCAGCTGATGTGTTTCATGGGGCCGTAAAGACTATAATATAAAACTTTTCATTTATTTGTGTGATGGAGATAAGAAGGGACCTCTGACCAAAGAATAAAAGCATAAGGGGCACCAGAGTTATTTCAGCCATTTATTTCGCTGATACAGTGACCCTGTGATCATGTTCTATGGATATTTCCAAGACTTTGGAAAATCCTAGGAACAGTGTTACCCCATTTGCCTTCCAATTTCTGATAGGGTTCCCTCCATTACTTTCAACTTAAAAAGACAGAATAAATTATTCTCCTCCACAGTCTAACACTGTCTAACCCCAACTCCAATCTCATCCCTGTATTACTAGAGAAATCTACAGGCCCCTCACTTCTTCCCATTTGCTACCTTCTGGATGATCAGGTTTAATCTGGTAATCTGGTTTGATTTCAGTCATTCCTCTCTTGCCTTATTTTCTCCTGATTACTTCTTCAGATTTGTTCATCTCTCCTACAAAATTGATTTACCATAAAAGAAGGAGGGTGAGCATGGATCTTCTGAGTTAAGTTTCTTCTTTATTTTCCTAGCTGTGAAAGATGTGGGTCTGCTGGTTTCTTTATCTGTCTATCATAAAGTAAGCACATCTCCAAAAGACAGATATAAATTTTGTTTTCTCAGACCTAATACGTTATAAACTCAGATTGAGGAACATAGAGCATGGAACCAGACTTGCCCTTGAAATTAGTAGGTCTTGATTATTATGCAGAGGAGGAGTTTTTTGTTCTTTCATAATTCACCCTTAGAGTCTACAGAATTAATAAATAATAAAAATAAATCTACAGAATTAATAGACAGAATCATGTCTTTAACGGCTACATTGGTGGGTGGGGAGGTCTCTCTTTGATGAAGGATGCCAATTACTCCTACCAATTTGCTTAGTCAAATCCACTTCTTCTGCCTGCTGAAGAAAGAAAGGGAGATCTTTTGGTTGATTTTAAACAGAAAGAGCATGACAAACTTCATATTCTGTCATTTTTAGCTATTTAGAACTCTTCGTCCAAGCTATATGTGAAGGCCAGAATGAATAAAGCACAAAATGGCACAGGGATACCATGGCCTGTCAGCATAGGTGAAGGCTAAGTCCTTTGCATGCTCAAAGCTCAGATTAAGTGCCAGAAAATGGAGAGACATTAATCAGGGATAAGAGAAACACAGGCAAGGAGAGATATTTTAAGAGACATCATGAATAAATAGAATAAGTCTTCATTCAAATACAAATACTTATAGAGTACCTACTATGTACCAAGCACTGTTCTAGGTGCTTAGAATACAGAAGAGAGCAAAATAGACAAAAATATCTGCCTTTCTGAAGTTTGTATCCCAGCGATAGGCTCATTTTCTGTATCAACATACCTAGAGTACTAGTACCCTAAGAAGTGAGAAAGACAATAAGCTGTAACCCCTAAAAAATAAATAAAGTATATCGCACAATTTGAGATGATAAATTACATGGAAATGGGAAAATGTAGGGAAGAGCAGGGCAAAGGGTATCAGGAGTTCTAGAGGTGGAGGCAGTTTGCAATATTAAATAGGGTGGTTAAGTCTCAGTAGGTTTTACTTGAACAAATATTTGAAGGAGAGGAAGGAGTGAGCAATAAAGCTGTCAGGGGCAGGGACTGAGAGCATTTCAGACAGAAAGAGCTTTCCTAGCTAAGTTACGAGCATGTCTACTGACTTCAAGGAACAGCAAGTAGGCCAATGTGGCTAAAGTGGCAAGATATAAGGAGAGAATAGTAAGAGAAGGTGTCAGAGAAGTAATGAGAAAACAAAGGGGATGGATTTTGACTTTTTTTTCTGTGTGAGATGGGAGCATTTGCAGAATTGTGAGGAGAGGACTGCTCTAATATAGGTTCTGCCACTGAAGTACTATATGACCTTAGGCCAGACCTGTCTCATAAATAAGACTCAGATTCCTGATTTGTATAATGAGTGTGATAGACAAAAACAGTATTTTTAAAAACTCTTTCAAGAACAGGAATCTCGTTTTACAATAGAGTCTCTCTACATTATTTTTCTACCCCAACACAATAGAATACTATGCTGCTATTAACAATGATTGAATGTATCTATCAAGTAAAACTTTTAGTGAAAGTCTAGCATATGAAGTAGATAAAAGTTAAACTGCTTTGGTTGAAGCAAGGTGAAGTACTGGAAGTAGAATATTACCCGCCTACATCCCAGAGATGCCCTGAGGGTATTTCTCCAAAACCCTAAGATGTGAGAAGTACAGTTTTAAGTCTTGTCCCACTTCTGTGGTTTCCAAGTTGTGTTTCTTAAAGTTTATTTGCAAGAGAGATATTTCAAAAGCTTTACAAATACTTAGTTTGTATTAAAAAAAAAAAACTGTTTTCAAGCTGGGTGTGGTGGTTCATCCCTATAATCCCAGCAATTTGAGAGGCCGAGGTGGGAGGATTGCTTGAGTCCAGGAGTTCGAGACTAGTTTGGGCAACATAACAATACCCCCATCTCTATAAAAAAACTGTTTTCATTCAGTTATTAGAAATAGTAATAACAACACCACACATGAACAAATTGTTATATGTTCACTTTTTTCATCATCAAGGCAGCCTTATTCTCATTGACTTTATAATAAATAAATGTTATATATTTGAACTTACAAAATAAGTTTGTGATAATAAAATATTACTTTTATGTTTTAAAGTATATATTAGGGCTTATCATAATAGTAACTTCACAAAAAAGAGTTTCACTGCCAAAAGACAAAAATAAAATAAAACAAACAAAAAAACCAAAACTTGAAAATCTGTAGGCTTTCTTAATTTCTTACTGCTTACTTTTAGCACTAACAACAGAAGCAGTAACAGCAATAATAAAAGCTAACTCTCACTCTGCCAAGCAATGGGTTCAGTTCTTATCTCAGACCAAGTAATCATCATCAATACTGGGACTTGCTAAGTGGATAGATGCAAATGAAATGCAAATATATGTTAATAGTGCCCAAGTGATAATGATGCCCACAGACTCCAAGGGTTTCTTTGTTCTGATCCTGTGAGTCTTCCCTTAAAGCAAGATGCTCACATAAAGACCCCAGCCTCTGCAATGGACACATTCGCTTTCTCTTTCCTCTACACTGAAGGCTCTCTGGCCAGAGTAATATCTTCATCTTCAGCCATTGAACACCAGCTGGGATGAAGATTAGCACCTCTTTCCTCATAAAGTTCCCCCACTTTATGAGGATAACAACCATCTTTTCCATTCATCAGCTAATTTATCTGGAATCCTCCGCATGCTATCAGATTGCTGCCATCTGCTTGAGCCACTCTGCCTGCCAAGCAGACTGCTTCCAGTCTCATGATGTGGGGAGCTCTGGGTAGTGGGAACAAAAAATGCCAAACTGGCTGTTCATGAAAGGCAAGGCCCAGCTAGTGCTGAAAGATAGGTGATGAGGCACGCTGGTTAGTCAGAAGGTAGGTTATAGTTGGTTCTGGTGACTGCATAGACACCCCAAGGGTAATCAACATGGTGATTCTTCCTGCCTAACTATTCTCTTAGGAGGACATGCCAATCTCACATTTCACTCAGAGCAAAAACCAAAGGTCCTACACTATCTGCCTCCCTCACCCCCTTACCTCTCTGACCATGTCTCCAGCTTATTTCTCTCTTATTCACTCCTCTTCAGCTACTGGTTTTCTTGCTGTTCCTCAAACACATCAGAAATGCTCCCACATCAGCAAGGGTCAGGCCATTCCCTGAGAAATCCACATGGCTCATTACCTCACTTCCTTCAGTTATTTGCTCAAATGTTGCTTTCCAGGTTATATCTTTTTGACCATTCTACTTAATATTGAAACACATCACCCCCACTAGTACTTTTTATCTTTTTCCACTTTACTTTTCTTTATCACATTTGTCACCAGTTGACATACTTTATATTAATTTATTTATTGTCTCTCTCCTTCTACTAGAATGTAGGTCCTGTGAAGGCAGATAATTTGTTTTGGTCACTGTTCTATCCCCAGTACCTAAAATAGTGCCTGACATATAGTACATGCTCAGTACAAACTTGTTGAATGAATGGATTTAGGTTTGAAAGACATGCAGATATCTACCTGATGCACCCTCTAGATTGAGTGTCGGAAGGTATGAGTTCAAATTTTGTCTCTATCATTCACTAGCTAATATGAATAAATCATTACAATTTTTATGAATCTCGGTTTTCTCATGTTGATATAGTGATTGTTATAATGACCAAATAAAAGAACACCTGGAAATCATGAAACTCTAGATAAATGATAGATTCCATTCTTACATAAAACCTCTGTGGCCCTCCCTAACAAGAGATTACCCAACTCTAAAAAGCTCCAGGGGCAGGAGGGTACATGTTTCTTCATACCCTTGCCAGCACTGAATATTATTAACTTCTTTGTTTTTATCAATATGGGAGATGAAAATAATATTTTCTTCTTTCAATGTGCATGTTTTCAATTATACATATTACAGCATCTTTTCCAATGTTTGCTGACCATTTAAATTATCTTTGTCATAAATCTTCTGTTCTTACTTTTTATCCATTTTTTTTGTGTGATTGATTGCCATTTTCTTATTAATGTATGAGTTCTTTGTAGACTATAAGAATTAGCCATTTATCTGGTATGCATAGCAGCGAATATGCTTCCTTCTTCACCATTTCTATTTCCCTTGCTCATCATTTGTATTCTTAACTTTGGTTCTCGATTGTTTCTTGTTATACAGAATGAGGTTTTTAAATTTTTTTTATGTGGTGAAATATATTCATTGTTTCTTTTATGGGTTCTGGATTTTATGTCTTGCTAGAAAGGTCTTCACCATTACAAGATTATAAATACATTACAAATGTTTCCTTAAATAATTTTTATGACTTTTTATGTTCATATCTTTGATACATCTATGATTTATTTTAGTGTGAGTGATGATTGTTATTTTCTGAATAGTCAGTTTTTCCAAACCATTGATCAAATAAACACTCCACCACTGATCAGAAATGTGACCTTTATAATATGCTAAATTTCCAAAAATATTTGGGTATATTTCAGGACTCTCTTGTTACATTGATTCCTGTTTCTTTTCCAGTACCAAACTGGTTTAATATTTATTTAATATTTATGGCATCATATATGTGTGTGTGTGTATATATATATATATGATATACGGCAGTGAGAGAGGGAGAACAGGATGGAGTCAGACCTACCTAATGTATACATATATAAATCCTGTTCTCCCTCCCTCACTGCTCATATCTATCATCATATTACTCTCTTCTAGTTCAGAATTTTTCTATTTTCACATACAATGTAGTAGCATTTTTTTTCTAAATTTCCTCCAACATCTTTATCAGTAAATCACTCTTAATGTTATTAAAATTTTAGAGATGATGTAGCAATATATTTTCATTCATGTATAGCTTATTTTAAGTACCTTTTTTTCTTTGTATAGGTTATGCATATGTTTTGTTTATTCCTGAAAAGTTTATCTCTTTTGGTTGCCATTATAAATATTATTTTATTATATTTTCTATCTGATTGTATATAGGAAAGCTATTGATTATATGTAATAAATTTGTAACTCTCCATCTTACTGAATTATCTTATTGCTTTGAAGAGTTTTTAGCAATTTATCATCATTGGGTATACAAGCATATATATCTGGAAAGCAAATAACAATTATTTTCTAATATTTACAACTTTCTCTTCTCTAATTGCATTGGCTAGTGCTTCAGAACACTATTAAATAATAACAGAGATAAGCTGCATTCATGTCTTGCTCCATTTGATGGAACTACTTCTAGTGTTACTACATTAAGAATAATACAAGTATATATATGGTATGGATCCACATATTTCCTTTCTTAGAAGTTAATAATGCATGTTGGAGTTTGTCAAATTTTTTTTTTTTAACTATTGAGACATAAAACAGTTGTTCTCATTTGAGCTCTTAATATGTCATGTTTTAATAATGAATTTCTTAATAATAAAACATCCTTGGTCAGGCATGGTGGCTCATGCCTGTAATCCCAGCATTTGAGAGGCTGAGGCTTGCAGATTGCTTGAGCCCAGGAGTTCAAGACTAGCCTGTGCAACATAGCGAAACCCTGTCTCTACTAAAAGTACAAAAAAAAAATAGCTGAGTGTGGCAACCTGTGTCTGTAAGTCTCAGTTACTCAGGGGTGACTGAGGCAGGAGAATCACTTGAACCTGGAGGCAGAGGTTGCAGTGAGCAGAGATCACCACACTGCACAGGGTGACAGGATGAAACCCTGTCACAACAACAACAAAAAATCATGCATATGTGGGATGAACTCTATTTTGTCATGGTATAATTAATCCAGCAATACTAGTGTACACTCCTTTATTCACAATTACAACATTTAAAAGCTCTTTGAAAGTGAAAAATAGTTTATCTGGCAGCAAAAGTTGATCTGACCTGTTGCAAGATTATTTATCCTAATTACTGTTACTCTGCATATGTTTGCCACTGAAATATTAAAATGTTTGAATATGTGATGTTTCCCAGGCCACAGTTGGAGAGTTGTATAATAAACAATGAAGACAGCATGTTACATTTCTAAAATCCCAAACACTCTAACTTTTGAAACACTTTGGTCCCCATGGTGGCATATAGGAGACTGCAGACCTACATTACATGATGAAGTGCAAGGGGAGACACTGGAGGCAGAGGAACCCATCTTTAAGCTGAGTTTTTAATGATGAGTACAAGTTCATATGAGAAAGAAAGGAACAGAATTCCTGGCAGAGGCATGAAAAGGCTTAGTGCTTTATGAGAAGAGTGATAAGTTCAGTATAGCTGGAGGGTAGGGTGTGTGGAGGGAATGAGTGATGGGAGATGAGGCTAGACAGAGAAGCTTGGACTGAATTATGAAAGGCCTCGCATGCTCAGAAGTGTGAACTAAACTTGCTGTGTCTCAGACTATTCTATAATAATTGAGGGTGTGGAAGAAGATGGAGGTAAGTATTAGGGTGGGGCAAAGACCGAGTTAGAGTTTGGGAAGGGAGGAACAAATAGTCTGTGAATACCCTAAAGACTAAATGTGACACATTTCACATTGAAAGGGGCAGGCAGAATCTCTTCTTAGGGTCCAGCCTTCTAAAAAAGTCTAAAATAGTTAGGACTAGTGTCCCAAAGGTAGATGCCAACCTAATGTTATTTACATGAAGCAAGCCTACCTAACCTAACAGGGAAATGGGGGACACCATAGAATGTTTCAGATGTACCTGAAATTCACTCTTATCTCCATCCCTACACTATGCATGCCATATTGGTTTAGCTTTATTCCAGCAGATCTGTAGATCTGAAATGTGACCTTCTCTACCACACACAGCATCCTGAGAGACCTACTTCTGTATCCTCACTCTGATTTTTTCTGTCTCTGGATGCAGCCCTGCTAGGCCAGCCTGCCTTCTCTAACCTCCTTTGAATTCTGGTGAACATAGTGTTCTACTACTCACTTCAAAATTTATCACCCTCTCTCCCTCTAACAAAGAGAAAGTTGATAGTCTCTGAGGCGTACAGTGTGTTGATTTAATTAAGATGAAGTGATGATAGGCTAGGGACCTGCTGGTGCCAAGAGAGATGAACAGAGAGCTTCCCTGCAGCTGCAGCTCAAGCCACTCATCCATCAACCTATGTCCCTACTCTCAGTCTAGTGAAGCAGAAATTATAGTAATTGAAACAGATACACAAAGAAAACATATTCCATACCGTATGATAAGTGCATAGATGAAGATAAGCATGGGGTAATATGGGGCCACATTTAAGGGAATTCAGCCCAGAGGGAGTGGGAGAAGGGAGAGGAGGGGTAATGAGTAAAAGTTTCAGGAAGGACATGAAGACCACTTAAAAGATGACCAAGGTTATCAAGTTACAAGAGGTGATTCAGTCTAGGATGAGGTAGGGGCATCTCAGGCTTTGGGGCATCCTAAGCAAAGGCACAAATCAAATAGATATACTCGAGTTAAAAGTTGTGAGAGGATGAAATAAGAAGAGACCTAAAAGAAGGCAATATCTGGATAAAGGAGATACATGTAAAATGTGAAAAATAACAGAGAGAAATGAGGAGACACACAAACAGGGAAATGATGTAGTCAGAGCTATGGTGAATGAACATAACCTGGTAGAATTATAATGCATACATTTGTGAGAGGTAAGTAGACAGCAAGGAGATTAGTTAGGCATCAAGGTAAGAAACCATGTGGGCCTGAACCAATCCATAGCAGAAGAGGCTGAAGTATTTGTAGTTGTTTCCTGTACTATCTGAAGCCAAAAATTTGGCTGATAGATTATATGGGCACAGGGTTACTGAAACACTTACTGTGCACATGGCATTTCAGATGTTATAGATATTATGTAAGGCAATTTTATAAGTCTACCTGTTCAGTTTTTTCATTTTGTGTTCTTATATTACCCACCAGTCAAAGGTTTCTGGAACTTTCCCCATTACAGGAATCAAATGCCAATATTCCCTCAATCTCAGATGTTCCTTTTAGTTGAGTCACTTGTGCTTCCACCAAGCTTGACTGTAAAACTGAATTAAAACAATTACATAAAGCTGGCTTGTGTTGGCTCCAGAAACATTCCTGATGCATCCTGGGGCCTGCTCTTGTTAAGCTCTGCTACCCACGACTGCCCTGGATTTTGGATTCCCTACTTGTTTTGACTTGGCATTATTTCCTGATCACCCTTTGTTGGCTCTGGTGATTCAGTTTCTCAAATGGTCATCGGTTTTTGAGCCTGATTGACCTGACCCTTCTTTGGATTTATTGATCTAGTCTAATTCTGAAGCTTCTGGCACTTTTTTTCCTGCCCACTCCCATCATGCCCACTAGTAGACGAGTGAGATTGTTCTCTTGGAGAAGCCTGGTAGAATTTCCCTCAGCAAATCTGAAGGCATTTATTTGGAACTATGTTTCCTAAATCACACTCAGTAGAACACTGGCATTTTGGAAAGTGTCAAAAGTTGTTCTATGAACAGAAGGATCTGCAATCAAATATGTCTGGAGAAGCCTGATTTTTCTAGTCCTCCTGTGGAGACTTAGAACAACCAACACATTTTAATGGCTCTGAGGAACCTCTTTGTAAAGAAATGTTTAATGTTTAACCCAGTTCTTCTAAGCTTAGTTGCATAAGGAAACATTTCATTTCTCACAGAATACCTATGAAAATAGTGTAGTATATTATAGTTTTGGAAATACCAGTTTTACATTTGGATCAATTCAGCATCTTTTAAAACACCATAAGGAAATGGTATGGTGGAAAGAATGGAGATTTGGAGTGGCCTGGTTTCCAGCCTTTGTTACCCAACCCACTTGTTTGGCTTATACTTGTTTGGCCTTGAACAACTTCCTCTACATCTCTGAGATTTCCCCCCATCTGTAAAAGTGACAAAGAAATATTAACAAAAGCAACAATGAAATTATCATTTAATTAGGGCTCACTATATGCTAGGTAACTCTTGAGCTATAAAACTTCATACAAAGGTCAATTGTTGTTACAAACAATGCGAATGGTTTTTATTTCTGGTTCCAATTATTTTACCTCACTTTCTTCCCTTTGATAACCAAGGCTTTGGGGTAAGTAATCTCAGTAATCTCATTTTTTAATCTGAGTGACAGAGTCAGACTTGAATCTTTCCAAGACCAGTGTTTCTGCTTTCTGCCTTCTCTCTCATGTAGAGCCTTTCCACTTTTCCTGTCTGCTTTTGGAAATTTTGGGATTGCTCAAGTGCCATTGCTTTTTTAGTTACCTCACCAGATCTGATATTTTATTGTGGCAGTATGTATTGAAATGGAATCTCTCCAGTTTTAAATTGCTTAGACTGATAAAAACCATGTTTTTATAAGTAGCAACAGCAAGGGTATGAGGTGACTTTGCAATATATATTTTTAATTTTAGTTGTTTTCCAAAAATGTATATGACACTTATTCTACACCAGACACTGTTCAAAATCCATTAAAAAGATTAAGTCATTTAACTCTCATCACAAGCCTGTGAGGTAGATATTATTATTATTCCAATTGTAAGAGCTGACAAGACTGAAACAAGTTAATTAGCATGTCCACGTAAGTACAAAATGGCTGAGATAAGAACTGAACCCAGGAAATTATTGGCTTCTGTAGCTATCTTCTCAGTCACTATGCTATATTGCTTCCAAGAAGACTTTGTGATGCAGGGAACTTCTTACACAGTCTATGAAGCCTGCTTCATGTAACTCTCCATGGCCCCTAAATCCTCCACCAGCTGCGCTCCTAAGGCTTTATGTTAGGCATGTGGAGGGTTTTGAACTCAGATAAAACTGAGTTAGGATTCTGGCTCTGACATCCACTATCTGAATGATATTGGATAAGTCATATTAGCTCTTTAAGCCCTAGTTTACTCATCTGTAAAATGGGGTACATAATACTTACATTTCAAGTCTGTTGTAAAAAATTCAGTAAGGTCACGTGTGGTTCAGCACAGGTCTTTAAACATTGGTTCTTCACCCTACATGATGTTAGACTCATTAGTGGGGGAGATGATCAGGGGAGAGGAAATACTGTGAAGAAAGTCAATGGTAACTTGATGGGGATACCACTGAATCTATAAATTACTTTCGGCAGTATGGCCATTTTCATGATATTGATTCTTTCTATCCATAAGCATGTTTTTAATGCTCATGAAAACCTCATAAGGTAAGTATTCTCATTGTTATCCTCTAACAGGTAAGGAAATTGAGTCTATAATTTTGTTTTTTCCAGTCACAACAATTAACTTATAGACATGACTACTAAAAAGTAATGCTCTCATTTGATAAAGACGTAAACTAGTCAAGGGGTTAGAGGTATTGCCAAGGGCCAATCTCACCTTGCTTCTCCCTTGCTTACAACTTTTCAGTGATTCAACATTGTCCTTAGGATGACGACTATACTCCTTAGTTTGGTTTGCAATGCTATTCAAGATTTGGCTTCTAATTCATTGCTCCTTTCTCTTGTTTTCACATTAAAATGTCATAGCCTAACTAAACTATCTGTAGTTCTCCCAGTGTTCTCTTCAACCTTATGGCTTTTGTAGATGCTGCTTCTATTGCTTGGGATGCTTTTTCTGGTGGTCTCATACGTGACCATTTTCACCAGCTCCACCATGCCTCAAATTCATTCATTCATTTGAAAGATAATTACTGAATACCTACTCTGTGTCAGGCTCTAGGGATACAATGGTGAACTAGAGAGAAACATCTGTCACAGAGCTCACATTCTGTATAGGAAGAAACATACCTCCAAAATATTTAAAAAGTTAAATACAGTAAGTTAGCAATGCATACTATATATTAAATATATACTAGAAATATTGCATATGGGGTAAAGTTGTGACTTTAGTGGAGGAATAAGGAAAGGCCTTACTTGATAAAATGCCATTTTAGTAGCAAATGAGGAAATCAAAGTAAAAACTTCTTAAAGCTATATGAGTAAGGATCATTTCAGGTAGAGGGAACAGCCAACTGCAAAAGTCTTAATGCAACGTATGAGTTGGAGGAACAGTTAGGATCTAATGTAGAAGATTGGTAGTTGATGAACTTGAAACAGGCAGCTAAGATCAAGCAGGGCTGTGAGATTCTAAGGATTGGGGCTTTTACTCTGTATAAGGTGATAAACCATTTCTGGGTTTAAAGCAGAGAACTAACATGATCTCACAGTTTAATAAGATTCTTCTGCCTGCTGCATTGAGAATTAACTTACTGGGTGATGAAGGTAGAAGAGAGAAAACCAGACAGGACTCACAGGATCCAGATGGTAGCAGTGGTGGCAGTAAGAAGTGGTCAGATTAGATATCACCTCTTCTGGAAAGCAGGCAGACTTCTATGACCCCCAAGGCTGGAGTAGATGCTCCCCAATACTGGTTTCCCACAGGCATCTATCTTATTTTTCTCAAATCACCAGGCTTATAGGGTCTTTCCCTTTATTCAAGTCCATCCTCTATTATATGAGATCCTTGGGGTCAGTGACTGGGATTTTAACTTTTTTGTTTGTTTGTTTATTTGTTTTGTTTTTCTGAGATAGAGTCTTACTCTGTTGCCCAGGCTGGAGTGCAGCAGTGCATGGCTTACTGCAGCCTTGACTTCCTGGGCTCAAAAGATCCTCCCACCTCAGCACCCTGAGTAGCTAAGACTACAGGCACATGCACCACCATGCCCGGATAATTTTTGTATTTTTTGTAGAGACAGGTTTTTGCCATGTTATCTAGGCTGGTCTCAAACTCCTGGACTCAAACAATCCACCCGCCTCTGCCTCCTAAATTGCTGGGATTATAGGTGTGAGCCACTGCGCCCAGCCTGGATTTTATTAGCTTTTTGTTCACTTATCACCAATTTCTCTTCAGTAAGGAACATATAGTGTGACTCAGAAAAGTATCAGTAAGTATTAATAAATGACTAAATTAACAACCAAAATAAGCAGTAGAGACAGAAGCATTTTAAAAGGGTGGAATGTAGGTTAAATCTGCTTTCCATCATCATTGGCTGAGAGTACAGAGCCAAGCAGTCATCCCACCAGCCTCTGTAGCAATAGCAATGGTTCTGGGTCCTGATTCACCCAAGTCCCTCCATTCTGACACCCAACCCTTTATAGGATAAAACTCTCATCATCCTTCTAAACCCATCTTTAATGCTTTCTTTGGCTTGATGACTTCCATGATCCTGCCAATGCTTAGAGTTCATTGCTCCTGTACTCCAGCATGTGCCCATAGCACTTGGTTTAAGGTTTGTTTGGTAGTACTTTCATGCATGTCCAACATGTAGTATGCAGTATGTGTCTGTCTCCTATACTGGACTGTGACCTTTTTCAAGGCAGAAATGCTATTTTATCTGGTGTTTGTCTAATCTTAGGTGCTTAGGTACCCCTTCAAAAATATTCTATGGTCTTATCAAAAAGAAAATAACAGATGCTTGTGAGAATGCAGAGAAAGGGTAATGCCTGTACACTGTTGGTGAAAATGTAGATTTGTACAGCCACTATGGAATATGGTAGAGAAGTTCCTCAAAAAACTGAAAATAGAACTATCATATGATCCAGCAATCTCACTGCTGGGTATATACCCCCAAAGAAAGGAAATCAGTATATTGAAGAGATATCTGCACACCCATGTTTGTTGCAGTGCTGTTCACAATATTCAAGTTCTGGAAGTAACTTAAATATCCACCAACAGATGAATGAATAAAGAAAATGTACTTAAATACAATGGAGTACTATTTGGCCATAAAAAATGAGATTCTGTCATTCACAACAACATGAATGGAACACCTTCATGTTTATTACAGCACTATTCACAATAACAAAGATATGGAATCATCCTAGGTGTTTATCAATGGATGAATGGATTTTAACAATGTGGTATACACAATGGAATATTATTCAGCCATAAAAAGAATGAGATCCTGTCATTTTCAACAACAGTTATGGAACTGCAAGTCATTATGTTACGTGAAATAAGCCAGGCACAGAAAGACAAATATTTTATGTTCTTACTCATATGTGGGAGCTAAAATAATTGATCCCATGGAGGTAGGGAGTAGAATGGTGGTTACCAGGATCTGTGAAGGGTAGGGTGGGGGTGTGATAAAGAGATGTTGGTTAATGGATACAGAAAATGCAGTTAGAAGAATTAAGTTCTAGTGTTTAATAGCACAATAGAATGACTATAGTTAACAATAATTTATTGTTTATTTCAAAATAGCTGAAATAATAGATTTGAAGATTTGAAGTGTTCCTGCCACAGAGAAATGCTAAATGTTGGAAGTGATGCATATTCCAATTACTTTAATTTGATCATTACACCTTGTATGTATG
This sequence comes from Homo sapiens, assembly GCF_000001405.40. NCBI lineage: Eukaryota > Metazoa > Chordata > Mammalia > Primates > Hominidae > Homo > Homo sapiens. Next base: position 66,871,742 of record NC_000023.11, on the reverse strand, counting down.
TATCAAAATATCACACCCATATATATGTACAAGTATTATGTATAAATAAAAAGTGACCCTGTGGTCATGTTTGGGGCACCATATTTCTCCATTAAATAATTCCAGTGCATATTAATATATTAAAGAATCTGAAAGTATAATTTTTAAATAAGCTTTTTATTAAAGTATGACACACATACAAAGCGTGCACAAGCCATGAGAGTACAGCTTTAAAAATGCTCACTAAGTGAACACATTCATGTCATCAGCACCTATATCAAGAAACAGAACATTATCAGCATTCTGGAAGCTCTCTTCAAGCACCCTTTCAGTCATAACTCCTATACCTCTCCAGAGGTAACCACTATCTCAGCTTCTCTCGCTATAGTTTAGTTTTGTCTGTTTTATAACTTTTTACAAATGGAATTATATAGTTTGTACTCGTTTGTGTCTGGCCTCATTCACATTCACAGTCACATTTTGTGTGTGAGAGTCATCCATGTTATTGTGCATAGCAGTACTTGTTCATCTTCATTGCCATGTAGTATTTCTTTGTATGAAAATACTGCAATTTATTTAACCATTATACCGATATATATATATTTTGAATTTAATAAGAAATTTTCAAATATTAACACATTTAATCTTACCAACAACTAAACAAGGTAACCTCATTTTAGAATTGAGGGAGCACAGAGAGTTTAAGCCACTTGCCTAAAACAACATAGCAGAATCTAGAAGAAAACCTGTTTAATCTTGGCTAGATGCTTGTTTAACCTAGAATTTCAAAAACTTATCTGAGCAAAGAAATTTTTTGTTTTGTATGACACCTACCAGGTCTATGTAACAAAGTTTTGAAAATGCTGAACTCAATGGTTTGAAGGCCCTTTCAGTTCTAATGATTGTTAAGAGTGACAACTCAACTGGAGAGGAAAGAGGACCAAGCTAGGGAATCAGACCTTACTATGGTCCTGGAACTACCAAAACTGCCTTGAGAACTCTACCAAAACTGCCTTATGACCTTGGGCAAGTCACTCCTCCTCTCTCAGCCACAGAGTTTTCATCTAAGCAGAAAAAAATTATATGAGATTTAAGGGCCCTTATATTCTGGGACTCAGAGCGTGTAGCTTGGAATCACCATTGGGAATGAAAGAAAGCAGGTAAGCAATTTGGACTTGGAAGGAATATTAACATTATCACAAATGAGAAGTCACCTTTAGTCTTTGATTAACTGTACCTACCCCATCCCAAAGTACCTCAAATTAGCTCGCACTTGTGAATATAAACTGGTAAGAATAAGAGAAGCAATTAGGTAAATATTCACTTGAATCCCACGTCAGCCACTTAATACCTAAATTGCTTTTGTTAAACCATTTATTCTCTTCTACAAAATAGAGATAATAGTTTCACAGGCAAACTAGGAAATGTAGTCTCTCAGTGTGTGGCCATGTGCCCATCTAAAATTTAGGGTTTCTTTCTGTAAAGGATGAAGGGGGAAATGAAGATTGTTGGACAACCAGTATATTCTGCCATAGTCCTCTCTCTCAGCCCACTCCTATACACTTCTTCACTCACATGGAACATATTTACCTCCTCTCCAAGAAAGATAACCCAAAGGTCCATCCAGTTACTGCATCCATATCAAAGTCCAGGATCTCTAATAACTTGTAGTCATCTGCATCAATTCCAGATATGACTCTCAATGACTCAGTCATCTATAAACTAAATGATAAGTTATCTGTCCTTTACCTATCTGCTAAAGACAATAGGGAAATAAGAACAGAATAACCACAATAAAATTTTTCTTTCGTGAAAAGAAAGCATATGAAAGTATGACAGTCATTGGTCCATACATAATGATAGGTGAATCTTGGGCAGGAACTGCAAAAACTCTTCTGGAAGTGGTGTTACTTCCTTGGTTAGACACTGTTTCTCTTCTTTGAAAGAAATTATTTTGTCCACTATTTTTTAACACCCCTGACTTTGCCCTCTGCAAGGTTATTCTTTGCCTTTGAACCTCCATGGCCACTTTTCTAATGAGTTAAATAGCACTAGAAACTGGGTCTTCTATTTTTTTCCAGTGCATATTCTGTGTACCATGTTTCACTACACCAAGCCTTTGAGTCTGAGAAGAGTGGAAAAAACAATCAGATGAGGAGAGCATAGAGGAGATAAGTTTCTGGGTGGCCAGTGAAGTCTTTAAAAGTGGAGTGAGAATCTTGGACTCGATGCCTACTAAGCTCAGGGTACCCTAAGGATCTGTCACCATGGCAGATTACATAAAGTGGGGTCAAGGGTATCTGGTGACAGAGGTAAGAGATGCCTATACTCCTGCATAACAATTGGTGTATACCACAAAACTGACTACATCAATCCCCTATTTTAAAAGATCTTCTGTTGACCTTCAGGATAAATTTTATGTTTGTTAATCTGTTATTAAAGGTCCATAATAATTTGGCTTTCTAATTTTTCTATCCCTTAAAAGCTTCCTCCACGTTTGACTATGGTATCTTATGTCACAGTAATACTTTACCATGCAGCCTTCTCCAAGCATGCCATGGCTTTGCACATGCTATGCTTTTTACCTAAAATATCCTTTCCCACCTTACATTTCTAGTAAACTCCTACGGTCTCACTAGTGCCAGCTCAAATGTCAATCCTGAAAAATCTTCCACTGCTCTTCAGTTCTGATTTAGGCACTCCTACCTTCAAACCTTTATAGGAGTACATTTTGTAAATATCTGTTTACATATCTGTATTTTCCAACGGATGTAAGCCTCTTGCTTTCAGGAACTGGCTCTTATGCATTACTGTATTCCCCCATGTATGGCAGTTGCTCAGAAAATGCTTGAGGAAGGAAAGAAGAAAGAAAGGAAGGAAGAATAAAGGAAATAAGGTAAGAAATAAGGTAGGAAAGATAAGGAAGGAAGGAAGGAAGGAAGGAAGGAAGGAAGGAAGGAAGGAAGGAAGGAAGGGGAAGGGAAGGGAAAGGAAGGGAAGGGGAGGGGAGGGGAGGGCAAGGCAGGGAGGGGGAGGGGAGGGGGTAGGAGAGGGGAGGGAGAATAGGAGGGAGGGAGGAAAGTGGGCAAAATTTCAGCAAAAATATGAACTCATTTTGAAATGCCATATATTAACTGTGGGACTTTGGACACATTACTTAACCTTAGGATGACTGAATTCTAGTCTCAGTTCTGATCTTTCCTGGATATAGGGCACACTATTTCCCTCTTAGGACTTTGATTTACTCACATATAAAATGGGAAATAGGAAAACAAGACAGTGCCAAAGATACTTTGTTATGATTTGATGCTTCTTTATTTCAACAAACACTTGGTTAATGCTTGCTTTATGCAAGGTACTGGATTAGGTATGAGGATACATAAATGAATCATTCATTTTTTCTGTACTTGAGATTGTGCATCAGTTTCCCCATATGTAAAATGAAAATTTAGACAAATTACATATAAAAGTTTGTTCAGCTTGAAGAGTATAATATCTCTATGCATGTGAATTGATATGACCTTAGGTGGATCATTTCCCTTCTCTGAGCATGAGTTTCCCAATTTGTAAAATTAGATGGTTGAACAAGGTGTTCTTTAAGGGCCCCTCGATTTCTGTTATTCTTTGGACTATAGTTCAGATGGTACGTGTTTACCTATAATACCCTGTGCCTAGTCTTTCTGCTCATCCTTGCCTTTCACTGTTGAGGTCTGTTGCAGATGAACATGAGGTTGAAGAGAGAGTTTTAGGGCTCAGGGACAGCCTCATAGCAGCCTACACTGCTGCTTTAATCCTGACCCTTCCACTTGCCTGTGTGTCCTCAAGTAGGACTGGCTAGAGCTGGGCCCCCTTTTTAAAGCCCAGCCAGGTCCTCTCAGAGAATGGGCAGAAATGCCTAGTCAGCTGTGCCCAGTCTTTCTGGAGGCCAGTAAAAGTTTTAAAGTTCTAAATCAGTCCTCAGCTACGAAAAGCAGGGTTAATTGATAAGGAAATGGATAAATCAAAGGACGTTTGTTCTTCCTGATCATGTCTATTTCTTCTCTCTCTTTCTCTCTTTCTCCCTCTCATATATGAGGAATAGACATTTATTTTTGTGATATATATGAGGTGTATATGAGATATATAGATATATATAATATATAAACATTTCATCTCATGTATATGAGATATATATCTCTCATATAAATATATATATATCATATAAATATATGTATGTGACAGAGAGTGAGAATATATATATATATATCGCCATAGAAAGATTGCCAGATTTAAGGACATGAGGGATGGTAACTGAGAGATCACCCTATTTGTCAGCCAACCAGTTACTTCTCCTGGAACATGGCACAGTTTTGGTGGGGCTTTCTTCTTGCCCTAGTGTTCTCTGAGGCTCAACCAGCCTGGTTTTCCTACTACTATAGACAAAGGCTCCTGAATGGTTTATTATCTAGAGGGCCCTATCCTGATCACTGGGCAGGGAAACTGAGACTCTAGCAACCATGGGCAAAGTGAAGAGGAAAGAATCAAGGGGGCAGCTGAGCTGAGCTGACCTGAACCAGATGGAATTGACCTGGGCAGGCACTGGCTGATAGTACAAACCCAAATAGAACAGCAAGAAACCATGGAGCCCCAGCACCGTAGCATGTCCCAGCCTGAAGTGGCTACAGTGAACACTGAGGAAAACACGTGGTGAAGGAACAATGACTGTGAACCAAACAGAAATGTGTTAAAAAATCTATCTCTGGCCATACTCATGCTGTGTGAATTTGAGCAAGTCATTTCATCTCTCTGAGTCTCAGTTTGGAATTTCATCTTTTTTTTACTAGCAACTGTGGTATGAATAACAGAGTTTTTACCAATAATCCTAGTATAAATTAAGAATAGGGATCTGCAAATTTTTCTAAGACACCAAATAGTAAATATTTTAGATTTTGTGAGGCATATAGTCTCTGTAGCAACTACTCAATTTTGCCCTTGTAGTATGAAGGCAGGCACAGACTATATGTAAATAAATCAGCATGGCTGTGTTCCAACATAACCATATTTACAAAAACAGGCAATTGGTTATATTTGGTGCATAGGCCATAGTTTGGAAATCTCTGATCAAGAGGGTAAGTGGCTTCCAAAACAAACAAGCAAACAAATAAACTAGTTTCACTAGAGTATTAATAGAGCTATTATTTATCAGAACAGAGAAGTTGACATTCTTCTCTATTCTTTACTGCCCAGTAGGTTTTCAGATTTGTCCTCATTCTTCAAATAACATGGAAAAACTAGTGTGGGTACAGAGAAGAGGCAACAGCCCAGGTTCTGTGTGGAGTCATTGAATGAACTGGAGCTTGGGCTTTGCAACAGGGTAGATGGAGGAGAAGACACGGTCTGTGTGAATCCAGGGAATACAGCTACTACCCATAGGTAGAAACCACAAAGAAACAGAGTTCACTCAGCACAAAGAGAACATTTTTAAGTGAGCTGCCTACTCATAAGCTCCCGTAACTAGAAGTATGCAAGCAGAGCTTGAAAGACTGATTGAGTAAGATGATTAGAAGAAATAAGGTAGGAATTGGATGAACTGACTTTGAGGATTTTGTCAAGCCCTGAGCTTCTGCTTTGCCTCCCTTTACCTACTAGACAACAGACATGGAACTACTTCATGAAGTTGATTTTATTAATTTATGTAGCACCTCCTAAGTGTGATTTGGAGCTGGGCACTAGGCAAAGTTACCATGGCACATAAGTGCAAATTCAAAGCCCCCAAGCTAATAACAAGATCATGAACTCATCATTCATAATTTTATAGAGAATTATACTGAAACCCAGAAGTTACTACAGAATTTGAAAGCGGTAGATTTACCAGAAATATGGAAATTTCTTAGCTAGAAGCAAGGCCTCAGCTCTCTCTTCCACAGGTTAAGTTCAAGAGAGATAGGCCACAGTTGACATGATTCTGATTTGAACTGTTCCTATGCAAGCTGGGACAATAGATAATGCTTTACAGATGGAAAATAACCAGTTTAATAGAAGTAGTAGAAAACCAGTAACATGTGTCCTTATTTATAACAATTCACTCCAGGGCAGCATCCCCTGGAAGCACAATGGAGCAAACCTCTCTAGGGGAGGAAACGATCTTCAGTCCCCAAAGAGATTCCAGCTTAGTTTGACCCCAGCGAGAGGCCCTTCAGTTTACCAGTCTGTCTCAATTTCATTGTACTCAAATATTTCTAGAAAGTAGGGTAGGCATGAAGGACTAATCCGTCCTCTGAGATTCAAACATCGCAACCACCTAATTTCATACCATGAATTTGTCATTGCCTCCTAGGAATATAATATCTTAGATTGAGTAGGTAAAGTCTGTAAGCTGTTCCTAAAGCCATTAAGAGGACCCACTCCTTTGAAAGCCTCATTCATCCTCTCTGTACCATTCTCCCAAATCTCTGAAAGAGGCAGCATGGTAGAGGATATAGGCTTTAAAATCAGACACACTTGGCTTGAAATTCTGACCCAACTACTTGATGGCTATATGATTTGCTTTCTGAGCCTTCACTTTCTCCCCTGTAAAATAGGGGAGATATCTAATGCATAGATTTCTATGATATCTAATGGGTAGATTTATTGTAATTATTTTAATACTACATCCAAAAGCTTAGCATAGTGCCTGGCACATAGTACAAAATTTAATCAGTGATTGTTCTTATCATTGGAAAGTGCATGCTCTTCGCAGTCAGTCCTTTGACTTTTAGTCCCAACATTGACATTCACTGGCTGTATAACCTTCAGCAAGTCAGGTCATTAATTAGGAGCTCAATTTCCTAATTGAGATACTAACAGTACTAAAATTCTAGGGTGTAGGTGGACATAAATGAGCTAAATATGTTTAATACAACTCTCACATGGTCTGACACATAGTAGATATTTAATACATGGGGATTTCTTTGCCAATAGTTATGAAGTCTTATTCAGTCCCTTGCTCACTTGTTGGCCCTCAAGGGTTTTCACAGACAGATAGGTAGAGAGAATGCATTCCCCCTACTCTTAGTTGCCAACCTTATGCCCTACTGAGCTAAGCCTGGTCACAATGAAGTTAGGCTGTCCCAGGGACACTAGGGAGGCAGGAAAGGGTCTGGCAACCTGAAAAAGCCCACTGGCCTGAGTGTGGCTCCTACCTTGACATATATCTTGTGTACTAATTATTTATCCTTTTGCCCTTCACATACCCCTCCTAAAACTAACATCTTGCAGAAGTCACAGAATCCTGGGAGAGGGCACAGGATAGAGGGGAAGTTGGTAAGGGATATAGTCACAGAATCCTGGGGAATTGGGAGGGGTTGGGTATACAGGAAAAGTTGGTAAGGGGTTGTACCACTCATTTATTAAGGAGCATTTAACTGGGTATAAGCATTTGACTGAGAGTTAAGGATTTTGGTTTCTTATTTGGTCTGCCACTAACTCACTCCATAACCCTTGAAAAGTCTCTTCCCACCTTTGCCTGTGTAATGGTTTCTTTGGCTCAGGATCCTTCTGGCTCTGACATTCTACAAATCTGAAAAAGAGCTGGACTCATAGGAAAACAACTTAAAATAGGAGCGTCTGATATTGGTTAATTCTAGAGAAACTTTTGGAAGGTATCTGAAATTCCAATAAGCACACAAATATTTTATATGATTCTGGGGGCAGGGGAAATAGACTTAAAAATGCTATTGAAAATGCTGGGATCCATAACTCAAAGTGATGAAAGCATTTCAGTTTGCGAAAGATAGAGGTCTGATAAGCATTCTGGGAAACCTAGGGCTGCCCAGGCCTAGCCCCAGATCAGGAGGTGTGAGGCTGAACCAGGAACTGGCAAGATGCCCATGCCTCATTCTGGAACAGTGTTTGTGAAAGTGACCTGGGCTTTTGCCCAAGAATGGTTCCTGAACTTAATTTAACCCCACGACATTAGGATTTAAACCTCAGAAGCTTCATGTCCTAGCTGTGTGATCTTAGGCATTGGTGAGAAACTCTCTGAAAACCCTGAGTTGAAGGAAGTAAGATTGTCATCTTAAAACTGGTGGTTGTTCAATGAAAGGAACATAGACAAATAGAACAAGGTGTAATAACTGAGTCCTGGGGCACTTTACCATTCAGAGGTTGTGGCAACTAGAAGGAACCAGCAAGAGAAACAGAGTGAATGGCGAGGGAAGCAGGAGCAAGATCGAGAATACCTGGTGTCCTGTAAGCCAAAGAAAAGTGTGCTCAGGGAAGAGGAAGTGATCAACTGCAGGTCAAGAAGGAGGAAGTGACCGATTACAGGGGAGAATAGTGGGGAGGTCAGAAAAGAGTGTTTCCAGACCTAAGTTAGATATCTTCTAGTAAAGCCCTTTCATTATATTTAGAGTCAACATATATTAGCTGTGTGAGAGTGAGATACTGCTAACATTTGAAAATAAAAATATGATCTTATTGGGAAAATAAAAATTAGTTCTTAAACCTTCTCAATCACAAACCCCTTTGGGAGTTGGGCAAAAGCTATGGTCCTACTTCCTAGAAAAATGTGGATTCACAAAAATTGTGCATACAGTTTCATCATGTACTGCTATTTAAATATACTGCTTTAAAGGGCAGTAAAATAACTGAAAGTGTGTATATACCTGAGAATGTCTCCATTAGAAAGGGGCATAGAATTTGAGATGGGGAGTGCCTGTGCAAGGAGGACATTATCTGCTACAGAAACAAAGAAGAAACATAGACTCTGATATGTGCACCGAATGGGGAAAGGATTCACAGGCTCAAGAATGTCATATGATATAATTTAATTTTTAAAACTATTCTAATTATGTCCTCAGCTTCTTCAGAAACTTTTCATAAATGTATTAATTTTCCTAGCTTTGATTCCATATTCAGTGGGCACACTTGTGACCATAAAGTATCCATTCGGCATTCCAAGGTAATATGTCCAGAGACTTTAAAAAATCCCCAAATCTGAGGACACTACTAATCAGGGTGTACATGTATGGTAGATAACTAGACTCACTCACTATTGTGTGATATATGCCCACACCCTAGTCATGCTGTCTACATGATTCAATTCCTACCGACTAATTTTCAATGACTCAACCCCATCCTCATCACCACCCTGTGATGCAGAATTTAATATTCCTGTTTTACAAGTTGCTACTTCTTCAGCTGTGATCATTTACAGAGCATTTTCATATCCCTTGATTTCAATTTAACCTCATACCAGTCCTTAAAGCAGTATAAATATTATGTCTTGTGATCTGTGTAGGCTCCTTCGCAGTCTGCACTACAGATCACAAAGTGACAGCTTTCATCATATGTGAGTCTGTGTATTTCTCCTGTTTGCTTCTAAGCACAGAGAAACAGAGAAAGAAGGGGATCCATTCAAAGCCATCTTTCAACCCCTTAGAACCACTAGGATTCTCCTCACAAATTTTTCATAGAATCACGAATGGAAGGGCTTCAGGGATTATACCCCAAGGGTCATTATCCGTGATTGCATATCAAAACCTCCTGAGGATGGGATAAGGGGTGGGAACTGGCAAGTCCTTCACCCCCACTCTGCCATAAGCACAGCCAGTTCAGGAAGTTTAGTTTTGCCATAGCCTTTACCAGGGCAGCCAGGAAGAACTAACGAGAGGGACCCTGCCATAACAAACACTCAGCCTGGAAAATACTATCCAAGATCCACAGGCAGGAATTTCTTACAAAACAAGGGCCCAGCAGCCAGGAGAGCCTTTTTGTTCCTGAAACTTCCTGTTTCTGAGACTTTCTTCCTCCAAAGAGAGACACCAAATGACTTTGCTTGGAAAACACATTCTGTCACATTGGGCAGCAAAAGCAGGGACCAAATCAAGGCTCAGCAGAACCAAAATAGCACTGCAAAAACTCTAAAAATTAAGCTGTCCTTAATACCACATACACAAAATTAGGCCAGGACCTGCGTGTTAAATTTAAACAGGATGACTGTCTGCTAAAACAAAAGATTTAAATAGGACCAAGAGAACCCTAAAATAATAGTCAAAAATGCCTACAATATGATACAAAAATCACCTGAAATAATGATATGGGAGCAGGCAGGGATGTGCTGGGTAGAGAAGGGCAGGGTCCCTGGTGAAGGCTCCACTCTCAAGCTTGTGCACATGGACCTGAGTGAGGACAGGCACTCCTATTTTTGTGCCCAAATGTTGCATTTTCCAAGACCACTCTGGGCCACCACACCCACCAACCTGTGCCTATAAAAACCCCGAGACCCTAGCAGGCACACACGCAAGTGCCTGGACGTCAAGAGGAACACACCTGTAGAAGAACACACCGAAAGACCCCAGAAGGCCATTGACGGCAGAACGACGTGGTCGTCAATGGAAATCCAGCCAAGGGCGGTGGGAGGAGAGCCCAGATGTTGAGTAGCCTGACTCCAGGGGAAAACCACCTTCTCACTCCATCCCCCTTCTGGCTCCCCATCCATCTGCTGAGAGCTACTTCCACCACTCAATAAAACCTTGCACTCCTTTTCCAAGCCCATGTGTGATCCAGCTTTTCTGGCACACTAGGGCAAGAACCCCAGAATATAGAAAGCCCTCTGTCCTTATAATAAAGCAGAGAGTCTAATTGAACTGATTAACCCAAGCCACATGCAGCTGGCTAAGCTGAAAGAGCACACTGGGGCTTCGAGAGCTGTAAAAACTCAACCCTAGACACTGCTGAGAAGTCAGAGCCCATGATCCCCACGACCTGTCCATCTGCATGCTCCCCCTAAGGGTTTGAGTAGAGAGGCACCAAAGAAGCTAGTCACACCCCCGTTGTAAGCCCTGCAAGGGGGATAAGGGAAAACTCCTCCCATTTCAATAACACAACACAACCAAGAAAATCACAACTTAAATGAGAAAATACACCCAACTAATGCTAACACAAAAATGACTCAGTTGTTGAAATTATCTGACAAGGATTATAAAGTACCCATCATTAAAGAATGCTTCAACATCTTTTCCATGTTTCCCTGTGGGCATTTAGTGCTATAAATTTCCCTCTAAATGCTACTTTACCTGTGCCCCAGAGATTCTGGTATGTTGTGTCTTTGTTCTCATTGGTGTCAAAGAACTTATTTATTTCTGCCTTAATTTCATTGTTTACCCAGTAGTCATTCAGGAGCAGGTTGTTCAGTTTTCATGTAGTTGTGAGGTTTTGAGTGAGTTTCTTAATCCTGTGTTCTAATTTAATTACACTGTGGTCAGAAAGACTGTTTATTATGATTTCCATTCTTTTGCATTTGCTGAGGAGTGTTTTACTTCCAATTATGTAGTCAATTTTAGAATAAGTGCGATGTGGTGCTGAGATGAATGTACATTCTGTTGATTTGGGGTGGAGACTTCTGTAGATGTCTGTTAGGTCCGCTTGGTCCATAGCTGAGTTCAAGTCCTGAATATCCTTGTTAATTTTCTGTCTCATTGATTTGTCTAATATTGACGGTGGGGTGTTTAATTCTCCCACTATTATTGTGTGGGAGTCTAAGTCTCTTTATAGGTCTCTAAGAACTTGTTTTATGAATCTGAGTGCTCCTGTATTGGGTGCCTATATATTTAGGATAGTTAGCTTTTCTTGTTGCATTGATCCCTTTACCACTATGTAATGCCCTTCTTTTTCTTTTTTGATCTTTGTTAGCTTAAAGTCTGCTTTATCAGAAACTAGGATTGCAACCCCTGCTTTGTTTTCACTTTTCATTTGCTTGGTAAATATTCTGCCATCTCATTATTTTGAGCCTATGTGTGTCTTTACATGTCAGATGTGTCTCCTGAATACAGCATACCAATGGGTCTTGACTCTTTATCCAATGTTCCAGTCTGTGTCTTTTAATTGGGGGCATTTAGCCCATTTACATTTAAGGTTAATATTATTATGTGTGAATTGGATCCTGTCATTATAATGCTAGCTAGTTATTTTGCCCATTAGTTGATGCAGTTTCTTCATAGTGCCCATGGTCTTTACAATTTGGCATGTTTTTGCAGTGGCTGGCACTTGTTTTTCCTTTGCTTATGTAGTGCTTCCTTCAGGAAGGCAGGCCTGGCAGTGGCAAAATCTCTCAGCATGTGCTTGTTGGTAAAGGATTTTATTTCTCCTTCGTTTATGAAGCTTAGTTTGGTTGGATATGAAATTCTGGGATGAAAATTATTTAAGAATGTTGCATATTGGCCCCCACTTTCTTCTGGCTTGTAGGGTTTCTGCATAGAGATCCGCTGTTAGTCTGATGGGCTTCCCTTTGTGGGTAACCTGATCTTTCTCTCTGGCTGCCTTAACATTTTTTCCTTCATCTCAACCTTGGTGAATCTGATGATTATGTGTCTTGGGGCTACTCTTCTTGAGGAGCATCTCTGTGATGTTCTCTGTATTTCCTGAATTTGAATGTTGGCTTGTCTTGCTATGTTGTGGAAGTTTTCCTGGATAATATCCTGAAGAGTGTTTTACAACTTGGTTCCATTCTCCCTGTCACTTTCAGGTATACCAATCAAATGTAGCTTTGTTCTTTTCACGTAGACTCATATTTCCTGGAGGCTTTGTTCGTTCCTTTTCATTCTATCTTCTCTATTGTGGTTGTCTTGCTTTATTTCATTAAGTTGATCTTCAGTCTCTGATATCCTTTCTTCTGCTTGATTGATTAGGCTATTGATATTTGTATATGCTTCATGAAGTCCTAGTGTTGTGTTTTTCAGCTCCATCAGGTCTTTTGTGTTCTTTTCTAAACTAGTTATTCTAGTTAGCAATTCCTCTCACTTTTTATCAAGGTTTTAGCTTCCTTGCATTGGGTTAGAACATGTCCCTTTAGCTTGGAGGAGTTTGTTATTACCCATCTTCTGAAGCCTACTTCTGTCAATTCATCAGACTCAATCTCTGTCCAGTTTTGTTCCCTTCCTGGTGAGGAGTTGTGATCCTTTGGAGAAGAGGCATTCTGGTTTTTGGAATTTTCAGCATTTTTGCGTTGGTTTTACTTCATCTTCGTGGATGTCTCTACCTTTGGTCTTTTTTTTTTTTTTTCAGACGGAGTCTTGCTCTGTTGCCCAGGCTGGAGTGCAGTGGCATGATCTCAGCTCACTGCAAGCTCCCTCTCCTGGGTTCACGTCATTCTCCTGCCTCAGCCTCCCAAGTAGCTGGGACTAAAGGCACCTGCCAGCACGCCCTGTTAATATTTTGTATTTTTAGTAGAGACAGGGTTTCACTGTGTTTGCCAGGATGGTCTCGATCTCCTGACCTCGTTATCCACCTTCCTTGGCATCCCAAAGTGCTGGGATTACAGGTGTAAGCCACTGAACCTGGCCTACCTTTGGTCTTCAATGTTGGTGACCTTCAGATGGAGTTTTTGTGTGGATGTCCTTTTTGTTGATGTTGATACTATTCCTTTCTGTTTGCTATTTTTTGTTCTAACAGTCAGGCCCCTCTGCTGCAGGTCTGCTGGTGTTTGCTGGACGTCCGCTCCAGACCCTGTTTGCCTGGGTATCAGCAGCAGAGGCTGCAGCACAGCAAAAATTGCTGCCTGTCCCTTCCTCTGGAAGCTTCATCCCAGAGGGGCACCCACCAGATGCCAGCCAAAGCTCTCCGGTATGAGGTGTCTGTCGACCCCTGCTGGGAGGTATCTCTCAGCCAGGAGGCACAGGGGTCAGGGACCCACTTGAGGAGGCAGTCTGGCACTTAACAGAGCTCAGAGATCTGCTGCTCTCTTCGGACAGAAACGTTTAAGTCAACTGAAGCTGCACCCACAGCCACTCCTTCCCCCAGACAATGGCAATATAGAACATCTCAATACAGATATAGGAAAACATAAAATGAAAGACTTATGTTCCAGAACAAAATGAAATTAAAGAGCTAAACAAAAACAATAAAAGAAGTAAAAGCTTGCTGAATTGGCTTAATGATGAGGTGGACTTGGCAAAGCATTGAAGTGAACTTGAGAAAATATAAATTGAAAGAACCTAATCTTAAAAACAGAGAGAAAATAGACTGAAAAAGAATGAAAAGAACAAAAGATATCTTTGAAACAATAATGAAAGGTACAACATTTTTATCATTGGAGTCCTAGAAAGAGAAGAAAAAGATAATGAGTCTAAAAGAGTATTACAAAAATAGTGGCTGAAAACCTCCCAAATTTGACTAAAGAAAGAAACTTACAGATGCAAGATGATGAGGAGCCCAAGCAGGAAACAACCCAAAGAAATCTCTGACAAGATACATCATAATTAAACTTCTGAAAGCTGAAGATAAAGAAAACCAAAATCTTGAAAGCAGCCAGAGAGAAACCAAGAATTACCTACCAGGAATGGGCAATTTAAAAAGTAGCAGATTTCTCATCTGAAGTCATGAAGGCAAGAGACAAAAGACATATTTTTCAAGTGGTGAAAGAAAAAAAAAAACTATCTACTGTGAATTCTACCATTGACAAAGCTATACTTCAGGAACAAAAGAAAAATAAAGATATATTCAGACAAAGGAAAACAAAAATAATTTGGCACTATAAGACCTACCTTTAAATATTAGCTAAAGGAAGTTCTTTAAACACAATGGAAATAATTTTTAAAAAGGAATCCTAAGCATCAGGAAAGAAGAAACAACACAGAAAGAGCACATGGGACCAACAAAAGATTATCCTTCACCTTATGAGTTTTTAACTCATAACTGATGATTGTAAGAAAAATTGTACTACTATCTGATAATGATAATAGTGGGAAAGGTAAAGAGAAATGGTAAAGCTCTACGGAAGACTTCTACATTTCACTTGAAGTGGTAAACTGTTAATACTGGTTAATATCAGTAGACTGATAAGATATATAGTAATGCATACAGCAACCATTACAAAAAATAAAAATCATTACACTAAAATCACACTATTATAGAATTATAAAATTATTCAAATAACCCTCAGGAAATCAAGAAAAGAGAAAGAAATGAGAAATAGAGAAAACAAAGGTGGAAATAATAAAAAGACAGACTTATTCTTAAATATATAAATAATTACCTTAAATACAAATGTTCTAAATACAGCAATCAAAAGACAAATACTGACAGAGTGTCAAGAGCATAAACTAACTATATGCTATTTATGGGAAATACACTTGAAAACAAAGACATAGGTGGGTTGAGTGTAAAAAGATGAAAGAAAATATGCCAAAGAGACATGAATCATTAAAAATAAACAAATGGCTGAATTAATATCTGACAATATCTGGTAATATTTTTTCTTCAGAGAAAAGAAAATTACTAGAAATGAAAAGGGACATTATATAATGATAAAACAGATAAAAAGGATTGGTCATCAGGCAGACATAATAATCATAAATGTGTGTAACATCTGATGGAGCTGAAAGAAAAAATAGAAAAATCTACAATTGTAGTTGAGAACTTAAAGACTTCTCTCAGCAACTGGTAGAACTGCTAGACTAAAAACTGTCAAGGACATAGATCTGAACAACACAGTCAACCAACAGTATATTACTAAGCTACTTAGATCAATCCACTCAGCAACAGCAGAATATACCTTTTATCAAGCTCCTATGGAACATTCACTGAGGTAGACCACATCTTGCACCATAAAAAATTCTCGAAAACTTAAAAGAATTGATATCATACAAAATGTATCTGACCATTATGTAATCAGAAGCCAACCATAATCCTGAAAGACACCATTCTGAATGCCATAATCTCAAATGTTAAAATCTGAAAACATCAAAATCCCAAAAATCTAAACTTTATAGGCCATGTTACACAAAAAAATAGGCAATAATAACATACATATTTTTGCAAGCATAAACACTCAGGTATACTAACAGAAGTCACACGAGCATACAGTTATGAGCAGATGAACCAAATTAATAAAGAAACAAGCCAAAAAGGAAAATGCATAAAATATATATCACCATGGTTAGTAATGGTGTACACCCAGCTTTATAATTGAAGTTACCTAAAATACTGTGATGAGTAACCTAACTATTTTGCTGAGATTGATTGAAAACCATGGTGGTTTAGCACTGCATATGCAGTCACCCAAAGACTTGGCATATCCAGAAATTTTGTCTTTCACAAATGTAGATGTACAACAAAGACAGCTCTTCATTTATTGAGAAAGTGTTAACACTTGCATGTGCACGCACAATGCTTACACACAAAGTCAATGTTGTGATAAGGCACTTTAAAGAAGTCAAATTTGCAAAAAAAAATGCATAAAAAGAATTACAACTCTCTAAAGGTCTGCACACAATTTATACCTCCAGTATAAGAAACGATGTAAAGATAAAAAACACAGTGTAATAAATTATAAAAAATAATGCTGACAATATAAAATAGTGGGGAAAAAACTAAACAAAAGAAAAGAGAAAACCTAAAAAAAAAAACAAGAAGGAAATTTGACATGAAAAAGTGTATTACAAAAATAGATGATGGGCAATTGTGCAGAGATAATTTGTAAGTGCTGATCAACTTTCACAAGCATTGACTATATTTTGAAGTCTTGCACCATAATGAAGAGGTGCTTTTTTTTGAAACATGACTCTCCTTGAAGAATACATTCACATATATTTTTTGTGAATGCACTGCTGTTTTTGAAATTCTTCTAATTTGATACACACCAACATGAGCATTCCCTATTAATTTTTCCTATCTTCTGTGCCATGCTTCTATGTTGTTTGGGGAACATGGAAATCCATTATGCATGCACTGATATACCCACCACAAATTTGGTGGAAATTATAATGGTAATCAGACAGAAACACTTGCATGTCTCCTTATCTTATCATGCACATAATTGTTTTTTCAACCAGCCAGTAACTTCACTGGCTTCTTCAGACAAATTAGGCTTTAATTTGTTAAAAGCTCCTGGAACATCATCAGCTGGAAGGAATACCAATGCAGGCAAACAATGTATTTTTTAACTGATTTTCTAGTCACTGCTATATTACATGACCGATTCACTCATCTGAATTTTCCAGCAAATGCAGATAAGGACAATAACAAGGTAATAGTGCCCAATATGATGCAATTAACATCTTGTAACTATCCTGTATACAACCAAAAATGTACTAATCTCTTCTCCAGAATTCACCTTTCAGAATTTCAATATTTAGAAATTTAGTCTTTCAGAATTGTGATTTTTTAGGATTTTAGATAGAAATTCTGATCTTTGAGGATTATCAACATTTGGGATTGTAGAGTTCTGGATTGTCTTTCAGAATTATCATTCAAACAGTATTAAATCAAACTAGAACTCAATAACAGAAAGATGACTGAAAAATACCTAAACCCATGGAAATTAAAGAACACACTTCTGCACAATCATTAGGTAACAGAGGAAGTCTCAGAAGAAGTAAAAATACATTGAATTAATTAAAAATGAAAATATGACATACCAAATGTATGTGATGCACCTAAAGTAGTGCTGAGAGGGAAATGTATAATACTAAATGCTTATATTGGAAATAAGATACAGTCTCAAAATGATATTTTAAGTTCCTAACTCAAGAAACTAAGACAAAAAAAGGAAAGCAAGTATACGAAAGAAAATAATGAAGAGCAGACACCAATAAAATTAAAAGTTAGGAAAATAATGGAGGAAATCAATAATACAAATAGTTGTGGGTTTTTTTGGAAAAAAATTCAATAAACCCTGAACAAGATGGATAAACATGAGAGAGGATCAAATCATCAATCTTGAGAATGAAACAGAAAATATCACTAGAGATTATGTAGTCATAAAAAGTATAATACGAGAATGCAATGAACAATGTAATACTCATAAATTAGATAGCTTATAATAAATGAACCAATTCCTTGAAAATCAAAAACTATCAAAACTCTACCTAGATTAAATGGGTATTCTCAATAGCCTTATAACTATTTAAAAGGTTGAATTCATAATTTAAAAGACCTGAAGAAAAAATAGTCTGGCACAGATAGTTTCACTGCACAATGGTTACCAAACATTGAAAAAGAACTAACACCAATTTTCCACTTTCTCCTGAAGAAAATAAAAGAGAGAGGAAGACCTTTCAACTGATTTTGTGAGGCTAGTATTATTCTACTACCAAAACCAGACAAGTACAAAACAAAGGAAAAAAAACACATAGCCATATCTCTCATAAATGTAGACACAAAAGTGTACATTTAAATATGAGCAAACCACGTTCAACAATGTGACAAAGTGAGATTCATTCCTGGTATGCAATGCTCATTCAGATTTTGAAAATGAATCAGAGGACTGGGTGCAGTGGCTCATGCCTGCAATCCCAGCACTTTGGGAGGCTGAGGCAGGTGGATCATTAAATCAGGTGTTTGAGACCAGCCTGGCCAGCATGCTGAAATCCTGTCTCTACTAAAAATACAAAAATTAGGCAGGCATGGTGGTGCACACCTGTAATCCCAGCTACTCGGGAGGCTGAGGCAGGATTGCTTGAACCTGGGAGGCTGAGGTTGCATTGAGCCAAGATCATGCCACTGTACTCCAGCCTGAGTGACAGAGTGAGACTCCATCTCAAAAAGAAAAAAAATCAATGTAATCCACTAATATCAACACACCAAAAATAAGAAAAATATGATGATATTAATTAATAAAGATGTTTGATGTAATTCAACACCCAGTCGTGATTAAATAAAATTTTAAAAAGTTTCAACAAGTTAAGGATAGGAATAGTTAGAACTTGACAAAGTGCATCTCCAAAATCCTACAGCTAATATAATTGATGATGAAAGACTGAATTCCTTTTCCTATGATTGACAACAAGGCAAGAATTCTGCTCTTATCAGTCATTCAACATAGTAGTTGAAATTCTGGCCACTGCAATAAGGCAAGAAAAACAAATAAAAGATATATAGATTGGGAAGGGAGAAATAAAACTGTCCTTATTTATAGATGACATAATTGTTTCCTAGAAAATCCTAATAAATCTACAAAACAACTTCTAAAAATAGTAAGTGACTTCAGCAAGGTCTTAGGATACTAGATGAACACACAGAAATCAGATACATTTCTAGATATTAGGAATGATAATGAGGAAATCTTAATTTAAAGTATTTACATTCACTCCAATAAAATGAACTCCTTAGACATATACTTAACAAAATGTGTACAGTATATGTATGCTGAAAACACAAAGGCCTGAAAAAAATCAATGTAAATAAATGGAGAGAGGCATACTGTGTTCATGAGTTGGATGACTCAACATCATAAAGATGTCAATTCTCTATAAATTGATCTATAGGTTAAATGAAAATCCTATTGAAATTTTAAGGAAGTGTAGCAATATGGCAGAATAGAAGGCTACACCATTCATCTCCTTCATAAGAACACTAAATTTTAACAATTATCTACACACAGAAAAGTACTGTCACAAGAACCAAAAATCAGGTGAGCAATCACAGTATGTGGTTTTAATGTCATATTGCTGAAAGAGGCATTGAAGAGGGTGGAAGAGACAGTCTTGAATTGCTGATGCCACCCCTCTGCCCTGCTCTGGCTGTGGCCACATGGCATGAAGAGAGAATGTGTGGAGGAGGGAGAGTGCAGAGACTAGGGAACTTTACATTGAACTCTGTGCTGCCCTGTCTCAGTGGAGAGCAAAGTCATGCTGGGCTCAGTCGGCATCCACCCATGGAAGGAACGTTTGGATCAGCCCTAGTCAGAAAAGATTTGCCCATCCCAGTGGTTGGAACTTAAGTTTCTCAGCAAGCCTCACCTTCATGGGCCATAGCACTCTGGGGTTCTAGGTAAACTTGACAGGCCCTAGTCTAGGACACAAGGACTATAATTCCTACACAACTCCTAGTGCTGGGCTGGGCTCAGAAGCAGTAGACTAGGGTGGCATGCGGCCTAGGGAGACACCAGTTAAGTGGCTAAGGGGGTGCTTATGCCACACCTCCCAAAGCTCTATGCAGTACAGCTCATAGCAATAAAAGTGACTTCTTCATTCTGGTTAAGAAAAGGAGAGCAAAGAGTAAGAAGGACTTCATCTTGCCTCTTGGATACCAACTCAGCCAAAGTAGGAAAGGGCACTGGGCAGTCAAAAGGCCCCCATTCCAGGCCCTAGCTCATAGATGACAGTTTTAGACAACCCTGGATAAAAGGGAAACTGAACACCTTGAAGGGAAGGACCCAGTCCTGACCAGATTTATCACCTCCTGACTAAAGAGCTTTTGGGCTCTGCATAACCAGCGTTGATACACAGGTAGTACACGATAGGACTTGAGCTCTGAGACATGCTGACTTCAGGTGTACCTCAGCACATAGCCAGCTGTGGTGGCTCTGGTGAAAGACTCCTGTTTGAGAAAAGCAGAGGGAAGAGTAAAGGGGACTTTGTCTTGCACTTTAGGTATGTCCAAAGTGAGGTAGAGCAACAAGCAGCCTCCTAGGGTTCCCGAGTCCAGACCTAGGTTCTTGGACAGCATTTCTGGACCTGTCCTGGGCCAGAGGGGAGCTCACTTTTCTGAAGGGTGAGTCCCAGTCCTGGCAGCATTCACCACAAGCTGACTGAAGTGACCTTTCAAAGCTTTAAGTGAACATTGACAGTAGCCTGGCAGAACTCCCCATGGAATGGTGGTGGTGGTGGCCACAGTGAGAGGCATCTTTGCCTTTGGAAAGGGAAGAGAAGAGTGGGAAGGACTTTGTATCGTGGTTTGAGTGCCAGCTTACTACAATAGAATAGAACATAAGATAAATTTTTAAGGCTTTTGACTCCAATAACTGGCTCCCAGACAACATCTCTGGACCTGCCCAGGACCTTAGGAAACTAGCCACTCTGAAGGGAAGAACACACTTGCTGATTGAAAAGTCCTAGGGCTTTGAGTGAACATAGATGGTAGCCTGGTAGTGCTTACAGCAGACCTTAGGCAAGCCCCAGTGTTTTGCTGTCTTCAGGTTAGATGCAGCACAGTTCCAGTGGTGGTGACCACAGAGGTACTTGCATCAACATGCAACATTCAAGATGGCTCAGCACAGAGAGAGAGAGAGAGAGACTCCATTTATTTGAGAGACAGTAAGAGAAAATAAGAAGGGTCTCTTACTGGTAATTCAGAGAAATGTTCTGGATCTTTTCCAAGGCCACCATGGTGGTACCGCTATGAGTCTGCAAAAAAAACACAGAGTTATTGAGCTTGGGGCTCAATTTTTTTTAAATACCTGTAAAGTCTTCCCCAGAAAGATGAGCACAAACAGGTCAGACTGCAAATATTATAATAAATGCCTAACTCATTAATGCTCTGACACCAGTGAACATCTACAAGCATCAAGACAATCCAGGAATACATGACCTCACTAAATGAAACAAATAAGGCGCCAGGGACCAATCCTCAAAAAACAGAGATATGTGACCCTACAGACAGATAATTCAAAATACCTGTGTTGAGAAAACTCAAAGAAATGCAAGATAACAAAATGAAACTATTCAGAATTCTAACATATTAATTGAACAAAGAGACTGAAATAATTAAAAAGAATCAATCAGAAATTCTAGAGTTGAATAGTACAATTGACATACAGAAGCATGCATCAGTCTCTTTATGCAGAATTGATCAAGCAGAAGAATTTGTGAGCTTGAAAACACACAATAAGAGAAGACAAATGAAAAGCAAAACCATAAAATAGAATAAAGTATGTCTACAAGATCTGGAAAATAGACCCAAAATGGTAAATCTAAGAGTTATTGGCCTTAAAGAGGAGGTAGAGAAAAAGACATGGGTGGAAAGTTTATTCAAATGAATAATATCAGATAACTTCTGAAGCCTAGATGAAGATATCGATAGTTAAGTACAAGAAGGTTATAGAACACCAAGCAAATTTAACCCAAAGAAGACTACCTCAAGGCATTTAATAATCAAACTCCCAAAGGTCAAGGATAAAGAAAGGAGAAAATTTTTGCAATCTACCCATCTGATAAAGGACTAATACCCAGAATCCACAAAGAACTCAAACAAATTTACAAGAAAAAATCAAAAAACCCCATCAAAAAGTGGGTGAATGATATGAACAGACACTTCTCAAAAGAAGACATTTATGCAGCCAAAAGACACATGAAAAAATGCTCATCATCACTGGTCATCAGAGAAATGCAAATCAAAACCACAATGAGATACCATCTCACACCAGTTAGAATGGCAATCATTAAAAAGTCAGGAAACAACAGGTGCTAGAGAGGATGTGGAGAAATAGGAACACTTTTACACTGTTGGTGGGACTGTAAACTAGTTCAACCATTGTGAAAGACAGTGTGGTGCTTCCTCAAGGATCAAGAACTAGAAATACCATTTGACCCAGTGATCCCATTACTGGGTATATACCCAAAGGATTATAAACCATGCTACTTTAAAGACACATGCACACATATGTTTATTGTGGCACTATTCACAATAGCAAAGACTTGGAACCAACCCAAATGTCCATCAATGGTAGACTGGATTAAGAAAGTGTGGCACATATACACCATGGAATACTATGCAGCCATAAAAAAGGATGAGTTCATGTCCTTTGCAGGGGCATGGATGAAGCTGGAAACCATCATTCTGAGCAAACTATCACAAGGGCAGAAAACCAAACACCACATGTTCTCACTCATAGGTGGGAATTGAACAATGAGAACACTTGGACACAGGGCGGGGTACATCACACACAGGGGCCTGTCATGGGGTGGGGGGAGGGGGGAGGTATAGCATTAGGAGAAATACCTAATGTAAATGACGAGTTAATGGGTGCAGCAAACCAACATGGCGCATGTATACATATGTAACAAACCTGCATGTTGTGCACATGTACCCTAGAACTTAAAGTATAATAAAAAAAAGAGAGAATCACACATATTTTTTGTTTCCTGGTGCATATGAAAGTTATGTTTACACTATACCATATCCTATTAAGTGTGAAATTGCATTATATGTTAAAAAAAAGTTTCCTAAAAGCAGCATGAGAAACAAAATAAATAACATACAATGGAACTCCGATACATCCAGCAGTGAACTTTTCAGTGAAAACCATACAGGCAAGGAGAGAATTACATGACATATTCAATGTGTGGAAGGAAAAAAATACATGTATTCTTGAATAGCATATCCAGCAAAATAACATTCAAGTAGAAAGGAGAAATAAAGACTTGCTCAGACAAACCAAAGTTGAAGAATTTCATCAACACTAAGCTTGTGCTACAAGAAATGCTAAAGAAAGTTCTTTAATCTAAAAGAAAAAGATGTTAATGAGCAAGAATAAACCATCAGAAGGTACAAAACTCAGTGGTAACAGCAAGTACACAGAATGTTATAACACTGTAGTTGCAGTACATAAACTACTTGTATCTTTTTAAAGGTTTTTACATTTTTAAATTTTTGTGGGTACACACTAAGTGTATATATTTATAAGGTACATGAGATATTTTATACAGGTATGTAATTTGAAATAAGCACATCTTGGAGAATGGGGTATCCAAATCCTCAAACATTTATCTTTTGTATTAAAATCAATCCAATTACCCTTTAGGTTATTTCTAAATGTACAATTAAATTATTAATGACTATAGTCACTCTGTTGAGCTACAAAATAGAAGGTCTTATTCATTCTTTCTCATTATTTTTGTCCCCATTAACCATGTCCACCTCCCCCCATTTTCTATTACCCTTCCCAGCCTCTGGTAAACCATTCTTCTAGTATCTATGTCCATGAGTTCAATTATTTGGTTTTTTAGATTCTACAAATATGTGAGAACATGTGGTGTTTGTCTTTCTGTGCCTGGCTTATTTAACTTAACATTATGATCTCCAGTTCCACCCATGTTGTTGTAAGTGACTGAATCTCATTCTTTTTATGGCTTAATAGTACTCTATCTTGTATATAAACCACATTTTTAAATCTATTCATCTGTGGATGAGCACTTAGGTTGCTTCCATATCTTAGCTATTGTAAACAGTGCCTCAACAAACATAGGAGTGAGGATATCTTTTTGATGTACTAATTTCCTTTCTTTGGGGTATGTATCCAGCAGGGCAATTGCTGAATCATATGGCAGCTCAATATTTAGTTTTGTGAGGAACATCCAAACTATTGTCCTTAGTGGGCTGTACTAATTTACATTCCCATTAATAGTGTACAAGAGTTCCTTTTTCTCCACACACATGATAATCAGCATTTGTTATTGCCTGTTTGAATAGAAGACGTCGTACCTGGAATGGGATTATATCTCAATGTAGTTTTGGTTTGCATTTCTCTGATGATCAGTGATGTTGAACACCTTTTCATGTGCCTGTTTGCCATTTTTATGAAACATCTATGCAAATCTTTTGCCAAATTTTTGATCTTATTTTTCCTATAGAGTTGTTTGAGCTCCTTATATGTTCCAGTCAGCTGAGTAGTTTTTACATATCTTCTCCCATTCTGGGTGTTGTCTTGTCACTTTGTTGATAGTATATTTTACTGTGCAGAAACGTTTTAACTTGATGTGCTCTCATTTGTCCACTTTTGATTTGGTTGCCTGTGCTTATGGAGTATTGCTCAAGAAATCATTGTCTAAACCAATGTCCTGGAGATTTTTGCCAAAGTTTTATTGTAGTAGTTTCATAGATTGAGGTCTTAGATGTGAGTATTTAATCCATTTTAGTTTGATTTTTGTATATGGTAAGAGACAGGGGTCTAGTTTCATTCTTCTTCATATGGATATCCAGTTTTCTCAGCACCATTTATTGAAGAGAATGTTGATTCCCTAGTGTATGTTCTTGGCTCTTTTGTCAAAAATGAGTTTAGTGTAGGGGTGGAGATTTGTTTCTGTGATCTTTATTATGTTCCATTAGATCACTTGTTTATCATTATTTTTAAAATTAATTATTTAATTTTAATTTTGTGGGTATATAGTAGGTGTATATATTTACAGGTTACATGAGAGGTTTTGATACAGACATGCAGTGTGAAATAAGCACATCATTAAGAATGGGGTATACATCCCCTCTAGCTTTTATCCATTGACTTGCAAATAATCCAATTAAACTCTTAAAGCTATGTAAAGATGTACAGTTAAGTTATTGATTATCGTCACCTTGTGTTATCAAATAGTAGGTCTCATTCATTCTTTTTAACTAATTGCTTTTGTAACAATTAACCATCTGCAACACACCCTAGGCCCTCACTACCCCTCCCATCTTCTGGTAACCATCTTCCTACTCTCTATCTCCATGAATTCAGTTTATTTAATTTTTAGATCCCACAAATAAGTGAGAACATGAGTTGTCTTTTTGTGTCTTGTGTATTTCACTTAATATAATAATCTCCAGTTCTATTCGTATTGTTGCAAATGACTGGATCTCATTCTTTTTTATGACTGAATAGTATCTATTGGGTATAGGTACCATATTTTATTTATCTATTTATCTGTTAATGGACACTTAGGTTGCTTCCAAATCTTAGCTTCTGTAAACAGGGCTGCAACAAACAAAGGAGTGTAGATACCTCTTTGATATACTGATTTCCTCTCTTTTTGGTATGTGCTCAACAGTGGGATTGCTGGATTATATGGTAGCTCTGTTTTTAGTATTGTAAGGAACCCTGCAAACTGTTCTCCATAGTGATTATACTAATTTACAGTTCCACCCACAGTGTACAAGTGTTCCCTTTTCTCCACATCCTTACCAGCATTTGTTATTGCCTGTCTTTTGGATATAGGTAATTTTAGCTAAGGTGAGATGATATCTCTTTGTAATTTTCATTTCCATTTCACTGATGATCACTGATGTTGAGCACCTTTTCATAAGCCTGTTTGCCATTTGTATGTCTTACTTTAAAAAATGTCTATTTAGATATTTTGCTCATTTTTGGTTGGGTTGTTAGATTTTTGCTTATAAAGCTGTTTGAGCTCCTTATATATTTTGGTGTTTAAGCTTTTGCCAGATGGGTTGTTTGCAAATTTTTTTTTTTTTTTTTTTTTTTTACATTTTGTAGGTTTTCTCTTCATGTTGTTTACTCCATCCTTTGGTGTGCAAAAGTTTCTTTTTTTTTTTAACTTGATTTCGTCCCATTTGTCAATTTTTGCATTGGTTTCATGTGCTTATGTGCATTGCTCAAGAAATCTTTGCCCAGACCAATGTGGTGAAGTTTTTCCCCAATGTTTTCTGGTAGTAGTTTCATAGCTTGAGACCTTAAATTTAAGTATTTAATCCATTTTATTTTATTTTATTTTGTTTTATTTTATTTTATTGTAATTTTGCTTTAAGTTCTGGGATGAACCTGCAGGTTTGTTACATACGTATACATGTGTCATAATGGTTTGCTGCGCCTATCAAACTGTCATCTAGATTTTAAGCCCTATATGCATCATTTGTCCTAACGCTCTCCCTCCCACCCCCCGACAGGCCCCAGTGTGTGATGTTCCCCTTCCTGTGCCCATGTGTTCTCATTGTTCGACTCCCACTTATGAGTGAGAACATACGGTGTTTGATTTTCTCTTCCTGTGTTAGTTTGATGAGAATGATTTTTTTCCAGCTTCATCCATATCCCTGCAAAGGACTTGAACTCATTCTTTTTTATGGCTGCAGAGTATTCTATGGTGTATATGTGCCACATTTTCTTTATCCAGTCTATCAATGATGGGCATTCGAGTTGGTTCCAAGTCTTTGCAATTGCAAATAGTGCTGCAATAAACATATGTGTGCATGTGTCTTTATAGTAGCATGATTTATAATACTTTGGGTATATACCTAGTAATGGGTTTAATGAGTGTAATGGTATTTCTGTTTCTAGATACTTGAGGAATTACCACACTGTCTTCCACAATGGTTGAAGTAATTTACACTCCCACCAACAGTGTAAAAGTATTCCTATTTCTCCACATCCTTACCGGCACCTGTTGTTTCCTGACTTATTAATGATTGCCATTCTAACTAGCGTGATATGGTATCTCATTGTGGTTTTGATTTGCATATCTCTGATGACCAGTGATGATGAGCATTTTTTCATCTGTTTGTTGGCCACATAAATGTCTTCTTTTGAGAAACGTCTGTTCATATCCTTTGCCCATTTTCTGATGGGCTTGTTTTTTTCTTGTATATTTGTTTAAGTTCCTTGTAGATTCTGGATATTAGACCTTTGTCAGATGGATAGATTGCAAAAAATTTCTCCCATTTGTAGGTTGCTGTTCACTCTGATGATAGTTTCTTTTGTAGTGCAGAAGCTCTTTAGTTTAATTAGATCCCATTTGTCAATTTTGGCTTTTGTTGCCATTGCTTTTGGTATTTTAGACATGAAGTCCTTGCCCATGCCTATATCCTAAATGGTATTCCCAGGTTTTCTTCTATGGTTTTTATGGTTTTGATTTTACATTTAAGTCTTTAATTTGTCTTGAGTTAATTTTTGTATAAGATGTAAGGAAAGAGTCCAGTTTCTATTTTCTTCATATGGCTAGCCAGTATTCCCAGCACTATTTACTAAATAGGAAATCCTTTCCCGATTGCTTGTTTTTGTCAGGTTTGTTGAGCATCATTTGGTTGTAGTTGTGTGATGTTATTTATAAGGTCTCTCTTCTGTTTCATTTGGTCTATATATCTTTTCTGGTATCACTATCATGCTGTTTTGGTCACTGTAGGCTTGTAGTATAGTTTGAAGTCAGGTTGCCTCATGCCTCCAACTTTGTTCTTTTTGCTTAGGATTATCTCTTTTTTGTTCCATATAAAATTTAAAGTAGTTGTATCAAATTCTGTGAAGAACATCAATGGTAGTTTGATGGGGATAGCATTGAATCTATAAATTACTTTGGGTATTATGGGCATTTTTACAATACTGATTCTTCCTATCCATGAGAATGGATTTTTTTTTTCATTTTTATTTTACTATTATACTTTAAGTTTTAGGGTACAAGTGCACAATGTGCAGGTTAGTTACATATGTGTACATGTGCCATGCTGGTGTGCTGAACCCATTAACTCCTCATTTAGCATTAGGTATATCTCCTAATGCTATCCTTCCCCCTCCTTCCACCCCACAACAGTCCCCAGAGTGTGATGTTCCCCTTCTTGTGTCCATGTGTTCTCATTGTTCAATTCCCACCTATGAGTGAGAACATGCGGTGTTTGGTTTTTTGTCCTTGCAATAGTTTACTGAGAATGATGATTTCCAATTTCATCCATGTCCCTACAAAGGACATGAACTCATCCTTTTTTATGGCTGCATAGTATTCCGTGGTGTATATGTGCTACATTTTCTTAATCCAGTCTATCATTGTTGGACATTTGGGTTGGTTCCAAGTCTTTGCTATTGTGAATAGTGCTGCAATAAACATACGTGTGCATGTGGCTTTATAGCAGCATGATTTATAGTCCTTTGGGTATATACCCAGTAATGGGATGGTTGGGTCAAATGGTATTTCTAGTTCTAGATCCCTGAGGAATCGCCACACTGACTTCCACAATGGTTGAACTAGTTTACAGTCCCACCAACAGTGTAAAACTGTTCCTATTTCTCCACATCCTCTCCAGCACCTGTTGTTTCCTGACTTTTTAATGATTGCCATTCTAACTGGTGTGAGATGGTATGTCATTATGGTTTTGATTTGCATTTCTCTGATGGCCAGTGATGGTGAGCATTTTTTCATATGTTTTTTGGCTGCATAATTGTCTTCTTTTGAGAAGTGTCTGTTCATGTCCTTCACCCACTTTTTGATGGGGTTGTTTGTTTTTTTCTTGTAAATTTGTGGGAGTTAATTGTAGATTCTGGATATTAGCCCTTTGTCAGATGAGTAGGTTGCGAAAATTTTCTCCCATGTTGTAGGTTGCCTGTTCACTCTGATGGTAGTTTCTTTTGCTGTGCAGAAGCTCTTTAGTTTAATTAGGTCCCATTTGTCAATTTTGGCTTTTGTTCCCATTGCTTTTGGTGTTTTAGACATGAAGTCCTTGCCCATGCCTATGTCCTGAATGGTAGTGCCTAGGTTTTCTTCTAGGGTTTTTATGGTTTTAGGTCTAACGTTTAAGTCTTTAATCCATCTTGAGTTAGTTTTTGTATAAGGTGTAAGGAAGGGATCCAGTTTCAGCTCTCTACATATGGCTAGCCAGTTTTCCCAGCACCATTTATTAAATAGGGAATCCTTTCCCCATTGCTTGTTTTTCTCAGGTTTGTCAAAGATCAGATAGTTGTAGATATGTGGCGTTATTTCTGAGGGCTCTGTTCTGTTCCATTAATCTATATCTCTGTTTTGGTACCGGTACCATGCTGTTTTGGTTACTGTAGCCTTGTAGTATAGTTTGAAGTCAGGTAGTGTGATGCCTCCAGCTTTGTTCTTTTGGCTTAGGATTGACTTGGTGATGTGGGCTCTTTTTTGGTTCCATATGAACTTTAAAGTAGTTTTTTCCAATGATGTGAAGAAAGTCATTGGTAGCTTGATGGGGATGGCATTGAATCTATAAATTACCTTTATCCTCTGTTATTTTTTATTTTTGAGCACTGGTTTGTAGATCTCCTTGAAGAGGTCCTTCACATCCCTGTAAGTTGTATTCCTAGGTATTTTATTCCCTTTGTAGCAATTGTGAATGGGAGTTCACTTAGGATTTGGCTCTTTGCTTCTATATTGTTGGTATATAGGAATTCTTGTGATTTTTGCACATTGATTTTGTATCCTGAGACTTTGCTGAAGTTGCTTATCAGCTTAAGGAATTTTGGGGCTGAGATGATGGGGTTTTCTAAATATACAATCATATCATCTGCAAACAGACAATTTGACTTCCTCTCTTCCTATTTGAATATGCTTTATTTCTTTCTCTTGTCTGATTGCCCTGGCCAGAACTTCCAATAGTATGTTGAATAGGAGTGGTGAGAGAGGGCATCCTTGTCTTGTGTCAGCTTTCAAAGGGAATACTTCCAGCTTTTGCCCATTCTGTATGATATTGGCTGTGGGTTTTTCATAATTAGCTCTTATTATTTTGAGATATGTTCCATCAATACCTAATTTATTGAGTTTTTAGTATGAAGGGATGTTTAATTTTATCGAAGGTCATTTCTGCAACTGTTGAGATAATCATGTGGTTTTTGTCATTCGTTCTGTTTATGTGACAGATTACATTTATTGATTTGTGTATGTTGAATCAGCCTTGCATCCCAGGGATGAAGCCAACTTGATTGTGGCGGATATGCTTTTTGATGTGCTGCTGGACTTGGTTTTCCAGTATTTTATTAAGGATATTCACATCGAAGTTCATCAGGGATATTGGCCTTGGAATAGTTTCAGAAAGAATGGTACCAGATCTTCTTTGTACCTCTGATAGAATTCGGTCCTGAATCCATCTGGTCCTGGGCTTTTTTTGGTTGGTAGCCTATTAATTACTGCCTCAATTTTAAAACTTGTTATTTTTCTATTCAGGGATTCATCTTCCTCCTGGTTTAGTCTTTGGAGGGTGTATTTTTCTAGGAATTTGTCAATTTCTTCTAGATTTTCTAGTTTATTTGCATAGAGGTGTTTATAGGATTATTTGATGTTAGTTTGTATTTCTGTGGGATCAGTGGAGCTATCCCCTTTTATCATTTTTATTGTATCTGTTTGTTACTTTTGTCTTCTTCTTTATTAGTATAGCTAGCTGTCTATCCATTTTGTTAATCTTTTTAAAAACCAGCTTCTGAATTTATTGATTTTTGAAGGGTTTTTCATGTCTCTATATCCTTCTGTTCTGCTCTAATCTTAGTTATTTCTTGTCTTCTGCTAGCTTTTGAATTTGCTTGCTCTTGCTTCTCTAGTTCTTTTAATTTTGATGCTCAGGTGTCGATTTTAGATCTTTCCAGCTTTCTGATGTGGGCATTTAGTGCTGTAAATTTCCCTCATTACACTGCTTTAGCTGTGTACCAGAGATTCTGGTATGTTGTTTCTTTGTTCTCATGGGTTTCAAATAACTTCTTTATTTCTGTCTTAATTTTATTATTTACACAGTAGTCATTCAGGAGCAGGTTGTTCAATTTCCATGTAGTTGTGTGGTTTTGAGTGAGTGTCTTAATCCTGAGTTCTAATTTGATTGCACTGTGGTCTGAGAGACTGTTTGTTATGAATTCCATTCTTTTGCATTTGCTGAGGAGTCTTTTACTTTCAATTACGTGGTGCTGAGAAGAATGTATATTTTGTTGATTTTGGGTGGAGAGTTCTGCAGATTTTTAATAGGTCCACTTGGTCCAAAGTTGAGTTGAAGTACTAAATGTCCTTTTTAATTTTCTGTCTCATTGATCTGTCTAACATTGACAGTGGGGTGTTAAAGTCTCCCATGCTTATTGTTTAGGAGTCTAAATCTCTTTGTAGGTCTTTAAGAACTTGCTTTATGAATCTGGGTGCTCCTGTATGGGTGCATATATATTTAGTGTAGTTAGTCTTCTTGTTGCACTGATCCCTTTACCATTATGTAATGCTCGTCTTTGTCCTTTCTGATTTTTGATGGTTTAAAGTCTGTTTTATTACAGATTAGGATTGTAACCCCTGCTTTGTTTTGCTTTTTTGTTTGTTTGTTTTTTGCTTTCCATTTGTTTGGCAAATATTCTTCCATCTGTTTATTTTGAGCCTATGTGTGTCTTTGCACATGAGTTGGGTCTCCTGAATACAGTACACCGATGGGTCTTGATTCTTTATCTAATTTGTCAGTCTGTGTCTCTTGTCTTTATTTTTATTTTATTTTATTATTTATTATTATTATTTTTTGAGATAGAGTCTTGCTCTCTCGCCCAGGTTGGAGTGCAGTGGCGTGATCTTGGCTCACTGCAACCTCTGCCTCCTGGGTTCAAGCAATTCTAGTGCCTCAGCTTCCTGAGTAGCTGGGATTACAGGTGCCCACCACCACACCTAGCTAATTTTTTGTATTTTTAGTAGAGACGTGGTTTCACCATGTTGGCCATGCTGGTCTCAAACTCCTGACCTCAGGTGATCTGCCTGTCTCAGCCTCCCAAAGTGCTAGGATTACAGGTATCAGCCAGTGCGCCCAACCCCATGTCTTTTAATTGGAGCATTTAGCCCATTTACATTTAAGGTTTATATTGTTATGTGTGAATTTGATTCCGTCATCATGATGCTAGCTGATTCTTTTGCACATTAGTTGAAGCAGTTTCTTTATAGCGTCACTCATCTTTATATTTTGGTGTGCTTTTGCAGTGACTGGTACCAGTTTTTCCTTTCCATATTCAGTGCTTCCTTTAGGACCTTTTGTAAGACAGGCCTGATGGTGACAAAATCTCTCAGCAGTTGCTTGTCTGGAAAGGATTTTATTTCTCCTTCACTTATGAAGCTTAGTTTGCTGCATATAAAATTCTGGGTTGAAAATTCTTTTCTTTAAGAATGTTGCATATTGGCCCCCACTACCTTCTGGATTGTATGATTTCTTCAGAGAGGTCCGCTTTCAGGCACACAAAGCAATTGTAGGTTTGGTCTTTTCACATAGTCCCATATTTCTTGGACGCTTTGTTCTTTTCATTCTTTTTTCTCTAATCTTGTCTGCATGCCTTATTTCAGTTACTTGGTTTTCAATCTCCTATATCCTTTCTTCCACTTGATTGATTTGGCTATTGATACTTCAGGATGCTTCACAAAGTTCTCGTGCTGTGTTTTTCAGCTCCATGAGGTCATGCTCCTATCTAAACTGGTTATTCTAGTTAGCGGTTCCTGTAACCTTTTATCAAGCTTCTTAGCTTCCTTGCATTGGGTTAGAACATGTTCCTTTAGCTCAGTGTAGTTTGTTATTACCCACCTTCTGTCAATTTGCCAATCTCATTTTCCACCGAGTTTTGGGCTCTTGCTGCAGAGGAGTTGGGATCATTTGGAGGAGAAGAGGCATTCTGGTTTTGGAAATTTTCAGCATTTTTGTGCTGGCTTTTCCTCATCTTCATGTATTTATCTACCTTTGATCTTTGAGGCTGATGACCTTTGGATGAAGTTATTGTGTGGGAGTCCTTTTTGTTAATGTTGTTGCTTTCTGTTAGTTAATTTTTCTTCTAACAGTCAAGTCCCTATTCTGCAGGTCTGCTGCAGTTTGCTGGAGGTCCACTCCAGATCCTTTTTTGCCTGTGTGTCACCAGTGGAGGCTGCAGAACAGCAAAGATTCCTGCCTGCTCCTTCCCCTGGAAGGTTTATCCCAGAGGGGTACCAGCC
Organism: Homo sapiens; assembly: GCF_000001405.40. Lineage (NCBI taxonomy): Eukaryota > Metazoa > Chordata > Mammalia > Primates > Hominidae > Homo > Homo sapiens. The sequence goes on along the minus strand of NC_000023.11, from coordinate 66,838,683 downwards.
TGATGCCAGCCAGAGCTCTCCTATATGAGGTGTCTGTCAACTCCTGTTGGGAAGTGTCTCCCAGTTAGGAGGGACAGTGGTCAGGGGTCCACGCTAGGAGGCCTTCTGTATTTTAGCAGAGCTCAAGTGTTGTGCTGGGAGAATCTCCTTGTCAGGGTCAGCTGCTGCTGTCTTCAGAGCTGCGAGGCAGAAAAGTTTAAGTCCGCTGAAGTTGTGCCCACAGCGTCCCCTTTTCCCAGGTGCTCTGTCTCAGAGAGACGGGAGTTATATCCATAAACCTCTGACTGGGGCTGCTGCCTTTCTTTCAGAAATGCCCTGCCCAGTGAGGAGAAATCTAGAGAGGCATTCTAGCCACAGGAACTTTTCCACACTGTGGTGATTTCTGCCCAGTCAAAACCTCCCAGCCTCCTTAGCACTGTCAGGGGGAAACAGTCTACACAAGCCTCAGTAATGGCGGAAGCCCCTCCCCCCACCAAGATTGATCATCCCAGGTTGACTTCCGACTGCTGTGCTGACAGTGAGAATTTCAAGCCAGTGCTTCTAGCTGGGCTCCGTGGGAGTGGGACCCACTGATCAAGACCACTTGGCTCCGAGGCTTCAGCCCCCTTTCAAGGGGAGTGGACAGTTTTATTTTGCTGGAGTTCCAGGCACCACTGGGGTATGAAAAAAACTGCTCCAGTTAGCTCGATGTCTGCCGAAACAGTGGCCCAGTTTTGTACTTGAAACCCAGGGCTCTGGAGGTGTAGGCACATGAGGGAATCTCCTGATCTCAGTTGGAAATGCAGAAATCACCCCCTTCTGCATTGGTCTTGCTTGGAGCTGCAAGACTGGACCATTTTCTATTGGGCCATCTTGCCCAACATGGATTGAAAAGGAGGAATCTTAAAATAACACTGCATTCCTTGGCTTGTGGCTTCTTCCTCCATCTCCAAGGTCAGCAGTATCGGCAAATCTCTCTCTGACTCTAATCTATTTAATCCATTTTAATTTTGCTTTTGCATATGGCAAGTGATGGTTTCATTCTTCTCCATATGGATATCCAGTTTTCCCAGCATTTATTGAAGAGACTGTCTTCCCCAGTGTATGTTCCTGGAACCTTTGTTGAAAATGAATTCACTGTAGGTGTGTGGATTTGTTTCTGGGTTCTCTATTCTGTGCCATTGGTCTATGAGTCTGTTTTTATGCCAGTGCCATGCTCTTTTGGTTACTAGAGCTCAGTGGTATAATTTTAAGTCAGGTATATGATTCCTCCAGTTCTTTTTTTATTTTTGTTTAGGATTGTCTTGGCTATTCTGGTTCTTTTGTGGTGTTATACAAATATTAGGATTTTTTTTTTCTGTTTCTCTGAGGAAGCCCTTTGGGATTTTGATAGAGACTGCATTGAATCTGTAGATTGCTTTGTATAGTATGGATATTTTAACAATATTGATTCTTCCAATCCATTAACATGAAATATTTTTTGGTGCTCTCTTCAATTTCTTTCATTAGTCTTTTATAGTTTTCAGTATAGAGATCTTTCACTTCTTTGGTTATTTGCTGGTATTTAATTTTATGTGTGGCTGTTGTAAATAAAATTACTTTTTAAATTTCTTTTTAACATTGTTCACGGCTGGCATATAGAAATGCAGCCAATTTTCGTATGTTAATTTTTTATTCTTCAATTGTACTAAATTTGTTTATCAGTTCCAACCATTTTCTTTTGGCATCTTTAGGTTTTTACAAATCTAAGATCACATCATCTGCAAACAAGAATAATTTGATTTCTTTTATTTTTCAATTTGAATGCACTTTATATATTTCTCTTGTCTAATTGCTCTAGCTGGGATTTCCAGTACTATACTGAATAACAGTCATGACAGTGGGCATCCTTGTCTTGCTCCAGATCTTAGAGAAAAGGCTTTCATTTTTACCCCATTCGGTATGATACTACTTGTGGGTCTGTCCAATATAACTCTTATTATGTACATGTATGGTTCTTCTATCACCAGTTCTTTGAGGGTTTTTATCATAAAGGGATGTTAAATTTTATCAAATGTTTTTACAGCATTAATTGAAATGATCTTATGGTTTTCATTCTTCATTCTGCTGATATGATGTATCACATAGATTTATTTGTGTATATTGAACACACTTTGCACCTCAGGAATAATTCCCACTTGTTCATGATGAATGATCTTTCTAATGTATTGTTGAATTCAGTTTGCTACTATTTTGTTGAGAATTTTTGCATAAATATTTATCAGATGTATGGCCTGTGGTTTTCATCTTTTGATGTATCTTTGTCTGCTTTTGGTATTAGCATAATACTGGCACCATAGAATGAGTTTGGACATATTCTTTCATCCTCTATTTTTCAGAATAGTTTGAATAGGAATGGTTTTAGTTATTTTTTCAATATTTGGTAGAATTCAGCAATGAAACCACTGGGTCCCAGGCTTTTCTTTGCTGGGAGACTTTATTAAGGTTTTAATCTCATTACTTGTTATTAATGTGTTCCAGTTTTGATTTCTTTCTAGTTCAATGCTGGTCACTTGTATATATCTAGAAATTTGTCCATTTCTTCTACATTTTACAATTTATTGGCATATAGTTTTTCATAGCAGGAACTAATGATCATTTGCATTTCTGCAGTATCAGTTGTAATGTTGAATTTTTCATTTCTGATTTTATTTATTTGTATTTCCTCTTTTTTTCTTACTTAGTCTGACTAAAGTTTGGCCAATTTTGTTTAACTTTTTAAAAACAAAATTTTTGGCTTTATTAATCTTTTGTATGTTTTTTAATTTCAATTTCATTTATTTCTGACTTGATTTTTATTATTATTTTTTCTTTACCTAATTTTGGTATTGGTTAGCTTCCGCTTTTCTGGTTCTTTAAGATACATTGTTAGATTTTTCATTTTAAGTTTTTCCTCTTTTTCAGTATAGGCACTAACAGCTATAATCTTCCCTTTTAGTAATTCTTTTGCTGTATTCTATGGTTGTTTGCATGTTATGTTTCCACATTGTTTGAGAAAAATTTTCAATTTTATTCTTAACTTCTTCATTGACCCACTGGTCATTCAGGAGTATATTGTTTAATTTTCATGTAAGAGTATAGTTTACAAATTTTCTCTTTTTATTATTATCTAATTTTATTTCACTGTTGTCACAGAAAATGCTTCACCTCCACTTGTTATTGTATTGGAGTCTATCTCTCTCTTTATCTCTAACATTTCCTTCATATATCTGGGTGCTCTGGTGTTGGGTGCATATATATTTAAAAGTTTCATATCCTCTTGCAGTATTGACCCATTTATCATACTGACCTTCTTTTTCTCACAGTTTTTGTCTTGAAATCTATTTTTTCTGATATTAAGTATAGCAGTTATTGCTCTATTTTGGCTCCCATTGAAATAGAATATGTATTCCCATCCTTTTATTTTCAGACAATGTATGTCCTTGTAGGTGAAAAGTGTTTCTTCTGGGATCAATGGTTCTTGCTTTCTTATCCATTCAGTCTGTGTCTTTCAATTTGAGAGTTTAGTCAATTTACATTCAATGTTATTATTGATATAGAAGGACTCACTCTTGTCATTTTATTATTTGTTTTCTGGTAGTTTTATGGTCTTCTCTTCCTTCTTTTTTCCTTTATATCTTCCTCTAGTGAAGGTGATTTTCTCTGGTGATATGATTTAGTTTGTTGTTTTTAATTTTTTGTGTATTGCTTGTATGGTTTTGCTTTGAGATCATTCATGTCATTTTCTTTCTGATTGAAGTACTCTTTTTAGCATTTCATGTAGGTCTAGTATTGATAAAAAAAACCCTCAGCTTTTGTTTGTCTGGGAAAGCCTTTATTTTTCTTTCATGTTTAAATAATATTTTTTATCAGATATACTATTTTAGGATAAAAGGTTTCCTTCCTTCAGTACTTTAAATATGTCATGCCACTCTCACCTGGCCTGTACTATCTCCACTGAGAAGTGTGCTGCCAGACTTATTGGAGCTCCATTGTATGTTATTTTTTTCTTTCCTTTTGCTGCTTTTAGGATTTATTCTTTATCCTCGAACTTTGGAAGTTTATTAAATGCCTTGAGATAGTCTTCTTTAGGTAAAATATGCTTGGTATTCTATAACAGTCTTATTTTTGAGCATTGACATCTTTTTCTAGTTTTGGGATGTTCTCTGTTATCCCTTTGAATAAACTTTCTACCCCTATCTTTTTCTCAGCCTCCTCTTTGAGGCTATCAACTGTTAGATTTGCCCCTTTCCGGGTATTTTCTAGATGCTGTAAGCACACTTTTTTTTCCTTTTGTCTTTTTTGACTGTTTATTTTCAAATAGCCTGTTTCCAAATTCACTAATTCTTTCTTCTGCTTGATCAGTTCTGCTATTAAAATACTCTGATGTGTTCTTCAGTATGCCAAATGCATTTCTCAGCTTCAGAATTCCTGCTTGTTTCTTTTTAATTATTTCAGTCTCTTTGTTTGATTTATCAGATAGAATACGGAATTCCTTCTCTGTGTTATCTTATATTTCTTTGAGTTTCCTCAACACAGCTATTTCAAATTCTCTGTCTGAAAGTTTACATATCTCTGTTTCTCCATAATTGATCCCTTTTGCCTTATTTGTTTCATTTGGTTAGGTCATGTTTTCTTGAATGATGTTGATGCTAGTAGATATTCTTTGGTTTCTGGGCATTGAAGAGTTAGGTATTTCTTGTAGTCTTCACTGTCTGGGCTTTTTTTTTTTACTTCTTGAGAAGGCTTTTCAGATATTTGAAAGGACTTCGGTACTATGATCTAAGCTGTATTCACTTTAGAAGGCACCCCTATCCCAGTAATAGTGTAATTCTTGCAGATTCATACAGTTACTGCCTTGATGATCTTACACAAGGTTTGATAGAATTCTCTGGATTACCAGGCAGAGACTCTTGTTTTCTTCCCTTACTCTCTCTTGAACAGAGTTTCTCTCTCTCTCTCTCTCCTCTCTCCTGAGCCACCTAAAGCTGAGAATAGAGTGACACAAGCACCCCTGTGACCACCACCACTGTGACTGTACTGAGTCAAATCCGAAGCCACTATGGGGGTTTCACCCAAGGCCTACTATAACCACTTCCTGGCTACTGCTTATGTTAGCTCTAGGCCCTGGGCCTCTACAATCAGCCAGTAGCAAAACCAGCTAGGCTTGTGATTTTTTCCTCCAGGGCAGCCAAGTCCCCAGGCCCTGGGTGTATCTAAAAGTGCCTTATGACACTCAGGGACTAGAGTAGAAAACCTTAGAAGTCTACTTGGTGTTCTATTGTATTGAGGCTGTGCTGGCACTCAAACCACAAGGTTCAGTCCTTCCCATTTTTCCTCCCCTTTCCAAAGGCAGAGGAGCCTCACTCCATAGCTACCACCACTCCAGGTGACAGGGAGTACTGCTAGACTGTCACCGATGTTCCCAAGGTCTCCTAGGTCAGCTTGTCATGAATGCTGTCTGGCCTCAGATTCACACTTCGGGGTAGTGTGCTCCCATCTGGCACAAGGAAGGTCCAGAAATTCTGTCCTAAATTCAAGTCCTGGAATCAAGGACCTGAAGTGTCCTCTTGGTGCTTGACATATGCCGTGGCTGTGCTGGTACATAAGGTGAAAGACAAAGTCTCCTTTACTTTTTCTCTGTGTTTCTCATGCAGAAAGAGCTTTGTCCCCGATCCACCACAGCTGGTAATGTGCTGAGTCTCACCTGAAGCTAGCAAGTCTCAGAGGCTCACCCAAGGCCCTCGATGTAGTGCCTGGGTGTATTAGTCTGTTCTCATGCTGCTAATAAAGATATATCCAAGACTGGGTAATTTATAAAGAAAATTGGTTTAATTGACTCATAGTTCAGGATGGCTGGGAAGACCTCATGAAACTTACAATCATGGAAGAAGGGGAAGCAAATACATCCTTTTTCACGTGGCAGAATCCAGAAAGTGCAGAGTAAAGCAGGGGAGAAGCCCCTTATAAAACCATCAGATCTTGTGATAACTCACCCACTATCATGAGAACAGCATGGAGGTTAACTGCCCCTATGATTCAATTAACTCCCACTGGGCCCCTCCCATGACACCTGGGGATTATGGAAACTACAGTTCAAGATAATGTTTAGGTGAGGACACAGCCACACCATATCAATGGACATCACTGCTGGTTACTTAAGGACCAAGGGCTCTTCAGTTAGCAGGTGATAAATGCTGCCTAGACTGGGTCCTTGCCTTCAAAAGAGCAGGGTCCCTTCTGGCACTGGGTGTGCCTAGAATTGTCATCTTGGAGCTAAGCCTGGATCAGAGGCCTCAGAACTCTGGCTGGTGTTCTATCCTGTTGTGGCTGAGCTGGTATCATAGATGCAAGAAGTTCTCCTCACTTTTTCCTCTCGTCTTCTGAAGCAGAAAGAAGGTGGTCTCTTTTGGAGCCTGAGCCATGTAGCCTGGCTTTAAGGAAAGGTTGATGCCAGCACTCATTTGGCTGCCTCATCTGATGTCTCAGTATGTCACACATCCCCTCTTCCCCAAGTCCACTATCTCTGGGCCTAATTCAACACTAGGACTTGCCTAAGAGTTGCAATCTTTTTGGCCTAGACTGCCTTTAATTTAAAATTTACAAAAAGTAATAGAGTGCTGAAGCCCTTGGTGGTGAGGTTTTGGAAGATCTCAAGTTTGGACTTCTGTTATCTGCAATTCCTCCCCTGGTTAGAGCTGGTTTAAATGTGCCCTACGTGGGCAGGTATCTGCTGAGTTTGGCTCTGTTTTTCTTTCTGCTCTAACAGAACATAAATGAGTTCGATGCTTCACAATTCCTGTGTTCTCTCTCTTCAAGCTCACAGGGAGGTTCTCCTCATCATGCCACTGCTGCCAGGTGTTGTGGGAGTGGTAGCATAGGCAATTCTGAACTGTTCTTTCAAATCTATTCAGTGCCCCTTTCAATGATATGAAGGTAAGAGTAGATACTATGAGTACTCTCCTGATTTTTGATTCCCATGAAGGTTTTCTTCTTTTTTCCGTGTAGATAGTTGTTAACTTGGTGTCCTTGTGTATGTGGGGCGGGTGGAGGGGGGACAATAAGTGGAGTGTTATATTCCACCACCTTCTTTCTACTCTTATCTTTGGTGGAAAACCTAAAAGATGAACTAATAAAAATAACCACTATAACAATTTTCAAGACTTACACACTACAATAAGACATAAAGAGGAACAGCAAAAAGTTAAAAGTAGAGGGAAGAAGTTAAAGTGTAGAATTTTTTATTAGTTTTCTTTTTGCTTGTTTGTTTTTGCAATCACTCTTCAGTTATAATCAGATTAAAATAATTGATTATATGATAGTATTTGCAAGCCTCATGGTAACCTCAAAGAAAAAAAAGAAAACAAGGGATATAGAAAGAACAAGCACAAAATTAAATCATACCAGAGAAATTCACCTTCACTTAAAGCAAAACAAGAAGGAAGAAAAGAAGAAAAAAGACCACAGCACAACCAGAAAACGAATGACAAAGTGGCAGGAGTAAGTCTCTACTTATCAGTAATAACATTGAATGTGAATGAATTAACTCTCTAATAAAATACATGGAGTCACTAAATGGATGAAAAAGGAAGACCCAATGATCTGCTGACTACAAGAAACATATTTCCACTATAAAGATACACATAGGCTGAAAGTAAAAGGATGGAAAAAGATATTCCATGCAAATGGAAACCAAATTGCACAGCAGTCACTATACTTATATCAGGCAAACTAGATTTAAAGGCAAATAGTTAAGATAAAATGAAAATGTTATTACATAATGATAAAGGGGCTAATTCAGCAAGAAGATATACCTATTGTAAATATATATGCACCAAACACTGAAACACACAGATATAGAAAGCAAATATAAATAGAGCAAAAGAGAGAGATAGACCTCACTTCAATAAAAGCTGAAGACTTCAACACTCCACTTTCAGCATTGGAAAGGTCTATACAAGCCCTACAACATCTCCTTCAGTATAACCATTCCGCTTTCTGGGAAGATAAACTGATTACCCAACACAAGCTATTCAAGCTGTAGAAATGTTACACCTATCTCTTTCTGTTTTCTAGGCAGTCTTTAACTCTTCCCCTGCCACATTACCCAGAGATGAGCATTTTTGATAGAATTATTACATGTTTTCCTGTAGAGTTGTTTGAGTTCCTTATATATTTTGGTACTTATACATTTCTTGCTTAGTACTGCTATCACTGTATTTCATTAGCTTTGGTATAATGTGTTTCCATATAGTTCCAATAAATTTTTCAATTTACTTCTTAATTACTTAATTGACTTTCTGTTCATTTAGGAGCACATTGTTTAATTTCCATTTGTTTGTATAGTTTTCAAAATTCCTCTAGTTGTTGATTTCTAGCTTTATTCCATGTAGTCAGAGAAGATGCTTGATAGTATTTCATATTCATTTTTTTGAATATTTGAAGTCTTCTTTTGTGACCTAACACACAGTCTATCCTTGAGAACAATCCACATGCTGAGGGAAAAAGTGTGTATTCTGCAGCTTTTGGATAAAGTGTTTTGTAAATATCTCTTAAGGTTCATTTGGTCTACAGTGCAGGTTAAGTTTAATGTTTTTGTTGATTTTCTGTCTGGGAGACCTTTTTAACTATACAAGCCCTACAACATCTCCTTCAGTATAACCATTCCGCTTTCTGGGAAGATAAACTGATTACCCAACACAAGCTATTCAAGCTGTAAGAAATGTTACACCTATCTCTTTCTGTTTTCTAGGCAGTCTTTAACTCTTCACCTGCCACATTACCCAGAGATGAGCGTTTCTGAAGTTCATCTAACTGATGAATTAACAAGACATCAGTTGGTGGTGGGATAAAGCATTCAGAGTAAGCACATATATGGCAGGGTGATTAGAAAGTAGCTATTTACCACAACACAGAAATAGGAGATAAATAAAATGAGTAGAAAGAGAGAAGAGCAGAACAGGTTGCTGTGTTGCTGTCTAGGAGAAGAGGTTGGACAATTAGTTTCCCTGGCTGTATTTTGTCAACCAATGAATCAGAGTAATTTAGTAGTGGACTGGGAAACTCTGCAGTTTTAGCCCAGGGAGGATGGGTGGGAGGGAATTAGTAGGTGGCAAGTTTCCCATGGTAGAATATGGAAAAAAGGAGACTGGTTGGGAGAGAATTGTGCATGTTCTGATACTCGTCATGTACACAGACTCATGGGTTCCTCTCAAACACCCTGGAAGGAGGTTGAAAAGAATAATTGCTCTATTTTTGAATAATCTGCCTGGAGTTCTAATTTTCCCCTAACTCATTTGGTGATTAGCCTTCAGGTGAAACTAAAGTATTGGCCTCCCAGTTAATGGCTAGTCAGTGTAGGACCACATGCTAATCTGTAAGGGGAAATGGGTATGATTAGTGCAGTCTACTCCTTTGTAATGCCTCTGTCTTTTCCTTCCCCCAGCCTCATTTCTCACCCCATACTTGTCCCCAGGCAATACTAATATGCTTGCTATTATTACAAATGTTTGCATTTTCTAAAATTTTATATCAGTGGAATCATCATAGTATGTACTTTTTTACCCAGCTTCATTCAGTCAGCAAAATTATTTTGAGATTAATCTATGTTGTGGTTTATATAAGTAGCTCATTCATTTTAACTGTCAGTAATATTTCATTGTATGGACTGTCTACAGTTTCTTTATTCATTCAACTGGAAACATTTGCTTCCAGTTGTTGGCTACTATAACTGCTGTGTACATTTTTGTACAAGTCTTTGCATGGTCATATGCTTGTATTTCTCTTAATTAAATAATTAGTAGTGGAATGGCTAGATACTGTGGTAGGCATATGTTTAACTTATTAAAAAGTGTCCAAACTGTTTTCTTAAGTGTTTACATTCCCATCAGCAATGTGTTAGAGTTGTAGTTGTTCCAAATCATAAAAACACTTGATAATCAGTTTTTCTAATTTTAAACACTCTAATGGTGACAGTCCAATGTTCTGAATTCAGGAACCTTCTCTATTCTTCTATCTGTCATTTTCTTCCTTCTCCTATGTCTGTATGTTGTGGGAAGTCAGGGACCCTGAATGGAGGAACCGGCAGAAGCCATGGCAGAAGAACATAAATTGTGAAGATTTCATGGACATTTATTAGTTCCTCAAATTAATACTTTTATAATTTCTTATTCCTGTCTTTACTGCAATCTCTGAACATAAATTGTGAAGATTTCATGGACATTTATCACTTCCCCAGTCAATACTCTTGTGATTTCCTATGCCTGTCTTTACTTTAATCTCTTAATCCCGTCATCTTTGTAAACTGAGGATGTATGTCTCCTCAGGACCCTGTGATGATTGAGTTAACTGCACAAATTGTTCGTAAAGCATGTGTGTTTAAACATTATGAAATCTGGGCACCTTGAAAAAAGAGCAGGATAACAGCAATGTTCAGGGAACAAGGGAGATAACCATTAGGTCTGACTGCCTGGGAGCCAGGCAGAACAGAGCCATATTTCACTTCTTACAAAAGTGAATATGAGAAACATCACCAAATTCTTTTTCTCAGCAAGGAACAGCCCTGAGAAAGAGAATGCATTCCTAGGGAGAGGTCTCTAAAATGGCCACTCTAGGAACGTCTGTCTTCTATGGTTGTTGATAAGGGATGAAATAAGCCCTGGTCGGCCATAGCACTCCCAGGCCTATTAGGATAAGAAAATTCCTGCCTAGTAAATTTTAGTCGGACCGGTTGTCTGCTCTCAAACCCTGTCTCCTGATAAGATGCTATCAGTGACAATGTGTGCCCAGTGGGACATGAAACTTCATTAGCAATTTTAATTTTGCCCCAATCCTGTGATCTCGCTCTGCCCTCATTTGCCTTGTGATATTTTATTGCCTTGTGAAGCATGTGATCTCTGTGACCCACACCCTATTCATACACTCCCTCTCCTTTGAAAATCACTAATAAAAACTTGCTGATTTTGCAGCTTGGGGGGCATCATGGAACCTGCCAACATGTGATGTCTCCCCCAGATACCCAGCTTTAAACTTTCTCTCTTTTGTACTCTTTCCCTTTATTTCTCAGACCGGACAACACTTAGGGAAAATAGAAAAGAACCTACATTGAAATGTCAGGGGCTGGTTCCCCCAATATCTGTGTGTAGGGTTCTGGTGGAATAAGTTATCTCCTAGTTGAGGCAGGGCTGTGCTTCAGTGTACCTGGGTCACTGATCTGGGACTCTAAATATTCTGAGTATCCATTACCTCCGAAGTATAATGTAGACAAGTGGGAATCTGTGAAAATCAGAGCATATGTAAATGTTATTAGGTTTGTCCTTGTAGGCACCCTGCTCAGGAATCTGGCTTGAGCCTCAGCCCTGCCATAACCATACCAGCTCAGATGAATCACAACAAATCACTCAGCTTTTCTTTCACACCTGCCAAAAACGGGACCCATATGTATAGACAGAGGTTGGGTTATGGTCTTCCTACCTCTTGGGTTCTGCTATGATCTGAACGTGTCCCTCCAAAATTTATATGTTGAAATTCTAACCCCCAAGGTGATGGCATTAGGAGGTGGGGGACTTTGTGAAGTGATTAGATAATAAAAGCAAAACCCTCATGAATGAGATTAGTGTCCTTATGAAAAAGAGCCCAGAGTACTAGCTTTCCTTTCTGCCATGTGAGAACACAATGAAAAGGTGGCCTTCCGTGAATTACTAAATGTATTATCACAGGATACTAAATCTTCTGATGCTTTGACCCTGAACTTCCCAGCCTCCTAAATTCTGAGACATCAGTTTCTGTTGTTTACAAGCCACCCAGTCCATGGTATTTTGTTATAGTAGCCCGAATGGACTGAAACAGAAAATTGGTACCAATAATAGAGTACTGCTATAACAAATCTCTAAAAACGTGAAAATGGCTTTGGAACTGGGCATTGAGTAGAGGTTGAGTAATGGGTAGAGATGCATGCTAGAATAAGCTTACATTGCTTTCAATACACTGTTAAGGGTGATTCTGGTGAGAGCCTGAGAGAAGAGGAGGAGAGCTGTAAATAAAGTCTCAATTTTTGTAGAGAATATCTAAGTGGTTGTTGTGTTAGTCTGTTTTGCATTGCTAAAAAGGAACACCTGATGTTGGGTAACTTATAAAGAAAAGAGGTTTATTTAGCTCACCATTCTACAGACTGTATAGTAAGCATGGCATCAGCATTTGCTTCAAATGAAGGCCTCAAGAAGCTTTTACTCCTGGCAGAAGGCAAGTGGGGAGCAAGTGTGTCACATGACAGGGGATGGAACAACAGAGAGGGGAGGAGGTGCCAGAATCTTTTAGTCCACCAGATCTTGTGTGAACTAATAGAGTGAGAACTCACTCATTACCATGGGGAGAGCATCAACCCATTCATGAGGAATCCACTCCCATGACCCAAACAATTCCCACTAGGCCTCACCTCCAATATTAGGGGTCACATTTCAACATGAGATTTGGAGAAGATAAATATCCAAGGCATATCAGGTGTTAATGAATGTTGGCAAAAATATTGATGGTAAAGGCTATTCTGAAGAGGTCTCAGATGGAAACGAGTTACAAGTTATTGAACAATTGTGGAAATGGTAAAGAATGTGTCTGAATTATGTTTATGTTCTAGTATTTTGCAGGAGGTAGAACTTGTGAGCAATGAAATTGGATATTTGGCTGAGGATATATCTAACAAAATGATGAAGGAGTAGCCTGGTCTTCCTCAACTGCTTATAGCAAAATGTGAGAAGATAAAAATGACTTAAAGATGGAAATGTTGAGCAGAAGGAAAGCAGAAATTAAAATTTTGAAAAATGTGTAGCCTATCCAGATTATAATATATATACAATATATAATATATATTATAATATATATCTATATATATAGATATATAGTCTGTTAGAAATTCTGTTTGGGAGAGAACATTAAGTATGTGGCCAAATTTGATAATGAGATTAGTATGGATCAGCCATCTCAACGGAAGTTAGAAGCTATTCATTAAGACAATGGGGAGATTAGTCAGCCACCTAAAGAAAAGGCAGAACCTATAGTCAAAGACAAAGGAAGAATAATCCTAAAGGTTTTTTTGAAAAGGTCTCACTCTGTTGCTTAGGCTGGTATGCAGTGGAACAATCATGGCTCACTGCAGACTCAACCTCCAGGCTCAATCAATCCTCCCACCTCATTCTTCTGAGTAGCTAGAACTACAGGCACACACCACCACATCCAGCCAATTTTTGTATTTTTGTAGGGATGGGGTTTTACCATGTTGTCCAGGCTGCTCTTGAACTCATGGGTTCTAATGATCCACCTACCTCAGCCTCCCAAAATGCTGAGATTACAGTCATGAGCCACCACATTCGGCCCTAAAAATATTTCAAAGATCATTGGGACTGCCTTTCCCATCACAGATCCAGACTTCAAGAGCCTGGGTGGAAGGTAGACCAATTTTAAAGGAGAGGCCACTGATGCCTGGCTCTACCTCAAATCATGGACTTCACACTTCATACACCATCACTGTGCTCCCCAGCTGCCTTAGGTGCAGTTCTGACAGGCCTCAGAGCAGCATGCACTGTGCCCGGCAAAGCTGTGGTCATGGCTGCCTCCACATAGATTTTAAAGGATGCCCCCAGAGAGCTGTGGAGCTCCTGTAGGAAACCATTGTGGAGTTGAGGCCACCAGAGAGAACCCACACCAGGGTAAGGCCCAGTGGAGCCATGGAGTGGGGCTGCCCCCAAGACTCCAGACTAGTATAGTCAGTGCCGTTTGATTCCAGATTGAGAGAGCCACAGGCATGAGACTCAAACCTGCAAGAGCTGTAACATGGACTGCATCTAGTAAAGCCAAGTGGGTAAGGCCGCCCAAATCTGTAGATGTGGGACCTTCACTCCAGTGTGTCTAAAAGGTGGAACGCCCACCCTTGTGGGCATGGAGGGCAGCACATTGAGTCAATGAAGACTATTCTTGAGCCTTAAGATTTAATATTACTTGCCATGCTGAATTTTGGACTCATTTGGCACCTTTCACTGCTTCCTTCTTTTCCAGTTCTCATTTTTGGAATGGAATGTCTGTCCTGTGCCTTCTCTACCACTGTATTTTGAAAGCACATATTTTGTTTGATTCCACAGGCTAACATCTGGAGGAACATTTGCCTCAATACAAATCATGCCTTGAATCTCACACGTATCTGATTTAGATAATATTTAGATGAAACCTTAAACTTTAGACTTTTGAGTTGATGCTGAAATGAGTTAACACTTTTGGAGTTATTGGATTGGAATTAATGTATTTTGCCTATGATAAAAACATAAAGTTTGGAGGTCTAGAACTGGAATTCTGTAGTTAAAATGTTTTGAGCTCTCATGATTTGGGTTAGTGTCCATATAAAAATCATGAGCTCTCATGATTTGAATTAGTGTCCATATAAAAAGAAACTCCAGAGAGCTAGCTCACCTCACACACTATGGGAGGACACAGTAAAAAGACAACCAAGTGGGCCCTCACCAGGCATCACATCTTCTGGTGCTCTTATCTTGGACTTACCAGCCAGCAGAGCTGCAATAAATAAATTTTTGTGGTTTAAAATCATCTAGTCTATGGTATTTTGTTTTAATAGCCCAAATAAACTGTGACAGGTTCCATAGGCATTTGCTCAATTTCTTCCAGAAAGAATCTTACTTTTTGTTTCCTTCATAGGTCTTACTCTAAAGACTGAATTCTTTCTTGTTGAGTACTACACCTGACCTACTAGGGAATCAAATATTATGCCTTGGTATTGTGAGAAGGATAAACTCTTTCTGGATGATAAAGAGAAATCTCTATTGCTTCTCCAGCATCCCTGTGTGGGAGGAGCAGACTCACAGAATCACAATCTCCCAAAGATAGAGGCCTTTAGAGACCATCGAATCAGTGCCCTTGTTGTATAAAAGATATGAAGCCAAAGTTATAAAAATGCTTTGTTCAAGTTTATTCTGGGAATCAGTGTCAGTGTCAGGACTAGAATCAGGCCTTCTTTCTTTTAGATCAGCACTCTTGTAGGTTTGAAATATTTGTGAATGAGAACCTTGTGAGAGCCAAATAAATGTTATTTTGTCAATAAAATAGCTGCAGCTCATAAATCTTGGGAGAATTTTTTTTTGAATTGAGGGCTGTATCTGCTCAGCACCCTAGCCCATCCCATCTCTGAAGTTCATAGGAAGTAACAGATTTCTTCATTTCCTGCACTTGGATTAATTGGCCAGTCTTGTATTGGCTAATAATAAAGGGCACATTGGCTGAGGGCCTAGGAGAAGCACCAGCTAGAAAGTTGGCATATGGAATACAGGAAGCTGAAGAAAGTAAGTTAAAGAAGATAATAGTAACAGTGGCTAATATTTATTGAGATCTATCATGTGCCTAGTGGTGTTCTGAGAACTTTAGGTAGGTCATATTATTTTATCCTTATATCAATCCCATGCAACAGACACTATTATTATTATCATCCTAATTTTACGGATGAGAAAAAAATAAGAGGCATAAAAGTGGTGAGTAACTTGCCCAAGGTCATAGGTAAAAGCTGGTAAATCCTAGCACTTTGGCTCCAAAGCCCATGCTCTTGTCTCCTATGCTATAGAATAAAGGCATGCAAGGAGTTAGTGGAAGCACAGAAAGACTGTCTGTGGTAGTTGAGTACTAAAAGAGACCTACTGCTTGCAAGAGCTAGGTTTAAGTTGGGGTCAGGGGCACAGTGCCATTGGGCCTGAAGGTGGCCAACACCAGAGTTTGGCTTATTAATATAACTACTGCTGCCTAGATGGGCAGAGTCAAATAAAACATATAACTTATTCATTCAACCCTTCATATATTCAACAAGAATTCACTGAAAATCTAACTCTATGCCAACATTATGTTGTGTTATGTGAAACACAGACACAAACCAGACACAACTTCTGGCCCTTGGTACTCATAATCTATCAGAAAATATAAAACGTGGACACGACAATGATATTATAGAGAAGTAAGCGATAACACAGACATCGGTGGTCAGAAAAGTCTTTTGAGTGGAGATGTCATTTGAGTTGGCTTTTTTTGTTTGTTTGTTTTGTTTGTTTTTTTATGGAGTCTCACTCTGTCACCCAGGCTGTAGTGCAGGGGCGTGATCTTGTCTCACTGCAACCTCTGCCTCCCAGGTTTAAGCAATTCTCTGCTTCAGCCTCCTGAGTAGCTGGGATTACAGGCATGTGCCACCAAGCTTGGCTAATTTTTGTAATTTTAGTACAGACGTGGTTTCACCATCTTGGTTCATCTTGGTCTTGAACTCCTGAACTCATGATCCACCCACCTCAGCCTCCCAAAGTGCTGAGATTACAGGCATGAGCCACCACGTGTGGCCGAGTTGGGTTTTAATGGGTGAGTAGGGTTTTGACACATGTAAATATAGGAAAGAACATTCCAGGCAGAGAAAACAACATTAACAAAATCAAGGAAGAAAATGGAGTATGTATTTGAAACATAAAGCAGTTTAACTTGGCTGAAGCATGGACTAAGAATACAAAAAATTAGTAGCTAATATCTACATATCAGTTCATTTAGTTTTCATAACAACCCTTTGAGATAGATACGGTCATTGCTTCCATTTTACAAATAAGAAAATTAAGGCTCAGAGTGGATAAGTAATTTACTAGAGGTCTCACAGCTAAAGAGTGGTGAAGCTAGAATCTGAACTAAGGAGGTTGGTTCAAGAGTGCATGTCTTTAATAGACGATAAGTATTTGGACTTTACTGTGAGTAAGAGGAGCCACTGAGAGTGTTAAATACTTAATTGAATTAGAATGAATTAACATTTTTATAGTTCTCCCTGGTAACAAGATGAAGGTTGCATTGGAGGGAGACTGGAAGCAGGTTGATCAATAGGAGGCAGTGGTAATGTTGGTGGATTTGACCAGGCAATTTTCAGAGAACGGAGATAAATTGGTGGGTTTGTGAGACAGAGCTGTGGATTCCATTAAGATTGAACAAAAACTCAGGTTTGAATAATAGATTGAAGATTAATACCATGAGGCAAGAACAGTTGAAGTCTTCAAAGCCTCTGTTCTTGCAATCATCTTTTTTATTTGTACAGTGTGTGCTCTCCACTATTTTCAGACCTTTAGGGAAATAGATCAGAAGTTTCAGGAAAGAAAGGGCATGCACCCAAGTTGTGCTGATTATTCTCCATTGGTTCTCCTATGTCTACTCTGCCCTCCTCTACCTTGCTCTGCATCCTGGGAATTTTACTTCTATGGATCGTATCACCTGAGCTTCCTTCCACTCTCATTTCAGTTTGGGCATAATTTATATGTCATATATTGGCAAAAGCGCTAATAAATTAATATCTGTTGAAAATCATTAAGCACTTACTATAGTCTAATTATGTGCTAGATGCTTTACATACATTGCCACATTAATATCCACAAAAATTCATGTGGAGTAAATATTATTAACTATTTTATAGATGTGCAAACTGAGATTCAGTTAGATAAGGTGATATTTCCAAGTTCCCCCAGGTAGAAACCTAAAACAGGATTTAAACATAATTTAAATTACTTTTAAAGCCCATACACTTTATATCACAAGCTACAGTTATGTAAATATGCACCGTAGCAAAATGTGGGTTAGGAATTCTGGACTCCAGTACTAGTTTTGCTGTGTGACCTTGGAAAAGTCATTTCAACATTCCAAACATCATTTTCCTCATCTAAAAGTTGAAAATGATAATATCTACTTAAATGGGTTGCTGTAACCTTAGGGTCAAGGAAGAAAAAACATACATATACCTTACAAAAAGCACAAGGTACAAAACAAATAAGCAGGATTTAGTCAATTAGAAAGTGGTGAAGACTGACTCTAAGTCCCTGGCCTTCAGCAGCTTTCAAGGGGGTTGAAATCTAGTGATATTTTTTCTCTTTTACTATTGGTACTTGGTGTTTAAACAATACCTTACCTGGAACCCTGAAGTCTAAAAGAAAAACAGTTCTGATCAAAGTGAGATGAAGAATTCAGAGCCTACTCTATCCAGTTGCCACCAGCAGACCATAAAGCCAGAGCTTTGTGGTTTGCAGCCCAATCGTAGGCTTAAAATAACTGTCTGGCTCAAGATCAGTATTTTAATACAATAGAATGAAATAAAATGAAATATCAGAATACAGCAGATAGGAAATAGGTAAGTATAAATTTCTGTTTCAGTTCTATGTGTGTGTGTAAAATGTAAAGGTCAGATGTAAAATGTACTTCACATTTACAGAGTCCAGAAGTTGGAAAATTACTTACCTTGGGGACTCTGTTGAATTATGTAAATAATAATTTTTTTAATTTTTAATTTTTGTGGAGTCATAGGTGTATTTATTTGTGGGACACAAGGGATATGTTGATACAGGCATGTAATGCATACTAATCACATCACTAAAATGGCTTCTCTATCCTCCCAAGCTTTTATCCTTTGTGTTACAATCTAGTAATACATTTTGGGTTATATTAAAATATACAATTAGGCCGAGAGCAGTGGCTCATGCCTGTAATCTCAGTACTTTGGGAGTCTGAGGTGGGTGAATAATTTGAGGTCAGGAGTTTGAGACCAACCTCGCCACCAGGGTGAAACCACGTCTCTACTAAAAAATACAAAAATTAGCCAAGCACAGTGGTATGCACCTGTAATCCCAGCTACTTGGTAGGCTGAGGCAGGAGAATTGCTTGAACCCAGGAGGCAGAGGTCGCAGTAAGCCAAGATAGAACCACTGCACTCCAGCCGGGCAGTGGAGTGAGACTCCGTCTCAAAAAAAAAAAAAAAAAAAAAAAAAAAAAACAATTAAATTATAATTATAGCCACCCTGTCATGCTACCAAATACTAGGCTTTATTCATTGTTTCCAACTAGTTTTTTATGTCCATCAACCATCCCCTCCTCCCTCTGGAACCCCCCACTACCCTTCTCAGTCTATGGTAACTATTCTTGCATTCTCTATCTCCAAGGGTTAAATTGTTTTGATTTTTAGATCTCACAAATAAGTGAGAACCTGTGATGTTTGTCTTTCTGTGCCTGGCTTATTTCACTTAACATAAGAACCTTCAGTTCCATCCATGTTGTTGCAAACAAGAGGATCTTAGTCTTTTTTAAGGATGAATAGTACTCCATTGTGTATGTGTTCCACATTTGCTTTATCCATTCAACTGCTGAAGGGCACTTATGTTGCTTTCAAATCTTGGCTATTGTGAACAGTGCTGCAACAAACACAGGAGTGCAGATATCTCTTTGATATAGTGATGTCCTTTATTATGGATATATACTGAGCAGTGGGCTTGCTGAATCACATGGTAGCTCTATTTTTTTTGTTTTTGGAACCTCCAAAGTGTTCTCCATAGTGGCTGTACTAATTTATATACCCACCAAGCGTTCCATTTTCTCTAAATCCTCATCAGAATTTGTTATTGCCTGGCTTTTGGATAAAGCCATTTTCACTGGGATGAGATAATATCTCATTGTAGTTTCTATTTGCATTTCTCTTATAATCAGTGATGCTAAGCCCCTTTTCATGTGCCTATTTGCTATTTGTATGTCTTCTTTTGAGAAATATCTATTCACATTACTTGCTCATTTTTTGATCAGATTAATAGATTTATTTCCACAGAGTAGTTTGAGATTTTTATATATTCTGTTTATTAATCCATTATCAGATGAGTAGTTTACAAACATTTTCTCACATTTTTTTGGGTTGTTTCTTCACTTTTTGGATTGTTTTCTTTGCTGCCCAGAAGCTTTTTGAGTTGAGGTGATCCCATTTGTCCATTTTTGCTTTGGTTGCCTATACTTGAGAAATTTTTGTCCAGACCAATCAATGTCCTGGAGAGTTTTCCCAATGTTTTCTTGTAGCAGTTTCATAGTTTGCACCTTAGATTTAAGTATTTAATCCATTTTGATTTGATTTTTTTATATGGTAAGAGATAGTGGTCTCATTTCATGCTTCTCTGTATGGATGTACAGTTTTCCTAGCACCATTTATTGAGAAGACTGTGTTTTCCCCAGTGTACGTTGTTGGCACCTTTTTTGAAAATGAGTTCACCGTAGGTGTATTCATTTGTTTCTGGGTTCTCTATTCTGTTTTATTCATCTATGTGTCTATTCTTATGTCACTGTCTTGCTGGTTTTGGTTACTACAGCTCTGTAATATAATTTGAAGTCAGATAAAGTGATTCTTTCAGTTTTGTTCTTTTTGCCAAGGATAGCTTTGGCCATTCTGGGTCTTTTGTGATTACATATAATTTTTAGAACTGTTTTATTTTATTTCTGTGAAGAATGTCACTGATATTTTGATAAGGATTGCATTGAATCTGTAGATTGCTTTGAGTAGTACGGACATTTTAACAATATCGATTTTTCTAATCTAGGAACATGGAGTATCTTTCCATTTATTTGTGTCCTTCTCAGTTTCTTTCATCAGTGTTTTACAGTTTTCATTACAAGAATCTTTAATTTATTTGGTTAAGGTAATTACTAGATATTTAATTTTATGTGTAGCTATTGTAAATGGGATTGCTTTTTGATTTCTTGTTTGGATTGTTCACTGTTGGCATACAGAAATGCTACATATTTTTGTATGTAGATTTTGTTTCCTAAAACAAGTTTACTGAACTTACACATCAGTTCTAATAGATTGCTTGTGCAGTCTCTAGGTTTTTCCAACCAGGCTCTGGGAAACAGAAAAAAAATAAAAACAACTCTGAGTTCCCAAAGTGTGAAAGTATGAAAGTGGGATTGTCCACCCCCAAACACACATCTTCATTGGGGAACCTGAAGGTCCAGATCACAGGAGAAGGATTTGACCTTACCTAGAGCTGCGATGAATCTAAAGACCTAAACAAACCACCGTGGCATATGTCTACCTATGCTACAAATCTGCATGTCCTGCACACGTATCCTGGAACTCGAAATAAATACAATAAAGTTGAGAAGGAAAAATAAAAAAATAATAAAAAATTAAAAAATAAAAATAGTTTTTATTTTCTAAAGAATTTTGCTTTGTATGCAGTTTAAAGAAACAAATAGGTACTTGTCACAGCTGTCAGCCTGCCCCCCTCTCCCATTATCTACTCCCTAGGGGGAACTACTTGGAGCTCCTTTAGCTAAATAGCATGCTTATAAAGGTTTGTTGCATAGGTAGACGTGCGCCATGGTGGTTTGCTGCACAGATCAACCTATCACCTAGGTATTAAGCCTCAAATGCATTAGTTATTTATTCTGATGCTCTCCCTCCCCCGCCCAACCCCAGGTCCCAGTGTGTGTTGTTACCCTCCCTGTGTTCATGTGTTCTCATTGTTCACCTCCCACTTATGAATGAGAACATGCAGTGTAAAAACTATTTTTAAAAGCAAATTTAAATCAGATCATGTCACCAAATTACATAAAACCCTTAGTGGCTTACCATTGCAATTAGAACAAAATCTTCTCTTTCCCATGACTTACATGCTTCATCATGATCTGAATCCCACCTATCTTATTTCATTTCATACGACTCTCCCCCTTGATCTCTAGGCTCCAGTCACTCTGGCCTGCTTTTTATCCCCAAACACAAGCTTGTCTCCATCTCCAGGAGTTTGTACTTGCCATTCCCTCTGCCTGGAATCCCTTTCCCCAGATATTTTCACAGCTGCCTCCTTCTGTTCACAAGACTCAACTGAAAGTTGCCTCTTCAGAGAAGCCTTCCATGACAATCCAATCTCAAACAATCAGGCAAACCCAAATTGAAATTTAATTCCAGTCTAAAGTCAACTGGTCTGTACTCTTCAAAAGTGTCAATGTCATGAAAGACAAATGAAAGCTGGGGTTAATCTAGATTAAAGGAGCCTAAAGAGATAGAACTAAATGCAATCTATGATTTGACCTTATATTTACAAAAAAAAAAAGCTATATAGAGCATCATTTGGACAATTTGAGAAATTCAAATATGCATTGTATTCTAGATAATATTAATGTATCATTGTTAATTTTCATAAGTGTGACCATTGTGTATGAAGGAGAATGTCCTTGCTCTTTATGAGATACATGCTGAAATACTTATGTGTGACATGTCATGATGTCTGCAACAAACGTTCAAGTGGCTCAGTGAAAAATAAAGAGATAGATATGCAGATAAATAGATGGAGTTATAGATATTAAGTAAATGTGATAAAGTGTTAGCAATTGGTAAACCATATGTAAGTGATCACTGTGTTATTCTTGCAACTTTTCCTTAGGATTGAAAATTTTTCAAATCAGAACTGGGTGGAAAAAAATCTTGAAGTTTATTTAGTAGGTTTGTTACTGGTAGTAGCATTGGTGAATTAATTCCAAACTATTTTGGATGTGTTATAGGATTAAGCAAATGAGTAAATAAATTGACTGACCAAAGTAGCCCTCCAGGCACTTTCTATCACGTCATCCTGTTTTGTTTTCTTCATTGCACTTATTTTCTGAAACAACGTCTTCATGTATGTATGTCGGTTTAATGTCTGTATTTCCCCAGCCTTTAGCCAATAAATGAAATTTGAGCACGGAAAAAAAAAAAAAAAAAAAAAAACTAAACAAAATACAGTGCTAGAGGAAGCAGCCATTTCTGAATTTGTCTCACAGGGGTCCGTGAGGAGGGCTGCCAATGAAATTGGGGCAATACCACAGGGAAAAGAAAACCTCCAGCTGAACTTTGTAATAGTTTCAACTGAATGTGAAGTTTCCTCGACAGAAACTGGGGGAGGGGGAAAACTAGAAGTGCAGACATGAGCACAGAAGCCATGGCAGGTGAGGAGGCATCAAACCTGAAAGCCTTGCCTGCTTTCTCAGTGGGGAGGCTTGTAGCATGGGGCAAGTTTTCAGCTCTGCTCACCCACTGCCTGGAAATAAACTCAGTGCTGTTGGAGTGGGGGGCACAGTAGGAGATGGGCTATGTAGGAGTTGGGTGAGGCCTGTAACTGCTGGATTTTCCCCACTTCCCTGGCAACCTGCATGACACTGTAGGGGCAGCCATAATCCCCTCAGGAAGATAACTCCATTGGCTTGAGAACCACATCCCCATCCTCCACAGCAGCTGCAGCAAAGAGAGTCTTGCACTCAAGGAGTATCTGAACTCAGACACACCTAACCCTGCCCAGGTCTTTCTCTACCTGCCCTGGTAGTCGAAGACAAAGGGCATAAACTCTTGTGATCTCTGTGGCTCCACCCACCACCTGAGAAATCAGAATACTTATCCAGGTGACCCTAGGGCAAGATTTAATCCTCCCTTTACTACCACAGCTAATGCTGTCTTGAGAGCACCACCACCTGGCTGGAGTCAAACCAACACAGAACTAGCACACTAAACAAAAATACAACCAAGGAACCTCACAGGGTCCACCTCACTCCCCATTACCTCCACTGGGGCAGGTGCTGGTATCCACTGCTGAGAGAACTAAAGATAGATTACATCACAGGACTTTTTGCAGACACTCCCCAGTACCAGCCTGGAGCTCTGGAGCTCTGCTAGGTGTCTAGTTCCAGAAAATACATAACAGTCACTGCAGTTCGGCTCTTAGGAAGCCACATTCCTAGGGGAAGAGGGAGAGCACCACATCATGGGAGCACCCTGTGGGACAAAATAATCTGATCAGCAGTCTTTGAGCACCAGATCTTCCCTCTGACATAGTCTGCTCAAATTAGAAAAAAAAACAGAAAACAATTCTGATAGTATGACAAAACAAGGTTATTTAACACCCCCAAAAGATCACATTAGCTCACCAGCAATGGATTCAAACCAAGAAGAAATCTCTGTATTGCCAGAAAAAGAATTCAGAAGGTTGATTATTAAGCTGCTCAAAAAGGCACTAGAGAAAGGTGAATACCAACTTAAGGATTTTTTAAAAGTTACAGGATATGGATATAAAATTCTCCAGAGAGGCCGGGAGCAGTGGCTCATGCATGTAATCCCAGCACTTTGGGAGGCCGAGGCAGGTGGATCACAAGGTCAGGAGATCGAGGCCATCCTGGCTAACATGGTGAAACCCCATCTCTACTAAAAAATACAAAAAATTAGCTGGGTGTGGTGGTGGGTGCCCATAGTACCAACTACTTGGGAGGCTGAGGCAGGAGAATGGCATGAACCTGGGAGACAGAGCTTGCAGTGAGCCGAGATCATGCCACTGCTCTCCAGACTGGGTGACAGAGCAAGACTCCATCTCAAAAAAAAAAAAAATCTCCAGAGAAATACATGCTATAAATACAATTACAACTTCTGGAAATGAAGAACACACTTAGAGAAATGAGAAATACACTGGAAAGTCTCAGCAATAGAATTGAAGATGTAGAAGAAAGAACTTCAGAGCTCAAAGACAAGGCTTTTGAATTACCCAATCCAATAAAGACAAATAAAAAAAAACAACTAATGAACAAACCTTTTAAGAAGTTTGGGATTTATGTTAAATGACCAAACTTAAGAGTACTTGGTGTTCCTGAAGTAGAAGAGAAATTTAAAAGTCTGGAAAACATATTTGAGGGAATAATTAAGGAAAACTTTCCCAGCTTTGCTAGAGATCTAGATATTTAAATACAAGGCACTCAAAGAACACCTGGGAAATTTATCACAAAAAGATTATCACCTAGGCACACAGTCTTCATATTATCTAAAGTCAAGACAAAGGAAAGAATCTTAGGAGTTGTGAGGCAAAAGCATCAGGTAACCTATAAAGGAAAATCTATCAGATTAACAGCAGATTTCTCAGCAGAAATCCTATAAGCCAGAAGCGATTGGGATTCTATCTTTAGCCTGCTTAAAAAAAAAATTATCAGCTAAGAATTTTGTATCCAGTGAAACTAAGCTTCATAAATGAAGGAAAGATAGCCTTTTTCAGACAAACAAATGCTAAGAGAATTTGCCACTAGCAAACCAGCAATACAGGAACTGCTTAAAAAGCTCTAAATCTTGAAACAAATCTTCAAAATACAACAAAATAGAACCACCTTAAAGCAGAAATCTCACGGGACTTATAAAACAATAACATAATGAAAAAAAAACAAGGTATTCAGACAAAAAAATAGAATGATGAATAAAATAGTACCTCACATCTCAAACTAACCTCAAATGTAAATAGCCTAAATGTTCCACTTAAAAGATACAAAAATAAGGAATTACATAAAATTAAGGTAAAGGGGTGGAAAATATATTTCATGCAAATGGACACCAAAAGAGAGCAAGAGTAGCTATTCTTATATCTGACAAAGCAAACCTTAAAGTAACAACAGTGAAAAAAGACAAAGAGAAACATTATATAATAATGAAAGAATTTTTCCAATAAAAAAAGTCCCAATTCCAAATATATATGCACCTAACACTGGAGCTTCCAAATTTATAAAACAATTACTACTAGACCTAAGATATGAGATAGACAGCAACACAATAATAGTGGGGGACTTCATTACTTCACTGACAGCACTAGACAGGTCATCAGGACAGAAAGTCAACCAAGAAACAATGAACTTAAACTATACCCTAGAACAAATGGACTTAACAGATATTTACAGAACATTCTACCCCAAAACTGAAAAATATACATTCTATTCATCAGCACACAAAATATTCTCCAGGACGGAATATATGATAGGCCACAAAAAAAGTCTCAATAAACAGTAGTAAATCAAAATTATATGAAGTACTCTCTCAGACCACAGTGGAATAAAATTGGAAATCAACTCCAGAATGAACCCTCATAACCATGCAAATACACGGAAATTAAATAACTTGTCCTTGAATAATTACTGGGTCAACAGTGAAATCAATATGAAAATTTAAAAGTTATCTGAACTGAACAATAATACTGACACAACTTATCAAAACCTCTGAGATGCAGCAAAGACAGTGCTAAGAGGAAAGTTCATAGCATTAAATACCTACATCAAAAAATCTGAAAGAGCACAAATAGACAATGTAAGGTTGCCCCTCAAGGAACCAGAGAATCAAGAACAAACCAAACCCAAACACAGCAGAAGAAAAAACATAACAAAGATAAGAGCAGAACTAAATAAAATTGAGACAAACAAAATAAAAATACAAAAAAGAATAAAACAGAAAGCTGGTTCTGTGGAAAGATAAATGAAGTTGATAGACCAATAGCAAGATGAACCAAGAGATGATCCAAATAAGCTCAATTTGAAATGCAACAGGAGACATTACAACTGATACCACAGAAATACAAAAGATTGATGCACACAAATCAGTAGCTCTTCTATACACTGACAGCGACCAAGTGGAGAATTAAATCAATAACTCAACCCTTTTTACAATAGCTGGAAAAATAATACTTAGGAATATCCCTAACCAATGAGTCGAAAGACCTCTACAAAGAAAACTATAAAACATTGCTCAAAGAAACCACAGATGACACAAGCAACTGAAAACACATCTTATGTTCATGGATGCATAGAATCAATATTGTGAAAATGACTGTACTGCCAAAAGCAATCTACAAATTTAATGCAATTCCCATCAAAATACAACGATTATTTTTTACAGAACTAGAAAAAAATAATCCTAAAATTCATATGGAACCAAAAAAGAGCCTGCATAGCCAAAACAAGATGAAGCAAAAAGAACAAATCTGGAGGCATCACATTACCTGACTTCAAATTATACCATAAGGCCATAGTCACCAAAACAGCATGGTAGTGGTATAAAAATAGGCACATCAACCAATAGAGCAGAATAGAGAACCCAGAAATAAACTCAAATACGATCAACTGGACTTTGAAAAAGCAGCAACAATGAAGTTGGGAAAGGGCACCCTATTCAACAAATACTGCTGGGATAATTGGCAAACCACATGTAGAAGAAAAAAATTGGATCCTCATCTCTCACCTTATACAAAAATTAACTCAAGGTGGATCAAAGACTTAATTTTAAGACCTGAAACCATAAAAATTCCATAAGATAACACCAGAAAAACCCTTTTAGACATTGGTATAGGCAAAAACTTTATGACCAAGAACCCGAAAGCAAATGCAACAAAACAATGATGAATAGATGGGACTTAATTACATGAAAAAGCTTTTCCACAGCAAAAAAGATAATCAGCAGAGTAAACAGACAAACCACAGAGTGGGAGTAAATCTTTGCAATCTATACATCCATCAAAGGACTAATGTCCAGAGTCTACTAAGAACTCAAACAAATTAGCAAGAAAAACAAACAAACAATTCCATAAAAAAGTGGGTTAGGAATATAAATAGACAATTCTCAAAAGAAGATTTACAAATGGTCAAGAAACATATGAAACAATGCTCAGCATCACTAATAATCAGGGAACTGCAAAGCAAAACCACAATGCAATACCACCTTACTCCCCCAAGAATGGCCATAATTTAAAAAAATTAAAAAAAATAGATGTTGTCGTGGATGTGGTGAAATGGGAATACTGTGGCACTGTTGACAATGTAAACTAGTACAAACGCTATGGAAAACAATGTGGAGATTTCTTAAAGAACTAAAAGTAATTCCATTACTGGGTATCTACCCAGGGGAAAAAAAGTCATTATTTGAAAAATATACTTGCACATGCATGTTTCTAATAGCACAACTCACAATTGCAAAAATTTAGAGCAAGCCCAAATGCCCATTGATCAGTCAGTGATACAGGAAATATATATATATATATACACACACACACACACACACACACACACATATATATATATATACACACACACACAGACACATACATACCATGAAATACTACTCAGCCATAAAAAGAAATGAAATAATGGTATTTGCTGCAACCTGGATGGATTTGGAGACAATAGTTCTAAGTGAAGTAACTCAGAAATGGAAAAATAAACATCATATGTTCTCACTTATAGTGGGAGCTAAGCGATGAGGATGCAAAGGCACTAATAATGTTACAATGGACTTTGAGGACTCTAGAGAAAGGGTAGGAGGGTGGTGAGGGGTAAAAGACTACACATTGGGTACAGTATACACTGCTTGGGTGATAAGTGCACCAAAATCTCAGAAATCACCACTAAATAACTTATTCATGTAACCAAACATCACCTGTTTCCCAAAAACCTATTGAAATATAAAAATAATTTTTAAAAATTAAAAAGGCATAAAACAAAGCAAAAACAAACAGAGAAACAAACAAAAAATAATCTTGGATAATCTATTAGGTAAACTCCCTTAGTTCATGTGTACCTTGTACCCAATTTTTAATAAATTTAACAATTGATGTAGATGGTAAAATAAAAAATGCACTAATAATGTTCATGCAAAATCAAATCACTAAATAGATAAATAATAAAAAACATAAGATCATATTATCCATATGAAAAGAAAATTTGATGTCTTCCTTGCCAATCATAATGTCCTTTATTTCTTTCTCTTTGAACTTTATATTTGGAGGTAGAATTGACAGGAACTTCTAATGGGCTGGATGTGGGAGATGAGGAAGAGAGCATTCAAGGACCGCATTTATTTTTTGGCTTGAGCGAACGGGTGAATACTGTCTTTACTGTGATGATTAATACTGTGAGGAAGAGGTTTTAAGGTAAGACTTAAGAGTTCTAAGTTGGTCATGTTTGTGTTTGACATATCTGTGAGACATCTATATTAGGACGACGTGTGGGCATTTAGATACACAAATCTGAAACTCAAGGTAAAGGTCAAACCTGGGGATACATATTTGTAAGCTGTGAATATAAATGAAATTTAAAACCATGGGGCTACACAGCATCAACTAGAGAGAGATGGTGAAGGGAGATGTGGACTCAAATGAGTGCCCTAAACAAGCCCTGAGTTTAAGGAGATGAAGCAAGGAAACTACCCCACTGCCTAAGTGAAGGTAAGAAAAAAGCCAAGGAAGTGTGGCATCATGGAAGCTAAAAGAATAAATTATTTTATTTATTTATTTATTTATTTATTTATTTATTTATTTTATTATTATTATTATACTTTAAGTTTTAGGGTACATGTGCACAATTTGCAGGTTAGTTACATATGTATACATGTGCCATGCTGGTGTGCTGCACCCATTAACTCATCATTTAGCATTAGGTATAGCTCCTAAAGCTATCCCTCCCCCCTCCCCCGACCCCACAACAGTCCCCAGAGTGTGATGTTCCCCTTCCTGTGTCCATGTGTTCTCATTGTTCAATTCCTACCTATGAGTGAGAATATGCGGTGTTTGGTTTTTTGTTCTTGCGATAGTTTACTGAGAATGATGATTTCCAATTTCATCCATGTCCCGATTTTAAAACGAGTAGCGTTGTTCTTTCTCAAGACTGATTTTTGCTATTTATGATCTTTGGTAGCTATGTATGAATTCTATAATTTTTTTCTATTTCTGTAAAAAAAAATACTATTAGAATTTTGATAGAAATGCCATTGAATCGGTAGATCTCTGTAGGTAGTTTGGACATTTAAAAATTAAGTCTTCCAATACATAAACATGAATGTCTTTCTGTTTGTGTCCTCTTCAATTCTTTATTAATATTTTGTAGTTCTTAGTAAACAAGTATTTCACCTTCTTATTTAATTTTATTATCAAATATTTTATTATTTTAGTGCTATTATAAATGGGATTGTTTTCCTAATTTCCTTGTTAGATAGTTTGTCATTATTGTGTAGAAACACAATTGACTTTTGTATGTTGATTTTGTGTCCTGCAACTTTACTGAACTTGTTTATTAGCCCAAATAGTTTGTAGAGTCTTTAGGGTATTTTACATATAAAGTTATGTCATCAGTGGAGATAATACTACCTCTTCCTTTCTTACTTGGATGGCTTTGTTTTTATTGCTGAATTGCTCTGGCAAGGACTTTCAGTACTATGTTGAATAGAATTGGTGAGAGTGGACATTCCTGTCTTATTCCTGATCTTAGAGGAAGAGCTTTCAGTTTTTCATCATTGAATATGATGCTAACTATGGGCTTTAAATATATTGTTTCTATTATGTTGAGGTAATTTATTTATATTTCTATTTTGTTTAGAGTTTCTATCATAAAATGATGTTGAATTTTGTCAAATGTTTTTTCTGCATCTATTGAGATGATCATGTAATTTTTAACCTTTATTCTGTTAATGTGGCATATTACATTAATTGATTTTTCTATGTTGAACCATTCTTGCATCCTAGAAATCAATCATACTTGGCCATGGCATATGATTCTTTTACTGTGTCATTACATTTGATTTGCTAGTGTTTTCTTGAGGATTCTTACGTCTAAATTCATCAGGGATATTGAAATATAGTTTTTTTTCTTGTGATGTTTTAGCTGTATTTGGTATCAGAGTAATGGCCTCATAAAGTGAGTTTGGAAATGTTTACTACTGATATCAAAATATATTACAAATCAACAGTAATCAAAACAGTATGGTACTGGCATAAAGACAAGTATATAGTTCAATAGAAAAAAAACAGAGTGCCCAGAAATAAATCCCTATATATATGGTCAACTAATCTTCAACAAAAGTGCTAAGAATACACAATGGGGAAAGGATAGTCACTTCAACAATTGGCATATAAAAAAACTGGATATACAAATTCAAAACCATAAAACTAGATAGTATAGCCATTATGAAAGATAGTATGGAGGTTCCCCAAGAAATCAAAAATGGAACTACAATATGATCCAGCTATCCTACTACTGGGTATATATCCAAAGTAAACAAGAGCAGTATGTTGGAGAGCTATTTGCAATTCTACGTTTGCTGCAGCATTATTCACAATAGTCAAGATATGGAATCAACTTAAGTGTTCATTAATTGATAAAGTGCTTTATATATATATGGAAATATGGAATATAGAATATTTTGCAGACTAAAAAAGAAAGAAATCCTGTCATTTGTGACAATATGGATAAACCTGGAGGACACTACACTAAGTGAAATAAGCCAGGCACAGAAAGACAAATATCTCATGATCTCATTTATACGTGGAAACTAAAAAAGTCAAACTCAGAAGCAGAGAGTAGAATGGTGGTTTTCAGGGGTTGGAGCATGGGAGGGTAATGGGGAGATGTTGATTAAAGAGTAAAAAGTTTCAGTTAGATGGAAAGAATAAGTTCTGGAGATCTATTGTACAGCATGGAGACTGTAGCAAATAATAAATAATGTGTTGTATATAGTATTTGGGAATAACTAAGAGATTAGATATTAAATATTCTTAGCACAAAAAAGTAGGTGAGAAGATGAATCTGTTAATTAACTTGATTTAATGATTTCAAAATGTATACACATATCAAAACATCATGTTATGCACTGTAAATATACACAACTTTGTCAATTAGGCCTTTAAAAAGAAGAAATTTAGACCCTTATCTTGCACTATAAACAAAAATCAACTCAAAGTGGATTAGTGACTTAAACATTGGATCTGATACTGCAAAACTCCCAGAAGAAAACAGGGGCAAGTCTTCATGACATTGGTCTTAGCAATGATTTTATGGATATGACACAAGAAGCACAGGCAACAAAAATAAAAATAAACAAGTAAAACTACATCAAACTAAAAAGCTTCTGCACAGCAAAGAAAACACTCAACAGAGTAAAAAGCCAATTTACAGAGAAAGATATTTCCAAACTAAATATTTGATAAGGGGTTAATCTCCAATATACATAAGGAACTCCTACGAATCAATAGTAAAATAATAATAATAATAACCCAATTTTAAAATGGGCTAAATATTTTAATAGGCATCTGTCCTAAGAAGACATGCAAATGTCCCCAAAATGCTTAATGCCACTAGTAATCACGAAAATGCAAATCAAAGGCACAATGAGATATTACCTCACACCTGTCAGGATGGCTGTTATTTAAAATAAAAATCACAAAAAATAAGAAATTTTGGAAAGGATGTGGAAAAATTGGAACCCTTAAACACTGTTGGTGGGAATGCAAAATCTTGCAACCACTATGAAAAACAGTTTGAAAATACTTCTAAACATTAAAAATAGAACTATCATATGATCCAACAATCCCCTTCCTGGTATTTATCCAAAAGAATTAAAATCAGGATTTTGAAAATATATCAGCACTCCTATTTCACTTCAGCACTATTCACAATAGCCAAGATAGACAAGCAATCTAAATGTCCATTGACAAATGAATGGATAAATAAAGGTGGTATATACACACAATGGAGGACTATTCAGCTTTTAAAAACCTGAAATATAAGACAACATGGATGAACCTTGAGAACATTATACTAACTGAAATAAGCCAGTCTCAGAGATTCAAATACTCCATATTTTCACTTATCAGAGGTATCTAAAATAGTCATAGAATCAAAGAATGGAATGGGGATTGCCAGAGAATGGGGGAAAGAGAAATGGGGAGTTACTAGTCAATGAGCATAACTTTCAGTTGAATAAGATGAATAAGCTCTGGAGATCTGCTGTAAAACATTGCACTTATAGTAGGCAACAATGTACATACACTTAAAAATTGTTAAGAAGGTAAATATACTGGTAAGTGTTCTTATCCCATTAATTTTTTAAAGGAGTGAAGTGAGCAGTATTTAAAAGTTGTTGAGAGGTTCAGTAATTTAAAGTCAGAAAAATATCCTTCGGATTTGGCAACATGAAGATCATTGGCGAGCTGAACCAGAGAATTTTCATTAGAATCAAGTAACGAATGACTTACAGGTAAAGAAATAGAGACAATACTTCCAAATGACTCTTTTGAGAAGTTTTGCTAAGTGGAACAGATAAATAGCTAGAGAGAGTAGCTAAAAGGAAATGTGAGATGAAGGAATAATGTATTTGTAAGTGTGAGATACTAGAATATGTGTGTAGGATGATGATGATGATCCAATAAGGAAAAAGATGTGAGGGGAGTGTGAGTGGAAACCGAAGAAGTGAAGACTTTGATAAGGTGAGAGGGATTGGGATCCAAAATACAGGTAAAAATTTTGGTCTTAGAAAGGAGTATAAACCGTTCCTCCATTGTAACAGAAAAAAAAGTAGAAAGAATAGGTATAGTTATAAATAGATTTAGTGATGCAAAAAAGGGAGTTCCCATCTGATGTGTCCCATTTTCCCAGTCCAATTGCTCTATACCCCAGAAGTCAGAGGTTTTAGAAAAATCTTTAAATGCTCCTCTAGTACATGAGTGGTAGCAGCAGAAAGCTAGTAGCAGCCAAGAAGAACCTCAGAATCTTCAGTTTTGAAAACAAGGCCTTGGGTCTCTCTATTTGTCCAACCCTACTTATCAGACATTTTCCTTGTTCCAAGGGGATTTCATCTAACTTGAGGGCTCTAGGGGGTGGGTGTGGAAAGGGAAGGCACAAAAGGCCACATAAATGTGAAATGAGGACTTCATGTATGAACTTTGCTGACATCATTTTTGTCAATCCCTAGCTCTGTGACTCATTACTCTGTGAGAGAGCATCAGCAAAGACTTTGGAATTGTCTTTAGAGCTAGACTTTGGAATTTTCAGGGCTGAGTAGTAGTTATGAAAGCCTTTGGTTTTCTCAAATAATTATTTAGGCAAGTACAAAGTCTCCTTTCATATTCAGTCCCAGGATGAAATTTAAACAGGCCTCAACTCTAAGCATACTCACAGAATTACATTTTCCTAATACACGTGGAAAGACACACACATACACAGCTTCAAACTTTCTAATTTTTATTTTTTTATTTATTAATTATGTTATCATACTTTAAGTTCTGGGACACGTGCACAACGTGCAGGCTTGTTACATAGGTATACACGTGCCACGTGGTTTGCTGCACCCATCAACCTGTCATCTACATTAAGCATTTCTCCCAATGCTATCCCTCCTCTAGACCCCACCCCCTGACAAGCACAGTTGTGTCATGTTCCTCTCACTGTATGTGTTCTATTTGTTCAACTCCCAATTATGAGTGAGAACATGCAGTGTTTGGTTTTCTGTTCCTGTGTTACTTTGCTGAGAATGATGGTTTCCAGTTTCATCCATGTCCCTGCAAAGGACATGAACTCATACTTTTTTATGGTTCCATAGTATTTCATGGTGTATATGTGCCACATTTTCTTCATCCAGTCTATCATTGATGGGCATTTGGGTTGGTTCCAAGTCTTTGCTATTGTGAATAGTGCTGCAATAAACATATGTGTGCATGTGTCTTTATAGTAGAATGATATATATTCCTTTGTGTATATACCCAGTAATGGGATTCTGGGTCAAATGGTATTTCTGGTTCTAGATCCTTGAGAAATCACCACACTGTCTTCCACAATAGTTGAACTAATTTATATTCTCATCAACAGTGTAAAATTGTTCCTATTTCTCCACATCCCCTTCAGCATCTGTTGTTTCCTGACTTTTTAATGTTCACCATTCTAACTGGCATGAGATGGTATTTTATTGTGGTGTTGATTTGCATTTCTCTAATGACCAGTGATGATGAGCTTTTTTCATATGTTTCTTGGCTGCATAAATGTCCTATTTTGAGAAATGTCTGTTCATATCCTTCACCCACTTTTTGATACGGTTTTTTGTTTTATTCTTGTAAATTTGTTTAAGTTCCTTGTAGATTCTGGATATTAGACTTTTGTCAGATGGATAAATTGCAAAAATTTTCTTCCATTCTGTAGGTTGCCTGTTCACTCTGATGATAGTTTCTTTTGCTGTGCCGAAGTTCTTTAGTTCAATTTGATCTCATTTGTCAATTCTGGCTTTTGTTGCCATTGCTTTTTGTGTTTTAGTCATGAAGTCTTTGCCCATGCCTATGTCCTGAATGGTATTGCCTAGGTTTCTTCTAGGGTTTCTACAGTTTTAGGTTTTACATTTAAGTCTTTAATCCATCTTGAGTTAATTTTTGTATGAGGTGTAAGGAAGGGGTCCAGTTTCAATTTTCTGCATATGGCTACCCAGTTTTCCCAACCCAACATTTATTAAATAGGAAATTATTTCCCCATCACTTGTTCTTGTCAGGTTTGTCAAAGATCAGATGATTGTAGATGTGTGGTGTTATTTCTGAGGCGTCTGTTCTGTTCCATTGGTCTATATATCTGTTTTGATACCAGTACCATGCTATTTTGGTTAATGTCATCTTGTAGTATAGATTGAAGTCACGTAGCATGATGCCTCCAGCTTTGCTCTTTTTGCTTAGGATTGTTTTGGCTATATGGGATCCTTTTTGCTTCCATAAGAAATTTAAAGTAGTTTTTTCTAATTCTTTGAAGAAAGTCTATGGTAGCTTGGTGGGGATAGCATTGAATCTATAAATTAATTGGGTCAGTATTGCCGTTTTCATGATATTGAGTCTTCCTGTCCATGAGCATGGAATGTGTTTCCATTTGTTTGTGTCCTCTCCTATTTTCTTGAGCAGTGGTTTGCAGTTCTCCTTAAAGAGGTCCTTCAAGTCCCTTGTAACTTATATTCCTAGGTATTTTATTCTCTTTGTAGCAACTGTGAGTGAGAATTGACGCTTGATTTGGCTCTCTGTTTGTCTATTATTTGTGTATAGGAATGCTTGGAAACTTTGCACATTGATTTTGTATTCTCACACTTTGCTGAAATTGCTTATCAGCTTAAGGAGATTTTGGTCTGAGACTATGGGGTTATCTAAATATGCAATCATGTCATCTGAAAACAGAAACAATTTGACTTCCTCTCTTACTATTTGAATACACTTTATTTATTACTCTTACCTCATTGCCCAGGCCAAAATTTCCAATACTATGTTTAATAGTGTTGAGAGAAGGCATCCTTGTTTGTGCCAGTTTTCAAAGAAAAGCCTTCCAGCTTTTGCCCATTCAGTATGATATTGGCTTTGGGTTTGTCATAAATAGCTCTTATTATTTTGAGATACGTTCCATCAATACCTAGTTTATTAAGAGTTTTTGGCATGAAGGAGTGTTGAATTTTATCAAAGGCCTTTTCTGCATCTATTGAGGTAATTATGTGGTGTTTGTCACTGGTTCTGTTTATGTGATGGATTATGTATATAGATTTTCATAGGCTGAAACAGCCTTCCATCCCAGGGATGAAGCTGACTTGATCATGATGGATAGGCTTTTTGATGTGCTGCTGGATTCAGTTTGCTAGTATTTTGTTGAGGATTTTTGCATCGATGTTCATCAGGGATATTGGCCTAAAATTTTATTTTTTCTTTCTCTTTTTCTTTCTTTCTCTTTCTTTCTTTCTTTCTTTCTTTCTTTCTTTCTTTCTTTCTTTCTTTCTTTCTTCTTTCTTATCTTTCTTTCTTTTTTTTTTGTTGTTGTTGTTGGGTCTCTGCCAGGTTTTGGTATCAGGATGATGTTGGCCTCATAAAATTAGTTAGGGAGTGGTACCTCTTTTTTTATTGTTTGGGATAGTTTCAAAAGGAATAGTACCAGCTCCTCTTTGTACCCCTGGTAGAATTCAGCTGTGAATTTGTCTGGTCCTGGGCTTTTTTTGGTTGATAGGCTATTAATTACTTCCTCAATTTCAGAACTTGTTATTGGCCTATTCATGGATTTGACTTCTTCCTTGTTCAGCATTGCAAGGTTGTATGTGTCCAGGAATTTATCCATTTCTTCTAGATTTTCTAGTTTATTTTCATTGAGGTGGTTATAGTATTCTCTGATGATAGTTTGTATTTCTGTGGGATCAGTGGTAATATCACCTATATCATTTTTTTATTGTGTCTATTTGATTATTCTCTCTTTTCTTCTTTATTAGTTTCGCTAGTGGTCTATCTATTTTGTTAATCTTTTCAAAAAATGAGCTCCTGGATTCACTGATTTTTGAAGGGTTTTTCTTGTCTCTGTCTCCTTAAGTTCTGCTCTGATCTTAGTTATTTCTTGTCTTCTGCTAGCTTTTAAATTTATTTGCTCTTTCTTCTCTAGTTATTTTCATTTTGATGTTTTTGTGTCGATTTTCAATCTTTTACACTTTCTCTTGTGGGCACTTAGTGCTATAAATTTCCCTCTAAACACTGCTTTATCTGTGTCCCAGAGATTCTGGTTTATTGTGTCTTCACCTGGTAGTCATTCAGTAGCAGGTTGTTCAGTGTCCATGAAGTTCTGCAGTTTTCAGTGAGTTTCTTAATCCTGTATTCTAATTTGATTGCACTATGGTTGGAGAGATTGTTTTGCTGATTTAGGGTGAAGAGTTCCATAGATGTCTATTAGGGCTGCTTGGTCCAGAGCTGAGTTCAAGTCCTGAATATTTTTGTTAATTTTCTGTCTCATTGCTCTGTCTAATATTGACAGTGGGGTGTTAAAGTCTCCCACTATTATTGTGTGGAAGTCTAGTCTCTTGCAGTTTTCTAAGAACTTGCTTTATGAATCTGAGTGCTTCTCTATTGGATGCATGTATATATATATTTAGGATAGTTAGCTCTTCTTGTTGCATTGATCCATTTACCATTATATAATGCCCTTTTTGTCATTTTGATCTGTGTTGTTTTAAAGTTTGTTTTATCAGAGACTAGAATTGCAACCCCTGCTTTGTTTTGCTTTTCAATTACTTGGTAAATATTCCTTCATCCCTTTATTTTGAGCCCATGTGTGCCTTTGCACGTGAGATGGGTCTCCTGAATACAGCACACTAATGGGTCTTGGCTCTTTATTCAATTTGCCAGTCTGTGCCTTTGAATTGGGGCATTTAGTCTGTTGACATTTAAGATTAATATTGTTATGTGTGAATTTAATCCTGTCATTATGATGCTAGCAGGTTATTTTGCCTGTTAGTTGATGTAGTTTTTTCATAGTGCCAATGGTCTTTACAATTTGGTATGTTTTTCCAGTGACTGGGACCTTTTTTTTTTCATATTCAGTGCTTCCTTCAGGAGCTTTTGTAGAAAGAATTTTATTTCTCCTTTGCTTATGAAGCTTAGTTTGGCTGGATATGTAATTCTGGGTTGAAAATTATTTTCTTTAAGAATGTTAAATATTGGCCCCCAGTCTCTTCTGGCATGTAGAGTTTCTGCAGAGAGATCCACTGTTAGACTGATGGGCTTTTTATGGTGCATATCCTGACCTTTCTCTCTGGCTGCCCTTAACATTTTCTCTTTCATTTCAACCTTGGTGAATCTGATGTTTATGTGTCTTAGGGTTGCTCTTCTCAAGGAGTACCTTCATGGTGTTCTATGTATCCTGAATTTGAATGTTGGCCTGTCTTGGTAGGTTGGGGAAGTTCTTCTGGATAAAAAGCTGAGGAGCATTTTCTGATTTAGTTTCATTATCCCCATCAGTTTCATGTACACCAATCAAACACAGGGTTGGTCTTTCCACATAGTCCCATATTTCTTGGAGGCTTTGTTCCTTCTTTTTCGGTCATTTTTGTCTAATATTTTCTTCATGCTTTATTTCATTAAGTTGATCTTCAATCTCTGATATCTTTTTTCCACTTGATTGATTTGGCTATTGATACTTGTGTATGCTTCACGAAGTTCTCATGCTGTGTTTTCCAGCTCCGTCAGCAAGATTATTTGCTTCCTTGCATTAGGTTAGAACATGCTTCTTTAGCTCAGAGGAGTTTGTTATTACCCACCTTCTGAAGCCTACTTCTGTCAATTCGTCAAACTCATTCTTCATTCAGTTTTGTTCCCTTGCTGGTGAGGAGTTGTGATCCTTTAGCAAAGAAGAGGCATTCTAGTTTTTGAAATTTTCTGTGTTTTTGCACTGGTTTTTCTCATCTTTGTGTATTTATCTAACTTTCATTTTTGATGTTGGCGACTTTTGAATGAGGTTTTTCAGTGGACATCCTTTATATTGATATTGATGCTATCCCTTTTTGTTTGTTCATTTTTCTTTTAACAGTTAGGCTCCTCTGCTGCAGGTCTGCTGGAGTTTGCTGGAGGTCCACTCCAGGACCTGTTTTCCTGGGTATCACCAGCAGAGCCTTCAGAGCAGCAAAGATTGCTGCCTGCTCCTTCCTCTGGAAGCTTCATCCCAGAGGGGCACCACCAGATGTCAGCCAGAG
The DNA here is from genome assembly GCF_000001405.40 of Homo sapiens. Lineage (NCBI taxonomy): Eukaryota > Metazoa > Chordata > Mammalia > Primates > Hominidae > Homo > Homo sapiens. Next base: position 66,799,787 of record NC_000023.11, on the reverse strand, counting down.
CTTTCTGGTATGAGTTGTCTGTTGACACCTGCTGGGAGGTATCTCCCAGTCAGGAGTCACGGGGGTCAGGGACCCACTTGAGGAGGCAGCTTGTCCCTTAGCAGAGCTTGAGCGCCTTGCTTTTAAATCCACTGCTCTCTTCAGAGCCAGCAGGCAGGAATGTTTAGTTTAAGTCTGCTGAAGCTGTGCCCACAGCCACCCCTTTTCACAGGTACTCTGTCCCAGGGAGATGGAGGTTTTATCTACAAGCCCCTGAATGGGGTTGCTGCCTTTCTTTCAGAGATGTTCTGCCCAGGGAGGAGGAATCTAGAGAGGCAGTCTGGCTACAGCGGTGTTGTGGAGCTGTGATGGGCTCCGCCCAGTTTAAACTTCCAGGCGACTTTGTTTACAGTGTGAGGGGAAAACTGCCTACTTAATCCTCAGTAATGGCGGGTGCCCCTACCCCCACCAAGCTCCAGCATCCCTGGTCGACTGCTGACTGCTGTGCTGGCAGCGAGTATTTCAAGCCAGTGGATCTTAGCTTGCAGGGCTTCTAGGGAGTGACATCCACTGAGCTAGACCACTTGGCTCCCTGGCTTCAACCCTCTTTCCAGGGGAGTAAATGGTTTTGTCTTGCTGGTATTCCAGGCACCACTGGGGGGAAAAAAACCTGCACCTATCTTGGTGTCTGCCCAAACAGCTGCCCAATTTTGTTCTTGAAACCCAGGGCCCTGATGGTGTAGGCAACCAAGAGAATCTCTTTGTCTGTGGATTGCAAAGATTGTGGGAAAAGTGTAGTATCTGGGCTGGGATGCACTGTTCCTCATGGCACAGTCCCTCATGGCTTCTTGCCAGCCACCTCCTCAAGCCCCCATACCCCACTTTTTTAATGCACATGAATACATACTCATCCCCACCAAAATCTATATTTCTATAAAATGCATTTATCTCCACACCCACACAAACACAAATCAACATACACATACATTGGTGTCTGGACATGCTCACATATCCACCCTCTGCACATTTATCTTTTCAACATTTACTGACAGATTACTCTATCTTGTGCTAGACACTGAACTAGACACTGGGCAGAAAGATGAGCAGGACACATTTCAGTCTTTGAGATGCTCATAGTCTAGTGAAATATGAAGAAAAATGAGAATGAAGGTTATAAAATAAATACACAGATAACTATAAAACAAAGGGAAAATGTTATATATGTTCTATGAGATGCATGATCAAACTTCTCATGGGGTTTCAATGAAGCAAGGGACAACTCTTAGCTGGGGTTCATCAAGGAGAGTTTCATAAATAGAAACTCCGTTATAGTCACCTTCTTGGCTGTCAGCAGCCCAAGGTAAGTTTCCACATCTTACTTCTCCCTAGCCTAATATAGTCTGAATTTCATTAAAGAGAATTCCTGACTTTGTTGTAAAACAGTTCTGTAGCATTGGATATGTCACTTCCTCTCTTCTAAACCTCATTCTCTTCCTCTGGAAAATGGGGATGATTATTGCTAGCCCACAGGGCTGTTGGAGGATTAACTAAGTGAGAGAAAACACTGTGAAAAGCATTCTGTAAACAGTCAGGAACTTACTCAAAATGGGAGTTGTCTCTCTGCCTGATTTTCCTGGTCCCTTGTAGGAGTGTGCTTTCTCATGACTCCATTTTCTCAGTTAAGAGACAAAAGTCATGAGGCTTTGGGACACGGAACCAAAAGAGTAGAATGAATGCTTCCTGTCACCCCCTCACCAAGTTCCTCCTAGATTTATCATTTATCCCATCCACTTGGGTTCTTTTTTGCCAATTCTTGAAGAATGCATTTGGGCCTTTGAACTTCATGATTTCTGACTCTTGAACCAAACACGACCCCTTTGAGGTTGCAAATCCATTTACTCTTGGCAAAGTCACAACATCTTGTTTCAAAGAGAAGGGGGGGTAAAAAAAATTCTAGCTCACAAAATCTTAGGGAGTTTTATAACTAAATCTTATAAGACATTTTTGGAGCTGAGTTTACTCTTACAACAGAGTCCTTGGGTTATTTAAGTGTAAATGAATCAGAAAGGTCCAGATCAGATTTCCCTTGAAATACACAAAGTTTAGAAATGGAAGGAGTGGTGGCTCAGCCAAAAGCACTCTCTGTTTGGGCAAAGCCCACAGGGTGGCTGGAATCACAGTATTTGCAGAGATTTCCCACAGAGACACAGAATTGGATCCCAGAGAACTGTGCCATTAGACAGCAATGGGGTCTTGGCACCTTCCTCAATTCCTGTGCCCATGCCCAGGCCACCCAAGGGCCTTAGGAGTTCCTGGGTAAGTGATGGCCAACCGCCAGGAGTACTTCTATAAATGAGCACCTCTGGACATAAAGGAAAGAGAGAAGTTGTACTCCCAGCTTAGAGCCCCTTAGTAAAATAATGGAGAAAACGAGGAGACACAGGATACGTCACTAAAAGAGCAGGCCTCTGTGCCATGGAAGAGGTCCAGCACAAACTAAGGGCAGCATCAGAGAAAATTAAACAACTTAAAGAAATGTAAGAGCATTGGACAAGAGTCAAGAGACTTCTATATCTGGGTTCTTAACTTCCACTCTTTCCTCACATTTCTCAATCTCATTTATATCCAATTGATCAATAACCAAGTGTATTGTGATTCAGTCATAAATCCATCCCTTCCTTAACACTCTAACTACCCTTGCCTGAGGATAGATATTATCACTTGTATCCTGGATCTCTTCAGCTACTTCCTATTGGTCTCCCTATCTTCAGTCTCTCCTCTTCAGTCCATCTTCCACAGTAGAATCAGAACACAAATCTGATCATGCCACTCCTCTGCCTAAGATCCATCTATGGCTCCCCATTTACTATAGGATAAAATCTAAACTCCTTATGTCTGATATAAATACAGTGATGTGAACTTTGTTCCACCTTTCCATTTTATGCATCCCAACTGATGCTTTAGTAAAAATGGACATTTCGCAGTTTCCCTCAATTCCAATATTTATCTCTCTGTATCTATCTACCTACCTATCTGTCATCTGTCTTAGATACTTGCTGAAACAGAGTACAAATAGTAGAACAAATGAATCTCTTGTTTTTAAAATAACAGCTAACATTAACTGAAAGATTACTATGTGCTAGATACCATTAGAAATATTTCATATATAACTAATTTACTCTTCCATCAGTCCTATGAAATAATTCCATTATTATTATCCCCATTTTATACAGGAAAAACAAGCACAAGGAGGTTAAGTAGCTTGTCAGATTCATAGCTAGGAAGTAGCAAAGGCAGACTATGAATGCAGCTAAGCTCTAGAGCTGCAGTTTCAGCCAGTACATATAACTACCTTTCCTGACATGTCCTTTTACATTTTATGCCTTCACATATGCTGTCACCTAGTCCTGAAATACTAACCCTCTTTATCTAGTTAAAAAAACTTATACTTACTTTTGAAGATCCAACTCAGAGGCTACTCCCTCCATGAAACCTTTTCTGACTTATTCTTCCTCTTTCTCTGACTCCTATATTCCTTTGTCCATAATTTTGATAAATTACTTATTGTGATGTATGAGATGGCTGTTTGTTTGTTTGTCTCACTCGAAAATAGGTTTCCTGAAATTAAGAACCAAGTCTTTTTCATCTTTATATCCCTATCACTTACCCCAGCACTGGCATAGAGTGAGCTGTCAGTTAATGTTGATTTTTCAGCCATGTTACCTATTTGTGGGACAGTTCTTTGTTGGACGGAACTGGTCCTATGCATTGTATGAATATGTAGGCTTCCTGGCTCCCATTTTCTAAACGCCACAGGTATTCCCATGTTATTAGGACATAAACTCCCCTGCCTCCCAACATCTCTAGACATCTCTAGATGCCCTTTATGGGGTGGTAACAACCCTGGCTAAAAGAATGGGGATATCATCTTAGAAACCAGGGAAGTGTAGTGGATATATCACAGGCTTTGTAATTAAGTAGATCTGTATTTGAATTCTGCTATTCACTTGGTTATGTGAATGAAAGCCAATTTATTTAACCTCTCTAAGCTTCTATGTATTCATTTGTGTAAGGGGTCTAATAACATACTGCCTCAAATGTTGGAACATTTTAAAGTTTCTGAAATGCTCGGGCATCCTATAATCCATATGTATATTTACTATGGGAGTCCTACCTGCCTGCCTTTTTTATTTTCTTCTCCTAAAAGTCTACTAGGAAACAAATGGTGCATTTAAAAAAAAACTGCAGCATGTTAGAATGAAAAATGGCAAAGCCTACTTCATAAGTTTGTTGTGAATATTAAATGAGCTTTTTATATAAAGGTCAACACATAGTAGGTGTTCAATAAACAAGAGACAATAAAATCCATAGGATAGAATATGAAATGTTCATCAATTGAAAAATATTTATATTTATAAATGCTGTTTATCCTTTATTCCCTCTAAATTATGACAACTTTTCTCTCAGCCTAGGAAAAGGAGTGATATGTGTTCTGTTCCAAATGTGGCATTGTCATTTATAAAGCCTCCAAGAGAGAAAAGTCTTGATTTTGTTTTCATTCATTCAAGCAGATGAGCCTCTACTATATGTCAAACATTCTTTTAGGCACTAGGGACACAAATTAAAGAAAACAGAAAATAGGGTGGAGCCAAGATGGCCGAATAGGAACAGCTCCAGTCTAGGGCTCCCAGCGTGAGCGATGCAGAAGACAGGTGATTTCTGCATTTCCAACTGAGGTACCGGGTTCATCTCACTGGGGATTGTTGGACAGTGGGTGCAGTGCACTGAGCGTGAGCCAAAGCAGGGCAAGGCATCGCCTCACCTGGGAAGCCCAAGGGGTAAGGGAATTCCTGTTCCTAGTCAAAGAAAGGGGTGACAGATGGCACCTGGAAAATCGGGTCACTCCCACCTTAACACTGCACTTTTCCAATGGTCTTAGCAAACAGCACACCAGGAGATTATATCCCATGCCTAGCTTGGAGGGCCCTATGCCCACGGAGCCTCACTCATTGCTAGCACAGCAGTCTGAGATCAAACTGCAAGGCAGCAGCGAGGCTGGGGGAGTGGTTCCTGCCATTGCCAAGGCTTGAGTAGGTAAACAAAGGGGCCAGGTAGATTGAACTGGGTGGAGCCCACTGCAGCTCAAGGAGGCCTGCCTGCCTCTGTAGACTCCACCTCCGGGGGCAGGGCAGAGCCAAAGAAAAGGCAGCAGAAACCTCTGCAGACTTAAATGTCCCTGTCTGACAGCTTTGAAGAGAGTAGTGGTTCTCCCAACACGCAGCTTGAGATCTGAGAATAGACAGACTGCCTCCTCAAGTGGGTCCCTGACCCCCAAGTAGCCTAACTGGGAGGCAACCCCCAGTAGGGGCAGACTGACACCTCACATGGCCAGGTACTCCTCTGAGACAAAACTTCCAGAGGAAAAATCAGGCAGCAACATTTTCTGTTCACCAATATACACTGTTCTGCAGCCTCCGCTGCTGATACCCAGGCAAACAGGGTCTGGAGTGGAACTTTGGCAAACTCCAACAGACCTGCAGCTGAGGGTCCTGACTATTAGAAGGAAAACTAACAAACAGAAAGGATATCCACACCAAAACCCCATCTGTACGTCACCACCATCAAAAACCAAAGGTAGATAAAACCACAAAGATGGGGAAAAAACAGAGCAGAAAAGCTGAAAATTCTAAAAATCAGAGCACCTCTCCTTCTCCAAAGGAACACAGCTCCTCATCAGCAATGGAACAAAGCTGGACAGAGAATGACTTTGATGAGTTGAGAGAAGAAGGCTTCAGAAGATCAAACTACTCCGAGCTAAAGGAGGAAGTTCAAACCCATGGCAAAGAAGTTAAAAACCGTGAAAAAAAATTAGATGAATGGCTAACTAGAATAACCAATGCAGAGAAGTCCTTAAAGGACCTGATGAAGCTGAAAACCATGGCATGAGAACTACGTGATGAATGCACAAGGCTCAGTAGCCAATTCAATAAACTGGAAGAAAGGGTTTCAGTGATGGAAGATGAAATTAATGAAATGAAATGAGAAGATAAGTTTAGAGGAAAAAGAATAAAAAGAAACGAGCAAGGCCTCCAAGAAATATGGGACTGTGTGAAAAGACCAAGTCTACATCTGATTGGTGTACCTGAAAGCGACGGGGAGAATGGAATGAAGTTGGAAAACACTCTGCAGGATATTATACAGGAGAACTTCCCCAATCTAGCAAGGCAGGCAAACATTAAAATTCAGAAAATACAGAAACCACCACAAATATACTCCTCGAGAAGAGCAACTCCAAGACACATAACTCTTGGATTCACTAAAGTTGAAACGAAGGAAAAAATGTTAAGGGCAGCCAGAGAGAAAGGGTTACCCACAAAGGGAAGCTCATCAGACTAACAACTGATCTCTCCGCAGAAACTCTACAAGCCAGAAGAGAGTGGGGGCCAATATTCAACATTCTTAAAGAAAGGAATTTTCAAACCAGAATTTCACATCCAGCCAAACTAAGCTTCATAAGTGAAGGAGAAATAAAATACTTTACAGATAAGCAAATGCTGAGAGATTTTGTCATCACCAGGCCTGCCCTACAAGAGCTCCTGAAGGAGGCACTAAACATGGAAAGGAACAACCGGTACCAGCCACTGCAAAAACATGCCAAATTGTAAAGACCTTCGAGGCTAGGAAGGAACTGCATCAACTAACGAACAGAATAACCAGCTAACATCATAATAACAGGATCAAATTCACACATAAAAATATTAACCTTAAACGTAAATGGGCTAAATCCTCCAATTAAAAGACACAGACTGGCAAATTGGATAAAGAGTCAAGACCCAGCAGTGTGTTGTATTCAGGAAACCCATCTCACGTGCAGAGACACACATAGGCTCAAAATAAAAGGATGAAGGAAGAACTACCAAGCAAATGGAAAACAAAAAAAGGCAGGGGTTGCAATCCTAGTCTCAGATAAAGCAGACTTTAAACCAACAAAGATCAAAAGAGACAAAGAAGACCATTACATAATGGTAAAGGGATCAATTCAACAAGAAGAGCTAACTATCCTAAGTATATATGCACCCAATACAGGAGCACCCAGATTCATAAAGCAAGTCCTGAGTGACCTACAAGGAGACTTAGACTCCCACACAAAATAATGGGAGACTTTAACACCCTACTGTCAACATTAGACAGATCAACCAGACAGAAAGTTAACAAGGATATCCAGGAATTGAACTCAGCTCTGCACCAAGTAGACCTCATAGACATCTACAGAACTCTCCACCCCAAATCAACAGAATATACATTCTTTTCAGCACCACACCACACCTACTCCAAAATTGACCACATAGATGGAAGTAAAGCACTCCTCAGCAAATATAAAAGAAAAGAAATTATAACCAACTGTCTCTCAGACCACAGTGCAATCAAACTAGAACTCAGGATTAAGAAACTCACTCAAAACTGCTCAACTACATGGAAACTGAACAAGCTGCTCCTGAATGACTACTGGGTACATAACGAAACGAAGGCAGAAATAAAGATATTCTTTGAAACCAAAGAGAACAAAGACACAACATACCAGAATCTCTGGGACTCATATAAAGCAGTGTGTAGAGGGAAATTGATAGCACTAAATGCCCACAAGAGAAAGCAGGAAAGATCTAAAATTGACACCCTAACATCACAATAAAGAACTAGAGAAGCAAGAGCAAACACATTCAAAAGATAGCAGAAGGCAAGAAATAACTAAGATCAGAGCAGAACTGAAGGAGATAGAGACATAAAAAACCCTTCAAAAAATCAATAAATCCAGGAGCTGTTTTTTTCAAAAGATCAACAAAATTGATAGACTGCTAGCAAGACTAATAAAGAAGAAAAGAGAGAAGAATCAAATAGACGCAGTAAAAAAGACAAAGGGGATATCACCACCAATCCCACAGAAATACAAACGACCGTCAGAGAATACTATAAACACCTTTACACAAATAAACTAGAAAATTTAGAAGAAATGGATAAGTTCCTTGACACATACACCCTTCCAAGACTAAACCAGGAAGAAGTTGAATCTCTGAATAGACCAATAACAGGATCTGAAATTGAGGCAATAATTAATAGCTTACCAACCAAAAAAAGGCCAAGACCAGACGGATTCAAAGCCGAATTCTACCAGAGGTAAAAGAAGGAGCTGGTGCCATTCCTTCTGAAATTATTCCAATCAATAGAAAAAGAGGGTATCTTCCCTAACTCATTTTATGAGGCCAGCATCATCCTGACACCAAAGCCTGGCAGAGACAACAAAAAAAGGGAATTTTAGACCAATATCCTTGATGAACATTGATACAAAAATCCTCACTAAAATACTGGCAAATGGAATCCAGCAGCACATCAAAAAGCCTATCCACCATGATCAAGAGAGCTTCATCCCTGGGATGCAAGGCTGGTTCAACATACGCAAATCAATAAACGTAATCCAGCATATAAACAGAACCAAGGACAAAAAACATATGTTTATCTCAATAGATGCAGAAAAGGCCTTTGACAAAATTCAACAACTCTTCATGCTAAAACCTCTCAATAAATTAGGTATTGATGGGACGGGACGTATCTCAAAATAATAAGAGCTCTCTAAGACAAACCCACAGCCAATATCATACTGAATGGGCAAAAACTGGAAGCATTCCCTTTGAAAACCGGCACAAGACAGGGATGCCCTCTCTCACTACTCCTATTCAACATAGTATTGGAAGTTCTGGTCAGGGCAATCAGGCAGGAGAAGGAAATAAAGGGTATTCAATTAGGAAAAGAGGAAGTCAAATTGTCCCTGTTTGCAGATGACATGATTATATATCTACAAAATCCCATGGTCTCAGCCCAAAATCTCCTTAAACTGATAGGCAACTTCAGCAAAGTCTCAGGATACAAAATCAATGTGCAAAAATCACAAGCATTCTTATACACCAATAACAGACAAACAGAGAGCCAAATCATGAGTGAACTCCCATTCACAATTGCTTCACAGAGAATAAAATACCTAGGAATCCAACTTACACGGGATGCGAAGGACCTCTTCAAGGAGAACTACAAACCACTGCTCAAGGAAATAAAAGAAGATACAAACAAATGGAAGAACATTCCATGCTCATGGATAGGAAGAATCAATATCATGAAAATGGCCATACTGTCCAAGGTAATTTATAGATTCAATGCCATCCCCATCAAGCTACTGATGACTTTCTTCACAGAATTGGAAAAAACTACTTTAAAGTTCATATGGAACCAAAAAAGAGCCCACATTGCCAAGTCAATCCTAAGCCAAAAGAACAAAGCTGGAGGCATCACACTACTTGACTTTAAACTATACTACAAGGCTACAGTAACCAAAAGAGCATGGTACTGTTACCAAAACAGAGATATAGATCAATGGAACAGAACAGAACCCTCAGAAATAATGCTACATATCTACAACTATCTGATCTTTGACAAACCTGACAAAAACAAACAATGGGGAAAGGATTCCCTATTTAATAAATGGTGCTGGGAAAAGTGGCTAGCCATATGTAGAAAGCTGAAACTGGATCCCTTCCTTACACCTGATACAAAAATTAATTCAAGATGGATTAAAGACTTAAATGTTAGAACTAAAACCATAAAAACCCTAGAAGAAAACCTAGGCAATACCATTCAGGACATAGGCATGTGCAAGGACTTCATGTCTAAAACACCAAAAGCAATGGCAACAAAAGCCAAAATTGATGAATGGGATCTAAACTCAGGAGCTTCTGCACAGCAAAAGCGACTACCATCAGATTGATCAGGCAACCTATAAAATGGGGGAAAATTTTTGCAATCTACTCATCTGACAAAGGGTTAATAGCCAGAATCTACAAAGAACTCAAACAAATTTACGATAAATAAACAAACAACCCCATCAACAAGTGGGTGAAGGATATAAACAGACACTTCTCCAAAGAAGACATTTATTCAGCCAACAGACACACGAAAAAATGCTCATCATCACTGGCCATCAGAGAAATGCAAATCAAAACCACAATGAGATACCATCTCACACCAGTTAAAATGGCGATCATTAAAAAGTCAGGAAACAACAGGTGCTGGAGAGGATGTGGAGAAATAGGAATACTTTTACACTGTTGGTGGGACTGTAAACTAGTTCAACCATTGTGGAAGTCAGTGTGGCGATTTCTCAGGGATCTAGAACTAGAATTACCATTTGACCCAGCCATCCCATTACTGGTTATATACCCAAAGGATTATAAATCATTCTGGTATAAAGACACAAGCACATGTGTGTTTATTGGGGCACTATCCACAATAGCAAAGACTTGAAACCAACCCAAATGTCCAACAATGACAGATTGGATTAAGAAAGTTTGGCACATATACACCATGGAATACTATGCAGCCATAAAACATTGTGAGTTCATGTTCTTCATAGGGACATGGATGAAGCTGGAAACCATCATCCTCAGCAAACTGTCACAAGGACAAAAACCAAACACTGCATGTTCTCATTCATAGGTGGGAATTGAACAATGAGAACAAATGGACACAGGAAGGGAACATCACACACTGGGGCCTGTTGTGGGTTGCGGGGAGCAGGGAGGGATAGCATTAGGAGATATACCTAATGTAAATGACTAGTTAATGGGTGCAGCACACCAACATGGCACATGTATACATATGTAACAAACCTGCACGTTGTGCACATGTACCCTAAAACTTAAAGTATAATAAAAAAGAAGCGTAAATTATAAAAAAACGAAAACAGAAAATAATATTTGTGTTCGTGGAGCCAACATTCTTGCAAGTGAATTAATAAAACAAAAAATGGGGATAAGAAATCCTGGGGTTCGGGGGTCAATTTTAAAGAAAACTATCAGGGAAAGCCTTACTGAGTAGGTGACTTTTGAGCAAAGACCACATGGATGCTTGAAGGAAGAACATTCCAACCAGAAAAAAAGAAAAGAAAAAAAAATTTACCTGTGAATACCGAAGCCTGACGGCAAGATTATGCCTGATGTATTCAAGGAACAGCAGGGGCCAGTGTGTCTGGAGCAAAGTAAGTGACAGTAGGAAATGAGGCCAGAGAGGAAATGCGGCAGCGGTCCAAGGTTGTGTGAAGCCTTGAGAACCAGGTGATGTTACAATTTTTGTTGCAATCATCAAATGTGATTTATAAAATTTATAAGGAGAAATGTAGTCTATGGTCTGTAGCTGTATTTATGGTTAAAACTTCCTTTCTGTTTGGAGAACTTCCTTCAGCCATTTTTTTAAGGGTAAGTCTACTAACAATAAACTTTCTTAGTTTTCTCTTGTCTGAAAATGTCTTTACTTCCCCTTTATTCCTGAAGGATAGCTTTGTCAGTTACAGAATTTGCTATAGAAGGTTTCTTTCTTATCAGAATTTGTTGTGTCACATCCTTTTGGTTTCCATGATTTCTAAGGGGAAGTCTTTTCATTCTAATTGGCGTTTCTCTGTATGTCAGGTGTTGCTTCTCTCATTACCATTAATAGTTTTTTCCCTTTATTTTAAGAAATTTAATTATAGTGTGCTTTGGTGTACATTTGTTTGGGGTTGGCTGAGCTTCTGAAATCTGATGGCCTTTTCACCAACATTTAGCCATTATTTATTTAAATACTTTTTCAGTCCCACTCTCTTTTTCCACTCTTTCTTAGATTATAATACAAATGTTGGACCTTTTGTTATTGTCCCACAGTTTCCTTACTCTCTATTCAATATTTTTCACTCTTTTTTTTCTCTCTGTTGATCAGATTTGGTACGTTCTATTGATCTACCCCAAAGTTCACTGATTCTATTCTCTTGTTATCTTCATTTTACTATAAGTTCATCCATTGGGCATTTGTTATTTTACTTTTTTCTTACAATTTTCATTTCATTCATTTTTGTAACTTCTATTTTTTGCTGAGACCTTCTATTATTTCATGCATTTCTATTTTTTAACTTTTATTTTAAGTTCAGGGGTACATGTGCATGTTTGCTATATAGGTAAACTTGTGTCAAGGGGGTTTGTTGTACAGATTATTTCATCACCTGGGTATTAATCCTAGTACCAATTAGATATTTCTTTTGATCTTCTCCCTCCTCCCACCCTCCACTCTCTAATAGGCCCCAGTGTGTGGTTGTTCCCCTCTATATGTCCATGTGTTCTCATCATTAACTCTCACTTATAGGAAAGAACATGCAGTATTTGGTTTTCGGTTTCTGTTTTAGTTTGCTAAGGATAATGGTCTCCAGCTTCATCCGTGTCTCTGCAAAGGACCTAATCTCATTTTTTTTTATGGCTGCATGCTATTCCATGGTGTAGATTTACCATATATTTTATCCAGTCTATCATTGATAGGCATTTAGGTTGATTCCATGTGTTTGCTATTGTCAATAGTGCCGCAACGAACATATGCATGCATGTGTTTTTATAATAGAATGATATATATTCTTTTGGATATACCCAGTAATGAGATTGCTGGGTAAAATGGTATTTCTATCTTTAGGTCTTTGAAAAACTGCCACACAGTCTCCCACAATGGTTGAACTAATTTACACTCCCACTAACAGTTTATCAGAGTTCCTTTTTCTCCAGAACCTCATCAGCATCTGTTATTTTTGACTTTTTAATAATGGCCATTCTGATTGGTATAAGATGATATCTTATTGTGGTTTTGACTTGCATTTCTCTACTGATAAGTGATGTTGAGCTTTTTTTACATACGATTGTTGGCCACATGGATGTCTTCTTTTGAAAAATGTTCACGTTCTTTGCCCACTTTTTTATGGGGTTGTTTGTAAATTTGTTTAAGTTCCTTATCAACAGAGTAAGCAGAAATCCTACAGAATGTTTTACGCATTTCAAGAAATTTTGTAGTTGATCATCGGAGCATTTTTTATGAGAGCTAATATAAAATATTTGTTGAATAATTCCAACATCTGATTCATCTGTTACTGTTGTCCATTGATTCTTTTCTAACTTAAATTGTAGTTTTGCTAGTCCTTGGTATGAAGCGTGGTTTTCAATTGTATCCTGTATGTTTTGTCTACTATGTTAGAAACATCTGGGTTTTTTGGTTTTGCTTTCTTTTGTTTTAGTTTTTGTTTTTGTTTGTTTGAGATGGAGTCTTGCTCTGTCGCCAGGCTGGAGTGCAATGGTGCAATCTCGGCTCACTGGAACCTCCACCTCCCAGATTCAAGCAATTCTCCTGCCTCAGCCTTCTGAGTAGCTGGGATTACACGCGCAAAACCTCTGGGTTCTATATGAATCTTTTATTTATTTATTTACTTATTTATTTATTTATTTATTTATTTATTTTGAGACGGAGTCTTGCTTTGTCGCCCAGACTGGAGTGCAGTGATGCGATCTTGGCTTACTGCAAGCTCCGCCTCCAGGGTTAATGCAATTCTCCTGCATCAGCCTCCTGAGTAGCTGGGACTACAGGAGCTCGCCACCACAGCTGGCTAACTTTTTGTATTTTTAGTAGAGACGGGTTTTCACCGTGTTAGCCAGGATGGTCTTGATCTCCTGACCTCGTGATCCGCCCGCCTCGGCCTCCCAAAGTGCCGGGACTACAGGCGTGAGGCACCATGCCCAGCCATAAATCTTTTATTTTACCAGGCAGTCACTCTGCTTAGGTTTAGCTCACAGGTCCTGGCCTACTTTTGTGTGCCTTGCTTCCAATGACAATTCAATTTGGGGGAACTCTGTGTTTTTATTTTGTTCTGCTTGATTTTGGTGCTGTAGAAACTCTCAGTGATTCCTGTTGGTGCTACCAGACAGGCAGAAGATGCCCAGGAAGTTTCTGGCCTATAGGGAGGAAGAGCACTTCCAAGGCTGAACTACTTGTTTTGAGGTGTTTGGTCAGTGTCCTCCATTTGCGTGGTATCTCTTGATGGAGAAAGGAAAGTTCAACCTTGCTAAGGCGGAAAAGCTCTCCCACCTGGCCAATTATTGTCAGTGGTATTTTTTATTAACCCCCCTTACTGGTGATGACAGTCTCCTTATGTGTCTTTGTTAGAGTTCCTGTTTGATATGGGAAAAAAATGAGACTACCTGTGTTGCCTTCTCTTGCTAGATTGGGGTGGGAAACACCTGGCTTGGGTTACCTTTTTCTATTAGATCAGGGGAGGGTAATAAGACGTCATGCTTCTATGCTGTTCCCCAGTAGTCCTAGGGTGCTTAGCCTGTTTGCCTTCCTCTTTGCACTTTTCAGAATTCTGCTTTGGCTGCCTCTTGCATTATTTCCAGAATTTATAATTGTACTTAGCTGGGAGAAGCAAGGTAAATAGTTCTAAGTAATTTTTTTGTCTTCTGGGTGCTGTTTGAAGAACAAAACCAAAAAAGGACAAGTGTAGAATTAAGGAAATTAATAAAGAGCCTAAAATTCAAGTATAAGACAATGGTGGTTTGAACCAGTGTGGTAGCACTGGAGGTGGTGAGAAGTAGTCATATTCTGGATACATTTCAGAAGTAAAGCAAATAGGACTTGCTGGTAGATGGTATGTGGTGGTGTGAGAAGAGTCATGACTTCAAGATATTTCCCCTAAGGAGCTAGAGAAATGATTCCATTGATAGAGAAGGGGAAGGTTGGGATAGAAACAATTTTGAGTGGAGACAATTTGGAGTTTGGCTTGCAGTTTGTATTTGGAGTAAATTGGAGATGCTTTTACATATGAGTCAAGTTGTGAAGTAGGTGGTTGTATATACAAGTCTAACATTTGGGTAAAAGGTGCTGCCTGGGGATAACTTTGGGGAGTTGTTAGCATATTGCATGTGCCATACATAAAACATATACAACATTTTTTATGGTAGTTCTATGTTTAATTTCTTTAGAAACCTCCATGCTGTTTTCCATAATGACTGCAAAAATCTACATTCCCACTAACAGTGTACTAGGGTTCCCTTTTCTCCACACCCTTGCCAACATTTGTTGTCTCTTGTCTTTTTGATAATAGCCATCCTAACAGGTGTGAGGTAATATCACATAGTGGTTTTAACTTGCATTTTCCAGTTGATTAGTGTTGAGCACTTTTCATATAAATATTGGCCCTTTTTATGTATTCTTCAAAGAAATGTCTGTTCAGATCCTTTGCCCATTTTTCATGAGACTGAAGTGCTGCTAACTGTGCTCAGAAGGTAAGTCCCTTTGCCTATTTTTAAATCAGGTTATTTGATTGTTCTCATTGTTCAACTCCCATTTATGAGTGAGAACATGGGGTGTTTGGTTTTCTGATCTTGTGTTAGTTTGCTGAGAATGATGGTTTCCAGCTTCATCCATGTCCCTGCAAAGGATATGAACTCATCCTTTTGTATGGCTGCATAGTATCCCATGGTGTATATCTGCTACATTTTCTCTATCCAGTCTATCACTGATAGGCATTTGGGTTGGTTCCAAGTCTTTGCTATTGTTAACAGTGCCACAATAAACATATGTGTGCATGTGTCTTTATAGTAGAATGATTTATAATCCTTTGGGTATATACCCAGTAATGAGATTGCTGAGTAAAATGGTATTTCTGGTTCTAGATCCTTGAGGAATAGCCACACCATCTTCCACAATAGTTGAACTAATTTACACTCCCACCAACAGTGTAAAAGCAGTCCTATTTCTCCACATCCTCTCCAGCATCTGTTGTTTCCTGACTTTTTAATGATCACCATTCTAACTGGCGTGAGATGGCATCTCATTGTGGTTTTGATTTGCATTTCTCTAATGACCAGTGATGATGAGCTTTTTTTCATGTGTTTGTTGGCTGCATAAATGTCTTCTTTTGAGAAGTGTCTGTTCATATCATCTGCCCATTTTTGATGAGGTTGTTTGTTTTTTTCTTGTAAATTTGTTTAAGTTCCTTGTAGATTCTGAATATTAGCCCTTTGTCAGATGGATAGATTGCAAACATTTTCTCCCATTCTGTAGATTGCCTGTTCACTCTGATGATAGTTTCTTTTGCTGTGCAGAAGCTCTTTAGTTTAATAGATCCCATTTGTCAATTCTGGCTTTTATCGCCATCACTTTTTGTGTTTTAGTCATGAAGTCTTTTCCATGCCTATGTCCTGAATGGTATTGCCTAGGTTTTCTTCTAGGGTTTTTATGATTTTAGGTCTTACTTTAAGTCTTTAATCCACCTTGAGTTAATTTTTGTATAAGGTGTAAGGAAGGGGTCCAGTTTCAGTTTTCTGCATATAGCTAGACAGTTTTCCCAACACCATTTATTAAATAGGGAATCCTTTCCCCATTGCCCTTTCTTGTCAGGTTTGTCAAAGATCAGATGGTTGTAGAAGTGTGGTGTTATTTCTGAGCCCTCGTTCTGTTCCATTGGTCTATATATCTGTTTTGGTTCCAGTACCATGCTGCTTTGGTTACTATAGCCTTGTAGTATAGTTTGAAGTCAGGTAGTGTGATGCCTCCAGCTTTGTTATTTTTCCTTAGGATTGTCTTGGTTATATGGGCTCTTTTTTTGGTTCTGTATGAAATTTAAAGTGTTTTTTTTTCCTAATTCTGTGAAGAAAGTCAATTGTAGCTTGATGGGGATCACATTGAATCTATAAATTACTTTGAGCAGTATGGCCATTTTCATGATATTGATTGTTCCTATCAATAAGCATGGAATGTGTTTCCATTTGCTTCTGTCCTCTCTTATTTTTTCTCACTAACATCCATTACATTTTCAGGGAAGTGTTTCATGGAAATCATTTTCTTTCCACTGCTTAATTAGAGTTCAAGTTAAAAATCTCAGCTTTCTCTGTAAAGATCTTGTTGCTTTTTTAAAGGTCTGATGTATGTTTTAGTATTTGTTTTGGTTAGTAAGGCATAAATACAAACTTGCCTTATTTCAGGTAATGAAAAGTTATTTTAAGGATATATGGAGAAGTAGAATAGGAACCACTACATTTTTACCAGTCTTGTATTTTGTCCCATGGTGACTCTTTGTTTCTACTTCTACTGATCTTGATAAAATTGTCTAACTGACTTTCCATATGCCTTGGAGTTAGACATGCCAGGAATGGGATCTCATGGTGTGGCAGCTCCAAACCAGGTTTAAAATACCTGAATTAGATGAAATTCTCCTGTCAGGTTATGTCATTGCCCATGAATAGTATATGAATGACTGCCTTTGCTTTAGGTGACACCAATTCTGGATTTAATTAGCTGTGGCTGTGACACCAGGATCTTGTGGGAGCAAAGTATGAAGACTTCTGGCTGCTTTTTCAAAAAAGAAAGTTGTGACCAAGTAAACTCTTCTTAGATGATGCCTGCTTATGGTCAAAGCAGTACTAAAGGGGCATAGTCATTAGAATAGACGTTTCATTCATTGCTTGTGTCTCCATTCCAATTTCTTTGTGCTTCTCTGTCATGCCCCCCAACTTCCTCAATTTCTTCCTTCCTTCCTTCTTATTCCCTTTTAGTAGTCCTTAATATATAATTTAACTATATTTCAAGTGATTTTCTCCAGTTGTAAAAGTGAAAGTTTCCCATAGAAATCTCAACTCTTTTTTATAACTCTCCTCCTAGTTTCTCACCATCTTTGGTTCTAGTAGTAGACAGGCTTATATTTTTTGATGATCCTTTCATCTAAAATTGTATCATAATTTGAATATTTTTTAATCACTTAAGGTGGCTTTTTTTTTTAACTTTTTTTGGCATTATAAGTATTTTTAATGCGTTTCATTGAAGGGCATTATTTAAGGCAAAACTATAACAAATAGCAACTGTAATGAATAAACCCCCAAATGTGATATGTCTCAAACATATAGAAGTTTATTTCTTATTTGCAAAACATTCAAAATTAATGTTGTTATAAAGATCTCCTCTAAGTGACAATTTAGAGAAATAAACTCCTCCATATCTGGCTCTTCTATCTTCAACAAATAGCTTCCCAGGTTATTGTGATCATCCTTATCAAGACAGTGGAAAGACACAGATTGTAGAAGGTCATGTGTGAAAGATATCTGGGGTAATCCCTAGACAGGGCAGAAATCACTTTCACTTTAATTCTGTTAGAGCTCAATCTTTTGGCCACATTAAACTGCAAGGAAAGCTTGTGAATATAGCCTAGAGAAGTGCTCAGAAAGAAGAGAATAACTGAGATTTTACTGAATAGTTGTCCACTAATTAAGCTCTGCCACAGGGATTAATTTTATATTTCTAAAATGTGTTTATCATATTTCCATCATTTTATGAATAATGGGAGTGTTTTGGATCCTTGCAAATATTCTTCCATTTAATTTGTTCTGAACATATTAAAAAGTTTTTGGCAGATTGCCGAAAGATAGTTTCTTTAAATTTCTACGTTTTAGAAATAAGTTCTTATCAGTAGCAATTGAGATATCAGTTACAACATATTGAAGACATTTTGCAGTTATGACCCCCTTAACACAGTCATCTCAAACACACAAGATTAACTATTGGAACTGTAACACTAAATATCTTTCTGTGTTTTGTCATCTTTAATTGCATGAGACTTTCATAGCAATTAATGTCTCATTAATTATTAATATGTGCAAAGTTCTATAGATTTAATAAGTTACTGCAAAAAGATATCCACTACAGTATTATTTAGGATGCTGAAAAAAAGAAATACAGTGGATTACAGGCTGGGTACAGTGGATTATGCTTGTAATCCCAGCTCTTTGGGAGGCTGAGGCAGGAGGATCCCTTGAGTGCACAAGTTTGAGACTAGCCTTGGGCAACTCAGTGGGACCCTGTGTATACAAAAAATAATAATAATAATTATATGGGTGTGGTGGCATGTGCCTGTAGTCCCAGCTACATGGGAGGCTGAAGTGGGAGAATTGCTTGATCCCAGGAGATCAAGGCTGCAGTGAGCCATGATGACACCACTGCACTTCTACCTAGGTGACAGAGTGAGACCCTGTTTCAAAAAACAAACAAAAAAAAAATGTCAAACAATAGTATACATACATAATAGAATATTACGATGTAATTTAAAACAAAATTTATGGTTTAAGGAGATGCTTATAAGATAAGTAAGACCCTGATTGTAAATATGTTAACAAGTGCATGTTGTTATAAAGGTAGTAGGTGAGCCCAAATACTAATAGTGGTTGTGTGTGAATGATGCAATTTGAGACATTTTACTTCTATTTTCATATATATATATATATATATATATAGAGAGAGAGAGAGAGAGAGAGAGACAGGGCCTTATTCTGTCACACAGGCTGGAGTGCAGAGGCATCATCATGGCTCACTGCAGCCTCGACCTCCTGGGCTTATGCGATCCTCCCACCTCAGCCTCTGGAGTAGCTGGGACCACAGGCATGTGCCACCACACACGGATAGTTTATTTTTTTGTAGAGCAGGAGTTTTTTCATGTTTCCCAGGCTGGTTTCCAACTCCTGAGCTCAAGAAATCAACCCACCTTGGCCTCTCAAAGTGCTGAGATTAAAGGGAGGAGCCACTGCACCAAGCCTCTTATTTATTTATTCATTTATTATTTATTTACCTACTAGAGTAATTCCACTTACCTCCTTATATCATTCCATTCACCGAATGGTGAGGGAAGAGTTTCACATTTCCTTTAAAGTCTGTTATCTCTCAAATATAAAATTTTAAAAAATATCCAAGAAAGGCAGGAAGAAAATGTGCCAGAATATTAGTAGTGTTTGCCTCTGGATGGTGAAATAAAAAGTAGGTTTTTCTCTATGTGCATATTTATCTCTTTTTAATTAAGAAAAAAGTTAAAAACAGATGCAAACTTTAGAGCTGGACAGAATGGGCCACAAATTCTAGCTCTACCATGTACTAGCTATGTAAACTTGAGCAAGTCACTTTGAGTCTGTTTTCTTACCTAAAAATGGAGAATGTAAAAGTATCTATCTCACGGGACTACTATGAGGATACATTAAATAATGTATGCAATGTGCATAGCACAGTGTCTTTCACATGGTGTTAGCATTCAGTAAATATTGTTATGTATGATTAGCATTTGTTATACATTTTCCACAACACAAATACATCTTTAATGATCAGAAAAATGTTTAAATCTTAAGAATAATTTTCAAAATGTATTATTACATCATAGCATTGAAATAGATCACGATCAACCCTAAATGCTGGTGACAAAGGGGTCTAGGTATCTATTAGCATAGACACTACTTGCAGTAGTTTTCGAAGTCTAACTCACTACTCTCCCGTAGCCATACCAAGCACAATGCATACATTGGCCTTTTTTCAAAAAGCTTGTTTGAAGTGTAGTACTTTTGGCTTCCTCTGAGGAGAATCCAGGATGACAGCTGGTTGCAAGCTGAAGTGCTCCATGCTTTTTACACTTCTGAGACCAGACCTTCCAATGTGTGCCACACCACTGACATGATTTTTGAAATGTGTAAAAGTGACATTGTAGTATATAAAAAGAGACACAATAAAGTCAACCCATCTGAAAATACCTCTTGGGGAATCAACCACATGGTCCAGTGCTGTTGTGGTTCAGTGTTTACACAGTTGTTAGCAGGCTATTTTGTGGTCGTGCTTCTACCCCAATTCAAGTCCTCACCATTACTTGCATGGAACATCACACCAACTTCTGAAAAGGTCTCTCTGCCCTCTTTTCTCCCCTTCCAGATCATTTTCCACATTTCCAAGCATGCTGTATCTGGGAAATATAAATTAGACCATTTCACTGACCTGACAAAGTGTTTTTCATTGCCTATATGTTTTAAGCCAGGATATAAGTATCAGTGGTTAGATGTGCTAGAGTGAATAAATGAGTGAATGAATTAATAATCTAATCTGTCCTCCTCCTCTTTTGTAGATGAGGCTATTGAAGCCTTGGGAAGGCAGTCTTTTGGTCATGGTCACTGAGGAAGTCAGGGAAAATATCAGATTAGATCCTATGATTCCTGAGTTCTACCTACCTACTTTAACTTCTGGCTCTGGGCTGCCCTTGGGAATGAATATCTACTGAGCCCAGAGCCTTACCAAGCCTAGAGCACTGAGAACTTGCTGGATCTGGAAAAGAACTGGGTGGCTTTGCCATGTCAGCTTGCTCTGCATATCTCAGACTTTGTCATTTTTGCAATGTGAAAACAACAAGAGCAAAACAGTAGGTACCATTTATTGAGAGCTTCCTCTGTGTCAAATATTCTACTACGTTTTTTATGTTCAACATCTTATTTAATCATTTTAACAATTATAAAAAGTCAATGCCATTGCTATCCCTACTTTACAAATGAGTGAAGAGACTTGCTAAAATTGACACACCTAATGAGTCATGAAATTAGGATTTGAACTTAGGTCTATCTGACTCCTGGGTCTGTGACAGAATCCTCCAAAGAAAGCTTGCTAGTCCTGTAGTCTTTCACAATCTCTGCACTATTTAAACATGCTCATCATCCCATCTCAGGTTCCCATCCCCGAGTTTCAAAAAAGCTAGTAGCTTAGAACAAGAGCAAAGAGCACAATAATTTGCATTAATTCCCTACAGACAAAATGTGCTAAGGAAAACTTTGGAATTTGTTTTTTTTTTTAATTTCCTATTAAACAAAACCAACACAAAATAGGCTTTTACAAAGGTTGGCTGCAAAGTGAAATGTTTCCAAGTGTCAAGTGCTCTGCCACCATGAAAAGCTGTGCTGGCACATTAACCAGATGAGGGATTTTTACCCTCACTCCTTCTCAACTCCTGTCACTATTTCAGAACTACATAGGTAAATGAAGCTAGAGGAGAAAAAAAAAAATGGCTGCAAATAATGAAAGGAAATTAGACATATGCTTGAACCAAAGACAGGCAACAGACTATGTGGTAAAATGGAGAAACACAAGAATCTGGAGACTTGGATCAGAGGTTTGGCTCTGACACTGACTTACTCTGGCACCTCAGACTACTTCTTTCCCTTCTCTTTACCACAGTTCATTCTCTGAAAGTTATGTCTTATTCTATGAGAGGTAGCTAACAGGTGGGGAAAATCACCCTACCCCAAAACGTAAGAAACCTAGATTCCAGTCCCAGTCTTACCAGTAACTTGCTATGTGACTCTGGATAAGTACGTTTCCCTCTCTGAATCTTTGTGTCCTCACTGGTTAAACTAGATGCTCTAGTCTTCCATTCTAGAATGCTTTGTCATTTTAAAGTTTCTACAAAACTGTTGATTTTTATTATTTGTGTCTTCCTGCTGTAGCAAATAATCATTAACTTAGTAAATAATAAAACAAGCAATAACAATAGATTACCTTATAGTTCTAGAGGGCAGAAGTCCAACAGAGATCTCACTGGACTAAAATCAAGGTGTTGGTAGGGCTCAGTTATTTTCTGGAGGTTCTAGGGGTGAATAATTTTTTTTTTTATTTTGCAGCTTCAGGAGGTCATCTACATTTCTTGGCTCATGGCCCCTTTCCTTCATCTTCAAAGCCAGCAGCATGGAATGTTCAAATCTCTCTCCCACTCTGACATTCTTATCTCCCTCTTATAAGGACCATTGTGATTACACTGAGGCTATTCGGACATTCCAGGAAAATCTTCCCATTTTAAGATCCTTAAATTAATCACATTTATAAAGTGCTTTTTGCCACATAAGGTAACATGTTCACAGGTCCAGGGAATCAGGATGTGAACATCTTGGGGGTCTTTATTCATCTTACCACAGCATATTTTCATAAGATGAAGCTCAGTGCCTAAAGTGAAAAAATGCTTAAAGGAAGGGTTAGATGTTTG
Source organism: Homo sapiens (assembly GCF_000001405.40). Taxonomy (NCBI): domain Eukaryota; kingdom Metazoa; phylum Chordata; class Mammalia; order Primates; family Hominidae; genus Homo; species Homo sapiens. Next base: position 66,777,106 of record NC_000023.11, on the reverse strand, counting down.
CAAGACCTTGTGAGTACAGAGAATAATGGGGTGCCCCAAATATTAACACCACCTTAAGCTGTGTTAATAAGTATAGAATGTCCAGAATGTGGGAGGAGACAGTGCTGAACTAGGCCAAGAGACTGTGGACTAAGAGGACATGCGACATACTGAGACACTAGCTGGGGCAGCCAAGGGAGTGCTGGCATCACCCATCCTCAACCCTAGGCTTCACAGCTCAGTTCCAAAAGAGACTCCTTCATTCTGCTTGAGGAGAGGAAAGGGAAATGTGCAGAGGACTTTGTCTTGCATCTAGGATACTGGATACCAGCTCAGCCACAGCAGGATAGGGCACTGGCCAGAGTCATGAGGTCCCTGTTCCAGGATCTAGCTCCATGACAACATTTTGAGACACACCTTGGGCCATAAGGAAACTTGCTGCCTTGAAGAAAAGGGCCCAGTCATGACAGCATTCATCACCTGCTAACTGAAGAACTCTTCGGTCTTAATCAGAACCGATACCCAGGTCCTACATCCAGGGTCTTGGGTGAGCCTCTGAGACTTGCTGGCTTCAGGTGAAACTCAGAACATTACTAGCTGTTGTGGCTATGGGGTGAAACTCCTTCTGTTAGAGAAAAAGAGAGGAAAATGTAAAGGGGGCTTTGTTTTGCACCTTAGGCACGAGCACAGCCATAGTGGGGGTAGAGAACCTGGGAACTGAGTGAACATAGGCAGTAGCCAGGGAATGGTAACAGCAGGACTTGGACAAGACCCAGTGCTGTGCTGGCTTCAGGTCTGACCCAGTGCAGTCATAGATGTGGTGGCCACAGGGCTATCTGTTTCACTCCATCCCAGTTTTAGGTGGCTCAGAACACAGACAGACTCTATGTTTGGGAGAAAGTAAGGGAAGAGAACAACCGCCTCTGCCTGGTAATCCAGAGAATTATCCCAGATCTTGTCCAAGACCATCAAGGCAGTACTTCTACAAGTCTGCAAGAATCACAGTATTATTGGGCTTGGGGTACCCTGTAAAGCATATACCATTTAGATAACAATATCAAAGTTCTTTCAAATACCTGAAAAACTTTCCCAAGAAATATGGCTACAAAAACCCCAGAGAGTGAAGACTATAATAAATACCTAACTGTTTAATGCCCAAACACTGAAGGACATCTACTAGCATCAACACTATGCAGGAAAACATGAACTTACAAATTGAACTAAGTAAGGCACCAGGGACCAATCCTCGAGAAATAAAGATATGGGACTCTTCACACAGAGAATTCAAAATAGCTGTGTTGAGGAAACTCAAAGAAATTCAATATAACACAGAGAACTAATTCAGAATTCTATAAGATAAATTTAACAAATATATTAAACCAATTAAAAATGATCAAGCAGAAATTTTGGACCTGAACAAAGCAACTGGCATACCGAAGAAAGAATCAGAGCCCTTTAATAGCAGAATTGATCAAGAAGAAGAAAGATTTAGTCAGCTTGAAGACAGACTATTTGAAAATACACAGAGGACACAAAAGAGAAAAGAATAAAAAGATGAAGCATGCTTACAGGATCTATAAAATATCTTCAAAAGGGCAAATCTAAGAGTTATTGGCCTTAAAGAGAAAGTAGGAAAAGAGATAAGGTAGAAAGTTTATTCAAAGGGATAATAACAGGGAACTTCCCAAACCTAGAGAAAGATATCAATATCCAAGTAGAAGAAGGTTGTAGAATACCAAGCAAATTTAACCCAAAGAGGACTACCTCAAGGCATTTAATAATCAAACTCCCAAAGGTTAAAGATAAAGAAAGGATCCTAAAATCAACAAGAGAAAAGAAACAAATAGCATACAATGGAGCTGAAATACATCTGGCAGCAGACTTTTCAGTGGAAACCCTATAGGTCAGGAGACAGTGCCATGACATTTGAAGTGCCAAAGGAAAGAAAAGTAAACATTTACCCTAACATAGTATATCAAGTGGAAATATCCTCTAAACATAAAGGAGAAAAAAAAAGACTTTCTCAGACAAACCCAAGTTGAAGGATTGTGTTAATACCAGACCTGTCCTACAAGAAATGCTAAACGGAGTACTTCATTCAGAAAGGAAAAGATACTAATGAGCAATAAATAATCACCTGAAGGTACCAAACTTACTGACAATAGCAAGTGCACAGGAAAACATACACTTATTGTAACACTGTAATTGTGGTGTATAAACTAGTCTTATTCTAAGCAGAAAGATTAAATGATGAACCAATCAAAAATAATAACTACAACAGCTTTTCAAGATATAGATAGTACAATAAGATATCAATATTATACAAACAATGAAAAGTTAAAAAGTGATGGTAAGAAGTTAAGGTGAGTTTTTATCAATTTTCTTTTTGCTCCTTTGTTTGTTTATGTAAATAGTGTTAAGTTGTTATCAGGTTAAAATAACAGGTTATAAGATAGTATTTGTGAGCATCGTGGTAACTTCAAACCAAAAAATATACAATTGATACACAAAAAATAAAAAGCAAGAAAATAAATCACATCACCAGAGAAAATCACCTTCACTATAGGAAGAGAAAGAAAGGAAGAAAAGGAAGGAGGGAGGGAAGGAAGGGAGGGAGGGAGGGAGAGAGGGAGGGAAGGAGGGATAGAACTAGAGGAAAACAAATAACAAAATGACAGGAGTGAGTTCTTACATATAAATTATAACATTCAATGTAAATGGACTAAACTCTCTAATCAAAAGACATAGACTGGCTTAACACGTGAAAAGACAAGACCCATTGATGAACTGGCTGAACAGGTGAAAAATCAAGACCCCACAAGAAACAAACTTCACCTATAAAGACACACACAGACTGAAAATAAAGGCATGGAAAAAGATACTCTATGCCAATGGAAACCCAAAAAGAGTTGGAGTAGCTATATTTATATCTGACAAAATAGATTTGAAAGAAAAACTGTAAGAAGAGACAAAGGAGATCACTATGTAATGATAAAGGGTTCAAGTCAGCAAAAGGATTTAACAACTTTAAGTATATATGCACACAACACTGGAGCACCCTGATATAAAAAGAAAATATTATTAGAACTAAAGAGAGACATAGGTCCCAGTACCAAAATAAATGGAGGCTTTAAGACCCCAATTTCAGCATTGGACAGATCTTCTAGAGAGAAAATAAACAAAAAAACTTCATATGTAATCTGCACTATAGACCAAAAGGATCTAATACATTTTACAGAACATTTTATCCAAGAGCTGAAAAATACACAATCTTTTCCTCAACACATGGATCATTCTCAGGGACACACCATATGTTAGGTCACAAAAAGTCTTAAACATTTTTTACAAAATAAAATAATATTAAGCATCTTCTCTGCCCACAATGGAATAAAATTAGAAATTAATAACAAGAAAATTTTGGAAACTACAAAAGTATGTAAAAATGAAACAATATGCTCCTGAATGACCAGGGATATAATCAAGAAATCAAAAAGAAAATTGAAAAATTTACTTAAACAAATGACAATGTAAACACAACATACAAAAATTTATAGGGTACAGCAAAAGCAATACTAAGAAGAAAGTTTACAGTTACCAGTGCCTACATCAATAAAGAGGAAAAACTTCAAATAAACAATCTTACTATGTATCTTAAAGAACTAGAAAAGCAAGAGGAAATGAAAGCCAAAGTTAGTAGAAGAAATGAAATAATAAATATCAGAGCAGAAGTAAATGAAATTGAAATGAAAAAGACAATACAAAAGATTAATTTGAAAAGTTGTTTTTTGAAAAGTTAAACAAAATTGAAAAACCTTTTAACAAATTAAGAAAAAAAGAGAGAAGATCCTAATACCTAAAATGAGAAATGAAAAAAAAGAGACATCACAACTGATACTGCATAAATTAAAAATACCATTAATGGCTACTATGAGCAACTATATGCCAATAAATTGAAAACCCTAGAAGAAATGGACAAAGTTCTAGACACGTACATCCTACCAAGAATGAACCAGGATACATTCAAAACCTGAAAAGATCAGTAACAAGTAACAAGATCAAAGCCATAATAAAAGGACTCCCAGTAAAGAAACACCTGGGATTTGATGGCCTCATTGCAGAATTCTACCAAACATTTAAAGAATACCAATTCTACTAAAACTATTCCAAATGATAGAGGAGGAGGGGATGATTCCAAACTCATTCTATGAGGCCAGTATTACTGTCACATGAAAACCAGATGAAAACACTTCAAAAAAAAAAAAAAGAAAGAAAGAAAGAAAGAAAAGAAAACTACAGGCCAATATCTCTGATGAATAGTGATGCAAAAATTCTCAAAAAAATACTAGCAAACTATTTCCAACAATACTTTTAAAAGAACATTCATCATGACCAAGTGGGATTTATCCCTGGGATGTAAGGATGGTTCAATCTATGCAAATTAGTCAATGTGATACATCCTGTCAACAAAATGAAGAATAAAAACCATATGGTAATTTCAATTGATGCTGAAAAAGTATTTGATAAAATTCAACATCCCTTCATGATAAAAACCTTCAAAGAATTGGGAATAGAAGGAATATACCTCAACACAATATAAGCCTATATGAAAGACTCACAGCTAGTATCATATTGAATGGGGAAAAACTGAAAGCCTTTCCTCCAAGATCTGTAACATGACAAGGATGCCCACTTTCACCACTGTTATTTAATATAGTACTGGAAGACCTAGCCAGAACAATCTGACAAAAGAAAGGAATAAAGAGCATCCAAATTGGAAAGGAAGAATTAAAATTATCCTTGTTTGCAGATGATGTGTTCTTAGATATGGAAAAAAAGACTCCACAAGAAAACTGTAGAACTGAGAAACAAATACAGTAAGGTTGCAGGATGCAAAAGCAGCATACAAAAATCAGTAGCATTTCCATATGCCAACAGTGAACAATGTGAAAAAGTAATTTAAAAATTAATCCCATTTACAACAAGCACACATAAAATTAAATACCAACAATTAACTTAACCAAAGAAGTGAAAGAACTCTATAGTAAAAAGTATAAAACACTGATAAAAGCAATTGAAGAGGACACAAAAAATGGAAATATATTCCATTGTTCTTGGATTGAAATAATATTGTTAGAGTGTCCATATTCCTCAAAGAAATCTACAGATTCAATACAATCCCTATCAACATACCAATGACATTCTTCATAGAAATGGAAATAAAATCCTAAAACGTATATGAAAGCCCAAAAGGCCCAGAACAGGCAAAGATATCCTAAAGAAAAAAAAAAAAAACTGGGGCTGGGTGCAGTGCCTCATGCCTGTAATCCCAACACCTTGAGAGGCCGAGGAGGCAGGTGGATCATTTGAGGTCAGGAGTTCAAGATCAGCCTGGGCAACATGGTGAAACCCTGTCTCTACTAAAAATACCAAAATTAGCCAGGCATGGTGCCATGCACCTGTAGTCCCAGCTACTCAGGAAGCTGAGGCAGAAGAATTACTTGAACCCGGGAGGGAGAGGTTGCAGTGAGCAGAGATAGCACCACTGCATTCCAGTTTGGGTGACAGAGTGAGACTTCGTCTGAAAAAAATAAAAATAAAAAGTATAATAAAAAATAACAAAACTGGAAGAATCACATTACTTGATGTCAAATTATACTACAGAGCTCTAGTAAAAAAACAGCATAGTACTGGCACGAAAACAGACACGTAGTCCACTGGAACAGAATCAAAGTCTCAGAAGCAAATCTACACACTGACCATGAACTCATTTTCAACAAAGGTTTCAAAAACATACACTGGGGAAGATACAGTATCCTCAATAAATGTTGCTGGGGAAACTGGATATAAATATGCAGAACAATGAAACTAGTCCCCTATCTCTCACCATATACAAAACTGAAATGAAAATGGATTAAAGACCTAAGTCTAAGTCTTCAAACTATAAAACTACTACAAGAAAATATTTGGGAAACTCTGCAGGAAATTAGACTGTGCAAAAATTTCTTCAGCAATACCCACAATCAAGGCAACCAAAGCAAAAATGAACAAATGGGATCACATTAAGTTAAAACGCTTCTGCACACCAAAGGAAAGAAGCGAAGAGACAACATACAGCATACAGAATGGGAGAAATTATTTCTAAACTACCCATCTGACAAGGGATTAATTAACATAATATATAACGAGCTCAAACCAATCTATAGGAAAAAATCTAATAATACACTCAAAAAATGGGCAAAAGATTTGAAAAGAAATTTCTCAAAAGAAAACACACAAATGTAAAACAGGCATATGAAAACGTGCTCAACATAGTTGATCATCAGAGAAATGCAAATCAAAACTACTGAAATATCATATCACTCCAATTAAAATGTCTTATATCCAAAAAGCAGGCAATAATAAATGCTGGTGAGGATGTGGAGAAAAGGGAACCCTTGTACACTGTTAGTGGGAATGTAAATTAATACGATGACTATGGAGCTTTGAGGTTTCTCAGGAAACTAAAAATAAAGCTACCATATGATTCAGCAATCCTACTACTGGGTATATGCCCCTCAAAATGGAAATGAGTATATTGAAGAGATATCTGAACTCCTACGTTTGTTTCAGGACTGTTTACAATAGCTAAGATTTGAAAGCATCATAAGTGTCTATCAGCAGATGAATGGATAAAGAAAATGTAGTACATATACATAATGGAGTACTATTTAGCCATAACAAAGAATAAGATCCAGTCATTTATAACAACATGGATGGAACTGGAGATTATTATGTTATGTGAAATATGCCAGGCACAGAAAGACAATTGCATGTTCTGGTTTATGTGTGGAATCTAAAAATCAAGGCAATTGTACTCATGAGGATAGAGAGCAGGATAGTTACCAGAGACTGGGAAGGGTACTGGGGAGCTGTGCAGGAGGTGGGGATGGATAATGGGTACAAACAAATAGGAAGAATGAATAAGACCTACTGTTTGATAACATAACAGGGTGACTAATATCAACAATAACTTACTTCCAAATTTTTAGATAACTTGGAGTGTAATTGCATTGTTTGTAACTCAAAGGATAAATGCTTGAGAGGGTAGATACCCCATTCTCCATGATGTGCTATTTCACATTGCATGCCTATATCAAAACATCTCAAGTACCCCATAAATATATACACCTATTTTGTACCCACAAAAATTAAAATAATAAAAATAAAAGAAAAATTCAAAGAAAAGAATGCTGATGGAAATCAGTGACGCCTGGCTAGCTCTTTATGGAGATCTTCCTCCAGGATCAGTGGGCTTCTGAAACCAGAAACGGCTTAACATAATAATTACAAGTGCAGGCTTGTGAACCTAGGTGTCTAAATTCAAATTCCAATTTTGCCATTTACCAGCTCTGTAACTATGTAAAAAGCACTTCCCTGTGTGTCAGTTCCCTAGAGAGAAAAATGAGCATGATAAGAAAACACACTATGTGTCGTAGGACTGTTGTAACTATTGCCATTTTTAAGCATTCAGAAGACTGCCTACCATATACCGAATGCATAACAAGGGTTAGCCATTGTAATTACTATTATTATAATTATTCTGTTCAATTTCTCAAATAACAAAGCTCATCAAAGAAAAGTCAGCTAGAGTTCAGAATAAAAGACTGATTACATGGGCCATGATAGCTTTAGTTAGCAGAAGAAAGTCACTTTTCTCTTTGGATGGAGGCCACATCTTTGTCTTTCTCTGAGAACTAAAATGAATTCTTGTGTATAAACAGAGGGGTGTATGAAATGACTTTTTTCTTTTCACGGTAAAGATTTCAGATGCCCCAGCCTGGGTCCTAGGTCTGGAGAACAAGCTAGAGAAAGGATCAGCTGGCCTAAATGTCCATCTGAAATGTTGACTCTAAAAAGTGAAGTCACAAGGACTGAATTAGTAGTGGCAGCTGGAGGATTTTCTGCAGGGTTCAGCAGGGATCAACCTTCTGCTACACCAGTCCAGTGCCAAGAAATGGCCTGGTAAGTGGGCTTGTGTAAATAAGTTGAACTAGATTACTTTAGCACCAACTTCTTACACATACCTAGACTCTGGGCTACAAAATAACTTATAGTTACATTTGTACAGTGAGTGCCTAACCTGGCTGAAGATCAGAATCAGCTAAGGAGCTTGCTAAAAATAAATATTCCCAAAGCCCATTCCAGACCTACTAAATTGGAATCTGTGGTGGAGGATGGGGAGAGGTTGTGATGGTTAATTTTATGTGTTGACTTTGATTGGGTCCCAGTACCCAGATATTTGGTTATACATTATTCTGGATGTTTCTGGGAGAGTGTTTTCTATGAGCTTTACATTAAATTGGTGAACTTTGAGTAAAGCAGTTTGCTGTCCATAATGCGGTGTGCCTCATTCAATCAGTTGAAGGCCTGAATAGAACAAAAGGCTGACCTCCTTCCAGCAAGAAGGAATTTTCTAGCAGATTCCTTTCAGATGTCATCTGCTACATCAGTCCTGGGATTTCATCAGTTCTTCCAGGTTCCCTAGCAGACTGTCTTTGGCCTTAAACTGCAAATCTTTCCTGAGTCTCCAGCCTTCCAGCATCCCCCATTAGATTTTAGACTGGCCAAGCCTCCACAATCACATGAGCCAGTTCCTCAAAACAAGCAGGCAAGCAAGCAAACAAACAATTATATTGATTCTGTATCTATGGAGAATCTTGGCTAATAGAGGAGACAAGAATATGTGTTCTATACAATCATTCCAGAAGATTCTGAGGGGGAAGCTATATTTAGAAACTAATGATTCAAATAGTATTTTTTTTTTTCTGTTACTGAGATCTCCTATAAAACTTTCTCTCCAGTAGCTATTCAGGCCCTGCCTATACATTTCTAGTGACAGGAATCTCATTACCTCCAAGGACCAAAGGCAGATCAGAAGCAGCCCAGTTTATCTTTGCATATCTCTGACTGTTCTGGCTATGTATTATTGTGTATCAAACTATTCTCCAATGCTTTTGTAACTTAAAACACAACCACTTTATTATACCTTATTATTTTGGTTGGTTAGGAATTCAGGTAAGATCTGGCTGGCTGAATTTTCTGCTCCACCTGATACTAACTGATGTCACTTGATGGTATTCAGCTGAGAAATTGGTTGGTCTGAAGGGGCCGAGATGGCTTTATTCATATTCCTGATTCTTTTGCAGAGAATGCTGAAAGGCTGGCATCAGCTGGCACTAAAAGTGAGGTTGCCTATATATGTTATTTTCAGCATGGTGATCTCAGACTACTAAGACTTCTTACATGACATCCCAGGGTCTCCAGAAAGTGTTCGAGGGACACGAAATGGAAACTGTTAATCTATTAGAGCCTAGGCCCTGAAATTGGCATAGGGCCACTGTCACCATATTCTACTGATTAAAGCAGCCACAGAGCCTAACCAGAGCCAAAGAAAGGGGACATAGGCAACATCTCTCAATGGAAGGAATATAAAAGAAATTGTGGCCTTCTTTAATATGACACCCCACATTGAAAGTTATTTATTATATCAAGCTAAAATCTGTCTCCCTGAACTTCCAGGAGCAAACATCTATCTACATTCAAATCAGATGCAGGGAAAGTAAAGTTTTTGCACCCCAGGAAGAAAATTATTCTCCTAAAACCATTATGTTATCCAAGATCCAGTGCCTACTCCTTACTGGCTAGCTAACAGACCTTACTCATTCCCTCCAAGATATCCCTTAAAATGTTTCTAGATAGTGCCTCTTATATTCAGTGCCCTTAAGAGGGACCTTGTGGAGTTATGGTGATAAGACAAACTGTATGAATTTTAGGCATAGTAGTTAGGGTGTGAGAAGTTTAGGAAAGTGTTAGGAGCCTACAGCTTCCCAGTATCTTTTGTACCATGCTAGAGAGGACATATGTTCCTCATCTCAGTAACAGGCATTTAGGAATTTTCCCTTAACAATTTTAAGCCAGGATAAACTTACATTCACTAAACACCCTAAAGCCAGACCCATTCCTAACGTTGTCTTCCCTTCAGCAAATTATAAAAGCAATATATTTCCTGTTGTATCCTGGTTCAAGCCCTGTTGGCCCATTTCTATTAGACTGTATTTCCTTCTGACTTCTAAGATCTAAGTGAGGTTCTATTTCTAGGCAGAATCAAGAGAACAACAATAAAAAAGTCTCAGGTTGTCCGCCATTACTGAGGCTTTAGTAGGTGGTTTTCCCCTGACAGTGCTAAGGAGGCTGGGAAGTCTGGGCTAGGTGCAGCAAAGTGACTGTGGCTAGATTGTTTCTCTAGATTCCTCCTAACTAGGCAGGGCATCTCTGAAGGAAAGGTAACAGCCCTGGTCAGGGGCTTACAGACAAAACCCCAATCTCCCTGGGATAGAGAACCTCGGGGAAGGGGCGGCTGTGGTCACAGCTTCAGTAAATTTAATCATTCCTGTCTGCCGGCTCTGAAGAAAGCAGCTGATACTGACAAGAGAGATTCTCCCAGCAGAGCACACCAGCTCTGCTAAGGGAAAGAGGGCCTCCTCAAGTGGGTCCCTGACACCCATGCCTCCTGACTGTGAGGCACTTCCCAACAGGGGTCGACAGACACCTCATACACCTCATACCAGAGAGCTCCAGCTGGCATCAAGCCAGTGCCCCTCTGGGACAAAGCTTCCAGAGGAAGTAGCAGGAAGCAATCTTTTTTGTTCTGCAGCTCCCATTTGTGATACCCAGGCGAAAAGGGTCTGGAGTGGTCCTCCAGCAAACTGCAGCAGACCTGCAGAAGAAGGGCCTGTTAGAAGGAAAACTAACAACCAGTAAGCAACAACATCAACATCAACAAAAAGGACATCCAAACAAAAACCCCATGCAAAGGCCATCACCCTCAAAGACCAAAGGTAGATAAATCCATGAAGATGAGGAAAAAAAAAACAGTGCAAAAATGCTGAAAATTCCAAAAACCGGAATGCTTCCTCTCCTCCAAATGATCAAAACTCCTCTCCAAAAAAAGGAAAAAAAAAACCTGGATGTAGAATGAGATTGATGAATTGACAGACACAGGCTTCAGAAGGTGGGTAATAACAAACTCTTCTGAGCTAAAGGAGTATGTTGGAACCCAATGCAAAGAAGCTAAGAACCTTGACAAAAGGTAACAGGAACTGCTAACCAGAATAAAGAGTTTAGAGAGAAACATAAACGAACTGATGGAGCTGAAAAACACAGCATGAGAACTTCGTGAAGCATACACAAGTATCAATGGCTGAAACGATCAAGCAGAAGAAAGGATATCAGAAATTGAAAATCAACTTACTGAAATAAAGTGTGAAGACAAGATTAAAGAAAAAAGAATGAAAAGGAACAAACAAAGCTTCCAAGAAATATGGGACTGTGTGAAAAGACCAAACTTAAAATTGTTTGGTGTACCTGAAAGTGACAAGAAGAATGGAACCAAGTTGGAAAACACACTTCAGGATTTTATGTAGGAGAACTTCCCCAATCTAGCAACACAGGCCAACATTCAAATTCAGGAAATATAGAGAACACTACTAAGGTACTCCTCGAGAAGAGCAACACCAAGAAACATAATCGTCAGATTCTCCAGGTTGAAATGAAGAAAAAAATGTTAAAGGCAGCCAGAGAGAAAGGTCAGGTTACCTACAAAGGGAAGTCCATCAGACTAACAGCAGACCTCTCTGCAGAAACCCTACAAGCCAGAGGAGAGTGGGGGCCAATATTCAACATTCTTGAAGAAAAGAATTTTCAATCCAGAATTTCATATGCAGCCAAACTAAGCTTCATAAGAGAAGGGGAAATAAAATTCTTTCCAGACAAACAAATGCTGAGCAATTTTGTCACCACCAGGCCTGCCTTACAAGAGCTCCTGAAGGAAGCACTAAATATGGAAAGGAAAAACCAGTACCAGTAACTGCAAAAACACACCAAAATATAAAGACCAATGACACTATAAAGAAACTGCATCTACTAATATGCAAAACAACCAGCTAGCATGATGATGACAGAATCAAATTCACAGATAACAATATTGACCTTCAATTTAAATGGGGTAAATGCTCCAATTAAAGACACAGACTGGCAAATTGGATAGAGAGTCAAGACCCATTGGTGTGCAGTATTCAGGAGACCCATCTCACATGCAAAGACACACATAGGCTCAAAATAAAGGGATGGAGGAATATTTACAAAGCAAATGAAAAGAAAAAAAAGCAGGTGTTACAATCCTAATCCCTGGTAAAACAGACTTTAAACCAACAAAGATCAAAAAAGACAAAGCAGAGCATTACATAATGGTAAAGGGATCAATGCAACGAGAAGAGCTAACTATCCTAAATATATATGCACCCAAAGCAGAAGCACCCAGATTCATAAAACAAGTTCTTAGAGACCTACAAAGAGACTTAAACTCCCACACAATAATAGTGGGAGACTTTAACATCCCACTGTCAATATTAGACAGATTAATGAGACAGAAAATCAGCAAAGATATTCAGGGCTTGAACTCAATTCTGGAGTAAGTGGAACTAATAGACATCTACAGAACTCTCCACCCCAAATCAACAGAATATACATTCTTCTCAATGCCACATGGCACGTATTCTAAAATTGACCACATAATTGAAAATAAAACACTTCTCAGCAAATGCAAAAGAACCGAAATCATAACAAACAGTCTCTCAGACCACAGTGCAATGAAATTAGAATGCAGGATTAAGAAACTTACTCAAAACCACACAACTACATGTAAATTGAACAACCTGCTCCTGAATGACTACTGGGTAAACAATGAAATTAAGGCATAAATAAATAATTTCTTTGAAATCAATGAGAACAAAGAGACAATGTACCAGAATCTCTGGGACACAGCTAAAGCAGTGTTAAGAGGGAAATTTATAGCACTAAATGCCTGCAACAGAAACCAGGAAAGATCAAAAATCGACACCCTAACATCACAATTAAAAGTGCTAGAGAAGGAAGAGCAAACAAATTCAAAAGCTAGTAGAAGATAAAAATATAATGAAGATCAGAGCAGTACTGAAGGAGATAGGGACACTAAAATCCCTTCAAAAATCAATGAATCTAGGAGCTGGATTTTTTAAAAGATTAACAAAATAGATGGACCACTAGATGGACTAATAAATAAGAAAACAGAGAACAATCAAATAGATGCAATAAAAAATGATGAGGGAATATCACCACTGATCCCAAGAAATGCAAACTACCATCAGAGAATACTATAAACACCTCTACACCAATAAAGTAGAAAATATAGAAGAAATGGATAAATTACCGGACACATACACCTTCCAAAGACTAAACCAGAAAGAAGTCAAAGCCCTGAATAGAGCACTAACAAGTTCTGAAATTGAGGCAGTAATTGATAGCGTACCAACCAAAAAAAAAAAAAAAAAAAACCCCAGGACTAGACATATTCACAGCTGAATTATACCAGAGGTACAAAGAGGAGTTGGTATCTTTCCTTCTGAAATGATTCCAAACAATAGAAAAAGAAGGCATCTGCCCTAACTCATTTTCTGAGGCCAGCATCATCCTGATACCAAAACCTGGCTGAGACACAACAAAAAAAGAAAATTTCAGGCCAATATCCCTGATGAACATCGATGCAAATAATCTCAATAAAATGCTGGCAAACCAAATCCAGCAGCACATCCAAAACTTATGCACCACGATTAAGTACACTTCATCCCTGGGATGCAAGGCTGGTTCAACATATACAAATCAATAAACGTAATCCATCACATAAACAAGACCAATGACAAAACCCACATGATTATCTCAGTAGATGCAGAGAAGGCCTTTGATAAAATTCAACACCTCTTCATGCTAAAAACTCTCTATAAACTAGGTATTGATTGAACATATCTCAAAATAATAAGGACTATTTATGGCAAACCCATAGCTTATACCATACTAAATGGGGAAAAGCGGGAAGACATCCCTTTGAAAACTGGCACAAGACAAGGTTACCCTCTCTCACCACTCCTATTCAAAGTTGCATTGGAAGTTCGGCTAGGGCAATCAGGCAAGAAAAAGAAATAAAGGGTATTCAAATAGGAAGAGAGAAAGTCAGATTGTCTCTGTTTGCAGATGACATAATCGTATATTTAGAAAACCCCATTATCTCAGCTCAAAAACTCCTTAAGCTGATAAGCAACTTCAGCAAAGTCTCAGGATACAAAATCAATGTGCAAAAATTACAAGCATTCCTATACCCCAAAAATAGACAAGCAGAGAGCCAAATCATGACTTAACTCCCATTCACAATTGCTACAAAGAGAATAAAATATCTAGGAACACAACTTACAGGGGACTTCAAGGACCTCTTCAAGGAGAACCTCAAACCACTTATCAATAAAATAAGAGAGGACACAAACAAATGGAAAAAAACGTTTTTCATGCTCATGGATAGGAAGAATCAATTTCATGAAAGTAGTCATACTGCCTAAAGTAATTTTTAGATTCAAATCTATCCCCATCAAGCTACCATTGACTTTCTTCACATAATTAGAAAAAACTACTTTAAATTTCATATGGAACCAAAAAAGAGCCCGTATACCCAAGACAATCCTAAGCAAATAGAACAAAGCTGGAAGCACCATGGTACCTGACTTCAAACTATACTAAAAGGCTACAGTAACCAAAAGAGCATGTTATTGATACCAAAACAGATATATACACCAAATGAAACAGAACAGAGACCCCAGTAATAACACCACACATCTACAACCATCTGATCTTTAACAAACCTGACAAAAACAATCAATGGGGAAAAGATTCCACAGTTAACAAGTGGTGCTGGGAAAACTGGCTAGCCATATGCAGAAAACTGAAACTGGACCACTTCCTTATACCTGATACAAAAATCGACTCAAGATGTATTAAAGACTTGTAAATGTAAAGCCCCAAACCATAAGCCACTTGTAAATATAAAACCCAAAACCATAGAAACCTTAGAAGAAAACCTAGGCAATTTCATTCAGGACATAGGCACAGGCAGACTTCATGACTAAAACACCAAAAGCAATTGCAACAGAAGCCAAAATTGAAAAATGGGATCTAATCAAACTAAAGAGCTGCACAGCAAAAGAAACTATCATCAGAGTGAACAGGTAACCTACAAAATGGAAAAAAAAATGACAATCTATCCATCTGACAAAAGTCTAATATCCAGAATCTACATGGAATTTAAACAAATTTACAAGAAAAAGACAAACAACCCCATCAAAAAGTGGATGAAAGATATGAACAGACACTTCTCAAAAGAAGACATTTATACAGCCAACAAACATATGAAAAAAAGCTCATAATCACTGGTCATCAGAGACATGCAAATTGACACCACAATGAGATAACATGTCACTCCAGTTAGAATGGCAGTCATTAAAAAGTCAAGAAACAACAGAGCTGGCAAGGCTGTGGAGAAATAGGAACGCTTTTACACTGGTGGTGGGAGTGTAAATTAGTTCAACCATTGTGGACAGTGTGGTGATCCCTCAGGGATCCAGAACCAGAAATACCATTTGACCCAGTAATCCATTATTGGGTATATAGCCAAAGTATTATAAATCATTCTATTATAAAGACATATGCACATATATGTTTATTGCAGCACTATTCACACTAGCAAAGACTTGGAACCAACCCAAATGCCCATCAATGATAGACTGGATAAAGAAAATGTGGCACATATACACTATGGAATACTATGCAGCCATAAAAAAGAATGAGTTCATGTCCTTTGCAAGGACCTGGATGTAGCTGGAAGCTATCATTCTCAATAAAATTACACAGGAACAGAAAGCCAAACACCACATGTGCTCCCTTATAAGTGGGAGTTGACTAATGAGAACACATGGATGCAGGGAGGGAAACATCACACACCGGGGCCTGTTGGGGGTTGTGGGGCAAGGGAAGGGAGAGCATTAAGACAAATACCTAATGCATTCAGGGCTTAAAACCTAGGTGACGGGTTGATACCAGCAGCAAACCACTATGGCACATGTATGCCTATGTAACAAACCTGCACATTCTGTACATGTATTTCAGAACTTAAAGTAATTTTAAAAATCTCTATTTTATTAAATTTGCTGATGATTCAGGCCTCACTGGTACTAAGGAGAGCCTGCTTAGGTCTCATCAACCTTATTCTTCCCTCCTTCCAGCCTTTCTCCTGTCATCTACAATTTATTTAGGTTGTATGCTAGGGGAAATACCACCAGTGATACTCTATGTCACATGAAAAGTAGTTAAATGTCCCCACCCAGTGGAATAAATGTAAATTCCATGTGCCCCAGCCAAAATCTTTAAGGCCGCCATTTGGACTATTTTTATTACTGAAATCATTCTTCCTTAATGCCCCCAAAGCTTTACCAACTTGTGTGAGCAGGTGCCTTCAGGTTACAGTGATATTCTAGAAGGGAAAAAGGAATCACAAGTAGACAACACAGCAACAGGCATAGGAGAAAAAGAAGAGAGGGCTTTGTTACTAGACAGACATATCCAGAGTTCTAACGACAGTGTACAAATCTAGGCTCCATAGATAAGAAAGCCCATTTTAAGCCAGATTCATTCATGCTCCAAACCTCAGCATCATGCAGTATACCCTTGAAACAAACATGCACGTGTACCCCCTGAACCTAGAATACAAGTTTATTTATTTATTTATCTATTAGCAAGCCTATTTTACTTCTACTCTGCTACTGCCCACCTTGGATTCTAGCTCACAAAACCGTAAAAGATCAAAGTTAAAAAGGACTTCTAAAATTATCTAGTCCAGATTTTGAGGAGTTTTGTTGATCATTATTTTCAAGAAGTAGAACCCTTGCTTTTAAACTAGGTAGAAAATTCATTGCTACTCTGGTTTAAGTAGGTCAGGGAAATGCTCAGACTCTTGCCTTGTCAGCCCCTCTCTCTCCCTGAGACTCCCAGCATGAAAATCCATGGTCCTAGGGATAGGTCAACTCTTCCTGCTCAAAATGCCAGTGACATTAGAAATGAAGAAATAAAAGTTCAAAAAGGTATTTATATACTCAATATACCTATATAACTCTGAGTTATATATGGAGTTAGTCTAGAATTCACATTAAAGATGAATTTGCAATCTAAGATCAGAGAAAGGGGAAGGGCTCAGATCACAAATATGGACTGGAAGGGGTGATGCAAATAGATGCAGTCAGTCTCAAAGGTAGTACTAAATAGTCACTATTTGGTAAAATAAAAATGCTTAATTGAAACAGATTTGATGTTAGCAACTGCTACACTATGCCTATATGTTGTATGGTTGAGGGGTTCCTAGACAAAGGTAGGGGATTAATCCAAATTATCCACAGTGGACTTCTCTAATCTGAGTATTCAAGAAGTGGTACCAGTCAGTGTTCACTCCAATCGTAACCTATCCTGTCTGTTGTGCTGGTTGTTATTAGGATCAAATTAAAGAGTAAGGTGAAGATGCTTTGAAAGTTATAAAATGCCATGCAAATGTAAGGGCTTAGAATGTTATTGCTGTTATCATTATTCTATATTTTGGTTTCATTCTTGCAGAATCTTTGGCTTCGCATGGGTCTTAAGCGGTTTGCTCATTACACCTTCCAGGCTCCAGAGAGGCTGTCCCTAACCAGCTAGAGATCTATACTTGAAGGCCATTATCAGCAAAGACTTGATATACCCAATAAAGGAGCTTGCTGAACTCATCTCAGCTGTGATGGGCATGAAACTCTTCCACAGATTATCTCAGCTCAGTCAGTTAAGCCACATTTATTAAGCACCCACTTTGCAGAATTCATTGTGGAACCAGGACTTTGAATAGGATTAAGCAGACAAAAAGGAATGGAGATGCTGGGATGATGGGCCAAAACCAAGAAGAAGTTTAATTGGAATATACATGTAAGGTTATGCACTTGTTTCTAAACACAGAAACAAACAAACAACAATTATAACAAAACGATGGCAGCAAAGAAAGGAAATGCGCTTAGTATTGGCCTCTATACTCAAAGGTTAGGGAATTTACTTACCTGCAAATTTAGTATGAGTCAGTGGAAAAATGTGGCTAATGAAAGAAATGTGTTTTAAACTGTATAAATAGAAACATAACTAAATAATGTTTAAATATTCATAGTAGTCTAAATATAGTAAAATGGTGCATATTTATTTTAAAGAATAAATAATTTTTAAAACCACATACTGTGTATATTAAAAAAATACTCAAAGTCTTTTACATGCATTAATAAGAGTTTATGTGAAAAAAGCTCTGTATTTAAATACATTTGGGAAACGCTTTGTTTACTGAAGGACTTCTCAATTCTCTAAAACACTAATGTTTATTGTGGCTCTCCAAGAGGGAATTAAGGCAGGTAGTGTTTCCCAAACTTATTTGAACATAGAAATTTTTCTTTACAGAATATTTTACATGACCAGTATTCAGTGAAGTACACCTCAGAGAATATTTACCCAGAACCAAAAAGGTGATACTCTGTTTTTTCAGACTCAACCTAGGTCCCATAATTAATGAGGGGTACAGAGAAACAGAAATATATCCACAGGGAGGTTACTGAGCTGAGGAGGAAGTCAGAAACCAGTTCCCTTGAGCTGGGGAAGTTTGGCTTGGAGGAGACTTAGGGGAATTTAGTCTCTGTCTTCAGAGCTCTGAAGATCTCAAGCCTGACAGACGGTCAAAGCAGGGATGAATGGATATAAACTGCACAGACACAGTTTTCAGCTCATAACTAAGCAGAACTTGCTAAAAGAACTGGCCAAAGATGGAATAGGCTCACTTGGTAGCAAGTGAGATTTCTATTACTAGATATATTTAAGCTGTGTCTTCAGGAACACCTGTTTAGTTTGCAGAGTGAGGTCTTTCACAGTTTCACCCAACACTGATATTCCATGGTTCTAAATCAAACTGCAATTGGCATCATGTGAAAAATGACAGGTCAGGAGACTATGCAAAACCCATGGTTTCCAAACTGAGGCACACATCAGAATCACCTGCAGGGCTTGCTAAAACACAGATTTCTGACTTCCATTTCTGGCCAAGATGGAGTAGTCATCTCATTTCTCGCTGTTCTCCCTCAACAACAACAACAACAAAAACCTGGATATAATATAACCAACCAACAAACAAAAAGACTCTAAAGTGTGAAAAAAGGCAAGCTGCCCAGGGTCTTCAGGACTTGAGGAACAATGCAGTGAGAGCTCCCTGAGTTTCCTTTTAGGCTCTCGTATATCCCAGATGGGGCATTGTAAGCCTGCAACCTAAATCATACAATAGACACATACAAAATAAGCCTCAGGAAAATCCTGCTCTTGTAGCCAAAGGATTGGGATAAGGGCGGCATAACAGAACAGACAACTTAAATATATACATATAAATATATATATATATATATATATATAGAGAGAGAGAGATAGATAGATAGATAGATAGATAGATAATTTGCCTCTCCAGCCAAATAACAGAAGAAAATTTTCTTCCACCCACTCCCCCACCCTCATCCCTGCCATTTTCAGCAGGCCCTAGCAGGGAGCTGAACTCCTGTACCCACCAGGTGGCAAAGAGACAAAACAAGGTGGTACAAGATAGTGCTTGTTAGCATTGCACTTTCCTTGCCAATGTATTATGAGCAGAGCTTAGCAAGGAGCTAAAATTCTACTTATAACCACTGAAAGGTAGTGTGAGTTAGCTCTCTGCTTTTGCAGGGGTTGTATCAGGAGGGTCCAGATGTTGGTGGTGCTGAATTTCAATCCCCACTCAGCAGCAATGAAACAGAGCAAAGTTGTGTGGGATAGTACTAGTCAGCACTCTCTCCCCATCCTTACCCCCGTATCAGCGGGACCAAGGGGAATCTTGATTTTCTGTCTTCTGCTTCCACCATGCAGCAACAGGGCAGAATGAGGCAATATGACATGACACTCTATTCAATGATACTCTGCCTCCCCCAATATCCATATCAGCAAGGACCAAGGAAAAGCTGAACTTCCACTCCCAGCTGCCAACAACAAGACACAATAAGGTAGGGCTAGGCAACATTCATCAATACTTTTACTTCCTGCCCACCCCACATAGTGTTAGTAGGGTGTAGCAGAGAGCTAATATTTAACTCCAACCAACTTAGCGAGTGTCATTGCTGCAGAAAGAAGCCATGCAAGTTTGTGGTAGTTCACCTTTCACCTCCCTCCTACTCTCCTCTTCCCTCCTATCAGAGGGAGCAGAATGTGGAGCTGAATTTCATGCTCTCAAACAGAAACAGTAAGTTCTCAAACAGAAACATATGAGTCAGTGATCTAATTTTGCTTAGAGGTGTAAGCAGGGCCAAGAAGGAAACTGAATTTCAACCACCACTGCTTGACAATGAGACAGGGCAAGATGGTGGAAGTTCAAGCTCTGCATTTGTTAGGATGGTAGCAGTGAGGCCCAGCAGAAAACTAAACATCCGCTTTCACTTCGACTTGTGTGATATACATTATCAAGGTAAATGACTGAAATAAAAAGCAATAATTAAATACAATACAGAGTCTCACATCATAATAATCCAAAAGGTCAGGATACAATAAAATATCACTTGTCAAACCAAGAACATAGAAAATCTCAACTTCAGAGCACTTCCTAACTATTTCCATGAGTCTAATATTACCCAGATTTCAAAATCAGACAAGGAAAAAAAGGAAATTGAATATGTTCAACTTTTATGCATCCATTATACCTTGATAAAGCTTAAAAATAGTATTCATGTGAGAATTCAAAAGAGCCAGCATAGCAAAAACAACTTTAAAAAAGAAAAAATTTTTGAGGACTCACACTTCTTGATCTCAAAACATGCTACAAGGTTAAAGTAATCAAAACGTTGTGATTCTGGTTTAAGATTTGACATATAAATCAGTGGAACACAGTTGACAGAGTCCAAAAGTAAGCTCTTACACTTAAGAACAGTTGACTTTCAGCAAAGGTGCAAAGACTATTGAAGGTAAAAAGAATAGTCTTTTGATATGTGTGCTGGGACAACTGGATATTTACTTGCAAAATAATAAATTTGGATCTATACCTTACACCATACACAAAAATTAACTCAAAATGGATCAAATACCTAAATGCAAAAGACTTCAGTGATAGAAAATAAAACAATAAACTCTTAGAAGAAAATATAGGTGTAAATATTTGTGTCCTTACATTAAGGAATAGTTTCTTAAATATGACACCAACAGCACAACTGAAAAGTAAACAGATAAACTTTATATAATCAAAATTAAAGATGTTTGTGTTTAAAAGGGCACCATCAAGAAAGTGTAAAGGTAACCCACAGAATGCAGAAAATTTTGAAAATCATACATCTGATAAAAAAACTTGTAACTAAATACATAAAGAACTTTGAAAATTCAACAATAAAAAGACAAATAATTCAATACAAATGGGCAAAGATAACAAATGTATGAGGTGATGAATATGTTAAATACTCTGATTTGATTATCACACAATGTATACAAGTAATGAAACATCACACTATATTCCATAAGTATATACAATTACTGTGTCATTAGAATTTTTTTTTAATAGGAAAACACTTTGAGTAGACAATTATCTATGGAACATATTTAAATGCCCAATAAGCATATAAAAAGATGCTCAACATCATTAGCCATCGCTTCATACCGTGTAGAATGACTATAATAAAAATAAAAAAAAGGTGTTGGGTATAAAGAAAATTAGAACGCTCATACACTACTGCTGGGAATGTAAAATGGTGCAGCCCCTTTGTGAAACACTGTGTTAATTTTTTACAAGGTTAAATACAGAGTTACCTTGTGACTTAGCAATTCCATTTCTTGGTATGTGTTGAAGAAAATTAAAAACACAGGTTTATTCACACAGCGACATGTATGTGAATGCTCACAGCAGCATTATCCATAATAGTAAAAACGCGGAAACTATCCAAATGTTTATCAACTGATGAGTTCATAAATAAAATCTCATACAGAAATCAATTCCAGATGGATCAAGGACTTAAATCTAAGACCTGAAACTATAGAAATTCTAGAAAATAACATTAGAAAAACCCTTCTAGACATTGGCTTAGGCGAGGATTTTATGACCAAGAACCCAAAAGCAAATGCAATAAAAACAAAGATAAATAGGTGGGACTTAATTAAACTAAAGAGCTTCTGCATGGCAGAAGGAACAGTCAGCAGAGTAAATAGAACAACCCACAGAGTGGGAGAAATTTTTCACAATCCTTCACAATCTATTCATCTGACAAAGGACTAATAACCAGAATCTACAAGGAATTCAAACATATTAGCAAGAAAAAAAACAAATGATGCCATCAAAAAGCATGCTAAGGACATGAATAGACAATTATCAGAAGATATACAAATGGCAAAGAAACATATGAAGAAATGCTCAATATTACTAATGATTGCAGAAATGCAAATCAAAAGCACAATGCAATATCACCTTACTCTTGCAAGAAGGACCATAATTAAATAAATAAATAAATAAATAATGTTGGTGTGGATGCGGTGAAAAGGAAACACTTCTACACTGCTTGTGGGAACATAAACGAGTATGGCCACTCTGGAAAACAGTGTGGAGATTCCTTAAATAACTAAAAGTAGAACTACCATTTGATCCAGCAGCCCCATTACTGGGTAGCTACTCAGAGCAAAATAAGTCATTATACAAAAAAGATACTTGCACACACATGTTTATCGTAGCACAATTCGCAATTGCAAAAATGTGGAATCAGCCCAAATGCCCATCAATCAACGAGTGGATAAAGAAACTGTGAGACATATGTATGTATGTATAAATATATATATATATATGTATGTATGTGTGTGTGTATATATATATATATATATACACACACACATACATACATATATATATATATGATGGAATACTACTCAACCATACAAGGAATAAGTCAATGGCATTTACAGAAACCTGGATGTGATTGGAGACTATTATTCTAAGTCAAGTAACTCAGGAATAAAAAAAACAAACATTGTATGTTCTTACTCATAAGTGGGAGCTAAGCTATGAGGATGCAAGGGCATAAGAATGATACAATGGACTTTGGGGACTCAAGGGGAAGGGTGGGAAGGGGGTGAAGGATGAAAGACTACAAATTGGTTTCAGTGTATACTGCTCGGGTTATGGATCCAACAAAATCTCGTAAATCACCAGTAAAGAACTTGCCCATATAACCAAATACAACCTGTTCCCCCCAAAAAATGGATATAAAAATAAAATAAAATCTGGTATATACATGCGATAGAATACCATTCAGCATTGAAATGAATGAAGTATTGATAGATCTACAACATGGATAAACTTTGAAAACATTATGCTAAGTGAAAGAAACTAGTCACAAAAGACTACATATTGTATAATTCCATATGCATGAAATGTCCAGATTAGGCAAATCTATAGAGATGGAAAGTAAGTTAATGGTTGCCTTCAGCTAGGGACACTCAGGGATTCAGGAATGCTTGCTGAGAACTGTAGGGTCTCTTTTAGTGGTAACAAAAATGTTATAATGTTGATCGTGATGATGGAGGGACAAGTTCATGAATTTACTAAAATCAATTAAACTGTATACTTTAAATGGGTAAATTAGATGATATGTATAATATATCTGATTCAGAATGCAAATATCGAGTATAAAGAATTAAAGTTGTTGGAAAAGGCAAAAAAAAAATCTCAAAATGAATGAGAAAAGACAACCAAATGATGCTGATATGACTTGGCTCTGTGTCCCCACCCAAATCTCACCTTGAATTGTAATCCCCATAATCCCCATGTATCAAGGGGGGCCAGGTGAAGATAATTGAATCATGGGGGCGATTTCCGCCATGCTGTTCTCATGATAGTGAGTGAGTCTCACAAGGTCTGATGGTTTTATAAGCATCTGTCATTTCCCCTGCTTGCACTCACTCTGTCCTGACACCCTGTAAAGAAGGTGCATGCTTCTCCTTTGTCTTCCATTATGATTGCAAGTTTTCTGAGGCTTCCCCAACAATGTGGAACTGTGAGCCAGTTACACCTCTTTCCTTTATAAATTACCCAGTTTTGGGTATTTCTTCATAGCAATGTGAGAACGGACTAATACAGATGCCAATGGTTATGGCCAGAAATGCCTACCCTCAAATCTTTATGTTGAAGTACTAACCCTCAGTAACTCAGAATGTGACTGTTTTTGAATATAAAATCTTTAAGGTGGAAATTATGGGCAAAATATTCGCCTGGCCAGAGAAACAGACTAGTGGACCAGCACCCAGTAGATAAACCCCAAGCCAACTCAGAAGCTACAGGCCAATGCCTCCAACCAGAAAAAAGGTCCAGTGGACCCAACCAAAAAGGACTAGCCCCTGAGCCAGTTGATCAGCCATGGTCCGTGCCCCCAGCCAGCATAACAGCCTGGCAGCCCTGACCCTAGCAAGCCGTTCCCTGACTTGGTCAACTCACTCAATGTACCCACATTTCTGGCCTGAGAAACAGCACAAAAAACCTTGATACCAGCAAACCAGTCCCTGAGCTAGTTTACCACCTGTGCATGCATTCACCCCCAGCAAGGAGAAAAACCTCATGGGGCCACCCCCAGCAAATATATGCCATTGCTGTTGCCAATTCCTGCAGCCTAAGGCACTCATAAACATCACTAACATGAATAAAACTTGAAGAAGCTGCACTGGGTTTACACTATTAGAATTAATGGCAACATGTCTCACTCAATAGACACTCAGGATCCAACTACAGGAATATATTTTCATAAAAAACCTAATCCATAAAATTGAAAGAGGCTACCACTCCACTAGATGTATATAAATGTAGGCACAAAAGAAATATGAAAAAGAAAGAAAACATGACACCACCAAAGGAATGAAATAATTCTCCAGTAGCAGGCCCCCCAGAAAAGGAAATACACAGAATGCCAGAAAGGGAATTCAAAATAATGACTTTTTTCCTAAAAAATGGAATTCAATGAGATACAATAGAATATACATTAACAATTCAACAAAATTGGAAAAATATCATGATGTGAATGAGAAATTGAACAAAAAAAGATGTCAAAAAAAGCAAATGAACATCTTATAGCTGAAATAATCAATGAATAAAATAAAAGCTACATTAAAGGATTTGAACAACAAACTAGATCAAGGAGAAGACAAAATTTCTGAATTTAAAGACAAGTTTTCTGGAATAATCTGGGCAGACTGGAAAAATTAAAAGAAATAAAAGCCTACAGAACTCATGGGACACCACTAAATTAGCAAATGTCTGCATTACAAAAGTTCCAAAAAAGGAAAAATAATATAGAAAAACTATTTAATAAAATAATAGATGAACATTTTCTAAGTCTTGGGAGAGAGATGGACATCCAGATCCAAGAAGCTCAGAAATCTCCAAATAGATTCAACCCAAAAAGGTCCTCTCTGAGGCACATATAATCAAATTATCAAAAGTGAAAAACAGTTCACAGCAGACAGGAGGCAGGACCAGATTGCAACTCTGCACAGAGCAGTGGGCGGTGACTCACACTGTAAATTTTATCTCCAGATCAACAAACCAGCAACCCCAAGAGGACCAACAGACGCACTGAAGGAAGCAGACTGCTCCTGCAGGACCCAGGAGACCCAGCCAAAATTGTGAGTGCCCAAACTGTGGAAGTGGGAAAGGGAGACCCTCCTCTCCCAAACACACACACACTGGAGAAGGTGAAGGTTCATTTCTGGCAGAAGTTTCTGACTTTACCTGGAGCTGAGTCAATTTGGAGAGCCAAGTGAAATACAGGGGTAGAGGAAGAAGCAGAAAGGCCCTGGGAGCTCTCTGGGTCCCCTAACAGGTCATTCCTGCCTGGCAACACAGGGATCCAATGAGAGAGTAGCAGGGGATAAAATTACACAGGGAGAAGCAGATCTCTAGTTGAATCTCATAACAATTTGAACTGGGTGAGAAGCCTCTTGGCCAGAACTCAGGGGAAGGCATAAATTGGGTGGGCAGACTCCACAGGTGGGAGAAGAACCAAGCCCTTTGCTTTCTTAGCCTGGGGCAGGTGTTCAAGCCCGTATTGCTCTACACCTGAAAACGGTCTGGGTGCTGTTGCAGGGGACACAGTGGGAGTGAAACCAGCCCTTCAGTTTGTGTGGGAACTGGGTGAGGCGTGTGACTGCTGGCTTTGCCCCACTTCCCTGACAACTCACATGACTCAGCAGAGGCAGCCATAATGCCCCTAGGTGCACACCTCCAGTGACCTGGGAATCTCACCCCCATCCACCACAGCAGCCACAGCAAGACCCACCCAAGAAGAACCTGAGCTCAGACACACCTAGCCCTACTACCACCTGATGGTTCTTCTCTACCCACCCTGGTGGTGGATAATAAAGGGCATATAATTTTGGGAGTTCTAAAACTTTGCCCACCTCCAGTTCCTCCCCATAATAACACAGCTGATACTCCTGGAAAGCGCAATGTCCTGGCAGGAGGCCAACCAGCACAAAAATAGAACATTAAACTACTGAAGCTAAGAACCCTCAGGGAGTCCATTGAACCCCCTCCCACCTCCATCAGAAGGGGCACTGGTATCCACAGCTGAGAGACCCATAGACAGTTCACATCACAGGACTCTGTGCAAACAACTCCCAGTACCAGCCCAGAGTCAGGTAGACTCACTGGGTGGATAGACCCAGAAGAGATAAAACAATGACTGCAGTTTGGCTCATAGGCAGCCACATCCATAGGAAAAGGAGGGAGAGTCTACATCAAGGGAACACCCTGTAGGACAAAATAATCTGAACAACAGCTTTCAGCCCTAGACCTTCCCTCTGACAGAGCCTACCCAAATGAAACGGAGGAAGAAAACCAACCCGGGTAATATGACAAAAGAAGGCTCTTTAGCACCTCCCAAAAAACACACTAGTTAACCAGCAATGGATCCAAAGCAAAAATAAGTCCCTGATTAATCTGAAAAAAGAATTCAGGAGGTTAGTTATTAAGCTAATCAGGGAGGGACCAGAGAAAGGCAATGCCCAATGCAAGGAAATCCAAAATATGATACAAGAAGTGAAGGAAGAAATATTCAAGGAAATAGGTAGCTTAAAGAAAAAACAATAAAAAATTCAGGAAACACTGGACACACTTTTAGAAATGTGAAATGTCCTGGAAAATCTCAGCAATAGAATTCAACAAGCAGAAGAAAGAAATTCAGAGCTTGAAAACAAGGTCTTCGAATTAACCCAATCCAACAAAGACAAATAAAAAACAATAAGAAAGTATGAACAAAACCTCCAAGAAGTCTGGGATTATGTTAGATGACCAAACCTAAGAATAATCAGTGTTCCTGAGGAAGAAGAGAATTCTAAAAGCTTGAAAAACATATTTGGTATAATAATCAAGGAAAACTTCCCTGGCCTTGTTAGAGACCTAGACATCCAAATAGATGAAGCATAAAGAACACCCAGGAAATTCAACACAAAAAGATCTTCACCTAGTCACATTGTCATCAGGTTATCCAAAGTTAAGATGAAAGAAAGAATCTTAAGAGCTGTGAGACAACAGCACCAGGTAACCTACAAAGGAAAACCTATCAGATTAACAGCAGATTTATAAGCAGAAACCCTACAAGCTACAAGGAATTGGGGCCCTGTCTTCAGCCTCCATAAACAAAACAATTATCAGCCAAGAACTTTGTATCTATTGAAACTAAGTATCATATATGAAGGAAAGATACAATCTTTTTCAGACAAACAAATGCTGAGAGAATTCCCCATTACCAAGCCACCACTACAATAACTGTTAAAAGGGGCTCTAAATCTTGAAACAAATCCTGGAAACACATTAAAACAAAATATCTTTAAAGCATAAATCACACAGGACCTATAAAACACAACTAAAAGTTAAAAAGAAAAAAAAAGCCAAAGTATACAGGCGAAAAGAAAGCATAATGAATGCAACAGCACCTCACATTTCAATACTAACACTCAATGTAAATGGCCTAAATGTTCCACTTAAATGATACCAAACTGCAGAATAGATAAGATCTCACCAATCAACTATCTGCTGACTCCAGGAGACTCAACTCACATAAACCTAAAGTAAAGAGGTGGAAAAAGGCATGTCATTGCAATGGACACAAAAAGCATGCAGAGGGTAGCTATTCTTATATTAGACAAAACAAACGTTAAAGCGACGGCAGCTAAGAGACAAAGAGGGACACCATATAATGGTAAAAGGCCTTGTCCAACAGGATAATATCACAATCCTAAACATATGTACATCTAACACTGGAGCTCCCAAATTTATAAAACAATTACTAATAGACATATGAGATAGACAGTGACACAATCATAGTGGGGGACTTCAATACTCCACTGACAGCACTAGACAGATAATCAAGACAGAATGTCAACCAATAAACAATGGATTTAAACTTCTTGGAACAAATGGATTTAACAGATACATACAGAACATTTCAACCAACAACTGCAGAATACACATTCTATTCAACAATGCATGGAACTTTCTCCAAGATAGACCATATGATAGGCCATAAAATGAGCCTCAATAAGTTTAAGAAAATTGAAATTATATTAAGCACTCTGTCAGACCACGGTGGAATAAACTGGAAATAACCCTAAAAAGGACCGTCAAAACCATGCAAATAAATGGAAATTAAACAGCTTGCTCCTGAATGAGCATTGGATCAAAAGTGAAATCAAGATGGACATTAAACAATTCTTTGAACTGAACGACAATAATGAAATAACCTATCAAAACCTCTGGGATACAGCAAAGGTGGTGCTAAGAGAAAAGTTCATAGCCATAAATGCCTACATCAAAAAGACTGAAAGAGCACAAACTGACACTCTAAGGTCACACTTCCAGGAACTAGAGAAACAAGAGTAAAACAAACCCAAACCAAGCAGGAAAAAGAAAATAACCAAGATCAGAGTAGAACTGAATGAAACTGAAAAAAAAATTAAAAGATAAATGAAACAAAAACCTGTTTCTTTGAAAAGATAAAATTGATAAACCATTGGCAAAATTAATCAAGAAAAGAAGAGAGAAAATCCAAATGACCTCACAAATTCATTCTATGAAGCTAGCATCATCCTAATACCAAAATCAGGAAAGGACATAATCAAGAAAGAAAACTACAGACTGATAACCTTGATGAACACAGGTGCTATATTCCTTAACAAAATACTTGCTAACGGAATCCAAGAACATATCCAAAAGATAATCCACCATGATCAAGTGGGTTTCAAACCAGGAATGCTGGGATGCTTTAATATGTGCAAGTCAATAAATGTGATACACCACATAAACAGAATTAAAAACAAAAATCACATGATCATTTCAATAGATGCAGAAAAAAATTGACAAAATCCAGCATCCCTTTATGATTGAAGCTCTCAGCAAAATTGGCATACAAGAGACATACGTTTGGCCGGGCGCGGTGGCTCACGCCTGTAATCCCAGCACTTTGGGAGGCCGAGGCGGGCGGATCACGAGGTCAGGAGATCGAGACCATCCCGGCTAAAACGGTGAAACCCCGTCTCTACTAAAAATACAAAAAATTAGCCGGGCGTAGTGGCGGGCGCCTGTAGTCCCAGCTACTTGGGAGGCTGAGGCGGGAGAATGGCGTGAACCCGGGAGGCGGAGCTTGCAGTGAGCCGAGATCCCGCCACTGCACTCCAGCCTGGGCGACAGAGCGAGACTCCGTCTCAAAAAAAAAAAAAAAAAAAAAAAAAAAAAAAAAAAAAAAAAAAAAAAAGAGACATACGTTTATGTAATAAAAGCCATCTATGACAAACCCACAGCCAACATAATACTGAATGGGGAAAAGTTGAAAGCATTCCCTCTGAGAACTGGAACAAGATAAGGATGTCAGCTCTCACCCCTCCCCTTCAACATAGTAATGGAAGTCTTATCCAGAGCAATCAGACAACAGAAAGAAATAAAGTGCATCCAAATTGATAAAGAGGAGGTCAAATTGTCACTGTTTGCTGGCGATATGATTGTTTACCTTGAAAACCCTAAGGACTCCTCCAGAAACCTCCCAGAAGTGATAAAAGAATTCAGCAAAGTTTCTGGATATAAGAGTAATGTACACAAATCAGTAGCCTTCTATACAACGACAGCGACCAAGTGGAGAACTAAATCAATAACTCAACCCCTTTTACAATAGCTGAAAAAAAAATACTTAGGAATGTACCTAACCAATGAGTCGAAAGACCAAACAAATGGAAACACATCCATGCCCATGGATACTCATCAATACTGTGAAAATGACCATACTGCCCCAGGACAACTGTGGAACATTTTCATTTGTGTCAAGGATCTGAAATAAATCTCCATTTTTCTGTAGGCCGAAAGAGATTGGGCCTGCATGTTACAGTTTGGAGATAACTGGAGAACCTGGTGGTCGGAGAGCAGCTGATTACTGCTGTGTAAAGACTGTCTGTGTAACACAAGGGCTCTGATTTTTGCTTTCAATATGGGAGCCCTAAGAAGAGACACAACTTAAAGCAGTTTTAAGATATTTGGTGTATTATCCTTTTTCACAAGCCTGAAGCAAGCCTTGTTTACATTCTTCCTTTGGTCTGAGTTATATTCTGGGAAACCTTAAGATCACTGCTTCTTCTCCATGGTCAGAATGGGACCATTACCACGGAGCAGAGAGGGGCTCAGTAGGGCACCCATCATCCCATGAAGGTCAGTGGCAGTGTCCATAGCTTGACATTGAGACAAAAAGCCTGGAGTGAAATAAACTGAGGGAGACAATTTGAGAGTGATGATTATAGCAAATAGATCAGTGGGGAAATAAAACAATAAATTATATATAAAAAGAATGGGTAATCTCATTCTTCAGCACAATCTGAAAACTTCA
Organism: Homo sapiens; assembly: GCF_000001405.40. Lineage (NCBI taxonomy): Eukaryota > Metazoa > Chordata > Mammalia > Primates > Hominidae > Homo > Homo sapiens. Next base: position 66,746,228 of record NC_000023.11, on the reverse strand, counting down.
GGACATGTGAATTGCTCATTTCCTCCAAAGCTCTAATATATCCAGATGTTTTTTATTTTCTAGAGTTTCACTTTTGTTTCCCATGTACTTTGTATTTTTGTCAGTTTCATTTATTAGAATTATAATCTGATATTTTTAGACACAATAAACACTATTCATTATTGCATTTAAAAGAAAGAAAATGACCATACTGCCAGGCAATCTACAACTACAAATTCAATGCAATCCCCATCAAAACACCACCATCATTCTTCACAGAATTAGAATAAACAATTCTAAAATTTATATGGAACCAAAAAAAGAGCCCGCATAGGCAAAGCAAGACTAAGCAAAAAAGAAGAAATGTGGAGGCATCACACTACCTGATTTCAAACTATACTATAAGACCATAGTCACCAAAACACCAAGGTACTAGTACAAAAATAGGCACATAGACCAATGGAACAGAATAGATACCCAGAAATAAACCCAAACACAGCCAACTGAACTTCGACAAAGCAAACAAATAACATAAAGTGGGGAAAGGACACCATTTTCAACAAATGGTGCCGAGATAATTGGCTAGCCACATGTAGGACAATGAAACTGAGTCATGATCTCTCATCTTATATAAAAATCAACTCAAGATGGCTTAAGGACTTAAACCTAAGACCAGAATCGATAAAAGTTCTAGAAGATAACATTCAGGAAACTCCTCTAGACATTGGCTTAGGCAAGGATTTCATGACCAAGAACCCAAGACAAATGCAATAAAAACAAAGATAAATAGCTGGGACCTAATTAAACTAAAAAGCTTTTGCATGGCAAAAAGAACAGTCAGCAGAGTAAACAGACAACCCACAGTGTGGGAGAAAATCTTCGCAGTCTACACATCTGACAAACAACTAATATCCACAATGTACAATGAGCTCAAACAAATCAGGAAGAAAAAAACAAACAAACAATTCCATCAAAAAGTGGGATAAGAACATGAATAGAAAATTCTCAAAAGAAGATACACAAATGGCCAGCAAACATATTTTAAAATGCTGTACATCACTAATGATTGGGGAAATGCAAATCAAAACCACAATGCGATACCGCCTCACTCCTGCAAAAATGGCTATTATCCAAAAATAAAAAACAGTACATGCTGGTGTGGATAGAGTGAACAGGGAATGCTTCTACCCTGCTGGTGGGAACTTAAACTAGTACAGCTGCTGTGGAAAACAGTGTGGAGATTCCTAAAAGAACTAAAAGTAGAAGTAACATTTGATTCAGCAATCCCACTACTGGGTATCTACTGAGAAAAGAACTAAAAGTAGAACTACCATTTGATGCAGCTGTCCCATTACTTGGTATCTACTCAGAGGAAAAGAAGTCCTTATTTGAAAAAGATACTTGTACATGCATGTTTATGGCAGCACAATTCACAATTGCAAAATCGTGGAACCAACTCAAATGTCCATCAGTCATCAAGTGGATAAAAAAAAATAACTGTGGTATGTATATAAGATGGAATACTATGCAGCCAGAAAAAAGAATGAATTTAATTCATTTGCAGTGAACTGGATGAGATTGGAGATTATTATTCTAAGTGAAGTAACTCAGAAATGGAAAACCAAACATCATATGTTCTCACTGTTATGTGGGAGCTAAGCTATGAGGATGCAAAGACATAAGAATGATGCAATGGACTTTGGAGACTTGGAGAGAAGAGTGGGAATGGGGTGAGGGACAGAAGATTACAAATATGGTGCAGTGTATACTGCTCAGGTGATGGGGTACACCAAAATCCCACAAATCACCATTAAAGAATTTACTCATGTGACTAAATACCACCTGTACTCAAATAACTTACAGAAAAAAAAGTTAAAGACAAAGAGAACATTCTAAAAAACAGAAGAGAAAAGCATCAAATCACATATATGAAAATCCTTCATTTAAACTAAAAGTAGATTTCTTAGGAGAAACCTTACAGGCAAGTTGAGTATGGAATGATATATTCAAAGAGCTGAAAGAAAATACTACTGGCTAGGAATACTACACCCAGCAAACCTACCCTACAGAAATGGATAAATAACATCTTTACCAGATAAGCAAAAACTGAGAGAATTTATCAGTATTAAATTGGTCTTAAAAGATATGCTCAAAGAAGTCTTATATCTGGAAGCAAAAGGACAATAACATTCATCATGAAAACAACCAAAATTATAAAACTTAGTGGTAGAACTGATACACAAATGAGAAAAAGAATGGAATCAAAAGTTACTACTACAAAAAACCTTGATACCAAAAGGATATGCAATAAGAAGGAAGAAAATAGTAGATAAAATATAAAACAACCATAAAACCATTAAAAATGACAAGAGCAAATCTTCACCTATCAATAATAACCTTGAATGTAAATGGATTAAATTTTCCAATTAAAATATATAGTCTGGCCAAATGGATAAAAAAAGAAGGAACTACATGCTGCCTATAAAAAATTCACCTCACCTGTAAAGACACATATAAACTGAAAGTGAAGGGATGAAAATGATATTCTGTGCAAATGTAAATCATAAGTAAGCAGGTGTAGCTAAACTTATATCAGATAAAACTGAATTTAAGTCAAAAACTGTAAAGAAAAAGGATATTAAGAATATTATACAACACTAAAGGAATCAAGCAAGAGGTGAAAACAATTGTAAACATATGTACGTGCAACACCAGGGCAACTGGATACATAAGACAAATATTATTACATCTAAAGAGAGATATATATTTCAGTACAATAATACTGGGAAAAGGTAACACCCCACTATCAACATTGGACAGATTATCTACACAAAAAAAATTAAAAAAAGAAACATCAGATTTAAAACGCATCACAGACCAAATGGACCTAACAGACCTTTACAGAAGGTTTAACCCAACCTCTGAAAAATATATTTATATTTATTGTTAATATATGGAACATTCTCCAGGATTAACCATATGTGAGACCCCCAAAATAATAGACACAATAAAAAATGATAAAGGGGATATCACCACCGATCCCACAGAAGTAAAAACTACCATCAGAGAATACTATAACCACCTCTATGCAAATAAACTAGAAAATCTAGAAGAAATGGATAAATTCCTTGACACATACACCCTCCCAAGACTAAACCAGGAAGAAGTTGAATCTCTAAATAGACCAATAACAGGCTCTGAAATTGAGGCAATCATTAATAGCTTGCCCACCAAAAAAAGTCCAGGACCAGATAGATTCACAGCCGAATTCTACCAGAGGTACAAGGAGGAGCTGGTACCATACCTTCTGAAACTATTCCAATCAATAGAAAAAGAGGGAATACTCCCTAACTCATTTTATGAGGCCAGCATCATCCTGACACCAAAGCCTGGAAGAGAAACAACAAAAAAAGAGAATTTTAGACCAATATCCCTGATGGACATCAATGAAAAAATCCTCAATAAAATACTGGCAAACTGAATCCAGCAGCACATGAAAAAGCTTATCCACCATGATCAAGTGGGCTTCATCCCTGGGATGCAAGGCTGGTTCAACATACGCAAATCAATAAACATAATCCAGCATATAAACAGAACCAATGACAAAAAACATATGATTATCTCAATAGATGCAGAAAAGGCCTTTGACAAAATTCAACAGCCCCTCATGCTAAAAATTCTCAATAAATTCGGTATTGATGAGATGTACCTCAAAATAGTAAGAGCTATCTATGACAAACCCACAGCCAATATCATACTGAATGGGCAAAAACTGGAAGCATTCCCTTTGAAAACTGGCACAAGACAGGGATGCCCTCTCTCATCACTCCTATTCAACATAGTGTTGGAAGTTCTGGCCAGGGCAATCAGGCAGGAGAAGGAAATAAAGGGTATTCAATTAGGAAAAGAGGAAGTCAAATTGTCCCTGTTTGCAGATGATATGACTGTATATCTAGAAAACCCCATTGTCTCAGCCCACAATCTCCTTAAGCTGATAAGCAACTTCAGCAAAGTCTCAGGATACAAAATCAATGTGCAAAAATCACAAGCATTCTTATACACCAATAACAGAAAACAGAGCCAAATCATGAGTGAACTCCCATTCACAATTGCTTCAGAGAGAATAAAATACCTAGGAATCCAACTTACAAGGGATGTGAAGGACCTCTTCAAGGAGAACTACAAACCACTGCTCAATGAAATAAAAGAGGATACAAACAAATGGAAGAACATTCCATGCTCATGGCTAGGAAGAATCAATATCATGAAAATGGCCATACTGCCCAAGGTAATTCATAGATTCAATGCCATCCCCATCAAGCCAGCAATGACTTTCTTCAAAGAATTGGAAAAAAACTACTTTAAATTTCATATGGAATCAAAAAAGAGCCTGCATTGCCAAGTCAATCCTAAGCCAAAAGAACAAAACTGGAGGCATCACGCTACCTGACTTCAAGCTATACTACTAGGCTACAGTAAACAAAAAAAAAAATGGTACTGGTACCAAAACAGAGATAAAGACCAATGGAACAGAACAGAACCCTCAGAAATAATGCCACATGTCTACAACTATCTGATCTTTGACAAACCTGACAAAAACAAGCAACGGGGAAAGGATTCCCTATTTAATAAATGGTGCTGGGAAAACTGGCTAGCCATATGTAGAAAGCTGAAACTGGATCCCTTCCTTACACCTTATACAAAAATTAATTCAAGATGGGTTAAAGACTTAAATGTTAGACCTAAAACCATAAAAACCCTAGAAGAAAACCTAGGCAATACCATGCAGGACATAGGCATGGGCAATGACTTCATGTCTAAAACACCAAAAGCAATGGCAACAAAAGCCAAAATTGACAAATGGGATCTAATTAAACTAAAGAGCTTCTGCACAGCAAAAGAAACTACCATCAGAGTGAACAGGAAACCTACAGAATGCGAGAAAATTTTCGCAGTCTACTCATCTGACAAAGGGTTGATATCCAGAATCTACAATGAACTCCCACAAATTTACAAGAAAAAAACAAACAACCCCATCAAAAAGTGAGAGAAGGATATGAACAGAAACTTCTCAAAAGAAGACATTTATGCAGCCAACAGACACATGAATAAAAGCTCATCATCACTGGCCATCAGAGAAATGCAAATCAAAACCACAGTGAGATACCATCTCACACCAGTTAGAATGGCGATCATTAAAAAGTCAGGAAACAACAGGTGCTGGAGAGGATGTGGAGAAATAGGAACACTTTTACACTGTTGGTGGGACTGTAAACTAGTTCAACCATTGTGGAAGTCAGTGTGGTGATTCCTCAGGGATCTAGAACTGGAAATACCATTTGACCCAGCCATCCCATTACTGGGTATATACCCAAAGGATTATAAATCATGCTGCTATAAAGACACATGCACACGTATGTTTATTGTGGCACTATTCACAATAGCAAAGACTTGGAACCAACCCAAATGTCTATCAATGATAGACTGTATTAAGAAAATGTGGCACATATACATTATGGAATACTATGCAGCCATAAAATTGATGGGTTCATGTCCTTTGCAGGGACATGGATGAAGCTGGAAACCATCATTCTCAGCAAACTATCACAAGGACAAAAAACCAAACACCGCATGTTCTCACTCACAGGTGGGAATTGAACAATGAGAACACATGGACACAGGAAGGGGAACATCACACACTGGGGCCTATTGCGGGGTGGGGGGAGGGGGGAGGGATAGCACTAGGAGATGTACCTAATGTTAAATGAAGAGTTAATGGGTGTAGCACACCAACAAGGCACATGTATACATATGTAACAAAACTGCATGTTGTGCACATGTACCCTAAAAGTTAAAGTATAATAAAAAAACTCCAGTATTTTAAAAATTGGAATCATATCAAGTATATTGTTTGAACATAACTGAATAAAAGTAGAAATCAGTAAAAAGGAATATTCAAAACGGTACAAATACATGGAAATTAAACAACATGCTCCTGAATGAGCAATGGGTCATGGAAGAATTTTTTTTTTTTTGAGACAGAGTTTCCCTTTTGTCACCAAGGCTGTAGTGCAATGGCGCAATCTCTGCTCACTGCAACCTCCACCTCCTGGATTCAAGCGATTCTCCTGCCTCAGCCTCCTGAGTAGCTGGGATTACAGGAGATGGGGTTTTACCATGTTGGCCAGGCTGGTCTTGAACTCCTGACCTCAGGTGATCCACCCGCCTTGGGCTCCCAACTTGCTGGGATTACAGATGTGAGCCACTGTACCTGGCCAAGAAATATTTTTAAGTTAAAAATAATTTGAAACAAATGAAAATAGAAACACAACATACCAAATCCTACACAATTCAGCAAAAACAGCATTAAGAGGCAAATTTACAGTAATAAATCCCTACATAAAAAAGTAGAAAGACACAAACTTCATCTGACAAAGTTCTAATATCCAGAATCTATAAGAAACATAAGCAATTGAACAAGCAAAAACTAAATAACACTGTCAAAAAATGGGCAAAGACAGGAATGGACAATTCTCAAAAGAAGATATACAAGTAGCCATCAAACATATGAAAAAATGCTCCACATCACTAATCATCAGAGAAATGCAAATGAAAATCACAAAGAGATACCATCTCACATCAGTCAGAGGGGCTATTATTTAAAAGTAAAAAAAAAAAAGATGCTGGCGAGGCTGTGGTGAAAAGGAAACAATTACACACTGTTAGTTGGAATATGAATTAGTTCAGCCCTCGTGAAAAGCAGTTTGGAGATTTCTCAAAGAACTTAGAACTACCATTCAACCCAGCACTCCCATTACTGGGTATATATCCAAAAGAAAACAAATAATTTTACCAAAAAAACACATGCATTCTCATGTACATCACAGTACTATTCATGACAGAAAAGACACAGAATCACCCTAGGTGCTCATCAAAGGTGGACCATAAAAATAGATGAAATCATGTCCTTTGCTGCATCCAAAGCATGGATGAAGTTGGAGACCATTATCATAAGCAAATTAGCATAGAAACATAAAACCATGTTCTCACTTATAAGTGGGTGCTAAACGATGGATACTGATGAACGTAATGATGGCAACAATAAACAATGGAGACTACTGGAAGTGGGAGGGAGGGAGATGGGCAAGAGTTGAAAAACTAACTGTTGCGTACTATGCTCATTACCTGGGTGACTGGGCCATTCTTACTCCAAAACTCAGCACCACACAATACACCCAGGTACCAAACCTGCACATGTACTTCCTGAATCTAAAATAAAAGTTGAAAAAAAAAGTAGAAAGATTTAAAATAAGTAACATAAAAATTCACCTCAAAAACTAGGAAAGAAAAAACAAATCAAACCAAAAGATAATGGAGGAAAAGAAACAATTACAAACAGAGTAGAAATAAACAAAATTGAGGCTAAAAAATGCAAAAGATCAACAAAATGAAAAGCTGTGGTTTTTGAAAGCATAAACAAAATTAACAAACCATTAGCTAGACTAAGAAAAAAGAGGTAAGACCCAGATAAATAAAATCAGAAATGAAAAAGAAAACATCCCAACAGATATGAAAGAAATGCAAAGGATCATTAGAGTCTATTATGAACAACTATATACCAACAAATTAGAAAATGCATAAATTCTTGGATACATACAACTTACCAGTTAGAACAAAGAAAAGATATAAAACCTGAACAGTCCCATAATGATTAATGACATTTAATCATTAACAAAAGGTCTCCCAAGAAAGGAATGCCCAGGGACAGATTACTTAATTGTTGAATTCCACCAAACTTTTAAAGAAGAATGAATACCACTTCTTCTTAAACTGTTCCAAAGAATTGAAGGGGAAATACTTCTAAACTCATTCTATGAAACCAGCATAACCCTTATACCAGAACCAGATAGAACCCAACAACAACAACAAAAACTACAGACCAATATCTCAGATGAACATAGATGCAACAATCCTCAACAAAACACTAGCAAACCAAATCCAAGAGCACATCAAAAAGATAATACACCATGATCAAGTTGTATTTACCCAAGTGATGTAAAGGTAGTTCAATATATACAAATCAACAAACATGTTACATAACATCAACAGAATGAAGGATAAAAACCATATGATCACCTCAATAGATGAAGAAAAATAGATAAAATGCAACATTCCTTCATTATAAAAACTTCACAAATTAGTTGTAAAAGAAATATATCTCAACATAGTAAAGGCCACAAAGATTTTCTTCTAAGAACTGGAGGAAGACAAGGATGCCAACTTTTACTACTCTTATGAATCATCATATTGAAAGTCTTAGCCAGAGCAATTAAGCAAAATAAATAAATAAAGGTAATCCAATTGAAAAAGGAGGAAGTCAAATTGTCACTCATTGCAGATAGCATAATTTTATATATAGAAAACCTAAACACTACACCAAAAAACTCTTAAAACTGATAAACAAATTCAGTAAATTTGCAGAATAGAAAATCATCATACAGAAATCAGTATCAATTTTATACACCAAAAAGGAATTAACTGAAAAAGAAATCAGGAAAACAATTCAATGTATACTAGCTAGAAAAAAATTACCTAGGAATAAATTTAATTGAGGAGGTGAAAGGTCTCTACAAGACAAACTGTAAAATACTGATGAAAGAAATTGAAGGGTACGAAAAAAAATGAAAATATAGTCTATGTTCATGGACTTGAAGAAATAACATATTAAAATAACCATACTACCCAAAACAATCTACAGATTCAATGCAATCGCTATCAAACTACCAATAACATTCTTCACAGAAATAGAAGAAAAACATTTCTAAATTTCTTGAAACTACAAAAGACACTGAATAGCCTTAGAAATCCTGAACAAAAAACAAACAAACAAAAACAAAACAAAGGTGGAGGCATCGCATTACCAGGTATCAAAATATATTATAAAGCTATAGTAACTACAACAGCACAGCACTGTCATAAAAAAACCAGACATAGGCCAACAAAATAAAATACAGAACCCAGAAATAAACCCATGTAGTTACTACTAAATGACTTTCGAAAAAGGTGTCAAGAACCTTCATTAGGAAAAAGACAGTCTCTTCAATAAATGGTGCTGAAAAATTGGTTATCCACACATAGAAAAAATGAAACTAGACCTACCTTTTACCTTATAAAAAATCAATTCAAAAATCTTCAGGTCATTTGTCTGGGGATTTTTTTTTTTTTTTTTTTTTTGAGATGGAGTCTCACTCTGTCACCCGGGCTGGAGTGCAGAGGCACAATCTCAGCTCACTGCAACCTCCCTGGTTCAAGAGATTCTCCTACCTCAGCCTCCCTAGTAGCTGGGTTTACAGGCATGTACCATCACACCTAGCTAATTGTTTTTATTTTTTATTTTTTAGTAAAGACGGGATGTCACTGTATTGGCCAGGCTGGTCTCGATCTCCTGACGTCAAGTGATCCACCTGCCTCAGTCTCCCATAGTGCTGAGATTACAGGTATGAGCCACCGTGCCTGAATATTTTATAAATATGACCTCAAAGCACAGGCAACAAAAACAAGAATAGACAAATAGAATTCTATCAAACTATAAGTTTTCTTCACTACAAAGAAAACAATCATTAGAGTGGAGAAGAATGAAAGAAAATGTTTGCAAACTATTCATTCAACAAGGTAGTCATATCCAGAATATAGAAGGAACTCAAACAATTCCAAAGCAAATAATAATAATAATTCAATTTAAAATGGGCAAGTAATCTGAATGGACATTTCTCTAAAGAAGACATCCAAATGGACAACAAATATATGAAAAAAAAAAAAACCTCTTCAACATCATTAATCATCAGGGAAATGTATGTCAAAACCACAATGAGATATCTTATTTTTCCAGTCAGAATGCCTATTGTCAAAAATTCCAAAATTAACAATTCCTGGTGAGTATATGAGGAAAAGGGAACTTTTATATACTGTTCATGGGAATGTAAACTAGAACAGGAATTATAGGTAACAGTATGGCCATTCCTCAAAAAAACTAAAAATAGAAATAAAATATGATCCAGTCATCCCATTACTGGGTATATACCCAAAGTAAAGGAAATCAGTATATGAAGGAGATATTATGCCACCATGTTTACTGCAGTACTGTTCATAGAAGCCAAGGTATGGAATCAATGTAAGTATTCATCAACATGCATAGAGAAAAAAATGTGGTATATATACAGAATGGAATACTATTCAGCCATTTAAAAAGAATGAAATCCTCTCATTGGTGACCACATGGATGAGCCTGGAGGACATTACATTAAATGAAATAAGCCAGGGAGGGAAATACAAATAATACATGTTTTCTCTCATATGCAGAACCGAAAAAAGTTGATCTCATAGAAGTAAAGAGTAGAATAGTGGTTACTGGAAGCTGAAAGTGTAGTGAGAAGAGGGGATAGGAAGCAATTGATTAAAGGATACAAAATTTAACCTAGAAGTAGAAATAAATTCTAGTGTTCTATAGCACTGTAGGGTGTCTGTAGCCAAGAATAATTTATTACATATTTTTAAATGGCTAGAAGAGAGAATTTTGAAAGTTTTCAACCAAAATCAATGATAAATGCTTGAGGTGATGGGTATGTTAATTATCCTGATTTGATCACTATACATTGTATCTACTGAAAGGCACTATGTACCCCATTAATATGTATAATTTATGTCATTTAAAATATATAAAATATTATTTTAAAGAAAATGAGTAACAGTCATGATGAGACATTTTATTGAAGAGGATAAACAGATAAAAAGTGAATATATGAGCCAGATGCAGTGGCTCATGCCTGTAATTCCAGCACTTTGAGAGGCTGAGGTTGGAGGATCACTTGAGGACAGGAGTTCAAGACCAGCCTGGGCAAAAAAGAGAGACCCTATCTCTACATTTTTTAAAAAAAATTAACCAGGTGTGATGGCGTGCATCTGTAGAACTAGTTACTTAGGAGGCTGAAGTGGAAGGATTGCTTGTGCCCAGGTATTTGAGGCTGCAGTGAGCTATGATCATGTCAGTGCACTCCAACCTGGGTGACACAGCTAGACCCTGTCTCTATAAAATAAATAAATAAGTAAATAAATAAATAAATATTTTAAAATGCACACATAAAAATATGTTTAGCATAATTGGGCAATAGGTAAATGCAAATTAAAATTCTACTGTGATATCACTACACACCTAACAGTAAAGGTAAAGTAAAAACATAATGACAATACCAGATGCTGGTGAAGATACAAATTGAATCTTTCCCATATGGCTTGTGAGAATATAAAAAAATAAACCAACTCTGACTGGCAGTTAAACAAACTTAAAGAAAACCTATGCATATATTTACCAAATGACATAGCATTTGGACTCCTGAATATTTACCCCAGATAAATGAAACTTTATATCTACATAGAAAACTGTACATAAAGGTTCATATTAGCTACATTGGTAATAACCCCAAACTGGTTAAACAAACCGTGCTGCACACATAAATTATGGAGTACTATTCAGCAATAAGAGGGAATGAACTATAGTTACATAAGATAATTTTGATGAATCTACAGGGAATTATGCTAAGTAAAAAATGCCAATCCACTGAGGTAGAGGTTGTTCAATGGAGAAACCACCCGAAATAATCAAGTGATTAATGTGCCATCTGCTGACTGAAGTTGACTGTTCTATTATTTTGACCAAGCTACAGGAAACATAGTTGGAGATCATTTGCATAAAGGTGATGAGTACTGGATAAAAGGCATGGCATTGAAGTCACAAACCTGGGAGCTGCCCCCACATCTGAACTGTTGCCAAGTCTGGTCAGTCCTATCCTGCCACTTTGTTAGTAGAGGTACATGACATCTCTTGCCTGGGTTACTGCAACAACCTTTTATCTTGTTTTCCTGTCTCTGCTCTCAATTTTCCTTAACCAATCTCTACAAAGAAGCCAGAGTGACCTTTTTTACACACTAATAACTCAAAATACATTAGTGATTCCGCATTACCTTAAAGATAAAATTCAAACTCCTTGGATAGCGTATGAGGCCCTCATGGCCTTGTCCCATTCCACCTCTTCAACTTCATATCACACAGTTCCCCTATAACTTAGAGTTGGTAATCCCCTTCCTGCCCTCCTACTTGTCCCTCCAAATTGCCATTTGCATATACTGCTCTCTCAGCCTGAAGTGTCTTTTCTTCCAATTATGTATGTTTAATTAATCCTTTAAGTCTTAGTTCTTACACTTCCTTCCTTGATTACTACCATGAAGCAAGGAGTCTTACCAGACTATCTCCATCTGGAGGAAAAAAGAACTACAAAATATCCAAAAGACTTATTCTTTTCTACATGATTGCAGTGTTAAAGTACAATTAACTTGTATTTCTATAATTATTTGTATTATAGAGACAGCTGTACAAAATTGTTAGTATAGGAAGGATACTGTGGATATCAGAAGGTATGATGGTTACATAGTAATGTTAGTATTCCTTGTGTACACCTGTTAGTTTTGCAATCTGTTTTCTTAAGTATTTGTTTAAATTTTTGTGGGTACATAATAGGTGTTTGTATTTATGGGGCAATGTGATATTTTGATACAGGCATACAGTGTGAACTAAGCACATCATGGAGAATGGGGTTTCCATCCTCTCAAGCATTTATCTTTGCAATCTGTTTTGAATTATTATAGTTCTAACTCACTGTTATTTAGAGTGGAATTAGATGAGAGGATATTTATGAAATGAAAAAAGGCTGTTACATTGTAGTGAAGTAAACAGGCAAAGGGCTGTAGACTTTCATATTAAACCTAGGGCGTATAGAAATTTTTAACTTAGTGTTGTGTTTATAGGCATGTCTGTTTTTTTTTTTTTTACAAAAATAAATTTGGACGCTAAGAGCAAGCACTCTCCAATATGTACCAGCACAATTTTTTGGAGTGATGATGGATACTGCTCCTTTGTATATCATCAATTGACTTAATACCGGTGTGATTCAAGTGTAGATTAAAGCTTACAATGATACTGATGTGGTGTCTTATGTTACAGATGTTAAAATAACTGATAGCATTAGAAGACTCTTGACAAGAAAAAGAAAACATTACCGATGCCTTACTATAACACTATTTCTAATTTGTACAACACTTTGACAAAGCAGTTTCACTGAATCTCACTAAAACCTTATGGGCATTGTAATCTTCATTTTACAAACGAGAAAACTGAAGGTCAGAGAGGAGAGCATGGAACTAGTAGGGGATCACACAAACAAGAAGTTGAGCTGGGACCAGAATAAAATGCTTTTGACTCCCAGTTTAGTGGTCTTCTCATTACACTGCTTTACATCTGATATTGATAAGGATTTTCTAAAAGATAAAATTATTACTTTTTAAACAGCTGCTTGGCTTTTGATTTACCCATTAAGTTTACAAAATAGAAAACAATTATGCTACTGTCTTCCATATTATACTTAACCACATCTCTCTCAATTTTTAGAGAAGAGAGGCAAAACCATTAATAAATAAAATAAGTTATGATATATGATAATAATGAGCTTCAGACTCATTATTTGATCAGTGCTGTGACACACAAAGCTATATGTACATCTTTGACTCCACCTCTATCAATGCCTCATGATTATTCTTATAGAAGACTCTCACTTTAATAAGAAAAATCAAATAACATTACATATTTATTATTACTACATTAAAACCCAGAACTGTCTTATTAACTTTGCAGTGATTCTTATTATTAAAAATATGAAGATACAAGTCTGCATGTAAAAGGTTAAATTTTTCATGACCTGCAAATCTTTCTTATTAGAATATTTTCATTTCTAGCTATCCAGAGGAAATATATTATTACTTGATTGAAATTGACTGAAGCCTATCAGCAAACTCTAAATGGCAATTCAACAAATATTTCCTGAGTTCTTACTATAAATAAGGCATTGAGCTAGATTGTGAGGGATGTAATCTTTTATAAGAAATAAATCATGCTCTTGAGATGTTGACTTTTTTAAACACCTATTATTATCAAGTATACTTTACCAGGGTCCATGAGTTACTTATCTCAGTGCTCTTCTCCAGTCTCCTTTTAACTGAGTTTCTTGAATTTTAGTATATTCTCACTAAATGGCATTTTTTCTAGAAACCAATTCAACAAGGAATTGGAAAACTCATTCTTTTTATTCAGCTACCTAAAAATAGAGGATAATACACGCCTCCATAAACAACTTAAAAATAGTCAACATAGAAGTACAATATAATATGCCAGAATACAGGAAGACTTCCTAAAGGAGAAAAAGATTTTAAAGTAGGAAATAGACAGTCCTTATATGTGATCATATTCAGAAATATTTAAAAAAGAGACATACAATAAAAATTAAAAGTTGGGAATGTGAGAATTATCAAAGCTTGAATTCAAATCCAGACTTCCATCACTTACTATTTATGTGCCCTTGATAGATGCCCTTATTCCCTGTTTTAGTTTGCTCATGGTAACATTAAGGGTTGGGAGTCACGCTAATAGGAGTGAGCGTTAAAGCTAATAAAACAAAATCACTACCATTTATTAAGCATGTGAGAAACTCAGCCTGTAAGCCCTATAGTTACTGATTACCTATAATCCACAGAAGGGGGCAGTATAGCATAATAAATCAGATTGTGAGCTCCTGTTAGAGACTTGGCACTGAAGGATTACAAAGCCTTGAAATGGACCACTTGGGACATGACCAGTGAGCACCAGAAGGCAGCCATGAGGGACTGCTGAAGACTACATAACCCATTTTTTTTTTCTGGACTACTTAAACCTGGTTTAAGCCTGGCAGTTCTGTGTAATGTTAGAAAGCTGCAAGGAAAAAAAAAAAAAAAAAGACTGACTTTTGATTTCCCACCAATCTTGCCTGGGGAACTGAGACATTTACATACTACTTACCTGGTTTCAAACATTATTGTAAGTATTTTACATAAATAACTCATTTAATCTTCACATCAGCCTTACTATTGTTCTTCCATTTCACAAATGAGGAAACTGAGGCTTAGAGAGGTGAAGTCACTTGCCCAAAGTCACACAACTAGAAAGTGGTAATGCTGGAATTTGAACTCAGCAGAAAAACTAGATCTAGAGTCTGGCTTTTAGTCACAAAGCAAAACAACACAAATGTATGGGCTAAAAGAGTATGGCCTCTGGAATTAGACTGCCTGAGTTCCTATTGAAGCTCTGCTCTTTGCCAGCTGTGTGATGTTAGTCAAGTTACCTCATTTCTCTGTCCATCGGTTTTCTCACCTGTAAAATAGAGATAATAATAGTACATGCTTCAGAGAGATGCTGAAAAGAGTCAATGAGATAAACCTTATAAGTGTGCTAAGGGCTGTCTCTGACACACACTCTGCTAATAGATGTTGTCTATTCAAGTACATAAAGAGAGACGAAGAGCAAAACTTTGTGGAATTTCTTAATCAATGAAGTAAACAGACAACCTACAGAATAGAATAACATATTTGCAAATTAGGCATCCAACAAAAGACTAATATCCAGAATCTACAAGGAGCTCAAACAACTGAACAAGAAACAAACACAAATAACCAATTAAAAAGTGGGCAAAATACATGAACAGACATTTTTCAAAAGAAAGCACATAAGTGGCCAACATAAACATAGGAAAAATTTTATCCCATTCTGTAGGTTACCTGTTCACTCTGACGATAGTTTCTTTTGTTGTGCAGAAGCTCTTTAGTTTAATTAGATCCAATTTGTAAATTCTGGCTTTTGTTGCTATTGCTTTTGGTGTTTTAGTCATGAAGTCTTTGCCCATGCCTATGTCTTGAATGGGATGAACGCTTTTACACTGTTATCGGGAGTGTAAATTAATTCAACCATTGTGGAAGACAGTGTGGTGATTCCTCAAGTATCTAGAACCAGAAATAACATTTGACCCAGCAATTCCATTACTGGGTATATACTCAAAGGATTATAAATCATTCTACTATAAAGACACATGCACATGTATGTTTATTGCAACACTATTTACAATAGCAAAGACTTGGAACCAAGCCAAATGTCCATCAATGATAGACTGGATAAAGAAAATGTGGCACATACACACCATGCAATACTATGCAGCCATAAAAAAGGATGAGTCCATGTCCTTTGCAGGGACATGGATGAAACTGGAAACCATCATTCTCAGCAAACTAACACAGGAGCAGAAAACCAAACACCACATGTTCTCCCTCATAAGTGGGAGTTGAACAGTGAGAACACATGAAAACAGGGAGGGAAACATCACACACTGGAGCCTGTCGGGGTGGGGGAAGAGGAGGGAGAGCATTAGGACAAATACCTAATGCATGAGGGGCTTAAAACCTAGATGATGGGTTGATGGGTGCAGCAAACCACCATGGCACATGTATACCTGTGTAACAAACCTGCACATTCTGCACATGTATCCCAGAACTTAAAGTAAAATTAAAAAAGGAAAACATGCTCAACATCACTAATCATCAGAGAAGAGCAAATGAAAACAACGAGGTACCATCTTATGCCAGTCAGAATGTCTATTAAAAAGTCAGCACAGCTGTTATCTTCATTTTATAGATAAAGAAACTGAGTCTGAAACAGGTTAAGTGCATTGCCTAAGATGACATAGGAAGGATTTAGAGAGGTAAAGATGTGAAACCAGAAAGTCTGGCTCTACAGTTCTGCATTATTGTTATACTATGTTGTCCCTGGCCCGGAGCCCCAACCCCTAAGGCAAGGATTCACCAAATTCTTTGATGAAAGCTATGGACCTTCTCTCCCTACAAGTGCAGAGAAATTTACGTTTTTATTTTTATATACTATTTCAAGGAATTCACTTCCTGACCTTCACCACTGCTACAAACCCTTGTGTATTTCCGGTAGGAATCTCAGATGAAAACTCCTAGCTTTAAAGTTTAAATTCCACCATTCTTAAACTCTGACTCGGCCTCAAACCCTATCAAACCCTATCATTTAACAACCCAGCTCTAGAAAAAGTAGGGCGTGGTTGCGGCACTCATACTGCCCTCTATCGCCGCCTACTGGAATGTCCCTGGTAATGACAACAACATCGCCACACCTGTGGCTTAGAGACCTCTTCGCACTTTCAGGGCGTTTTCACAATAAGGTGCCATCATAGCTCAGGGGTATGAAGCCCCAACTACAGAGGGTGGGGAGTGGAGTCCGGCCTTAAGTCTGTGCCGCCAGTCGTTCCAGCAGAGTCCTTTCCGTCATGCTCTGCTGCACGACGTGTACGGGCGACACCGCCATTTTAGTTTTTTATCAGACTGTCTGCGTCACCAGGAACTATGGCCGCAGCCTTTGGAATTCAGCAGAGGTCGCTGGAGTACATCTTTTTCCTCCCTGACTGTGGTCCTAGGGAAATAATCATGAGCCGCATAAGGACGTTTGGATCAATGATGTCAATGATGGACCACATATATGATGATAGTCCCATAAGATTACCATGGAACTGGAGCTGAAAAATTTCTATAATCTAATTATATCTTTTTTTGTTTGTTTTTAAGAAAGAGTTTTGTTCTTGTCCCCCAGATTGGAGTGCAATGGCACGATCTCGGCTCACTGCAACCTCTGCCTCCCAGGTTCAAGCAATTCTCCTGCCTTAGCCTCCTGTGTAGCTGGGATTACAGGCGCCCGCTACCACGTCTGGCTAATTTTTTTGTGTGTATCTTTAGTAGAGATGGTTTTTCACCATGTTGGCCAGGCTGGTCTCGAACTCTTGACCTCAGGTGATTCGCCTGCCTCGGCCTCCCAAAGTGCTGGGATTACAGGCATGAGCCACCGCGTCTGGCTGCCTAATGATATCTTGATGATCCTGATCCAGTGTAGGGCTAGGCTAATGTGCATATTTCTGTCTCGGTTTTTAACAAAAAAGTTAAAAAGTGAAAAAAAAAAAAAGGAAAGAAAAATGAAAGAAAGAAAAAGATAATTTAAGAAATAGAAAAAAAGCTTATAAAAATAAGGATATAAAGAAAAAATTGTGTACAGCTATACAATATGCTTCCCTTTTAAGCTAAGTGTTCATTACAAATGAATCAAAAAGTTTTTAAAAAAGTAAAAAAAGTTACAGTAAGCTAAGGTAAATTTATTATTGAAGAAATAACTTTTTAAAAAAAATTTAGCCTAGCTCAAGTTTATAGTGTTTATGAAGTCAACAGTAGTGTAATGTCCCAGGCTCTCACATTTCACCCACCACTCACTGACTCACCTAGAATTGTGTCTAGTCCTGTAAGCACCACTCATTAGTAAATGCCCTATAGAAGTGTATCTTTTTTTATCATTCATACCATATTTTTACTGTACCTTTTCTACGTTTAGATACACAAATACTTACCATTGTGTTACAATTGCCTAGAGTATTCAGTACAATGACATGCTTTACAGGTTTGTAGCCTGGGAGCAATAGGCTATACCATGTAGCCTAGGTTATGACATCTAAGTTTGTATCATAGTACATGCTGTGATGTTAGTACAGTGACAAAATTACCTAACAGTGCACTTCTCAGAATGTATCTCTGTCGTTAAGCAAAGAATCACTGGAGAAATCACAACTTTCTAACCTGACCTACTTCCTTCGAAGACTGGATACACTGCTTTAGCATGCACATCTTACAATTCACCATTCCTTGACCTTCTAATGTTGTCTTTTTCATGTTGCCTTTTTCTTTTCTTTTTTTTTTTTTTTTTTAGCTGTAATGTTTGCAAAACTCTGGGGTTCTGAATGTAGAAAAACACAACCCCAGTTTAAGACGTCCTCTTCCGATCCCTCAGTTTCTTGCTGTTCATACTTGCCATCTCCATCTCTGTAGTCTTCCTGATTAACACCTTCCAGCTTCAGATCTGGAAGTAGTAATCCGAGCACTGGACTGGAAATCAGATCAGACCTGTTTCACATTTAAAGCTTTGCCTTTGTATTAGTTCTGTGACAAGTCACTTGACCTCTCTGTGGTCTCAGTTTATGAAATTGGAAGGAGATTGGTTAATATGGGAGGATCTCCATGAGCCTTTTCTGTTTTGGTCTGCTAGGATTCTAAAAGTATTCTCTGTTCTTAATACTGTACTTACAATAGAGTCCACCCCAACTTTATTTATTCATACCCAAATAAATACACAACAAATATTTCTTAAATGAGTGTTGCTTTCCCAGTGCCTTTCAATATGCCTGGCATATAATACGTGTCCAATGATATTGAATAATAAATGAATTTGCCTCGTGCCTGTAATCCCAGCACTTTTGGAGGCCAAGGCGGGCGGATCACAAGGTCAGGAGATCGAGACCATCCTGTGAATGGAGAAACCCGGTCTCTACTAAAAATACAAAAAATTAGCCGGGCGCTGTGGCAGGCGCCTGTAGTCCCAGCTACTCAGGAGGCTGAGGCAGGAGAATGGTGTGAACCCAGGAGGTGGAGCTTGCAGTGAGCCGAGATTGCGCCACTGCACTCCAGCCTGGGCGACAGAGCGAGACTCCATCTCAAAAAAAAAAAAAAAAAAAGTTTAAGACCAGCCTGGTCAACATGGTGAAACCCTGTCTTTACTAAATATACAAAAAATCAGCCGGGCGTGGTGGCGGGTGCCTGTACTTGGGAGGCTGAGGCAGGAGAATCACTTGAACCCAGGAGGCAGATGTTGCAGTGAGCCGAGATTGTACCATTTCGCTCCAGCCTGGGCAACAAGAGTGAAACTTCGTCTCAAAAAAAGAAAAAAAAAAACAAAAAAAAACGATTTTGCAAAACCTCATCAATTTCCCCAACATCTCTTGCTTCATTTTCTTCCTTCTTCAGTATTTAGTCAGGCACTATTCATCTCTACCTGGATTATTGGGAAGCCCCTTAATTAGTTTCCCATGCCTAGTCTTTCTTTCACTAAGATAATTTTCCTTAAAACACAATTCTGTAATACTATTTTTTGTTCCAAAATTCTACAGAACTCTCTATTGCTTATGGGATCAAGTCTTAACTGACCCACCAGGCAATCAAGACTCCTCTTCAACCTGACCCCTAATTAGCCTAATTCTCCAGGTAAACACAATTACTTCCTATTCCTCAACCCATGTCTTACTTGCTTCACTCCATGTCCAACAAGCCCAGGAGAGAGATAATAAGGACCTGAGTGAGCCTAGCTGGGGCAATGGGGAGGACAAGGGGATGGATTTCAATAAATTTACACAGAAAATGTACCTACCTTTTCTGTCTCCTTCGCTTTGCAGTAACTGCCAAACTTTTTCAAAGAATCCTTCCCCTCATTCCGGGAACAATACTAGTAAATAATTATTAGGTGCTTCTTGTGTGCAAAATATTGTACTAAGTGCTTTGTATGTATTAATGCATTTAATCTTCACAATAGCCTTTGGGGTAGGTACTCTTAGTGTCCTCTCTTTACATATAAGACAGGCAGATTTAAGATTAAGTAACTTGTTTAATGTCAAATAACCAGTAAAAATAGCAGAGCTAAGACTCCACCCAGGTACACTGTCCCTAGTTTAAATTACTACGGTACTTTACTAGATCCCTTTCTTGGCTGCCATGACACTGCTTATTTCTGATTCTCTATTTCTTTTTGTGAAACATCATAGCCCCTTTCTTTATTGTCTTTGCCATCCCCAATATAGAAATCCCACAAAGTTGTTTCTTTTTAATGTATGTACATTGTTTTTTTTTAAATTATTTTTTACCGTTTTCTTTTTAAAAGCTTTTTTGTAGATTTAGGGGGCACAAGTGCATTTTGTTACATGGGTATATTGAGAAATGGTAGAGTATGGGCTTTTAGTGTGTCCATCACTTGAAAGGCTGCATGGCTTACATTGTACCCAACAGATAATTTCTCATCCCTCACCCGTCTCCCACCCTCCCACTTTTTGGAGTCTCCACTGTCTATTATTCCACTCTCTGTGCCCATGTGTACACAATATTTAGCTCCCACTTATAAGTGAGAACATGTGGTATTTGACTTTCTCTTTCAGAGTTATTTTATTTAAGATAATGGCCTCCAGTCTCATCCATGTTGTTGCAAAAGACATGATTTTATTCTTTTTCATGGCTGAGTAGTATTCCATGGCATATAAATACCATACATTCTTTATTCAATCTTCTGTTGATGGACACTTAGGTTGATTCCATGTCTTTACTATTTAATAGTGCTGCAATAGACATGCAAGTGCAGGTATCTTTTTAATGCAATGATGTATTTTCTTTTTGGAAGATACCAAGTAATGGGATTGCTGAGTAATAGGTAGTTGTATATTTAGTACTTTGAGAAATTTCCATAATGTTTTTTGTTCAGGTTTTGCGAATTTACATTTCCACCAGTGTATAAGCATTCCTTTTTCTCTGCATCCTTGCCAATATCTGTCGTTTTTTTGACTTTTTAATAGCCATTCTGACTGGCATAAGATGGTACCTCATTGTTGTTCTCATTTGCTTTTCTCTAATGATTAGTGATGTTGAGCATGTTTTCCTTTTTTATTTTGCTTTAAGTTCTGGGATACATGTGCAGAATGTGCAGGTTTGTTACACAGGTATACATGTGCCATGGTGGTTTGCTGCACCCATCAACCCATCATCTAGGTTTTAAGCCCCTCATGCATTAGGTATTTGTCCTAATGCTCTCCCTCCCCTTGCCCCCCACAACTGACAGGCTCCAGTATGTGATGTTTCCCCTCCCTGTTTCCATGTATTCTCACTGTTCAACTCCCACTTATGAGGGAGAACATGTGGTGTTTGGTTTTCCCTTCCTGTGTTAGTTTGCTGAGAATGATGGTTTCCAGTTTCATCCATGTCCCTGCAAAGGACATGAACTCATTCCTTTGTATGGCTGCATGGTATTCCACGTACCACATTTTCTTTATCCAGCCTATCATTGATGGGCATTTGGGTTGGTTCCAAGTCTTTGCTATTGTGAATAGTGCTGCAATAAACATACATGTGCATGTGTCTTTATAGTAGAATGATTTATAATCCTTTGGGTATATACCAGTAATGGGATTGCTGGGTCAAATGTTATTTCTGGTTCTAGATCCTTGAGGAATCGCCACACAGTCTTTCACATTGGTTGAAGTAATTTACACTCCTACCAAAAGCGTGAAAGTGTTCCTGTTTCTCCACATCTTCTCCAGCATCTGTTGTTTCCTGACTTTTTAATGATCACCATTCTAACTGGTGTGAGATGGTATCTTCTCATTGTAGTTTTGATTTGCATTTCTCTAATGACCAGTGATGATGAGCTTTTTTTCATATGTTTATTGGCTGCATAAATGTCTTCTTTTGAGAAGTGTCTTTCATATCCTTCACCCACTTTTTATGGGGCTGTTTGTTTGTTTCCTGTAAATTTTTTTTCTTTGAAGATTCTGGCTATTAGCCCATTGTCAGATGGAGAGATTGCCAAAATTTTCTCCTGTTCTGTAGGTTGCCTGTTCACTCTGATGACAGCTTCTTTTGCTGTGCAGAAGCTCTTTAGTTGAATTAGGTCTGATTTGTCAATTTTGTCTTTTGTTGCCATTGCTTTGGGTATTTTAGTCATGAAGACTTTGCCCATGCCTATGTCCTGAATGGTATTGCCTAGGTTTTCTTCTAGGGTTTTTTATAATTTCAGGTCTCACATGTAAGTCTTTAATCAATCTTGAGTTAATTTTTGTATAAGGTGTAAGGAAGGGGTCCAGTTTCAGTTTTCTGTATATGACTAGACAGTTTTCCCAACACTATTTATTAAATAGGGAATCCATTCCCCATTGCTTGTTCTTGTCAGCTTTGTCAAAGATCAGATGGTTGTAGATGTGTGGTGTTATTTCTGAGGCCTCTGTTCTGTTCTATTGGCCTATATATCTGTTTTGGTACCAGTACCATGCTGTTTTGGTTACTGTAGCCTTGTAGCATAGTTTGAAGTCAGGTAGCATGATGCCTCCAGCTTTGTTCTTTTGCTAAGGATTGTCTTGGCTATACGGTCTGTTTCTTGGTTCCATATGAAATTTAAAGTAGTTTTATCTAATTCTATGAAGAAATTCAATGTTATCTTGATGAGGATAGCGTTGAATCTATAAATTACTTTAGGAAGTATGGCCATATTCATGATATTAATTCTTCCTACCCATGAGCTTGGAATTTTTTAGCATTTATTTGTGTCCTCTCTTATTTCCTTGAGCTGTGGTTTGTAGTTCTCCTAGAAGAGGTCTATCACATCCCTTGTAAGTTGTATTCCTAGACATCTTATTATCTTTGTAGCAATTGTGAATGGAAGTTCATTCCTGATTTGGCTCTCTGTTTATCTATTATTGGTGTATAGGAATGCTTGTGATTTTTGCACATTGATTTTGTATCCTGAGACTTTGCTGAATTTGCTTATCAGCTTAAGGAGATTTGGGGCTGAGACGATTGGGTTTTCTAAATAGTCATGTCATCTGCAAACAGGGAGAATTCAACTTCCTCTTTTTCTATTTGAATGCCCTTTATTTCATTCTCTTGCCTGATTTCCCTGGCCAGAATTTCCAATACTATGTTGAATAGGAGTGGTGAGAGAGGGCATTCTTGTCTTGTGCCGATTTTCAAAGAGAATGCTTCCAGCTTTTGCCCATTCAGTATGATATTGGCTGTGGGTTTGTCATAAATAGCTCTTATTATTTTGAAATACATTCCATCAATACCTAGTTTGTTGAGAATTTTTAGCATGAAGGAGTGTTGAATTTTCACAAAGGCCTTTTCTACATCTATTGAAATAATCATATGGTTTTTGTCATTGGTTCTGTTTATGTGATGGATTACATTTATTGAATTGCATATGTTGAATTAGCCTTGCATCCCAGGGATGAAGCCGACTTGATCGTGGTGGATAAGCTTTTTGATGTGCTGCTGGATTCGGTTTGCCTGTATTTCATTGAGGATTTTCACATTGATGTTCATCAGGGATATTGGCCCGAAATTTTGTTTTTTTGTTGTGTCTCTGCTGGGCTTTGGTATTAGGATGATGCTGGCCTCATGAAATGAGTTAGGGAGGAGTCCCTCTTTTTCTATTGTTTGGAATAGTTTTGGAAGGAATGGTACCAGCTCCTGTTTCTACTTCCGGTAGACTTTGGCTGTGAATCCATCTGGTCCTGGGCTTTTTTTGGTTGGTAGGCTATTAATTACTGCCTCAATTTTAGTACTTGCTATTGTTCTATTCAGGGATTGGACTTCTTCCTGGTTTAGTCTTGAAAGGGTGTGTGTGTCCAGGAATTGATCCATTTCTTCTAGATTTTCTAGTATATTTGAATAGAGGTATTTATAGTATTCTCTAATGGTAGTTTTGTGTTTCTGTGGAATCAGTGGTGATATCCCCTTTATCACTTATTATTGTGTCTATTTGATTCCTTTCTGTTTTCTTCTTTATTAGTCTGGCTATTTTATTAAACTTTTCATAAAACCAGCTCCTAGAGTCATTGATTTTTTGATGGGTTTTTCGTGTTTCTATCTCCTTCAGTTCTGCTCTGATCTTAGTTATTTCTTGTCTTCTGCTAGCTTTTGAATTTGTTTGTTCTTGCTTCTCTAGTTTTTTAAAATTGTGATTTTAAGGTGTCAATTTTAGATCTTTCCTGCTTTCTCCTATGGGCCTGTAGTGCTATAAATTTCCCTCTAAACATTGCTTTAGCTGTGTCCCAGAATTTCTGGTATGTTGTGTCTTTGTTCTCATTGCTTTCGAATAACTTACTGATTTCTGCCTTAATTACTTTATTTACCCAGTAGTCATTCAGGAGAAGGTTGTTCAGTTTCATGTAGTTGTGAAGTTTTGAGTGAGTTTCTTAATCTTGAGTTCTAATTTGATTGCACTGTCATCTGAGAGACTGTTCGTCATGATTTCCATTCTTTTGCATTTGCTGAGGTGTGTTTTATTTTGAATAATGTGACCAATTTTAGAATAAGTGGGATGTGGTTCTGAGAAGAATGTATGTTCGGTTGATTCGGGGTGGAGAGTTCTGTAGATGTCTATAGGTCCGCTTGGTCCAGAGCTGAGTTCAAGTCCTGAATATCCTTGTTAATTTTCTGTCTCATTTATCTGTCTAATATTGACAGTGCAGTGTTAAAGTCTCTCATGATTTTTGTGTGGGAGTCTAAGGCTCTTTGTAGGTTTCCAAGAACTTGCTTTATGAATCTGGGTGCTCCTGTATTGGGTGCATATATATTTAGGATAGTTAGCTCTTCTTGTGACATTGGTCCCATTACCATTATGTAATGTCCTGCTTTGTCGTTTTTGATCTTGGTTGGTTTAAAGTCTGTTTTATCAGAGACTAGGATTGCAACCCTTGCTTTGTTTTGCTTTCCATTTGCTTGGTAAATATTCCTCCATCTCTTCATTTTGAGCCTATATGTGTCTTTGCACATGAGATGGGTCTCCTGAATACAGCACACTGATGGGTCTTGAATATTTATTCAAGTTGTCCATTTGTGTATTTTAATTGGGGCATTTAACCCATTTACATTTAAGGTTAATATTGTTATTTGTGAATTTGATTCTGTCATTAAGACGGTTAGTTGATGCAGTTTCTTCACAGTGTCAATAGTCTTTACAATTTGATATGTATTTGCAGTGGCTGGTACCTATTTTTCCTTTCCATATTTAGTGCTTCCTTCAGGAGCTCTTATAAGGCAGGCCTGGTGGTGACAAAATCTCTTAGAATTTGCTTGTCTGTAAAGGATTTTATTTCTCTTTCACTTACAAAGCTTAGTTTGGAAGGATATGAAATTCTGGGTTGAAAATTCTTTTCTTTAAGAATGTTGAATATTGGCCCCCACTCTCTTCTGGGTTGTAGGGTTTCTGCAGAGAGATCAGTTGTTAGTCTGATGGGCTTCCCTTTGTGGGTAACCCGACCTTTCTCTCTGGCTGCCCTTACCATTTTTTCCTTCATTTTGACCTTGGCGAATCTAATGATTATGTGTCTTGTGGTTGCTCTTCTCTAGGAGTATCTTTGTGGTGTTCTCTGTATTTCCTGAATTTAAATTTTGGCCTGTCTTCCTAAGTTGGGGATGTTCTCCTGGGCAATATACTGAAGAGTGTTTTCCAACTTCATTCCATTATCCCTGTCACTTTCCAGTGTACCAATCAAACGTAGGTTTGGTCTTTTCCCATAGTCCCATATTTCTTGTAGGCTTTGTTCATTTTTTTGTTGTTGTTTTTGTTTTTTCTTTTTTATCTCGTCGTCACGCTTTATTTCATTAAGTTGATCTTCAATCTCTGATATCTTTTCTTCTGCTTAATCAGTTTGGCTAATGATACTTTTGTATGCTTCACGAAGTTCTCACGCTGTGTTTTTCAGCTCCATCAGGTCATTTATGTTTTTCTCTAAACTGGTTACTGTAGTTAGCAATTCTTCTAACCTTTTTTCAAGGTTCTTAGCTTCCTTGCATTGGGTTAGAACATGATTCTTTAGCTCGGAGGAGTTTGTTATTACCCACCTCTGAAGCCTACTTCTGTCAATTCATCAAACTTATTCTCTGTCCAGTTTTGTTCCCTTGCTATTGAGTAGTTGCTATCCTTTGGAGGAGAAGAGGTGTTCTGATTTTTGAAATTTTCAGCCTTTTTGTGCTGGTTTTTCCTTATCTTCGTGGATTTATCTACCTTTGGTCTTTGATGCTGATGACCTTCGGATGGGGTTTCTGTGTGGACATCCTTTTCATTGATGTTGATGCTATCTTTTCCATTTGTTCGTTTTCGTTCTAAACAGTCAGGCCCCTCTGCTGCAGGTCTGCTGGAGTTTGCTGGACGTCCACTCCAGAACCTGTTTGCCTGGGTATCACCAGTGGAGGCTGCAGAACAGCAAAGATTGCTGCCTATCCCTTCCTCTGGAGGCTTTGTCCCAGAAGGGCACCCACCAAATGCCGTCTGGAGCTCTCCTGTATGAAGTGTCTGTCGACTCCTGCTGGGAGGTGTCTCCCAGTCAGGTGTCACAGGGGTCAGGGACCCACTTGAGGAGGCAGTCTGTCCCTTAGCAGAGCTTGAGCACTGTGCTTTGAGATCCACTGCTCTCTCCAGAGCTGGCAGGCAGAAACGTTTAAGTTTGCTGAAGGTGCACTCACAGCCACCCCTTTTCACAGGTGCTCTGTCCCAGGGAGATGGGAGTTTCATCTATAAGCCCCTGACAGGGGCTGCTGCCTACCTTTCAGAGATGCCCTGCCCAGAGAAGAGGAATATAGAGTGGCAGTCTGGCTACAGAGGCTTTGCTGAGCTGTGGTGGGCTCCGCCCAGTTTGAATTTCCTGGAAGCTTTTTTACACTGTGAGGGGGAAATCACCTACTCAACCCTCAGTAATGGTGGACGCCCCCTCCCCCCACCAAGCTCAAGCATCTCAGGTCAACTTTAGACTTCAGACTGCTGTGCTGGCAGCAAGAATTTCAAGCCAGTGTATCTTAGCTGTCTGGGCTTCGTGGGGGTGGGTTCCACTGAGCTAGACCACTTGGCTCCCTGGCTTCAGACCCTTTACTAGGGGAGTGAACAGTTCTGTCTTGCTGTTGTTCCAGGCGCCACTGGGGTATGAAAAAAACTCCTGCCACTAGCTCAGGGTCTGCCCAAATGGCTGCTCAGTTTTGTGGTTGAAACCCAGGTCCCTGGTGGTGTAGGCACCTGAGGGAATCTTGTGGTCTGTGGATTGTGAAGAGCATGGGAAACGCATAGTATTTGGGCCAGAATGCACCGTTCCTCATGGCACAGGCCTTCACGAATTCCCTTGGCTAGGGGAGGGAGTTCCCCGACCTCTTGCACTTCCCAGGTGAGGCATCACCTTACCCTGTTTCTACTCACCCTCTGTGGGCTGCACCCACCTTCTAACCAGTTCCAATGTTATGAGCTGGGTACTTCAGGTGGAAATGCGGAAATCACTCGCCTTCTGCGCTGATCTTTCTGGGAACTGCAGATTGGAGCTCTTCCTATTCGGCCATCTTGCCAGCCACCCCTCTTCTCCTTCTTATATTACACTTATTTCCTGACTAATTTAATCCCCTTATTTAGCTTAAACCAAGACCTGAAGCTGACGGTTACTAAATTTATGTCCACAGCCCAGGCTGCTTCTCCAACACCAGACCTATATATCAAAATACCTATCATATGTTTCACAGGCACATCAAAACTTCTTCTGAAACTGAATTCATCATTTCCCCCTTTCCTCAGATATAAACTTAGTCACCAAATTAGTCACCAAAGCCAAAAACGTGACTGTAATTCTTGATTCCTGCTTATCCCTTAACTCTTACATCCCATCAATCCTCAATTTATCTATTGATTTGACAAATTCTACCTGATATGCTATTTTGTTCCCAGCATTATGCTAGGTGCAGTCCCTACCACAGTAACTACTTTCATGAAGCTTTCATCCTAGTAGCAAGCCCAGTATTAAGCTTTGATTTATACACTAAATTAATTACATTTTTAGTTGTAAATGATTTTTTAACTACTAGATTTATGTTTTTAGAGGAGCTGTAGGTTTGTCAAAACACTGAGCAAAAAGAACAGAGTTTCCATATACTCATTGTCTTGCCCCACACTCTCAGGTTTCCCTATTATTAACATCTTGCCTGATTGAGGTATATTTGTTACAATTGATGAATCAACATTGATACATCATTTAAACTTAAGCCCATAGTTAACATTATGGCTCATTCTTTGTATTGTGCAGTTCTACCAGGCTTGCCAAGTACATAAAGCCATGTATCTACTATTACAATAATAGTATAGCACAGTTTCACTGCTCTAAAAATCCCGTGTTTCACCTATTTAATCCTCCTACTATCCATGACGACCACTGATTTTCAGTCAGTATAGTTTTGTCTTATCGAGAATGTCACATAGTTGGAATCATATAGCATGTAGCATTTTCAGACCAGGTTCTTTCACTTACCGATATGCATTTAAGATTTCTCCTTGCCTTCTTGAGGCTTAATAGTTCATTTCTTTTCATTGTTGAATAATATTATCTTGTATGGATTTATCAGTTTGTTTACCCATTCACTTATTGAAAGGATATCTTGGTTGCTTCCAACTTTTGTCGATTATGAATAAATTTATAACAAATATTCATATGCAGATTTTGTGTAGACATAAATCTTTAATTCATTTCAGTAAATATCTAGTAGTATGATTGCTGGATCATACAATAAGACTATGTTTAGTTTTGTAAGAAACTGCCAAACTGTCTTCCACAGTGGCTGTGTCATTTTGCATTCCCACCAGGAATGAATGAAGGCTTCTGTTGCTCTACATTCTCAATAGCATTTGGCATTGTCAGTATTGTGCCATTCTAATAGATGTGCAGTAGAATTTCATTGTTGCTTTAATTTGTAATTCTCTAATGTTAATTAGATATTAACAATTTTAAATTCTAGAAATTAGAAGACTATTGCACTATAAGAACATGTAGCATAGAACATTACTTAGTCTGGAATCATGGAAGATTTCTCTGAAAAGGTGATGTTTGAGTTGAATGTTGTGGAGTAAATAGGAATTAATTAAATAATTAGAAGAGAGTCCTGGCGGAGGAGAGAGCATGTACAGAAGGACCTGAGGTAGCGAGAAAGGTAACATATTTGAGGTTCAAAAAAGGCCTGTGTGTGGTCAACACTTATGGAGCATAGGACAAGGTGACATGAGGAAAGGCAGGGACTATGTAGGCCACAGGAATAATTTGAACTCCTTTCTAAGACTAGTGTGAAGCTACTGAAGGTTTTTCATGAGGGGCGTGACTTGATCAAATTTGAGCTTTGGAAAGATCACTCAATTTGCTGCATATCAGAGAATTGGGGAAACCTCAAGTAAGGAGGCTTTTGAGATAAATCAAGAAAGGAAAGTTGTAGCTTTAATTTGGTTCATAGCAATGAAGATCAGAGAAATGGATATATACAGGGATTATTTAGGAAGTACAAGCAATAGGACATAGAGATTGATTATAAATGAAAGGTAGGAAGTGGTGAGGTAGAGCATAGAGGACATGAGAGGTTTCTGATTTCTAGTTTGAGCAACTAAATGAATGGTGGTGACCATCTTTAAGTTTGAAATACTATAAGGAAGAGCAAGTTTGGGGTACAGTGAGATGATTAGTGGAGTATGAAATACTATAGTTCAATTGGAGGAATGTATTTTTTGCTTTCTTAGAGGTACATAGAATAATGGTGCTTTTTGAAATAGATGGTATATTAATTTTAGTTAAGCTTGCTTGTTGCAACCAGGAACATAGATGAGATTACCAAGGGAGATAATATAGTTTCAGAAGAGAAGGGAGCCAAGGCCTGAGCCTTGAGGATTTCTAACATTAAAACATGCAGTAGAAGTAGGAGGATATGAACTGGCAATGGAGACTGAGAAAGAGCAGACAGAAATATGGGAGGAAATTTAGGCATACCCAGTGTCCCAAAAGCCAAGTAAAGAGAGTACTCTAGAAAGAGCTGAAGTACGTCCCATCAATACCTAATTTATTGAGAGTTTTTAGCATGAAGGGTTGTTGAATTTTGTCAAAGGATTTTTCTGCATATATTGAGATAATCATGTGGTTTTTTCAAAATAATAAGAGCTATCTATGACAAACCCACAGCCAATATCATACTGAATGGGCAAAAACTGGAAGCATTCCCTCTGAAAACTGGCACAAGACAGGGATGCCCTCTCTCACGACTCCTATTCAACATAGTGTTGGAAGTTCTGGCCAGGGCAATTAGGCAGGAGAAGGAAATAAAGGGTATTCAATTAGGAAAAGAGGAAGTCAAATTGTCCCTGTTTGCAGATGACATGATTGTATATCTAGAAAACCACATTGTCTCAGCCCAAAATCTCCTTAAGCTGATAAGCAACTTCAGCAAAGTCTCAGGATACAAAATCAATGTACAAAAATCACAAGCATTCTTATACACCAACAACAGACAAACAGAGAGCCAAATCATGAGTGAACTCCCATTCACAATTGCTTCAAAGAGAATAAAATACCTGGGAATCCAACTTACAAGGGATGTGAAGGACCTCTTCAAGGAGAACTACAAACCACTGCTCAAGGAAATAAAAGAGGATACAAACAAATGGACGAACACTCCATGCTCATGGCTAGGAAGAATAAATATCGTGAAAATGGCCATACTGCCCAAGGTAATTTACAGATTCAATGCCATCCCCATCAAGCTACCAATGACTTTCTTCACAGAATTGGAAAAAACTACTTTAAAGTTCATATGGAACCAAAAAAGAGCCCGCATCACCAAGTCAATCCTAAGCCAAAAGAACAAAGCTGGAGGCATCACACTACCTGACTTCAAACTATACTACAAGGCTACAGTAACCAAAACAGCATGGTACTGGTACCAAAACAGAGATATAGATCAATGGAACAGAACAGAGTCCTCAGAAATAACGCCACATATCTACAACCAACTGATCTTTGACAAAGCTGACAAAAACAAGCAATGGGGAAAGGATTCCCTGTTTAATAAATGGTGCTGGGAAAACTGGCT
Organism: Homo sapiens; assembly: GCF_000001405.40. Lineage (NCBI taxonomy): Eukaryota > Metazoa > Chordata > Mammalia > Primates > Hominidae > Homo > Homo sapiens. The sequence goes on along the minus strand of NC_000023.11, from coordinate 66,714,764 downwards.
AGCCATATGTAGAAAGCTGAAACTGGATCCCTTCCTTACACCTTATACAAAAATCAATTCAAGATGGATTAAAGACTTAAATGTTAGACCTAAAACCATAAAACCCTAGAAGAAAACCTAGGCATTACCATTCAGGACGTAGGCATGGGCAAGGACTTCATGTCTAAAACACCAAAAGCAATGGCAACAAAAGACAAAATTGATAAATGGGATCTAATTAAACTAAAGAGCTGCACAGCAAAAGAAACTACCATCAGAGTGAACAGGAAACCTACAGAATGGGAGAAAATTTTCGCAACCTACTCATCTGACAAAGGGCTAATATCCAGAATCTACAATGAACTCAAACAAATTTACAAGAAAAAAACAAACAACCCCATCAAAAAGTGGGCGAAGGACATGAACAGACACTTCTCAAAAGAAGACATTTATGCAGCCAAAAAACACATGAAAAAATGCTCATCATCACTGGCCATCAGAGAAATTCAAATCAAAACCACAATGAGATACCATCTCACACCAGTTAGAATGGTGATCATTAAAAAGTCAGGAAACAACAGGTGCTGGAGAGGATGTGGAGAAATAGGAACACTTTTACACTGTTGGTGGGACTGTAAACTAGTTCAACCATTGTGGAAGTCAGTGTGGCGATTCCTCAGGGATCTAGAACTGGAAATACCATTTGACCCAGCCATCCCATTACTGGGTATATACCCAAAGGACTACAAATCATGCTGCTATAAAGACACATGCACACATATGTTTATTGCAGCATTATTCACAATAGCAAAGACTTGGAACCAACCCAAATGTCCAACAATGATAGACTGGATTAAGAAAATGTGGCACATATACACCATGGAATACTATGCAGCCATAAAAAATGATGAGTTCATGTCCTTTGTAGGGACATGGATGAAATTGGAAATCATCATTCTCAGTAAACTATCGCAAGAAGAAAAAACCAAACACCGCATATTCTCACTCATAGGTGGGAATTGAACAATGAGATCACATGGACACAGGAAGGGGAATATCACACTCTGGGGACTGTTGTGGGGTGGGGAGAGGGCGGAGGGATAGCACTGGGAGATATACCTAATGCTAGATGATGAGTTAGTGGGTGCAGTGCACCAGCATGGCACATGTATACATATGTAACTAACCTGCACAATGTGCACATGTACCCTAAAACTTAAAGTATAATAAAAAAAAAAAGAAAGAGCTGAAGTAAAAGAGGACTGAAAAACATGTCAACTGGCTTTATTGACATGAAAATCATTGGGTACCTTGCAAAAACTGAAGTTGGATGGTGCCAGGAGGTAGAAGCCCTGTTAGAGTAGGTTGAGAAGCATATGAAAGTTGGAGAAGCCCTGCCAGCTGTCTATGAAAGGCAGAGAAAAATGAGGAGATTTTAAAGGAGGGGGTGGAATTCTGTTTTTATTTTCCCGTTAGCTCTTAAATTTTTCCTTTTTTTCTGAGTCTCCATTGTGACAGCCTAGTTTCAGGCCCTCATTACTATTGCCTGAACTATTACAATGGCATTCTCAGTGGATTCTGTCGACCTACTCCTCCAGATCTATTCTCCACACTGCTGCCAGAATGGTCTCTCCAAAACCTGGATCTAACAACGTAACTCCCTTACTTGAAATATTTGAATGGTTCTATAGGTACGAGATAATATCCCCGTCCTGACCATCTCTTGGCATCATACCTGCCCTTGACCTTTGCAATTCCCTGAAGATACCTGCTATTTTGTGTTTCTGTTCCTTTGACCCTACTGTTTCTCTTTTCTATAATGCCTTGTCCTCACCTGGTTTGCCTAGTAAATTCCTGTTTGTCCTTATTCATGCCATAACTTACTCTTTGAAATATTTTCTTACCCCCTCAGACAGTTTATTACTTTCCTCTACTATTTCTGTTTTGTACATACTTCCATGTTTACATGAACACACTATATTGTAATAATTTGTTGACATGTCTGTCACCCAAGTAGACTGTGAGTATGTGAAGGTACTGGCCATGCCTTTTGCCTCTTTATCCATCCCCAGTTCCACACACTGTCCCTAGCCCATAGTAAGTGCTCTAACAAGAAAAAAAATCATTTTTCAAGACAAAGCCACAAAAAGTCATAGAGAAAATGATTGAGAAATTTGAATATATCAATACTAAAATGAAATGAGGTAAACTGTATACCATATCCTTCTCAGACAAGACTTCTGAAGTGTCTTCACCTTTTCACATCCTTCCTCTCATTAGCCTCATGATTTCCCTCACTGCCCCAGTAGAGACAGGTGCTACCTCCAATGCTTTATAATTCCCACACCTAAAACTTCCCTAACCGCCTGTGAAAACAATGTCATCCTGAAGTTTTTCCTAGTTCTTATTGAGACAATTAATATTCACCACCTGTTCAGCTTGCTGGGGGAACAAGGACCTGAATTTACATCCTACTGTGTCAAGAACCACTTCCTCTTGTTTGCCCTAAGTCTACCTTGATTCACTCATTTCTAGCTTCCAAACAATCTGGATCACAATTAAAGAGGAAGAGGCCTTAGACGGCCACACTTCAGTGTGTATTTATTTTCATTTTCAGTTCTATTGCATTCTGAATGTAATTATGTTTATATGGAGTATGAGTGTCCAAATTAAATAACCCATGCTGTATTCTCAATTTACATTCCACAGGGCACTGTACCCAAAATGACCACAGAGGATAATATTATGCTGTGTGTGTGAAAGAGAGAGAGAGAAGGGGAGACAATATTAAGTTCTTTAAAGTGTGTTGCCATTAAAGTACTAGAACTGGAAAATGAGTTACATTCCTGAATCTGTTATTATTAATTTACTCATTCATTTATTTAATCAACAAATTTATTAAGGTCTTCTAATATGCCAGGCACAGTACTAGGTTTTACAGGGTATACAACGTCCAATAATTTCCCTTCATCAACATGCCATGATTTATCAGCCTTGAAAAGTATCTCAAAGGCTTAGAAAACTTTATTCATTTATTCATTCATTCATTTATTCTGTGGATGATCATTGAAAACCTATTGCATGCCAAGAAATATACTAGAAATAAAGGATCATCAAAATAGTCATATAATCCCTCTTCCCAGGCCAGAAAGCTTACAGTTTTACATCCGGATGAGAATAGAAGGAATCAACTCATTTAGCAGATGGAGAAGAGGCCCAGAAAAATTACATAATAATCGATGTTACTATTGCATTCTTCATGACCTACCACACCTTGAATTTTTCCTTTTCTCCTAACAACATAATTTTCCACCATATAACCTACAGTATTGGGAGATTTCTGGGCATACAGACTTCACTAACTCATATCTTAGCTGTTATAGGGAATGGATAATGCCAATCATGATTCTTTGCTAAATAATCTTTGTTCTTGAGTCTCCTGTACGACCTCCTGCTTATTCATGGGCTAAGCATAGTGCTGGATAGCAACTGGCTCTTTGAGTTGAATATATGACACAACAGTAACATTTTGCTAATGTTGCTAAAATGTTATAGTCTTTTTTGAAATCTGTTGTCTGTGGGATGGGGTTCCAGTGGCCCCAGAGTTTGGAGTGGAACTTTTCACCATACATAACAAGGAATTTTTAAAATTGAAGGAACAGGAAGTAGGAAGAGGGAATTATTGTATTTGGTAGAGATTAATAAAATATAAAACATAAATAAGCCATGGAGTTGATCAATAAGACCAAAAGCTATTTATATGGTTTTAATGTTTGTCCCCAACCAAACCCATGTTTGAATTTGCTTGCTATTGTAATAGTATTAAGAGGAGGACCTTTAAGGGTTTTTAGGCCATGAGAGCTCTGCCCTTATGAATGGATTAATGTCACTATTTGCAAGAGTAGATTTCTTTTAAAAGGACAAGTCCAACCCCATTTTGGTTCTCTCTCTCTCTGATTCTCTTGATTTACCATGTTTCACCAAGGGAAGACACAGCAAGAAGGCCCTTTTTAGATGTTGGCTCTCAATTTTGAACTTCCCCAGCCTCAAGAACTGTGAGCCAATACATTTCTGTTAATTATAAACTCCCCAGTTTGTGGTATTATGGCAGCACAAAACAGACTTAGCCTTTTTATAAACACACCAATAAAATAGACAAGGTTTTGACAAGAGTGTTTGAAAAATAAAAATAGAGGACACAGCTAAACAACTTTAAGAATAAAATGGTAGACATGACCAAAGATACAAAGGGGATTAAAAATATATATTATTAGAGAACAGAACAGCAAGTCCAGAAATAGATGCATGTTTATATGGGAATTTACTGTAAGTTGGCAGTTCAAATCAATGAAAAAACGATGGACTATTTAAAAATGATGTTGAATTATTCTGGACATTGGCCTTGGGAAACAATTTATGAGTAAGTCCTCAAAAGCAGTTGCAAAACCAAAAATCGACAAGTGGGGCCTAATTAAACTAAAGAGCTTCTGCACAGCAAGAGAAACTATCAACAGAGTAAATAGACAACCTATAGAATGAGAGAAAATATTCACAAACTATGCATACGACAAAGGTATAATATCTAGAATGTACAAGGAACTTAAATAATTGAACAAGCAAAAAATAAATGACCCCATTAAAAACGGGTAAAATAGATGAATGGACACTTTTCAAAAGAAAACATACATATGGCCAACAAGCATATGAAAAAAAACTCACTGTCATTGATCATTAGAGAAATGCAGATCAAAACCAGAGTGAGATATTATCTCACAGCAGTCAGAATGGCTATTGTCGAAGTCAAAAAACAACAGATGCTTGAGAGGCTGTAAAGAGAAGAGAATGCTTATATATTTTTGGTGAGAATGTAAATTAGTTCAGCCATTGTGGAAAGCAGTTCGGAGATTTCTCAAATAACTTAAAAAAGAACTACAAGTTGACTCAGCAATCCCATTGCTAGGTATAGATCCAAAAGAAAATAAATGTTTCTAACAAAAGGACACATGCAATCACATGTTCACTGCAGCACTTTCATTTAATTGGGTCCCATTTGTCAATTTTTGTTGTTGCAATTGCTTTTGACATTTTCATAATGAAATATTTGCCAGGGCCTATGTCCAGAATGGTAGGAAAAAAGATACAAAATTCTAGCTAGATAGGAGGAATGAGTCCTAGTTCTCTATACCATTGTAGGATGACTATAGTTAACAATAATACATAGTTTCAAACAGCTAGAAGGAGATTATTGAATGTCCCCAACACAGAAATAAATAAATGTTTGAGATTATGGATATGCTAATTACCCTAATATAATTACCCTATACCTAATCACTATACATTGTATGTATTGAAACTTCATTAGGTATGCTATGAATATGTATAATTATTCAAAATTTAAAAATTAAATTTTAAAAAACAACATTTTATAATTAAACCTTTTTGAATTAAAAAAAGTTTGACAATACCATGTATGGGGAGAGTCTGGGAAAACAGATATTCTGATATACTACTGGCAGGAGTGTGAATTACTACAGCTGTATTTTGTGGTACATTTTGGCAGTGTCTATTTTATTTTATAGTTTCAACTATTTTTCATAGATTAAAGGGTACACATGAAGGTTTGTTAGTGTGTATATTATGTGACACTGAGGCTTGGGATCCCAATGATCCCATCACTTATAAGTGGGAGTGAGATACCTATTAACATTTTAAATAATATTCTATATGACACAATGGTTTCAGTTTTTAATATTGGCACTGGATAATAAATTTAAAATGTTCACAATAAGATATGTATGTGGATGTTCTTTCACTATTGTTACACTGCAATAATGAAAACAGTAGAGAAAATGTAAATGCCCATAGATAGGAAAATTGTTAAACAAACTGGTACCTTCATAATCTGAGTCATATGCAAAATGTAAAGCTATTGTGTAGTATAGAAAGATATCCAAGACACCATAAGGAGGTTAAAAAATTGAAGAGCAGTATGTTCAGAATGTTGCCATTTATATAAAAATAAATAAATATAACCTCACACATTGACCAAATTTATAGAGGTACATATGTAAGTATGTATATAAGTATGTATGTATATAAAGAAAGGTTTGGAAGGATACTTGGCAAAGTTATATACCTTTTAAATGTAACAGTAGTTATTTCTGGAGGAGGGATTGGGATTGGAGATGTTGGTCAAGGAGGATTTTATCTGAAGTGTTTGAATTTTAAATAATTCATATATTGCTCACATAAATGAAATGAATACAATTAGAAACAAGTGAATGTGTGAGCAAAGCCACCAGCATTGTAAGAATGCCAAGGTCCTAGAGGTATATAAAATTGAAGAAGGCCAAATTCTAGTGTCAGCACTGGTGTATAGAGGCCAAGAGTCAGAAGCCAAGAAGATGACAGAAATGAAGAAGAGTATATAGGTTGAGTATCCCTTATGCAAAATGCTTGGGACCAGTCTGGCAAATTTGTTTTTTTCCCTCAGATTTTGAAATATTTGTATTATATTATATTTACTGGATCTCAAACCCAAAGTTCTGAAATCCAAAATGTTCCAATGAGCATTTAGTGTTATATTGGTGCCCAAAAAGTTTCAGATTTGGGAGCATGTTAGATTTGGGATTTGGGAGGCTCAACTTGTACTTTGTGCTTCAGTGCCCCATTTTGTGTTAATGGGAATGGGCGTAGTACTGTGGGGTAAAAGGCAAAGCATTGATGGGTCAGGCAAAGCAGGAAGTTATGGAAGCTAGGCTGGATCTAAGGGGACAGAGATAATTGAAACTAGAGTGTGAAAGGGTTGAAGGCTTCTTTGTCCTGAATAGTGAATCTCTGGCATTCAGCAAAGCAGATGGCTTATTCCTGTTAAGTGGAAAGCTAGACAAAACTTCTTATTGGGATAATTTCCCACCTCATCATATGCCTGTATTGTTTTTTAGATTGTTGGAAGGTAGCTGGCAGATATGTTTAAAGAACCTGTTGGTAACTTTTTAGGTAGTGAATAGCTAATAATAGTATTGAGGCTAGTGGTGGTGGTGGGTAGGCTCAGTGGTACAAATAAGTAATGAAGGGTAGAAACCATGGTTGCTGGGCAACTGGGTATTCTGGTTGGAGAATATACAATTAGTCTAGACAAATTACAGTGAAAAGGTGGATAGGACATTCAACTTGTCTGCTGGAGATTTAACAGTGTAGATACTCTATCTGGCCAAATATCTTCATGTGTTAGATGGTAAGGAAGTGAACCTAAAAATATAGTTGTAGGACAAGTGGTTACCAGAGCTAAGTTATAAACTGGAGGCTGTATAGAGATATCAAGAGACTGAGTAGCTTTTATATATGGAATACTATTTGAAGAAGGGCTCCAGTGGAAATGGAGGCCTAATGCAAGAGACAAAGTATTCCACCTTGATGATTGCGTCTGCCACAACCCAAATTTCATCATCATACTGCTGCAGGAGTTTTTAGGGATTAAGACTAAAAACTGGGTATAGTTATTGATAGTTGAATTACTTCATTTAGTCCAAAGGTAGGTGGCACAGACATTGAATGCAGAGCCTCCAGAAGTCTTCAGGCTGTATTGCAGGTTTTTGAAGGAATTATAGTAGCATACTGGTTTGGCACTATGGTGGAGCCACAACATTTGAGAGAGGTTTCTCTTTTCTTGGATGTAGAGTGGACGATTTGGGTAGTAGCTCTCTTCATATATTCTATGCGTTCTGGGGTGGTGGTCCATGAGTGGTTCTATATCTGTTATATAGTACTGCCTTTTCTGAGTTACCAAACACTACAAAGTTTTCTGCCTAGAGGGACTCTCAGGATAGGCTGAACTCTTATGCCCCAGATATTCTAGCCTTATGGATTGACTACTGGCAGTTTTGGCTGCCCATTACATAAGTGATGTGGAATTTGAAGTGTTCCAATAATTACTCCCCACTCCAGTTTGCTTCAGCTAATCTCATTTATGGTGGTTGAACCATACCATCATGGAGTGCCAAGTTCCTGTGTGGTAATGCCACAAGCCATGTAGGCAAGCCTGATGCTAGTAGTTCCACTTCTTACAGGGATAGTTGGCTTTATCAGGAACTAGCTTTCCTTAGAATTGGGTAGAAATACAGTTCCCCTGTGCTTCGATCTTCTTGTCACATGATATTATAAGACTAGATTGTGTAGGGATATTACAGGATAAGTAGAATCAGATAGCATTTTAAATCCTAGAATGCCACAGTTAAAATTTTATTAGGTAGATTAGTTATTGATGTAGTCAATGTGAAAAATAGGGGCAGAATTGTAGGTTAACCATATGAATTATGAGACTTCTTTCATCATCTTGGAATTCTCTTAATCTAGGACTTCTGATGCCTCGTATGTATCATGTTGATGATGATAAAATGCTGAATGGATAAAATGTAGTAGAGGAACTTCATCTCCATGTTATTCCCTTACTTCACATTCAGGTAGAACTCTGATTTGGAAGCAGTTTGGAGTTGCAATGAGTAGTACCTGGATTCTCTTGACCAAGACTTAGCTAAAAACAAAAACAAAAACATCCTAATCTGATGTACCTGAGTCAATCATATCGTATACCTAGAGATGGGTGTTGCCCACCCATCCTTCAAATAGGCCTCAACACATCCATTGAGAAACTTGTTTCCCAACTCCTCTTGATTAGTGGTAGAAGATTGGAGTCTCTATATAGAAGGATTCTTAGGTTGTGTCATTTGAGCTGGACATGCCAGCACAGTCAGTTACTGATGTCTGTCATGGGCACAGGAAGTATGGTAGATATATGCATTCCATATATTTACCATATTTTCCTAAGAGAATGTAAAACAGAAGGAAACCGGAGTTCCCTATCATTTCTCTAATGCTTGCCCTCTAAATATTTATTTCTAGTCTGAAAACCCACCTTTTTTATCTGTTTTGAACTGTTAGTATATATTTTTATTTTAGCTACTTTTCACATCCTCTACTCTTTTTTTATGCACCTCTGATTTTTTCCTTCCCCGAAAGCTTTACATGGTTCCAGCACTTTCTCTAACAGAAACACATAGCAGCTAATAAATTTGGTCCCAGTAATGTTAACACTCAAGAGCCACTTTCCCAGGGGTATCTCTCTTTAAGAAATATTGCAAAAACCTAGAAAAGAGGCCAGTATAAAAACTACATGCCGGAAGTATTGTTTAATAGGCTTACTGGTAATAATATACAATTGTGATGTGTTAGTTACTATTAAATAAGGGCACATACTCTAATATTACATGTTAACTTGTGTGTTTGTGTTCAGTAAGAAAAAACGAACCCCAATGTTGAGAGTTTATTGCCTGGCAGGACATTCATGCCAATTAATTACCTGGAGATCCTATTAAAATTCAGATTCTGGTTCAGTAGGTCAGAGAAGGACTTAAGACTCTACATTTTTTTCCTATTATTTTCAGTTCACATGTAATAATTACTTATATATTTGTGGGATAGAGAGTGATATTTTGATACATGTACAGAATGTGTAATGATCAAATCAGGATAGTTAGCATAGCCATCACCTTAAATATTTATATCTTTCTGTTGTGAACATTCAAAATCCTCTCCTCTAGCTTTTTAAATATACACAGTAAGTGTTGTTAACCATATTTACCCTTCATTGTTACACAACACTAGAACTTGTTCTCCCTATCTAGCTGTAATTTTGAATCTGTTAATCAAACTCTCCTTATCTTCTCCTCCACTCCACACTTCCAACCTCTAATAACCTCTATTCTACTTTCTACTTCTATGAACTTAATTTTCTTTGCTCCCACATATAAGTGAGAACATGCAGTATTTATCTTTCTGTGCCTGACTTATTTCACTTAACATAATGTCCTGCAGGATCAATCATGTTGCCGCAAATGACAGTCTTTCATTTTTTCTACTACTGAACAGTATTCAACTGTATACATATATGCCACATTTTCCTTATCTACTTATCTATTGGTGGAAACTTAGGTTGATTCTTTATGTTTACTATTGTTAATAGAGCTACAATAAACATGAGGATGCAGATGTCTCTTTGATATACTGATTATTTTGTCCTTTGGATAGATCCTCAGTGCTAGAATTGCTGGATTATATAGTAGTTCTAGTTTTAGATTTTTGAGAATCCTTCATACTATTTTCCATAATGGCTTACTAATGTACATTCCCACCAATGGTATATAAGAGTTCCCTTTTCTCTGAATCTATGCCAGTATTTATTTATTTTTTTTGTCTTTTCTGGGATAGGCATTCTAACTGGAGAAAAGTGATATCTCATTATAATTTTGCTTTGCATTTCCCTGATGATTAGTGACATTGGCATTTTAAAATATATTTATTTGCTCTTTGTGTGTCTTCTTTTGAGAAATGTTTACTTGGATCCTTTGCCCACTTTTAATTGGATTTATTTGTTTTTCTGTTGTTATTGTTGAATTATTTGAGATCCTTGTGTATTTTAGATATTCATGCCTGTATAGTTTTTATATGTTTTCCCCCATTCTACAGGTTGTCTCTTTGCTCTGCTAATTATTTCTTTTTCTGTGTAAAGACTTTTTAGTTTGATATAATATCATTTGCCTATTTTTATTTTGTATTTCCTGTGCTTTTGAAGTTTTACCATAATATCTTTTCCTAAACGATATCCTGAGGTATTCCTCCTGTGGTTTCTTCTAGGAGTTTTATAGTTTTGGATCACATGTTTGTCTTTAGTCTATTTTAAGTTTATGTTTGCATATGGTGAAAGATAGGGGTCTACTTTAATTCTTAGGCATATGACTATCCCAGACTTCCCAGCACCATATATTGAAGAAAGTGTCCATTTCCCAATGTATGTTCTTGCCACATTTCTTGAAAATCAGTTGGCTGTAAATATGTGAATTTATTTCTGGATTATGTTCTGCTCCATTGATCTTTCTGTGTTCTTATAACTGTACCAAGCTGTTTTGGTTACTGTAGTTTTGTAGTATGTTTTGAAGTCAGGTAGTGAGATTCCTACAGCTTTGTTCTTTATGCCCAAGATTGCTTTGTGTATTCAGGGTCTTTTCTGGTTTCATATTAATTTGAAGCTTTTCTTTCTATTTTTGTGAGGAATGTCATTGGTGTTTTCATAGGTATTGCATAGAATCTATAGATTACTGTATAGTATGGTCGTTTTAACAATATTAATTCTTACAGTTCATGAGCATGGGATGTCTTTCTGTTTTTTGTGTCCACTTCTATTTATTTTATAATGTTTTGTATTTTTCATCACAGAAAGCTTCCACCTTCATGGTTAGACTTATTCCTAGATATTTAATTTCTTTGTAGCTATTGTAAATGGGATTGCTTTCTTGATTTCTTTTTCAACTCTTTCATTATTGGGGTATAGAAATGCTACTGATTTTGTGTGTGGATTTTGTAGCCTGCAACTCTACTACATTCATTTATTGGTTGTCAGCTGGCCAGTCCTCAGTCCCCTAGGTTGTGTATGTGGGCACCAGCAGCAGTGGTAGCAGGGAACAGTGGCTTCGTCAGGCTGGTTTTGGGGCACTCAGGTGGCATGCTTGAGTGCCAGCTGTGATGGCCTCAGGTCCCAGGCAGGCTAGTCCTAGAGTTTCCAAATGGAGTGCACACACACCAGTGGTGTGGATGGCAGGCTGGTCAAGCTTCTCTTAGTGCCTCCAAGTGGTGCACACAGGCATTGACGTTGGCCATCATAGGCCACTTCTTTCACCCCTGGATGGGGTGCATGGGCATTGTCGGTAGTGACATCTTACCCTGGACTTTCTAGTCCTAGATCCCTGGGCAATGTGCATAGGCACTGGTAGTGGCTGTGGCAAGTCAGGTGGGCCAGTTTCCAGGCTTCTGGGCAAGTTTCAAGGGTGCCTATTGGTGTCACTGCCAGAGGAGGGAGGAATCACTCCTGGTGGCAGTGGCCCCAAATAAATTGCTCTCAGGTCCTGGGGAACACATGCTCCAATTCCCTGTTTCTGAGGGTAGCCTCTCTGATGTGCTGGACTACCTTTTTTTTTTTTTTTTTTTTTGGTAAGACACTTGGGTGCTGGCAACATCGTCAGACTGCTAGTTCCTACTGGCATCATGATGCTGCAGTCCTCTGGGTGGATGTAGGGGATGTCAGTTGAGCCCAAGGGTTGTGAAAATGCAGGGGATATTAAGTATCTTCTGGGCACGATGTAGTTGGGTGTGGTTTCCACTCTCAAAATGGCACTGTGCTGCAGCAGCTTAGGACCTGGCTGGTGGGTGGAACCTGGCACGAATTCCCTCTCTGGAACAGTTGTACAGAATTCAGGTAGCTCCCTATACTTGGCTCAGGGCCCATGAGTGCCAAGGGTCTCTCCTGTAGGTAGGACTCCAGGTATGTTCCATAGGAATGTGGACTGCTGTAGATGTCTCTTAACTTTTCTTCAACAATGGGGAATGCTCATGGCTCCAAGTTAATTCACTCACTGCCCTTTTACCCTCTCCATGCTGCTATCTTGAGCTCCTGTGCATCCGAGGGTCTCTGTAACTTCCTTGCTGGATTCTAGCATTCTTCCCTAAATGGCCTATTCAACGTCTGTTTATCTAGCTGCTGTTTTGTTCCTTCTTTGTAATGACTGTGGGTTGTCAGCCATCTTGATGATCTAGACTCTCTGAGAATCTGCAAGCTGTCTGAATTATGTTATGTGAGAAAGATGATACCTTTCTAATAAGGAAATGATAAGATTTTGTGATGCCAATAGGATAAACTCATCAGATTATAGCATATGTCCAATATCAGCATACGAGAAAATGTGGGAGAGGACAGTGGCATTTTGCTGCAAAAGGAAACAGCAAATCATAGCTCTGAGTGAGGGGATGGGAGGCATTTTGTAGCACAATGCTGTGGGGAATGTCAAGGTGACTAATATAAAAGCGGACAAGAGGTCTTGCTCTGACATTTTACTGGTACTTCATATTTATGCTCTGTAGTTGGCAGTGTAGATTAAAGACAATAGGTTTACTTGAGTTTAAAGGCTCTTGAAATTAGGTAATGTGGTGTCTCCAGATTTGTCCTTTTTCTTAGTCTTGCTTTGACTATGCTGACTCTTTTTTAGTTCCATATGAATTTCAGAATTTTTTTTTAAATCTGTGAAAAATGATGGTGGTATTTTCATAGAAATTGCACTGAATTTGTAGATTGCTTTTGGCAGCCTGGTCATTTTCACAATATTGATTCTACCCATCCATGAGCATGGGATGTGTTTTCATTTGTTTGTGTTGTCTATGATTTCTTTCAGCAGTGTTTTGTAGTTTTCCTTGTAGAGGTCTCTCACCTCCTTGGTTAGGTACATTTCTAAGCATTCTTTTTTTTTTTTTGTAAAAGGGTTTGGGTTCTTGATTTGATTCTCAGCTTGTCTGCTGTTGGTGTATAGAAGAGCTACTGATTTGTGTACATTAATTTTGTATCCAGAAACTTTGCTGAATTCTTTTATCAGTTCTAGGAGCTTTCTGGAGGAGTCTTTAGGGTTTTCTAGGTAAACAATTATAACATCAGCAAACAGTGACAGTTTAACTTTCTCTTTACCAATTTGGATGCCCTTTATTTCTTCTCTTGTCTGATGGCTCTGGTTAGGACTCTCAGTACTATGTTGAAGAGGTGTGGTGACAGAATTTAAACTATGCTATAAGGCCATAGTCACCAAAACAGCATGGTACTGGCAAAAAAAAAATAAAAAAAATAAAAATAAATAGACCAGTGGAACAGAATAGAGAACTCAGAAATGAATCCAAATACTTATATGATCTTTGACTTAGCATACAAAAACATAAAGTGGGAAAAGGACATCCTATTTAACAAATGCTGCTGGGATAATTGGCAAGCCACATGTAGGCAAATGAAACTGGATTCTCATCTCTCACCTTATACAAAAATCAACCAAAGATGGATCATGAACTTAAATCTAACACCTGAAACTGTAAAAATTCTAGAAGATAACATTGGAAAAACCCTTCTAGACATTGGCTTAGGCAATAATTTTATGACCAAGAAACCAAAAGCAAATATAATAAAAACGACGGGAAGTAGTTGAAACTTAATTAAACTAAAGAGATTTTGCACAGCAAAAGGAACAGTCAGCAGAAGAAACAGGCAACCCACAGAGTGGGAGAAAGTCTTCACAATGTATACATCTGGAAAAGGACTAATATCCAGAATCAACAACAAACTCAAACAAATAGCAAGGAGAAAACAAACAATTCCATCAAAAAGTGGGCTATGGACATGAATAGACAATTCTCAAAAGAAGATATACAAATGGCCAACAAACATATGAAAAAATGCTCAACATCACTAATGATCGGGGAAATGCAAATAAAAACCATAATGCAATACCACCTTACTCCTGCAAGAATCGTCATAATCAAAAAATAAAAAAAAAATAGATGTTGGCACGAATGCAGTGAACGGAGAACACTGATACACTGCTAGTGGGTATGTAAACTAGTACAATCACTATGAAAAACTATGGAGATTCTTTAAAGAACTAAAGTAGAACTAGCAGTTAATCCAGCAATCCCACTACATGGTATCTTTCCAGAGGAAAATAAGTCATTATACAAAAAAGATACTTGCACATGCATGTTTATAGCTGCACAATTTGGAATTGCAAAATGGTGGAACCAACTCAAATGCCGATCAATCAACGAGTGGATAAAGAAACTGTGAGATATACACACGTGAATACTACTCAGTCGTAAGAAGGAATATATATATTTATATTTATATATAATATAATGTTTATATATTATATATAAATATATATAAATATATTTATATATAAATATATATAAATATATTTTTATAAATATATATAAATAAATATATTTATATATTTATATATAAATATATATATAAATAAATATATTTTTATATATATTTATATAAATATATACATATATTTTATATATAAAATATATATAAAATTTATATACATATAAAAATTTTACTTTAAGTTCCAGGATACTGGTGCAGAAAGTGCAGGTTTGTTACATAGGTATACATGTGCCATGGTGGTTTGATGCACCTATCAACCCATCAT
This sequence comes from Homo sapiens, assembly GCF_000001405.40. NCBI lineage: Eukaryota > Metazoa > Chordata > Mammalia > Primates > Hominidae > Homo > Homo sapiens. The sequence continues at coordinate 66,699,708 of NC_000023.11, read as the reverse complement.
CTAAGTTTTAAGCCCCACATGCATTAGGTATTTGTCCTAATGCTCTCCCTCCTCTTGTCCCCCAACCCCTGACAGGTCCCGGTGTGTGATGTTCCCTTCCCCATGTCCATGTGTTCTCATTGTTCAACTCCCACTTATGAGTGAGAACATGCGGTGTTTGGTTTTCTGTTCAAAAAGGAACAAATTAATGACATTTGCAGTGACCTAGATGAAATTGGAGACTACTCTTCTAGGTGAAGTAACTCAGGAATGGAAAACCAAGCATTGTATGTTCTCGTTTATACGTGGGAGCTAAGCTATGAGGATGCAAAAGCATAAGGATGACATGATGGACTTTGGGAACTCAGTGGGAAAGGATGGAAATGGGGTGAGGGATAAAAGTCTACAAATAGGATGCAGTGTATACTGCTTGGGTGATGGGTGCACCAAAGTCTCACAAATCATCACTAAAGAACTTACTCATGTAACAAAACACCACCTGTTCCTCAATAAGCTATGGAAATAAAAAATAAAAATAAAGAATTTTTTTTTTTTTAAAAAGCTCTAGAAGAGGCCTGTCTGATATCAAGACACAAAAAGAGGTTTAGCATCTGCAGTTATCTGGTCCAGGGTCTATGAAGTCAGATGTCAGAAAAAGTCAAAGTTTTATTGGTGTATTGTAGGCTGGAACAAGTGAGAAATTTTTAAAAGGCATACACTTTTACTGAACTGGTCCTGTCACTGTACAGGTAAGCCTTGACTGCCTCCACACCTCTACTTACTCTAGGGGAAACCAAAATCCTTCATTGACAGGACCATGATGGCTGATCAGTCAAAATAAAACAATACTTTTAAAAAGTATAAAAGTATTAAGGCATAAGTGTAAAAAATGCCCAAGATGAAAATAATTTACACAAAAACAATTTTGTCACTTTCTCTATTTGGACTCAGGTGAGAACTGGGCCATTGTCTTTCTGGTGAAGTGGGGCAGCTTTTTGGAGTTCAAGGGACTTTCTGTAACACTGCATTTTATGATATTTGGAATGACTATTTTAAAAAAGTACAAAGCCCTTGGTCATATTGTAGACTTATAGGAAATGTTGCTTCAACCAACTGCTGTCATCTTCACTGTTTCAGTTTTTAAATCCTGAGTCAAACAAAAATTAAAAACCCAAACAAAAAACAAACAAAGCTATGCAAATCTCATCTTTTTTTTCCCAAGTGAGTAATCTTGATGAGTGTATCTTTCAAGACTGAAAAAGGATGTGCAGTACTGAAGTGAAGGTAGGACTGTAAGAAAGTCAACAAACATGACCCCTTAAGGGGATGGCCAATGGTTTGATGGTAGTAGAGACGAAAATTTCACTTACTGGGCAGTTTCTGTGCAGGTAATGTACTAAGCTGCTTTATACATGTTGACATCATCCAATATTCAGAATAATTTTGTGAGGCAAGAGTTGTTATCCCCATTATTACACATGGAAAAAAACTGATAGTCTCAGAAGTAAATTGAATTTCACAATTTTATAAACGGGCAGAGCCAAAGTTTTAACCAAGATCTATATGACTATTTGACTAAATAACCTATTTGTTTTCCTGTAGGCTAGCTTTGTAGATTCCAAGGTCAAGGTGGCTCAGTTCTTGTGTTTTCCAAACATTACTTCAGTGGTTCTGGTATCTACAGATATAAATGATTTGGATGAAAAGCCTTAGACTGTGGCCAGTGACAGGTGAGGTCCCAGGCCTTTGAGGGAGAGATATTGAAGGTTTTAAGATCAGTGAAAACTGCCACTGGGTGCTGATTATCCCTTTAGACAATAACACTAGATTTCTAAACATGCACTGATCGTGGTAGTATCTTTTTCTCAGTCTATAATCACACTCTGCCAGGTGTTCTCTTCTCAGAAATGGCACAGAAATGATAAAAGGGCATGTACCCATGCACGCTTTCATTTCTTTTTGTAGCTTAGTACATTATTTTGTCCCATACTAGTTGTGTGACTGAGCAATATTAATAGTTATTATTCTTGAGTGCTATTGATAGCTATTATTCTTGAGTGCTTACTATATTATAGTATTATTATACTGTATTATTGTACTTTTCCTACATTACTACTACTCAATTTTCACCTCAAACATATGAGGTAGATTCTATCCTTACCCTCATTTTACAGATGATCAACTGAGGATTACGAGGGTAATAATAGACTTGTTCAAGGTTACATGACCACGAAGTGGAAAATGAGGGGTTGAATACAGATTGGTCACTCTGTAAGGTATGCTCCTAACCATTCTTCTCTACTGCTATTTTGGGCAGTTTACTCAAGCTCCTCTTCTGTAAAACTGGGACATTTGTTGTTTCTGCCTACTCAGCTTCTATTCCTCCTTCTGGTAGCAGAACCTGTCTTTTTCCTCCAGGAACGACCTTTTCTCCACTTCCAGCCTACATGGTTGGGTGAGGGGAAGCTTATTTCACTCTTGACTGTGGGAATGGGCTTGTCCCCCAGGCATGACCATTCAAAAATTTATCTTCTTAGCCACAGTGATTGTTCCTTACACGGACACTGGATCTCTCTTTAAACAATTGGTGTGTACCATAGGGATTGGTTCAGAGATAGACACAAGACTCAATTTGTTCCAGTAAAATTTAAGACTTTTCTTTGAACAATGCAGGAAGAGACTTCTTGTTTATGGACCAGAATCTGGGTTGATATAAACATCTTGCTACTAGGGGCCACCCCATGGATGAAGTCTTAATAAGAGTGGTATTCACACAGAGGAAAGCACAACTGCAAGATATTGGGTCCTGATGATGTAGTTTGAACCCCTAGTTACAGTCATGCCTGAAGCCATATACCTTTTCATTGTTTCAGTTTATTCAATCAACAAATTTTTGTTGAGTGACTGTATTAGTCCAGGAACTATTTTAGGCATGGGGATACTGCAGGAAACAGGGCAATCATGTTCTTCTATAACTTGACTATGAAGGTCAGTGAATTCATTTCTCTGCTTAAATGCTTAAATCAATTTGATTTTTTTTCACATCAACTGAAATAGTCCAGACCAATACAAGAATGATAATAATAACTTCTCAGGGTGTTCATGATAATTAAAGTGAGATAATATTTGTATATGAAGTGCTTAGCACAGTGCCTGACACGTAAGTGTTCAAGAAATAGTTATGTAATTCCATATCCATCCCACATCCAATATCCTCAGCATCCTTTGTATAGAGATTATCCTGTTTCCCATAGAAATGTGTTCTGGTATCTTTAAAATTTAATAAAACAAAATAAACTCTCTGATAATTTATATATAAAAAGAGACTTATGAGATACATTATTTGCAACATATGGACCTTATTTGGATCCTTATTTGAATAAACACATGGAAGTTAGAAGATGAGCAACATTTGGACACTTGTCGTATATTTGAAATATTAATATTTTAGGTGTGATATAATTGTAGATAGGCTTTTAAAAGGAAACCTTATTTAGAGATACATACTGAAATATTTTATAGATGAAATAATTTGATTTTGGGGATTTTCCTCAGATTACAATGGAAAAGGGAGAAAACGGATGGTGGGCTCGGATGAAACAGAAGTAGCCATGAGTTGCTAACTGTTGAAACTGGGTAATGGCTATAAGGTAGTTCAATATGCTATTTCTTTTGATTTTTATTTGAAATTTTTCTTACTAACAATATATTTTAAAAAATTATTATGTTACCTGTCAAAAAAGAAGCACTGTCCCTGACTGTACATTTTCTTCTTGATATTCTCTTTTTTCTTCCCTTCATTGCCAAGCTTACAGGAAAAAAAAAAAAGTCTATATATTGTGTCTACTTTTTCCCTTTCCAGTGATTCCATATTTGCTTTAGTTTAGCTTCTGCTTTTACCACTTTTGTGAAATGTTTTTATTTTTGCTATGATCAATGAATTAAACATCACTATGATTACCTCATTGTAAAATCTCCTTTCTCTGCTTCTGTGTTGTCTTTCGTGGTTCTTCTTCTCCTTTCCTGGTTCTCTGGCCACTTCATCTCAGGCTTCTTCACTGACTCCTTTCTTTCACTCCTTCCCCTGCACAGAGTTGGGGTTTTCTAGGATTCTGGGTAGATCCCTCCTCTTCTCACTTGAAAAACTCCTTCAATAATATCAACCATTTCCATGAAGACTTATCAATAAATACAACATTTCTATCCCCCAATACCTCCTAGGTTCCATACCTATATTGCCAACTGCCAACTGAACATTTCCCCCTCATGTTTTCCAGGCACTTCAACCTCAATATATTAAAAACCAAACTTATCATATTCAGAAATTCACCCTCCACTTCTTCAAAAAAGTCAGATACCCTATATTTCCCTTTTAAGTGATTGGCAACATTATCATTTCAATCATTCTCTGATCCAAACTAGAAATTCTAGACTTACCCCAGATCCACCCTAGATGCCCACCTGTCCTTTCATTCATTCATTCTGCCTGTGGATTCTTTTCAGATAATAAACTATACAATTTTAAAGTTATATATGTAGCTAGATTAAAAATAATAAAAGATATTTAATTTATTTCTATCTCTAAATATTTGTACATATTCATGTTTGTCAAAAAATATTTGGAGGGGATCTTCTTAGGAGAATGATGGATTGCTTAAATTCAGGAGTCATCTTATATTCAGGTATGTATAGTATTTGTGATGTTCATCTACACTGTTTTAGGGGTTAGCTCCCTTTTTATTTTGTTGGACAATTCAAATAATCTCCTACGTGGTTTCTGGTCTCTTTTACTTCCACAGTAGCTATCAGAGTCATCTTCCAAATGTTTATTTTGTCATTTTGTCCACCTGCTTAAAATATTTCTGCTCCGCCTGTCTTCTACAATGTGAGTTGCCTAAACATCTGCAATGATACCTCTAATGGCAAAATATTGTGAACTTTTATCACTAGAGACCTAGAAATGTGGCCTGAAGTGGACATCTTGAAGGCATGATATTTCTTTGTAATTTTGTGTTTTATCATAAATATTAAAGTTCATATTCTAATCTATAATATCTCCTTGTATGTTTTAAAATATTAAAGTAGTTTCTATTGTTATTGAATAATAGTGTCATATCAAAATTATATGGCAAGTAAATTAGAATACTCCCTAACAGTTGCTATGCATGCTCGGTAAACTTATGTCCTAATTTGACAAGAATGACCTAGAGTAAAAAGTCAAAATTTTTCAATTTGACAGACAGGGCCCTCTGTGATATGTGGCTGTGTCTTATTTAATTCCTTGACACTCCTTTCCCCTTTTTGCTGCCTGACTCGTATACTCCAAGCACTACAGTCAAGGTTAGCTCTCTGATTTTCATTATGAAGAGGGCAAGGGCATTGGTAGACAAAGAGGGACAGATGAAAGTATATCACCTTCATCCCATGAATAACTCTTGTAGGGCTCATGACTTGGATTTCAATATGAGTAGATAGTAGTCAGCTGCTGCGACTGACCCAGTAATATGTCCCAAGCAGCAGCAGAATGACCTGGTCCCATCATCAGCACAGAGGCACTTTCTCTGGGTCTCATTTATCACAGGGCTTGAAGGTACATCAGAGTGGACTTGGGATGGCAAATGTCTAGTGACTGTTCAGGCAATGCACATCCTAGAATGGAAGGCATGTATACTTTGGCTCTTGCAGTAAGTGGACTGGAAGATCATGGGCTCATGTTTCAACAGCTCTGAATTTTGGGTCCTCAGAGGGTAGAGAGCTGCGTATGTGACTTTATCTGAGTATTTATTTCAGTGACAACAGTATCTCCATTAATTGAATGTGTACTATTTGTCAGGTGCTTTAGTAGACACATTTTACATACATGATTTCATCTCTTATTTTCTTTTCGTAACATAATTCTGAAAAATTCCAAACTTTCAGAAAGATTGAAAGAACAGTCCAATGAACACCATATATCTTTTACCTAAATTCATTAATTGTTAGCATTTTTCCTCATGTATGCTCATAAGTAGTCTCCCAATTTCCTCCCGCCTTAGTGTGTATGTGTGTGTGTATATGTGTATGTATTTTATAGTGGTTATTATACTTTTTCCTGAGATAGTTGAGAGTTAATTTTAGACATCATAATGCTTGACCTGTATTCATGAAGTACTTCAGCATGTATATCCTAAGAATATGGGCACTCCCTTACATATCCTTAATATGATCATCATAATCAAGAAATATGACATTGATATAACACCATTACCTATATTCAAATTTCCTCATTTGTCTTAATAATTTTTATTACACTTGTCTTTTTTTTCTTATCTAAAATCCAGTCAGGGATCGTCTGTTGCATTTAGTTGTCATGTCTCTTTAATCTTCTTTAATCAAAGCAGTATCCTGGCCTTTTTTGTCATTTGTGACACTGATATTTTAAAAAAATTCAGGCCAGTTGTTTGACAGAATACATCACAACTGAGATATGTCTGATAGTTTTCTAATGATTAGTCCCTCGTTAAACATTTTTGACAGAAATACTGCGTTGGTAATGTATTTTCTTCAGTGTATAACATAAGGAGGCATATTATTGGTAATATTAAGGTTGATCAGAGTGGCAGCCAAGATGGACGAATAGGAAGAGCTCCGGTCTACAGCTCCTAGTGGGAGCGACACAGAAGACGGGTGATTTCTGCATTTCCATCTGAGGTACTGGGTTCATCTCACTAGGGAGTGCCAGACAGTGGGCACAGGACAGTGGGTGCAGCGCACTGTGTGTGAGCTGAAACAGGGTGAGGCATTGCCTCACTTGGGAAGAGCAAGGGGTCAGGGAGTACCCTTTCCTAGTCAAAGAAAGGGGTGACAGACGGCACCTGGAAAAACGGGTCACTCTCACCCTAATACTGCACTTTTCTGATGGGCTTAAAAAATGGCACACCAGGAGATTATATCCCGCACCTGGCTTGGAGGGTCCTACGCCCATGGAGTCTCGCTGATTGCTAGAACAGCAGTCTGAGATCAAACTGCAAGGAGGCAGCGAGGCTGGGGGAGGGCGCTTGCCATTGCCCAGGCTTGCTTAGGTAAACAAAGCAGGCAGGAAGCTCGAAATGGGTGGAGCCCACCACAGCTCAAGGAGGCCTGCCTGCCTCTGTAGGCTCCACCTCTGGGGGCAGGGCACAGACAAACAAAAAGACAGCAGTAACCTCTGCAGACTTAAATGTCCCTGTCTGACAGCTTTGAAGAGAGCAGTGGCTCTCCCAGCACACAGCTGGAGATCTGAGAATGGGAAGACTGCCTCCTCAAGTGGGTCCCTGACTCTTGACCCCCGAGCAGCCTAACTGGGAGGCACTCCCCAGTAGGGGCAGACTGACACCTCACACGGCCGGGTACTCCTCCGAGACAAAACTTCCAGAGGAACGATCAGACAGCAGCATTCACGGTTCACGAAAATCTGCTGTTCTGCAGATACCACTGCTGATACCCAGGCAAACGGGGTCTGGAGTGGACCTCTAGCAAACTCCAACAGACCTGCAGCTGATGGTCCTGTGTGTTAGAAGGAAAACTAACAAACAGAAAGGACGTCCACACCAAAAACCCATCTGTACATCACCATCATCAAAGACCAAAAGTAGATAAAACGACAAACATGGGGAAAAAACAGAGCAGAAAAACCGGAAACTCTAAAAAGCAGAGCGCCTTTCCTCCTCCAAAGGAATGCAGCACCTCACCAGTAATGGAACAAAGGTGGATGGAGAAAGACTTTGATGGGTTGAGAGAAGAAGGCTTCAGATGATCAAACTACTCCGAGCTACAGGAGGAAATTCAAACCAAAGGCAAAGAAGTTGAAAACTTTGAAAAAAATTTAGATGAAAGTATAACTAGAATAACCAATACAGAGAAGTGCTTAAAGGAGCTGATGGAGCTGAAAGCCAAGGCTTGAGAACTATGTGAAGAATGCAGAAGCCTCAGGAGCTGATGTGATCAATTGGAAGAAAGGGTGTCAGCGATGGAAGATGAAATGAATGAAATGAAGTGATAAGGGAAGTTTAGAGAAAAAAGAATAAAAAGAAATGAACAAAGCCTCCAAGAAATATGGGACTATGAGAAAAGAACAAATCTACGTCTGATTGGTGTACCTAAAAGTGACGGGGAGAATGGAACCAAGTTGGAAAACACTCTACAGGATATTACCCAGGAGTACTTCCACAATGTAGCAAGGCAGGCCAACATTCAGATGCAGGAAATACAGAGAATGCCACAAAGATACTCCTCAAGAAGAGCAACTCCAAGACACATAATTGTCACATTCACCAAAGTTGAAATGAAGGAAAACATGTTAAGGGCAGCCAGAAAGAAAGGTCGGGTTACCCACAAAGGGAAGCCCATCAGACTAACAGCTGATCTCTTGGCAGAAACTCTACAAGCCAGAAGAGAGTGGGGGCCAATATTCAACATTTTTAAAGAAAAGAATTTTCAACCCAGAATTTCATATCCAGCCAAACTAGATTCATAAGTGAAGAAGAAATAAAATCCTTCACAGACAAGCAAATGCTGAGAGATTTTGTCACCACTGGGCCTGCCCTAAAAGAGCTCCTGAAGGAAGCACTAAACATGGAAAGGAACAACCAGTACCAGCCACTGCAAAATCATTCCAAATTGTAAAGACCATCGAGGCTAGGAAGAAACTGCATCAAATAATGAGCAAAATAAACAGCTAACATCATAATGACAGGATAAAATTCACACATAACAATATTAACTTTAAATGTAAATGGACTAAATGCTCCAATTAAAAGACACAGACTGGCAAATTGGATAAAGAGTCAAGACCCATCAGTGTGCTGTATTCAGGAAACCCATCTCATGTGCAGAGACACACATAGGCTCAAAATAAAAGGATGGAGGAAGATCTACCAAACAAACGGAAAACAAAAAAAAGAGGGGTTGCAATCCTAGTCTCGGATAAAACAGACTTTAAACCAACAAAGATCAAAAGAGACAAAGAAGGCCATTACATAATGGTAAAGGGATCAATTCAACAAGAAGAGCTAACTATCCTAAATATATATGCACCCAATACATGAGTACCCAGATTCATAAAGCAAGTCCTGAGTGACCTACAAAGAGACTAAGACACCCACACAATAATAATGGGAGACTTTAACACCCCACTGTCAACATTAGACAGATCAACCAGACAGAAAGTTAACAAGGATACCCAGAAAATGAACTCAGCTCTGCACCAAGTGGACCAAATAGACATCTAGAGAACTCTCCACCCCAAATCAACAGAATATACATTTTTTTCAGCACCACACCACACCTATTCCAAAATTCACCACATAGGTGGAAATAAAACTCTCCTCAGCAAATAGGAAAGAACAGAAATTATAACAAACTATCTCTCAGACCACAGTGCAATCAAACTAGAACTCAGGATTAAGAAACTCACTCAAAACCACTCAACTACATGGAAACTGAACAACCTGCTCCTGAATGACTACTGGGTACATAACGAAATGAAGGCAGAAATAAAGATGTTCTTTGAAACCAATGATAACAAAGACACAACATACCAGAATCTCTGAGACACATTCAAAGCAGTGTGTAGAGGGAAATTTATAGCACTAAATGCTCACAAGAGAAAGCAGGAAAGATCCAAAATTGACACCCTAACATCACAATTAAGAGAACTAGAAAAGCAAGAGCAAACACATTCAAAAGCCAGCAGAAGGCAAGAAATAACTTAAATCAGAGCAGAACTGAAGGAAATAGAGACACAAAAAAACCCTTCAAAAAATTAATGAATCCAGGAGCTGTTTTTTTGAGAGGATCAACAAAATTGACAGACCACTAGCAAGACTAATAAAGAAGAAAAGGGAGAAGAATCAAGTAGACACAGTAAAAAATGATAAAGGGGATATCACCACCGATCCTACAGAAATACAAACTACTATCAGAATACTACAAACACCTCTACTCAAATAAACTAGAAAATCTAGAAGAAATGGATAAATTCCTCGACACCTACACCCTCCCAACACTGAACCAGGAAGAAGTTGAATCTCTGAATAGACCAATAACAGGCTCTGAAATTGTGGCAATAATCAATCAATAGCTTACCAACCAAAAAGAGTACAGGTCCAGATGGATTCACAGCCAAATTCTACCAGAGGTACAAGGAGGAACTGGTACTATTCCTTCTGAAACTATTCCAATCAATAGAAACCTCCATAACTCCTTTTATGAGGCCAGCATAATCCTGATACCAAAGCCAGGCAGAGACACAAACAAAAAAGAGAATTTTAGACCAATACCCTTGGTGAACATTGATGCAAAAATCCTCAATAAAATGCTGGCAAACCAAATCCAGCAGCACATCAAAAAGCTTATCCACCATGATCAAGTGGGCTTCATCCCTGGGATGCAAGGCTGGTTCAATATATGCAAATCAATAAATGTAAGCCAGCAGAAAAACAGAACCAAAGACAAAAACCACATGATTATCTCAATAGATGCAGAAAAGTCCTTTGACAAAATTCAACAACCCTTCATGCTAAAAACTCAATAAATTAGGTATTGATGGGACGTATCTCAAAGTAATAAGAGCTATCTATGACAAACCCACAGCCAATATCATACTGAATGGGCAAAAACTGGAAGCATTCCCTTTGAAAACTGGCACAAGACAGGGATGCCCTCTCTCACCACTCCTATTCAACATACTGTTGGAAGTTCTGGCCAGGGCAATTAGGCAGGGGAAGGAAATAAAGGATATTCAATTAGGAAAAGAGGAAGTCAAATTGTCCCTGTTTGCAGATGACATGATTGTATATCTAGAAAACCCCATTGTCTCAGCCCACAATCTCCTTAAGCTGATAAGCAACTTCAGCAGTCTCAGGATACGAAATCAATGTACAAAAATCACAAGCATTCTTATACACCAATAACAGACAATCAGAGAGCCAAATCATGAGTGAACTCCCATTCACAATTGCTTCAAAGAGAATAAATTACCTAGGAACCCAACTTACAAGGGACGTGAAGGACCTCTTCAAGGAGAACTACAAACCACTGCTCAATGAAATAAAAGAGGATATGAAGAAATGGAAGAACATTCCATGCTCATGGGTAGGAAGAATCAATATCGTGAAAATGGCCATACTGCCCAAGGTAATTCATAGATTCAATGCCATCCCCATCAAGTTACCAATGACTTTCTTCACAGAATTGGAAAAAACTACTTTAAAGTTCATATGGAACCAAAAAACAGCCCCCATTGCCAAGTCAATCCTAAGCCAAAAGAAGAAAGCTGGAGGCATCACACTACCTGACTTCAAACTACACTACAAGGCTACAGTAACCAAAACAGCATGGTACTGGTACCAAAACAGAGATATAGATCAATGGAACAGAACAGAGCCCTCAGAAATAACGCCACGTATCTACAACTATCTGATCTTTGACAAACCTGAGAAAAACAAGCAATGGGGAAAGAATTCCGTATTTAATAAATGGTGCTGGGAAAACTGGCTTGCCATATGTAGAAAGCTGTAACTGGATCCCTCCCTTACACCTTATACAAAAATCAATTCAAGATGGATTAAAGACTTAAACATTAGACCTAAAACCATAAAAACCCTAGAAGCAAACCTAGGCATTACCATTCAGGACATAGGCATGGGCAAGGACTTCATGTCTAAAACACCAAAAGCAACGGCAACAAAAGCCAAAATTGACAAATGGGATCTAATTAAACTAAAGAGCTTCTGCACAGCAAAAGAAACTACCATCCGAGTGAACAGGCAACCCACAAAATGGGAGAAAATTTTCGCAACCTACTCATCTGACAAAGGGCTAATATCCAGAATCTATAATGAACTCAAACAAATTTACAAGAAAAAAACAAACAACCCCATCAAAAAGTGGGCGAAGGACATTAACAGACACTTCTCAAAAGAAGACATTTGTGCAGCCAAAAAACACATGAAAAAAATGCTCACCATCACTGGCTATCAGAGAAATGCAAATCAAAAGCACAATGAAATATCATCTCACACCAGTTAGAATGGCAATCGTTAAAAAGTCAGGAAACAACAGGTGCTGGAGAGGATGTGAAGAAATTGGAACACTTTTACACTGTTGGTGGGACTGTAAACTAGTTCAACCATTGTGGAAGTCAGTGTGGTGATTTCTCAGAGATCTAGAACTAGAAGTACCATTTGACCCAGTCATCCCATTACTGGGTATATACCCAAAGGACTATAAATCATGCTGCTATAAAGACACATGCACACGTATTTATTGCGGCACTATTCACAATAGCAAAGACTTGGAACCAACCCAAATGTCCAACAATGATAGACTGGATTAAGAAAATGTGGCACATATACACCGTGGAATACTATGCAGCCATAAAAAATGATGAGTTCATGTCCTTTGTGGGGACATGGATGAAATTGGAAATCATCATTCTCAGTAAACTATCGCAAGAACAAAAAACCAAACACCACATATTCTCACTCATAGGTGGGAATTGAACAATGAGAACACATGGACACAGGAAGGGGAACATCACACTCTGGGGACTATTGTGTGGTGGGGGGAGGGGGGAGGGATAGCATTAGGAGATATAACTGATGCTAAATGAGGAGTTAATGGGTGCAGCGCACCAGCATGGCACATGTTTACATATGTAACTAACCTGCACATTGTGCACATGTACCCTAAAACTTAAAGTATAATAATAATAAAATAAAAAAAGCTGTTCATTTGATTATTGTTGCATTAGTTATCCTTTTCTGCAAAACAAATTACCATAAACCTAGCAACTTAAAGCAATATTCATTTATTATGTTACCATTTCAATGTGTCAGGAGTCAGCTTAATTGGATATTCTGCTCTGCTCAGGTCTCACTAGATTACAGTAAAGTTTTGGCCAATCCTGTGCTTCTCATTTAGGTCTCAAGATCTTCTTCCAGTCTTATTCAGGTTGTTGGCAGAATTCAGTTCCTTGCAGTTGTATGACTGTGGTCCTTGTTTTCTTACTAGTGTCTGCTAGGAATTTCTCTCAGTTCTTTCAATCAACTGCTTTCCTTAAGCAGTTCACAGCATAGATGTCTGTTTTCTTCCTTCAAGACAAGAGGAGAATGCTTACTGCTTTTACAGGGTTTGTCTATTTAGGTTAGGCCCAGACAGAATGATCTCCCTTTTGATTAACTCAAAATCAACTAAATTGGGACCTTTATTATATCTGCAAAATCCTTATGGTCATAAAACATAATATAGTCATGAGATTGCTAGTAACATGATTCTTTATTTTAATATCTATTTTAAAATTTATTTCAAATTGACAAAAATGTATATATTTACAGTGTATAACATGATGTTTTGAAACAGATACACGTTGTGGAATGGCTAAGTCAAGCTAATTAACATGTGCATTACCTCATATACTTTTCAGTTATTCATGGTGAGAACACTTAAAACCTGCTGTCTTAAATAACTTTCTAGTGTACAATATATTGTTGTTAACTATAATCACCATGTTTTACAGTAAATCTCTTGAATTTATTACTTCTGTCTAATAGAAATTTTGTATCCTTTGACTAACATGTCCCCAATCTCCCTGCCACCTCCAGACCCTGTTAACAATCATTCTACTCTCTGCTTCTAGGAAAAATGCACAAAATAAAGAAGAAAATACAAATCACTTATAATCCTGTTAAACAATGATAATCATTGCTAATGTTTAGGTATATTTCCTTCTAATATGTTTTCCATGTATATATACATACATTAATGCACAATACATAATGTGTTTACATAATTAAGTTTATACTATATGTACAATTGTATAATTTTTATATAACTTTACATTAGAAACATAGTCTAATTTCATTTTTTAAAACACCATGTAAACATCATTTTACTGGCTGCATAATATTGCATCACAACATGATTCATTTAGTCTTTTCCTGTTATTGGACATTAAGATTGTTTGAAATGTGTTACTATGAAAAGCGTCACCACTGTAATAAACAATCTTATGCATAAATGTATATGTATATCATTTTTGAACCACATTACTCAGGTATGATTGACATACAAAGAGCTGTACATTTTTAATGTATACAACTTTATGAGTTTGGAGATAAGTATATACCTATGAAATCATCACCACAATCAATGCCATAAATACACCCATCACCTTCAAAAGTTTCCTCCCACTATCTTTTTTATTGTGGCCAAAAATACTGTATTTTTAACCAGCAAGATCATTGGGGCATTATTATACAACATTAGGTGTTTTTTTGCAAAACTAGTTCCCATCCCCAAACAATGACAATACGTGCATTTGAATGACATTTTGGGAACAGTAAATATTCTTTTAAATACTGCAAGTTAAAAATGTTTTCTGACAAAACTCCCCAAATACATAGGTTTTTTTTTATGTTTCTTTAGACTGGAGTCTCAGAATGGGGATTGCTAGATCAAAACCCATGAATATTTCTAAGATTTTTTATTTTCTTCCAGAACATGCCTTCCAGAAAATGTGTGTCTATATGATTGCCTTGTAACAAAGTGAGATAGATACCTGAAAGACAATCTATTCTTGGACCTTGGCAAGTGACTATTATCAAAGGACCTTAGATCTTTTCTGTCAGGAATAGTGCAAGGGCAAGGTGACAGCATTTTATATTGTCTCAAGTGTCAGCTAGTAGGGTTACACCAGGAATAGTTGCTTTTTGAAGTTGCCAGACAGCTTAGGTTATATGTAACTCCCCAGATCTGTGGTTAATTTCCAATGTGCCTTGATCTTCAGCCAGTTCTCACTTTTTACTGGAATTTAAAATAGGTTGTTTATACTCCTATCTTCCCTCTCTTCTAAAGACCTAGGTAATTCCATCATTTCCTGAAATTCCAATCCTGCATCTCTTCACAACATAACATATACCAGACCCTTTGCCATCATATTGATATGAGTTCCATATCTAAGTGAACATTGCTTATAAACCTTTTCAACTATCTTAGCAAGCCATAGCTACACACATCAAACCCACGCATAAACAAATAGCCTAAATGGAGTGCAGAAAAATAAATAATTTTACAGAAAATATATTTTTTATTCAGACTCAAAATGCTGTACAGTTTCCTCAGTGTTGTATAATGGACTGGGAATCTGTTTGCCAGAGCCCAGAGTCTAATGGTTACGTTTTTGTAGAGTTGTCCAACCTCAAACAGCAAGTCTTCCAGAATCACGTGGCTGATGCATTCTTCTTGATTATTCTGATTCCTGGCATAATATATTCCCAAGCAGCAGTGACCTAGCTGGTTAATTTCTTTTTCCAGGGGTTTTAAGCCAAGATCAGATTAACTCTGACTCAGAGGACAAGAAGGAGGTTTGGACAGATGTTAGGCACAAACTGAATCCCCTAATTCAAAGTACTTTCAAACTATTTTTTATGCCCCACTTAGCTCCAGAAAGTGTTAAAATGACTTGTCTCTTGCATCATTCCTCCTGGCTCTGCTCTATTGACTTTGGTGATAGCTGACTCTACTAATTTTTAAACCAATTTATCTGCCCTGTAGTGCAGACTAATTCTTGCCTGAGACAAGAAGTGCCAAATAAATATCTTCCTTTTCCCATTTCTACCCTAAGTACAAAACAGTTAAAAATCTATGTGTAGTGGGTGGGGGTGGAGTGCAGAGGCTTAATATTGAGCCAAGCTCATTATTAAATGGATCCGGGAACAGCGAGCATCTGGGGATAATGAGATGGTCCTGTGATGATGGTGGGATCCTGTATGGACAGATGCCCACATTGCACTCTCTTTCTTCATTTTCTTATTAAGAGAGTAGGATTGAGGGTAGATTCTTCAAGGCCAGGGAATCCTCATATTTCCCTTAAACAATAGAGTTGCACAGGAGACCAGAGGTGCATACAAAACCAAAATGGCATGCCAGGGGTCCAAATACAGGAAGAGAAAGTGTGGAATAATTCTGAGTTCTGGTGGGGTCAGAGTCAGTGGACTACAGTCAGAATATAAAGCCATGAATTTAAGAAACAAATGAGGATGAAAACAGAGGGAGTGTGAAGCAATCATCATGAATGCCATCTAGCAAATGAGACTTGCACCTGTGGAGCAAATATGACATGGACAACAGAGTTCTCTATTCTCTAGCCCAAGAAGACTCTTCATGCATCCTAGTTCTTAACAATTTTCAGCTGGCTATATTTTCTACCCTTCTTACATGCCCAGCACTGTGCTAGGTGCTTTCATTAATCTTATCAACTTTATGAAGTAGTTACTTTTTCTATTTTATGGATGTGAAGACAAAGCCTCCTGACTGTCAGACTAGTGACCTTCTCCTTGTGAGCCATCTTGATTTAATGGTTTTCAGCCCTGTTGTCAATGTTCCAGTCTTTCTCCCTCATATTAAATATTAGTCATTCTGTGTGACACCACTCTAGTCTGTTTGCGCCAGTGAAGTATGTCGATCTTGCTTCCTATTTATGGCTACTTCATTTCTGCTCATGCTCTTGTCTCTGCCTGCTCCACCAAGAGGCTCCTGCTCTGACTTACACTTCTAATTCAAACTCTGCCACCTGCATGGCAAAATTAGGCATGATCAGCCTGATAATAATAACAATGATAGCATATATTAGTTTTTGAGCACTTGCCATGTGCCGGAATTGTATCAGGATTTTTACATGCATTATATCATTTATTCCTTACTCCAGCTCTATAAGTACTATTATTATCTGCAGTTTATAGAAGAGGAAAGACTAGTTTTTGTTCACATCACAAGTCTCATCTAGCATGACTCTTCCCCTCCTTCACTCTGCCCTAGCCACAGTGGTTTTCTTGCTGTTCCTCAGACAAGTCAAATATGTTCCCACTTCATGGACTTTACACTTGCTATTTAGTCTGCTAAGAACTCTATTCTGGTAGATTTATTCTCATGGCTGATTCCTTCACATCATTTGACCCTCTGTTCAAATGTTACTTTGAGGCTTTCTCTGAACACCTCATCAAAAACAGCATTTATATTTTGATAAAATCCAACATCCCTACATGTTAAAAACCCTCAAAAAACTAGGCATTGAAGGAACATAATTCAAAATAATAAGAGCCATCTATGATAAACACACAGCCAACATCATACTTAATGGGCAAAAGCTGGAGGCATTCCCCTTGAAAACTGGCACAAGACAAGGATGCCCTCTCTCACCACTCTTATTCAACATAGTATGGGAAGTTCTGGCCAGGGAAATCAAGCAAGAAAAGGAAATAAAAGGCATCCAAATATGAAGAGAGGAAGTCAAAGTATCCCTGTTTGCAGACCACATGATTCTGTATCCAGAAAACCCCATAGTCTTTGCCCTAAAGCTCCTGGATCTGAAAAACAACTTCGACAAAGTTTCAGGATACAAAGTCAGCATAAAAAAAAACCAGTAGCATTTCTGTATACCAAAAACATCCAAGCTAGGAGCCAAATTAGGAATGCAAACCCATTCACAATTCCCACAAAAAAGAATAAAATACCTAGGGATAAAGCTAACTAGGGAAGTAAACTGTCTCAATAATGAGAATTACAAACACTGCTCAAAGAAACCAGATATGACACAAACAAATAGAAAAAACATTCCATGCTTGTGGATAGGAATAATCAATATCATTAAAATGTCTATACTGCCCAAAGCAATTTAAAGATTCAATGATACAAATAACACTACAAATAATCAAACTACAAATAACACTCCTCTCAGAACTAGAAGAAAAACTATTTTAAAATTCATATGGAACAAACAAACAGCCCAAATAGACAAGGCAGATCTAAGCAAAAACAACAAGCAGGAGGCATCACATTACTCAACTTCAAACTATACTACAGGGCTACAGTAATCTAACAGCATGGTACTGATACAAAAACAGACAAATAGACCAATAGAACAGAATAGAGAGCACAGAAATAATTCTGCACACCTACGGCCATCTGGCCTTCAACAAAGCTGACAAAAACAAGCAATAGGGAAAGGACTCCCCAATAAATGGTGCTGAGATAACTGTCTAGCCGTAGGCAGAAGATTGAAAGTGAACCCCTTCCTTATACCATATACAAAAATTAAATCAAGATGGATAAAAGACTTAAATGTAAAATCTAAATCTATACAAACCCTGGAAGAAGAGCCAGGACATACCATTTTGGACATTTGAACTGGCAAAGATTTTATGACAAAGATGCCAAAAGCAATTGCAACAAAAGCAAAAATTGATAAATGGGATACAGTTAAACTAAAGAGCTTTTGTACAGCAAAATAAACTATCAAACAGAGTAAACAGACAACCCACAGAATGGGAGAAAATTTTTGCAAAGTGTACTTCTGAAAAAGTCTAATATTCAGAATCTAAAAGAACATAAACAAATTTGCATGCAAGAAGCAAACAACTCCATTAAAAAGTGGGCAAAGGACATGAACAGACGTTTTTCAAAAGAAGATATGCATGCAGCCAACAAGCATATGAAAAAGTGGTCAACATCACTAATCATTAGAAAAATGCAAATCAACACCACAATGAGATACCATCTCACACCAGTCAGAATGGCTATTATTGAAAGTCAAAAAATAACAGATGCTTAGGAGGTTGCAAAGAAAAGAACATGCTTATACTCTGCTGGTGGGAGTATAAATTGGCTCAGCCATCATGGAAAGCAGTGTGGCAATTCCTCAAAGAACTAAAAACAGAATTACCAATAGACTCAGCAATCCATTGTTGGGTATGTATCCAAAGGAATGTAAATTGTTTTACCATAAATGCACAAGCACACATATGTTCATCTCAGCACTATTCACAATAGCAAATATATAGAATCAACATAAATGCCCATCAACTGTAGGCTGGATGAAGAAAATATGTACATAAACACCATGGAATACTATGGAGCCATAAAAAGGAATGAGATCATGTCTTTTGCAGGGGCATGGATGAAGCCGGAAGCCATCATCCTCAGCAAGCTAACACAGGAACAGAAAGCCAAATACTGCATGTTCTCACTTGTAAGTGGGAGCTAAACTCCACACCCACTCTAGCCTGAGTGGATAATCACTGCCTTATAGTGACTCATAGTCACAGCATTGTGGTTATAAGCATGGAATCATACTTAGACCACCTCTGTATAAATCCTGTCTCCTCAGTTTGCTAGCATTATACATATCCTCTGCATTCTAGTTTCTTTACTTGTAAAATTGGAATGAAAATAGACGCTTAAACTCTATGGTTGTTGCAAGGATTAAATGAGTTAACATATGTAAAACATTTAAAACAGTGCTTTGGAGATGGTAAGTGCACAGAAATTGTTAGTTATTCATGTCATGCCCTTCAGGAGCACTGGGCTGGAAAAAGTTTGAGAACAAATTTGGTGTGGTGTCCTTCCCACAATAAAGCTGTTAAGTGAGGTTACAGCTATCATGGAACAAGGCACATTAGGGCACCTACAAATCCATGTGAGGCCTTTAGTGCTGCACTTGGCAGTATTTTTAATGCGTCCTTGGTCAGTCCCTTGTTTTTTTCCCCATATTCGATATTCTGTATCTTTGCCCACTCCTCAAACCATGTATCCCACTCCACCCAACCACTTCCCAGTTGGAAAAAGATATCCCTCTACTCTGCATCTTTCTCAGACTGCCACCCTGTCTTTCCCTTCTTCATTACTGATAAGCACCTCAAAAGGGTATCACGTCAGTCTATCAATTCCCTCACTTTACAATCTGCTGCATTCCAGATTATACTCTCACCACTCCTCTGAGAGTGCTCTAGCAGGTATCAACAACCTCCTTATTGCTGGATCCTGAGGTCTCTTTGCAACAACCTTGCTTATTTGACCCCTGCTCCATGGCCTTTGACTGTTGTCTACTTTCAGCTTCTGCCATACTTCTCATGCCGGCTTCTCCTCTTACCTCTTTGATAGTTCCTTCTCAATCCCATCTGTAGTCTTTTCTTCTTCATACACCTAAAAGTTTGTTGTGCCTAGAAGTTTCACCTATTGACCCTCTTATTTTTGCAATCTATACATGTACCTTCAACAATCCCATCCACTGCCAGTACTTTATTTACAGCAATGATTAAGCATGCAGGTGTTAAAGCAGGACTGACCTGGGTTTAAATCTGGCTCTGCCACTTACTAATTGTGTGAATTACTTAACCTCTTCTAAGCCTTGTTTTCCTCATTAGTAAAAAGGGGTCAAATTTGCTTCCTAAATCATAAAGTCTTTGTGAGGGTTAAATGACATAGTGCCCAGTCTTTTCTCTTGACTTCAGTTCCATATAACTGACTGCCTACTTAAAATATCTACCTGCATACCCTCAGAAATCTAAAACTCACTATGTCCAAACCTACCCTCATGGTTGTTTCCTCCAATTTTGTTTTTCATCCTGGGTTCTCAATCTCGGTGAATGACACCACCATTTATCCAGTCACCTAAGCTGTAATAAACCTGCACATTCATACTCTTAGATCTCTCACTTTTATTCACCCTCCACGTGTTCAGCTAGCAACTAAGCCCTACTTTTTCTCTCTTGTTAATATATGTCCTGCCTGTGTTTTCCTCCCAATCTTCTGTGCTGCTGCCTTAGTTAAGACCTTCATCTACATAGTATTCTAATTAGTTCTCCCTTCATATATCTGGTCTTTTAATTGGTCTCCCTGTCTCCTGCAGCTTTGTTCCCTTTTAGTCCATTCTCTAACTGCTGCTAGAATAGTCTTCTACTGTCTTCTTAATGATTATAGAATAAAATCCAAATTCTTTAGTGTGATATGTAAGGACCTCAATGATTTCACACTTCCATGTCAGATAGCTTATGCTACTTTCTCTACTGGAAATGCTCCCTCACCTTGGCCTTCTAATAAGCATGTACTCAATGGCCAACATTTAGCTCCAGATTCACCTCTTCCAGGAAAATTTCCATGGCTCCTTTACCTTTTGCTCCAGTTTTGTGTTTCCCCACTCTTCCTACACATATTTACTTAAATACTTAAATATTTTCTTAAATATGTTGTCCCATGTACTAATATACATATCCACCTTCCCTTACTAAGTTGTAATCTCCTTGAGGGCAGGGACTTTGTTATGATCCTTTTCTGTTTTCACTCTGTTTTGTTTCACTGCTTATCATAACATATAATACCACAATATTGTCAGTCAAAGAAATGCATGAATGAACCAACCACTCATGAGCTGCACTAATAAAAATGTACACCATTAGGTGCAAGAAAGATGATCATCCTGTTTCTATTACTTTTTTATTTTGCTATAGTCAGACCATCATTTAAAGAGAGCCTTGGCTAAAAAATCTTTCAGAGCCCTTCTGTTTCTGAGAGTTCTTCATTCTACCTTATCCTCAATACTATGGGGGATACCAAGGTATGAGATATAATATGCTTTCACAGTAAGCTTACAATATATCTGAACAAATGAGCTTAACATCTATGAAAAACTCAAGCAGAAGTATGTTTGGAATGATAAGGCAATAGTGCTAGGCATCAAATTAGTAACACAGCATCATTAAAAAACTCAGGAGGGGATATTTAGCTAATGGCTGGAATGGTTAGACAAGTCTTTCTGAAGGGATGGGACTTGAATTGAAATTTAGCAAATGAGAATGCATGAGTAATGTAGTAATAACAGCAAAGAGACAGAATAGCAAGCTGGTTAAGAGTAGAGACAGTCCAATTTTCTGGCTTTAAACTCAGCTCTCCCACTTACTAGACCATATGACTTTGGGCAAGTGACTTCACCTCTCTCAGCCTCACCTAATTCTTCCATACATTTAAGATGGAAATCATATTTGCCTCATGTTGGGAAGATTAAGTAAAATATTGTGAATAAAGAGTTTAGAAGAGTACCTAGTTCATAGTAAGCACTTAATGAGTCAATAAGTATTGGTTGTTTTTATTATGCCTTACATATACTGAAGGCTTTCAGTTTGCACAACTTGTTTTGCATATTTCCTCAGCGACCCTGTGAGAACTGGGAAGTGTCTTATTCCCATTTGACAAATGGTAAAACTGACGTCCAGAGAAAGGAAGTGACTTATCAAAAGTGAGCTAATGGAAGAGTCCAGCCTTCCTTTGGCCATTGGTTAGCCTTTTATACTCAGTGATATCACGGCTTCTCCGTAGCTGTTTTATTCACGTCTGGGAGATAAAGTGGAGTTGGGTACAGCAAGGGGTAGGGGGGATAATGGGAGAAGAAAAGTGTAGACAAAAAGCCAGAACTATCTTCAGGATTTGATGTTTGTTAAGGATCACCCAGCTCGGTGGATAAGGTTCAGGTCCTGCCTTCTAGGACACAAAAGAAGCACAATAGACAACCCATCCTACTAGGATAGAAATTATTTGGGAGGATATAAAATAGTTCCATGCCTCACTCTCCTTGTCAGCCATCAAAACAAACAGAAAGTTCTGAAAGGGTTGAGTCAACTTCCTGAGGAGGAAAGGGGAGCTTTTCTGCAATTAATAACATCTGGCAAAATTGTTTCTGATTAGTCAGCATGTGTTCCAAGGGTAACTTTTCGCATTGGGTGGTGTGTAATTCATGTCCGGTTGTCACACTGAGACAAATGTAGCAATAACTACACTTTTCTCACACAAACAACTCATCAGAACCCCCACCTAGGGAAAAACTACATCCTGGATTAGCATTTTTTAAAATTACTTTTATAGGCTGTATTTCACAAAGGTTCTTCCTCCATGCGTCTAGGCAAGGTCTCTGACTATAAAGCCACACACAGGAAAACAGCCTCACTATTTCTCCTTGAATCACTTCTCCCTTTCACTCCCCTTTTCTCTCTCTCTGTCTCTCTCACTCTGTATTTGTCTCTCTCTCACACACACACAGACACACATACACTCACATACACACAGAGTTCCAGTTCTATTTCTCCATGTTAAACTGAGAAATCGATACTCTCACATCACCAGTGTGATTTCTAAACACTACAGTTTAGAATACTTTTTAAAAATGAAGTACAGATCAACAAACTATGCCAAGTGCCTACCATGTGCCAGATATTCTGCATTTTTAACAGAACTCCTATGACAAAACTTGGTTGTGGAATATTACTCATCTCTATCTTGCAGACAAGCAAACTGAGACTTGAGAAAAGCAAGAAACAATGGAACTATGAATCAATGCCAAGTATCTCTGGCTCCAAAACCACATACTCTGTATATTAAAGCCTCTCATTGTGGAAATAATAGAAAACCAACCAGGCACTATGAATGCTAAACCTATACCTGTCTTATTTAATTCTCACAACAAACTGATGAGTTAACTAGTTCTGTTATCTACACTTTTCAGATGAAGAAACCAAGGCTCATGCTCACTTTCACAGCACATAAACTAAAATTGGAAAAATGAATAGATGATTAGCATCGTCCTTATATAAGGAGGACACATAAATTCATAAAATATGCTATATTTGTCTATATTTGTACAATAAAATGATTAGCAACATGAATGAATGCATAACTTCCATAACCAATATATTCAATGAATCTCATACACATAATATTGAGTGAAAGCAATGAGACAAGAAAAGAAAACATAGCATATGATTCCATTCATATAAACTTTAAAAAACAGGCAAAAGTAAACTATAGTGTTTATATAGAGAGAAAAGCAAGCAAGCTATTATCTATTATTGCATATTCTCATTCATATTGCTTCCCTCTGTTTCTGCTTCTTTTATTTATGCATAATATACCTTAAAATAAAATTTTATTTTTCTAGGCCCTAGGGAAGGGCCTGGGACCTTTCTTAAGAGAAACTTTACAGGCTTCACCTTGGGATGCACCATAAGTACAGACATGAGAACTGTGAGAGGACCAAGCCAGGGTAGAGGGGTTGACTGGGGACAATTATTTCGCATGGCATGCTGTGGGAAAAAGCATTAGCTTACAGGGGATAAATAGATCTTCAAAAAAGGTATGTTACATGCCAAAAAATGCCTCATGACTCATTGTACTCCAAATCCCTATAATGAAGAACTCCAGAAACCCCCATAGGCCAAAATGCTAATGTTGAAACTTCATAAATATAAACTCTATTTCTTGCCCTAGTCCAGGAGTTGTAGGGACCAGTGAACAATTGCTGATAGTGTGGTATATTGGGAAAAGAGCAGAGTTTGTGTGTCTAACTTGAGATCATCATCTTGGATCTGCTAAGCTGTGTAACCTTGAGAAAATCTCTTCCTTTCTCTGAGTCTCAACTTCTTCATAAATGGGGGTGTGAAAGGTTTAGCATACACTAAGAATCATTAAAATTAATTAAAATGGGATAATCATACTATGTAACTTACAAACTTATTTTAGGAAAGCACCTGACACGTAGTAGATACACAGTAAATAAGTTTTCTTCATTTTCTTCACTTAGTGGCCCCTGCCAGACCTCAAAAGATAAAGCAGAAAACTAATGTCAGATGACTTGTGAAGGTATGTACTAGTTTATTTTTGGAAGGACATATTTCAAAGGCTACCAATTTATCATTGTCCAAAGAAGACACTCCTGAAAGCATAACGTCAATCTGCTATCTACTTCAAGTTTTCTCTTATATGGGGGAGCAGAAAAACAGTAAGAAGGGGTCTACCTGGCTATATTCCTTCATCAAAACAATATTCTGCTGTTTCAAAATCTACTGTGGGTTAAATCTCCCTATCCACAAATCAATGTAGCACACAACCATAGGAGCTCAAAGGAATAAAATTCTATTAACATTGAAGCAACTACCCTTTGTTATCTATTAAAACACCTTGCCTATCACCTTTGGCTAACATTATTTTGTGAAAAGGTATTCCATGTTGGTTATTAAAAGTCAGTGTAATATAAGAAACTGTAAAAATACCAGGTGACTTCATTGAAACAGATGTGATGCCCAAAGATAATTACGACTACCATCCTTTTGTGACCCTAGGGAGGTATCAACTATTGCTGTTGATGTGCCTGCTAGACTGAACCACCTCCCCAACCCACCAACCACAGAACCTGCAGCTGACATGCTAAAATTACTGTAAAGTATTTTGGTTTGGTAGCCACAGAAACTTGTGTCTGAACCTTGGCTATGGCACTTACTGGCTAGGTGGACTTTAAACAAGTAACTTTTCTCTCAGTCTCAGTTTCCTCATCTCTCAGACAAGAATAATAATAGTATCTGATTCACAAATATATCGTGAAGACTCAATGAGATTATGTTATATAAAATGCCTAGCATGACACTTCACACCAATTAGGCACTCCAATGTTAGTTTCCTCTTGCCTTGCTCACTAAAGCATCTACCTTATTTCACTTAATGAATTTAGCTACAGGTTTGAACATTCCCAGTGTGTAGTTGACTGGATCCTAAGATACTGTAGCATGCTCTGTTTCAAAATGGCTCAGACCTGGATCCTTACTTAACTTCACTAAACCAGAGCTCAGAAAACTGGCCAGCCAAACCATATTCAGCCTGAGGCCTGTTTTGATATGGCCTATGAGCTAAAAATGGTGTTCACCTATGTAAAGGATTGCAAGGAGAAGAAAAGGAGGATGAAGAAGAAGTAAAAGAGACAGTATGTGGCCTACAAAGCCTAAAAACATTTACAATCTGACCCTTGGGAAAAAAAGCTTGTCAAACTCTGCAGTAGTCCCTAGTGAGTAGGAAAAGCAAATGCAATTAATAGTCTGTGGGAATTCCTTTTTTGTAATCTGTCCTTCCTTTCTTCTCCTTTTTCTTGTAACAGATTCTCGCAAATCTAGGTGGGCTTGTGATTTAGGTTTTGCCAAGGAAGATATCCCACCTTCTCTGGCAGCAGTGATTGATAAAGCCCAATTCTCAGTCCTTTACTGAGATATGTAGATTCTAGGAAAAAGGAAGTTTTTTACCCACTGAAGTTGCTGAAATGAGGCTCTTGTCAGCCATGTTTCCTGCCAAGTGGACAAAACCCTGTCTGAAGTAAGAGAGCATGAAAGAAATTTGCATAGAAAAGCAAAGATAAGAGATATGCAGGGAAAAGGAGGATCCTAGCAGCTTTGAGTCCCTAGTTCTACTCACCAAAATCTTGGTTCCTACAGCTCTTCAATTCCATGAGTTACCCTAGTACTTCTTCCTAGATTATTCCAGCAATTTCTTCCTAAAATAAAGCCAATAAATGCCTTTTTGTTTAGCTGGTTTGTGTCTAAGTTAAACTGAGTTGATTTTCTGTTGCCTATAACCAAACACAGCCTGTTCCAATAGAGCACAGTTTTGAAATTCAATACAAGTGGAATCAAATTAATATCCCATTTCTTAATTAGATGACCTTGGGCAATTTGCATCATGCCATCAGGGCTTCAGTTTTTCTCTTTTGTAAAACTAGGACAATAATACGTACATGTACAGTTTTTGTGAGATGTAGATAAGATAGACATAAAATAAGAGTCACAGTGCAGGGTGCTATAGGTGTTCAGAAGATGTGAGTTTCCTTCCCCAATAGCAAGATCTAACAGATCAGCTGACCTACAGGCAGGGAAACCTTCCATAATTCCTATCTTTTTAAACATTCCGGGGTTACTCATGAGCATAAGAAACCTGCCAGACCTCCACCGTGTAAATCAGACCCTGAAATCACCAGCCAAAATGGCAAGTGTAGTTTAGCAGCTTGGGCTTAATAACAAGCCACTGAAACTTCTTCAACCCTTCTTGAATCAAGTCAGCCTCCTCTTGCCCTACCTATGTAGCCTCTTAAACTATACTCTAACCCTCCTAGATTTCTCAATCAATTAAATAAGCTTGTTTGTTCAGAAGTGATCTTCGACTTTGAAGTGAAAAGGTGTTCTGACATCACTATGTGGGGAAAAATCAAGATTAGCAAACCTCTTCAAGTAAGGAGTTTCATTAATCTTGAGAGATAACTCCATTAGCTTTAAGAGAGAGCTAGGTGGAGAAAGAGTAAGCAGGAAGCCTCAGCTTTTTCACTTAGACCAAGATAGGTCACATACATCAGAAAGGAGCCAAGCCTGTCTAGTCTGCCCTCAGGCCAGGCTTCCCTTTGGTGAAATAGGGTCAGAAAAACTCTTTACTTCGGACTACCTGACTGAAACCTGAGGGTAAGACTCAGGTGCAATCCTTCAGGGGAGGATACGTAGGAAGTTTGCAAGGGATAACCTAACCCAACCTCAATATTGCCCCAAAAAGAAGATGGGCTCCCCTACACAGAAGACAGGACTAAGAACAGTAGCCCTTTCACCCTCTCCCTACCTACATGAGGGAGAAAATCAACACAAGAGATTTCAAAAGAGCCTAGCATTCTCATTAGCCATATAAGAGGTAGGGAAAGAGAGTGACTAACATAAAGGCAAAGCCCTCTACTGATCAAGTTCCTGAGCCTGAGGCAGGAAGTGTGGGAGTCCAAAGATGCTTATAGAGTAAGGCCTAACATTCCAAGGATGACACAGCCTTTCTTAGGGTATGCTTCATTGACTTAGTTATTGTGCCATTGGATCAACATGGAAAACAAAGCAGTAAGGACAT
The DNA here is from genome assembly GCF_000001405.40 of Homo sapiens. Lineage (NCBI taxonomy): Eukaryota > Metazoa > Chordata > Mammalia > Primates > Hominidae > Homo > Homo sapiens. The sequence continues at coordinate 66,672,195 of NC_000023.11, read as the reverse complement.
TACAAGAAAACACATCTACAAAGTGCCCTCTCATGAACATAGATGCTGAGACACTAAAAGTATTATCAAATCGAATCTAGCTTTATATAAAGGAAAATGCATCACAAGCAAGTGGGGTTTGTTCTAGGAATGAAAGTGTGGTTTAGCATTCAAAATCATTAACATTAAAAGGTGGAAATTATGTGATCATCTAAGGAGATGCAGAAAAACATTTGAAAAAATTAAACACCCATACAAGATAAAAACTATTAGCAGAGTAGATATAAAAGGGAACTTTCTTGATCTCATAAAGACTATCTACAGAAATCTACAGCAAACATCACACTTAGTCATGAAGTATCAAAAGCCTTCCCCTTGAAATCAAGAATAAATGACAAATGCCTACTATCAGCATTTCCACTCAACATTATGCTGTAGTTATAGCCAGTGCAATATGATAAGAAAAATAAAAGGCATAAGAATTAGAAAAATATATAAAACTGTTATTATTCCCAGGCAACATATTTGTGTATGTATAACATTCAAAAGAATCTATAAATTATTCCAATTAAGTAAAATTTGCAAGGTCACTGGATGCAAGGTGAGTATACATAAGTCACTTTTATTTCTACATAGCAGCAACATATGGCAATTTAAATTTATAAAAAAAGATGACATTTACATTAGCTATCAAATACCTAGGAGCAAATCTAATGAAAGAATTGCAAGACTAACAAAACACAATTGAGAGAAATTAAAGAAGGTGTAAATGAATGAGGAGATTCATGGATTGGAAGACTCAGCATTATAAAGATGTCAGCTCTCCCCAAATTAACAAATACATTTAACAGAATCTTAAGCAAAAAGTATTTTTGACCAAAATTTTCAAGCTTACTCTAAAAGTCATTTAGAATTCAAAAGGGCAAGAAATAACCAAGGCAATCTTTAAGATGAACAAAGCTGGAAGACATATACTACCAGATTTCATTTTCTTTTACAAAGCTATGATAAATATGACTGTTTGATACTGGTTCAAGGATAAACAAACGGACCAATTGAGCATAATATAAAATTCAGAAACAGATCGACACATTTATAGTCAACTGATTTATGCTGAAGGTAACACTGCAGTGCAACAGAGAAATAATGATCTTTTAAATAAATGGTTTTATGTGAATTGGGTTGCCATATGGGGAGAACTGTATCTTTTTTTTTTTTCTTAAGAGATAGGGCCTTCCTGTGTTGCCCAGGCTGAAGTGCAGTGGTGCTGTCACAGCTCACCGCAGCCTTGAAATCCTGTGCTCAAGCCATCATCCTGCCTCAGCCTCCTGAGTAGCCAGGACCACAGGATTGTGCTACCATGCCCAGATATATATATTTTTTCAAATCTATTTGTAGAGACTTGGTCTCAATATGTTGCCCAGGCTCGTCTCAAACTCCTGACCTCAAGTGATCCTCCTGCCTCAGGCTCCCAAAGTGGTGGGATTACAGGTGTGAGCCACCATGCCCAACTGAAAACTACATCTTAATTTCTATCACACCATAACTGAAAACCGACTCCAGATATATACAGATCTAAAGTAAAGGGCAAAACAATACATCTTTTTAAAAACATGTAAAACATTTTTATGACCTTGGAGTAGGCAAAGATTTCTAAAACAGGACACAAAAGCCCCATTCTTAAAGGTAAAATTTATCACACAAACTAAATTAAAATCAGGAACTTCTACTCTTTAAAAGATGTTATGCCAAGAGAGAAAAGGCAACTCACCAACTTGGAGAGGATATTTGCAATACATCCAGCAAAGGACTCATATGCAGAATATATAAATAACTTATACAAATTAGTACAAAAGACAACTTATTAGGAAAATAGACAAGAGACTTGAAGATATTTGACTTAAATGTATTCAAATACCCAATAAGCATATGAAGTGCCCAGTTTCATTAGTAATCAAAGAAATACAAATTGAAACCACAGTAATGTAACACTGACACTCATCAGAATGACTAAAATTTGAAAAGTTGGAAAATATCAAGTTTTGGTGAGGATGTGGAACAGCTGAAACTCCCATACAGTTTTGGTAGGAATGCAAACAGGTATGACTACATAGGAAAACTGTTTTACAATACCTGCTAAAACTGAACATAAGCATACCCTATGACCTACTGATTCTGCTCCTAGGTATCTAACTAACAGAAATATGCTCATCAACAGACGTGTTCAAGAATGTTCATAACAGCACTATTTGTAGTGGCCCAAACCTAGAAACTCCTCATATGCAAAGCAACAGTAGAATGGATAAAATGGATAAAAACATTCTGTATAAGAACAGAAAGCCAAACACAGGATGTTCTCACTCATAAGTGGGAGTTGGACATGGAGAACACATGGACACAGAGAGGGGAACAACACACACCAGGGCCTGTTGGGGGGTGGGGGTGAGGGGAGCGAACTTAGAGGATGGGTCAATAGATAGAGCAAACCACCATGGCATAGGTAGACCTATGTAAAAAACCTGCACATTCTGCATATATATCCCGGTTTTTTTTTAGAAGAAATAAAGAAAAAAAAAGAAAAGAAAAAAAAAGAAAAGAAAAATAAAACATTCTGTATGAGGAATACTCTACAGCAATAAAAAAACCTCTGCAGATATGTGCAACAGTATGGAATAATTTCACAATCAAGTAAAGGAAGCCAGAAATGAATGTAAACTGTATGTTTCTATTCATATAAATGACAAAAACAGTTAAAACTAATCTATGCTGTTAGACGTTCTAATAGCGGTTACCCTTAGGGTGGGTAGACTAGAATGGGGCACAAGGAGGACTTCTAGGGTGTTGAAGCTTTTATACATTGATCTGGGTGCTGATTACTTGAGCATGTTCAGTTTGTGAAAATGTATTGAGCTGTACACTTATGTATATGTTTATGCATGTATGTTATGTTTTAATAAGGGAGATAAAGAAAGTGAGGCAGTATTTGCTAGGGCTAACATAACAAACTACCACAACTTGGTGGCTTAAAACAACAGAAATTCATATTTTGCACAGTTCTGGAGGTTACGTAGCTGTCAGAAATCAAGTTGTTAGGAGGGATGCACTCTCTCTGAAAGCTCTAGGGGAGAATACCTTCCTTATCTCTTCTAGCTTCTGGTGGCTCCAGGTGTTTCTTGGCTTGTGTCTGCATAAATCCAATCTCTACCTCAGCCTTCACATGGCCTTTTCCTTCTTGCTGTGTGTCTCTTATAAAAACATTTGTCATTGGAGATAGGGCCTATCTGGATAATCTTCATCTCATCTCGAGATCCTTAACTTAATACTTTTCCTCTTTTGGGGGATCATCATTCAACACACTATAGTCAGAAAGATACTCAAGGAGAAAACTTTTAGCAGAGGAGGTCTTCCATTGCCTGAGATCTGCCAGAGCCTCTTGCTCAGTGTAATAGTATTTACTATTGCTTTTCTGGCCTCCAGAATTGAAAATATTGCCAGAAGTTTCCAGCTCTATGTACCTGATGACCTAATTGATGGGATCACCTTATCTGAAACTGACACCCTGGAAGATATTTGGAACCAGGACTACTTATAAAGGAGTAATAAGGGAAGCAGTTGTAGAGTTGATTGACTCTCACACACCCAGCAAATTTATTTGGCAATCATTGTCCACCTGTCCCCACTATGTAGATTGTCTTATCTCTAGCTGTCCCCAGTGACCATCTTCATGCCTTTATCTTTCTACAGCTGAGCAAAGTTCTATGCTGTGGATGACAAGGCAGTTAAAAAGAAGGGTGGTTTATATTCAGTAATGCCATTCTCAAGGTGTTCTTATACTGAGGTTTGTAAGAACCTTTTGCTCAATGTATTGGTATTTACTATTGCACAGAAGATTTTTGTTAGGTATTATGGTGAGCCAGAATGGTTGCATTTGTGAAGAAAAACATGGCATAGGTCATTGGAAAGACTGAAGTTCTGGCTCATAGGTTGAACTAGATACCACATGGGTATCTCATTACTGATGAGCCAGATACCTATAAAGTTTCTGCTGTAGCCACCTCAGTGACACGAGAATCTAATTTTGTTTCATTCTTCTTATTCAGATATCTCTCATTGGTGATTAATAGGCATCTTAAACCTAACATGGCCAAAACACAGCTTTCACCCAAACCAGTTCTTCTCTTATTGTTATCCAGGTCAGTAATTAGCACCACTTTCCAGCCAGTTGTTCAAGCCAAAAACTTAGTAGTCATCTTTATTTGTGTGTTACTATATGCATTCTATTGACATGTCACAACTGTATTTTGAATCTAACTACTACTAATCCTTATCAACTCTGCTACCAACCTGGTCCAAGCTTCTATTACATCTCATCTGGATTACTGTACCAGCTCCCTAATAGTATCCCTACTTCCACTTTTTCCCTTACAATTCATTCACTACACAGAAGTCAGAGTAATGTTTTTTAAAATAAAAATATATTACAGTGTGGTGAATGTGAATATTCCTGTTGCCCTGACTTTGATAATGATTGCCTAGATAAGGAACTTTAAAAAAGAAAAGAAAGAAGAAAGGGAAGAAAATGAGAAAGGATGAGGAGAAGAAGAAGGAGGGATGCAAAGTGCCTCACAATAAAGAATATTGCCAAAAACTGGGACCAAATATTCTGCCAAAGGCTTTCTGGAAGGTAGCAACACCATCGTTGTCACAGTCCATCCAAGTACCTCTGTTACCACCTAGCATGTTAGCAGCATATAACGGGTAGGAGGAAGGACTCTGAGACTTGTGCATCATTGGCCTAATGGACAATATAGAGTTTTTTTTTTCTCACTTTTACAGGTCAGTGGTACAAGTGTCCTTACCCTTGAGCCAAGTGAAGGTGTTCTTCAAGACAAGAGAATCACTCAAAGCAATTGTGGGAGCCTTCAAAATAGAAAAAGAAACCTAACATTTTATTACCCAGTTTGCAAAGATAAATATGTTTCCTGTGCATCTAGTAGTCACCCCAGAGGATGGCTAAACTTGAGCTGCTTTGCTGGGTCCCATACAAGAGGGCTTGCTACAAGGCAAGTGTTCCCCAGCAGCAAGAAACTTTGGGGTTTGCAGGTGCGAGTGACATCTGAGAGAGGCTGAAGAGGGTGAACTGGAGCTGGATTTCTCACGTTAGGAAATGAAACAGTAGGGAAGCCCCCAATACCCAGAGGTGAGCCTTTTTAACTCAAAAGGCATTGGTATTCAATTATCCTGAGAAGACAAGAACACCAGCAGAGAGAACCTCAAGTATTAGCAGTTAGGAGATGTTTGCCTTTACTTCCCTGTTCCCTTTTCCCATTCCCCCAAGACCAGAGTAGTTGGGTCCTGAAAAGGGAAGTGGAGAAAAAGGGAGCTACAGAACTTCACACAGCCCCCCTACACATGCACACACACACACACACATACACACACACACAGACATACACACATGCACAACAATTCCAAAGTACTGGAGATAGACAAGAAAGGATTCTAGATCATCTTTACAATTTAGGCACCTCAAGCTACAGACCTGGCATGTGATACAGGAGGGAAAGGTTTGCACCTGACATGAAATTATGATTTTTAGACTGGGTCAAATTTAATAAGAAACGTGACCAGGTAGTTGTGGAATCTGCCCAAGACATTATTAAGAAAAGATTTGTTACTCAGCAAATAAAGGATTTGACATCACAAGAAGGTATTGAAGAAAAGCAAAACTGTTTTATACTTGTATTCTGCTGAGTAGCACTGTTCACCAAATCTGCTGCACATGAATCAGATAATGTTGCTTTCTTAAAACGCTCCAAGTGTCTTTAATCTAACTCAGGATAAAATAAAAATCCTTTATCTTGGTATATAAGGTCCAACATGATCTCTCCACTTATCTACTATGCTAAAATCACATTGGTTTCTTTTGTTCATTTAACCCAACTGACTTGTTCCCACCTTTGCAAATTGCTATTTCATCTGTCTGCAGCCTTCTCCCCTTAATTGCACAGGACTGGCTCCTTATTAAAATACTAGCTCATGTATCACCTCCTGGGAGAGGTCTTTGTGGACTACCCCATTTAAAGTGGTCTTTTATGCCCCCTCCCCCAACTTATATCTGAAATTATCTTGATAATATTTGTTTACTTGTCAGTCTCCCCTCTCTAGAACAAATTATGTGAGAATTGAGAACTTTTTTGTTTTTATTTACTGCTATGTGCCCAGCACTCAGCACAATGGTTGGCATACAGAACCCACTAAGTACTTGATTGAAAGGATTAAATGTGTATAAAATCATGGTAATATAGAATCTATAGATTAGAAATAAATTTTGAGATCTTTCTGTTCAGCTCACCATTTGATGCTTAATTTATTTGACTACTATAGCATTAGTAGCCAAATCGATTGTTCCCAATTCCGTTTGAATATCTCTAATAAAAGGGAATTTGTTATCTCTCTCATTTGCCCATTTGATCAATGGACAGTTTTGTGAAAGGTTAGATAAGTAGACATACTTTTCTCTATTCCTCCCACTGAGTACAGCTAAATACTCTGGACATTATATATAAAACAAGGATAAGAAGACTGAAAGGTGGAGAAAGAAAGGAAGAATGACTAGCATCTTTGAGATCTAAGGAGTGACAGCACAGTGAGTTCTTTGTGTTTTCTTTTTGCGTCACCTATCCCAGACTGGATACTGGAGAATCTGACAATGTGGTAATGCCAAAGGACATAGAAAAAGCCCCCCAAAAAGCCATCCAAAGTAGCAGCTCAGCAACACACAAAATTTTTAAATGACAGCTCCACTACAACCAAACACCAGAGGAAAAACAACAACTGTGGCAATGGCCGGATGCGGAGCATAGACTTTCACCCTTGCCAGGCTCTAGCAAGGTGCCCCCTAACTCCCCTCCTCCACCATGAGTATACTTTATTTAGTTCTAGAACGCTAGATGGGGAGACTGAACTTTTAACACCACCCACTGTGTTACCAGTGGAGACTGTGTTACTGGTGGAGACCATGTGGGTAGTCTTATCTCTATACATTCTAAACAACTGTCCTCCTTCCTTTACCTGAGGCAACACTAAGCAAGTCTTATCCTCCCCATTCTTCATGACAGGTCCTCTAACACCTGAAGGTGGCAACTGATTTGTTTCCTATACCATCTAACCTCTCAAGTCTTTTCTTCTGTGATCTGTGATCAGTTATCTTTAATATTATTCTGGTAATTGTTTTGGAGCACCACAAACCATGCCCATATGACAGTGAATGAAATCGATAATGTGTGTTCTGACCGCTCTACTCACTGGCCACTTCCCTGTCACTTTCCTTCTACTTGCCCCTCTCTATCCCCCAAAACAAAACAAAATAGAAATTTAGGCCAATTAATAACCCTAAAATGGCCAAAAGTGTTCTAGTGAAAGGGAGATTCACATGTCTCTCACCTTAAATCAAAAGCTAGATATGATTAAGCTTACTGAGGAAGGCATGTCAAAAGCTTATATAGGTCAAATGCTAAGCCTCTTGTGCCAAAGAGTAAAGTTGTGAATACAAAGAAAAAGTTTATGAATTAAATTAAAATTGCTACTCCAGTGAACACATGAATGATAACAAAGTCAAACAGCCTTATTGCTAATAGACAGAAAGTTTTATTGGTTTGGATAGAAGATTAAATCAGCCACAACATTCTCTTTAGCAAGAGTTTAATCTAGAGCAAAGCGTTAACTCCCTTTAATTCTATGAAGGCTGATAGAGATGAAGAAGTGGCAGAAGAAAAGTAGGAAGGTAGCAGAGGTTGGTTCATGAGGTTTAAGGAAAGGAGCAATCTCCACAACATGAAAGTGCAAGATGAATCAGCAAGTGCTGATGTAAAAGTTGAAGGAAGTTACCCAGATCATTGACGAAGGGTCTACAGTAAACAAAAGATTTTCAATATAGATGAAAAAGTCTTATATTGAAAAAGTTGCCATCTAGGACTTTCAAAGCTGGAGATAGCTCAATGTCTGTCTTCAAAGATTTAAAGGTCAGGCTGACTCTCTTGTTAGGGACTAATGCAGTTGGTGACTTTAAATTGAAACCAATACTCATTTACCATTCTTAAAATCCTAGGGACCTTATGATTTGTGCTAAATTTACTCTGCCTGTGCTCTACAAATTGAACAATAAAGCTGAATGACAGCACATCTGTTTAAAGAATGATTTACTGAATATTTTAAGCCTACTCTGGATACCTACTGCTCAGAAAGATTTAGTTCATAATATTGCTCATTGACAAAGCACCTAGTCACTCAAGAACTCTGATGAAGATGTATAGGAAATTAATGTTGTTTTCATGCCTGTTAGCACAATATCCATTCTTCAGCCCATAGATTAAGGGGTAATTTTGAATTTCAAGTCTTATTATTCAAAACATAGATTTCATAGGCTATAGCTTCCATAGATAGTGATTCCTTTGATGGATCTGGGTGAAGTAAATTGAAAACCTTCTGGAGATGATTCACCACTCTAAATGTCATTAAAAATATGTGTGGTTCATTAGAAGAGGTCATGTCAACATTAATGGGGATCTGGGAAATGTTGATGAGAACTCTCATGGATGACTTTGAGGTTTCCAAGACTTCAGTGGAGGAAGTAATTGCAGATGTGGTGAAAAAGCAAGAGAATTAGAATCATAAGTGGAGCCTGAAGATGTGATTTAGTTGCTGCAATCTCATGATAAAGCTTGAATGAATGAGGAATTGCTTCTTATGGATGAGCACAAAAAAGTGGTTTGCTAAGATGGAATCTACTATTGGTGATGATGCTGTGAACATTATGGAAATTACAACAAAGAATGTAGAATATTACATAAACTTTGTTGATAAATCTGCAGCAGAGTTTGAGAAGATGACTCCAATTTTGAAGGAAGTTCTACTGTGGGTAAAATGTTGTCAAAGAGCATCACGTATTACAGATAAATCATTTGTGAAAGGAAAGGTCAATTGATGTGGCAAACATCACTGTTGTCTTATTTTAAGAAGTTGCTACAGTCACGCCAACCTTCAGCAACCATTACTCTGATTAGTCAGAAGCCATGAACATCAAGGAGAGATCCTCCTCTGCAAAAAGATTATAATGATTTGCTAAAGGCTCAGATAACCATAATCAATTTTTTAGAAATAAAATATTTTTAAATTAACCTATGTACTTTTTTTAGACATAATGCTATTACACTCTTAATAGAGTATGTTATAGCATAAATATAACATTTACATGCACTAGGAAACCAAAACATTTGTGTTACTTTCTTTATTGCTCCTTTTGCTTTGTTTCAGTGGTCTGGAACTGAACCTACAATATCTCTCAGGTATGCCAGTAATGAATGAATTTCTTTTAGATGTATACTAACTAGTGGGATTATTGAGTCATGGTAGTTTATTTTTAATTATTTGAGAAATTTCCATATTTTTATAATGTCTATACACTAATTTACATTTCAGCTGCAGTGTACAAGGATTCCTCTTTCTCAACATTCATGCCAGCACTTGTTTTTCATCATTTTTTAATTTTTAAAAAACTTTGCATGGGTACATAGTAGGTGTATATATTTATGAGTTACATGAGATATTTTGATACAGGCATGCAATGTGTAACAATTACATCAAGCATTTTTCCTCTGTGTTTCAAACAATCCAATTATACTCTTTAAGTTATTTTTTTATGTATTACTTTAACAAATGTTTGTGGGTACACAGTAGGTGTATATATGTATATGGGGTACATGAGATGTTTGATACAAGCATGCAAGGTGAAATAAACACATTAATGCAGAATAGTCCATCTGTCCCCTTAAGCATTTAATTCTTTGAGTTACAAACAATCCAATTACACTCTTCATTTTAAAATGTACAGCTATGTTATTATTGACTATAGTCACCCTATTGTACTGTCAAATAGCAGGCCTTATCCATTATTTTTAACTATATTGTTATACCCATTAACCACTCCACCTCCCCACCAGCCGCTCAACACCCTTCCCAGCCTCTGGTAACCATCCTTCTAGTCTCTATGTCCATGAGTTTAATTGTTTTGATTTTTAGATCCCACAAATAAGTGAGAACATGCAATGTTTGTCTTACTGTGCCTGGCTTATTTCACTTAACACGATGATCTCCAGTTCCATCCATGTTGCTGAAAATGACTGGATTTCATTCTTTTTTATGGCTGAATAGTACTCCATTGTGTGTAAGTACCACATTGTCTTTATCCATTAATCTGTTGGGGGAAACTTAGGTTAGCCAAATCAGCTATTGTAAACAGTGCTGTAACAAATATAGAAGTGCAGGTGTCTCTTTGATATGCCAATTTCCTTTCTTTGGGGTATATATACAGTAGTGGGATTGCTGGATCATGTGTATTAGTTCCGTTTTCACACTGCTATAAAGAACTACCTGAGACTGGGTAATTTATGAAGAGAAGATGTTAATTGGCTCAGAGTTCTGCATGGATGGGGAGGCCTCAGGAAACTTATAATTATGATAGAAGGTGAAAGGGAAGCAAGGCATGTCTTACATGGTGGAAGGAAAGAGAGAGAGCAAGGCAGGGAGTGCCACACTTTTAAACTATCAGATCTCATGAGATCTCACTATCATGAGAACAGCATGCAGTATATCCACCCCCATGATCCAATCACCTCCCACCAGGTCCCCACCCCATGACATGTGGGGATTACCAATTCCACATGAGATATGGGTGGAACACAGAGTCAAAACATATCAATATGGTGGTGCAATTTCAGATTTGTGAGGAACTTCCAAAGAGTTCTCCATAGTGGTTGTACTAATATAGTTTCTCAACAATACTGTACAAGGGTTCCCTTTTCTCCACATCTTTGCTAGCATTTGTTTTTGCCTTTTGGATGGAAGCCATTTTAATTGGGGTGCTATGATATCTTAGTGTAGTTTTGATTTGCATTCCTCTGATGAGCAATAATGTTGAGCACCTTTTCATATGCCTGCTTGCCTTTTGTGTGTCTTTTTTTGAGAAATATCTATTCAGTTGTTTTTGCCCAACTTTTGATCAAATTATTAGATTTTTTCCTATACAACTGTTGGAGTTTCTTAAATATCCTAATTATTAATCCCTTGTGAGATGAGCTGTTTGCAAATATTTCTACCATTCTGTAGGTTGTCCCTTCACTTTGTTGATTGTATTCTTTGCTGTGCAGAAGTTTGTTAACTTAATGTGATCCTATTTGTCCATTTTTGTTTTGGTTGCCTGTGCTTGTGGGATATTGCTCAATAAATTTCTGCCCAGACCAATGTCCTGGAGAGTTTCCCCAAAGTTTTATTCCAGTAGTTTCATAGTTTGAAGTCTTAGATTTAAATCTTTAATTAATTTTGATTTGATTTTTGTATATGGTGAGAGATACAGATCTAGTTTCATTCTTCTGCATATGGATATCCAGTTTTCCCAGCACCATTTATTGAAGAGACTGTCTTTCTCCCAGTGTATGTTTTTGGCACCATTTTGAAAATTAGTTTGCTGTAGGTGTGTGGATTTTCCTCTGGGTTTTCTACTCTGTTCTGCTGGTCTACATGTCTGTCTTTACAGCAACATGCTGTTTTGGTTACTATAGCTCTGTAGTATAATTTGAAGTCAAGTAATGTGATTCCTTCAGTTTTGTTCTTTTTGCTTAGGATAGCTTTGACTATTTTTGTGCGTTGGGGGGATTTGTATACATTTTGGAATTTTTTTAAATTTCTATGAAGAATATTATTGGTATTTTGATAGGGATTGCATTGAATCTGTAGATTGCCTTCTGTGTTACAGACATTTTAACAATATTGATGGTCCAATCCATGAACATAAAATATTTTTCTGTGATTTTGTGTCCTCTGTTTGCATTTTGGATTTCTTCCTGGTTCAATCATGACAGGTTGCATGAATCTAGAAATTTGTCCATTTTTTGTAGATTTTTAAATTTATTGGTGTATAGTTTCTCATAGTAGCCACTAATGATCCTTTCATTTTTTTCAATATCAGTCGCAATGTCTCCTTTTTTATTTCTGATTTTATTTATTTGTAATCTTCTTTTTTTCTTAGTTAGCCTGGCTAAAGGATTGTCAATTGTCAATTTTTTAAAAGTACAACTTTTTGTTTCATTAATATTTTGTATTACCTTTTTCATTTCAATTTCATTTATTTCTGCCATGATCTTTATTTCTTTTCTTCTACTAATTTTGGTTTGATTTTCTCTTGCTTTTCTAGTACTTTAAGATGCATTGTTAGATTGTTCATTTGAAGTCTTTCCATTTTTGCTGTAGGTACTTTTAGCTATAAATTTCCCTCATAGTACTGCTTTTGATGTATCACACAGGTTTTAGTATACTGTCTTTCCATTATCCATTGTTTCAAGAAAATTTTAAATTACCTTATAAATTTCTACATTGACCAGCTAGCCTTTCAGGAGCATATTGCTTAATTTCATGTTTGCATAGTTTCCAAAATTCTTCTTGTTAATTTCTAGCTTAAGCCCATTGTGGTCAGAGATGATGCTTAATATTATTCCAATTTTGTGATGTTTTAAGACTTGTTTTGTGACCTAACATATGATCTGTCCTTGAGAAAGATCTATGTGCTAAGGAAAAGAATATGTGTTCTGCAGGTCTTGGGTGAAATGTTCTGTAAGTATCTATTAAATTTACTTGATCTACAGTAGAGATGAAGTTTAATTTTTCTTTACTTTCTCTCTTGAAGATCTGTCCAATGGTGAAAGTGGGGTGTTAAAGTCTCCAGGTATTATTGTAATGGGACCTATCTTTTTTTTCAGCTCTAATAATATTTACTTTATATATCTGGGTGCTCCAGTGTTGGATGAATATATATTTAACATTTTTCTATTCTCTTGCTGATTTTACCCTTTTATAATTTTACAGTGAACTTCTTTGTCTCTTATAGTTTTTGTCTTGAAATTTATTTTGTCTGATATAAGTACAGCAACTCCTGCTCTTTTATGGTTTCCATTGGCATGGAATATCCTTTTTCATCCTTTTATTTTCAGTCTATGTGTATCTTTATAGGTGAAGTGTGTTTCTTGTAGGCAAGAGATCAATGGTTCTTGTTTTTTTATCCATTCAGTCAGTCTCTGTCTTTTGATTGCAGAGCTCAGTCCATTTACACTCAACATTATTATTGATATGTAAGGACTTACTGCTGCCATTTTATTTTATTTTTGTTGTTTTGTGGTCTTCTCTTTCTTCTTTCTTTCCTTCCTGTCTTCCTCTAGTGAAGGTGCTTTTTTCTGATGATATGGTTTTTAGCTTCTTGCTTTGTGTATGTGTGTTCACTGTATGATTTTTGGTTTGAAGTTACCATGAGGATTGCAAATACTGTCTTGTAACTCATTATTTCAACCTGATAACAACTTAACACTATTTGCATAAACAAACAAACAGACAAAAAGAAAACTAATAACACTTTGACAACTTAACATCATTTCCCTGCTTTTTAAACTATCTGTTGCTCCTTCCATGAGGGGGCATCATCTGAGATTTGTCTGGTTTTCCTTTCTTGTTTTACAGGACAGCACGGACTTCCATGCCTCACAATTTCTGTGTTCTCCCACTTCCAGCACCCAGAGATGCTCTCCACACCATTCTGCTGCTTCCTGGGTTGGTGGTGGCATGGTATATGTAATTCAGAACTATTTTTTCTATTTCTTCAGTACCTCTTTCAGTGACATGAAATTAAAACTAGGTAGTATGCTCACCTGATTTTTGGTTCTTAGGAAGGTGTTTTTTTTTTTTTTTCATGTGTAGATAGTTGTTAACTTGGTGTCCTTGTTGTGGGCATGGAATGTGAAGCTTTCTAATTCACCATCTTGCTCCACCTCTCTAAATTATTTTAAAATGTATAATTAAATCATGTTTATACTATAGCCACCCTGTTATTTTAGCAAATACTGGGTCTTATTTATTCTTTTTAACTTTTTTTGGTACCCATTAATCATCTCTTCCCCAACCCTAAGTACTCTGGCCAGCTTCTGGTAAACCGTTCTTATACTCTATATCCATGAATTCAATTGTTCTATTTTGTAGCACCCACAGATAAGTGAGAAAAGTGATGTTTGTCTTTCTGTGCCTGCCTTGTTTCACTTAACATAATCCCTTACAGTTCCATCCAAATTGTTGCAAATGACAGTATCTCATTATCTGTTGTGGCTGAATAGTACTCCATTTTGTATATGTACCTTATTGTCTTTAAGAATTTATCTTTGTGAATAATGCTGCAAAAAACATGGGACTGCAGATAAGTCTTCAGTATGCTGATTTCCTTTCTTTAGGGTATTTATCTAGGCACTGGATTGCTGGATCATATGGTAACTCTATTTTAATTTTTTATGGGACCTCCAAACTGTTATCCATACCAGTTTTACTAATGTACATGCCCACCAACAGTTTATGAGGGTTTCCTTTGCTTCACATTCTTGACAGCATATGCTATTGCTTGTCTTTTGGATAAAAGAATTTTTTTTTTTTTTTGAGACGGAGTTTTGCTCTTGTCACCCAGTCTGAGTGCAATGGTGTGTTCTCAGCTCACTGCAACCTCTGCCTCCCGGGTTCAAGCAATTCTCCTGCCTCGGTCTCCTGAGTAGCTGGGATTATAGGCGCCCACAACCATGTCCAGTTAATTTTTTGTATTTTTAGTAGAGACGGAGTTTCACCATGTTGTCCAGGCTGATCTCTAACTCCTGACCTCAGATGATCAACCCCCCTCAGCCTCCCAAAATGCTGGGATTACAGGTGTGAACCACCACATCTGGCATTTGGTGAAATGATATCTCATTTTACTTTTGATTTGAGTTTCCCTGATGATCAGTAATGTTGAGCACCTTTTCATATACCTCTTTGCCATTTGTATGTCTTTTTTGAGTAATGTCTATTCAGATCTTTTGCCCATTTTAAAATAATATTATTATATTTTTTTCTTATAGAACTGTTTAAGCTCCTTATATATTCTGGTTGTTGATCTCTTGTTAAATGGGTAGTTTGCAAATATTTTTCTCTCATTCTGTGGATTGTCTCTTCACTGTGTTGATTGTTGCCTTTGCTGTGCAGAAGCTTCTTATGTTGATATGATCTCATTTTTCTATTTTTCTTTTGTTGCCTGTGTCTGTGGGATATTGCTCAAAAGGTTTTTGTCCACTTCCATGTCCTGGAGAGTTTCCCAAAAGTTTTTTGTAGTAGGTTCATAGTTTGGGGTCTTAGCATTAAGTCTTTCATTCATTTTGATTTGTATATGTCTAGAGATAGGGGTCTAGTTTCATTCTTCTGCATATGGATATCCAGTTTTCCCAGCACCATTTGTTGAAGAGATTGTCCTTATTCTAATGTATGCTCTTAAAATCTTTCTTGAAAATGAGTTAATTGTAGGTGTATAGATTTATTTCTGGGTTTTCTATTCTGTTTCATTGGTCTATGTGTCTATTTTTATTCCAGTACCGTGCTTTTTTGGTTACTATTGCTCTGTGGTATAACTTAGTCAGTTAATTTGATTTCTCCAGCTTTTTTCTTTATGCTTGTGATAGATTTGGATATAGTGCATCTTTTATGGTTCCATATAAATTTCAGGATTATTTTCTCTATTTCTGTGAAGAATGTTCTTGATATTTTGATAGTGGTTGGGTTAAATCTGTAGATTGCCTTGGGTAGTATGGACATTTTAACAATATTGATTCTTCTAATTTATGAACATGGATATCTTTCTATTTTTTGGTCCTCTTCAATTTATTTTATCAGTGTTTTATAATTTTCATCGCTAATATATTTTACTACTTTGGTTAAGTTTTTTCCTAGGTACTTTTTATTCATAACTATTATAAATGAGATGACTTTTTAATTGCTTTTCTACAACGTTCACTGTTGGCATATAAACATGCTACTTATTTCTATACGTTGATTTTGTATCCTGTAACTTTGCTGAATTTGTTTATCAGTTCTAATAGTTTTCTTTTGGAGTCTGTACATTTTTTCCAAATATAATATCACATCATCTCCAAAAAAGGATAATTTGACTTATTACTTTTCAATTTGGATGCCGTTTATATCTTACTCTTGTTTGATAGCTCTAGCTAAGACTTCTAGTACTATGTTAAATAACAGTGGTTACAGTGGACATCCTTTTTGTGTTCTAGATCTTAGAGAAAAGGCTTTCATTTTTTTCCCATTCGGTATGATACTAGCTGTTGGTCTTTCCCATTTGTGTGTCATTATGCTTAGGTATATTACTTTGATCTCCAGTTTTTTGAGGGTTTTTATCAGGAAGTCATTTGAATTTTATCAAATGTTTTTTCACCATCAATTGGAAAGATAATGTTTTTTGCCTTTCATTCTGTTGATATAATATATTACATTGATTTGCATATGTTGAGCTATTATTGCATTCCAGGGATAAATCCTACTTGGTCATGCTGAATGAACTTTGTAATGTGCTATTGAATTCAGTTTGCTAATATTTGGTTGAGGGTTTTTCCATCAATATGCATCAGTGATAGTGGCCTGTGGTTTTCTTTTTTGATATGTCATTGTCTGTTTTTGGCATCAGGCTAATACTGGCCTCATAGAATAAATGTGGAAGCATTCTTACCTCTTCTAGTTTTCAGAATAAGTTCACTAGGTTTGGTATTATTTCCTTCCAAGAAGACTTTTTATTACATCTTCAATCTTGTTACTTATTGTTGGTCTATCCTGGTTTTGGATATCTTCATGGTTCAATCTTGATAGCTGGCATGTGTCTAAAAATTTGTCCAGATTTTCTAATTTATTGGCATACAGTTGCTCATAAAAGCCACTAATAATCCTTTGAATTTCTGTGGTGTCAGTTGTAATGTCTCCTTTTTCATCTCTAATTTTATTTAGCTGGAAATGCTCTCTCTCTTTCTTTTTATTTAGTCTGGCTAAAGTTTGTCAATTTTGTTTAATTTTTTTTTAGAAAAACCACTTCTTATTTCATTAATCTTTTTTATTGTCTTCTTGAGTCCAATTTCATTTATTAATTCTCTGATTTTTAGTACTTATTTTCTTCTACTAATTTTTGGCTTTATGTGCTTTTGCTATTTTAATTTTTTAAAGATGCATCTTTAAGTTTATTTATTTGAAGTTTTCTTTCTTTTTTAGTGCAGGCATTTATAATCATAAACTTCTATTTTATTACTCAGTTTGTTGTATTCCATAGGTATGTCATATTTCCATTATCATTTTTTTAAGAAATTATTCAAATTTCTTCTTAATTTCTTCATTGGCACATGGGTCATTCAGGAACTTGTTAATTCCCATTTATTCATATAATTTCCAAAATCTATCTTGTTACAAATCCTACATTTTTTCCATTATGGTCAGAGAATATGCTTAATATTTTTTCAATGTTTTTGTATATTTTAAGACTTGTTTTGTGGCCTAACAGATGGTCTATATTTGAGAATGATCCATGTGCTAAGGGAAAAAAAGTATATTCTGCAGGTGTTTGATAAAATGATCTGTAAATATCTCTTAGGTCCATTTGGTCAATGGTGCAGATTAAGTCCCATGTTTCTTTTTTGATATTCTGTCTGGAAGAACTGTCCAGTGCTGAAAGTGGAGTGTTGAAGTCTCAGCTTTCATTGCATTATGGTTATCTCTCTCTTTAGCTATAATAATATTTGGTTTATATATATGAGTGTTTGTCTGGCTTTGGAATGAGGTTGATGCCTACCTTGTAAAATGAGTTTGCTAGTCTCCCCTCCTATTTTATTTTTTGGAAGAATTTGAGAAGGATTGACCTTAATTCTTCTTTAAATGTTTGATGGAGTTAACCAGTGAAGCTATCAAGTTCTGAGCTTTTCATTCTTGGGAGGTTTTGGATTACTAATTCGATATTTTTATCCATTTTTGATTTGTTCAGATTTCATATTTCTCAATGGTTTAGTCTTGATAGGCTGTATGTTTGTAGGAATTTAACCATTTTTTTCAAGTTTATCCAGTTTCTTGGCATATAGTTTTTCATAGTAATCTTTTATGGCCATTTTTATGTCCATGGCGTTAGTTTTAATGTCGTGTCTTTAATTTGTAATTTTGCTTGTTTATTCTCTCTTATCTCAATCTAGCTAAAGGTTTGTCAATTTAGTTTATCTTTTTCAAAAAAGCAACTCTTAGTTACATTAATCTTTTCTATTGCTTTTCCTTGTATCTATCTTATTTATTTCTGCTGTGTTCTGTGTTATTTTCTTTATTCTGCTGAAGTTGAGCTTCATTTTTTCTTCTTTCTCTAGTTCCTTGAAGTCTCAGGTTAGGTTGATTATTTGAGATCTTTCTTATTCCCTATTGTTGGCTTACATTGCTATAAATGCCCTTCTTAAAATTACTTTTCTGCTGCATAAATGTTTTGTTATGTTTTGTTTCCATTTTCATTTTTCTTAAGACTTTTATTTTCCTTTTTTGGACCCACTAATTGTTCAGAAGTTAGTGGTTTAATTTCAACTTATTAGTGAATTTTCTCATTTTCATCTTGTTGATGTTTATTTAGTCTTATTCCATTGTGTTCAGAAAAAAAAATACTTGATGTGATTTAATCTTCTTAAATGTTTTATTAAGAATTGTTTGTGGCTGGACATATGGTCTATTCTGGAGAGTGTTCTGTGTGTGCTGAATAGAATGTGTATTCTGCTGCTGTTGGATGGAATGTTCTGTACATGTGTGTTGAGCCAGTTGTTCAAATCCACTGTTTTCTTATTGATTTTCTGTCCAGATGATCTATCCATTGTTGAACATGTGGTTTTGAAGTTCTCTACTGTATTTTGCATTTGCTACTATTTTTGCATTTGCATTTTTGCAGAAATGCAAAATAGTCTTCCTTCAGCTCTGTTAATATTTGCTTTATATATTTAGTTGCTGTCATGCTGGTTGCATATGTATTTACAATTAATTGCTATGCCTTCTTGATGAATTGTCCCCTTTATCATTATATAATGCTTTTTTGTCTTTTGTCACAGTTTGGACTTAAAATCTCTATTTTGTTTGATATTAGTAGACATATCCCTGCTCTTTGTGATTACCCATTGTATGAAGTATGTTTTTCCATACTGTCACTTTCAGCCTATCTGCATCCTTCAAGCTGAACTGTGACTCTTGTAGAAAACATAAGTTGGATCTTGTTTTTCTATTTAGTCACTTTATTCCTTTTTATTGGAAAATTGAATCTATTTTCATTTTAAGTAATTTTTGATACTAAGAACTTACCACTGCCATTGTGTTTTCTGTCTCTTTTGTAATTCTTTTGTTCATCTGTTCCTCTCTTGCTGTCTGTCTTTGTGATTTGATGACTTTTACCAGTATGTTTTGTTTTCTCTTTATCATCTGTGTATCTAATATTCGCTTTTTATGTAGTTACCATGAGACTTAGAATATACATCTTACATAAAATTGTGTACTATTTGCATATAACCTTCACATATCTATTCATGTATACTTTAAATCATCTCTAGATGTAAGCATAATATGTAATATTATGTAAATTCTATGTAAATACCTGTTATACTGTATTTTAAAATTTGTATTATTTTATTGTTATTGGGTTTTAAAACATATTTTTGATCTGTGGTTAGTTGATAATCTGGATGCTGAACTTGCATATATGGAGTGCTAACTGCATACTGGTTTCCTTGATGGTATCCCATAAGTCCCACATGCTTTCATCACCTTTTTCTTTTATTTTTGTTACTGTTGCTTTTGAGTGGGCAATTTCAAATAATCTGTCTTGTGGTCACTGCTTTATTTTTCTGTGTTATTGAGCCTGTTATTTCCAGCTTTCTCTAGAAATTTTTAGTTCAGTCATTGTGCTCCAGAATTTCTATTTGGTTCCCTTTTATGCTTTCTATCTCTTTGTCAAATGTTTCATTTTTTTGAAGTATTGTTTTCCTGTTATCATTTATCCACAGCAAAGGGCCTGGAGCCTGGGTTCACTGTAGCAGGCCTCTATCCTGGGTCTGCAGGTGGCATACTAGATTCTAAGTCTGCAGTTGGTGGCCTGGAAGCTAGGTCTATAGGGGTTGGCCTGGATGCTGGATCTGTGGGAGCAAGCCTAGTATGTGTCTGGGCCTGAAGGATGAGTCTGTGGGCTAAGCCTGGATCCTGGGGCTGTGGGGGGTAATTCTGCAGCCTAAGGCCATAGGCTGGCCTGGTGCTGGGGCCTACTGAAGCAGGTCTGGTCTCGGGGTCCACTGGAGTGTGGGGCCATGAATACTAGCATAGAGCCTTGGTGTGTGCATGCTGGCCTCATGCCTAGTGCCATGTAAGCCAAACTGGAGGTGGGGTCTGTCAGTTTTGTTCTGACACTCTAGCAGGCCTGGAGGCTGGGTCTGTGGATGCCAGCATGGAGTCTAATGCTGTGGGGACTAGCCTGGTGCTGGGGCTTCTCCAGAGTATGGGAGGGGCCTGGAACCTCAATATATAGGGACTGGCCTATAGCTGTGGTGAGCCTGGTAACTAGGCCAGATATATTAGTATGGATAATTTACCTATCATTTATGTGCCTCAATTTTCTCATGTATAAAATAGGAGCAATGTCATGGTTTTTGCCGAGACATGGGGGAGGGATAATATGGATAACATAAAACTTTCTTTCCTTCCCTCTTTGATGTGTCTTTTCTTATTTCTGTGCTATGTCCAGGTGCTATAATCTCTCGCCTGGATTCCTTTACTCTTGTGAACATATTTTTGTTCATGGATAGTTTTATTTTTTGTAATTGTCATTGTTTGTGTTGCTTGTTTGTTTTGGTTTTTAAGAGAGTTTTGCTCTGATCACCCAGGTTGGAATGCAGTGGCATCATCTATAGCTCACTGCAGCTTTAAACTCCTGGGCTCAAGCAATCCTCCCACCTCAGCCTTTCAAGTAGCTGATACCACAGGCTCATACCATGACAATAGGCTAATTACTTTTTTTTTTTTTTGTAGAGATTGGGGTCTCGCTTTGTTGCTCAGGCTATGGATTGTTTTTCAAACTGATGTTTCTACAAGAGGATGAGTGCTGAAAAGTTCTATCCAACAATGTTGCTGCTGTCACTCCCACTTAATGTTTTATATGTTTACTTGTTTCACTTTTAAAAATGGAGCTAATTATGGAGCTGCTCTGGAAGGGTTAGTGAAATAACTTACATAAATTACCTAGTATAGTGCCTGTATATAGTGCACATCCAACAGACAGCAATTCTGCCCTTTCCAATTAGTAAATTGCTACAATAAGAGTAATTCCACTTTCCTGTGATTATAAAGATTGAATGAGGTACATGTATACAGGACTTTAAAGGGTTATATCCCACATTACTTTAAAGTAATATTATTAACAAATACATGTGTAGAATAGTCATTATTGCAGAGCCTTCTGGTCAGTGTGTGCTGAGCTTCTGAGCATAGGCCTGCTAAGGTATAGAGTAGGCATAGAGGGTTTGGCTACTTGTCTGAGTCAGAACTACATTTGAAGTGATTTGAGTAAGGTGAGAGCAGACAATAAGGGGAAGTAATGATAAGGAAAGTACTCATGTAACCAAATACCACCTGTACCCCAATAACTTATGGAAAAATATTAATTTTAAAAATAAAAAAATAAATAAATGAAAAGAAAAAGAAAAATAGAAGGAAGCTAGGGGACAGGATTCTTTTTTCAACATTAGAAATAGTGTTTTCCAAGAAAAGAGTGACCACTACTGGAAAAAGCTGTGGATAAATCAAGTAAGAAGACGAGTGAAAAAAGCAAGTCGGGCAGTTCCAACATGGCCGAATAGGAACAGCTCCAGTCTACAGCTCCCGGCATGAGCGACAAAGAAGATGGATGATTTCTGCATTTCCAACTGAGATTCGAAGACACTAGTTGTTCTCCCAGAACGCAGCTTGAGATCTGAGAATGGACAGACTGCCTCCTGAAGTGGGTCCCTGACCCCCAATTAGCCTAACTGGGAGGCACCCCCCAGTAGGGGCAGACTGACACCCCACACGGACAGGTACCACTCTGAGACAAAACTTCCAGAGGAACGATCAGGCAGCAACATTTGCTGTTCACCAATATCTGCTGTTCCGCAGCCTCTGCTGCTGATTCCCAGGAAAACAGGGTCTGGAGTGGACCTCTGGCAAACTCCACAGACTTGCAGCTGAGGGTCCTGACTGTTTGTTAGAAGGAAAACTAACAAACAGAAAGGACATCCACACCAAAACCCCATCTGTGCGTTACCATCATCAAAGACCAAAGGTAGATAAAACCACAAAGATGGGGAAAAAACAGAGCAGAAAAGCTGAAAATTCTAAAAATCAGAGCCCCTCTCCTCCTACAAAGGAAAGCAGCTCCTCACCAGCAACGGAACAAAGCTGGATGGAGAATGACTTTGACAAGTTGAGAGAAGAAGGCTTCAGAGGATGAAACTTCTCCGAGCTAAAGGAGGAAGGTCAACCCCATCGCAAAGAAGTTAAAAACCTTGAAAAAAGATTAGGCAAATGGCTAACTACAATAACCAATGCAGAGAAGTCCTTAAAGGACCTGATGGAGCTTAAAACAATGGCACAAGAACTACATGATGAATGCACAAGCCTCAGTAGCCAATTCGATAAACTGGAAGAAAGGGTATCAGTGATGGAAGATCAAATGAATGAAATAAAGTGAGAAGAGAAGTTTAGAGAAAAAGGAAATGAACAAAGCCTCCAAGAAATATGGGACTATGTGAAAAGACCAAATCTACATCTGATTGGTGTACCTGAAAGTGATGGGGAGAATGGAACCAAGTTGGAAAACACTCTGCAGGATATTATCCAGGAGAACTTCCCCAATCTAGCAAGGCAGGCCAACATTCAAATTCAGGAAATACAGAGAATGCCACAAAGATACTCCTCGAGAAGAGCAACTCCAAGACACATAATTGTCAGATTCACCACAGTTGAAATGAAGGAAAAAATTTTAAGGGCAGCCAGAGAGAAAGGTTGGGTTACCCACAAGGGGAAGCCCATCAGGCTAACAGCTGATCTCTCAGCAGAAACTCTATAAGCCAGAAGAGAGTGGGGGCCAATATTCAACATTCTTAAAGAAAAAAATTTTCAATCCAGAATTTCATATCCAGCCAAACTATGCTTCATAAGTGAAGGAGAAATAAAATCCTTTACAGACAACCAAATGCTAAGAGATTTTGTCACCACCAGGCCTGCCCTAAAAGAGCTCCTGAAGGAAGCACTAAACATGGAAAGGAACAACTGGTACCAGCCACTGCAAAAACACGCCAAATTGTAAAGACCATTGAGGCAAGGAAGAAACTGCATCAACTAACGAGCAAAATAACCAGCTAACATCATAATGACAGGATCAAATTCACACATAACAATATAAACCTTAAATACAAATGGGCTAAATCCTCCAATTAAAAGACACAGACTGGCAAATTGGATAAAGAGTCAAGACCCCTCAGTGTGCTGTATTCAGGAAACCCATCTCACGTGCAGAGACACACATAGGCATAAAATAAAGGGATGGAGGAAGATCTACCAAGCAAATGGAAAACAAAAAAAAGGCAGGGGTTGTATTCCTAGTCTCTGATAAAACAGACTTTAAACCAACAAAGATCAGAAGAGACAAAGAAGGCCATTACACAATGGTAAAGGGATAAATTCAACAAGAAGAGCTAACTATCTTAAATATATATGCATCCAATACAGGAGCACCCAGATTCATAAAGCAAGCCCTTAGAGACCTACAAAGAGACTTAGACTCCTACACAATAATAATGGGAGACTTTAACACCCAAATTTAAACAAAAGACAGACCAACGAGACAGAAAGTTAACAAGGATATCCAGGAATTGAACTCAGCTCTGCACCAAGTGGACCTCATAGACATCTACAGAATTCTGCAACCCAAATCAACAGAATATACATTCTTCTCAGCACCACACCGCACTTATTCCAAAATTGACGGCATAGTTGGAAGTAAAGCACTCCTCAGCAAATGTAAAAGAACAGAAATTATAACCAACTGTCTCTCAGACCACAGTGCAATCAAACTAGAACTCAGGATTAAGAAACACACTCAAAGGCGCTCAACTACATGGAAACTGAACAACCTGCTCCTGAATGACTACTGGGTACATAACGAAATGAAGGCAGAAATAAAGATGTTCTTTGAAACCAACGAGAACAAAGACACAACGTACCAGAATCTCTGGGACACATTTAAAGCAGTTTGTAGAGGGAAATTTATACCACTAAATGCCCACAAGAGAAAGCAGAAAAGATCTAAAATTGACACCCTAACATCACAATTAAAAGAACTAGAGAAGCAAGAGGAAACACATTCAAAAGCTAGCAGAAGGCAAGAAATAACTAAGATCAGAGCAGAACTGAAGGAGATAGAGACACAAAAAAAGCTTCAAAGAAACCAATGAATCCAGGAGCTGGTTTTTTGAAAAGATCAACAAAATTAATAGACTGCTAGCAGGACTAAAAAAGAAGAAACGAGAAGAATCAAACAGATGTAATAAAAAGTGATAAAAGGGAGATCACCACCGATCCCACAGAAATACAAACTACCATCAGAGCATACTATAAATACCTGTACGCAAATAAACTATAAAATCTAGAAGAAATGCATAAATTCCTCAACACATACACCCTCCCAACACTAAACAAGGAAGAAGTTGAATCTCTGAATAGACCAATAACAGGTTCTTAATTGAGGCAATAATTGATAGCTTACCAACCAAAAAAAGTCCAGGACCAGATGGATTTACAGCCGAATTCTACCAGAGGTACAAAGAGGAGCTGGTACCATTCCTTCTGAAACTATTCCAATGAATAGAAAAAGAGGGAATCCTCCCTAACTCACTTTATGAGGCCAGCATCATCCTGATACCAAAGCCTGTCAGAGACAAAACCAAAAAAGAGAATTTTAGACCAATTTCCTTGATGAACATTGATGCAAAAATCCTCAATAAAATACTGGCAAACCAAATCCAACAACACATCAAAAAGCTTATCCACCATGGTCAAGTGGGCTTCATCCCTGGGATGCAAGGCTGGTTCAACATATGCAAATCAATAAACATAATCCAGCATATAAATAGAACCAACGACAAAAGCCACATGATTATCTCAATAGATGCAGAAAAGGCCTTTGACAAAATTCAACACCCCTTCATGCTAAAAACTCTCAATAAATTAGGTATTGATGGGATGTATCTCAAAATAATAAGAGCTATTTATGACAAACCCACAGCCAATATCATACTGAATAGGCAAAAACTGGAAGCATTCCCTTTGAAAATCAGCACAAGACAGGGATACCCTCTCTCACCACTCCTATTCAACATAGTGTTGGAAGTTCTGGCCAGGGCAATTAGGCAGGAGAAGGAAATAAAGGGTATTCAATTAGGAAAAGAGGAAGTCAAATTGTCCCTGTTTGCAGATGACATGATTGTATATCTAGAAAACCCCATTGTCTCAGCCCAAAATCTCCTTAAGCTGATAAGCAACTTCAGCAAAGTCTCAGGATACAAAATCAATGTGCAAAAATCACAAGCATTCTTATACACCAATAACAGACAAACAGAGAGCCAAATCATGAGTGAACTCCCATTCACAATTGCTTCAAAGAGAATAAAATACCTAGGAATCCAACTTACAAGGGATGTGAAGGACCTCTTCAAGGAGAACTACAAACCACTGCTCAACGAAATAAAAGAGGATACAAACACATGGAAGAACATTCCATGCTCATGGATAGAAAGAATCAATATCATGAAAATGGCCATACTGCCCAAGGTAATTCATAGATTCAATGCCATCCCCATCAAGCTACCAATGACTTTCTTCACAGAATTGGAAAAAACTACTTTAAAGTTCATATGGAACCAAAAAAGAGCCCACATTGCCAAGTCAATCCTAAGCCAAAGAAGAAAGCTGCAGGCATCATGCTACCTGACTTCAAACTGTACTACAAGGCTACAGTAACCAAAACAGCATGGTACTGGTACCAAAACAGAGATATAGACCAATGGAATAGAACAGAGCCCTCAGAAATAATACGACACATCTATAATTATCTGATCTTTGACAAACCTGATAAAAACAAGAAATGGGGAAAGGATTCCCTGTTTAATAAATGGTGCTGGGAAAACTGGCTAGCCATATGTGGAAAGCTGAAACTGGACCTCTTCCTTACACCTTATACAAAAATTAATTCAAGACGGATTAAAGACTTAAATGTTAAACCTAAAACCATAAAAACCCTAGAAGAAAACCTAGGCAATACCATTCAGGACATAGGCATGGACAAGGACTTCATGTCTAAAACACCAAAAGCAATGGCAACAAAAGCCAAATTTGACAAATGGGATATAATTAAACTAAAGAGCTTCTGCACAGCAAAAGCAACTTCCATCAGAGTGAACAGGCAACCTACAGAATGGGAGAAAATTTTTGCAATCTACTCATCTGACAAAGGCCTAATATCCAGAATCTACAATGAACTCAAACAAATTTACAAGAAAAATCAGACAACCCCATCAACAATGGGCGAAGGATATGAATAGACATTTCTGAAAAGAAGACATTTATGCAGCCAACAGAGGCATGAAAAAATGCTCATCATCACTGGCCATCAGAGAAATGCAAATCAAAACCACAATGAGATACCATCTCACACCAGTTAGAAGGGCGATCACTAAAAAGTTAGGAAACAACAGGTGCTGGAGAGGATGTGGAGAAATGGGGACACTTTTACACTGTTGGTGGGACTGTAAAGTAGTTCAACCATTGTGAAAGTCAGTGTGGCTATTCCTCCGGGATCTAGTACCAGAAATACCATTTGACCCAGCCATCCCATTACTGCATGTATACCCAAAGGTGCATAAATCATGCTGCTATAAAGACACATGCACACGTATGTTTATTGCAGCACTATTCACAGTAGCAAAGGCTTGGAACCAACCCAAATGTCCAACAATGATAGACTGGATTAAGAAAATGTGGCACATATACACCATGGAATACTATGCAGCCATAAAAAATGATGAGTTCATGTCCTTTGTAGGGACATGGATGAAGCTGGAAACCATCATTCTTAGCAAACTATCGCAAGGACAAAAAACCAAACACCACGTGTTCTCACTCATAGGTGGGAATTGAACAATGAGAACACTTGGACACGGGAAGGGGAACATCACACCCGGGGCCTGTTGTGGGGTGGGGGAAGGAGGGAGGGATAGCATTAGGAGATACACCTAATGTAAATGATGAGTTAATGGGTGCAGCACACCAACATGGCACATGTATACATATGTAACAAACCTGCATGTTGTGCACATGTACCCTGAAACTTAAAGTATAATAAAAAAAAGAAAAAAAAAGATGAGAGAAAATGTTTCCTAAAATTTGGCAGTTAAGTGGTCCCCTGTAGCTTTAGGGAGAACAAATGGGGCTAGAAGCCAGATTATAGTAGGTTGGGGAGCTAATGGAAATTAAAGTCATGGAAACAGTTATTAGAGAAAACTCTATCCAGAAATTTGGCTAAGAAAAAAAATGAGACGAGGCTGTTGTTTGAGAAAGAGGAAATGTGGTAGAAGGGTTGATTTTATTTTGTAGTGGGAGGAATTCAAATATGTTTACGAGTTAAAGGGGTAGGCACAGAAGACAGGTAAATAATGATGCCATAGAGAGTGGGGGTAATTGATGGAGAAAGATTCATAAATATCAGGGGAGGCATTCTCTCCTCTTCTTCAAGAGGAAAGGCCAAGATGAATGAAGACAGAGAGAACCTTATAGGAATTAGGGAAGAAGTTATAGGCACTAAATGCCTAATAGAATCTGTTTTATTGATGAAGAAGAAAAGAGTCAATGTTTCTGGGCTAAGAATTCAGTGCTAAAGTAGGAACTTAACCTTTACTTCTAAAGGTAGAGGTTTAGAATAGCTCTTCAGAGAGGATGGAAGGAGCCTCTGATTGGAAGGGAAAGCAAGGATTGTACATTTGAGTGTGACAGTGAATAATTAAGGCATCAGCTATTCTTGAGAATCCTGGGTCAATTGCCACTTATTGGTTGTGGCACTGATAGATGGCATAGATAAGTCACCTATCGTTTCTGTGCCTCAATTTTGTCATCTATAAAATAGGAGTGATGTCATGGTTTTTGCCTCATAGGATTATTGTGATGATTAAATGAGCTATTGCATACAGAACATTTGGCATAGGGCCTGACATATAGAGTTCATCAAGCATTGATCAAGTGTTGGCTATTATTATTATTTTGGGTGTGGGTTTCAATTCCTTTTTAGCCATCTTATTTTTATTGTGGCACACCTGAGGCCTGGGAGCTCATTATAGAAGGATACATTCAAATGTGAACATTTTTCTCCTTGGGCTTATTCAACAGATATATTGATATATATAATATGTAAAAATGTATTGAGCGCTTAAAATACTCTAGGTACAGTTTTGCATGTGGAAATTTGTGAAATGGTATATAAGGTCCCTGCCACATAGGTTCACACTCCAGTGAGAGAAGTTAGAATCAGGCCAGAGGGACAATGGAGGGTGGGAGGAACTCTGTAAAATCCCTGCACTTGAGGGGCAAGTGGAGAATGAGAATCCATAAAATGCTGTAGAGAAATAAGTGAAACTAGAAGACATTAGTTCCATGAAAGTCAAGGGAAGAGAGTCAGAAAGAAAAGAATCCAGACAATGTTGGATGTTTTAGATAATTCAAATAAGAAAACAGAAGAATCCATGGGTTTGATAGTATGAAAATCATGGGTGACCTTGAGAAGAGCAAAATGTAGTGAGTTTGGAAATGAAGAGGTGGAGGTGAGGATATGAAAAGAATTAATCTTAGTTCAGAATGGAAAGACAATTTAGGAGAAAGAGCCAGAGGAAGAAAGACCATGAAGATACAAATAAAGCAAAATGGAATAGACAGGAGTAAACACAGATGGAGACAGGAGGGACAGGAGGAAACTCTGAGGTAAGAAACAGGATGAACTTGAATGTGGAGATGTCAGAAGTTGTTTAGACTTCAAGTTTCGTGCCCTTTTACATTCTCGGTGAAACTGGAGGTGAAGTCATCTGCTAGGGGTTTGGGAGCTGTGTTGAGCACTTGACTTAAGAAGAGTGAGTTTTAAAAGCCATCTTGGGCAAGTGGAATAGAAGATTATTTAAAATGAGAGATAACACTATTGGACTGTGCTAGAATCTAGCTGAAGTTTGAAAATTCCCATGGCTAGAAGTAACTCTTATACCCCAGCTTTCTAATTCAGAAGACCTAAGCCTGTATACACCACTGCAGCAAACATTTATGGCCAAGTTTATCTACACACATCTCACAGGCTAAAGAGAACAAGAAGCTGATATTGTGTTCAGGGACATCCTTAGCAATGTTTGAGTTTACAGGGGTTGCCCCACAGGCCTCAGCATCCCCTTAGTCTTTCAGCTTCTTTTCCTGCCCCCTGGTCCCAGTCTTGAGAGGAGCTATAAGGGCCCCATTCTGCCTGGATAACCATGAAGCTCCTTCATGAAAGGTGGTCCTGCCATTGTTGGACACTAGAATTAGAGGCTACCCAGGATTCTCTGAGACACAGCCAAGGCCAGTATTCCCCTGAGTGACCCTAAGTAACCTCTGAGAGAGAGCTGAGGGGTGGCATCAGAGAGCCCTGAATCTCACTGAGCCCCAGAATCTGTCTGGTCCCAGAGATAAGCAGAGTGGAGGCTGGTCCTGCCTATCCTGCTGTCAGGTTAGGCTGGTTCCAGCAGTAGAATGTAGGTAGAGAAACTCTGTACTGATAGTTCTCAGTTTGGGTTCACAAAGTGACTCCTGTTTATCATAAAAGGAGGGGCTGTGGAAAGCCCCCAAGAAATTAGCTGATCCAAACTTAGTTCTGCTGCACAAGCACATGGAGCTAGAGTGGCTCCCCCACAGAGAGCAGAGTTGAGAGCCTTAACCCTACTCACCACCACACTGCACCGGGGGTCCTGGGGCTATGTTGAGAAAAAGCTCACCTACCCAGTGGATTTCAAAAGGCCTAGGCAATCCCATTAGCTTGTACTAGCTAGGGTATTCAAGAAAGTCCACTTTGATAAAGTGACATTTAAGCAGGGATATGGAGGAAGTGAGAAAAGGAGCCATGCTGATATCTGGGGGAAGAATTGGCTAGGCTGAAGGAGCAGCAAGTGCAAAGACCAGAGTCTTGAGCATGCTTTGAGTGTTGGAAAAAATATCAAGGCCGCCAGTTGGGGTTGGGTATGGTGGTCAAGGCGAGTGGTAAGAGGTGAGATCAGAGATAGAGGGGCAGGTTAGTGAGGATGGGATGGCGTGGGATAGATTGTAGACTATTATAGACCATAGTTAAGGATTTTGGGTTTTCTGCTGAATAAGAAGCCAACCAGTAGAATTGCTTGGACAGACTTAGACTGATGTACTTTTAAAAGGATCATTCTGGTTGCTCTGCTGAGAATTGACTGGAGTGGGGTAAGCATGAGAGCAAGGAGAGCTATTGGAGGATATGGCAATAATTCAGGTGAAAAGTAATCGTGGCTTGCACCAGAGTGGTTGCAGTGAAGGTGCTAAGAAGTTGGTGAAATTCAGAGTTTATCTCTGAGGCAGGAGGCAGAGCTGATAGGATGTGCTGATGGGTTGAATGTGAGGTGTGAGCAAAAGGAGAGGGGAGGATAATTCTAATGATTGTGGCTTCATAGATTATGAAGATAAAATGAATTAATTCATGAAAAAAATTTGAGCAGTGCCTGGCAAGTGCTTAGTGAGGGCCAGCTAACTGTTATAGTATTATTGGACAAGTTATGGTGGAGGACAGTGGTTTCATATTTGCTGCTTATAATCACTTTCCACAATAGCTTGTGGACTCTGACATATCCCTGGTACCTCTATCTCAAGTTTCCTCCTGTACTTCCAGGCAGAATCACAGAGTACAAGGAGCCTCTTCATCTACAAAATGAGGATGGTAACCTCAACCTCATAGAATGGTTGTAAGGTATAAAGGGACACATATGCATGATTTATAGGTGCTCAGTAAATGTTATTCTTGTCCACCTTCTAAACCTTTGCTACTAAAACTATGGTCTGTGGCCCAGCACCATCAATATCACCTGGAAGCAGTTAGAAAATCAGAGTCTTAGTCCCACACCACAGCTGCTAACTCAGAATCTGTGTTTTAACAAGATCCTTAGGTGATTTGTGTGCACATTAATATGAGAGAAGCACGGCTCTAGCGTTTCAAGGTCATCCAGTCCAACAGTCTCTTCAGGATACAGATGCAGAAAGGAAAACTAAGAGAGAGGAAGAGATTTACATGATGTTACACTTAGTTTTGTCAAGACATCTAAATTCCAAGCTAGGGTTCTTTACACTAAAGTTTCAAAACTGTCTGTAATTCAGCTTCTCTGGGTAGGAAAGGATGGAGAAAAAGAAGAGGTCCTGTTTTCTAGGAAAGGACAGAACAGAATTAGGAGGTACCCAGGGTAGCTATTTTCATTTGAATCTCACAGATGATTTCAGAGGTCCCTAAATTGCATTCATGTATTTATTTATATTTAATAAACACTTCTATACCACTACGTCCCAGAAATCATTCTAAGCTCCTTACGCATATGAACACTATTTTGTATATTAACTCATATAATACCTAAAACAATCCTATGAGTAAGGGATTGTTATTTTCCCCACTTTACAGAAGAGAATCCTGAGCCACAGAGTGGTTAAGTAACTTGCCTTAGGTCACAAAGCTAGTAAGGGGCAGACCTAGGATTCCAATTCTGGCAGTTTTCCCTTCTACTAGGCCTGAGCCCACAGTAGCCTATTCTGGTCTTAACTCTAGCTAGGGGACAGATATGAAGTTCATTTAGGACTTTTTCTACTTCAGCTTAGGGCCTATTCAGCCCTTTCCCACCAAAGGCTTTTCAGCTGCTTTACTGAGACTCCACCCTGAGCTGGCATATAGCCTCTGCCCAGTACAGGAGGGGTCCCTCAGAGACTGATAATGGCTCATTTCTTGGTCCTCTCCCCCATACCTTGGCTCAAGCTTTTCTTTTCCTCTACCCATTAGGCTATTTCCTCTTTGACCTCTTTTAAAAGCTCCTAATCTATTGAAAAGCATTTGCTTTCCTTGTCAGACTCTTTTTTACTCCTTCTTCCTACTGGCCCCCAAACCCTTCCAGTCTGCACCTCATAGTTTGGCCCTTAATTCTCTGTCTCTGTCCGGTCTACTTTATCTTCCCAGCTCTGCAAACTCTTCAAGGTCAGGGACTAGTAACGTTTCGGGATTTATCCACCGCTGCCTCTGAGATCATGGATTAATAAACTCCCAAAGTGTCATTGTTTGAAGTGCCCTTAGAGACTACGTAGCTCAACCCCCTCCTTGTACAGACACTCAGGGGCCCAGAGAAGATGGATGATCAAAGCTGAGTGCCGAATCCAATTTTCCTTTATTTTTAGTGGTCTTTTCCCTGCTTCATGTCTGCTCTCTTCCTCCTGTCACAATCCTATCTACCCTTCTGAATGGAGGAGTATTTTTTTGAGGCAGATGCAGAGCTGGAAAGCGGCTTCTCCATGTGTCTGAAAATTTTGGCTTTTCCAACAATAATTTTCCCTGTCAAACTCCAAGCCTGCTAAGTCATGAATAAACTTTGATGAGCTGAGCTGCATTCAGCTGTGAAAGAGACAACTTGATGCTTTCTCTGGACCCCACTCCCTGGCCCTCTACTCTCTGGCCCCCGCTTCAGTCCCAGGAGATTTGCAGCTCCTGCCATACCAGTGGCTGGGTCACTGTTCTTCAGCCTCACATTGTTCCTCTCAAAGGCAGTTTCTTTTCGTAGCCACGCCTAGGCACTCAAACAGTCCAATAGCTGCTCTAGGAACTTCACGGGGGCGGAAGAGGTAAGCTTACCGTGAAAGGAGGGTTTGGGCTGTTGTTGCTACACGTGGATGTGAAATGAGTCAAGCGGAACTTTGATTACAAGGAATTTCATATACTGTGAGTGTGTATGCAGGCTGGGGGCTGAGGGGCGGGGGCTGAGGGGCGGGGCTGATGGGCGGGTCTGAGGGGCGGGGGCTGAGGGGCGCGGGGTGAAGGGCGGGGGGTGACGGGAGGGGGCTGGGTGAGATGTGTGCTCTGCGCTGAGGTGGATTTGTACCGGAGTCCCATTTGGGAGCAAGAGCCATCTACTCGTCCGTTACCGGGTGAGTGTGGGAACACCCCCTGGTGTGGCAAGGCGGCTGGGACCTGCGGCATCTAGGTGCAGAAGTACAGAATCAGGTCAGGATGATCCTGCTAGGGTACCGCAAAATCAGAACAATTGGGAAGGCGCCCTGTGGCTGGCTGTCAGTCCATCCATTTGTGTCCGGAGAGCGCTTTCTGAGGTATCAGGGATCTGGGCTGACATCTCTAGGATCTTGGCGAGCCATTTCCTGTAGGCTCTTACTGGACCTGCATTGCCTCTGAGAACATGCCTGGACGTGTCCAACAACCTTGAGCATCTAGGGTTGGGAGATAAAGAAGAGAAGGAGGCTGGGTGTTAGTGAAGGCGGGGACAGTGGATCAGACTTGTGGAGCATCCTGAGGAAAGCAGAACTGCTAACCCGCGTGGCTTGAGGGCAAGTCAGGGCTTGTGTAAAGAGCATGCTGGCTCTGTTTGGGGGCTTTCAATCCACCCCCTCACCCGCCGAGCTTGGTTTCACTTGATCTCTCATTCCTGGAAGCTGAGCCCCGGGCAGTGTTATTTTGATCCTGCCTCACTCCAAACACTGGCCAAGACCCAGCAAGCTGCAAGAACTGGGGGACAAGAAGGGACCCGCCAGAGACCAGGCTAGGAAAACAGAGACTTCAGGGTCTGACTTAGACAGGTGTTGGCAGCGTTGGCCAATGTCATGCTGGGTGGCTGGGGCAGGAGAGTTTGGAACATCTTCCCTAGATAACTCCTCTGTTCTTTTCTTCACCCCAACATACCTTCAACTCCGCAGACTCACTGAGCTAGTCTGTGCCACCATGTGTGAGACAGTGAGATGTCTGTCTGAGACCTAGGCTGTGCCCACTGGGGCCTGACAGTCTCATCCTGGATATAAAAACACGGATAAATATTAATATAACACAAGAGAGGTTTTAAAAGTTAAATAAAAATGCTTAGAGGCTGCCAAGTAAGGATTGTATCAAGTTGAACCATACGAAATCAGAAAAAGGTTTTTTTTTATTCTTTTTTTGAAATTGTAACGCCTTTCAGGGCTCCAGAGCTAGACTATTTGAGTTCAGATCCCATGCTCACCATTTAACTTGTGTTACCATGGACAAATAAAATTACTTCTCCCTTTCTGAGTTTCTGTTAACTTCAGGCTAAAGTGGATAATAATAGCACCCACCTCATGGGGCTGTTGTGAGGATTAGATGAGATAATCCATATAAAATACTTGCACACACTTAGCACAGTGGCTGGCCCAAAATAAACACTCAATAAATATTAACTATTATTATTTAAGATAGACTGTGGCACACAGATAAGATTTCAACAGGTGGAGATAGAGAAGACAGTTTAAGCAGAGAAAATAGGAACAACTGCTTTAAGGCAGGGAAGCTCAGGGCATATGAAAAGAACACCAGCTGAGCTGGATTTTAGAGTACGATTAGCGGAAAATTGGAAGTTAAACTTGCCAAGGCAGATTGGTGGTAAACTGCAAAAGACAGTGGATGCTAGAGTTTTGATTTGATTTAGCAGACAATGGAAAGCCATTGAAAGTTTTTGAGCTTAAAAAAAACGTCAGATCCTCTGCTTTAGGAAGAGTAATCTGGTAAAAGGTTAGTCAGCTGGATTGGAATAGGAAAACACAAGAGGGGGATAAACTAGGGGCAGAGAGGGAACAAGGCCCTGGAACTGAGGTCGTGGCTGTGGGAATAGAAAGGAGGTGATGAATTTAACAAGCCATCACAAAAGTTGAATCTACAGAACTTTGTAGTTGATACATTATATGGAATTGAAAAAGGAAGAATGAGAAAATCAGAATCTTTTCGGGTTGGCTTAGACCTTACAAGGTTGTGCATTCCCATCTCACTTCTGTGGATAACGCAATAGAAAGAGTATGTACCTTCTGAGCTAGACACAGCTATTTTCAAGTCCTGGGTCTGCTATTTATCTGCTGTTTGTGATCCTAAGCATATTATGTACTTGACATTCCCAACTAGGATCGGTATTTCCACAAGACATTTAGAAGTATGTGGGGTGTGTGTGTGTGTGTGTGTGTGTGTGTTTTACACACAGTCTGAGGTACTACTGCATTTAATGCCAAACAGATGCAACAAATAATTGTTCCTCCCACCCACCATGCCAGTAGTAAGCCCAATGAGAAGTAGTCAAATTCTTTGAGCCTCAGCTTTCTAACCTGAAAAAGAGGGATAACAGTACTCACATCATGGTGTTATTGGGAGGATTAAAAGATATATTTCCTGCCAAGGGTCTAGCACAGTGCCTGACAAGTAGAATTTCATGAATTGTAATTTTCCTTTACCCTAATGGATTCCACATTAAAACATCCTTGCCAGTTTCTGCTTGAACACTTCTAGAGGGAGGTTCCTTACTGCTTCCTGAGAGAGCCCACTGTCTTCAGGGAAAGCCTTGGACTGTTAAAAGTTCTTCCTTTTGCTAAGCTGAACTTAGTTTTCCTAAAGCTTGTACCTGGATATCCTAGTCATTCTCCCTGAGGCCACCTAGAGCAGTCTGTTCTTTTTCTTCCATGACAGTTTTTCAGAGATCTGAAGACCAGAGATCAGATCCCCCTGCATCTTCTGCTCCCAGGTCAAACAGCTCAGATAATTGTATCATTTCTTATCTGGCATGGTATCAAGTCAAATATGACTCTGTGGTTTTGAAGTATATAAATTGGGGTATGAGTATGTCTTCATAGTGATGAGGAATACTGCAAAAGGAACAGGATGGGTAAATGTGACAAAATTCCTTGTAATTTATTATTTTTTAAATTATTTTTTTCTGGTCAGGAAGGGTGGCTCATTCCT
This sequence comes from Homo sapiens, assembly GCF_000001405.40. Lineage (NCBI taxonomy): Eukaryota > Metazoa > Chordata > Mammalia > Primates > Hominidae > Homo > Homo sapiens. The sequence goes on along the minus strand of NC_000023.11, from coordinate 66,636,176 downwards.
GTAATCCCAGCACTTTAGGAGGCATAGGCGAGAGGAGGGCTTGAGCCCAGGAGTTCAAGATTAGCCTGGGAAACATGGAGAGACCCTGTCTATATAAATTTTTTTAAATAGCTGGGCACTGGGTGCTGGGCACTTGTAGTGCCCGCTACTTGGGAGGCTGAGGCAGGAGAATCTCCTGAGCCCAGGAGTTTGAGGCTGCAGTGAGCTATGATCATGCCACTACACTCCAGCCTGGGCAACAAAGTGAGACCCTATCTCAAAAAAAAATTAAAGAATATAAATCATTTTTTCCACTATGTGCTAAATACTTTCAAATCCATCATCCCACTGATTCCTTATCCCCAAATGAGGGAATTGCAGATTTATTTATATATATTATACAGGTGGCCAAACAGGCCTAGAGAAAATGAAACTTGCTAGAGATCATTTAGTTAGTAAGCATCTGTGCCAGAACTGCAAGACACATTTTTCTTACTCCAAGTTCAGTATGGCTTTTCATTTTCCACAGCTGTTAGGGTTTAAGGTGATAGATAGCTGGGCAATTACGCCAACTCTGGCACTAAAGAATGAGTCAAAAAAAAGAGGGATCCTCCAATTACCTTATACCAGTTATTCCCTCTTTGAGAGAATTCCTTTCTTTAGATGTCTTCTTGACCTTCTCCACTTGAATGCTTCCTGCAGAGAGTGAGTCATCTTTTGGAGCCATTCCTCAGTGCTGAAGCTTCATATTGAAGCAGAAGCTGCTTTTCACTGCTTTCTTTCTAGAAACTAGCTCCACCCGTGTATTCTCTTCTTGGGAGCTTAACAGGAAAGATATGGGTAAGTTTCACCATCAGTATGTAAAATACGACTACTATTATTTTGTGAACATAGATATGAGGATGGCTATACTTTGTCTTGGATTAGAGTTTACTGTATATATTTTCTATGTTCCCCACCAGACTGCAATCTCCTAAATTTGGAGAATATGGTTTATTCACCTCTGTTTTTTTCTCTTGCCACTAAGTTCTAATAGAATGCCTAGCATAGAAAGTACTCATCAAGTGGTTGCTGAGTGACCAGAAATTAATTCTCCCTATCTTGGGATGACAACAGTTATTATATCTTCCAAACACCACCAAAAGACATCATGCTATTCTCAAAAATAAAGGATTTTCCATGTAATATATGGTGGAATCAGACACTGAGATGTCCTACTTCCAGGAGATTGTTAGTCACCGTTGTGGTTAAGCCAAAAAGAGTGGGCATTACTTCTTCCCTTCTACGATCCACCTCTCCATGACCCAGCCCACCCTTTGGAATTGTTTCTGTTGAGGATAAAATGAGCCATTATTGGGCTGTGGGAGTTAGGAAAAAGAAGCTGGAGCCTTGGTAGTATAGTCACTGAGTAATTGGTCCTAAAGCTGGGCCAACTCCTTTCTTCGTATATGGGAAGTAGAGAAGCCACTGGGCCCTGAATATGCAGACTTGAATTCTACTTTTAGCTCTACCATTGACCACTGTGTGACTTTGGGAAAATTCTATCCCTTTTCTGAGCATTAGTTTCCTCATCTTAGATCATCAGGGAATGGGGTTAAGTTGTCCTGAATAATACTTTTAGGATCCCATGACTATATGTTTTCAATTATCTGATAGCTTGAAGTTTTAACTGGTTGCCAAAGAGGAGGAAAAAAAAAACAAATGATGGAATGTGCTGTCTTATGAGTACTGAGGTGCCTGTTACTAAAGGACTTCAAGTAGAGCTGGATGGTATTTCTTTACTGGGCAAAAGGCCACTGGGACTAAGATTAATTTTAAACCTCCCTTTGACTCTAAGATTGTCAGAGTCTAAAAATGGTCTCAAAGAATGTGCATTTACATATGAGGTCATAGGCTTCTTGTTATCAGTCTCACCTTCCCTCCACAACCTCACAAAGTACTATACCTTTCTCCCTTTTCTTGGACATCTAAAGAAAAAATGAAGAAATATTTTGGCAGCAGCATTTCATTTTGTACAGACATGCCTCATTCTATAGTTCTCATTGTATTCTTCCAGTCCTTTGTTAAGGATGTGGACCTGGGTTGGGCTTGTAAATGCCCACTGGTTTGTATCTCTGCTCCTTTAGGATATTTTATTCCCAGGCCTATGAGGATGGGATGGAGTACTTGATTGCCATGGGAAAAAAAAAGAGACTGTTCTTGTTGACATCTTCAGATACAGCTATTCCAGATTGCTTGGTAAATGGGACAGGGTGGAGGGAGTGTGGGGCAAGACCAACAAACTTAATAGAAATCAGAAATTGGAGTACTTGACTGAGTTTTATCCAGTCCCAATCCTGCAAATAAATCATACCATGAATTCAATACCCAACTGGGACAACTCAGCCAAAAGCCTTCTTGGGAAGTCAGCTTATCTCCCCTTCCAGTACTGCTGGTTGAGTAACTAATTTTTTTATTATACCGTAATTTTATGGAATCTTGTGGTGATTGGTACATGACCAGTGACTCACTTTGGCTAGGATAACAGCAGAGCAAAGCAAGAGGTTTCAGGTGTTAGCTGAGTGCCGGTCTGGCTTGGGGCTTGTCTCCAATACCCTTTGTTCCCCAGCTCTGGGTGGGATAGTAACAACAATCATAGCAACTCCTCACATACGTAGCACAATCTGGAGTTTCCACAGCACTCTCACATACATTATCTCATTTTACCCTTGAACATAATCCAGGGTAGTTTCTGTGCTTTTGCTCCCACTTGGGAAGAGTATTTTAGCAGTCAGTAGAAGAACGTTTTCCCTCAAAATCAGCCTAGAGTTTGCTGTTCTTAATTTCATCCTATTTCTTTTATAATGGTATCTTTGTATTCTTGGCTACACAGTCTCTTTTCCCCATTCGTTTAACAATTATTTTTCAGCAGTTGCCAAACACTAACCAAATATTTATATTTTTAATTTACAGTCTGCTAAGTTGTATTTGTCTTTTGAGGTTTGTGCTTTGTTTGTTGTCTTTGTGCACGTACGCATGTTTTGAAGGCAAAACAATTGACTCATATGGTTAGCATTTACTTTTGGCCAAGTGGAAGTAGCCCAGTTCAGTTGGTTATTAATTTTGTCTGTACAATGACAACAGCTTTTAGTAAGGATTTTTTTTTCTTTTTCTTCCCCAGCTGGGGCTTTACCTCTTGCTCTGTGCGCTAGAATAAAAGACAAAGGAGAATAGATGAGACTTCTTTAATTTTGCGCAGGTTCATTCTCCTCTGTTGATATACTATTCCTGACATTGCTGGGCCAGATGTTGCTATCACTAACAGTTAAAATTCTTCAGCCACTTTGGAAATGTTGAAAGTAGCCCATTAAAAACTGTAGTACCCACCTGTGGTCTCTACATTATGTCTATTCCAGGCACAGATTTTAGTATACTTAAACACAAAAAGATAATTTACTTTTATCACATGCCCATGAAATAAAATAAAAATGACACATCCTCAGTCCTGGCCTCCTCCACGTCCCAGTATCAATAGCTGACACATTACTCATCCCTTACTTCTTAAAGCTTTGTCCTATTCTACTCTATCAAGGTTCTTTTTTTTTTTTTTCTTCTCTGGCTTCCCCTTCTTCGTTGCTGTCATGTATTCCTCCTCTTCCAGCTTCAAGTATGAGTGACCCTCAATGTTTGGTTCTTCTTCCTCTTTCTTCTTCCTTCCTTCTTCCTTCTTTCTTCCTTCTTCCCTTCTCCTCCTCCTCACCCTCCTCCTCCTCCTCCTCCTGCTTCTTCTTCTTCTTCTTTGTTTGAGAATCTGTCACCCAGGCTGCAGTACAGTGGCACAATCTCGGCTCACTGCAACCTCTGCCTCCAGGGTTCAAGCGATTCTCCTGCCTCAGCCTCCCGAGTAGCTGGGACTACAGGCATGCACCACCACGCCTGGCTAATTTTTGTACTTTTAGTAGATACAGTTTTTCGCCATGTTGGCCAGACTGGTCTTGAAGTCCTGACCTCAAGTGATCCACCTGCCTCGACCTCCCAAAGTGCTGGGATTACCGGCAGGAGCCACTGCATCCAGCCATTCTTCTTTACCCATGATTTAACTTCTGCCATGATTTACTTCGGCCAGTGGTTATTCCAACCCCAGAGGTTTTTATTTAATTAATCTAGAGCGTAGGATTTTTTTTTCAGTGCTCCATATGATTCTGATGTGCAGCCATAAGCAAGAACTGTTATTCTGGTGTTTTTATGCATTTGACACATCTCCAACTTCAACTTATATTTTACATATTGTATATGCTTGTTGGGCATGACCACTGAAATGTTCCTCTGTCCCCTTCAACTTCTCTATACTGAAAATAATTGAAAAACAGTGCATTTTCTTTTCTTTTACCAAGCTGCGCTCCTTTCACGCTTCTCATGGCACTTAGATTCTTCTGGTTTCCCAGGCAGAAACTCCCAGAATCTCTAACTCTGGTCATTCTGTTTGTCTTCACTTTGTAAGGTTTGTATCTCCCACCATCATTCCTCTCTGTTCCTATTGTAACCACCTTTGACCTGGCCCTTGTCTCCTAAAGCTTGGGCAGTAACCCTATCAAACCATTATTTAAAATGCACTCAGGTTAACATTAATAAAATGCTTTTTTGCCCATCCTGAAATATCACTGAAGAAAAAATTTCAGTGAAGACTGGGAGGACCTCCATTCTCTATTTTAGAGTTCAATACTGCCTTGAAAAGTGTGCCAGACTCATAGCTTCTAAATGACCTTTGGGTTCTGCCTTGCTTTTTGCTAGCCAAATAAAGATAGTTGTATATTTTCCCTCTGAGCCTCAGTATTTTTTAATCTATTAATTAAAAAAAATTCCATAGGTTATTGGGATACAGGTGGTATTTGGTTGCATGGATATGTTATTTAGTGGTGTTTTGTGAGATTTTGGTGCATCCATCACCTGAGCAGTATACACTGCACACTATTTGTAGTATTTTATCCCTCGCCCCCCTTCACTGCCTTCCCTCCAAGTCCCCAAAGTCCATTGTGTCATTCTTATGCCTTTGCATCCTCATAGCTTAGCTCCCACATATCAGTGGGAACATACAGTGTTTGGTTTTCCATTCATGAGTTACTTCACTAAGAATAATAGTCTCGAATCTCATCAATATATATGTGTATATATACATATACACACATGTGTGTGTATATGTATATATACACACAAACGTGTGTTTTTATGTACATACACACATACGTGTATATATGTATGTATACACACATACGTGTATATATGTACGTATATACACACATGTACATGTGTGTGTATATATGTATATATGCATACACATACGTGTGTGTATATATATATACGTGTGTTTGTGTGTGTGTGTGTGTGTGTGTGTGTGTATATATATATATGATTCTTTTTAGTTCTTTAAGGAATATCCACACTGTTTTCCATAGCAGCTGTACTAGTTTACATTTCCACCAGCAGTGTAGAAGTGTTGCCTGTTCACGACATCCACACCAACATCTACTGTTTTTATTTATTTTTGGATTATGGCCATTTTTGCAAGAGTGAGGAGGTATTAAATTGTGGTTTTGATTTGCATTTCCCCAATCATTAGAGATGTTGAGCATTTTTTCATATGTTTGTTGGCCATTTGTATATCTTTTTTGAAAATTGTCTATTTATGTCCTTAGCCCACGTTTTGGTGGGATTGTTTGATTTTTCTACCTGATTTTTTTGAGTTCATTGTGGATTCTGGATATTAGTCCTTTGTCAGATGTATATATTGTGCAGATTTTCTCCCACCCTGTGGTTTGTCTGTTTACTCTGCTGACTGATTCTTTTGCCATGCAAAAGCTCTTTAGTTTAATTAGGTCCCGGCTATTTATCTTTGTTTTTATTGCATTTGCTTTTGGGTTCTTGGTCATGAAATCATTGCCTAAGCCAATGTCTCGAAGGGTTTTTTCAATGTTATCTTCTAGAACTTTTATAGATTCGGGTCTTAGATTTAAGTCCTTAATCTATCTTGAATTGATTTGTGTGTAATGTGAGAGATGACATTCCAGTTTCGTTCTCCTACATGTGGCTTGCTAATTATCCCAGCACCATTTGTTGAAAATGGTGTCCTTTTCCCACTTTATGTTTTTGTTTGCTTTGTCAAAGATCAGTTGGCTGCAAGTATTTGGGGTTATTTCTGGGTTTTTGATTTCGTTCCATTGGTCTATGTGCCTATTTATATACCAGTACCATGCTGTTTTGGTGACTATGGCCTTATAGTATAGTTTGAAATCAGGTAGTGTGATGCCTCCAGATTTGTTCTTTTTGCATAGTCTTGTTTTGGTTATGTGGGCTCTTTTTTGGTTCCACATGAATTTTAGATTTTTTTTTTGTAATTCTGTGAAGAATGATGGTGGTATTTTGATGTGAATTGTGTTGAATTTCTAGATTGCTTTTGGCAGTATGGTCATTTTCACAATATTGTTTCTACCCATCCATGAGCATGGGATGTTTCCATTTGTTTGTATCGTCTATGATTTCTTTCAGCACTGTTGTGTAGTTTTCCTTGTAGAGGTTTTTTGCGTCCATGGTTAGATATATTCCTAAGTATTTAATTATTTTTTGCAACTGTTGTAAAAGGGGTTGAGTTGTTGATTTGATTCTCCACTTTGTCACTGTTGGTGTATAGGAGAGCTACTGAATTCTGTACTTTAGTCTTGTATCTGGAAACTTCGTTGAGTTATTTTATCAGTTCTAGGAGCTTTCTGAGGGAGTCTTTAGGGTTTCCAAGGTAAATGATCATATGGTCAGCAAATAGTGACAGTTTGACTTCCTCTTTACCAGTTTGGATGCCCTTTATTTCTTTCTCTTGCCTGGTTGCTCTGGCGAGGACTTCCAGTACTATGTTGAAGAGGAGTGGTGAGAGTGGGCATGCTTGTCTTATTCCAGTCCTCAGAGGGAATGCTTTTAACTTTTCCCCATTCAGTATTATGTTGGCTATGGGTTTGTCATAGATGGCTTTCATTACATTGAGGTATGTCTGTTGTATGCTGGTTTTGTTGAGAGTTTTAATCATAAAGGGATGCTAGACTTTGTTGAATGCTTTTTCTTCATCTAATGAGATGATCATGTGATTTTTGTTTTAAATTCTGTTTATGGGGTATATCACATTTATTGCCTTGTGTATGTTAAACCATCCCTGCGTCCCTGGTATGAAACCCACTTGATCATGGTGGATTATCTTTTTGATATGTTGTTGAATTCAGTTAGCTAGTATTGTGTTAGGATTTTAGTATCTATGTTCATCAGGGATATTAGTCTGTAGTTTTCTGTTTTGGTTATGTCCTTTCCTGGTTTAGGTATTAGGGTGATGCTGGCTTCATAGAATGAATTAGGGTGGCTTCCCTCTTTCTCTATCTTGTGGAATAGTGCCAAAAGGATTGGTACCAATTGTTCTTTGAATGTCTTCTAGAAATCAGTTGTGAATCCATCTGATCCTGGATTTTTTTTTTTTTTTGGTAATGTTTTAATTACCATTTCAGTATCTCTGCCTGTTATTGGTCTGTTCAGGATATATAATTCTTCCTGATTTAAGCTGGGGGGGTGTATTTTTCCAGGAATTTATCCATCTCTTCTAGGTTTTCTACTTTATGTGTGTAATGATGTTCATAGTAGCCTGAAATGACCTTTTGTATTTCAGTGGTGTCAGTCCTAATGTCTCCCATTTTGTTTCTTAATGAGGTTATTTGGATTTTCTGACTTCTTTTCTTGGTTAATCTTGCTAATGGTCTATCAATTTTATTTGTCTTTTCAAAGAACCAGCTTTTTGTTTTATTTATCTTTCGTGTGTTTTTTTTTGTTGTTGTTTCAATTTCATTTAGTTCTGCTCTGATCTTGGTTATTTCCTTTCTTCTGCTGGGTTTGGGTTTGGTTTGTTCTTGTTTCTCTAGTTCCTTGAGGCACAACCTTAGAATGTCAGTTTGTGCTCTTTTAGTCATTTCCATATAGGTGTTTAAGGCTATGAACTTTCCTCTTAGCACCACCTTTGCTGTGTCCTTTTGATAGGTTGTGTTGTTATTGTCATTCAGTTCTAAGAATTTTTTTAATTTCCATCTTGATTTTGTATTTGACCCAGTGATCATTCAGGAGCAGGTTATATAATTTCCATGTATCTGCATGGTTTTGAAGGTTCCTTTTTGAGTTGATTTCCAGTTTTATTCCATTTTGGTCTGACAGAGTGCTTGATATAATTTCAGTTTTCTTAAATTTATGGAGGCTCATTTTGAGCCCTATCATACGGCCTATCTTGGAGAAAGTTCCATGCACTGTTGAATAGGATGTGTATTCTGCGGTTGTTGGTTGAAATGTTCTGTATATATCTGTTAATTCCATTTATTCCACGGTATAGGTTAGATCTATTGTTTCTTTGTTGACTTTGTCTCTTGATGACCTGTCTAGTGCTGTCAGTAGAGTATTGAACTCCACCACTATTATTGTGTTGCTGTCTATCTCTGCTGTCAGTAGAATATTGAAGTTCGCCACTATTATTGTGTTGCTGTCTGTCTCACTTCTTAGGTCTGTTAGTAATTGTTTTATAAATTTGGGAGCTCTGGTATTATTTGCATATATGTTTAGGATTGTGATATTTTCCTGTTGGACAAGGACTTGTATGATGATATAATGTCCCTCTTTGTCTCTTTTAAGTGTTGTTGCTTTAAAGTTTGTTTTGTCTGATATAAGAATAGTTACCTCTGCTCACTTTTGGTGTCCATTTGCATGAAATGCCTTTTTCCATCCCTTTTCTTTAAGGTTATGTGAGTCCTTATGTGTTGGGTGATTGTCCTGAAGGCAGCAGATAATTTGTTGGTGAGTTTTTATCCTTTCTGCAGTTCTGTATTTCTTAAGTGGAGCATTTAGGCCATTTACATTCAATGTTAGTATTGAGATGTGAGGTACCATTGCATTCATTGTGCTATTTGTTGCCTGTGTATCTTGCTTTTTTGTTATTTTTAAATTTTGTTTTTGTTTGATAGGTCCTGTGTGATTTATGCTTTAAAGAGGTTCTATTTTTATGTGTTTCCAGAATTTGTTTCAAGATTTAGAGCTCCTTTTAGCAGTTCTTGTAGTGGTGGTTTGGTAGTGGTGAATTCTCTCAGCATTTGTTTGTCTGAAGAAGACTGTATCTTTCCTTCATATATGATGCTTACTTTCAGTGGATACAAAATTCCTGGCTGATAGTTGTATATTTTTAGGAGGCTGAATATAGGGCCCAAATTTCTACCAGCTTGTAGGGTTTCTGCTGAGAAATTTGCTGTTAATCTGATGGGTTTTCCTTGGTGGGTTACCTGGTGCTTTTACACTTTCCCTCCCCTCCCCTCCCCTCTCCTCTCCTCCTGTCCCCTGTCCTCCTCTCCCCTCCCCTCCCCTCCCCTTCCCTCCTCTTCCTTTCCTTTCCAGTCTCACAGATCTTAAGATTCTTTCCTTTGTGTTAACTTTAGATAACCTGAAGACAATGTGCCTAGGCAATGATTTTTTTTGAGATGAATTTCCCAGGTGTTCTTTGTGCTTCTTGTATTTGGATGTCTAGATCTCTACCAAGGCCAGGGAAGTTTTTCTGTTATTGCCACAAATATGTTTTCCAAAATTTTAGATTTCTCTTCTTCCTCAGAAACACTGATTATTCTTAGGTTTCATTGTTTAATATAATCCCAGACTTCTTGGAGTCTTTGTTCATATTTTCTTATTCTGTTTTTTCTTTGTCTTTGTTGGATTGGGTTAATTTGAAGACCTTGTCTTTGAGTCGTGAATTTCTTTCTTCTATTTGTTCAATTCTATTGCTGAACTTTCCAGAGCATTTTGCATTTCTAAAAGTTTGTCCATTGTTTCCTGAAGTTTTTATTGTTTTTTCTTTATGGTATCTATTTCCTTGAATATTTCTCCCTTCACTTCTTGTATCATTTTTTAGATTTCCTTGCATTGGGCTTCACCTTTCTCTGTTGCCTCCCTGATTCGCTTAATAACTAATCTCCTGAATTCTTTTTCAGGTAAATCAGAGATTTTATCTTGGTTTGGATCCATTGCTGGTGAGCTAGTGTGATTTTTGGGGGGTGTTAAAGAGCCTTGTTTTTTCATATTACCAGAGTTGTTTTTTTGGTTCTTTCTCATTTGCGTAGGCTCTGTCAGTGGGAAGGTCTAGGGCTGAAGGCTGTTGTTCAGATTCTTTTGTCCCATGGGGTGTTCCCTTGATGTAGTACTCTCCCCCTTTACCTATGGATGTGGCTTCCTGTGAGCCAAGCAGCAGTGATTTTTATATCTCTTCTGAGTCTAGCCACCCACCAAGTCTATCCGGCTTTGGGCTGGTACTGGGGGTTGTCTGCACAGAGTCCTGTGATGTGAACCATCTATTGGTCTATCAGCTGTAGATACCAGCACCTGTTCCGGTGGAGGTGTCAAGGGATGAAATGTTCTCTGTGACAGTTCTTAGCTTTGGTGGTTTAATGTTCTATTTTTGTGGTGGTTGGCCTCCTGCCAGGAGGTGGTGCTTTTCAGAGAGCATCAGCTTTGGTAGTATGGAGAGGAACCAGTAGTACACGGGGCCCTAGAACTCCCAAGAGTATATGCCCTTTGTCTTCAGCTACCATGGTGGGTAGGGAAGGCCCATCAGGTGGGGGTAGAGCTAAGCATGTCTGAGCTCAGACTCTCCTTGGATAGGTCTTGCTGTGGCTGCTGTGTGGGTGGGGGTGAGGTTCCCAGATCCATGGAGTTGTGTACCTAGGAGGATTATGGCTGCTTCTGCTGAGTCATGCAGGTGGTCAGGGAAGTGGGTCAAAGCTGGCAGTCACAGGCCTCACCCAGCTCCCATGCAATCCAAAGGGCCAGTCTCACTCCCACTGTGCTCCCATAACAGTCCCAAGTCTGTTTCCAGGCAATGGGTGAGTAGGGCTTGAGAACCTGCCCCAGGTTACCCACCTCCCAGCTGTGAAATAAAAGGGCTTTGGTTCTTCCCACTCCTTTAGAGTCTCCACACCAGATTCATGCCCTACCCCAAGTTCTGGCCAGGATGCTTCTCTTCTGGTTCAAATTGTTACAAAGTTCAGCTGGAGACTTCCTTTTCCCCGTGGCATTTTCCCCTGTGCCTCTGGCGACCCTTCTGAAGGTTCCCTGTGGTTCCAGGCCTGCTTGGGGACCCAGCAAACTCCCGGGGCTTTTCCCGCTGCTTCCTCTACCCCTGTATTTTGCTCAGCTCTCTAAATTGACTCAGCTCCAGGTAAAGTCAGAAACTTCTCCTGCAAATTAGACTTTCCCCAGTGTGTTTCCCCAGTGTGTTAAGTGTTTCCCCAGTGTGGGTGTGTGTTAAGGAATGGAGGATCTCCCTTTCCCACTTCTGCTGTTGGAGTGCTCAAAGTATTTGGAGTGTCTCCTGGGTCCTGCAGGAGCAGTCCACTTCCTAAGAGTGTCTGTAGGTCCTCTCGAGATCCCTGGTTTGTTCTTGCAGTCGTCCTGGAGCTAAAATGCACGATGCAAACCTCCTCACACTGCTCTGTCCATCTGAGTTGGAATTGCAATCTAGTCCTGCCTCCCGTCTGCCATGATGATCCCCCAGCTCTACTTCTTTACTGAGATCTTGAGCAAGATCTCAGATCTGTCTGTTCCTTCCTCATCATGTGATCTTCTTCTTTAATGTATTTATTCATTTATTTATTTGAGACAGAGTCTTGCTCTGTTGCCCAGGCTGGAGTGCAGTGGCACAATCTTGGTTTACAGCAAACTCAGCCTCCTGGGTTCAAGCAATTCTTGTACCTCAGTCTCCCAAGTAGATGGAATTACAGGTGCATGCAACCACACCTAGCTCAATTTTGTATTTTTAGTAGAATTGAGGTTTCATCTTGTTGGCTAGGCTGGTCTTGAACTCCTGACCTCATGTGATCTACCCATCTAGGCCTCTGAAAGGGCCGGTATTCCAGGCGGGAGCCACTGCACCTGCCCAAATTTATTAATTTTTGATAACAATCCCTAGCTTCCTCCTAGGGATGTGATGGTGATCTGTTGAGCTAATCGATGTAAAATCCTTTATAAACTATGAAACCTTTTACTCAGACAGGAGAGTATTCCCAGTATTCTGTAGATTTTCACCATTTTATCATTCAACAAATATTTGTTTAATGCCTACTGTGTGCCAGGCACTATTGTAAGCACTGATGATGAAGTAGCAAACACAATACGTACCATGGCCTCATAGCATTTACATTCTAACTGGGGAAGAAAAAGCAATAAAGTACATAAGATTTATGATATGTCATAAGGTCATATGTGCTATGGAAAAGAATAAAACTGGAAACGGGGATAGGAATTCTGGAAAGAAGGTGAAAATTTGAGAGAGTGGTCAGGGAAGCCTGACTAAGAAGACTGTATATGAACAAAGAACTGAAGAAGATGAGGGAAGTAGCCATGCAGGTATCTGGGGAAGAACATTCCTGCTTGAGGGAACAGCAGATGTGAAGGCCTTAAGATGAAGGCATTTCTGGTTAGTTTGAAGTTCAACAAGGAGGCCAGCATGGGTGGAGTGAAGACAATAAGGAAAAGAGTAGTAGAACTTAAGGTCAATAAATAATGGGGGAAATTGAGGTAGGCGTATCATCTAAGGTCTCTATTGGCCATTATAAGAACTTAATTTTTTAAAATATGAGCTCTTTATTATATGCCATACATCACTGTGTATATTTTATGTTTTTACATACCCATTCATTTTTTAAGTTATATCCAAAACTGTGTAGGACTTATGTGATATTATGAGTGAAAGAGGGAGCCATCAATGGCTTTTGAGGCTGGAAATGACATGATCTAACATGTTTTATCCCCTTTATCTTTATTTTCTATTCTCCCTAGAAAAAAATGGATAGACCTTGGGTTTCTCCCTCAACAGATTCTCTCTGAATATGGGGGAGAGATACAGAAAAACCTTTTTTTCTGACTGCATTTTATTTTCAGGTGAAACAGACAAGGTCAGAACTAAAAGAAAAGAGCCCTTAAAACTGTGATTTTCAACATTGACTGCACATGAGAATCACTTGGTGAACTGTAAAATGTAGCGTGCTCATGCCACATTTTTGACTAACTACAACAGAATCTTAGGGGAGGGACCCAGGTGTCACTATTTTTTGGCACTCCCAAGGTGCAACCAAGACTGAGAACCACTGGTCTAAGAGATTAGCCAAACCAACTCCCTCGTGGTATGAATGGAGAACTTGATTCCAGCATTGGGAAGGGATATTCTCCTGATGGCAGAGCTGGGACTAGGACCATTCACTATGCTGAGCTAAAACAGGAAATGCAAACTTTACAAATAGTGGGGCAGAAGGAAGATATGATGTTTGATAGTTTGGAAGGAGGTTATAAACAAGATAAACCTTGGATAGAAGTGGCCTTGGGTCAGTTCAGAAAAGGGAAAGGCTGAGTGCCAACACCAAAAGGTAAAGCAACATTTGAATTACAGGCCAGGCATCTGGAAATGATGGCACTGTACAGTTTAGAAGCTTGATTTTCAAGAAAGCAGTGTTCTCAAGGCTACGTTGAGCAACTTCTTTGATTCTGTCTTGTGCATGTGGGTGGATAGATGGGCTCGCAGTAGAGGAATGGGCAAGGCATGGAGACCATCTGCTGTCTTCTTCATCGTTTTTAATCCCACACCTCCTGCACTGTCCAGGCAAAGCAAATATCCTGAAGTACTGAGTTCTTAATTTAGACTTGTCCTTCTTTCCTGCCTACCCATACTACATAGAGAGAGCATGTTTCACCCCACAGGCATGTGTGCAAGTTGAGAAGAGCAGCAGCCACAAGCTGCAGCAAGGAGCAGCTGCACCCCCAGCAGCCTGGGTACCTCACATCCAGCAGAAACTTGGCCAACATCAATTATTCAGGGCATGATGAGCTAATTTGGGGATTACTATTGATGTCAGCTGTATTGTTTCTCCTCTTCCCTGTCTGCTTGCATTCTTAATCGTCTACATTATTTTTTGAGGAATCAGGACAGGGAGATGGGTGGGAAGAGCAGCCACATGACAGACAGGCAAAATAAGGGAATAATTCTAGTCATATTGCCACTTGTTGGCCCTTGTAAACACAATCAAGGTATATACAACACATACTTGGATAAGTTTGGGTGAGAAGTTGGATGAATCAAATTATATTTGGAGGCCTGTGTAAAAATATTCATAGCAGCTTTAACATTTTTTGGGGGGCTAACTTAAGCAATATCCTATTGGAATAATAAATTCAAAGTATTAAATAAAGCTAAAGAACCATCTTTTAAAATGAGATATAATTCACATACTATAAGATTTACCTTTTTAAAGTGTATAATTCACTAGTTTTAGCATATTCACAAAGTCACACGACCGTCACCACTGTCTAATTCCAGGGCATTTTCATGACCCTAGAAAGAAACATACCTATTCAGCAGTCACTTCCCATTTCCCTTTCTCCCCAGGCCCTGATATCCACTAAAGCTAGTTTATGATTGATTGCCTATTCTGGACATTTCATGTAAATAGAATCATACAACATTTGTCCTTTTGTGTCTAGCTTCTTTTATTTAGCATAATGTTTTCAACGTTCATTCATGTTATTGCACATGTTAAGCACATCATTCTTTTCTCTGACTGAATAATTTTCATTGTATGGATAAACCACATTTTGTTTACCATTTATCAGTTGATGAACATGTGGATTTTCCCCACTTTTTGGCTATTATAAATAATGCTGCTAGGAACATTTGTTTACAGGTTTTTGTATGAACACATGTTTTCAATTCTTTTGGGTATTTACACTTAGGAGTGAAATTGCTGGGTCATGTTGTAACATGATGTTTAACATTTTGAGGAACTGCAAAATTAATTTCCAAAGGGGCTGCATCATTTTGTATTCTCGCCAGCAATACACAAGGGTTCCAGTTTCTCCACATCCTTCTCCCCCAGGCTGGAGTGCAATGGCACGATCTCGGCTCACTGCAACCTCTGCCTCCCGGGTTCAAGCAATTCTCCTGCCTCAGCCTCCCAAGTAGCTGGGATTACAGGTGCCTGCCACCATCCCCGGCTAATTTTTGTATTTTTAGTAGATTCAGGGTTTCACCATATTGGCCAGGCTAGTCTTGAACTCTTGACCTCAGGTGATCCACCTGCCTCGGCCTCCCAAAGTGCTGGGATTACAGGCGTGAGCCACCGTGCCTGGCCGGCTATTTTTTTTTTTTTTTTTTTTTTTTGGTAGTGGATATAAAGTGCTGTTTTATTGTGGTTTTCATTTTCATTCCCTTTGTTGCTGATAACACCGACCATCTTTTCATGTGTTTATGGGCCATTTGTAAGTCTTAGAGTGATATCTATTCAAATTCTCTACTCATTTTTAAATTATCTATCTTTTTTTGAGTTGCAAGAGTTTTCTATATATTTAGATACAAGTCTCTTATCAGATATGTGATATGAAAATTTTTGTGTCCTATTATGTGGATTGTCTTTTCACTTTCTTGATGGTGTCCTTTGAAGCACAAACATTTTTAATTTTTAAATTTTGTTGACATGTCATTGTTCTGTTTTTCTCTCTTGTTGCTTGTGCTTTTGTTGTTATATCTAAGCAACTACTTCCTAATCCAGTGTCACAAAAATTTACACCTATATTTTCTTATAAGAAAAACATTAATTACAGAATTATTATGTTTTCTTGTAAGAAAACTTTTATAAGAGTTTTATAGTTTTAACTCTTACATTTGGGGATTTAGTCTATTGTGAGTTAATTTTGTATATGATATGAGGTAGGGGTCCGATTTGATTCTTTTGCATGTGGATATCCAGTTTCCCCAACACCCTTCTTTGAAAAGATTTTTTTTCTCATTGAATTTTCTTGGCATTCTTTAAAAAATCCATTGACCATAGTATAGCAACTCAATTTATAATGGCCTCAAATTAAAAGCAGTCCAATGTTTGCCAAGAAAAATATATAAATTGTGGTATATCCATACAATAGGATACTACACAACAATAGTAATTAACAAATGTTGCTACACAAAACATAATGGATAACTATCACAGACATTATAGTTATCAAGAGAAACCAGAAACAGAAGAGCGCATCTTGTATGATTCAAATTTATGTGAATTTCAAGGACAGGTATAACTAATTGTAGTGATAGAAGCCAGTGCTGTAATTATCTGGGGAGGAGTCGATATTGACTGGGAAGGGGCGTGAGGGAGCCTGCTGGGGTAATAGAAAAGTTCTGTGTATTTATTTGGGTGGTGTTTACATGGGCATGTACACAGTAAAAATTTATTAATTTATTTAATCTTTATGCTCCTTACTATGTATATGTTGTACTGCAATCAGAAACAGACAAAAAATCCCAGCATGTTACCCACATGAATTTTTAGAGCACTTCCACATTACCTCATCTGTGTAACTTCTGAGTTACACAGATCAGATATTCTCTGGGCAAGTTGGGAAGTTGGAGGAAGTATTTCAGGGTGTAGCTGACAAACAGTACAACTGAGTGGGTGATGCGCTTTAGCAGAATCAGAACCTCATCATGTGTTATACTCCATGGGATTGAGACAAGAGGCATCTGCCACTTCCCTTCCTCTCCCCAACCCTCAGTAATGTAAAGAGAACACAACCCCATGTCAGAGTTGGGGTGAAAAAAATGTTCTTGAGCAGCCATAACCTTAGGTTGTGGAGGTGAGAGGGACTGTTCTGTGGAAAATCATGTGCTATTTCATAAAGTCCATAATAACATCCTCACTTATTTGCAAATCTGATTTTATTTCTTTTTCACTTCCATTTCAAAGGCAATTGTCTCGGAAAAGTTTCCAAACGTTTGTTGACCAAGTTAATCCTATACAGAAATGCCTTGATGAAAAAAATCCAGCAAACACTTAGAACAATGTTTCTTTTAGCCAAGGTGGCTTAGGCACTGAGGGTATCTTGGAGAATCTTTTCCTTAAGCATCAGGTCACTGGTGGTTGCGATTAATGAGGAGGAAACTGCTATAGTGGCATCCATCTTAAACATGGCCTTCATGCTCCAGCTGAAATGGTCAATGAAGAAGCTTGGGTGCCTTTCCTTTTTCTTCCCCACACATCCCAAAAATGACAAATGTGCACTCCTTTTACTATAAACCTCACTCTTCTGAAGAGGAAAGAAGAAAGGGAACCTGCTAATTACCAAACGTCTCATATGTATCAAGCCCTATACTTGGTCCCTTAATATGTATTATTGCATTTAATTTTCTAAATTACTGTGCAGTATATTATTTAAACATCCATTTTGCAGATGAAAAAACTGATGCTGACAAAGGTAAAACTATTTGTTTGAGGATGCAGAATTAAAATTAAAACTCAAGTCTACATGTCCCTAACTAAGAGCTTTGCTCTTTTTTTGATGGATGTGAGGTTACTACTATTGTTTGGAAAGTCATTATCTTAAAGAGAAATGATCTATGTTGCTAGATTCATATGCATAGTTAACCATAGTCCAGGGAATGTAGCATGTTGATAAGCTAACAAATAGTAAGCACTGTTGAGGTACACACTCTGTGCCAGGTGCAGGGCTAGGCACTGGGCATGCAGTGGTCTCTACTCTTGGGAACTTTATAGGTCTGTATATATTGCCAACTTAGCCAGAAGTTTAGAGGATTCAGCCACATCCTTTGTGATACTTTGGAAGAGTGTCTAGCTGCAGTATGGAATACCTCAGAGTAACTATAATTTTCTGAAAACATAATTATTCTTTCTTATTTTTTCTTTTAAAAGGCGGTTACATATGCTACAGGAAACTGTTGATTACAGGGAAAAATTCATATAAGGTCTGACTTTCTCCCTAGGTAATGACATTTAACCCTTATTAGGTAGTTTTACACATACGCCCTGACCTCTTCAAAAGAGTCCAGAATCTATAATTTTGTTCTCTTTAATAAAGTCAATTTGTTAAGCGTCGAATGAAAGATAATTTAATTTGTATGCTTTGAATAAATAGTATGAGAAAAAAAGAGGGAAGGCTGGGCAAGGTGCCTCACGCCTTTAATCCCAGCACTTTGGGAGGCCGAGGCGGGTGGATCACCTGAGGTCAGGAGTTCGAGACCAGCCTGACCAATATGATGAAACCCTGTCTATACTAAAAATACAAAAATTTGCTGGGCATGGTGGCATGCTCCTGTAATCCCAGCTACTCGGGAGGCTGAGGCAGGAAAATCACTTGAACCCAGGAGGCAGAGGTTGCAGTGAGCCAAGACTGTACCATTGCACTGCAACAAGAGCAAAACTCCATCAAGGAAGGAAGGAAGGAGAGAGAGAGAGAAAGAAAGGAGGAAAGGAAGGAAGGAAAGAAGGAAGGAAGGAAGGGAGGGAGGGAGGGAAAAAAGAGGGGAGAGAAAGTCCCTCTGCTCAATTTGGCACCAAGCCTGCCTTGCCTAGACAGAGGTTTCAAAGCCATGGTTAGAGAGACATGTTGGGGTTTAGGACACATGATGTTTATTAGGGGGGTGGAGCTCTAGAAACCAAATGAAATAGGATGTCTCAGACCCTCAAATGCCAGCAGCAGTTGTCATGGAGATTTTAAACGCCTATGTTGGGAACTTAGCTCAAAAAGAGGGCTACTTCTTGGTTCCTGCCAATGTTTTTCTGTTTTGTGGGCAAAAAGGGATATGAGAAAGTTGTCCAGAGCAGTTTCCTGGCCCTGTTACTGTGGTGCTTAACTTCCTGGTCATGAAGGCTATGAGAATACTGAAGTTTTCTGTTCTCAAGGAGAAGAGTGCATGGCAAGGGGAGGGAAGCATGCCTACTGAGGCCAACACCATGGGCCAGCAATCAAATCAGCACAGAAGACAGTATGTTTATCTTATGCAAGCATGGATCTTGTAGCCCACTTTCCTTTGAATGAAGGAATGGGAAAGAATGGCCCAGTTGATGATGAAAAAAAGGTGCACTTATGGAATGCCATTTAGAATGACTTAACCTGTCGCTTTTGGGGAACTTTGAGTGGAGGAGTGGTGGCCTCTCAAGGTACACATGTACACTCTCGTCTCTTCTGACTAAGAGTACACATTTAGGACTTTGGCACTTTTAGAAACCACTTGAAATTCACCCTAGTATGAAGTCATGAGTAAGTAAAGAACCTCATGCTACCTTTCTCTTTGAGTAGGATAAGCCCCATTTATGAATTACTTTAGCCCCTTCATTAAAATTCCTCTTTGTAGAAGACAACCTTTCTGCATACTTAACTCTGTCTTATTTTGTATAGCTCTTTAGAATGGTTTGATGGACCTTAGCTCCTTTAACCCTCCCAAGAGCTATATACAATAGGTGAAGAACATTCTATCCCTTTTTCTTAGATTAAGTAACCGAGGCCAGAAAAGATAAAGTGATCCATCCCAGATTGTAGATTGAAAGGGTAAGAGCCAGGCTTGGTGAACAGCCATCCCACTTCAATGCTAGCTCTACTGCTATATGCATCTGTATTCCAAGAACTATTATCTGAGTAATGTTTCCCTATCTGTGCACCTTTGTGCACCAAAATATGTCTACATTCTGGGTTATTCTCCCCTCCCATTCTGCCTAAGACAGAAGCTATGGCAGGTATTGGTCCTCAGAGGTACTGAGGCCACTGTTGGCAAAGAGAAACAATGTTTCAGCTTTTTCAGTTATAAAATAAAGATGACAATCTCTATAATGCTTACCTCACATGGATGTTGTGTAGATCAAATAATAATAGATGTGAAAGTACTTTCTAAATTGTTATGATCTGTTCACACATGAGGGATTGTGATTATTCTTTACCCCCTGGGCAGAAGCCAACTCCTTGTCTTATTACTCTCTTTACAAATTCAGCTCCTGGTATAGCCACTGACTGTGAATTTGAGCAAATTGCTTGGTCTCTTTGCCTCAGTTTCTTCATCTGTAAAATGTTGCTAACAATAATTCTTAATATGATTGTCTTGAGAATGGAATGAGTTACTACATGCAAAGCATTTACAAGAACTCATGGCACATGGTCAGAGCTACATAAGCATTAACTCTTTTGTGTTGGCTTCCTCGTCCCTACTATCTCAGATCTAGAGAATAGATTAAGGGGACCCAGAAGCCAAGTGGCATGGAAGCCACTACTTATAGTCCCTTCCCACTAGCTTGCTAGTTCTTGTGTTCTCTACCCACAGCCTTCCCACCATGGATTGCCAAGAAAATGAGTACTGGGACCAATGGGGACGGTGTGTCACCTGCCAACGGTGTGGTCCTGGACAGGAGCTATCCAAGGTAAGTTATCCTATTCAGTACACTTATTTCTGTTGCATCTTAGGAACCAGCCCGGCAACTGAAAGAGGCCAAGATTAGGGGAGTCAGCCCTACTTATGACTGATCCAGTTCAGCGGGTAAAACCTGGGATCCACAGAGTATGCAATAGCAGTCATGATTCCAGCATGAAGTCAGCCTAGCAGGATCAAGGTCAAGGGAAGTTTCCATGAGATAACAGAGTATTTCAAGAATAGATGTGTAATGCAGAGACCCATGAGGACTGTTCAGCATTAGGGTAATCTGTCATCTAAAGCAAGGCCCAACCACATGGTGTTCAAGAGCCAGATATCAGGTCTTAGGAATGAGAAAGAGAGAAGAGCCAAGAAGACCTCTGTTCTAGAGGGTCTGCGCTACTGAGGAAGCTGTGCAATGGAGAATATAGGGATAGGGAACCACGGAGGGTCTAAAATCCCAATTAAAGATAAGGATCAGAATAAAATGACCAGCAAGGCAGAGACTTTATGTAACTTACTTGTTTCAAGCCTGGATCTGCTTAATTGTTCTTTCCTCAGGTCCCTTGTAGGTCCCTGAACTTGGGGGTGGTATTAAATTTTGGCTGCAGCTGGGGCTACAGAGGCCAGAAGCAAGCAGCTAGCAGATGGTTTCTGCATATTCACACTCTATTTTATGCAATTTTTGTTTATTCAGCAGTTGCTTATTGAACACTTGCAGAGTGGCAGGCATGGTTGTAGACACCATGGATATGGCAGAACAAACAAAAATATTTGCCTTCATGGACCTTACCTTCTATTATTAGTGAAAAAATAATAATTGAGACACATACAGAGATAAATGAAGAATCTGGATATGAAGATATGAGAAGAATCAAATTAGGGTGACTGGGTGGCTACTTCAGATTATGAAACAAGGAAAGGTCTCCCTAAGGAGACAGCCTCTGGGGAGAGGATACTAGTGCAGAGTCCCAAGGTGAAAATGAACTAGGCATTTTGAAGGAAAAGGAGGAAGGTAGTGCAATGGGTGTATGGTGAATGAGAGGGAGGGTAGTACACAAAGAGGTCAGAGAGAGAAGTATAGACCAGACCAGATAGCAGCTTGAGGTCTATGAGAAATTTTCATCTTTCTCTAAGTGCATTAGGAGCTCTTTGGAGGGTTTTGGGTTGGAAAGTTATAGGAATCTGTGGCTGGAAAACAACATAATAATTATCTAGCCCACTTTATTCCTACCTTTGTATTTTAAAAAATGAAGAGAATAAGGCGCAGGGATATCAAGAGATACAAGCACTAATTCTAAGTTTTTACACATGGCATTATGTCCCACAGTGGGGTACCCACATGGTTGATAAAGGATCCCAGTACCAAGGAAAGATCGCCAGAGGTAAGGTCATGCTGGACATTAAAATAGATATTAAAGCTTATATATGTGTAATACATATAAGCTTTAGAGCCAGATACACATGGGCATGAGTCCCATCTTTGCTCTGGGCAAATTATTTCACCTCAGAATCAATTAGGATGTAGTAAGTTGAAAGTAACATAAAATTTAACCATGACATGAACCATAAGTATATTTATTTATGTAATGAAGTCTGGAGACAGGCAACCTTTTTGCTTGTTGGGCAGATCAGCAATGTTATCAAGGACTCAGCCTCTTTTCATCCTTCATATTGGACATCTTGCTGTTTTGTTCTCATTGTGGCCTCATGATTGCAAAACTCAAAGCATCATATCTCCATACAATAGTCAAAGTCAGGAATCAGGGGCAAGGTCAAAATAGCTTGCCTTTTGTAGGGAAGAAGTCTTTTCCCAGAAGCTGTCCAACAGATTTTTCCTTATATCTTATGGTCCAGAACTGGGTGATGTAGCTATCTTTAGCTGGAATAGAGACTGGGAAATAAGTATCTGGCCAATGAGAATGGGATTGTGTGATTAAGACCAATCAAGAATCCGTTCTGGAGGCTAGTCTTCATGCCACCTAGAATGAAATCAGTGTTTTTATAGTAAGGAAGAAGAGGGGCAATTGTTTGAATAAGCAGCTAGAAGCATCTGATAGCCTTTTTTAAAGTAACTTTTATTTACTTTTAAATTTTACTCATGAATTATAAACATCACTGTAAATAAATCATTGCAGAAAATTAACACCATTTCCTCAGGACATTTTTCTTGATGTATAATTGCCAAGCTAAATAATGCGTACGATTTTAAGACTCTTGAAATATATCAGCAGATAACACTTCTGAATTTTGTTTATACTAATTTCTATTACCATTACATTTATTTTCAACAGTGCATAGAATTCCTGTTGTGGCCCTCTGTTCGGGGTCCCTGACTTCCCACAACAAATTCCCATGTCCCAGAAGCCTAAACGCAAATGAATAATAGATATTTTCATGATCTATTAATTTTATGCCTTCCTTTTAACAGTAATTACTAATTTATGAGGACTTTATGAGAATTTTGGTTTTACTTTTTATCTATTTGATAGGGGAAATGTACCAACTTTACTGTGTTTATTTGCCCATTTGCCTTTCCAATTTTGTGATCTATTTCTGATTGTTTCTCTTTCTATTCTTTCTATTCATTATGTATTGTTCTTTGTCTACTCACATAAGGAACCTAAGTAGACAGACATATAGTAGATAACAGAGTATTTTAAAAATCGTTTAAAATGTAAGTATATTTGTATTTAAAAACCAGAAATGCTTTTAAATTTTGTTTCATTTTAGTATCATCTGTTGATTTGTAAATATATTTTCCCTTTGATGTATTAATTTGATGACATGTATTAATAAATTCCTAAAATTTAAATATCCTGCATTCCCAGTATAAACCATTCTTGATTATAGTTTTAAGGTAAATACCCTTTTATGTTGTATAAGTTAGTATTTTAACTAAAACAAATAATTATTATTGTAACACTATCAGCATCAAAATTTTGGATCAGCATTGTGCTACCATGGCAAAATCAAGAATATCAATGTTTTCTGGCTATAAAAGTGGTTAATAGCAAAAGAAATTTTGCACCTTAATGATTTGAAAGAACTTCCTTTGCCTCCTAATTATGAAGGAGAATTCTCAATAAATTTTTAATGATAATTTGCTCCTTAATTTATTAAAAATTATTCATTTATTTAATTTTTATTGAGTACAATTTGATAGTCTTTGGTTTTATTTCACTATGCCAATCCCTGTCTTTTAATTGGCTTACTTAGAACATTTATGTTTAAATAATCTTTGATATTTTAAGATTTAAACCTAACATTTTATTCTTTTTGTGTTTGTTTTCTCTGTTTCTTTTGTCCCTCTATTTGTCTTTTCTTGCCTTCCTGTGGGTTCCATGAACATTTTATTTAGGATTCCATCATGATTTATTTGTAGTGTTTTTGAGTGTGTCTCTTTGTATCATTTTTTTAGAGGTGGTTCTGAGTATTACATGAAAAACTAACACGTTACTTTTTCAATGTCAGCTGGTATCAACATTTTGCCATTTCAAGTGAAGTATTGAAATATCTGTTCCATTTAGATTCCTTTACTTTCCCCACTTTTAAATATCATTGTCACGAATATCAGATATAATTTTTGTTAAATTTGTTTTAGTCATCTACTATGATTTATAAAATGTATGAAGAGAAAGATAGTACATTTTATACAACCATATTTTTTCTTTCCCAGTGTTCCTTCCTTCCTGATGCTCCAAGATTTCTTCTTTTATCACTTCCACTCTTTCTTAAATCATTTCATTTGTGTTTTATGAACTCTCTTTAGAATTATTTAAGGGTAGGCCTACTAGCAACTCATTCTGTTAGTTTTCCTTTGCCTGAGAATGTTTTTATGTCCCTTCATTTCTGGGGATACTTTCACTGGATATAAATTTGCAGTTGACAGTTTTTTTATTTCAGTACTTGAAAAATGTAATACTTCCTTCTTGGCTTCCATGGCTTCTGACAGAAACCCACTGTCGTATCATTTGAATGGGTGTTTTTCTATAGGTAATGCCATTTATTCTTGGCTATTTTCAATATATTTTTTTTAGTTTTCAGAAGTTTTATTATGATGTGTATTGGTGTGCATTACTTTGGATTTTTTTCTGTTTGGGATCTGTTCATCCTCTTTAACTTGTAGGTCTTTTACCAAATTTGTGAAGTTTTCTTCCAATTTGTTTGAAAATATTTTTAGATAAACATTTAAAAAATTTTCTTTTCATAAGATTCTGACAATATGATTTTTCTATATTTTGTTATAGTCTCATAGGTTCTTGAGGCTTTGTTCATTTTATTTTGTCATTTTCTCCCTGTTGTTCATATTGCATAAATTCTGTTGTTCTGTCCTCAAGTTCACTGATTCTATCATCTGTCTCTTCTCTACTACTAAGCCCATCCAGTGAATTTTTAAAATTTCTGTCATTTTATTTTTAATAATTACCATCTGTTTATTTAAAAAAAACTTCTGTTTCTTTGATGAGATTTTCTATTTTTAAGAGAATTTTAAATTGTTTTTTAAAACATTTTTATTATGGGTGCTTTAGAATCCTTGTTCAATCATTCCAACATCTGCTTTATCTAAGAGTTGCTGTCAGTTAATTGACTTTTCTCATTCATGTTGTGATTTTCCTTATTCTTATTATCATGGGTGGTTTTTCGTTGTGTTCTGGACATTTTGTCAATTATGTCAGGAGACTCAGGGTCCTATTTAAACTTTTACTTTAGCAGGCAGTCATCTGTTTATGTTTAGCATACAGGTTTTGGCCTACGTTTGTGAGCTGCAGTTCTAAAGGCTATTTAATTTCCAGAACCTTTGTAGTGTGATTTTTGGTCTGCGGGGTTTATCTTGTGCTGCCTCAGGTATAGACGATTTCCTGGGCCAGGTCACTTGGTCCATTTAGGTCGGCATAAAGAAGTGTCTGAGTTGTAGAGTCAAAGAACATTTCCCATGCTCGACCACTTGTTATTAGTAGGATACCACTTGCCAGTATACCCCAGCCACCTGTTCCTATGTGGGGGAAAATAATCTCAGACCCACAGGACAAAGAAGCATTTGAGCTGGTTACTTATGGTGGAATCTCAAGTGCCCCCTGCAGCCTATTGTCTCTAGTTGTGTGTGGGGAATCGCAGGCCCATGGGGAAGAGGCTTCTCAGGCCAACAATTTGTGCCTCAATTTTGCTTATTTGTGAAACATGGATTATATTGCACCCTTATAAGGTTTTATGATGAATAAACAAGTATATAAATTCATGAGTGTGTGGATTTTTGTCTGATTGATTCAATTATTTAGTCACAATATTCAGAATAGCATCCTCATGCATTGTAGTTGCTTCAAAAATGTTTTCTGAGTTAACCAATAAAATGAAAGGGAGTGCTAACCAATTAATCAATCAATCAATCACTCAACTTATTGGTTAACTTTCAATAAATGCTAGCTTGCTTTTGTCATTCCCTTCTCTAGCAAGTGAGTAAGTGAGGAGTCAGGCACATATCTTCTGATTCCAGTGCTATAGATAGAATAAAAACTTGCTTTCCAGAAGAACAATACCTAATGTTCATCTGTTCATTGAAGGATTACTATGTTCTAGGCATGGTGACAAGCACTACACACAACCCACACACAGAGCTATATATGTATCTGTGTGTGTGTGTGTGTGTGTGTGTGTGTGTGTGTGTGTGTGTTTGTGTATCTGGTTAAGAGACATCCTTTATCTAAATAAGAGCTGTTTGTGTTTCTTTTTCTGTGAATATATGTTTAGTTTCTCATAAGGTGGTTGTCGTTAATTTATACTAGTTCTGTGTTATCGGAATATAAATCTTTAGTCTGTGATATGGTGTACATCTTTTTACTAGTTCATTATTTGTCTTCTAATTTTGCTTATGAATCTTTTACCCTGAAACTTTTTAAAATTTTTATGTAATTATATCTATCTTTCCTTTACTGCTTCTGGACTTCGTGTTGCAGTTAGAGAAAATTTCTCCACTCCCAGATTAAAGAGGAATTTATTTATATTTTGTTTTGGTACTTTTTGGTTTTAATTTTTATCTATAAATTTCTGATCTATTTTGGTGTATAGTGTGAGGAATGTATCAAATTTTATCATTTTTCACATTGTCATTCGGTTATCCAACATAACCTATTTAAAAAGCCAGCTATTCTCCATTGCTTTGGGATATTCCTTTTGTTCATTTGGTCAGCTCATGTAATCTTAACAAATCTATAAGTTGGATAGCATTATTTCCAATTGGATTGACAAGAAAATTCAGGCCCAATGACTTGCCCAAGGTCACATCGCTGGTCAGTAGTAAAAGTGGGAGTTAAAGATAGGTCTTCATTACCTTGGATCAGGGATTTTCATCACTACATTATATTTCCTAATAATTTGACCCCCAGCTCACTGTTTTAAGCAGATATGGAAGCTATCACCATTCCAGTGGTGCACATAAGGTAGCAGAGATTCCAAGAAACCCTTTAACTTTTCAAGAAACTTAGAGCATGAGTAAAATGACTACTGCCCATGTCAGATCCCATTGGTAGATGGGATCATTGTGAGTGAGGCTGCAAGGCATTGAGTAAAGCCTGAGTGGGCAAACATGGGGCAGAATGGAAGGAGTATTTCGAGCCTGCCTGATGCTCACTTTTTCCAACTCCTGGGAAAGTATAACTTAAATGTTAGTTCAGGTAATATTAACTGCTGTAACAAATACTAAAGTTTGGTGACATAAGAGGTTAAGGGTTTATTCCTGAATGTGACTCCAATCCATGTTGGGGAGTAGGAAGATTCTTCTCAGCCATTCAGGAAGCCAGGCTTATGGGAGCTCTGTGTTTTTTAAGCAGCCTTATTAAAATACAGTTCACATACCAGTCAATTCACCCATTTAGGTTTACAATTCATGGTTTTTGGTATACTGCATTATGATTTTTAAGATTGTGGTAAAATATGTAATCTCAAATTTGCTGTATTAGACATTGTAAGTGTATAATTCAGCAGCATTAATCACATTCACAATGTTATGCAACCGTCACCCCTTTATTTCTAAGACTTTTTATTACCCCAAATACAGTCTCTGTATGCCTTAAGCAATAACTCCCAATTTCCCCCTCCCCAAAGTGCCTGATAGCCTCTACTCTCTGTCTCTACAAATTTTGCTATTCTAGATATTTCATGTAAGTGGAATCATATTTTTTCATGCAGTCACCTTTACCAGAGATATTTACTCTTTGCATGGCTTTGGGTTACTCTCCATTGTCTGTTCATTTCAGCCTGAAGGACTCTCTTCTTGTAGTCAGGTCAAATGATATCAATCAGCTGTTGTTTGTCTAGGGATGTTTTAATTATTCCTTTATTTTTGAAGAACTTTTTTCTGTATATAGAGTTCTTGGTTAACAGTTTATTTGTTTAGGCACTTATATGTCATCTCACTGACTTTAAGTCTCTGCACTTTGTGATGAGAAATATGCTTTGAATCTTATCGAGAATACCTTTACTTGACAAGTAATTTCACTCTTGATTTTCAATATTTTCTCTTTGTTTTCAGCTATAAACATTTTTTGATAGTGTATCTCAGCATAGGTCTCTTTATGTTTACTCTGCTTGGAGTTTCTTGAGCATCTTGGATGGGTTAATTTATGTCTTTCATCAGATTTGAGAAGTTTTAAGCCATTATTTCTTCAAATATTCATTCTCGTCCCCCATCTCCCTGTTTTTTCTGTGAATCCCATAATGCATATATTGGTCACCTGCATGATGTTCCACAAGTTCCTTATGTTCTGTTTACTTTCTTCTCCTCAGACTTGATAATTTAAATTGTCCTACATTCAGGTTTGCTCATTCTTTCTTTTACCTACTCAAATTCTCTAGTGAAGTTTTCATTTCATTTATCTTACTTTTTAGCTCCAGTATTCATGTTTGGTTCCATTTTACAATTTTTCTTAACCAATATTCTCACTTTGTTTATACATTTGTTTCCTGATTTCTTTTAGTTCTTTGTCCATGTGTGTCTTTGAGCAAATTTAAGACAGTTCTTTTAGTCTTTGTCTACTAAGTGCAATGTCTGGGCTTCCTCAAGAATAGTCTCAATTCTTTCTTTTTCTTGTTCCTTTGAATGGGCCACACTTGCCTGTTTCTTTTTACACTGTGTGATTTATTTTTTTGTTGTTAAAAACTGGGCAGTTTTGTATTGTAATGAAGTAACTCTGGTAGTCAGATTTCCCCTCTTCCTGTTTTACTTTTGGTTTTGGTTTTGTTTGTTTGTTTTCTAGATTTGTGTTGTTGAAGGCTATAGTAGTCCATCTGTTGTTGTTATTATTATCATTATTGTTATTATTATTATTTTGTTTGGGACTGGGTATTGCTCTGTCACCCCAACTGGAGTGTAGTGTCATGGTTATTGCTGACTTCAGCCTCCACTTCCCGGGCTCTAGCGATCCTCCCATCTCAGCCACCTGAGTAGCTGGGACCACAGGTGCATGCCACCATTCCCAACTAATTTTTGTATTTTTGGCAACAAGGCTTTGCCGTGTTGCCTAGGCTAGCACTCCATTTGTTTAGGTGTTTTTCCAAACTATTTTTGTAGAGACTATTTTTTGTCATGTATCGCCATTGAAACCTATGTTAATTTAGCTCATGTTCAGCTAATGTTTGGACAGCAATTTCATTGAATGCTAAAAGTTAAAAAATGACAACAACAACCAAAAGAAAAAATAGTCACACATTACTCTCACATTTTTAGATTGGCTCTGTGCTGGGGAACTACTTAAACAGTTAGCCAGATGTGCACTTAGCTTAGGGATCAGCCTGACATGTAAGCTTTAGGTCTCCACTAGTATTTTCTGAGCATGTGTCTTGTATGCACACACCTTTCTAAATTCCTCCATGTGGATACTTTTGAATGTACTTATTTCTAAAGGAACCTCCCCCAGCTTTTGCTCCCAGATTCAGACAGTCTGTTTTATGTCTTAATCCATAATCATTGCCCTAGGTATTGTGGTTTGTTAGTTTGCCTTGCAACATTTTGAAACAGTGCCCATCACTTTTCCAATCTGCATTCTCAATCGAGTGGAACATACATAAATACCTTGTATCAGTCCTTCAAATAGCCCTCAAATAGGTTAGGACAGACATACACAGTAATTTGTCAATAAGTTTTGCTTAGCTCACTCTGGAATCAGGTACTGAGGTCTCACACTAGGAATACAGGCTGAGGCTACTTTAAGACTTCCACTACTTTAGGACTGCCACTGCTCTGGGGTGAGGGATGTAACAAGTACAAGTAAAAATAGCAGAAAACTTTCCTATTATTTTCAAGTGACCTTTTTCTTGATTTAACATTTACATGGTTGATGTAAGCCTTTGAATGTTTTCCAGAGTTCTGACAACATTGATTATGACAGTTCCTGCTTGTTTTTCTATGTTTCTGTAGGGGCATAAGAGCTTGAAGCTGCCTACTCCTCCATTTTATCTGGCTTCCGCTATCATTCTTAATATATTTATTCCAAGGTTTCCAGGGGTGTCAGCATGCACTGGAAAATGAATGTATGAAGAAAATTTAAGTATCACACAGGACATGTTTTTGAGTCAAGCCTGGGAATGGCAAACAATATTAGTATCCATATTTCATTGGCTAGAAATGATGCACATGCCCCCACTTCATTGCAGTGGGGTTAAAGAATTTTGGCTAATGGTGTTCCCAGGAGAAATAAAGAATAGGTTAAGTGAACAACCAGCCAGCTTCTGCTACAACTAGCATACAATTAATATGCTTTCACAACTAGAATTGTTTCTTTGAGAAAGAGCTGTGACTGGTATCAGGCAGGAGCCTTGTTCCTGTTGAAGTTAGGCTGTCAGATCTAAGAATCTCTAGAGAGCATTTATTTCAATTTCCTCAGTGTTGGGACTTCTGATGCCCAGAAACTGGGGGTCGGGGGGAAGGAATATGGCCAAAGTTAGTACCAGAGCTGAGACAAGAGCCAGCTAGAGTGTTTGCCTCTCATCTATACCATTGGCATTCAAACATTTTTTACCATGACCTAGAGTAAGAAATAACTTTTTATCACAACCCAATATATACTTTCATGCATTTTATCTGTAAAACTTTTATAAAACAGTACTTATGTGGGTAGTGCTTATGACTATTTGTCAAATATTTCAGCTCCCCACATTCTGTCACATTGTAGAATTGCATTTTCTTGTACCTGTTGTAGTTATTAATGATCATGTGATGTGTATGGCCAAGGACATGTGAGTAAAGCAATATGGGTCATTTCTTGGGGAAAACTTTAAGAGCTTGTACGCAGTTCACAATGTTTCAATCATAAAAGCAGAAAAATAAAGCTTCTGTAACCCCGGGTACCCCATTGAGGATGATGTACAGCAGAGTCCTCAGGAACCCCCTGGTAGGCAAATATGATGAGTGAGAAATAAACTTTTATTCTTTTAAGACACTGAGATTTAGGGTTTGACTTTTGCCATACTGCAGCATAGCCTATGCTGACTGATACAAATACTTAGCTTTACTTCATTCCATGTACTCTTATATTTGATACTATTATTCTATTTCATTCTATTTTATCTTTCAATGCTGGCTGGAAGCTAGTGAATTGGTTTTATGACTTAGTAATGGGGTTGCAAGTTGCAAAATACTACCCTGTACAGTCCACTTGTCCCACAGGTGATCCCATCTCCAAGCTCCTATAAAGCAATATTAACAACCCCCATCTGTCTACAGGATTGTGGTTATGGAGAGGGTGGAGATGCCTACTGCACAGCCTGCCCTCCTCGCAGGTACAAAAGCAGCTGGGGCCACCACAGATGTCAGAGTTGCATCACCTGTGCTGTCATCAATCGTGTTCAGAAGGTCAACTGCACAGCTACCTCTAATGCTGTCTGTGGGGACTGTTTGCCCAGGTGAGCTTGCTTTATGAGACCAAGCTTGTCTGGGCTTTTCTAGCTGTTGGAGGTTTCTCCCATCCTCACCTCTCAGAACTTAGTCGAAATATTCTTCTTATAAACATAATATTCAGTTTAAGCTCCCAGAAGAGAGAAGTGGTGTCTTCCCAAGATACCTCTATAAAGTGCTTAGCACATTGTCAGTCACAGATGAGTACTTGACCGCTTTTCCATCATCACTCTCAGCTGAAGACCAAAGTTCAAGGTAAATCTCACTGTAGACTTAAAAGAAGTTATGATGTACTTGGTATCAAAGCAGTGCACCCCTCTCTTGTGGAATTAGGTCTCCTTTTGGCTACATGGTGTCATGAATGGGGGAAGAAGTAGAGTGTCTGGGTCTCTGAGTCAGAAAAAGACACAGAGGCAGATAACTCAGAAAGAGGGGTGGGCACTTACTTTCAGGTTGGCAAGATTCTTAGGAGCTGCTTTCCCAGGAAGAACTGGTCCAAGTGCATTGCTTGTTTGATCACCCTGCCATTCCTAATTGCTCTGAACACAGGTTCTACCGAAAGACACGCATTGGAGGCCTGCAGGACCAAGAGTGCATCCCGTGCACGAAGCAGACCCCCACCTCTGAGGTTCAATGTGTGTACCCAGTTCTCTTCTTCCCTTTCTCCTCATCCCATTGGGTGGCAGCAAGATAGGGTAGTAAAGACTACCCATATCCCCTCATACCTTTTCATGTAGAGTAGAGTGGCAAGGGAATCAGATTAGAAGTCTGGTTTTACAACATATTATCTTTGCAACTCTATGCAAATCATTCAATCTCATTGAACCTCATTTCCTACTTCTGAAAAAAGGGTGAGTCATGATAATCATTTTTCTTCATACCTTGTGTGATGGGTATCTAGGTCTAATGAGAAAATGGATGTTAGGAAGCACTTCACAAATTATAATATTTGTAAACCTATGAGATATTATTATTATATGAAGTATATAGGAGCCCCTAGGGCTGAGGACTTGTAAGAGGCTGAATGAAGAACTAGGGTCCAATCTATGCCTATACCACTATCCATTTATCTAATCGTCTATCTTTTTTGTCTACCATCTATTTACTTACTTCCTATTTTAAAATTATTGACATATTTTTTAAATCATGAAAGTTTTCAAACATGTAGAAATATTTTTAAGTGCAGAAAAATATAAAATTAAAATGCAATCACCCAGCATCTATCCAAAGTTAATAAATCATAGCATTTTGCATATTTGCTTCAGATGTTTTAAAAGAATAAAGATTCCACAGATATAATGGAATTCTCTTCTAGATTCTCTCAGAGTCCTATTACCTCCCTACCTCCTCAGATACAACCACTATCCTGAAATTGTATGTATTCTGTTGGTAGGCTATGCTAAAGTAACAAACAAACTGCAAAATCTCAGTGACTTTATACAATAAAAGTTTATTTTTTTTTTACTATGCAAAGGCCTTCCTACATCATTTGACTGTGCATTCTAGACCATATGTCTTCCAGGTCAATGACACAGGGGAAGAGATGGAGGAGACATACTGGTTCTTAACTGCCTCAGTCTGGAAGTGACACATGTTATTTCAACTCACAGTTCATTGGCCAGAAGTACTCTGATGGCCTTACTGCAAGGGTGTAAGGGAAATACATGGGAGTATGTGGATAACTGGTGAGCACTATACCTCTGCCATACTCTCCACTAATGTTTTAATACTTGGGTTCTTTTGTGATATGTGTGCATATTCATAACCAATATATGCTATTGTTATGTATTGTATAATGTTTTATAGAAATGATATCAAGCTATATGTTCTGTTTCTCCAACTTCCTTTTTCCCCCTCTAGATTATTTATATTGATCCATAAAGGCCTTTAAGTGCTGTATAATAATGTAAGATTTTAGGATTATATCATGATTTGTTTATCTTGTGCTCTACTGATGAATTTTTTAGCTTGTTTCCATTGATCTGGATTATATAATTAGATGTGGCACAGAAAGATCACAGGATATGTGCATCTTCGATTAATTGTACTAATTTCTACATACCAGCACTATATACAAATTATTTTGCCTTGTTCTTTATAATTTTGCCTGCTCTAGAAAGAAGTAAAACCAGCATAGCCACCCTAATTGGGGAAGGCCCTAGGGAGAAGGGTGACAGCCTGAGGAAGTCCAGGTCCAGGGTCAGGGTGACTGTTTACTGCCCATGCTAACTGACCTCCCCCATTTTTTTGTCTCACAGGTGCCTTCCAGTTGAGCTTAGTGGAGGCAGATACACCCACAGTGCCCCCTCAGGAGGCCACACTTGTTGCACTGGTGAGCAGCCTGCTAGTGGTGTTTACCCTGGCCTTCCTGGGGCTCTTCTTCCTCTACTGCAAGCAGTTCTTCAACAGACATTGCCAGCGTGGTAAGGGTGGCTGTTTCATGTTTCACATGAATCAGGAACAAGGCTCTTATTGGCAGAAGAGAGGGATGTTCTGGGGTTGAGAGACAATGGGCCTTTTCTACCATGCTTGAAAACCCCATGAATAGTCTTCTGTTGGCCTGGGGAACTATCTGGGGCTGCAATGGAAAGCATGGGACTTAAGAGATTACTGAAGCCAACCCTGAGAGTTTAGAAGACCTGGTTCATTATGTTTCAGGGGATTTTAAAGGAATGTGGCACGGTGGGAAACCCCTCAGGAAAGGAATCGGGAGACCTAGGTTCTATGTCTACCTCTAAATCACCGTGTAACCTTAGACAAGTCATCTAGCCTCTTCAGACCTCTTTCTTCCTAATCTTTAAGATAAGAGATAGGATTGGATTTGTTGATTTCTGGGTTCTTTTCCAATTCTTTATATCTATACTAGTAGGTATAAATTCTAGAGCATGTCATGAATTGAGGAAGGCTTGGCTATATCTGAGATACGACTGTAATAAAAGTGGTTGAGGTCTAAGGCCACTGCTATCAGTATAATAACTTCACAAATGGGGATAACTGAAAGCCCTATGTCCAGAGTAGTTGGCAAACCTGGACTTTCTCCCTCAGATAATACTGATGTCAAGAGGTCTAGCCCAGTCCATATCAGACAGCCATGCAAAATTCCAGATGGAAAATCATATTTAAAGTCACAGTAACATTGTGATCTCTATTAAGCACAACTTCAGCTACTAGACAAGAATGTGGGACAGAAAAGCCAGCTCACTGAGGACAAAGATGGGGGAGGTGGGAATGTGGCTGATCAGGACCAGGCAAAGAGTTAGAACTCCAGCCAAGAGTACCAAGGTTCAGTGCAGCTTCATTGCCATTAAGGGAACTGAGAGTTAGGCAGGGACACTGAAACAGGAACTCAGATCAGAGAATGAAGTTGATTTATAAGGGGGAAGATAAAGTTTACTAGATAAAAGAGTGCTCAGGACTCCTTTTCAGCCCACTGGATACTGTGTGCAAAGCTGCAGTATTTGTGTGGGAAGATCCTGCTAATGTAAATTTGCCTTGGGTCAGTTTGGCTCTGGGGCCTAGCAGATGATCTTGAAAAGCCCAAGAGGTATGTTTGGTTGTGCCCTGGCTTAATTGGAGATGAATATAGCATTTCATGGGCTGCAGGATACACGGGGAACACTGTTGTTCCTTTATGATTTTTCTCAAAGTCTACTTCTTGCTAGCTCCTGGGACACTGTGACTCAAGGTAGACCTTCCTGTCTCTGACTTTGGAGGCCAGTGTCCCAGATAAGAGTTGTTGCTTAGGCCCTGGGTGCATGGACATGAAACATGAGCAATGAAGCATTTGGACTCCAGGGTCCAGAAGATGAAAATGAGAAAATATCAGAGAGCTGCCTCAGAAGAAGAGAGATGGGTAACCCTTTTCTGCTCTCCTTCTATCCTGAAGATAATAATGTGGTAACCTGCTTGGAATATGAGGGCAGGCAGTTTCCTCACTGTTTTTATAAGGGCTAGGAAGGCTAGACATTTTCTTACTTTGGAAAACTGTTTTTCAGGAGTCACTGACTTACACACATACTGGGGTGAGATGTATGTGCGAATTAAATCCAGTGTAAGGTTGCAAGAGAGAAAAGTGCAACTGTGGCAAACTACAGAGCACATCCCTTATCTAAAGGGGAATCCCACTACTTGGATCCAGCTGTTTGTAACCATATGGAAATATTTAATGTTGCAAGATCTTCTACATTTTCAAGAGAATTCAGAAATCTGGATTTTTTTTAATGAAGTTGTGTTAACCATAGTCAATGAATTTGAATAAAGAGCAAAATCACAACCAAAGCAAAGAGGACAAACACAAATCCCATAGGTTCTCAGTTTGTGACCTGATGTTGAACCAGATCCATGCATGAAGGGGGTATTACTTTTCTATCATGGCCATAACAAATTGCCACACATTTAGTAGCTTATTATCACAGTTTCCATAGCTCAGAAGTTCAGTAGGCTCAATTTTGTCTCTGCTTAGAGTCTCACAATGCCAAAATTAAGATATTGGCAGGGCTGTGTTTCTTTCTGGAGTCTCTGGGAGAGAATCTGCTTGATCATGCACAAAAGTGGCAGAATTCAGGTCTATGCAGTTAAAGGACTTAGGTCCCATTTCCTTGCTGGCTGTAAGCTGAAGGTCATTCCTAGCCTCTAGGACCACTTACATTCTTTGGCTCATGGCCCCCTTCTATTTTCAAAACTAGCAATGATGAGTTGAGTTCTTCTCATGCCACATCTCTCTGATACTCTCTGTCTCCTCTGCCTTCCTCTTCTGCTTTTAGGGACACAGGATTACATTGGACCCATAGAGTAATCCAGGATTCTCTCCTTATTTTGAAATCCATAACTTTAATTCCATCTGCAGAGTCTAGTTTGCCATGTAACTTAATGTACATAGACATAAGACCAGGCCATGAAGATTATGGCAAGGGAGATGGTATCAAAATCCTGTTTCCCACAAAGGTTTCTTTTTCTCTAGAGAAATTGATTATTTTCTCTGATCCAGTACCAGCTAGCCTCAATCTGATACCTGAATGTAAGTATGTTTCTCAACTGTGTCACCTCAGCCTGGTGCTAGGTGCTCTAGACCCCAGGGAGAGGAAGGAAAGAATCAGCTCCCAGACCTTTACCTGTCTTGTACTCAGTACCCAGTGCCCAGCTGAGAAGAGCCCCTGCTTTTGGGTAACCCAGTGGCTTTCTGCTTCGAGTTGCAGGAGGTTTGCTGCAGTTTGAGGCTGATAAAACAGCAAAGGAGGAATCTCTCTTCCCCGTGCCACCCAGCAAGGAGACCAGTGCTGAGTCCCAAGTGAGTGAGAACATCTTTCAGACCCAGCCACTTAACCCTATCCTCGAGGACGACTGCAGCTCGACTAGTGGCTTCCCCACACAGGAGTCCTTTACCATGGCCTCCTGCACCTCAGAGAGCCACTCCCACTGGGTCCACAGCCCCATCGAATGCACAGAGCTGGACCTGCAAAAGTTTTCCAGCTCTGCCTCCTATACTGGAGCTGAGACCTTGGGGGGAAACACAGTCGAAAGCACTGGAGACAGGCTGGAGCTCAATGTGCCCTTTGAAGTTCCCAGCCCTTAACTCTAATGAGGTGAGCTGGAAAGGTGGATCAGAAAAAAACAAAAAAAGCAAAACAGAAATTAAGGACTAACCTCAAGGAATTCTCTTTTGGAATAGTATTATTCACTAGGAGTGGAGGAACAGCAGCAAGCTAGGAACACTTTGGGTGGAGGGGCAACAGTGGTGATGCTAAACTTTTAAGCCAGACAGATATCACACTTCTGGGTCTACAATTGTCAGGGAACTGGCAAGGTTGTCATGATACCAGTCTCTCCATTCTGGTCTTTCGTAAGCTCTCTCAGGGCCCCACTATCTAATGGTCATATTCAGGTATCTCCCTTTATGTGTGCAAGCAGCATAGCACAGTAGAAAAAGATATACAAGCCTTGTCATCTGGAAACCCTACATTTCAAATCAACCTTCATTCCCTAATAACTATACAAACCTTGTGTGTATGTCACTTCATTTTACATTTTACAGAGGCAGGAACTGAGACACAGAGAGGGAAAGTTAGTTTCTCAAAGTCACAGGGCAAATTAGTGGGCTAGAACTGTGCAAGAACCCAGGTTTGGGGGCTACATTTTAGAGTTGGTTCAACTCCACCATTGCAACCATTTGATAGCCAATGTTACTTTCTCAAAGCTTATGTAGCATGAGGTAGGAGAGTAGGTAGATTCCCAGTTTTCAACTAACCAAATATCTTGCAGTGCCCACTTCCGTATTTCTTCAGTTAATACATTTTCAGTTCTCCCAATGACTTCCCTGCTCCCTGCATCCAACCTAAGAAAACGTGAACAAATGTATATTTGAAAGTCATAACTGATATCAAATTTGAAAGTTATAACTGATGTCAAATCAATCAACTTAGGTACCTTCAAGGTTATCTAGTCCAGTTCTTCTTCCAAGGTTTGGGTCCATTTTATAATATCCCCACTAAGAGTTTGTGTAGTCCTTGCTCACATACTTTAGGTGGCAGAGGGCTGACTACTTCTCAATGTATATTACAGTATACACAATTGTGACTGGTGGGTTTGAGCTCAATGTAAGAAAGAGCTTTCCCTGTAGTACCCGCCTATCCATCCTGGCTCTGTTCCTCGTGCCAGACAGACCTCATCAGTTTCCTCTGCTTTAAGATAGCCCTGCAGAGGCTTGAAGACAACACCACCTCTCTGGAGAATACCACTTTAGGTTCTTCTAAAGTATGTGGAGCTTAGAACTAAACCTATCTTCAGGATAAATGGTTTCAACAATGTAGAATAGGGTAGAATTGTCATATCCCTATCTAGGTAATGTCTTTCTGCTATTACATCCTCAACCATTGGCTTAACCTATGATATTTGGAGGGGTAGAGAAAGAAGGGTGCTAGTGAGATTTCCCCACATGTTTCTAACTTGGTTTGCTCTCTCCTTAGGTCTCTTGGGCCCCTGGCAGCCTTGCCCAGTTGTTCTCTCTGGACTCTGTTCCTATACCACAACAGCAGCAGGGGCCTGAAATGTGATGTCCACAAGAGCTAATACCCTACAGATGGGGCATATCCTATCCCATCCCACCAGAGGATTGATTCTCCATTTCACAAGGACTGATCTGGAGCATTTCTTGCTTCCCTTTTGTAGTCTGGGGAGCCAGATTCCACATTCATGGGACTACCAGACATGTTCCTAGCTCAACTTGATTATAGAGAAGAGGAGAGAGGACAGTGAATGGGGTAGGGTTTTCATGTCTGCATTTTTGGTCAGGTAAGCCTCTCAAAATTGTGTTGGCACATCTACCTAGCACTTTAGGGACAAAATCAAACCCTTCTCCCCTTTTAGCTCCTCCACACTGTCTCCCTCCTCAACACACACACACACACATACACACACATATACATAGACACACAAACACACACACACACATTAATATCTATCTTGGGGGAGGCCTCGTGCCATAATTCCCAAGTTCATGTCTCAGACTGCTGCATTGCAGCATGAGGCAGGGCAAACACTTTCCCTCTAGATCCCTGGGGCCTCACCCTGTATTTGAGGTTCTCACCACCCTCAGCAGGGAGAAGGGCTGAAGTTCGCCATTTTGGAACCTTACAGAACATTTCTGAGCCAAAGTAATCTTCCTTCTGGGGCCTGAGTTCCCCAAACTACCCCACAGCAGTCCCTCAAAGACAGCCCTCAATCCATGTAGGGACATCTGAGTATGCCTCTTTCTATTGAAATGTCAATTCAATCCCAGCTTTCTCACCACCGTTCCCCTTTGATTCTTTCTCAATTGTCTTTTTGCCTTTAGCTCCCACCTATACATCTCATGCTCAGAGAAAAACAAGTTCCTTAGAGGTTGTATTCTTTATTCTCCAAGAATCTGTCTGAAACTTGTACAGCTAGTTCCTGTCCCACAACTATTAAGTGGTTTATTAAGTACATTAGGCAGAATGTGCACTTCATCACCAGGTTCTAGCTCTGGCAAAGGAGTGCTGTCTACAGCAAGATTTTTGCTTTTAGAATTTTATTAACTACATCTTTTGGGTTCATCCATCTACAAACACTGATTAAGGGCCCCTGGGGCAACCAATTGATCAGATTACTAAAAGGACTTGGGAAAAAGCAAAAAGGTCCCATTGTACTGGACTGAGGATTAGAAGCAATTGAAATACAAGCCTGTACCAAGCAAGCAGCCTGGCCCCACACAGGTATTAGCAAATATGTGGTAACCAAGGTTTTAGGCCTTGGCCTTTAGGTTTCCTGTTTTTTTTTTGTTTTTGTTTTTGTTTTTGTTTTTCTGCAACAGGTTATTCTTATCTCACTGGCTTTCACTGATCATGTTTAGACCTTCTGGTAGAAGAAATAATATCCAGACAGGGGATGATTTGGCTTCAGCAGGCTGCAGGTGTTCAAAGGTTGCCATGTGGCTGGCAGTGGTTCAAGCCCACATTTGACACTGCTGCTCTAGAGGAAAGATAATGATGGTAACACAGTAATAATAATAATAATAACAAAAATATGATAAAGTGAAAGAGTAAGACTTCTTCAGTGTGCTTGCTCATGGCATGAATGCTATGTGGACAGCCCAAGCCATACCCAGAATCACCTTAATTCCAACTTTTTGAGGTTCAGCAATTGGAGGTGGCAATTGGCTTTGCATTTTAAAGTATTTCGGGTAAAGGTGAAGTGAAGGATTTTCGTCTTTATAATTTCTGTTTGGCCATGGCAAATACCATAGTTGAGTATTTGCTTCAGGAGAGTTCTTTTTACAGTTTTACTTTTCAATGCTGAGGCATATTTCTTTGAGCACTGTGCTTTTATGTGTCTTTCTACAAAGGGGTTATTGGTCAGTGGAAGAACAAAGTACACTTGATAAAAACATTTTCAACATACATTGAGCCTAAACAGCAGTTAAGTTGTCTCTAAATGAACTAGCAAAAAAAAAAAATGTAGTTTTTGTTTGTAAGGAAGGGGAGGTATTTCCTGAGAATGAATTTTTTTTTTTTTGGATTACTGTTTTTCTCTCCATATACCTTGACTTGGATTTTGACAGGAGGGAGCCTGGGAAAATAATTTTTTCCTCCAAGATTCTCAGATCCAGGTTAGGAAAGGATTCAGCACTACAGCATACCCCTCTACAACATACAGCCCTGTCACATTGAGATCATAATCCCTCCTGTCCCACTCCTCTCTACCAACCCCACCCTACTAGCTAGGTCTTCAGTGTTTTACATTGAATATTGGTACATTTTAATTATTTTTTCTCATAAATGGGTTATTTATAGAAATTTTGTTAACTCTTGAGCCATATGCATGTGTAGATACTGGCAGGGCTATGTTTGTTTATGATGCTCTGCAAACATTTCATATTGGCCAATAAACAGAAATATATCCAAAAACCTTGTTTATTCCTCTACTTT
Organism: Homo sapiens; assembly: GCF_000001405.40. NCBI lineage: Eukaryota > Metazoa > Chordata > Mammalia > Primates > Hominidae > Homo > Homo sapiens. The sequence goes on along the minus strand of NC_000023.11, from coordinate 66,595,615 downwards.
CAGAGAACCTGGTGAATCATTTTGCTCATGTGTCTTTTCTTAGTGAGCACAGCAAAAAAATGTGTTTCTGATCATTGGACATGGCATCAGTAGTGATGGGATTCACTGACTTGTCACACAGGAGATCTGGGTTATAGTTCAAGCTCTCTTTCTTTTTCTAAAATTGTTTATGCCATTTATATTCTCCTCTGAGATAAGGATCTACTAGAAATTGTTGTGTTCTAAACTAATACTTATCAAACAGGGTTCCATGGTCCTAAGGGAACCGTGCACTGCACATCTTCTGAGGTCTGCAAAATCTTTAGGAATTTCAGTGTGTGTGTGTGTTTTCATTTTGATCATAATGTCTTAAAATACAAGCATATTCTAGCTAGACCTGTTAAGAGTACTGCCTTGCCATTTCAAGGTCTGTATTTGTGTTGATAATCTTACCAGGTTAAAGAGACCACCTAAAGAGAAACTATTTAATTTTGAATGCTATACTTTACTATAATTTAATTTAAGAGATAGGAAAATCAAGTTTCCTTCCATCTTTAATATTCTGTAATCTTTACAACAATACATGTTGGCAAGGATGTGGAGAAATGAGAAGCCTCATGTATTGCTGGTAGAATTATAAAATGGTATAGCCTCTTTTCAAAACAGTCTGACAGTTTCTCTAAAAGCTAAACTTGAGTATGATCCAGTAATATCACTCCTAGATATATACTCAATATAATTAAAAACATATGTACACACAATACTTGTATACAAATATAGAAACATTATTTATAATATCCGAAAAGTGGAAACAACCCAAATGTCCATCAACTGATGAACAGATAAAAAGTTGTGGTATATACATATAATAGAATACTATTCAGTAATAAACAATATTGAACTTCTGACACATAATACATTGTAGATGAACCTTAAATCATGTCAAGTAAAATAAGTCAGATACAAGAGACCACATATTGTATGATTCCATCTATATAAAATATCCATAAAAAGCATGCTAATCAAGACAGAATGTAGATTAATGGTTGCCTTGGAATGGGCATGAGAAAAACAATTAAATGTTAATAGGCATGATGGATCTTATTTAAAGGATAAAGATGTTCTAAGATTTAGTTATGCTGATGTCTTCCCCACTCAATAAAGTTAATAAAAATCATTGACTTGTATACATGAAATTATGAATGAATTTTATAATATTTAGAATATTCCTCAATAAAGCTGTTTTAAAAATATTCTATGATTACTGATCTCTGATCTCTGAGTAGACTGCTATTGGTTTACTAATTTACTTTCTTAAAAATGTTCATTACTAGGGCTGATTCCATAACCAATCTCTCTCTCTCTCTCACACACACACACACACACACACACACACACACTCACAACTTAATTGCTCAGTTCAGAGCAAAAGAAAGAGACAGAACTTGAGTCCTTTTCCGTTCTCTTCTTTTTAGTCTCTCTAGACCCTATGTAGCCTAGAGAAAAGAGGGAGAGAAAACATCTAGGCAGAACTTAGAGGAGGACGATTTAGGAGGTATCACTCATACCAAAGGAGAAAGGACGGAGGAAACCACTAAGGCTTAGGGGTGTGCATAGGAAAAGATATATTGGGAAATAACTATCACAGGCTGTAGAAGGGCTTATTGAGGGAACCACTACAGAATGGGGGAGAAGTGACTGGAATTACCAGGAGGTAAGAGGCCAGAACTTGTGTATTTATCATGCCTCTATTTGAGAAAAGGCATTTTTTAAATCCTAACTGGGCCTTGCATTCTCACTTGATAAAATTATGAATGGTGGTACAGTGGGGGAAACAGAATCCTCTGATTTATGGATGATGATAAAGGCATAGGAAGGGTTAGCATTTAGGCAACACTTCTCTGTTTTGGAGTTGATTTGTGTGTGCCTGTGTCAGTCAAAGGGCAGTGAGCCCCCACTGTATACCCCAGAAGGACATGGGGAACCAGATCTCTGGGAATAGATGGATCAAAGCAGCAAACAAGTCATCAAACTGTCAGACAAGATTCTTAGGTGATTGTTAATAACCTTTTCATTAGGGACTAAAATCACTTGCATATTTCTGGGCTGGTATGATGCTACTGCATTTTATGCTCACAGTGTGATTGGCAAGTTTCTATGTACCCAGCAGTTAGGCTTTTAAGTCCTCAGAAATTGTGTACACATGAGTGTTAGGGGTTCACCTGCTGCCTGTCCAGATAAAATGGATCCCCACTGAGGGCAGCTGTGCAGTCACATGGTTATCTTCTACAAAGCCTTTCTTCCTTGTGGTTTCTAGTGAGAGCAAATTACCTTCCTTAAGACCTCCTTTCTAAGGAGTAGTGCAGTGAAAGAGAAGGTGGATGAAAAACTAATATTTAGTGATTATTGCTGGTGTGCTTTTTTACTTCCATACTTTGTCTTATTTAATACTCATGATATTCCTAGGTGGTAGGCATTTTTTACAATCTTTATTTAACAAAAGAAGAAACTAAAGTTCACAAAGGTTTAATAATTTTTCTGTGAATATACAGCAGCAAGTGATATGCTGAATTTCAGCCCAAGACTGTGACTCTGAGGCCCAGCACTGTCCACTACACCACAGATGCCTCCTTAAGACAGGCCTCAAAAAAGAGGATGTTTATCCCCTTGAGTCCCTCATAGTGTTCAGCTTGGAAAACTACATCAGACAGTCTCCCTAGGAGTTTCCAAAATCACATACTAGTGTCAAAATATCATCAGTTATTATAAAATCAGTTATTATAAAATCAGTTATATAAAATCAGTTATTGCACTTATAAAAATGCAAAATGCTCAAGAAAGTCTCAGCAATAGAATCAAACAAGTAGAAAAAAGAAATTCAGAGCTCCAAGACAAGGTCTTTGAATTAACCCAATCCAACAAAGACAAAAAATATATAAGAAAATATGAACAAAGCCTCTAAGAAGTCTGGGATTATGTGAAATGACTAAATCTAAGAATAATTGGCATTTCTGAGGAAGAAGAGAAATCTAAAAGTTTGAAAAGCTTATTTGGAGGAATAATTGAGGAAAACTTCACCAGCCTTGCTAGAGACCTAGACATCCAAATACAAGAAGCACAAATAACACCTGGGAAATTCATCACCAAAAGATCATCAACTAGACACACTGTCATCAGGTAATCTAAAGTTAAGAAGAAGGTAAGAATCTTAAGAGCTGTGAGACAAAAACACCAGGTAACCTATAAAGGAAAAGCTATCGGATTAACAGTATATTTCTCAGCAGAAACCCTACTAGCTAAAAAGGATTAAGGCCCTATCTTCAGTCTCCTAAAGCAAAACAATTATCTGCCAATAATTTTGTATCCTGTGAAAATAAGATTCATAAATGAAGGACAGATACAGACTTTTTCAGACAAACAAATGCTGAGAGAATTTGCCACTACCAAGCCAGCACTACAAGAACTGCTAAAAACAGCTGTAAATATTGAAGCAAATCCTGGAAACACATCAAAGCATAACTTTTTTAAAGCATGAATTTAACAGGACCTATGAAACAAAAATACAATTTAAAAAACCAAAACAAACAAAAAACCAAGGTATAGAGGCAACAAATAGCCTGATGAATAGAATGGTACCTCATATCTCAGTACTAACATTAAATGTAAATAGCTTAAATGCTCTACTTAAAAGGTACAGAATTGCAGAGTGGATAAGAATTCACTAACCAACTATCTGCTGCCAAAAGCAAGCAGGAGTAGCTATTCTTATATCATACGAAACAAACTTTAAAGCAAAAGCAGTTAAAAAGACAAAGAGGAACATTATAAAATGATAAAAGCCCTCATCAAATAGGAAAATATCACAATTCTAAACATATATGCAAATAACACTGGAGATCCCAAATTTATAAAACAATTACTAATAGACGTAAGAAATGAGATAGACAACAACACAGTAAGAGTGGGGGACTTTAGTACTCCACTGACAGCACTAGACAGGTCATCAAGAGAGTAAGTCAACAAAGAAACAATGGATTTAAACTACATCTTAGAACAAATGGAATTAACAAATATATACAGAACATTTCATCCAACAACCACAGAATACATATTCTATTAAACAACGCATGGAACTTTCTCCAAGATAAACCATATAATAGGCCACAAAGTGAGCCTCAATAAATTTAAGAAAATTGAAATTATATCAAGCATTCTCTAAGACCACAGTAAAATAAATCTGGAAATCAACTCCAAAATGAACCTTCAAAACCATGCAAATACGTGGAAATTAAATAACCTGTTCCTGCGTGAGCATTGGGTCAAGAATAAAATTAAGATGGAAATTAGAAAATTCTTCTAAATTAACTACAATAGTGACACAACCTATCAAAACCTCCGGGATATGGCAAAGGTGGTGCTAAGAAGAAAGTTTATAGTCCTACAGGCTTACATCAAAAAGTCTGAGAGAGCACAAACAGAAAATCTAAGGCCAGACCTCAAAGAACTACAGAACAAGAACAAACCAAATCCAAACCCAACAGAAGAAAAAAGTAACCAAGATAAGATCAGAACTAAATAAAATTAAATAAACAAGCAAAAAACACAATATACAAGAAAATTGAAACAAAAAGCTGGTTTTTTTGAGAAGATAAAATTGATAGACCATTAGCAAGGATATCCAAGAAATGAAGAAAGAAAATCCAAATAAGCTCAATAAGATATAAAATGGGAGATAATACAACTGACATCCCAGAAATACAAAATATCATTCAAGGCTACTATGAACACCTTTATGCATATATAAATAGAAAACCTAGAAGAGATAGATAAATACCTGGAAAGATACAACTCTCCTAGCTTAAATCAGGAAGAATTAGATACCCTGAACAGACCGCTAACTAGATGCAAGATTGAAATGGCAATTTAAAAATTATCAACAAAAAAAGTCCAGGACCAGACAGATCCACAGTAGAATTCTACCAGACATTTAAAGAATAATTGGTACCAATCCTACTGACAGTATTCCACAATATAGAGAAAGAGGGAACCCTCATGATATCATTCTATGAAACTAGCATCTCCCTAATACCAAAACCAAGAAAGGACATAATCAAAAAAGAAAACTACAGACCAATATCCCTGATAAACATAGATTCTAAAATCCTTAACAAAATACTAGCTAACTAAATCCAACAACAAATAAAAAAGATAATCAACCATGATCAAGTGGGTTTCATACCAAGGATGCAGGGATGGTTTAACGTACGCTAGTCAATAAATGTGATACAACACATAAACAGAATTAAAAACAAAAATCACATGAACATCTCAACAGATGCAGAAAAAGGATTTGACAAAGTCCAGCTTCCCTTTATGATTAAAAGTCTCATCAAAATTGGCTTACAAGGAACATACCTCAAGGTAATAATAGCCATCTATGACAAACCCACAGCCAACATAATACTGAATGGGGAAAAGTTGAAAGCCTTCCCTCTGAGAACTGGAACAAAACAAGGATGCCTACTCTCACCACTCCTCTTCAACATAGCACTGGAACTCCTGGCCAGAAAAATCAGAAAACCAAAAGAAATAAAGGGCATCCATGCCAGTAAAAAGAAACTAACACTGTCAATGTTTGCTGAAAATATGATTCTTTACTTTTAAAACTCTAAAGATTCCTCCAGAATGCTCCTAGAACTGATAAAAGAATACAGCAAAGTTTCCCAATATAAAACAAAGGTAGACAAATCAGTAGCTCTTCTATACACCAACAGCGACCAGGCTGAGACTCAAATCAAGAATTCAACCCTTTTTACAATAGCTGCAAAAAAAATTTAAATACTTAGGATATACACAACCATGGAGACAAAATACCTCTGCAAGGAAAACTACACAACACTGCTGAAATAAATCATAGACGACACAAACAAATAGAAACATCCCATTCTCATGGATGGGTATACTCGATATTGTGAAAATGACCATACTGCCAAAAGGAAGCTACAAATTCAATGTAACTCTCATCAAAATACAACCATCGTTCTTCACAGAATTCAAAAAAATTTCTAAAATTCATATGGAACCAATAGAGAGATAGCATAGCCAAAGAAAGACTAAGCAAAAAGAACAAATCTGGAGGCATTACATGCCCTGATTTTAAACTATACAATAAGGCTATAGTCAAAAAAACAGCATGGTACTGGTATAAAAACAGGCACATAGACCAATGGAACAGAATAGAGAACTCAGAAATAAACCCAAATACAGCCAACTGAACTTTGACAAGCAAACAAAAACATAATCTGGGGAAAGGACACCCTTTTCAACAAATGTGCTGGGATAATTGGCAAGCCACATGTAGGAGAATGAAACTGGGTCATCACCTCTCACGTTATATAAAAATCAACTCAAGATGAATTAAGGACTTAAATTTAATACTTGAAACTGTAAAAAGTTTAGAAGATAACACTGGAAAAACCCCTCTAAACATTGGCTTGGGCAAGGATTTTATGACCAAAACCCCCCTCCCCCCAAAAAAGAAAAACAACAACAACAACAAAAAAAAGATAAATGGCTGGAATTTAATTAAACTTTAGTTTAGTTTAAACTGCCATGCCAGTTGTGCATGGCAAAAGAAACAGCGAGCAGAGTGGCAGAAAATCTTCACAATCTATACATCTAACAAAGGACTGATATCCAGAATCCACAAGGAATTCAAACAAATCATCCAGAAACAAACAAACAATCCCATCAAAAAGCGTGTTAAGGACATGAGCAGACAATTCTTAAAAGAAGATATATAATTGTCCAAAAAGCATAAAAAAGCTAAACATGACTAATGATCAGGAAAATGCAAATCAAAACCACAATGTGATAACAACTTATTCATGCAAGTCCACAATCAAAAAATCAAAAATTAGATGTTGGCGTGCATGCAGTGAATAGGGAACACTTCTACAGGTCAGAAAACACACACAAAAAAAGGCATTGCACAATGGTAAAGGGATTAATGCAACAAGAAGAGCTAACTATCCTAAATATATATGTACCCAATACAGGAGCAACCAGATTTATAAAGCAAGTCCTTAGAGACCTTTAAAGAGACTTAGACACCCACCAATAATAGTGGAAGACCTTAACAACACATGTCAATATTAGACAAATCAATAAGACAGAAAATTAACAAGTATATTCAGGACTTGAACTCAGCTCTGGACCAACTGGACCTAATAGAGTTCTCCAGAACTCTCCATCCCAAATCAACAGAATATACATTCTTCTCAGCACCAGACTGCACTTATTTTAAAATTGACCACATAGTTGGAAGTAAAACACTAAGATCAGAGCAGAAATGAAGGAGACAGGAACATGAAAAAACTCTTCAAAAAATCAATGAATCCAGGAGCTGTTTTTTTTTTTAAAAAGATTAGCAAAATAGATAGACCTCTAGCCAGATTAATAAAGAAGAAAAGAGAGAAGAATCAAATAGACACAATAAAAAATGATAAAGGTGATATCACCACTTATCTCACAGAAATACAAACTACCATCAGAGAATACTGTAAACACCTCTGTGCAAATAAACTAGAAAATATAGAATAAATGGATAAACACATAAACACATACACTCTCCGAAGTCTAAACCAGGAAGAAGTCGAATCCCTAAATAGACCAATAACAAGCTCTGAAATTGAGGCAGTAATTAATAGCCTACCAACCAAAATAAAGCCCAGGACCAGACGGATTCACAGCCAAATTCTACCAGAGGTACAAAGAGGAGCTTGTAACAATCCTTCTGAAACTATTCCAAACAATAGAAAAAAAAAAAAGGGAATCCTTCCTAACTCATTTTATGAGGACAGCATCATTCTGATACCAAATCCAGGCAGAGACAAAACAAAGAAAATTTCAGGCCAATGTCCCTGATGAACATCAATGCAAAAATCCTCAATAAAATACTGGCCAACCAAATCCAGCAGCATATCAAGAAGCTTATGCACCACAATCAAGTTGGCTTCATCCCTGGGATGCAAGGCTTGTACAGCATACGCAAATCAATAAACATAATCCATCACGTTACAGAACCAATGACAAAAACCACATGATTATCTCAATAGAGGCAAAAAAGGCCTTTGATACAATTCAACACTCTTTCATGCTAAAGACTCTCAGTAAACTAGGTATTGATGGAACGTATTTCAAACTAATAAAAATATTTATAAAAAACCACAGCCAATATCATACAGAATGGGCAAAAGCTGGAAGCATTCCCTTTGAAAACTGGCACAAGAGAAGGATGCCCTCTCTCAACATTCCTATTCAACATAGTTTTGGAAGTTCTGGCAAGGGAAATCAGGAAACAGAAAGAAATAAAGGGCATTCAAATAGGAAGAAAGGAAGTCAAATTGTCTCTGCTTGCAGATGACATGATTGTATATTTTAAAAACCCCATCATCTCAGTCTAAAATCTTAAGCTGATAAGCAACTTCAGCGAAGTCTCAGGATACAAAATCAACGTGTAAAAATCACCAGCATTTCTAGACAAACAGAAAGCCAAATCATGAGTGAACTCCCATTCACAATTGCTACAAAGAGAATAAAATACCTAGGAATCCAACTTACAAGGTATGCGAAGGACCTCTTTAAGGAGAACTACAAGCCACTGCTCAAGGAAATAAGAGAGGACAAAAACAAGGGGAAAAACATTCCATGCTCATGGATAGGAAGAATCAATATCATGAAAATAGCCATACTGCCCAAAATAATTTATAGATTCAAGGCTATCCCCATCAAGCTACCATTGACTCTCTTCACAGAAATAGAAAAAAATACTTTAAATTTCATATGGGACCAAAAAAGGGCATGTATAGCTAAGACAATCCTAAGCACAAATAACAAAGCTGGAGGCATCACACTACCTGACTTCAAACAATACTACAAGGCTACAGTAACCAAAACAGCATGATACTGCTACCAAAACACATATATAGACCAATGGAACACAACAGAGGCCTCAGAAATACTGCCACACATCTACAGCCATCTGATCTTTGACAAACCTGACAAAAACAAGCAATGGGGAAAGGATTCCCTATTTAATAAATGATGTTGAAAAAACTGGCTAGCCAAATGCAAAAAACTGAAATTGGACCCCTTCCTTACACCTTATACAAAAATTAACTCAAGATGGATTAAAGATTTAAATATAAATGTAAGACCTAAAACCATAAAAACCCTAGAAGAAAATCTAGGCAATACCATTCGGGACATAGGCATTGGCAAAGACTTAATGACTAAAATGCCAAAAGCAATGGCAACAAAAACCAAAATTGACAAATGGGATCTAATTTAACTAAAGAGCTTCTGCACAGCAAAAGAAACTATCATTAGAGTGAACAGGCAACCTATAGAATGGGTGAAAATTTTTGCAATCTATCCATCTGACAATGGGCTAATATCCAGAATCTACAAGGAACTTCAACACATTTACAAGAAAAAAAACATTAAAAAGTGGGCGAAGGATATGAAGAGATACTTCTCAAAAGAAGATATTTATGCAGCCAACAAACATGAAAAAAAGCCATCATCACTGGTCATTAGAGAAATGCAAATCAAAACCACAATGAGATACCATCTCACGCCTGTTAGAATGGCGATCATTAAAAAGTCACGAAACAACAGGTGCTGGTGAGGATATGGAAAAATAGGAACTCTTTTACACTGTTGATGGGAGTGTAAATTAATTCAACCATTGTGGAAGACAGTGTGGCAATTCGTCAGGGATCTAGAACCAGAAATAGCATTTGATCCAGCCATCCCATTACTGGGTATGTACCCAAAGGGTTTTAAATTATTCTACTATAAAGATACATGCACACATATGTTTATTGCAGCACTGTTCACAATAGCAAAGACTTGAAACCAATCCAAATGCCCATCAATGATAGACTGGATAAATAAAATGTGCCACATATGCACTATGGAATACTATGCAGCCATAAAAAGGATGAGTTCATGTTATTTGCAGGGACATGGATGAAGCTGGGAATCATCATTCCCAGCAAATTAACACAGGAACAGAAATCCAAACACCGCATGTTCTCACTCATAAATGGAAGCTGAATAATGAGAACACATGGATACAGAGGTAGGGGCATCACACACAAGGGCCTGTCAGGGGGTGGGGAGGCTAGAGGAGAGATAGTATTAGGAGAAATACCTACTATAGATGACGGGTTGATGGGTGCAGCAAACCACCTTGGCACATGTATACCTATGTAACAAACCTGCACGTTCTGAACATGTATCCCAGAACTTAATGTATAATAATAAAAAAGTTATTTGTTTAAAATGATAATAATAATTTTATTCACCAGTTTTGATTTTGTTCAATGTTTAGCCAGGGATTTTTTTGATAAGCAGAAAGAGAAATTGAAGAATAAGTGCTTCAACTTTATATTACAGGGTAAAATAATGTTTGATGAGTTTTACTTGATTTGTTATCTAAAACTGAATTTTAGTCCAAGATTGATTTGAAAATTTTTTATAGATGAGTGAGCCAGTTAAGCAGCACACTATAGCAGAGGGATTATAGCATGGGCTAAGGAAATGTACTCAGGTAGACTACCTGGCTTCAACCTCAAGCTCATATAATTCTCTTTTGGCCTTACAAAAAATCAGTTTATCTCCTTTTCCCGTTTTCTGCTCTGTAAAATGAGGATGAGGCCAATAATACTTATTTCATAATGACATGAGGAGCTATGAGTTTCTTTTCACTTCTTAGAGTAGTGCCTTATATTCAATGATAAATTAAATTAAGCACATGGTATTTCCGTTAAAAAAAAAGAAAGGATACTTGCACACACACGTTTATAGCAGCCCGATTTGGAATTGCAAAACCATGGAACCAACCCATATGTGTATCAATCAATGATTGGATAAAGAAACTGTGGTATATATTTATGCTATGGAATACTACTCAGCCATGAAAAGGAATAAATTACTGGCATTCACAGTGACCTCGATGAGATTGGAGACTATTATTCTTAGTGAAGTAACTCTGGAATGGAAAACCAAACATCATACATTCTCACTGGTATGTGGGAGATAAGCTATGATAATGCAAAGACATAAGAATGTCAAAATGGACTTTAGGGACTCTGGTGGAAAGGGTGGGAATGGGGTGAGGGATAAAAGACTACAAAAAGTGCAGTGTATACTGCTCGGGTGATGGGTGCACCAAAAACACAAGTCAAAACTAAAGAACTTACTTATGTAAGTAAACACTGCCTGTGACCCAGTATCCTATGGAAATGGGAAATAAATAAATAAATAAAGGCCTTTTCTGCATCTTTTGAAATAATCATGTGGTTTTTGTCTTTACCTCTGTTTATGTGATGAATCACGTTTATTGATTTGCATATATTTAACACACCTTGCATCCCAGGGATGAAGCCTACTCGATCATAGTAGATAAGCTTTCTGATGTGCTGCTGGATCCAGTTTGCTAGTATTTTGTTGAGGATTATTGCATCGATGTTCATCAATCATATTGCCCTGAAGTTTTTGTGTTTGTCATATCTCTGCCAGGTTTTGGTATCGGGTGATGTTGGCCTCAATGAATGAGTTAGGGAGGAATCCCTCCTTTTCAATGTTTTGAAATAGTTTCAGTAGAAATGGTACCAGCTCCTCTTTGTACCTCTAGTAGAATTCAACTGTGAATCCATCTGGTCCTAGGCTGCCTTTTTTTTTTTTTTTTTTTTTTTTTGCTGGTAGGCTATTTGTTACTGCCTCAATTTCAGAACTTGTTACTGGTGTATTCAGAGATTCAGTTTCATTCTTGTTCAGTCTTCAGAGGGTGTATGTGTCCAGGAACTATTCACTTCTTCTAGATTTTCCAGTTTATGTAAATAGAAGTGTTTATAGTATTCTCTGATGGTTGTTTGTATTTCTATGGGGTCAGTGGTGATATCACCTTTATCATTCCTGATTGTGTTTATTTGAATCTTCTCATGGACAGCAATGAAAGGGGAAAGTGAATACAGCACCTTCAACTGAAATATATGAATCTTGCATTGGAAATGAGTAGGGAAACAACTTGACATACGCATAAGAAAGAAAAGCAAGGTGGAGCAATGGTTTCACCCTGCTTTTCTTCTTTATTAGTCTAGCTAGTGGCCAATCTATTTTATTAATTTTTTTCAGAAAAACAGCTCCTGGATTCATTAATTTTCTGAAGTGTTTTTTGTGTTTCTATCTTTTTCAGTTCAGCTCTGATCTTGGTTAAGTATTGTTTTTTGTTAGCTTTGGGGTTTGTTTGCTCTTGTTTCTCTAGTTCTTTTAGTTGTAATGTTAGCCTGTTAACTTGAGATCTTTGTAGTTTTTTGTTATAGGCATTTAGTCCTACAAATTTCCCTCTTAACACTGCTTTAACTGCATCCCAGAGATTCTGGTACATTGTCTCTCTGTTCTCACTACTTTCAAAGAACTTCTTGATTTCTGCCTTATTATTTGCCCAGGAGTCATTCAGGAGTAGGCTGTCCAGTTTCCATGTAGTTGTGTGGTTTTTAGTACATTTTAAAATCTTGATTTCTAATTTGTGCTTGGTCTGAGGGACTGTTTGTTATAATTTTAGTTCTGTTGCATTTGCTGAGGAGACTTTTGCTTCCAATTATGGGATCAATTTTAGAGTAAGTGTTGTGTGGTGATGAGAAGAACATATATTCTGCTTTGCGGTAGAGAGTTTTGTATATATTGATTAGGTCCACTTGATCCCAAGCTGAGTTGAAGCCTTGTATGTCTTTGTTGATTTTATTTTTATTTATTTATTTATTATTATTATACTTAAGTTTTAGGGTACATGTGCACAATGTGCAGGTTAGTTACATATGTATACATGTGCCATGCTGTTGCGCTGCACTCACTAACTCGTCATCTAGCATTAGGTATATCTCCCAATGCTATCCCACCCCCCTCCCCCCACCCCACAACAGTCCCCAGAGTGTGATGTTCCCCTTCCTGTGTCCACGTGTTCTCATTGTTCAATTCCCACCTATGAGTGAGAATATGCGGTGTTTGGTTTTCTGTTCTTGTGATAGTTTACTGAGAATGATGATTTCCAGTTTCATCCATGTCCCTACAAAGTACATGAATTCATCATTTTTTATGGCTGCATAGTATTCTATGGTGTATATGTGCCACATTTTCTTAATTCAGTCTGTCATTGTTGGACATTTGGGTTGGTTCTAAGTCTTTGCTATTGTGAATAGATAATCTGTCTAATATTGTCAGTGGGGTATTAAAGTCTCACTTTTATTGTGTGGGTGTCTAAGTCTCTTTGAAGGTCTCTAAGAACTTGCTTTACAAATCTGGGTGCTCCTGCATTGGGTGCATTTGCACTTAGGATAGTTAATTCTTATTATTTAATTGAACCCTTTCCCATTTTGTAATGTCCTTCTTCCCACTTTGTGTCTTTCAATTAGGACATTTAGTTAATTTATATTTAAGATTAGTATTGTTATGTGTAGATGTGATCCTGTCATCATGATGTTAGCAGGTTATTTTTCAAACTTGTTTATGTGTTTCTTCATAGTGTCACTGATCTGTGTACTTCAGTGTGTTTTTGAAGTGGCTGGTAATAGGTATTTCTTTCCATATTTACTGCTTCCTTCAGGAGCTTTTGTAAGGCAAGTCTGATGGTAACGAATTCCCTCAGCATTTGCTTCTCTGAACAGGACCATATTTCTCTTTCACTTATGAAGATTAGTTTGCCTGGATATGAAATTCTGGGCTGAAAATTCTTTTCTTTAAGAATATTAAATATTAAGCTTTCGATCTCTTCTAGCTTGAAGAGTTCTCACTGAGATGCCCACTGTTAGTCTGATGGGCTTCACTTTGTAGGTGACCTGGCCTTTCTCTTTGGCTGCCCTTAATATTTTTTATTTCATTTAGACCTTTGTGAATCTGAAGAATATGAGTTTTGGGAATTATCTTCTCATGGAGTATCTTCCTGAGGTTCTCTGCATTTTCTGAACGTGAACACTGTCCTGTCTTGATACATGGGGGAAGTTCTCTTGCATGATATCTTGAAGTATGTTTTCCAACTTGATTCCATTCTCCCTATCTATTTCAGGTACCCTAATCAGTCTTACATTCAGTCTCTTTACATAATCTCATATTTCTTGGACTTTTTCTTTATTATTTTTCATTCTTTTTTGTCTACTCTTGTCCACTTGTCTTATTGCAGAAAGATAGATAGGCTTCAATCTCAGAAATTCTTTCCTCTACTTGGTCTATTCTGTCATTAATACTTGTGATTGCATTGTGAAGTTCTTGTAGTGTGTTTTTCAGCTCTAACAGGTCAGTTATGGTCCTTTTTAAACTGGTTATTTTGGCTTTCAGCTCCTGTATTGTTTTATCATAATTCTTAACTTCTTTGCATTGGGTTACTACATGTTCCTTTAGCTCAAGAAAGTTCAGTATTACCGACCTTCTGAAACCTACTTCTGTCATTTCAGCCATCTCAGCCTCAGCTTTGTTCTGAGCCCTTGACAGAGAGGTATTGTTGTGATCTGGAGGAAAAGAGGCACTCTGGCTTTTTGAGTTTTCAGTGTTTTTGCATTGGTTCTTTCTCGTATTTATGGGCTTATATACCTTTGATCTTCAAGGTTGCTGATTTTTGATGGGGTTTTGTGTTTGTTGTTGTTGTTTTCTGTTTGCTTGTTTTTCTTTTTAACAGTCTGGCCACTCTTCTGTAGGGCTGCTTCGGTTTGCTGGAGATCTACTCCAGAGCCTAGTTGCCTCAGTTTCTCCCATACCACTTCCCTTGGCTGGAGGTGTGGGTTCCCTTGGCTCCATGTTACTCCCAGGTGGGCCATCATCCCACTCTGTTTTTATTCCTTCTCCGTGTGTCAAATTGTTTCCCTAATCATTCCCCATCTGAGAACCTGGATATTTCAGTTGAAGGTGCTGTATTCACTCTTCCCTTTCATTCCTCACCATGAGTGCCATGAACCACAGTTGCTGCTAATCGGCCATCTTGGCACCCTTTCCCAGAGTCCGTTTATAGCAGAACTGATCAAGCAGAACAAAGAATTTGTTAGCTTAAACACAGGCTGTTTGAAAATACTCAGTGGAGACAAAAGAAAATGGCATTTTTTTTAAAAAAAGCAAGACTACAAGATCTAGAAAATAGTCTCAAAAGGGCATATCTAAGAGTTATTGGTCTTAAAGAGGAAGTAGAGAAAAAGATAGGGGTAGAAAGTTAATTCAAAGTAATAATATCAGAGAATTTCTCAAACCTACAGAAATACATCAACATGCAAG
The DNA here is from genome assembly GCF_000001405.40 of Homo sapiens. Taxonomy (NCBI): domain Eukaryota; kingdom Metazoa; phylum Chordata; class Mammalia; order Primates; family Hominidae; genus Homo; species Homo sapiens. Next base: position 66,580,312 of record NC_000023.11, on the reverse strand, counting down.
CATAAGAAGTTTAAGTATATGGTGAAAATATCCTTCAAGCATGAAGGAGAAATAAAGACTTTGCCAGGCAAACAAAAGCTATGGGATTTTATCAACACCAGACCTATCCTATTAAGGAATGCTAAAAGGAGTTCTTGAATCTGAAAGTAAAGAATGTTAATGAACAAGAAGAAATCATCAGACAGTACAAATCTCACTTGTAAGAGCACAGAGAAAAACACAGAATGTTATAACACTGTAATTGTAGTGTATAACAACAGTTTTTCAATACATATACATGGTATAATAAAACATAAAGAGAAATAGCAAAAAGTTAAAAAGCTTGGAAATGGGGTTAAAATAGAGTATTTATTAGGTTTCTTTCTGCTTTTTTGTTTATGCAATCAGTGTTAAGTTGTCATCTGTTCAGAACAACGGGTTATAAGATAGTGTTTGCAAGCCTCATGGCAACCTCAAATCAAAATATACAATATATACACAAAAAATAAAAACAAGAGATGATTAAATCACATCATGAAAGGAACTCACCTTTAATAAAAGGAAGACAGGAAGGAAGAAAAAAAGTACAAAACAGCCAGAAAACAAAAAACAAATTGGCAGGGGAAAGTTCTTAGTTATTAATAACATTTAACGTAAAAGGACTAAAGTAATCAATCGAGATAAAATGTCTGAATGGATTTTTAAAAAAAAGACCCAATAATTTCTAGCAAACAGTAAACACAATTCGCCTATAAAGATACACATAAATTGAAAATAAAAAGATGAAAAAATATATTCTATGCCATTGAAAACCAAAAAAGAGCAGAAATAGCTATACTATACCAGAGAAAATACATTTCAAAACAAATACTGTAATAAGAGACAAACAAGTCATTACATAGTGATAAAAGTGTCAATTCAGCAAAAGGTTATAACAATTGTAAATATATATTATCCAATGCTTGAACACTCAGATGTTTGAAGGAAATATTATTAGACATATAGAGAAAAATAATCACAATACAATAACTAGAGACTTAAGCATGCCACTTTCAGCAGTGGACAGGTCTTCCAGACAGAAAATATATAAATAAACATTGGACTTAATCTGCACTTCAGAACAAATGCACTTACTAGATATTTACAGAGCATTTTATCCAACACTGCAGAATATACATTCTACACCTCAGTACATGGATCAATCTCAGTGGAAGACCATATGAAAAAACAAGTCTTAAAACATTGAAAAAAATTTTTAAAAATATGAAGCACTTCCTCTGACCACAATGGAATAAAACTACAAATCAATAACAGGAGACAGTTTGGAAGCTATACAAACACAAGGAAATTGAACAGTATGCTCCTGAATGTACAGTGGATCAATGAATACATTAAGAAAGAAATTTTTAAAATTCTTTAAATAAATGATAATAAAAACACAACATACCAAAACCTGTGGGATACAGTGAAAGCAGTACTAAGAGAGAAATTTATAGCTATAAAAACCTATATCAAAAAAATTCAAATAAACAACCTATTAACATGCTTTAAAGAACTAGAAAATCAATAGAAAACCAAACCTAAAATTAATAGAAGAAAAGAAATTTAAAATATCAAGCATAAATAAATAAAATTCAATAAAGAAAACAATAGAAAGATCAATAAAATGAAATGTTGGTTTTTTAAAGAGACTTTTAAAAATAGACAAACCTCTAGTCAGATTAACTACTTAAAAAGGAGTAGACTCAAGTAAATAAAACCAGAGGTGAAAACAGAGACATTGCAACTGATACCACAAACATTTAAAGGATGATAAGTGACTGCTACGAGAAATTATATGCCAATAAATTGGAAAATCTAGAAAAAATGAATAAATTCCTAAACACATAGAAAGTACCAGGACTGAAACATGAAGAAATCCAAAACCCAAACAGACCAATAATAATAACAAGATTGAAGCCATAATAAAGTCTCCCAGTAAAGAAAAGCCCAGGACCCAATGGCTTCACTGCTGACTTCCACAAATATTTAAAGAGGAATAAAACTATTCTGAAAAATAGATGAGAAAGGTATATTTCCAAACTTATTCAGCAAGCCTAGTATTACTATGATATCAAAACCAAAAATAAAGACACATCTAAAAGGAAAGCTGTATGCCAATATTTCTGATGAATATTGATGCAAAAATTCTCAACGAAATACTAGCAAACAAGTGTCTACAATACATTAGAAAGATCATTCATCATGACCAAATGTGATTTATCTCTGGGACTCAAGGATGGCTCAACATATGTAAATCAATCAATGTGATAAATCATATCAACACATTTAAGGACAAAACCATATGACCATTCCAATTAATGCTGAAAAACATTTGATAAAATTTGGCATGTCTTCATGATAAAAACCCTAAAAAAACTGGGTTTAAAAAGAATATACCTCAACACATAAAAGCTATATATGACAGACCCAATGCTGGTATTATACTAAATAGAAAAAAAAATGAAAGCCTTTCCTATAAGAGCTGGAACACATCAAGGATGCAAAGTTTCACCTCTATTATTCAATATATTATTGGAAGTCTTAGCTAGATCAATTGGACAAGAGAAAGAAATAAAGGACATCCAAATTAGAAAGAAAGAACTCAAATAATCCTTGCTTGCATATGATGTGGTCTTATATTTGGACAAACTTAAAGACTTCACCAAAACACTATTAGAACTGATAAACAAATTCAGTAAAGTTGCACGATGCAAAATCAGCATGCAAAAAATCAGTAGCATTTCTATATGTGAACAATGAGCACATACACAAAAAATAAAAAGCAGTAATCTCGTTTAAAATAGCCACAAATGAAACTAAATGCCTACAAATTAACTGAAGTGAGTTCTCTAAAATGAGAACTATGAAACACTGATGAAATACTGATGAAAGAAACTGAACACACAAGATATAAAAAAAATTTCATGTTCATGGATTGGAAGAATAAACAATGTTAAAGTGTTCATACTACTCAAAGTCATCTACAGATTCAATGCAATCCATATGAAAATATCAATGGCACCAGCTCCTATTTGTACCTCTGGTAGAATTCAGCTGTGTATCTGTCTGGTCCAGGGTTTTTTTTTGGTTGGTAGGCTATTAATTACTGCCTCAATTTCAGAACTTGTTATTGGTCTATTCAGGGATTCGGCTTCTTCCTGGTTTAGTCTTGAGAGAGTGTATGCCTCCAGGAATTTATCCGTTTCTTCTAGATTTTCTAGTTTATTTGCATAGAGGTGTTTATAGTATTCTCTGATGGTAGTTTGTATTTCTGTGGGATTAGTGGTGATATTCCCTTTATCGTTTTTTATTGAGTCTATTTTATTCTTCTCTCTTTTCTTGTTAGTCTACCTAGTGGTCCATCTATTTTGTTAGTCTTTTGAAAAATTCATCTCCTGGATTCATTGATCTTTTGAAGGGTTTTTCGTGTCTGTATCTCCCTCAGTTCTTCTCTGATGTTAGTTATTTATTGTCTTCTGCTAGCATTTGAATTTGTTTCCTCTTGCTTCTCTAGTGCTTTTAATTGTGATGTTAAGATGTCAATTGTAGATCTTCCCAGCTTTCTGTTGCAGACCTTGTAGTGCTATAAATTTCCCTCTTAACAATGTTGTAGCAATGTCCAAAAAATTCTGACACATTGTCTCTTTGTTCTCATTGGTTTTAAAGAACTTTTTTATTTCTGCCTTAATTTTCTTATTTACCCAGTAGTCATTCAGAACCAGGTTCAATTTCCATGTATTTGTGCAGTTTTGAGTGAGTTTCTTAATCCTGAGTTCTAATTTGATTGCAGTGTCGTCTGAGAGACTGCTTGTTATGATTTCTGTTCTTTTGCATTTGCTGAGGAGTGTTTTGCTTCCAACTGTGGGGTCGATTTTAGAATAAATGCAATGTGGTGGTAAGAAGAATGTATATTCTATTGATTTGGGGTGGAGAGTTCTGTAGATGTCTATTAGGTCCACTTGGTCCAGAGCTGAGTTCAAGACCTGAAGACCCTTGTTAATTTTCTGTCTTATTGATCTGTCTTATACTGACATTGGGGTGTTAAAGTATCCCATGAGTATTGTGTGGGAGTTTAAGTCTCTTTGTAGGTCTCTAAGAATTTGCTTTATGAACCTGGGTGCTTGTGTATTGGGTGCATATATTTTTAGGATTGTTAGCTCTTTTTGCTGCATTGATCCCTTTACCATTATGTAATGCCCTTTTCTGTCTTTTTTGATCTTTGTTGGTTTAAAGTCTGTTTTATCGGAGACTAGGATTGCAACCTCTGCCTTTTTTTTTCCTTTTTTTTTTTCTATTTGTTTGGTAGATATTCTTCCATTCCTTTAATTTGAGCCTATGTTGGTCTTTGCACGTGAGATGGGTCTCCTGAATACAACACGCCAATTGGTCCTGACTGTATTCAATTTGCCAGGCTGTGTCTTTTAATTGGGACATTTAACCCATTTACATTTAAGATTAATATTGTGGTGTGTGTATTTGATCCTGTCATTGTGATGTTAGCTGGTTATTTTGCACATTAGTTGAGACAGCTTCTTCATAGTGTCATTGGGGTTTAAGTTTTGGTGTGTTTTTAAAGTAGCTGGTACCAGTTTTTCCTTTTCATATTTAGTGCTTCCTTCAGGAGTTCTTGTAGGGCAGGCTGAAAGCAAGCAATGGAGAAAGGATTCCCTATTTAATAAATGGTGTTGGGAAAACAAGCTAGCCATATGTAGAAAACACAAACTAGACCCCTTCCTTACACCTTATACAAAAATTAACTCAAGATGGATTAAAGACTTAAATATAAAACCCAAAACCATGAAAATGCTAGAAGAAAACCTGAGCAATACCATTCAAGACAGAGGCATAGGCAAAGCCTTCATGACTAAAACACCAAAAGCAATGGCAACTAAAGCCAAAATTAACAAATGAAATATAATTAAACTAAAGACCTTCTGCACAGCAAAAGAAACTAGCATCAGAGTGAACAGAAAACCTACAGAATGGGAGAGAAATTTTGCAATCTGTCATGAAAAAAAGCTCATCATCACTGGTCATTAGAGAAATGCAAATAAAAACCACAATGAGATACCATCCCATGCCAGTTAGAATGGTAATCATTAAAAAGTCAGGAAACGACAGATGCTGGCAAGGATGTGGAGATTTAGGAATGCTTTTACACTGTTGGTGGAAAGGCAAATTAGTTCAACCATTGTGGAAGCCAGTGGGGCAATTCCTCAAGGATCTAGAACTAGAAATACCATTTGACCCAGCAATGCCATTACTGCTTATATATCCAAATGATTATAAATCATTCTATTATAAAGACACATGCACAGGTATTTTCATTGCAACACTATTTACAATAGGAAAGACTTGGAACCAACCCAAATGCCCATCAATGATAGACTGGATAAAGAAAATGTGGTATATATACACCATGGAATACTATGCAGCCATAAAAAATGAGTTCATGTCTTTTGCAGGGACATGGATGAAGCTAAAAGCCATCATTCTCAGCAAACTAACACAGGAACAGAAAACCAAACACCACATATTCTCACTCATAAGTAGGAGCTGAACAATGAGAACACATGGACACAGGGAGGGGAACATCACACACTGAGACCTGTCTGGGAGGTGGGGGGCAAGGGGAGGGAGAGCATTAGGACAAATATCTAATGCATGCCGGGCTTAAAACCTAGATGACAGGTTGATAGGTGTGGCAAACCACCATGGTATATGTATACCTATGTAACAAACCTACATATTCTGCACATGAATCCCAGAACTTAAAGTAAAATAAAATAAAATAAAATAAATGAAGTCACAATGTACCACATAAATATTTACAATTCTTATGTGCCCATTAAAACAATAAAATTAAAAAAAGAAGAAGAATAAAATGGAACTGATAGAATTGAAAAACTCACTTCAGGAATTTTAGAACACAACCCAAGTCCTAACAGCAGAATCAACAAATCTGAAGAAAGAATCTGAGATTTCCAAGACAGTTTTTCTGAAATAACTTAGGCAAAAGTAAAGAAAAACAACAAACAAGAATGAACAAAACTTCTGAGAAATATGGAATTATGTAAAGAGACCAACTCTATGAAAATTGGCATTCCAGAAAAACAGGGAGAGAAATCAAACAACTTGGAAAACATATTTGAGAATATCATCCATGGAAAGTTTTCTATCCTCACTAAAAAGGCCAACATTTAAATTTAGAAAAATACAGATTGCCCCAGTGAAATACTCCACAAGAAGAACATCCCCAAGACAAATAGTCATCAGATTCCCCAAAGTGGAAATGAAAGAAAAAAATGTTAAAGGCAGCTAGAGAGAAGGGTCAGGTTACCTACAAAAGAAAACCCATCAGGCTAACAGTGGAATTTTCAGCAGAAATCTTACAAGCCAGAAAAGGTTGGGGGTATATATTCAGCATTAATAACAACAACAACAAAAAAATACAACCAAGAATTTTATATCCAGCCAAACTAAGCTTCATAAGTAAAGAAGAGATCAGAGTCTTTTCAGACCAGGAAGTGCTCAGGGAATTTGTTACCAGGAAAACTGCCCTATAAGAGGCCCTTAAAGGAGTTCTATTTATGAAAAGATCATTACCTGACGCTACAAAAACACAATTATGTACGTAAAACATTGATACCGTGAAGCAACCACACAATCAAATCTGCATAGAAACTGGCTAAAAATACAATGACAGGATCAAATCTGCACATATCAATACTAACCTTGAATGTAAATGGGCTACATGCCCTAATTAAAATGCTTAGAGTGGTAAATTGTATAGAGAAGCAAGACCCAAAGTTATGCTTTCTTCATAAGACTCATCTCACATGCAATGTCACACATAGGCTTAAAGTAAATAAATGGAGATCAATACCAAACAAGTGAAAACAGAAAAAGACATAGGTTGTTATAATTTCAGACAAAGCAGGTGATAAACCAACAAAAACAAGAAAGAGAAGAGCATTACATAATGATATAAGGGTTAATTCGACAAGAAGACCTAACTTTCTTAAATATGCATGCATACAACATAGGAGCACTCAGATTCAGAATGGAAGTTCTCAGATACCTAGGAATAAACTTAAATGTCCAAAAATAATAGAGGGAGACTTTAACACCCCACTGACAGTATTAGATCATTGAGGCAGGAAACAAACAGATATATTTGGGACTTGAAAGTGATATTTGACCAAATGCAACCAATAGACATCTACAGGATGAAGAGCAGGATGGAGAAATAAAAAACTCCACCAATTGTTCCCTCGCAAAGACACAAAGTTAACAACTATCTACGCAGGAAAAAAAAAAAAAGAAAAAAAAAGAAAAAAAAGAAAAGATCCTTCATAAAAACAAAACAATCAGGTGAGCACTCATAATACCTGGTTTTAACATTATATTGCTGAAAGAGGCACTGAAGGGATAGAAAAAAAGAAAACAGTGCTCAATTGTGGATGCCACACCTTCCCCACACCTAGAAGTGGTAACCTGTTGGGGAAGCATCTCTGGGCAGTGGGGGAAGAAGAACCTGGAAATTGTGAGGCACTGAACTCCGTGGTGCTCTGTTAGAGCAGAAAGAAAAGCCAGACCAAACTCAGCTGATGCCTGCCCACAGAGAGAGCATTTAAATCAGCCCCAGCAAAAGGAGAATCACCAATCCAACCTATCTGAACACAAGTGCCTGCCATACTGACCACTGAGGGCCAAAGTGCTCTTGGTCACTAAGTAAACTTGAAAGGTACTCTAGGCTATAAGGACTACTGCATGTATTAGGCAAGTCCTAGGACTAAAATTGGCCCAGACACAGTGGAATGCGGACAACACATGACATACTGAGACACCAGCTGGGGCAGACAAGGGAGTACTGGCATTACCCCTCCTCTAACTCCCGCTTTACAGCTCAGGGCTCCAAAAGAGACCCCTTTTTCCACTCCAAAATTGACCCCCTCCTTATGTTTCAGGAGAGAAGAGTGAAGAGTGGGGAGAACTTTTTCTTGCATCTAGGATACCAGCTCAGCCACAGGGCACTGCTGAGAGTAATGAGGACCCCATACCAGACCCTAGCTCCCAGATGACATTGCTAGTCACACTGTGGGCAATAAATAAACCTGCTGCCTTGAAGGGAATGCCCCTATCATAGAAGCATTCATCATCTGCTAACTGAAGAGACTTTGGACCCTGAATAACCATCAGCAATAACCAGGTACTAAAACATTGGCCTTGGTGAGCCTCTGTGGCTTGCTGGCCTCAGGTACCAACACTGTCACAGTGGGGTAGAACACCAAGTGGAAACTTACATTCCCCCATTCCAGAACTTGACTTTTGGATGGCATTTCTGGACCTACCCTGGGCTAGAGGGCTGCTCACTGCCCTGAAGTATGAGTCCCAGATAAGGCAGCAGTCACTCAAGTTGACTTAAGAAATCTTGGGCATTAAGGGAACATCAGTGGTAGTCTGGAAGTAGTCCTCATTGACTGGGGTGGTGGCTACTTGGTGAGGCTCTTCTGATTTTGCAAAGTAGAGGAAAGAGTGGGAAGAACTGCCTTTTGTAGTTTGAGTGCCAGCTTAGCCACAGTACAATAGGATACCAGATAGAATTCTAAGGTTTTTGACTCTAGTCACTGACTCCCTGATTGCACTTCTGGAACCACCCAGGGCCTGGTGGACCTTGTCACCCTGAAAGGAAAAACATAATACTGACTGGCATTGCCTTTTGCTGATTGTAGAGCCCTAGCAACTTAAGTGAACATAGGCAGTAGCCAGGGAGTGGTTAGAGCAGGCCTAGGTAAAGACCCAGCACCATACTGGCTTCATGTCTGACCCAGCACATTCATAGTGGTGGTCACCAAAGGAATGCTTGTGTCACCCTACCCCCACCTTTAGGTGGTTCATCACAGAAAAAAAGACTTCATTTGTTTAGGAAAAAGTAAGAGAACAAGAGTCTCTTCCTAATAATCCAGAGAATTCTCACAGATTTTGTCCAAGGCCATCAAAAGAGTATCTCTATGGGTCTGCGAGAAACCAGTGTTACTGGTCTTGGGGTGCCCCCTAAAGCAGACACAGTTTAGATCACAAAACAGAAATCATTTTAAATATCAGAAAAGCCTTCCCAAGAAGACAGCCACAAATAAGCCCAGACAATAAAGCCTACAAAAAGTACCTAAATCTTCAATACTCAGGCACTGAAAAACATCTAGAAACATCAATACCATCCTGGAAAACATGACCTCACCAAGTAAACTAAATAAGGAACAAAAAAATCCAATCCTGGGGAAACAGAGATATGCGACCATTCAGAAAGAGAATTCAAAATAGCTGTTTTGAGGAAACCCAAAGAAATTCAAGGTAACAGAGAGAAGGAATTCAGAATTATATCTGATACATTGAAAAAGATTGAAATAATCAAAAAGAGTCAAGCAGAATTTCTGGAGGTGAACGGTGCAATTAACATACAGAAGAATACATCAGAGTTATTTAATAGCAGATTGAATCAGGCAGAAGAAAGAATTAGTGAGCTAAAAAAACAGGTTATTTGAAAATACACAGTCAGAGATAAAAGAAAAAAGAATAGAAAAACAATAAAGCACAAACAAGATATAGAAAATCACCTCAAAAAGGCAAATTTAAAGCTTATTCACCTTAAAAAGTAGGTAGAGAAAGACATAGGGATAGAAAGTTAATTCAAATATATAGTAAAAGAGAAATACCTAAACCTGGAGAAAGATATTAATGTCTAAGTCCAAGGAGGTTTTAGAACACCAAGCAGATATAACCCAAACAAGACTACCTCAAGTCATTTAATAATCAAACTCCCAAATATCAAGTATAAAGAAAGGATCCTAAAAGCAACAAGAGAAAAGAAACAAGTAACATACAATGGAGCTCCAATAAGGTTGGCAACAGCCTTTTCAGTGGAAACCTTACAGACTAGGAGAGTAGAATGACATATTTAAAGTGCTGAAGGACGCTGGGTGTGGTGACTCAGGCCTGTAATTCCAGCATTTTGGGAGGCTGAGGAAGGTAGACCACCTGAGGTCAGGAGTTCAAGACCAGCCTGGTAAACATGGCAAAACCCCGTCTCCACTGAAAAAAAAAAAAAAATTAGCTAGACATGGTGGCAGGCACCTGTAATCCCAGCTACTAGGGAGGCTGAGACATGAGAATCACTTAAACCCAGGAAGCAGAGGTTGCAGTGAGCTGAGACCACACCACTGCACCCCAGCCTGGGTGACAGAGCAAGACTCCATCTCATTAAATAAATAAAGAGCTGAAGAAAAAAAACTACTCTAGAATAATATATCTGGAGAAAATATTCCTCAAACATGAAGGAGAAATAAAGACCTTCACAGACAAACAAAAGCTGAGGATTTTATCAATACCAGATCCATCCTACAAAAAATGCTAAAGGGGGTACTTCAATAAAAAAAGAAAAGGACGTTAATGAGCAAAAAATAATCACCCAAAAGATGAAACCTTACTGGTAATAGTACGTAAACAGAAAAACACAGAATATTGTAACACTGTTACTGTAGTGTGTAAACTACTCTTACCCTAACTAAAAAGACTGATGAAAAAATCAAAAATAATAATTACAACAACTTTTGAAGTCATAGTCAGTACAATAAGATATAACTAGTGTTGGGAACAGGCCCCCAAAAATCTGGCCCTAAACTGGCCCCCAAACTGGCCACAAACAAAATCTCTGCAGCACTGTGACATGTTCATGATGGCCATGACGCCCACGCTGCAAGGTTGCGGGTTTACCAGAATGAGGGCAAGGAACACCTGGCCCACCCAGGGCAGAAAACCGCTTAAGGGCGTTCTTAAACCACAAACAATAGCATGAGTGATCTGTGCCTTAAGGACATGCTCCTGCTGCAGATAACTAACCAAACCCAACCCTTTATTTCCGCCCATCCCTTTGTTTCCCATAAGGAATATTTTCAGTTAAGCTATAATCTATAGAAACTATGCTTATCACTGGCTTGCTGTTAATAAATACTTGGATAAATCTCCCTTTGAGGCTCTCAGCTCTGAAGGCTGTGAGACTCCTGATTTCCCACTGCACACCTCTATATTTGTGTGTGTGTGTCTTTAATTTCTCTAGTGCCACTGGGTTAGGTTCTCCCCAACCTAGCTGGTCTCGGCAAATAGAAACAACAAAATGTTAAAAAGTGGGGGAACAAAATTAAGGCTGTTTATTTTATTAGATATCTTTTTGCTTGTTTGTTTATGAAAATAGTTTTAAGTTGTTATAAGGTTAAAACACAGTTATAAGAGAATATTTGCAAGTTTCATGGTAGCCTCAAACCAAAAAACATACAAGGGACACACAATAAAAAGCAAGAAACTAAACGATATCACTAGGAAAAAAATGACCTTTACTAGAGGAAAACTGAAAGAAAAGAAAGAAGAGTAGGCCACAAAGCAACCATACAACAATAAGGTGACAGGAGTAAGCCTTTACTTATCAATAATAACATTGAATGTCAGTGGACTAAACCCTTCAATTAAAAGACACAGACTGGCTCAATGAATAAAAAAAAAGACCCATTAATCTGTAGCCACCAAGAAACACACTTCATCTGTAAAGACATAAAGAGAATGAAAATAAAGGAATAAAAATGATATTCCATGCCAATGGAAACCAAAATATAACAAAAGTCACAATAATTATATCAGAAAAAATAGATTTTAAGACACAAATTACAAGAAGAGACAATGAAGGCCACTATGTAATGATGAAGGGGTGTATACGGCAACAGGACATAACAATTTTAAATACATATGCATCCAACACTGGAGCACCCACACATATGAAGAAAATATTATTACACCTAAAAAGAGAGATAGACCCCAATACAATAACACCTGGAGATTTTAACACTCCACTTTTAACTTTGATCAGATATTCCAGGCAGAAAATCAACCAAAAAAAGTCAGAATTAATCTGCACTATAGATTAATATGATCTCATAAATATTTAAAGCATTTTATCTAACAGCTGAAGAATACACATTTTTTTTCTTCAGCACATAGAGTATTCTGAAGGATAGACCATATGTTAGGTCACAAAATACTTCATAAAACATTTAAAAAATTGAAGTTATATCAAGCATCTTCTCTGACCACAATGGAAAAAAAGTAGAAAATAATAAAAAGCGGAATTGTGGAAACGCTACAAATTCACGAAAATTAAACAATACGATCCTGAATGACCAGCAGATAAATAAAGAAATTTAGAAATCAATCAAAAAATTCCTTGAAAGAAATGATAGTAAAAACACAACATACCAAAACCTATAAAAAATAACAAAATTGGTACAAAGAAGGAGTTTATAAATATAAGAAAATACATCAAAAAAGAAACAACTTCAAATAAAAAAACTTAACAATGAATATTAAAGAACTAGAAAAGTGGGGCAAACCAAACCCAAAATAGGTAAAAACAATAAAATAATAAGAAACAGAGAAGAAATAAATGAAATTGAAATTTAAAAGCATATAAAATACCTTGGCAATGCCGGCTTTTTTTTGGTTCCATATGAACTTTAAAGTAGTTTTTTTCCAATTCTGTGAAGAAAGTCATTGGTAGCTTGTTGGGGATGGCATTGAATCTATAAATTACCTTGGGCAGTATGGCCATTTTCATGATATTGATTCTTCCTACCCATGAGCTTGGAATGTTCTTCTATTTGTTTGTATCCTCTTTTAGTACATTGAGCAACGGTTTGTAGTTCTCATTGAAGAGGTCCTTCACATCCCTTGTAAGTTGGATTCCTAGGTATTTTATTCTCTTTGAAGCAATTGTGAATGGGAGTTAACTCATGATTTTTCTCTCTGTTTCTGTTATTGGTGTATAAGAATGCTTGTGATTTTTGCACATTCATTTTGTGTCCTGAGACTTTGCTGAAGTTGCCTATCAGCTTAAGGAGATTTTGGGCTGAGACGATGGGGTTTTCTAGATATACAATCATGTCATCTGCAAACAGGGACAATTTGACTTCCTCTTCTCCTAATTGAATACCCTTGATTTCCTTCTCCTGCCTAATTGCCCTGGACAGAACTTCCAACACTATGTTGAAAAGGAGTGGTGAGAGAGGGCATCCCTGTCTTGTGCTGATTTTCAAAGGGAATGCTTCCAGTTTTTGCCCATTCAGTATGATATTGGCTATGGGTTTGTCATAGATAGCTCTTATTTTTTTGAGATAAGTCCCATCAATACCTAACTTATTGACAGTTTGTAGCATGAAGGGGTGTTGAATTTTTTCAAAGGCCTTTTCTGCATCTATTGAGATAATCATGTGTTTTTTTCATTGGTTCTGTTTATCTGCTGGATTACATTTATTGATTTGCATATATTGAACCAGCCTTGCATCCCAGGGATGAAGCCCACTTGATCATGGTGCATAAGCTTTTTGATGTGCTGCTGGATTCGGTTTGCCAGTATTTTATTGAGGATTTTTGCATCGATGTTCATCAGGGATATTGGTGTAAAATTCTCTTTTTTTTGTTGTATCTCTTCCAGGCTTTGATATCAGGATGATGCTGGCCTCATAAAGTGAGTTAGGGAGGATTCCCTCTTTTTCTATTGATTGGAATAGTTTCAGAAGGAATGGTACCATCTCCTCCTTGTACCTCTGGTAGAATTCGGCTGTGAATCCATCTGGTCCTGGACTTTTTTTGGCTGGTAAGCTATTAATTATTGCCTCAATTTAAGAAACTGTTATTGGTCTATTCAGAGATTCAACTTCTTCCTGGTTTAGTCTTGGGAGGGTGTATGTATCGAGGAATTTATCCATTTCTTCTAGATTTTCTAGTTTATTTGTGTAGAGGTGTTTATAGTATTCTCTGATGGTAGTTTGTATTTCTGTGGGATCGGTGGTGATATCCCCTTTATCATTTTTATTGCATCTATTTGATTCTTCTCTCTTTTCTTCTTTATTAGTCTTGCTAGCAGTCTATCAATTTTGTTGATCTTTTCAAAAAGCCAGTTCCTGGATTCATCGATTTTCTGAAGGGATTTTTGTGTCTCTATTTCCTTCAGTTCTGCTCTGATCCTAATTATTTCTTGTCTTCTGCTAGCTTTTGAATGTTTTATCTTGCTTCTCTAGTCCTTTTAATTGTGATATTAGGGTGTCAATTTTAGATCTTTCCTGCTTTCTCTTGTGGGCATTTAGTGCTGTAAACTTCCCTCTACACACTGCTTTAAATGTGTCCCAGAGATTCTAGTATGTTGTGTATGTGTTCTCGTTGGTTTCAAAGAACATCTTTATTTACAACCTTTCACGCTAAAAACTCTCAATAAATTAGATATTGGTGGGGCTTATCTCAAAAATAATCAGAGCTATCTATGACAAACCCACAGCCAATATCATACTGAGTGGACCAAAACTGGAAGCATTCCCTTTGAAAACTGGCACAAGACAAGGATGCCCTCTCTCCCCACTCCTATTCAACATAGTGTTGGAAGTTCTGGCCAGGGCAATCAGGCAGGAGAAGGAAATAAAAGGCATTCAATTAGGAAAAGACGAAGTCAAATTGTCCCTGTTTGCAGATGACATGATTGTATATCTAGAAAACCCCATCGTCTCAGCCCAAAATCTCCTTAAGCTGATAGGCAACTTCAGCAAAGTCTCAGGATACAAAATCAATGTGCAAAAATCACAAGCATTCTTATACACCAATAACAGACAATCAGAGAGCCAAATCATGAGTGAACTCCCATTCACAATTGCTCCAAAGAGAATAAAATACCTAGGAATCCAACTTACAAGATATGTGAAGGACCTCTTCAAGGAGAACTAAAAACCACTGCTCAATGAAATAAAAGAGGATACAAACAAATGGAAGAACATTCCATGCTCATGGGTAGGAAGAATCAACATCGTGAAAATGGCTATACTGCCCAAGGTAATTTATAGATTCAATGCCATCCCTATCAAGCTACCAATGACTTTCTTCACAGAATTGGAAAAAACTACTTTAAAGTTCATATGGAATCAAAAAAGAGCCCACATTGCCAAGTCAATCCTAAGCCAAGAGAACAAGCTGGAGGCATCATGCTACCTGACCTCAAACTATACTACAAGGCTACAGTAACCAAAACAGCATGGTACTGGTACCAAAACAGAGATATAGACCAATGGAACAGAACAGAGCCCTCTGAAATAATGCTGCATATCTACAACTATCTGATCTTTGACAAACCTGACAAAAACAATCAATGGGGAAAGGTTTCCCTATTTAATAAATGGTGCTGGGAAAACTGGCTAGCCATATGTAGAAAACTGAAACTGGATCCCTTCCTTACACCTTATACAAAAATTAATTCAAGATGGATTAAAGACTTAGACGTTAGACCTAAAACCATAGAAGAAAACCTAGGGAATGCCATTGAGATCATAGGCATGGGCAAGGACTTCATGTCTAAAACACAAAAAGCAATGGCAACAAAAGCCAAAATTGACAAATGGGAACTAATTAAACTAAAGAGCTTCTGCACAGCAAAACAAAATACCATCAGAGTGAACAGGCAACCTACAGAATGGGAGAAAATTTTTGCAACCTACTCATCTGATAAAGAGCTAATATCCAGAATCTACAATGAACTCAAATAAATTTACAAGAAAAATCAAACCCCATGAAAAAGTGGGTGAAGGATATGAACAGACACTTCTCAAAAGAAGACATTTATGCAGCTGAAACACACAGGAAAAAATCCCCATCATCACTGGCCATCAGAGAAATGCAAATCAAAACGACAATGAGATACCGTCTCACACCAGTTAGAATGACGATCATTAAAAAGTCAGGAAACAACAGGTGCTGGAGAGGATGTGGAGAAATAGGAACACTTTTACACTGTTGGTGGGACCCTAAACTAGTTGAACCATTGTGGAAGTCAGTGTGGCGATTCCTCAGGGATCTAGAACTAGAAATACCATTTGACCCAGCCATCCCATTACTGGGTATATACCCAAAGGATTATAAATCATGCTGCTATAAAGACACATGCACATGTATGTTTAGTGCAGCACTATTCACAATAGAAAGACTTGGAACCAACCCAAATGTCCAACAATAATAGACTGGATTAAGAAAATATGGCACATATGCACCATGGAATACTATGCAGCCATAAACATGATGAGTTCATGTCCTTTGTAGGGACATGGATGAAGCTGGAAACCATCATTCTCAGCAAACTATCACAAGGACAAAAAACCAAACACTGCATGTTCTCACCCATAGGTGGGAATTGAACAATGAGAACACATGGACACAGGAAGGGGAACATCACACACAGGGGACTGCTGTGGGGTGTGGGGAGGGGGGATGGATAGCATTAGGAGATATACCTAATGCTAAGTGATGAATTAATGGGTGCAGCACACCAACATGGCACATGTATACATATATAACAAACCTGTCCATTGTGCTCATGTACCCTAAAACTTAAAGTATAGTAATAATAAAATAAAATAAAGAAATATTATTCAGACTTACAAAAGACAGAAGTCATGTCATTTTCACCAACGTGGAAAAACCTGGAAGACATTATGTTAAGTGATATAAGACAGAAACAGAAAGATACATGTTGTATGATCTCATTTATATGGGGAAACTAAAATAGTCAAGCACACAGAAACAGTAGAAAGGTAGCTTCCATGGGCTGAGGGTTAGGAAAATGGGGAAAAGTTGGAGAAGGGTACAGAGTTTTAGATATGAAGAGTGAATAAGTTGTAGATGTAATGTACAGTATAGCAACTGTAGTTGATAATACTATTTGGTATACTTCAATTTGCTGAGAATAGATCTTAAATGTCCTTATCACAAAAAGGTAACTGAGATAATATATATGTTAATTAGCTTGGTTGTGGTTATAAATTCACAATGTGTATATATATATATATAAATTACACTGTACATTTAAAACAAATACAGTTTTAAAATATTTTATTTATTTATTTTTTCAAATTTTAGATTCAGGAAATACATGCACAGGTTAGTTACATGAGTATATGGTGTGATACTGAGGTTTGGACTTCTAATGATTTTATTTCCCAAGGGGTGAACACAGTACTTGATAGGTTGTTTTTCAATCACTGTCTGTTTCCCCTTCCCTTCTTTGAGAGTCGCTAGTGTCTACCATTCCCATCTTTGTTACCGTACTTACCTGGTTGTTAGCTTCCACTTATAAGAGAGAACATGTGGCATCTGTTTTTCCATCCCTGCATTAATTTGCTTATAACAATTGCTTTCAGCTGCATCCATGTCGCTGCAAAAAAAAACATAAATTTATTCTTTTTTTAAGCCTGTGTAACACGTCATGGTGTGTATGTAACACATTTCCTTTATCCAGTTGATAGTTGATGGGCACCTAGGTTGATTCCCTGTCTTTGCTATTTTGAACAGGGCTGCAATGAACATACAAATGCAGATGTCTTTTTGGTAGAATGATTTATTTTCTTTTGGATATATACACAGTAAGAGGATTGCTGGGTTAAATGGTAGTTCTGTTTTAAATTCTTTGAGAAATCTACAAACTGCTTTCCACAGTGACTGAACTAATTTGCATTCCCACCAACAGTATATAAATATACCCCCCCTTTTTTTTGCAGCCTCGGTAACACCTGCTTTTTATTTTTTATTTAAGTCCTGGGGTACCTGTGCAGAACATGCAGGTTTGTGACATAGGTATACACGTGCCATGGTGGTTTGCTGCACCCATCAACCCATCATCTGCATTAGGTATTTCTCCTGATGCTATCCAGCCCCCACCCCCCACTCCCCAACAGTACCTGGTGTGTGATGCCCCCCACCCCGTGTCCATGTGTTCTCATTGTTCAACTCCCATTTATGAGTAAGAACATGCCTTGTAAGTTGGATTCCTAGGTATTTTATTCACTTTGAAGCAATTATGAATGGGAGTTCATTCATGATTTGGCTCTCTGTTTGTCTGTTGTTGGTGTATAAGAATGTTTGTGATTTTTGTACATTGATTTTGTATCCTGAGACTTTGCTGAAGTTGCTTATCAGCTTAAGGAGATTTTGGGCTGAGACAATGTGGTTTTCTAGATATACAATCATGTCGTCTGCAAACAGGGACAATTTGACTTCTTCTTTTCCTAATTGAATACCCTTTATTTCCTTCTCCTGCCTAATTGCCCTGGCCAGAACTTCCAACACCATGTTGAATAGGAGTGGTGAGAGACGGCATCCCTGTCTTGTGCCAGTTTTCAAAGGGAATGCTTCCAGTTTTTGCCCATTCAGTATGATATTGGCTGTCGGTTTGTCATAGATAGCTCTTATTATTTTGAAATACGTCCCATCAATACCTAATTTATTGAGAGTTTTTAGCATGAAGAGTTATTGAATTTTGTCAAAGGCTTTTTCTGCATCTATTGAGGTAATCATGTGGTTTTTGTGTTTGGCTCTGTTTATATTCTGGATTACATTTATTGATTTGCGTATATTGAACCAACCTTGCATCCTAGGGATGAAGCCCACTTGATTATGGTGGATAAGCTTTTTGATGTGCTGCTGGATTCGTTTTGCCAGTATTTTATTGAGGATTTTTGCATCAATGTTCATCAAGGATATTGGTCTAAAATTCTCTTTTTTTGTTGTGTCTCTGCCTGGCTTTGGTATCAGAATGATGCTGGCCTCATAAAAAGAGTTAGAGAACTACAAACCACTGCTCAGGGAAATAAAAGAGGATACAAAGAAATGGAAGAACATTCCATGCTCATGGGCAGGAAGAATCAATATCGTGAAAATGGCCATACTGCCCAAGGTAATTTACAGATTCAATGCCATCCCCATCAAGCTACCAATGACTTTCTTCACAGAATTGGAAAAAACTACTTTAAAGTTCATATGGAACCAAAAAAGAGCCCGCATTGCCAAGTCAATCCTAAGCCAAAAGAACAAAGCTGGAGGCATCACACTACCTGACTTCAAACTATACTACAAGGCTACAGTAACCAAAACAGCATGGTACTGGTATCAAAACAGAGATATAGATCAATGGAACAGAACAGAGCCCTCAGAAATAACGCAGCATATCTGCAACTATCTGATCTTTGACAAACCTGAGAAAAACAAGCAATGGGGAAAGGATTCCCTATTTAATAAATGGTGCTGGGAAAACTGGCTAGCCATATGTAGAAAGCTGAAACTGGATCCCTTCCTTACACCTTATACAAAAATTAATTCAAGATGGATTAAAGACTTAAACGTTAGACCTAAAACCATAAAAACCCTAGAAGAAAACCCAGGCATTACCATTCAGGACATAGGCATGGGCAAGGACTTCATGTCTAAAACAACAAAAGCAATGGCAACAAAAGCCAAATTTGACAAATGGGATCTAATTAAACTAAAGAGCTTCTGTACAGCAAAGGAAAGTACCATCGAGTGAACAGGCAACCTACAAAATGAGAGAAAATTTTCACAACCTACTCATCTGACAAAGGGCTGATATCCAGAATCTACAATGAACTCAAACAAATTTACAAGAAAAAACAAACAACCCCATCAAAAAGTGGGCAAAGGACATGAACAGACACTTCTCAAAAGAAGACATTTATGCAGCCAAAAAACACATGAAAAAATGCTCACCATCACTGGCCATCAGAGAAATGCAAATCAAAACCACAATGAGATACCATCTCACACCAGTTAGAATGGCAATCATTAAAAAGTCAGGAAACAACAGGTGCTGGAGAGGATGTGGAGAAATAGGAACACTTTTACACTGTTGGTGGGACTGTAAACTAGTTCAACCATTGTGGAAGTCAGTGTGGCGATTCCTCAGGGATCTAGAACTGGAAATACCATTTGACCCAGCCATCCCATTACTGGGTATATACCCAAAGGACTATAAATCATGCTGCTATAAAGACACATGCACACGTATGTTTATTGTGGCATTATTCACAAGAGTAAAGACTTGGAACCAACCCAAATGTCCAACAATGATAGACTGGATTAAGAAAATATGGCACATATACACCATGGAATACTATGCAGCCATAAAAAATGATGAGTTCATGTCCTTTGTAGGGACATGGATGAAATTGGAAATCATCATTCTCAGTAAACTATCGCAAGAACAAAAAACCAAACACCGCATATTCTCACTCATAGGTGGGAATTGAACAATGAGATCACATGGACACAGGAAGGGGAATATCACACTCTGGGGACTGTGGTGGGGTGGGGGGAGGGTGGAGGAATAGCATTGGGAGATATACCTAATGCTAGATGACGAGTTAGTGGGTGCAGCACACCAGCATGGCACATGTATACATATGTAACTAACCTGCACAATGTGCACATGTACCCTAAAACTTAAAGTATAATAAAAAATAATATATATATAAATATATAAATATAAATAAATATATATATATATAAATATATAAATATAAATATATATATATATACATATATATATACATATATATATATATATATGTATATATATATAAAACATGAGGTGTTTGGTTTTCTTTTTCTGTGTTTGCTGAGAATGATGATGATGATTTACATCTTCATTCATGTCCCTGCAAAGGACATGAACTCATCCTTTTTTATGGCTGCTTAGTATTCCATAGTGTATATGTGCCACATTTTCTTTATACAGTCTATCACTGATGGACATTTGGTTTGGTTCTATGTCTTTGCTATTGTGAACAGTGTCTCAATAAACATATGTGTGCGTGTGTCTTTACAGTAGAATGATTTATAATACATTGGGTATATTCCCAGTAATGGAATGGCTGGGTCAATTGGTATTTCTAGTTCTAAATCCTTGAGGAATCACCACACCGTTTTCCGCAATGGTTGAACTAATTTACATTCCCACCGACAGTGTAAAAGCGTACCTATTTCTCCACACCCTCTCCAGAGTCTGTTGTTTCCTGACTTTTTAATAATTGCCATTCCAACTGGCATGAGATGGCATCTCATTGTGGTTTGATTTGCATTTCTCTAATGACCAGTGATGATGAGCTTTTATTCATATGTTTGTTGGCTGCATAAATGTCTTCTTTTGAGAACTGTCTGGTAAAATACTTTGTCCACTTTTTGATGGGGTTCTTTTTTTTTCTTGTAAATTTGTTTAAGTTTTTGTAGATTCTGGATATTAGCCCTTCATCAGATGGATAGATTGCAAAAATTTTCTCCCATTCTGTAGGTTGTCTGTTCACTCTGATGGTAGTTTCTTTTGCTGTGCAGAAGCTCTTTTGTTTGATTAAATCGCATTTGTCAATTTTGGCTTTTGTTGCCATTGCTTTTTGTGTTTGAGTCGTGAAGTCTGTGCCCATGCCTATGTTCTGAATGGTATCGCCTTGGTTTTCTTTTAGGGTTTTTATGTTTTAGGGTCTTTCGTTTAAGTCTTTATACATTTTTAGTTAATTTTTGTATAAGGTGTAAGGGAGGGATCCAGTTTCATCTTTCTGCATATGGCTAGCCTGTTTTCCCAACACCATTTTATTAAATAAGGAATCCTTTCCCATTGCTTGTTTTTGTCAAGTTTATCAAAGATCAGATGGTTGTAGATGTGTGGTGTTATTTCTGAGGCCTCTGTTCTTTTTCATTGGTCTATATATCTGTTTTGTTACCAGTACCATATTGTTTTTGTTACTGTAGGCTTCTAGTATAGGTTGAAGTCAGGTAGCGTGATGCCTCTAGCTTTGTTCTTTTTGCTTAGGATTGTCTTGGCTATGTGGCCTCCTTTTTGGTTCCATGTGAAATTTAAAGTATGTTTTTTCCAATTCTGTGAAGAAAGTCAATGGTAGCTTGATGGGAATAACATTGGATCTATGAATTACTTTGGGGAGTATGGCCATATTCACAACACTGATTCTTCCTATCCACGAGCATGGAATGTTTTTCCATTTGTTTGTGTCCTCTCTTATTTTGTTGAGCAGTGGTTTGTAGTTCTCCTTGAAGAGGTACTTCACATCCCTTCTAAGTTATATTCCATTTTATTCTCCTAGTAGCAATTGCAAATGGGAGTTCACTCATGATTTGGCTCTCTGTTTGTCTGTTATTTGTGTAAAGAAATGCGTGTGATTTTTGCACATTGATTTTGTATCCTGAGACTTTGCTTCATTTGCTTATCAGCTTAAGGAGATTTTGGGCTGAGACGATGGGGATTTCTAAATATACAATCATGTCATCTGCAATCAGAGACAATTTGACATCCTCTTAATTTAATACCCTTTATTTCTTTCTCTTGACTGATTGCCCTTGCCAGAACTTCCAATTCTATGTTGAATAGGAGAGGTGAGAAAGGGCATCCTTGTCTTGTGTTGGTTTTCAAAGGGAATGCTTCCAGTTTTTGCCCATTCAGCATGATATTGACAGTGTGTTTGTCATTAATAGCTCTTATTATTTTGAGAAACATTCCATCCATACCTAGTTTACTGAGAGTTTTTAGCAAGAAGGGCTTTTGAATCTTGTTGAAGACCTTTTCTGCATCTATTGAGATAATCATGTGTTTTTTTGTAATTGATTCTGTTTATTCAATGGATTACGTTTATTGATTTGCGTATGTTGAACCAGCCTTGCATCCCAGAGGTGAAGCTGACTTGATCGTGGTGGGTAATCTTTTTGATGTGATGCTAAATTTGGTTTGCCAGTATTTTATTGAGGATTTTTGCATCTATGTTCATCAGGGATATTGGCCTGAAATTTTCTTTTTTGGTCATATCTCTGTCAGATTTTGGTATCAGGATAATGCTGTCCTCACAAAACGAGTTAGGGAGGATTCCCTTTTTGTATTGTTTGGAATAGTTTCAGAAGGAATGGTACCAGCTCCTTTTTGTTCTTCTGATGAAATTAGGCCGTGAATCCATCTGGTTCTGGACTTTTTTTTTGGTTGGTAGGGTATTAATTACTGCCTCAATTTCAGAACGTGTTATTGGTCTATTCAGGGATTTAACTTTTTCCTGGTTTAGTCTTGGGAGGGAGTATGTGTCCAGGAATTTATCCATTTCTTCTAGATTTTCAAATTTATTTGCATAGAGGTGTTTATAATATTCTCTGATGGTAGTTTGTATTTCTGTGGATTCGGTGGTGATATCCCCTTTATCATTTTTTGCATCTATTTGCTTTTTCTCTCTTTTCTTCTTTATTAGTCTGGTTAGTGGTCTATCTATTTTGTTGATCTTTTCAAAAAACCAGCTCCTAGATTCATTGATTTTTTTGAAGGGTTTTTCGTGTCTGTATCTCCTTCAGTTCTGCTCTGATCTTAGTTATTCCTTGTCTTCTGCTAGCGTTTGAATTTTTTGCTCTTGCTTCTCTAGTTCTTTTTTATTGTGATGTTAGGTTGTTGAGTTTAGATCTTTCCTGCTTTCTCTTGTGGGCATTTAGTGCTATAAATTTCCCTCTACACACTGCTTTAAATGTGTTTAAGAGATTCTGATACATTGTGTCTTTGTTCTCATTGGTTTCAAAAAATGTCTTTATTTCTCCCTTAATTTCATTATTTATCCAGTAATCATTCAGGAACAGGTTGTTCAGTTTCCATGTAGTTGAGCAGTTTTGAGTGAGTTTCTTAATCCTGAGTTCTAATTTGATTGCTCTGTGGTCTGAGATTCTATTTTTTATGATTTCCGTTCTTTTGCATTTGCTGAGGAGTGTTTTACTTCCAATTATGTGGTCAATTTTAGAATAAGTGGGATGTGGTGCTGAGAAGAATGTATATTATGTTGATTCGGGGTGGAGAGTTCTGTAGATGTCTATTAGGTCTTCTTGGTCCAGAGCTGAGTTCAAGTTCTGGATATCCTTGTTAATTTTCTCTCTCATTGATCTGTCTAATATTGATAGTGGAGTGTTTAAGTCTCCCATTATTATTGTGTGGGAGTCTAAGTCTCCTCGTAGGTCTCTAAAAACTTGCTTTATGAATCTAGGTGCTCCTGTATTGGGTGCATATATATTTAGGATAGATAGCTCTTCTTGTTGCATTGATCTGTTTACCGTTATGTAATGCTCTTCTTTGTTTCTTTTGATTTTTGTTGGTTTAAAGTCTTTTTTTATCGGAGACTTGGATTGCAACCTCTGCTTTTTTTTCTTTCCATTTGCTTTGTAAATATTCCTCCATCCCTTTATTTTGAGCCTATGTGTGTCTTTGCATGTGAGATGGGCCTCCTGAATACAGCACACCGAAGTGTCTTGACTCTTTATCCAATTTGTTGGTCTGTCTCTTTTAATTGGGGACATTTAGGCCATTTACATTTAAGGTTAATATTGTTATGTGTGAATTTGATCCTGTCATCATGATGCTAGCTGGTTATTTTGCACATTAGTTGATGCAGTTTCTTCACAGTGTTGTTGGTCTTTTATTGTGGTATGTTATTGCAGTGGCTGCTACTGGTTTTTCCTTTTCATGTTTAGTGCTTCCTTCAGGCACTCTTTTAAGGCAGGCCTGGTGGTAACAAAATCCCTCAGCATTTGCCTGTCTGTAAATAATTTCATTTCTCCTTCACTTATGAAGCTTAGTTTGTCTGGACATGAAATTCTGGGTTGAAAATTCTTTTCCTCAAGAATGTTAAATATTGGCCTCCACTCTCTTCTGGCTTGTAGGGTTTCTGCCAAGAGATCC
This sequence comes from Homo sapiens, assembly GCF_000001405.40. Lineage (NCBI taxonomy): Eukaryota > Metazoa > Chordata > Mammalia > Primates > Hominidae > Homo > Homo sapiens. The sequence goes on along the minus strand of NC_000023.11, from coordinate 66,555,663 downwards.
ACTGTTAGTCTGATGAGCTTCCCTTTGTGGATAACCCGACCTTTCTCTCTGGCTGCTCTTAAAATTTATTCCTTCATTTCAGACTTGGTGAATCTGTTGATTATATGTCTTGGGGTTGCTCTTCTCGAGGAGTATCTTTGTGGTGTTCTTGATATTTCTTGATTTTGAATGTTGGCCTGCCTTGATAAATTGGGGGAGTTCTCTTGGATAATATCCTGAAGAGCGTTTTCTAACTTGGTTCAATTCTCCCCATCACTTTCAGGTACACCAGTCAAACATAGATTTGATCTTTTCACATAGTTCCATATTTTTTGGAGGCTTTGTATGTTTCTTTTCACTCTTTTTCTTCTAATCTTGTCTTCTCGATTTATTTCATTGAGTTAATCTTCAATCTCTAGTATCCTTTCTTCTGCTTGGTCGATTTGTATATTGATACTTGTGTATGACTCATGAAGTTCTCGTGCTGTGTTTTTCACTTCATCAGGTCATTTATGTTCTTCTCCAAACTGGTTATTCTAGTTAGCAATTCCTCTAACATTTTTTCAAGGTTCTTAGCTTCCTTGCATTTGGTTAGAACATGCTCCTTTAGCTTGAAGGAGTTTGTTATTACCCACCTTCTGAAGCCTACTTCTGTCAATTCTTCAAACTCATTCTCTGTCCAGTTTTGTTCCCTTGCTGGTGAGGAGTTGTGATCCTTTGGAGGAGAAGAGGAGTTCTGGTTTTTGGAATTTTCAGCCTTTTTGCGCTGGTTTCTCCCCATCTTTGTGGATTTATCTACCTTTGGTCTTTGATGTTGATGACCTTAGGATAGGGTTTCTGTGTGGATGTACTTTTTGTTGATGTTGATACTATTCTTTTGGTCTTTGATGTTGATGACCTTCGGATGGGGTCTCTGAGTAGATGTCCTTTTTCTTGACTTTGATACTATTCCTTTCTGTTTGTTAGTTTTCCTTCTAATAGTCAGGCACCTCTGCTGCAGATCTGCTGGAGTTTGTTGCAGGTCCACTCCTGACTGTTTGCCTGGGTATCACCAGGGGAGGTGCACAACAGAAAAGATTACTGCCTGTTCCTTCCTCTGGAAGTTTCATTCCAGAGGGGCACCTGCCAGATGCCAGCCAGAGCTCTCCTCTATGAGGTGTTTGTCCACCCCTACTGGGAGGTGTCTCCCAGCCAGGATGCATGAGGTCAGGGACCATCTTGAGGAGGCAGTCTGTCCCTTATTGGAGCTCAAAGACTGTGCTGGGAGATCCGCTGCTGTCTTCAGAGACATCAGGCAGGGACACTTAAGTCTGCTAAAGGTGTGCCCACAGCTGCCCCTTTTCCCAGGTGCTCTGTCTCAGGGAGATAGGGGGTTTATCTGCAAGTTCCTGACTGGGGCTGCTGCCTTTTTTTCAGAGATTCCCTGCCCAGAGAGGAGGATTCTAGAGAGGCAGTCTGGCTGCAATGGCCTTGTTTAGCTGTGGTGGGTTCTGCCAATTTCAAACTTCCTGGCAGCTGTGTTTACACTGTAAGGGTAAAACTGCCTACTCAAGCCTCAGCAATGGCAAATGGCCCTCCCCCCACCAAGCTCCAGCATCCCAGATTGACCTCAGACTGCTGTACTAGCAGCAAGAATTTCAAGCCAGTGGATCTTAGCTTGGACTCTGTGGAGGTGGGACCTGTTGAGCCAGACCACTTGGCTCCCTGGCTTCAGCCCCCTTTCCAGGGGAGTGAATGGTTCTCTCTCACTGGTGTTCCAGGTGCCACTGGTGTATGGAGAAAAGAAAAACAAAACTCATGCAGCTAGCTCAGTGTCTGCCCAAATGGCTGCCCAGTTTTGTGCTTGGAACCCAGGGCCCTTGTGACATAGGCACCGGAGAGAATCTCCTGGTCTGCTGGTTGTGAAGACCATGGGAAAAATGCGGTATCTGGGCGGGAGTGCACCGTTCCTCCCAATACAGTCTCTCATGGCATCCCTTGGCTGGGGGAGTTAGATCCCCTGACTCCTTGCATTTCCCAGGTGAGGCAACACCCCACCCTGCTCACCCACCATGGGCTGCACCCACTGTCCAACCAGTCCCAATGAGATGATCTGGGAACCACAGTTGGAAATGCAGAAATCACCCACCTTCTGTGTTGATCTCACTGGGAGCTGCAGACCAGAGCTATTCCTATTCAGCCGTCTTGCCAGTGACTTTTTTTATTTTTATTTTTTAATACTACTCATTCTGACTGTTGTGAGATGGTATCTAATTGTGGTTTTATTTGCAGGTCTCTAATGATTAGTGATGTGAAGAATTTTTTCATGTTTTTTGGCCACTTACATGTCTTCTTTATTTTTATTTATTTATTTGAGACAGAAATGACACCAAGACTGGAGTGAAATGATGTGACTTCAGCTCACTGCATCCTCTGTCACCCAGGTTTAAATAATTCTCATTTCTTAGCCTCCTCAGTAACTGGGATTACAGGCATGTGCCACCATGTCAAGCTATTTTTTTTTTTTTTGTATTCTTAGTAGAGATAGAGTTTTGCTATGTTAGCCAGGCTTCTCTCAAACTCCTGCACTCAAATGATCTGCCAACCTACACCTCCCAAAGTGCTGGGATTACAAGCATGAGCCACCATGCCCAGCCACAAATGTCTTTTATAAAAAAGCGTCTATTTGGAACATATCTCAAAATAGTAAGAGCTATTTATGACAAAACCATAGCCAATATCATACTGAATGGGCAAAAGCTGGAAGCATTCCCTTTGAAAACTGGCACAAGACAAAGATGCCCTCTCTCACCACTCCTATTCAACATAGTATTAGAAGTTCCAGCCAGGGCAATCAGGCAAGAGAAAGAAATAAAGTGTATTTAAATAGGAAGACAGAAAGTAAATTTTCTGTTTGCAGATGACATGATTGCACATTTAGAAAACCCCATCATCTCAGACCAAAGACTCCTTAAGCTGCTAGGCATCTTCAGCAAAGTCTCAGGATACAAAATCAATGCAAAAATCACAAGCATTTTTATACCCCAACAATAGACAACCAGAGAGCCAAATCATGAGTGAACTCCCATTCACAATTGCTACAAAGAGAATAAAATACCTAGGAATACAACTTAAAAGGGACCTGGACTTCTTCAAGGAGAACACAAACCACTGTCCAAGGAAATAAGAGAAGACACAAACAAATAGAAAAAAACTCCATGCTCATGGATAGGAGGAAAAAATATCGTGAAAATGGCCATATTGCCCAGAGTAATTTATAGATTCAATGCTATTCCCATTAAGCTGCCATTGGCTTTCTTTGCAGAACTAGAAAAAATTACTTCAAATTTCATATGGAACCAAAAAAGAGCCCGTATAGCCAAGACTACCCTAAGCAAAAAGAACAAAGCTGGAAGCAACATGCCACCTGACTTCAAAATATGCTACAAGGCTACAGTAACCAAGGCAACATGTTACTATTACCAAAATAGATATACTGACCAATGGAACAGAACAGAGACCTCAGAAATAACACCACACATCTACAATCATCTGGTCTTTGACAAACCTGACCAAAAGAAGGAATGGGAAAGGGATTCCCTATTTAATAAATGGTGCTGGGAAAACTGGCTAGCCATATGCAGAAAACTGAAACTGGACCCCTTCTTTACACCTTATGCAAAAATTAACTCAAGATGGATTAAAGACTTAAATGTAAAAATCTAAAATGATAAAAACCCTAGAAGAAAACCTAGACAATACCATTCAGGACACAGGCATGTGCAAAGACTTCTTAAATAAAACACCAAAAGCAATTGCAACTAAAGCCAAAATTGATGAAGGGGATCTAATCAAACTAAAGAGCTTGTGATCAGCAAAATAAACTATCATTAGCGTGAACAGGAAATTTACAGAATGGGAGAAAATTTTTGCAATCTACCCATGTAATAAAGGTCTAATATCCAGAATCTACAAGGAACTTAATCAAATTTACAAGAAAAAAACCATCAAAATTTGGGTGAATGATATGAACAGACACTTCTCAAAAGAAGGCACTTATGCAGCCAACAAACATATGAAATAAAGCTCATCATCACTGTTCATTAGAGAAATGCAAATCAAAACCACAATGAGATACCATTTCATGCCCATTAGAATGGCAATTATTAAAAACTCAAAAAACAACAGATGCTGTTGAGGCTGTGGAGAAATAGGAACACTTTTACACTGTTGGTGGAAGTGTAAGTTAGTTCAACCATTGTGGAAGACAGTGTGGTGTTTCCTCAAGGATACAGAAGCAGAAATACTACTTGACTCAGCAATCCCATTACTCGGTATATACCCAAAGGATTATAAATCATTATACACATGCACACATATGTTTATTGCAGCAGTATTTACAATAGCAAAGACTTGGAACCAACCCAAATGCCCATCGATGATGTACTGGATAAAGAAAATGTGATACATATACACCATGGAATGCTACCCAGCCATAAAGAAGAATGAGTTCATGTCTTTTGCATCATCATGGATGAAGCTGGAAAGTATCATTCTCAGCAGACTAACACAGGAACAGAAAATCAAACACCGCATGTTCTCACTTATAAGTGGGAGATGAACAATGAGAACACATGGACACAGGGAGGGGAACATCACACACTCCTGTCAGGGGGTGCGAGGCAAGGGGAGGGAGAGCATTAGGAAAAATACCTAATGCATGCAGGGATTAAACCCTGGATGATGGGTTGATAGGTGCAGGAAACCACCATGGCACATGTATACCTATGTAGTAAACTTGCACATTCTGTACATGTATCCCAGTACTTAAAATAATAAAAAAAGATTTAAATGAGATAATGTACATAAAAAAGTTCCTTGCACTCCAAACATTTTAGTAATTTTCACTGCTTTTACTATTTGATTAATATGCCCTTGCACTATTATATATTTAATCTTACACTTTAAGGCCTATATTGCTATCACGCATAACATTTTTAAAGTTAAAAAAGTCATAATGTGCTCTTTAGGTCTATGAAAAAGCATACTAAGCAATACGGATCTTGTTTAGGACATGATTCAAAATGATACCAATTGGCCGGGCGCGGTGGCTCACGCCTGTAATCCCAGCACTTTGGGAGGCCGAGGCGGGCGGATCACGAGGTCAGGAGATCGAGACCATCCTGGCTAACACGGTGAAACCCCGTCTCTACTAAAAATACAAAAAATTAGCCGGGCGTGGTAGCGGGCGCCTGTAGTCCCAGCTACTCGGGAGGCTGAGGCAGGAGAATGGCGTGAACCCGGGAGGCGGAGCTTGCAGTGAGCCGAGATCGCGCCACTGCACTCCAGCCTGGGCGACAGAGCGAGACTCCGTCTCAAAAAAAAAAAAAAAAAAAAAATGATACCAATTGATGGCACTAGAGGCCATTATCCTCAGTGAATTAACTCAGAAACAAACAGTCAAATACTGCATGTTCTCACTTATAAGTGGGGGTTAAACTTTACCCATTGGATACAGTGCTCAGTATTGAGGTGATGGATACACTAAAAGCCCATACTTCATCACTACACAATATATGAATGTAAGGAACTTGCACTTGTATGCTGTTAACATATTTTAAATGTTAATTAATTTTTCAAATGATACCAACTGTAAGCAGATATTTATGAGATAATCAGAGAAATGTAGGCTCTAAATGGATAGTTGGTGATATTAAGGAATGATTGTTAAATTGAGAGGAATGATGAAGTCAAAAATAGTCCTTATTTTTCACAGAAAGGACTATCTGAATTTTAACAGATAAAATAATATACCATCTGATGTCTGCTTCAGTATCTATAGTGGGAGAGGAGCATAAGAAATATTGTTGGAACAAAATGGGTTGTATGTTGGTAATTTTTGAAATTGGGTTATTAGTTCTTTATAGTATTCTCTGTACTGTTTTCATTTGAATTTTTTCATAATGGATGATAATAAAAAGAGCATCTAATAAAGTTTACAGAGAACCTGAGAGAAAAAGAAGTCTCTATTCATCTTCATTGCCCACTTTTTAAAAGAGGTATTTGCTTTTTCTTTCTGATTTAAGTTCCTTATAGATTCTGGATATTAGTCTTTTGTCAAATGCATAGTTTGCAAATATATTCCCCTAATCTGTAGGTTTTTTGCTTATCACATTAGTTGTTTCTTTTGCTGAGCAGAAGCTCTTTAGTTTAATAAAGTCCTGTTTGTGTATTTTTTATTTAGCTGCATTTGCTTTTGTTGTCTTCATTGTAAATTCATTACTTAGACCAATGTCTAGAAGAGTATTTCCTATATTTTATTCTAGAATTTTTATAGATTGAAGACTTACATTTAAGTCTTTAATTCATCTTTTGTTAATTCTTGTATATTGTGAGAGGGAGGGATTCGGTTTCATTCTTCTGCATTTGGTTAGCCATTTTTCCCAGAACCATTTATTGAATAGGATTTTCTTTCCCCATTGTTTACTTTTGCCAACTTTGTCAAAGATCAGTTGGTTGTAGGTGTATGACTTTATTTCAGAGGTATGAATTCCCTTCCATTGACCTCTGTGTCCATATATATATATACACACACACATATATATATACACACACACATATATATATATATATTACTGTACCCTTGTAGTACAGTTTGAAGTTGATGCCTCTGGCTTTACTCTTTTTGCTTATGATTGCCTAAGCTATTCAGGCTTGTTTTTGCTTCTGTATTAATTTTAGATTTTTTTATTTTGTGAATAATTGACATAATTTGATAGAACTCATATTGAATTTGTAGCTTGCTTTGTGTAATATGAACATTTTCATGATATTGATTCTTCCAATCCATAAGCCTGACATGCTTTTCCATTTCTTTGTATCATGTGTGATTTCTTTCAGCTGTGTTTTATAGTTCTTCCTATACAGATGTTTAACCTCTTTGGTCAGATGCATTCCTAGGTATTTTACATGGAATTACATTCTTGATATGGTAACCAGCTTGAATGTTATTGGTATAGAAAAATGCTACCGATTTTTTAATGTTTATTTTATACCCAGAGATTTGGTGAAGTCATTCATAAGATATAGGAATGTTTGGCAAAATATTTTGGGTTTTCTAGGTATAGAATTATATTGTCAGTGAAGAGAGATAATTTTACTTTCTTTTTTTTATTTGGATTTCTTTTATTACTCTTATTTGATTTTTCCACCCTTTCCTGCTGTTTTCACCCTATATACACACCTAGAAAGAAAACCATATCAGTTCCTGAGTGATGGGATGGGGAAACTTAATTCAAATTCAAACTTGGACTTGTGATAACGATCTCACCTCATTTTCACTTCTGCAACCAGATGATAGAAAACTACTCTAAAAGGTACTCAGCAAATTTCCATTATGCCCTTGAGGCAAATCTTACAGCTATTTCTGAAATTCACAAAATGTCTACAGTGAATGACTTTTGGTAGCCTAAGGAGTAATTTGCATCCTTGCTATTCTTAGTGATGCTATGTAACTGACACAGATGGAGGCCCAATGAGTCAGAAAAAAGAAAATAATCTCCAATGGATGCATTAGTTTTCTTTCATTTAAAGGCAAAAAAGCATCTGCATATTCCATTGAGTCATTCTGAGTGCAAACCTGGACTTCATGGCTTCTCTTTGTCAGATATTTTCATTAAGCTAGAGCTCAGAAGACTCTAGGCAATGCATTATGTAAAAATCAATTTAACTTCAAAGAATAGTGCTAGGCTCTGGGCCTGTTGGTGCTCTGGAGAAATCCCAACTTGCTTCTACATCTGTACTTGCTGCTACCCTCCTCACAGAGCTTCTGCTCCTGACTTTTTAATGATCACCATTCTAACTGGTGTGAGATGGTATCTCATTGTGGTTTTGATTTGCATTTCTCTGATGGCCAGTGATGACGAACATTTTTTCATGTGTTTTTTGGCTGCATAGATGTCTTCTTTTGAGAAGTGTCTGTTCATATCCCTTGCCCACTTGTTGATGGGGTTGTTTGTTTTTTTCTTGTAAATTTGTTTGAGTTCTTTGTAGATTCTGGATATTAGCCCTTTGTCAGATGAGTAGATGGCAAAACTTTTCTCCCATTCTGTAGGTTGCCTGTTCACTCTGATGGTAGTTTCTTTTCTGTACAGAAGCTCTTTAGTTTAATTAGATCCCATTTGTCAATTTTGGCTTTTGTTGCCATTGCTTTTGGTGTTTTAGACATGAAGTCCTTGCCCATGCCTATGCCCTGAATGGTATTGCTTAGGTCTTCTTCTAGGGATTTTATGGTTTTAGGGCTAACATTTAAGTCTTTAATCCATCTTGAATTAATTTTTGTATAAAGTGTGAGGAAGAGATCCAGTTTCAGCTTTATACATATGGCTAGCCAGTTTTCCCAGCACCATTTATTAAATAGGGAATCCTTTCCCCATTTCTTGTTTTTGTCAGGTTTGTCAGATATCAGATAGTTGTAGATACGCGGCATTATTTCAGAGGGCTCTGTTCTGTTCCATTGGTCTATATCTCTGTTTTGGTTCCACTACCATGCTGTTTTGGTTACTGTAGCCTTGTATTATAGTTTGAAGTCAGACATGTTCTCACTCATAGGTGGGAATTGAACAATGAGAACACATGGACACAGAAAGGGGAACATCACACACTGGAGACTGTTGTGCAGTTGGGGGAGGGGGGAGGGATAGCATTAGGAGATATACCTAATGTTAAATGACGAGTTAATGGGTGCAGCACACCAACATGGCACACGTATACATATGTAACAAACTTGCACGTTGTGCACATGTACCCTAAAACTTAAAGTATAATAATAACAAAATTAAAAATATAAAAAAATAAATAAAGTCATAAAATTAATTAAACCCAATCATTAAAGAAACTTAATAATCTATGTAGAAAGAAAGCATAAGTATATATACAGAAAAATGTGCTAAAAACATAAAATGGAAAAGACTAATCTAATTCTGTCCAAGAAAGGAGATTGTTTCTCAACATCTCTATAGCATGCTAAAAATTGTTTTAAAGGCGACATTCAATAAATACACAATGTTCACAAAAAAGTTAATGTGCTTAAAGTACTTCAATAAAGAATGTATTCGTGTTCATAAAAAAAAGAAATTATTACAAACCCAGAGAATATTATAAACAATGTTATGCCCATAAAGTCAACAACTTAGACAAAATGGACAAATTCATTGAAAAACACAAGTTAGCAAAGCTCATGTAACCATGATTGGGCAACCTGAATAGTCCTAATTCATTACAAAATGGATTAAACTTTCCAAGAAAGAAAATTCCAATTCAGTTGACTTTTACGGTTAATAAGCCATATATACTTAGGCAAAAATTAAGTAAAAAAAATACTGATTTACAAAATCTCTTCCAGAAAACTGAAGAACATTTTTCATCTCATTTAATGAGGCTAGTGTTACTTGATTCTAAAGTCAACAAAGACATTACAAGAAATAGAAAACTGTAGACTAATATTTATTATAAACAAGTTGCAAATATCATCAACAAAATATTAACAAACCAAATCTAGCCACATGTAAAAATGGTAATACTTCACCACCAAGTATGGCTTATCCCAGGAATGGAAGACCTATTTGAAAATAAACCAGTATATTTTACTAATCAATAAATTAATAACAAATGCTGTTATCTCAGATACAGATAAAGCGTTGGAAAAAAACAACATATATTTATAAAAGAAATTCTAAACATACTGGGAATAGAAGGAAACTTCAGTGTTCTATTAAAGCATATCTAAAAAAAGGTATAACTAAGATTGCACTTAATGGCAAAAGATAGAAAGCTTTTTCCCTTAGATAAAAAAAAAAAATGCAAAGATTTCCAATCTCCCCAACTGTTTATTATTATACTGGCAGTCCTAGCCAGAGCCATAAAACAATAAATGAAACAAAAAGAAAAGGATGGGAATTAAAGAAACATATTACCTCTATTTGCAGCCATAGTGGTCATCTGTATATAACCCCCTAAGGAATTCACAAAAAGTTCCTGAAATTGAAAAGTTCGTTTAGAGTGGAGGCAGAGCAAGATGGCAGAATAGAGGCCTTCACGTCTTGTCCTCCCCTAAGAAATATCCAATTCAACAATGATCTACTCAAAAAATTACCTACATGAGAAACAAAAATCAGGCAAATAATCATTGTACATTGTTTTAACTTCATTTCACTGAAAGAGACACTAAAGAGGGTAGAAAAGATAATCTTGAATTGCCAGTGACACCCAACTCTCATCCCCTGACAGCAGCTGTGTGGAATGAAGTGAGAATCTGTGCATTTGTGGGAGGAAAGTGCAGTGATTGTGATACCTTGCACTGAGATTCAGTGCTGTCCTGTCAAAGGGGAAAGAAAAGGTAAATAGAACTCAGCCAGTGCTGGAGGGAGGATTTAGACCTGCCCTAGGCAGAAGAGAATTGCCTAACCCAGCAGTCAAAAGTTGAATTTGGCAAGCCCCACTACCATAGGATATTTGGTCCTGAAATAAGCTTGAAAGGTAGTCTAGGTCACAAGGACTGCAACTCCTAGGCAAGTTCTGGTGCTGTGCTGGGCTTGAAGCCAGTGGTCTTGCAGGGCATGAAACCTAGTGAGACAACAGCCAGGGTGGCTAAGAAAGTGACTTCAAAACTGTTTTTCAAAACCCAGGCAGTACAGCTTGCAGCAACAAAATTGACTCCTTTCTTTTGTTTGAGAAAGAAGAGAAAAGGATAAAGAGAGCCTGTTCTGGCAACTTGGATACCAGCTCAACCACAGTAAAATGGGGCACCTGGCATAGTCATGAGGGCCCCATTCCAGGCCCTACCTCTCAGATGACATTTCTAGAAACACCCAGTGTCTAGAAGAGAACTCACTGCCTTGAAGGGAAGGATTCAGTTATGACAAGCTTTATCACCTGTTAACTAAAAAGCCCTGAATAACCAGCAACAATACACAGGTAGCATGCCATGGGTCTTGGGTGAGACTCTGAGATGTGTTGACTTCCAGTGAAACCCAGTACATTTCCAGTTGTGGAGGTTATGGTGAGAGATACCTTCAGTTTGAGAAAAGCAGAGGGAAAAGTAAAGGGGACTTCATCTTGCACCTTAGGTACCAGCTTGGCCACAGAAAGGTAAAGCAACAAGTTGACTCTTGGGGTCCCTAATTCCAGGAGTTGGCTCTTAAATGGCATTTCTGGACTATTCTGTTCATAGTGTAGTCCAATACCTTGAAGTTTGACTCATAGTCCTGGCAGCACTCACCACAAGCTGACTGAAGAACTTTTGGCCCTTAAGTAAACATTGGCAGTAGCCTGGCAGTACTCCCTATGGGCCTGTGGTGATGGTGGCAAAAGGGGGAAGTCCCTCTACTAGTGGAAAAGAAAAGAAAGAGTAAAAAAAACCTGTATCTTGCACCAGGATAGCTGCAGTAAAATAGAGTAGAAGTCAATTTTTAAGGCTACTGACCCCAGTTCCTGGCTCCCAGATGCCATTTGTGGACCCACCTGGGACCTGGGAGAACTTGCTGCCATGAAGAGAAGAAGATTAGCCTGGCTACATTTACTACCAGCTGATTGATCATAGAGCCCTAAGGCCATGAGTAAATATAGGCAGTGAGTACAGAGGGCCTTGAGTAAGACCCAGGGCTCTGCTGGCTTCAGGACTGACTTAGTGCAGTTTCTGTTGTTGTGACCACAAAGGTAATAGCTAAGTTGCCTTTAGCTCCAGGCAACTCAGAAAAAACAGAGAGACTCAATTTTGGTGGGGAAACAGTAACAGAAGAGAACAATCATCTCTTCTTGATAATCCAAAGAGTTTTCTCTATCTTATCCAAGACCACAAAGGTGATACCTCTACAAGACTACAGGAACCACAGCAGTAATGAGCTTATAATAAAATTTGAAGGACTTGGGTGTTGTGATCTAAGCTTAATACAGATAGAGCTTCGATCACAATGCCCATCCCTATAAATACCTGGAAAGCCTACCCACGAAGGATGAGTATAAAAATACACACACTGCAAAGTCTACAATAAATACCCAATTCTTCAAGTCTGGACACTAAAAAATATCCACCAGCATCAGGACCCTCCAGGAAAACATGACCTCACAAAATGAACTAAATAAAGCACCAGGGACCAATTCTAGAGAAACAGAAATATGTGACATTTTCAACAGAGAAATCAAAATAACTCTCTTGAGGAACTCAAAAAAATTCAAGATAACATAGAGAAGAAATTCAGAATTCTATGAGATAAATTTAACAAAAAATTGAGTTAAATGGAATCAAAGAGAAATTTTGGAGTTGAAAAATGAAATTGACATACTAAATAATTCATCATAGTCTTTTAAAAGCTGAATTGATCAAACAGATTATAGAATTAATGAGCTTGAAGACAGGCTATTTGAAAATACACAATCAGAAGAGACAAAACAAAAAATAATAAAAAACAATGAGGCAAACCTAGAAGACGTAGAAAATAGTTTCAAAAGGGTACATCTAAGAGTTATTGGCCTTGTAGAAGAGGTAGAGAGAAAGGTGATGTAGAAAATTTATTCAAAGAAATAATAATGAAGAACTTCCCAAATCTAGATAAATGTATCAGTATCCAAGTACAAAAAGGTTGTAGAATACAAAGCAGATTTAACCAAAGTAGACTACATTAAGCCATTTAAATAAAACTCCCAAAGTTGAAGGATAAGAAAAAAATCCTAAAAGCAGCAAAAGAATAGAAACAAATTGCATTCAATGGAGCTCCAATACGTCTGGAAGCAAATTCTCAGTGGAAACCCTACAGGCCAGTAATGAGTGGTATAACATATTTAAAGTGTCGAAGGAAACAATACTTTACCCTAGAATAGTATATTTAATAAAAATATTATTCAAGCATGAAGAAGAAATAATATCCCAGACAAACAAAAGCCAAGGGATTTCATCAACAACAGACTTGCCCCACAGTAAATGCTAAAGGGAGTTCTTCAATCAGGAAGAGATGGGATGTTAATGAGCAAGAATAAATCATCTAAAGGTACAAAACTCACGGGTAATAGTAACTACACAGAAAATTACAGAATATTATAAAACTATTTGTGGTGTGTAAACTAAACTTAAGTAGAAATACTAAAAGTGAAACCCATCAAAATAATAACTATAACAACTTTTCCAAACATAGTATAGTAACATAAATAGAAATGAGAACAACAAAAAGGGGGACAGATAAAGTGCTAAGGTTTTATCAGTTTTTGTTTGTTTTTTGATGCAATCATTTTTAAGTTGTCATCAGTTTAAAATAATGAGTTGTAAGAGAGTATTTACAAGCCTCATGTTAACTACAAATCAAAAAACATGCAATGTGTACAAAAATATAAGGCAATCAGTTAAAACATATCTCCCAAGAAAATCAGCTTCTTTAAATAAAATACAAAAAGGAAAAGAAAAACAAAAGAAGAGGAGACCACACACACAAAAAGAAAAGAAACAACAAAAAGGAGTAGATATATTTATATCTGACAATATGATATTGTACTGTCATGCTGACAATATAATATAATGTGACTTCAAGACAAAAACTATAAGAGACAAGGTCACTATATAATGAAAGGGTAAATTAAGTATTAACTTACACAAACACAAGGTTACTCAATAGGCTGTCTTCAAGCTGAGGAGCAATGAGAGCCAATCTGAGTCCCAAAACTGAAGAACTTGGAGTCTTATGTTCAAGAGCAGGAAGCGTCCAGCATGGGAGAAAGATGTAGGCTGGGAGGCTAGGCCCATCTTTCCTGTTCATGTTTTTCTGCCTGCTTGATAGTCACTGGAAGCTGATTAGATTGTGCCCACCAGATTAAGGGTGGATCTCACTTCCCCAGCCCACTGACTCAAATGTTAATCTCTTTTGGCAAAACCCACACAGACATACTCAGGATTAATACTTTCTTTCCCTCAATGCAATCAAGTTGGCACACAGTATTAACCATCACAAGTCCACCCCTCATCAACTTGAACCCATACACATCTCCCGAGAATCATACATAATCTTCAAATAAAGAAAATAATGAGGCCGGGTGCAGTGGCTCAAGCCTGTAATCCCACCACTTTGGGAGGCCGATGCGGGTGGATCACCTGAGCTCAGGAGTTCGAGACCAGCCTGGCCAACATGGCGAAACCCCATCTCTACTAAAAATACAAAAATTAGCCAGGCGTGGTGGCACATGCCTGTAGTCCCAGCTACTAGGGGGGCTGAGGCAGGAGGATCGCTTGAACCCAGGAGGTGGAGGTTGCAGTGAGCCAAGATCGTTCCACTGCACTCCAGCCTGGGCGACAGAGTGAGACTCCATCTCAAAAAAAAAAAAAAAAAAAAAAAAAGAAATAAAAGAAAAAAAAAGAAAATAATGAGGTCATAATTACACCTAACATTATACAACTATCCTTCGTACATTTGGAAATGCACCAATCTCCAACCCAAATACTGTTACGTTAAGTTAATAATACTTGAATGTTGATATGAAGTCAATAAACCTTACATCACATGATAAAGAAAAAGGAAATATAATGAAGATGTTTTCTTAGTAAAAGTGTATACATGCACAAATACGTTTTTGACAAAAGAAGGAGGAAATGCTCATGACAGTTACAGTCCTCGTTTCTGCAGCTGGCCACTTGGTCATAGCTAGTGTTAATGACTACCTTCTTCTACTAGACATTCTGTATTCCCTTTGCCTTCAGTAAGCTCCTCAGCAGGTCAGTTTTTTCCTGGCCAGGTAACCCAAACCTTCATTCCTGAAGGGTCTGTGTCATTTGTAGTCCTGCCTGGATTGGGCTGCTGTAGTTTCTTATTGACCTTAATCACAGGGGATAGTAATGCTAAGAGACACCCTAAGGATCTCCTGTATTCCATGCCTACTCTTCCTTTATTCCTATGTGGAGTAGTAGACTGATTTCATCTTGATAGTCCCGGTCAAGTACCCCAGCCAACACTGTAACTCCCTTCTTAGCCTATTGACTTCAATGTTGGAGGAGCCCAAAGTGTCCTGGTGACAATCTGAACTTCCAGTTTAATTGAATCATTGTTGTGTCCCTGGTGGTGACATTTCTTCCTCTGGAACTAAGACCTCTAGGCCATCAGAATGTAATGTCACAGGAACAGGACACAAAAATTCGCTAATGGATCACTAGGGGTGATGGTGAGTGGTGCCACTTCCACTTCCACCTCTTAATTCCTGGACCTGTGAATCCTGGTTATGGGAGAAAGAGTACCATATATTGGATGCTGATTAAGAGCATAAATGGCCTTCCAGAGAACTTTTCCCTAGGCCTGCAAAGTATTGTCACCTTGTTGGCATTGTAATTGTGACATCAAAATGCCATTTCACCATTCAATCAATCCAGCTGCTTCAGGATGATAGGAAACATGGTAAGACCAATGAATTCCATGAGCATGAGCCCACTGTTGCACTTCTTTAGCCATAAAGTGAGTGCCTTGGTAAGAAGCAATGCTGTGTGGAATAGCATGATGGTGGATAAGCCATTTTGTGAGTCCACGGATGGTAGTCTTGGCAGAAACATTGCATGCAGAATAGGAAAACCCATATCTGGAGTAAGAGTCTATTCCAGTGAGGACAAACCTCTGCCCTTTCCATGATGGAAGAGGTCCAATATAATCAACCTGCCATCAGGTGGCTGGCCGATCACTCCGAATAATGGTGCCATATAGAGGGCTCAGTGTTGGTGTTTGCTGCAGGCAAATTGGGCACTCAGCAGTGGCTATAGCCAGGTCAGCCTTGGTGAGTGGAAGTTCATGTTGCTGAGCCCATGTGTAACCTCCATGCATGCCACCATGTCCAGTTTGTTCATGGGCCCATTGGATGATGACAGGGGTGGCTGGGGAAAGAGGCTGAGTGGTTTCAACAGAATGGGTCATCCTATCCACTTGATTATTAAACTCCTCCATTGCTTAGGTCACCCGTTAGTGACCACTTACATGGGACATAAATATCTTCACAGTTTTTGACCACTCAGAGAGGTCCAGCCACATACCTCTTCCCCAGATTTCTTTGTCATCAATTTTCCAATCATGCTTCTTTCAAGTTCCTGACCATCCAGCCCAACAACTGGCTACAGCTTATGAATCAGTATATTATCGCACATCTCGCCATTTCTCCTTCCATGCAAAGTGCACAACCAGGTGAACTGCTCGAAGTTCTGCCCAGTGAGAGGATTTCCCTTCACAGCTGTCCCTCAGGGATGTCCTAGAAAGGGGCTGTAGTGCTGCAGCTGTCCACTTTCGGGTTGTGCCTGCATATCGCATATCGTGCAGAACCATCTGTGAACCAGGTCCTAGTCTTCTCTTCCTCTGTTAACTGATTATAGGGAAGTTCCCATGAGGCGATTGGTGCAGGCTGGGGGTGAGAAGTCAGGGTGGCAGAAATAGAGACCATGGGCATTTGAGCCGCTTCCTCATGTAACTTACTTGTGCCTTCAGGACCTTCTCGAGCCCTATCATGTATATACCACTTCCATTTGATGATAGAATGTTGCTGTGCATGACCCACTTTATGACTAGATGGGTCAGAAAGCACCAAGTTCATGACAGGCACTTCAGGTCCCATGGTGACTTGATGACCCATAGTCAAACGTACAGTTTCCACTAAAGCCCAGTAACAGACCAAGAGCAGTCTCTCAAAAGGAAAATAATTATCTGCAAAAGATGACTAGGCCTTGCTCCAAAATCCTAAGAGGACCCTGCTGCAGTTCTCCTATGGGAGCCTGTCAAAGGCTCCAAACAGCTTCCCTATCTACCACTGACACATCAAGCACCATTGGATCTGCGAGGTCACATGGCCCCAGTGGCAGAGCAGCTTGCACAGCAGCCTGGACTTGTTGGAGAGCCTTCTCCTGTTCTGTATCCCCCTCAAAAACTTGCAGCCTTTCAGGTCACTCAGTAAATGGGCTAGAGTAACATAACCAAAGGAGGAATGTGTTGTCTCCAAAATCAAAATAGGCCACTAGGCGTTGTGCCTTTTTCTTGGTTGTAAGAGGAGCCAAATGCAGCAACTTATCCTTTACCTTAGAAGGAATATCTCGACAGGCCCTACACCACTGGACCCATAGATATTTAACTGAGGTAGAAGGTCCTTACATTTTAGTAGGATTTATTTCCCATCCTCTGGCATGCAAATGCCTCACTTAAGTCCAGTGTGTTTGCTACTTCTTGCTCATTGGATCCAGTCAGCATAATGTCATCAATGTAACAAACCAGTGTGATATCTTGTAGAAGTGTAAAGTGATCACGGTCTCTCTGAATAAGATTATGACACAAAGCTGGAGAGCTAATATACCCCTGAGGTAGGACAGTAAAAATATATTGCTTGCCTTTCCAGCTGAAGGCAAATTGCTTCTGGAATGCCTTATGGACAACAATGGAGAAAAAGGCATTTGCCAAGTCAATGACTGCATATCAGGTACCAGGAGATGTGTTAATTTGCTCAAACAATAAAACCACATATGGCTGAGCAGCTGCATTTGCAGGCACCACTTCATTAAGCTTACAATTATCTGTTATTCTCCAAGATCCATCTGTCTTCTGCACAGGCCAAATGGGAGAGTTGAAAAACGATGTGGTGGGAGTCATCACCCCTCCGTCTTTCAAGTCCTTGATGGTGGTACTAATCTTTGCAATCCCTCCAGGGATGAGATATCGTTTTTGATTTATTATTTTTCTGGGTAGAGGAAGCTCTAATGGCTTCCATTTTTCTTTTCCCACTAGAACAGCCTTCACCCTACCAGTCAGGGAGCCAATGTGGGGGTTTGCCAGCGGCTAAGTATGTCTATGCCAATTATGCATTCTGACACTGGAGAAGTGACCACAGGATGAGTCTGGGGATCCATTGAACCCACTATAAGTTGGACCTGAGCTACAACTCCATTAATTACCTTACCTCCATAAGCCCCTACTTTAACTGGAAAGCCAAAATGATGTTATAGGTGCCCTTGAATCAATCTCAGCTCAGAGCCAGTGTCCAGTAGTCCCCAAAATGTCTGATCATTTCCCTTTCCCCAATGCAGTTACCCTGGTAAAAGGCTGGAGGTCTCCTTGGGGAAGGATGGGAGAAAGATTCACTGCATAAAGTGTCAGTAATGTAGTGGGATCCTTCCTCAAGGGGGCCTGGCCTCCCTTTCATTCAAGGGGTTCTGGTTCTGTAAACTGGGTCAAGTCTGGAAATTAGTTGAGGGGCCATAATTCTGTTTTTATAATTCAAATAAGTCTTCTGTTCTTTCGACCTAGAAGTTTTCTATTTTTATAATTTAAGTGGGAATGCAGTAGACTTACGGCATTCAATTTCACTTATAGGAACACCATGATTAATTAGCCAATGCCAGAGCTCTACACAAGTCAGACTATTCTGATTGTCACTTTGCCTGTGCTGTTCATTATGGTAGCTACACCCACCTTGCCTTTGACTGTTGAGTGCTGCCACTTGGTCCTTGCCACCTTGGGATCGAATTATTCTCATTGTATTTAAATTTTGTAGCTGAATGACTGCAGTTCCACCCTTAGATCTGACATACAAAGAAGAGCAATTACAGGGTTTTTCAAAGAGGAAGATGATTTCCTCACAAATCTATTTCATAAGTCACAGGTCAAGCATATGTCTTCTGGACCCTCCCAGCTGGGATGAGTAGGTCTAAATTGACTAATCCATTTCACCATCCCAATCTCCCTAAGCCTTTGGATCCCTTTCTCTACATTAAACTAAGGGAGATCAGGCATTTCCAGCTTATTCACAGTTGACCATCTTTTAATCCATATTTTAGCTAACTAAGCAAATTAACTATTAGAACATTTTTAACTCCCTGAGCTGCAAATTTAAATGCAAAGTCCCTACTTAGTGGACCCAAATCAGTAAATTCAGCCTTATCCAACTTTGTTTCTTCCACCATTATCCCATACTTTTAATATCCATTCCCATGCCTGTTCTCCAGATTGCTGTTTATATAAATTAGAGAACTCAAACAGTTCTTTTTGAGTGTACCATCCCTCATGGGTAGCACACCTCATGGGTAGTGTGACTTCATGGGTCACACTTTCTTTTTTATTATTATTATACTTTAAGTTTTAGGGTACAAGTGCACAACATGCAGGTTAGTTACATATGTACACTTGTACCATGTTGGTGTGCTGCACTCATTAACTCGTCATTTAACATTAGGTATATCCCTTAATGCTATCCCTCCCCCTTCCCCCCACCCCACAACAGGCCCTGGTGTGATGTTCCCCTTCCTGTGCCCATGTGTTCTCATTGTTCAATTCCAACCTATGACTGAGAACATGTGGTGTTTGGTTTTTTTTGTCCTTGTGACAGTTTGCTGAGAATAATGGTTTCCAGCTTCATCCATGTCCCTACAAAGGACATGAATTCATCATTTTTTATGGCTACATGGTATTCCATGGTGTATAAGTGCCACATTTTCTTAATCCAGTCTATCATTGTTGGACATTTGGGTTGGTTCCAAGTCTTAGCTATTGTGAATAGTGCCGCAATAACTAGGCAATACCATTCAGGACATAGGCATGGGCAAGGACTTCATGTCTAAAACACCAAAAGCAATGGCAACAAAAGCCAAAATTGACAAATGGGATCTAATTAAACTAAAGAGCTTCTGCACAACAACAGAAACTACCATCAGAGTGAACAGGCAACATACAGAATGGGAGAAAATTTTTGCAATCTACTCATCTGACAAAGGGATAATATCCAGAATCTACAATGAACTCAAACAAATTTACAAGAGAAAAACAAACAACCCCACAAAAAAGTGGGCAAAGGATATGAACAGACACTTCTCAAAAGAAGACATTTATGCAGCCAAAAGACACATGAAAAAATGCTCACCATCACTGGCCATCAGAGAAATGCAAATCAAAAGCACAATGAGATACCATCTCACACCAGTTAGAATGGCAATCATTAAAAAGTCAGGAAACAACAGGTGCTGGAGAGGATGTGGAGAAATAGGAACTCTTTTACACTGTTGGTGGGCCTGTAAACTAGTTCAACCATTGTGGAAGTCAGTGTGGCGATTCCTCAGGGATCTAGAACTAGAAATACCATTTGACCCAGCCATCCCATTACTGGGTATATATCCAAAGGGTCACACTTTTAAACTCACTTCTAGGGGCCTGCTGGGACTTTAGTCTAGTTATAGGTCTAGAAGCAAATAGAGGTGTTGGCGGTGGCTTCTGAGAAGAATCAACATTATCTTGCCTGGCAGCTGCCTCAGGGGAGGCCCTCACTGTTTCCTAAAGCAGCACAGGGTTTATCTCCTCATACAAACAAGGAAAGGCTGATGGCAGCAATGTTCGGGGAGGGGATGTTGCCACTACTGGAGATGGGAAAGCTGTTACTTCTGGCAGAAAAAATGTTCATTAGAGTTTACAAACTCAGTGTCCTCAGCTTCATTAGGGTCCTCCAAACTTCCCCATTCCAAGTTGGAGGACCCCATTCTTTTCCAGTCAATGCCCACACTTTTACAATAGACATCTGGCGAGGCTGTACATGCATCTCTCATTGCAGGTCAGGCACTCGCATAATAAGAGCTTGTGTCTGTTTTTTCCCATTTTCAGCTCTTTCTCTACAGGTGATAAGACTCTCACTCAGGGCAATCTTAGCAGATTTGAACCTTAGTATCTGCTTCTGAAGCTGGGAGACAGAATCCCTCAATTCATCATTTTCTTTTATCATTTTGTCCACTGAACTTAGGAGCAACCAACCAGGTTCATTATGTTCCTTGGTTCTCCACATATGGTCAAAGGTATAATGTATAGAGTCACTAAACTCCTTGCCTCTCTCGATCAGTGAATCAGGTGTGTCAAATGCATTTATTTTGCATAACTCCCTAAACAGTTTTGGCCAAGGACTATCAGTGTTCTCCATACTACTAGAAGTAGAGTCCTTAGCATTTTGGGGTCTAATTATATTAAGCAGCCAACTCCAGAAACCCCAAAACCAACCAAAGAACTCCATCCTTAATATTCTATTCCTCTAGAATCACTCCCAGTACCAAAATCTGCATTGGTAGGGTTTTATATATATAGTTTATTAAAAATCTGTATTAGTCAGGGTTCCATATATATATATATATAAATTTACATCATCACAAGGTCCCTCAGCTTGTCTGCAAGCTGAGGAGCAAGGAGAGCCAGTCCAAGTCCCAAAACCGAAGAACTTTGAGTCTGATGTTCAAGGACAGGAAGCATCCATCACGGAGAAAGATGTAGACTTGGAAGCTAGGCCCATCTCTACTTTTCACGTTTTTCTACCTGCTTTATATTTACTGGAAGCTGACTAGATTGTACCCACCAGATTAAGGGTGGATCTGCCTTTCCCAACCCACTGACTCAAATGTTAATCTCTTTTGGAAACACCCACACAGACACAACCAGTATTAATACTTTGTACCCCTCCATCTAATCACGTTGACACTCAGTATTAACCATCACAACAGCATAACAATTGTAAGTATATATGCACTTAACACTGAAGCATCCAGATATATAAAACAAATATTATTAAAGGTAAAGAGAAAGATAGAACCCAATGCAACAATACTGATACACAAGCACAGGAAACCCAAGTAAAAATAGACAAATCAGATTTCAAGTGAAAAACCTTCTGCATGGCAACAGGTATCATCAACAGATATCTTTTACAGGATGGAAGAAAATGTTTGCAAACTATCCATCTGAGAAGGGATTGATATAAGTAGCTAAAATAACTCTAAAAGAAAAAAGTTAATAATCACATTAAAAAAGGGTAAAGAATATTAATAGCATTTCTCAAAAAAAGAAATGCAAATGGTAAATGGGCATATAAGAAGGTCCTCAACATCATTAATTATTATGTAAATGCAAATCAAAAATATGATGAAATGTCATCTCACCCCAGTTAAAATGGCTTTTATCCAAAAGACAGGCAATAGTGTATGCTAGTTAGGGTGTGGAGAAAAGGGAAAACTGGTACAGTGTTGGTGAGAATGTAAATTAGTACAGCCATGATGGAGAATAGCAGGGAAGTTCCTCAGGAAACTAAAAATAGAACTACCATATAATTCAGCAACCCCACTGCTGGGAGTATACCAACAAAACAAACAAACAAACCATCAAAATAAATTGGTATATTAAAAGATATCTGCATTTCCCTGTTTATTAGAGCTCTACTTACAATATTCAAAATTTAGAAGCAACCTAAGTTTCCATCAACAGATGAATGGATAAAGAAAGTGTAGTACATATACACAATAAAGTACTACTCTGTCATAAAAAATTGAGACCCTGTAATTTTCATTAACATGAATGAAACTGGATGCCATCATGTTAAGTGAAATAAAACAGCCACAAAATACAAACTTGGCATGTTCGCACTTATTTGTAGGGGTTGAAAATTAAAACACTTGAATTCATGGTGATACAGAGTAAAGTATGTTTACAAAAATGTCTGAAGGATAGTGGAGTTTGGGGGAAAAAGTGGGGATGATTAATAATTATCAAAATAATTAGAATAAATGAATAAGATCTAGTCTTTGATAGCACAACAGGGTGACTACAGTCAGTAATAATTTACTTGTACATTATAAAATAAGGGTATAATTGAAAAAAAAGAGTATAATTGGCTTTTTAACACAAAAGATAAATGCCTGAGGTGATAGATACTCCATTTGCCCTGATTTGATTATTGCACATTGTGTGCTTCTATCAAAATATCTCATGCATCCCATAAATATATACACCTACTATTTACCCACAAAAATAACAAAAATTAAATGCAGTTAAACATACACCTATTATATAATCCTGCCATTCTACTTTCAGGGATATACCAAAATAAAAGGAAATATATGTCCATACAAAGACTTGCACAGGAATACTCATGATTTTATTTGCAATAGCTCAAAGTCAGAAACAATCTTAATATCAATGGGTAGATGAATGATTATTCAAGTTGTAGTATATCCATAATATGAAATACTCTTCAGCAATAAAAAGCAAACTAATGACACATGTAACAACATTGACAGAGTTTAAATGCATTATGTTAAATAAAAGAACTCAAGTATAGTTTCATTTATATAACATTTGAAACAGGCAAAATTATAGGAACATTGAACAGATCAGTGGTTTCCTTGGGTTGGTTGTAGTGGTAGGGAGTGATTACAAAGGCTTTGATAAGAAAAATTTTTGTGTGTGATGATGTTAATATTCTTTATCTTGGGCTTACTTATAATTTTGTGATTATATATTTGTCCAAACTCACAGAATTTAGAACAAAAATTATATTTTAGTAAGTGTAAATTAAAAATTGATTTAAAACATGAAGATATATATCTCAGTAGTTTAATATTAACATAGCAAACAAAACTTATACACAAGCAGTCACATATGGTACAGTGCAAAGTGCATGATATTTGTAGTCAGGCAAAATCCTGGCTCTGTCACTCATGTGATGTATGACATTTGGTAAATTACTCAATATTGTTGAGTCTTCACCTATTAACTTAATGTAATAATATTTATCTTATACATTTATTATGAAACATAAACAAGAAAACTTATGCAAAGCCCCTAGCATAGAGATAGATACATAAGTACATGCTCAATAAATGTCAATCCTCACATTCTCTTACATGCCTTTATTATAATTGTCATGAAAATTACAAATTACTTTTATATCATGAGTAAGACAGCAGAATAAGAGGTTTTCTGCAGATATCCTTACACAGCAACACTAATTTAGAAACCATTCATGAAAAAAGTGCCTTTTTGAGAGTTTTGAGACTAGGTGAAAGACTGAAAAACCTGAGTGGAGCCCAAGACTGAGGAAGGCTGTTGTGGGAGGTCAGATCAATGCCTAGGTAAGATGCTTGCTGAACTTGGTCTCAGTTACAGATAAATAAATGACCTCCTTGTCTTGTCTACTCAACTATAGTGCTGCTTGGCCTTGGTCCTGCCACCAGAATTATTACCCAAGGACCGGGGAGAAGTCACAGCCACTTGTGCCTTGGGTGACAGGTCTGTTAACACAGATGCTAGCTGTGGACCCTGAAGTGGTCATTGAACTTGGCTCCAGCTCTTTTCATTGACAGGCTGGAAATCCCACCAGCTCAGGGACTTGCTGGAAATCACTGCTGGAGGTGCCTTGTCATTACTCCTAGCAGTAAGCAGGAACACTGTTTCAGCATCACTATAAATCTTGAACCAACTCTATAACTTGCTACCAGCATCTCTCAGCTGTGGTCTGAGAGTAGTATTGCCTATCTGGGGGCCCACCAGAAGATACCCCCATTTGTGCCCCTGAGGCAAGCCCACTGACTTTGGTCTTATTGCAGATCCCCAAAAAAGGCCCAGTAACTTTGCTCTAGTCCCTCTCAGCTGAAATTTCAGGACAGTCCTTCCCACCAAGAGGTCAGCCAGGAGACATGCACATCTGTGTCCAATGGGGAAAGCCTGCAAACCTCAGTGCCACAGCAGATCCTGAAATGGCCCTGTAACTTGGCTCAAGCTCTTCTCAGCTACTGTCTGAGCATAATCCTGCCAATTTAGGGATATGCATGGAGACATATCCATTCATTCTCTCAAAGGCAAGTCCACAGACCTCAAACCAACTGTTTATCCTGAAGTAGGTCTTCAACCCAGCTGCAGATTTCTCAGCCACAGTCTGGGGTAGTTCTCTCCACCCAGGAAGCTGGAAGGAGGCACACCCTTCTGTGTCCCTAGAGGAAGACCTTCAAAACGTGGTCTTGGCTTTGGACTCTGAGGCTGCCTTGTGACAGTTCCAGCTATTCTCAGCCATGGTCCAAGGCCAGTCCTGCCTGAACATGGTCTCACTTAGTAACATATTAGGAGTGCCATATCCAGCTGCACACCCAGTAATAGACCTGCTGTTTGTAAACTCAACTGCAGAATCTAAAGCAGATTCTTATTTCAGGGTCATCCCTACTAACCAAAGTCTTGAAGATAGTCCAGTCCACCCAGGGACCAGACAGGATACATCTTGCTTGAGCCACTGGTAGCAGCCCTACAAACTGCAGACCTTACTGTGGATGCAGCAACAGCTACATTATCCAGCTCCAATGCCACTTTATGGTGAACCCAAAGGCAATTCCCTAAGCCTGAGGAACTAAAATGAAAAGGTTTTAACCATTGAGACCAGTCTGTAGGGACAAGAAGTATTTGTAACTTCACATGCACAGACACCAATACAAGAATACATGGATAATCAATGAATCAGGCAAACGTACCATAACCAAAAGAAACTAATCAGCTTTCAATAACTCTCTAAGTAATAAAGATCTACAAATTGCCTAAAAAATTTCAAAATAGCTATTTTTTAAAAGTTTGATGAGATGCAAAAGAACACAAATAGACAAAGAAAAAGTCAGGAACACAAGGCATGACAAAAATTATAAGTAGAATGAAGAAGTAGAAATCATAGAAAATTACCAACCAGAACTCTCACAGCTGAGGAATACAATAGCAATACTGAAAAATTCAATAGAAAGCATAAACAGCAGACTTGATTATGGAGAATAAATAATCAATAAACTCAAATATATGCCATGTAAATTAGCCAATTAGAATAACAAAAAAAATGAATAAAAAAGTTGAAGTAAACATGAGTGGCCTATTGGACACCATTGGACACCATCAAAGGAATGAATAAATGAAATATGGGAGGCCCAGGAGGTAAAAGGTGAATAAAAGGGAGATAAAGCTTATTTAAATAGATAATGGTTGGAAACTTCCCAAGTATTATAGGATTCATGGACATGCAGATTCACAAAACTCAAAGGATCACATTTAAGACTAAAGAATACCTGGAGACGTATTGTAATCAAATTGTCAAAAGTAAAAGGCAAAAAGAGAATATTGAAATCATCAAGAGAAAACAGACTTTTTCAAACAAAAAAATCACCCAGAAGGCTATAAGTGAAGTTAGCAGAAACTGCAGGCCAGGAGGGAGAGGGATGCCATATTAAAGCACTAAAAGAAACAAATCTGTCAACCGAGGATACAATACCCAGGAAGGCAGTCCTTCAGAAAGTAAAGAGAGATGAAGACATTCGAAGAACAAAAGCTGAGAGAGCTCATCACAACTAGACCTGCTTTACAAGAAATGTTAAAGGGAGTTCGTTGAGTTGAAATGAAAAGATAAAAAGTAACAACATGAAAACATATGAAAGTGTAAAACTCACTGGTAAAGGCAAATATATACTCAAATTTAGATAACTCTAATATTGTAATGGTGGTGTGTAAATCACTTATAAATCTGGAATAAAAGGTTAAGAGACAAAAGCATTAAAAATAAATATAGCAACAATAAGTTCTTAATGTATACAGTAAAAAAGGATATAAAATGTGTCATCAATAGCACATAATGTATGTATATAAGGAGAATTAAAAGTGTATAATTTTTGTATGCAATTGATGTTAAGTTGTCATCAGCTTAAAAAAGAAGGTACCATAAATTGTTGTAATATAGTTGCTGTCTTGGCATCCTTTTTTTATTTCCATAGATTATTGGGGAACAGATTATTTGGTTACATGAGTAAGTTCTTTAGTGGTGATATTTGTGAGATTTTGGTGAACCTATCACCCAAGGGGTATTCACTACATCCTATTTGTAGTCTTTTATCTCTCACTCCCTTCCCTTTCTGTCCCCCTGAGTCCCCAAAATCCATTGTGTCATTCTTATGCCCTTGCATCCTCATAGCTTAGCTCCACTCATAAGTACATACGATGTTTGGATTTTCATTCTTGAGGTTACTTCACTTAAAATAATAATTTTCAATCTTATCCAGGTCACTGTGAATGCTATTAATTTATTCCTTTTTATGACTGACTAGTATTCAATGGTATATATATATATATATATATATATATATATATATATATATATACCATCAAATACTAGAGTGTGTATATATGTGTGTGTGTGTATATATATATATACACACACACTATGGAATACTAGTGTGTATATATATACACATACACACACACACACACACACACTGTAGAATACTAGTGTATATATATATCAGAGTTTCTTTATCCACTCGTTGATTGTTGGGAAGTTGAGTTGGTTCCACATTTTTGCAGTTGCAAATTGTGCTGCTATAAACATGCATGTGTAAGTATTTTTTTTTTTTTTTTTTGGTATAATGACTTATTTTTCTCTAGGTAGTTACCAAGTAATGGGATTGCTGGATCAAATGGTAGTTCTACTTTTAGTTCTTTAAGGAATCATCAACTGTTTTCCTTAGTGGTTGTACTAGTTCACATTCTCACCAGCAGTGTAGAAGTTCTCCTTGTTCACCGAATCCACGCCAACATCTAATTTTTTTTTAAATTTTTTGATTATGGTCGTTCTTACAGGAGAAAGATGGTATCATATTGTGGTTTTGATTTGCATTTCCCTGATCACTAGTGATGTTGAGCTTTTTTTCATATGTTTGTTGGCCATTTGTGTATCTTCTTTTGAGAATTGTCTATTCATGTCCTTAGCCCACTTTTTAATGGGGTTGTTTTTTTTCTTGTTGATTTCTTTGAGTTTGTGGTAGATTCTGGATATTAGTTCTGTGTCAGATGTTTACATTATGAAGACCTTTTTTCCTCCTCTGTGTGTTGTCTGTTTACCCTGCTGACTGTTCCTCTTGCCCATAAAATCTCTTTAGTTTAATTAAGTGCCAGCTATTTATCTTTGTTTTATTGCATTTGCTTGTGGGTTCTTGGTAATAAAATCCTTGCCTAAGCCAATGTCTAGAAGAGTTTTTCCAATGTTATCTTCTGGAATTTTTAGTTTCAGGTCTTAGATTCAAGTCCTTAATGCATCTTGAGTTGATTTTTGTATAAGGGGAGATATGAGGATTCAGTTTCATTCTCCTACATGTGGTTAGCCAATTATCCCAGTACCATTTGTTGAAAAGGATGTCTTTTCCCCATTTACGTTTTTGTTCGCTTTGTCAAAGATCAGCTGGCTGTAAGTATTTGGGTTTATTTCTGGGTTCTCTATTTTGTTCTATTGGTCTATGTGCCTATTTTTATATCAGTACTATCCTGTTTTGGTAACTATGTCCTTATAGCATCGTTTGGAATCAGGCAATGTGATGTCTACAGATTAGTTCTTTTTGCTTAGTCTTGCTTTGGCTATGTGGGCTCTTTTATGGTTCCATATTAATTTTAGAATTGCTTTTTCAAATTATGTGAAGAGTAAGGGTGGTATGTTGATGGGAATTGGATTGAATTTGTAGATTACTTTTAGCAGTATAATAATTTTCACAATATTGATTTTACGCATCCATGAGCATGAGGTGTGTTTCCATTTGTTTGTGTCATCTATGATTACTTTCAGCAGTGTTTTGTAGTTTTCCTTGTAGATGTCTTTAACTTCCTTTGTTAGGTATATCCCCAAGTATGTATGTATGTGTATGTATCTATATCTATATCTATATCTATATCTATCTATCTATATATGTTGCAGCTATTGTAAAAGGGGTTGAGTTCTTGATTTGCTTCTAAGCTTAGTAACTGTTGGTGTATAGAAGAGCCACTAATTTGTGTACATTAATTTTGTATCGAGAAATTTTGCTGAATTTTTTATCAGTTCTAGGAGGTTTTTGGAGGAATCTTTAGGGTTTTCTAGGTAAATGATCATATCATCAGCAAACAGTGACAGTTCGACCTCCTCTTTACTGATTTGGATGCCCTTTATTTCTTTCTCTTGTCTGATTGTTCTGGCTAGGACTTCCAGTAATATGCTGAGCAGGAGTGGTGAGAGTGGGTATCCTTGTCTTGTTCCAGTTCTCAGAGGAAATGCATTCAAATTTTCCTCATTCAGTATTATGTTGGCTCTGGGTTTGTCATAAATGGCTTTTATTATATTGAGGTATGCTCCTTGTATGCCAATTTTGCCGAGTTTTAATCATAAAGGAATGCTAGATGTTGTCTAATGCTTTTTGTACATGTATTGAGATGATCATGTGATCTTTGCTTTCTCTTCCATTTATTTAGTGCATCACGTTTATTGACTTGCATATGTTAAGCCATTCCTGCATTCCTGGTATGAAACCCACTTGATCATGGTGGATTATCTTTTCTATATATTGTTAGATTCACTTAGGTAGTATCTTGTTAAGAATTGTAGTCTATGTTCATCAGTGATATTGGTCCATAGTTTTCTTTTTTGGTTTTATCCTTTCCTGGATTTGGTATTAGGGTGATACTGGCTTCATAGAATGATTTAGAAAGGGTTCCCTATTTCTGTATGTTGTGGAATAGTGTCAATAGGATTGATACTATTTCTTATTTGTCTGTCTGGTAGAATTCCGCTGTGAATCCATCTGTTCCTGGGCTTGTGGTTATTGTTGTTAATTATTAAATTACTCTTTCAATATCGCTGCTTATTATTGGTCTGTTCAGGGTATCTAATTCTTCTTGCCTGATTTAAGCTAGGAGGGTTTTATCTTTCCAGGAATTTAAGCTTCTCTTCTAGATTTTCTACTTTATGCATGTAAAGGTGTTCATAGTAGGCTTGAATGATCTTTTGTATTTCTGTGGTGTCAGTTGTAATATCTCCTATTTCATTTCTTATTGAGCTTATTTGGAATTTCTCTCTTCTTGGTTTATCTTGTTAATGGTCTATCAATTTTCATTATGTTTTCAAAGAACAAGCTTTTTGTTTCATTTATCTTGTGTATTTCTTTGTTTCAATTTCATTTAGTTCTGCTCTGATCTTGGTTATTTTCTTTCTACTGCTCTGTTTGGGGTTGGTTTGTTCTTGTTTATCTAGTTACTTGGGGTGTGACCTTAGATGGTTTATGCTCTTTTGGACTTTTTGATGTGGGCTTTTAGGGCTATGAACTTTTCTCTTAGCACCGCCTTTGTTGTCTCCCAGAGGTTTTGATAGGTTATGTCACTATTGTTGTTCAGTTTGAATAATTTTTTATTTAGCTAGGCATGGTGGTGCATGCCTGTACTCCTAGCCGCTAGGGAGGCTAAGGCACAAGAATCACTTGAACTCAGGAGGCAGAGGTTACTGTGAGCTGAAATCAAGCCACTGCACTCTAGCCTGGGTGATAGAGCCAGACCCTGTCACAAAAAATAAAATAAATAAATAAAGTCAAGACAAAGTAAAGAAATTTAAGAGTTGTAAGGCAAAAGCACCACATAACCTATAAAGGAAAACCTATCAGATTAACAGCAGACTTCTCAGCAGAAACCCTACAAGCTGGGAGAAATTGGGGACCTATCATTAGCCTCCTTAAACAAAACAATGATCAGCCAAGATTTTCGTATCCAGTGAGTCTAAGCTTCATAAATGCAAGAAAGATATCATCTTTTTCAGACAAACAAATGCTAAGAGAATTCGCCACTACCAAGTCAGCACTAGAAGAACTGCTAAAAGGAGCTCTAAATCTTGGAACGAATCCTGGAAACACACCAAAACAGAATCTCCATAAAGCATAAATCTCACAGTACCTACAAAACAATAATACAATTAAAAAACCAAGGTATACAGGCAACAAATAGCAAGATAAATGAAATACCAAACATCTCGATACTAACGTTGAATGTAAATGCTCCACTTAAAAGACACAAAACTGGGTCAAATGGTATTTCTAGTTCTAGATCCCTGAGGAATCACCACACTGACTTCCACAATGGTTGAACTAGTTTACAGTCCCACCAATAGTGCAAAAACGTTCCTATTTCTCCACATCCTCTCCAGCACCTGCTGTTGCCTGACATTTAATGATCACCATTCTAACTGGTGTGAGATGGTATCTCATTGTGGTTTTGACTTGCATTTCTCTGATGGCCAGTGATGCAATCCCATTACTGGGTATATACCCAAAGGATTATAAATCCTGCTGCTATAAAGACACATGCACATGTATGTTTTTTATGGCACTATTCATAATAGCAAAGACTTGGAACCAAGCCAAATGTCCAACAATGATAGACTGGATTAAGAAAATGTGGCACATATGCAACATGGAATACTATGCAGCAATAAAAAAAGGATGGGTTCATGTCCTTTGTAGGGACATGGATGAAGCTGGAAACCATCATTCTCAGCAAACTATCACAAGGACAAAAAACCAAACACCGCATGTTCTCACTCATAGGTGGGAATTGAACAATGAGAACACATGGACACAGGAAGGGGAACATCACACACCAGGACTTGTTGTGGGGTTGGGGGAGGAGGGAGGGATAGCATTAGGAGATATACCCAATGTTAAATGACAAGTTAATGAGTGCAGCACACCAATATGGCATATGTATACATATGTAACTAACCTCCACGTTGTGCACTTGTACCCTAAAACTTAAAGTATAATAATAAAAAAAGACACAAAACTGCAAAATGCATAAGAATTCACCATTCAAGCATCTGCTGCCTTCAAGAGAATCACCTAACACATAAGGACTCACATAAACTTAAGGTAAAGGGGTGGAAAAAGACCTTCTATGCAAATGGACACGAAAAGTGGGCAAAGGTAGCTATTCTTATAACAGACAAAACAGACTTTAAACTAACAGCAGTTAAAAAAAACAAAGAGGGACATTATATAATGATAAAAGGCCTTGTCCAACAGGAAATGTCACAATCCTAAATATATATGTACCTAACATTGGAGCTCTCAAATTTATGAAACAATGCCTATGAGACCTAAGGAATGAGATAGACAGCAATGCAGTAAGAGTGGGGGACTTCAATACTCCACTGACAGAACTAGACAGGTCACCAAGACAGAAAGTCAAGAAAGAGACAATAGATTTAAACTATGATTAACCAAGAAAAGAAGATAGAAGATCCAAATAAGCTCAATTAGAAACAAAACTGGAGATATTACAACCGACAACTCAGAAATACAAAAGATAATTCAAGGCTACAATGAACACCTTTATGATCATAAACTAAAGGAGATGGATAAATTCCTGGAAAGATGCAACCCTCCTAGCTTAAATCAGGGAGAATTAGAAACCCCAAACACACCCACTAACAAGCAGTGAGACTGAAATTGTAATAAAAGAAAATACCAACAAAAAAAGTCCAGGACCAGACAGATTCACAGCTGAATTCTACCAGAGATTCAAAGAAGGATTGGTACCAATCCTATTGACACTATTCCATGAGACAGAGAAAAAGGGAATCCTCCCTAAATTGTTCTATGAATAGCCCTAGTACCAAAACCAGGAAAGGACATAACCAAAAAAGAAAACTACAGACAAATAGTCCAGATGAACATAGATGCTAAAATCCTTAACAATGTACTAGCCAACTGAATCCAACAACATATCAAGAAGATAATCCACCACGATAAAGTGGGTTTTATAACAACGATGCAGGAGTTGTTTAACATATGCAAGTCAATAAATGTGATACACCACATAAACAGAAATAGAAACAAAAATCACATGATCCAACTTTCCTTCATATTGGCAAAATCCAACTTTCCTTTATAATTAAAATCCTCAGCAAAATTGGCATAAAAGAAACATGCCTCAATGTAATAAAATCCATCTATGACAAATCTGCAGCCAACATAAAACTGAATGGAGAAAAGTTGAAAGCTTTCCCTGTGAGAACTGGAACAAGACAAGGATACCCACTCTCACTACTTCTATTTAACAAATTACTGGCAGTCCTAGGCAGAGCTACCAGGCAAAAGAAAAAAATAAAGGGCATCCAAATAGGTAAAGAAGAAGTAAAGGTGTATACTTAGGAATATACCTAACAAAGGAGGTGTAGTTTTCCTCGTAGAGGAACTGATGAAAGAAATCATAGATGACACAAACAAATAGAAACACATCATGTGCTCACGGATGGGTAGAATCCATATTGTGAAAAAGGCCATACTGCCAAAAGCAATCTACAAATTCAATGCAATTCCCATCAACATACTACCATTCTTCTTCACAGAAGTAGAAAAAACAATCCTAAGATTCATATGGAACCCAAAAAGAGCCCACATAGCCAAAGCAAGACTAAGCAAAAAGAACAAATCTGAAGGCATCACATTACCTGATTCCAAACTATACCATAAGGCCATAGTCATCAAAACAGCATGTTACTGGTATAAAAATAGGCACATAGACCAATGGAACAGAATAGAGAACTCAGAAATAAACCCAAATACTTACAGACAACTGGTCTTTGACAAATCAAACAAAAACAGTGTGAGTAAAGGACATCTTTTTCAAAAAATGATGCTGGGATAATTGGCTAACCACATGTAGGAGAATGAAACTGGATGCTCATCTCTTACCTTATACAACAATCAACTCAAGATGGATTAAAGACTTAAATCTAAGACCTGAAACTATAAAAATTCTAGAAGGTAACATTGGAAAAACTCTTCTAGACAGTGGCTTAGGTAAAGATTTCATGACGAAGAACTCAAAAGCAAATGCAACAAAAACAAAGAAAAATAAGTGGGACTTAATTAAACTAAAGAGCTTTTGCATGTCAAAAGGAACAGTCAGCATAGTAAACAGACAACCCACAGAATAGCAAAAAATCTTCACAATCTATGCATCCAACAAAAGACTAATCTCCAGAATCTACATGGAACTCAAATTAGCAAGAAAAAACAAACCATCTCATTTTAAAAACTCAGCTAAAGATATAAATAGACAATTAACAAAAGAAGATACACAAATGGCCAATAAACATGATAAAAAGCTCAATATTACTAATGATCAGGGAAATGTAAATCAAAACTACAATGTGATACCACCTTACTCCTGCAAGAATGGCCAATATAAAAAAATAAAAAATAATAGATGCTGGTGTGGATACATTGAAAAGTGAACACTTCTACACTGCCGGTCAGAATGTAAACTAGTATAAACACTATGGAAAACATTGTGGAGATTCCTTTAAAATGTAAAAGCAGAACTACCATTTGATCCAGCAATTATACTACTTGGTATCTACCCAGAGGTAAAGAAGTCATTATACCAAAAGGATACTTCACGCACATGATTATAGCAGCACAATTCGCAATTACAAAAATGTAGAACTGATTATATATATATATATATATATATATATATATATATATATATATATATATGATGGAATACTACTGAGTTATAAAAAGGAATGAATTAATGACATTTGCAGCAACCCGCATGGGATGGAGACTATTATTCTAAGTGAAGTAACTCAGGAATGGAAAAACAAACATTGTTATGTTCTCACTCATAAAAGGGAGCTAAGTTATGAGGATGCAAAAGCATAAGAATAATGCAATGGAATTCAGGGACTCAGCAGGGAAGGGTGGGAAAGGGATGAAAAATAAAAGACTACAAATAGGGTGCAGCGTATACTACTTTAGTGATGGGTGTGCCAAAATCTCACAAATCATCACTAAAGAACTTATTCATGTAACCAAATACCACCTGTCCCTCAAAATCCTATGAAAATAAAAAAAAAAATAAAAGTACTATTGTTATATGGTTGACAGTTTATTTTACTAGATTTTTTCTGAGTGAATTATTCTTTCGAGTTTTCTAATGCAAAGTTGTCAACAGTGTATTTTGTTAAATAATGGAAATTGTCATAGCAAATTAAATATTGTTATTCACAATCATTATACTTTGTGCATTTAGATTCTCACATTTTGCTATGTAGAATTTCCCACTCTTTGCTGATATGATGACCTCAAATTGCCCAGGTAGATTTTCCATCACTCCATTTCCACTAGAATCAGAGGTCGTGCATTTAAATATTTATCATCCTCACAAGGGTTACTGCAATCCTTTTTTGCTTGCCATTGAGTTGCAATGTGGTTTGATAACACTTATGGGAGGCTGGCCAGGAATGTCAAGATATAATGTCAAAGGGTGGTGATTTCTGATGATCTCATTTTATTAATTTTAAAAGTTGTATTCATAGACATATGGTACCTCTCATTGATGTGACTAACTCATTACTTAATTACTCTTGGTGCAAATTGAATTTATACTATTAAAGTGAAAGAACATGTCTATGAAATCACTTTTATGATTATTTAGAATAGTATTTATTCTTTAGAACATGACTTAATCTTAAAAAATCAAACTGCTGCAAATTTGGGTTTACTAATCTCCTTGAATGCCTCATTAATCTTTAGGTACTAAATCATTATATTAATAAACTATGTTATAGCTAAGCAGGCAGGTGTGCATGGTCAATTTTTAATTTTGTTTTTATTTTACTCTTTGGTCTGTGGAATTCAAGACTTTGTTTATTTAGAAGGTGATAAGAAAGCCTCACTTCTGGAGTACTTTATAAAAATTTACAAAGCCAATTTTTAAAAAATTCAAAACAATGCATTTAATTTACTTTAATGACTACCTGAAGTTGTAACTGGCTTGCACTTTGAAGCACTTTGGCATTTGTTGGCATTTTTGTTTTTTTGTTTCTAACTTAAGTTATGTACATCAAAATACAAATGGATTGACGAGTCTTGACTGATTTTAGAAACTGGCCTTTTAAATTTAATTTCAGGAATCCAAGAAAACAAATGTTAAAGTTTGCAAAATAAGAGAATATGGAGTTATAGATGAATGGAACAGAATAGATAACCCAGATACAAGTCCACAGACCTACAACAATCTGATCTTCAACAAACCTGATAAAAAGAAGCAATGAGGAAATAATTCCCTGTTCAATAAATGGTGCTGTGATAACTGGCTAGTCATATGCAGAAGATTGAAACTAGACCAATTCCTTATGCCATATACAAAAATAACTCATGGTAGATTAAATACTTAAATGTAAAACCCAATCCTATAAAAACCCTGGATGACAACATAGGCAATACCATTCTTGACATAAGAATAGGCAAGTATTTCATGATGAAGGCACCAAAAGCAGTCACAACAAAAGCAAAAACTGAAAAATGGCATATTGTTAAACTAAAAAGCTTCCTCACAGCAAAGGAAACTATCCACAGAGTAAACAGTCAACCTACAGAATGGGAGAAAATCTTTGCAAACTATGAATCTGACAAAGACACAATTTCCAGCATCTATAAGAAACTTAAACACATTTA
The DNA here is from genome assembly GCF_000001405.40 of Homo sapiens. Taxonomy (NCBI): domain Eukaryota; kingdom Metazoa; phylum Chordata; class Mammalia; order Primates; family Hominidae; genus Homo; species Homo sapiens. The sequence goes on along the minus strand of NC_000023.11, from coordinate 66,519,587 downwards.
CAAGAAAAAAAAAAAAACATTAAAAAGTGGGCAAAGGACATGAACAGACACTTCAAAAGAAGACGTACCTGCAGCCAACAATCATATGAAAAAAAAGCATGGCATCACTGATTATTAGAGAAATGCAAATCAAAAAAATGAGATGCCATCTCACACCAGGCAGAATGGCTTTAATTAAAAAGCCAAAAAATAACAGATGCTGGTGGGGTTGTGGAAAAAAGAAATGCTTATACACTGTATGACCTAAAGTCAGCAATACCATTTGACCAAGCAATCTCATTACTGTGTATATACCGAAATGAATATAAGGCCATTCTATTATGCAAACACATTCATGTGTATGTTAATTGCAGCACTATTCACAATAGTAAAGACATGGAATCAACCTAAATGTCCATCAATGGTAGACTGGATAAAGAAAATTTGGTACATATACACCATGGAATACTATGCAGCCATAATACAGAATGAGATTATGTCCTTTGCAGGAACTTGGATGGAGTTGGAGACCATTATCTTTAGTAAACTAATGCAGGAATAGAAAAAATGCCACACATTCTCACTTCTAAGTGGGAGCTAAATGGTGAGAAAGCATGGAGATAAAGTGGGGAACAACAAACTGGAGACTATTGGAAGGTGGGAGGAGGGAGAGAATCATGAAAAGTAACTAATGAATACTAGGCTTAGCACCTGGTTGATGAAATAATTCGTACAACAAACCCCTATGACACACATTTACCTATTCAACAAACCTGCACATGTACCCCTGAAGTTAAAATGAAAGTTAAAAAAGAGGGAAAAATTACTTCAAAGGCATGGGAAATAAAAAGCCTTGACAAAAACAAATGAGAAAGGGATAATAGGGAGGTATTTGGGTTGGGAGGATGGGATAAGAGAGCGGGAGAACACGTGCTGTCTGAGTTGTTTGATGGGAAGGCTTTTCACTCCCCATGCTCAGAAGATTGGCTGATGAATCACATTGATCAGGAGGGAATAGCATGCAGAGAAGACTGGCCTGTTTATCACTGTCAAGTTACAGTTTGAAAACTAATGCTGATAGCTTTCAGAGTGTGCTGTGAGGGTAAATTTCAGCAGGACTGGAATTAGCCTGAGCTGCTTCCTAAATTTCCTACATGGCACTAACGCCTGGTCAATGAACGAAACATACTGATTAAGAGTGTTGATTTGGTCCAAGAATTATCGACATGGTTTGCACCAGCATGTCAGCATTGTTTATTAAGTGCAAGATTTATGATTTACACCTGATCTTGCTGAGACTCCAGAATAACTCTGCTTTTGGGACCAGTTACGTAGCAGTAATATGTCTGTTTGACCAGTAAAATATTTAAAAATTTCAGTCATTTTGGAATCCCTGTTTCTTTCAATCGTCAGTGGTTCGTGATGTGAGAAAATGTATTAGGTCATGACTCGTAAAGAAGGAGGACAATAGAAGCCCATAAAACAGACTCATTTCTGTAAAACAGCTTTTGATTCTGATGCATATCCCATTTTAATGCCGTTACTGTATTGTACCTTTTTCTAGTAAAACTGTATATTTGTAGACATTTCTATGTTGGATACTGTGGATCTTCTTTAGTAATAGAAACCTGTTTAACTATTAGTACACAGGGCAAGGAAGTGAGAAGGAGCAGGTGAGAAAAATGAAATAGGTTCTCTTCTCAAAGACTAGACTGGGGTCTGGTGTCAGGGAACTATTACGTTCAAGTCATTCTTCTGGGTGTTTTGTGCCCATTATAATTTTTAAATAGTCTACTGACTCTCAATTTATAAATATAAATAATAAAATTTTGACTACCTAGGTAATTTGTCTAAGTTATAGCTAGTGAACTGCACAACTGGGATTTGTATGCAGGGCTGTCTCGCTTCAATAACCATGCTCTTCTTCGTATACTATACCATCTCACCAGAGCCCTGGTACCTCAGGGTTATGGCTCACAGGAGTTGCAAAGTGAAAACAGGCAATTTGCGAAACCATTCTGGGGCTTAGCAGTTGCCTGAAGAAACCAGAAAATCCTGTAAAATGTTCAGAGCTTCCTCTGTGGCACAGTGAATAGATAATCATGACTAATTAAGGTACAGAACCCACCCTTGACTTTCCTCAGCTGATAAGATATTTCAGGCCTATTGGAAGGCAATACCTAATTTTCTAAAGAATAAAGCCCAAATTACTTGTCCAGGCCTTATAACCCTTCAAAATTAGGCACAGCCAAAACATTTCTAGCTTCAGCTATTACTCTGTGCCACAGATCCTAGGCCTCAGCAATATCCAAATTCTTCTTGTTCTAGCACTAAAACTTTCTGCTTCAATGTTACAGTGCCTCTTCCTTTCAACAAAACGAAGTTTCTGCCATCGTAGATCTTATGGTCTATGCCAGGTGATGTTACATTTTATGGAGAAACAGTGTTGGGTAAGAAAATAGAGAGTGGCTGGAAGATACATTTTAAAATTGAGTTGTTATGGAAACCCTCTCTTAGGAGGCAATGTTAAGCATAGAAGGAAGAAAATGAGAGAATGAGACTGTGAAAATTTGGAGGAAAAGTATTTCAGGCAAGTGTAAAAGTGAGGAGATCAGTAAAGTGGTTATTGCAACAGTCCCAAGAAAGACTATGAAATCTTAGAGCAGAGTGATAGTAGTGAAGGTAAAGGGAAATTATGAGATTTGAAACATATTTTGAAAGGAGAGATCACAGAATTGTTGATTTGTTAATGGATTGGATGTAGGAAGTGAAAGAAATACAATAGTTAAAGATGAATCTAAGGTTTCTTGCCCAAGCAACTAGATGGCTAGAATTGCCATTAAATGCAATTAGGAAAACTAAATACCAAGGAATTTTTTGGAAGGGGGCTTGAAGAAGACTAGGTCTTTGTCCTTTGACATGGTAAGCTTAAGATGTCTATCAGACATCCAGTGGGAGATGTTAAGTATGCAGTTAGATATGAGCACAGAGTTCATAGGAAAGTTCCAGGCTGGACATAAAATGTGAAAGTTGTAAACGCATTTAAAGCCATAAGATTGAGTTATACTATATATCTATCTGTGAATCATCAGTCTGTTCATCTATCTATTTATAATCTATTTATCACTCAACTACTTACTATTTTTTAAGATGGGAGATTCTGTCATATACTGATGAGAATGATCCAGTAAAGAAGACAACATTGCCAATATATGAAAGACAGGAAATAATTGCTGAATTAATGCCCTTTAGTAACTAAGAGGGTGGGTGTCTTAGTCCATTTGTGTTGTTATAAATAAATATCAAAGGATGGGTAATTTATAAAGAAAAGAGGTTTACTTGGCTCATGGATATTCAGGTTGTACAAGAATCATGGTGTCAACATCTTCTGACGAGGGATTCAGGCTGCTCCCATTCATGGCAAAAGGCAAAGGAGTGCTGGCATGTAGATATCATATAGTGGAAGAGAGAAGAACAGACAGAGAAGGGAGGAGGTGCCATGACCTTTCTAAAAATCAGATCTTGTGGAACTAAGAGTGGCACCTCACTCATTACCATGAGGATGTCACCAAGCAGTTCATGAAGGATTCATCCCGATGACCCAAACACTTCTCAACTAGACTTCACTGCCAACATTAGGAATTACAATTCAACATGAGATTTGAATGGGACAAATGTCTAAGCCATATCAGCAGTACTAAGTGTTTTTATTTTTTTAAAAGAAGAATGGGTGGTCAAAGGGGAATTTGGGTTATTGGATATTATCTAAAGAAAGACTAATTTTAATTGACTTTCTGTTTTATTTCTAAAAGCATTAACTAGCACGTATAAGAAAATTGAAACTGTGATGGTTGAGATATCAATGAAAGAATGACTAATTTGTGTAAAATGGTACAAATAAAGTATTCATTTGTGTATTAGAAGCAAAGATATACACTGAGACCAGCACACTCCCAAAGTGTGTAATCATAAATCTCGCACTAAGTAAACAATGCTGACATGCTGGTGCAAACCATCTCGATAATTCTTGGACCAAATCAACACTCTTAATCTGTATGATTCATTCATTGACCAGGCATTAGTGACATGTAAGAACTTTAGAAAGCAGCTCAGGCTAATTTTAGTCCTGCTGAAATTTACCCTCACAGCACACTCTGAAAGCTATCAGCGTTAGTTTTCAAACTGTAACTTGACAGTGATGAACAGGCCTGTCTTCTCTGCATGCTATTCCCTCCTGATCACTGTGATACATCAGCCAATATAGAGTGAAAGCCTTCCCATCAACATCTCAGACAGCAGAATGTGTTCTCCCTCTCTCTTATCTCATGTTACCCCAGGCCACCTCCCACCCCAAATACCTCCCTATTGTCCCTTTCTCATTTGTTTTTGTCAAGGCTCTTTATTTCTCACGCCTTTGAAGTAATTTTTTCTCTTTTTTAACTTTTATTTTAACTTCAGGAGTACATATGCAGGTTTGTTACAAACAGAGAGAAGATGGTTGACTAGATGCAGCCAGGAAGAGCTTCTCCCACTGAGAGACCAGACCATCAGGATGGCCCACACACTCCAAGCAGATTTTTGGAAGAAAGGCATTGAGAGTGGACAGAGGGAGGATGCAGCCTCTGGGCGAAAGGGGGACAATGCTGAAGACCCTGCAGAGGACTGTCAATCAACACGACTCACTCCTGGCCCTGAGTAGTTCGTGGGGAATGAGTGAGTTAAATAGGCATGCAGTGGCTGACTCTCATCATGGATCTCTGGAATCCTAGCTGCAGGCGACTCAGTGATCCCCAAGGACATTTGAAATTGCCAAGTACAGGGCTCCAGTGTGCATGGAGTCTGGAGGATTTGGTGTGGGAATGACTGCAGTGGAGCATGACCAAGGAAACACATCCGCCAAGGCCCACCATGCTCCTCTAGATGGCTTTGGCTTTTGTTGACTGTGAGACTTGCTTAGAACAAAGCCAGCTTTCCAGTTTGATCTGAGTGCCCCCCTGTCCCCCAACATGCCAAACTCTTCCAGGGTCCTTGACGGGCTACACCCTCTTGCAGCTCAGCCTCAGATGCACAACTGAGGCACTTCCCAGTAGCCATGGCCATAGTTTTTATGCTGGCAGTCCCTCCCAAACTGTCAGAGAGCATTTGCAGATGGGATCCCACTAGCACACACCTGCCTGCAGTCTCCTATCACTACTTTGATGTCATGTACTCACCTGCAGCCTCCACACACTTCTTCACTGGCACACATGTGTACATGGATTTTGCTGCCCCAACACTAACAGCACACACACAAACATTGCTGCATAACTGCTCCTCTACTGCAGATGCATGCATGAATACGGACTCTGCTTCCAACACTCCAGTGAAAGACTTTTGCTAGCACTCCCCACTGGAGTATTGTTGCCAGTGAACTAAGAACAACTTGGGACCTCCAGCATAGAAGGTGCTTAAACTCAAGAGGCCAGAGACCAAAGCTGTAGGCATGGTCCAAGACCCACAGGGTAAGAGCATGTAGCCAGGAGTGCTGAGCTGAGCCTTGGCCCCCTGAAATCATCCAAAGACAAAGCTAGTTGACTAAACCCAACTTATACCACAGTGAAATCCTCAAGAACCTCCAAGAATAAAAAAGCAATAAGTCCCATCTAAAGAATTCTGAGTTCAATAAAGGGAAATAAGCTCACAAAGACAGATGAGAAAAAAACTAGTGTAAGAAATTTGACGTCTGAAAAATGAATGGCTTCTCACCTTCAAATGATTACACTAGCTCACGAGCAATGGTTTTTAACCAGACTTAAATGGCTGAAAAATTACATAAATATGATTCCATATGGCAACAGAGATCATCAAAATTCAGGAGAAAGGTGAAACTGAATCCAAGTAATCTTAAGAAATCCAGTAAAATTATTCAAAAGCTGAAAGGTGCAATAACCATGTTAAGAAAGAACCAAAGTGATCTGACAGAGCTGAAAAACTCACTACAAGAATTTCCTCATACAATCAGAAGTATTAATGGTTGAATCAACCAAACTGAGGAAAGACCCTCAGAGCTCAAAGACTGCTTTCGTCGATTCAACTCAGTCAGAAAAAATAAAACAGAAGGAACAAAACATCTGAAAAATATGGGATTATGTAAAAAGATGAAACCTAGGATTCATTGGTATCCCTGAAAGACAGGGAGAGATAGCAAGCAACTTGGAAAATATATTTGAGAGTATTGTCCATGAAGATTTTTCCAACCATTAGAAAGGTCCACATTAAAATTCGGGAAATTCAGAGAACCCCTGCAAGATACTATGCAAGATGACATTCAAAGACACATAGTCATCAGATTATCCAAGATCAATAGAAAAGAAAAAATATATTTAAGGCAGCGAGAGAAAAGGGGTAGGTCACAGACAAAGGGAACCCTATCAGGCTAACAGTGGAATTTCTGGCAGGACCTCAGAAGCCAGAAGAGGTTAGGGGCTTATATTCAACATTATTAAAGAATAAAAATTTCAACCAAGAATTTTATATCCATCCAAACTAGGCTTCACAAGCAAAGAAAAAATAAAGTCTCTTTGAAACAAGCATATGCTAAGAGAATTTATCACCACCAGATATGCCTTACAAGAGGTTCTTAAGGGAGAATTAAACATGAAAATGAAAGATTATGAGTGGCCACAACAAAAACATACTTAAATACATAGACAATTGACACTGTAAAGCAACTACACAATCAAGTGTACATAACAACTAGCTAACAACATAATGAAAGAATCAAATTCACATATATTAATATTAACCTTAAATGAAAATGGACTAAATTACCCACCTAAAAGTCATAGAGTGGCATGTTGGATAAAGAAGCGAGAACCAACTCTATGCTCTCTTCAAGAGACTCATCACACACTCAAGGAAAATCATAGGATCAAAGTAAAGGAATAGGGAAAGATCTATCAAGCAAATAAAAAACAAAAAGAGCAGGGATTGTTATTCTTATTTCAGACAAAACAGACTCCAAAGCAACAACAATCAAAACAGGACAATGAAAGATATTACATAATGATAAAGAGTTGAATTCAACAAGAATTAACTATCTTAAATGTATGTGCACCCAACACTGGAGCATCCATATTCATAAAACAAGTAGTTAGAGAGCTATGAAGAAACTTAGATAATGACACTATACTGACAGTACTAGACAGATCATGGAGGCAGAAAGCTAACAAAGATACTCAGGATGCAAACTTAACATTTCAATAAATGGACCTAACAGATAACTATAGTATATTCCACCCAACAACAACAGAGTATACATTCTTCTCATCTGCACATGACACATGTTTTAAAGTTAACCACACACTCAGTAATAGAGCAATGCTCAAAGAATTTTTTTTTAATTTTTCAACCACAATCTTGGCCCACACAGCAATAAAAACACAACTCAATACCAAGAAATCTCTCAAAACCATAAAATTACACGGAAATTAAGCAATCTGCTACTGAATGGTTTTTGGGTAAAAAATGAAATTAAGGCAGCAAGTAAGAATTAGTTTAACTCATGAGAACAAAGATATAGCAAAAAAGAACTTGTTGGGCAGAGCTAAAGCATGTTAAGAAGAAGTTTATGGTGCTAAACACCCACATTAAAAAGTTAGAAAAATATTGTTAACAATCTAACATCACACATAGAAGAAATAGAAAAAACAAGAGCAAATCTACTCCAAAGCTAGTAGCAGAAAAACAAAATAACCGAAATCAGATTTAAATAGAATGAAACTGAGATGCAAAAACTACACAAAAGATCAATGAATCCAGGAGCTGGTTTTTAGAAAGAACAAATAACATTGGTATATCACTAGCTAGACTAATAAATTAAAAGAGAGAAGATTCAAATAAGCAGAATCAGAAATGACAAAGGGAACATTACCACCAACCCACAGAAATACAAAAAAAAAAAAAAAAAAACTCAGTGACTACTATGAACAATGGATACACTCTTGGTAATGCTAAACCTCCCAAGATTTAACCAGAAAGAAATTAAAACCCTGATCAGATCAATTATGAGTTCCAAAATTGAATCAATAATGAAAAACCTACCAACTTGAAAAAATTCTGGATCAGAGAGATTCACAGCCTAATTCTTCCAGAAGAATACAAAAGAAATATTACCAATCTTATTCAAAGTTTTACAAAAAATCAAGAAGGAGGAATTTCTTTCTCCCTCACTCTATGAAGCCAGCATCATACTGATACCAAAATATGACAGAGCTGGAACAAGAAAGGAAACTTCAGGTCAATATCCTTGATGAACATAGATGCAAAAATTCTCAACAAAATACTAGCAAACTTAATCCAGCAGCACATCAAAACACTAATCCAGCACCCTAAATAGTCTTTATTTCTGCAATGCAAAGTTGGTTTAACATATGCAAATCAATTAATGTGAATTGTTGCATAAATAGAACTAAAAGCAAAACCACACAATCATCTCAATAGACATAGAAAAGGCTGTTGATAAAATTCAACATCCTTTTATGTTAAAAACCTTCAACAAACTAGATATCAAAGGAAGATACTTCAAAATATTAAGATTCCTATTTGACAAACTGACAGCCAACATCATAATGAAATGACAGAAGCTGGAAGCATTGCCCTTGAGAAAAAGAACAAGGGAAGGAGTTTCACCCTCATCACTGCTATTCAACTTGGTACTAGGTGTACTAGCTAAAGAAATCAGAAAAGAAAAATAAATAATAGACATCCAAATAGAAAGAGAAGTCAAACTATCTCTTCACAGATCATATAAATCTATACCTCAAAAACCCCATAGTTTCTGTCCAGGGCTTCTAGATCTAATAAACATCTTCAGAAAAGTTTTATGATATGAAATCCATGTAAAAAAATCAGTAAGATTTCTACATACCAATAACATACAAGCTGAGAACTAAATGAAGAACACAATCCCACTCACAATAGCCTCAAAAAATAAAATACAAGGGAATAGAGATAACCAGAGAGATAAAAAGATCTCTACAATGAAAATTGTAAAACACTGCTAAAAAAATCAGAGAGGACATAAAGAAATGGATAAACATTCTATGCACATTGATAGGAAGAATCAACATTATTAAAATGGCCTTACTGCATAAAATAAGTTGCAGTCTCAATAATGTCCCTATCTAATTACCAACGAAATTTATTACAGAATTAGAAAAATACTATTCTAAAATTCATGTGGAAGAGGAAGACAGCCCAAATAGCCAGAGCAATCCTAAGGAAAAAACAGCAAAGCTAGAGAAACCACACTACCCATCTTCAAACTATACTACAAATCAACAGTAACTGAAACAGCATGGTACTAATAAACACACACATAAACCAGTGGAACAGGTTGGGTAACCCAGAAATAAAGCCACATACCTACAGCCATCTGATCTTTGACAAAATCAATAATAAGAAGCAATGGGAAAAGAACTCTGTATTTAACAAACAGTGCTAGGATAACTAGCTAGTCATATGCAGAAGATTGAAGGTGGACCCCTTTGTTGCAGCATATAAAAAAATCAACTCAAGATAAATTAAAGACTTAAATGCAAAACCTAAAGCAATAAAAACTGTGGAAGATAACCTAGGAAATACCATTCTGGACATAGGCCCTGCAAAGTTTTTATGATGAAAACTGGAAAAACAACTGAAAGAAACCCAACAGTTGAATGTGATCCAGCAATCCCACTTCTGGTTATATACCCAAAAGAATGAAAGTCAGTATAGCGAAGGGATATCTGCACTCACATGTTTGTTGCAGCACTGTTCACAATAGCTAAGATTTGGAAGCAATCTAAGTGCCTATCAACAGATGAATGGATAAAAAATGTGGTAGGTATACACAATGGACTACTACTCAGCCATAAAAAAGAATGAGATTCTGTCATTTGCAACTATATGGATGGAACTGGAGATTTTTATGTTACATGAAATAAACCAGGCACAGAAAGACAAACATCACATGTTCTCACTTATTTGTGAAATCTAAATATCAAAATAATTGAATTCATGGACATAGAGAGTAGAAGGATGATTACTAGAAGCTGGGGAGTGTAGTGGGGGTTAGGAGCTTTGGGAGAGGTAGAGATGGTTAATGGGTACAAAATATAGTTAGAAGGAATAAAAAAGGACCTACTATTTGATAGCACAGCAGGGCGACTATAGTAAATAGTAACTTAATTGTACATTTTAAATAATAAAAATAATGTAATTATGTTGTTTGTAACACAAAGGATAAATGACTGACAGGATGGATGCCCCATTATCCATGATGTGCTTATTCTACCTTGCATGCCTGTATCAAAACAACTCATGTGCCCTATAAATATATACACCTACAATGTGCCCATGAAAATAATAAGAAAATTTATGAAACAAATGAGAAATGTGATCTAATTATATTAAAGAGCTACTGCACAGCAAAAGAAATCATCAACAGAGTAAGCCACCACCCTACAGAGTGGGAAAAAATATTTTCAAACTATGCATCTAAAAAAAGGTCTACTATCCAGAGTCTATATAGAACTTAAAAAGCAAAATACAAACAACCCCATTCAAAAATGGGCAAAGAACATGAACAGACACTTCTCAAAAGAAGACATAAATGCAGCCAACAATCATATGAACAAATGTTCAGCAGCACCTATCATTATATAAATGCAAATCAAAACCACAATGATGTATCATCTCACAACAGGCAGAATGGCTATTATTAAAAAGTCAAAAAGTAACAGATGCTGGTGAGGTTGTGAAGAAAAGGGAACATTTGTACATTGCTGTTGGAAATATATATATTAATTCAGCCACTGCAGAAAGCAGTTTGGACTTTTCTCAAATAACTTAGAACTACCTGTAAACCCAGTCGTCCCATTAATAAGTCTATATCCAAAAGAATATAAATTGTTCTATCATAAAGATACATGTATTCATATGTTCATCACAGCACTATTCACAATAGCAATGACATAGAATCCCCTTAAATGTACATCAGTGTTGGACTGTATAAAGAAAATATGGTCTGTATACACCACGGAATACTATGCAGCCAAAAAAAGAACAAAATCATGTCCTTTGCAGCAACAGGGATGCAATTGGAAGCAATTATCCTAAGTGAATTAACACAGAAAAAGAAAACCAAACATCTCATTTTCTTGTGTAAGTGGAAACTAAACATCGAGTACACATGGCCATAAAGAAAGAAACAACAGACATACTTGAAAAAAGAGGGTGAGAGGAGGATCAGATGAGAAAACTATCAAGCACTATGCCCATTACATTCTGCTATGTCTGTGAGTTCAATTGTTTTAATTTTTAGTTCCCACAAAAGTGAGAATATGTAAAGTTTGTCTTTATGTGCCTGGATTATTTCACTTAATGTAATGACCTCCAGTTCCATCCAGGTCTTAGCAAATGACAGAATGTCTGTCATTTTTTTAATGGCTGAGTAGTACTCCATTGTGTATATGTAGCACATTTTTTATCCATATGTGTGTTGGTTGCTTCCAAACTTTGGCTATTGTGAAGAGTGCTGCAACAAACGTGGGAGTGCAGATATATCCTTGATACACTGATTTCCCTTCTTTCAGGTATATACCCAGCAGTGAGATTACTGGATCATATGATAACTCTAATATTAATTTTTTATGAATTGCCTTCAAACTTTTCTCCACAACAGTTATATTAACTGACTTTCCCACCAACAGTGTATGAGGGTTCCCTTTTCTTCATATCCTCGCTGGCATTTTTTATTGTGTGTTTTTGGAAAAAAAACACATTTTAACTAGGGTGAGATGATATCTCATTGTAGTTTTGATTTGTTTTTCTCTGATGATCAATGATATTAAGCACCATTTTATATACCTGTTTGTCACATGTATGTCTTCTTTTGAGAAATGTCTATTCAGATATTTGACCCATTTTTAACCATGTTATTAGATTTTTTCCTATAGAGTTGTTTGAGCTACTTATATATTCTGGTTAGTAATCCCTTGTCAGATGGGGAGTCTGCAAATATTTTCTCCCACCCTATGCATTGACTTCTCATTTTGTTGATTGTGTTCTTTGCTGCACAGAATCTTTTTAACTTGATGTGATCCCATTTTTCCATTTTTGCTTTGGTTGCCTGTGCTTATGGGGGATTGCTCAAAAAATTTGGCCCGGAATAATGTCCTGGAGATTTTCCCCAATGTTGTAGTAGTTTCACATTTTGAGGTCATGGATTTAAGTCTTTATATCTTCTTGATGAATTGACCTTTGTATCATTATACAGTGAACTTCTTTTTCTCTTCTTACAGGTTTTATCTTGAAATTCATTTAGACTCATATAAGTACAGCTACTCCTGATTTTTTTTTGCTTTCCATTGGCAATAAATATAGTTTTTCATCCTTTTATTTCCAATCTCTGTGTGTCTTTATAGATGAGGTATGTTTCTTATAGGCAACAGATCACTGGGTTTTATTTTTTTAATTCATTCAACTACTCTGTGCCTTTGATTGCAAAACTTAGTCCATTTACATTGAATGCTATTATGAATAAATAAGGACTTGCTCCTGCTACATTGCTATTTGTTTTCTGGTCTGCTTTTCATGCCTTCCTTCTTTCTTGTCTTTTTTTTTAGTCAAGGTGATATTCTGGTGATAGAAATTAGTTACTTCCTTTCCATTTTTTGTGTATTTTTACATGTTTTTTATTTGAGCTTACCATGAGGCTTGCAAATACTATTTTATAACTTTTTTTGCTGATCACATCTTAACACTAAATAAATGATCAAATAAACAAGCAAAAACAATACCAATAGTAACTCTACACCATAACATTGTTTCTCTGATTTTTTATTTATTGTTGTTTTCATTTTTATCTTATTGTACTGTCTATATCTTGAACAATTCTTGTAATTATTATTTTATTGGATCACCTTCTAGTCTTTCTACTTAAGTGTAGTTTACACACCACAGTAATAGTATTATAATATTCTGTGTTTTTCTGTTTACTTACTATTACCAGAGAGTTTTGTACCTTCAGATGATTTCTTATTGCTCATTAACATCATTTTTTTCTGACTGAAATACTGCCTATAGCATTTCTTGTAGGATTGATATTGTGTTGATGAAACCCATAAGTTTTTTTTTTTTTGTCTGAGAAAGTCTTTATTTGTCTTCTGTATTTGAAGAATATTTCTACTGCTTATACTCTTCTAGGGTCAAAGTTTTATTTCCTTCAGCATTTTAAATATGTTATGCCACTGTCTTCTGGCCTGCAAGGTTTCCAGTGAAAAGCCCACTACCAGAAATGTTGCAGAGCTCCATTGTATGTTATTTGTTTTTGTTTTTCTCTTGTTGCTTTTAGTATCTTTTCTTTATCTTTGACCTTTGTGAGTTTGGTTTTAATATGGCTTGAGATTGTCTTCTTTGGTTTATGTCTGCTTGGTCTTCTATGACCTTCTTGAACTTGAATATTGGTATCTTTCCTTAGGTTTGGAAAGTTTTCTATTGTTTTTCTTTTGAATAAACTTTCTATTTCTATTTTTTTCTTTAGCTCCTCTTTAAGACCCAAAACTCTTAGATTTGGCCTTTTGAGGCTACTTTTAAATTCTGTAGGCATGCTTTATTTTTTTATACTCCTTTCTTTTTTGTCTCCTCTGACTGTGCATTTCCAAATAGTCTGTCTTCAGGACCACCGATTCTTTCTTCTGATTGGTCAATTCTGCTATTAGGAGACTCTGATGCATTCTTCAGTGCATCATTTTTCAACTCCAGAATTTCTGATTTTATGTACTTACTGTAGTCTTTGCAGTCTGAACTTTATTGTACCTGTTCTTCATGGGAGGGCTTTTCAGATATTTAAAAGGAATTGGGTATTGTGATCTAAGCCATATCTGCATTAGGGGGTCACCACAAGCCCAGTAATGCTGTGGTTCTTGTAGAATCACAGAGGTACCACTGTGATGGTTTTGGATAAGATCAAAAAGAATTTTCTGGATTATCAGGCAGAGACTCTGCTTTCTTCCCTTACTTTCTCCCAAACAAACAGAGCCTTTCTCTCTTTTTTGAGCCACCTAGAGGTGGTGGTGGTGTGACATAAGCAGCCCAATTTCCAGCACCTCTAGGATTGCACTGGGTCAGACCTGAAGCCAGCAGAGCCCTGGGTTTTACTCCAGACCCACTGTAACCACTCCATGGATACTGCCTATCTTCACTCAATGCGTTGGGGTTCTACAATCAGCAGGTGGTAAAGGAAGCCAAGCTCATGTCCTTCCCCTAAGTATGGCAAGATTTCCCAGGCCCTTAGTGGATCTAAATATGCTCTTTAGGAGCTATGGAATGGAGTCAAATACCTTAGAAGTCTACCTGGTGTTCTATTTTACCAAAGCTAAACTGGCACTCAAACCACAAGACACAGTCCTCACTCTTCCCTCCCTTTCCACAGGCAGGGAAGTCTCAACCCATGGCCACCATCACCAAAGAATCATGAGTACTGTCAGGCTATACCACCAAAGCTCACTTAAGGCCGAAGGGCTCTTTCACTAGCTTTTGGTGAATGCTGTCTTGCCTGGGATTCACTTTTCAGAGTGATTGGCTCTCATCTGGCCCAGGGCAAATCCAGAAATGCTTGGCTCTGGAACAAGACTTGGAATCAGGGACTCCAACAGCCCACTTGATGCTCTACCCTCCTGTCACTGCGCTTGTACCTAAGGTGCTAGATGAAGTCCCTTTTACATTTCCCTCCTCTTTTATCAAGCAGAAGGAGCCTTTCCTCATAGCCACCACAGCTGGAAATGTGCTTAGCCCCTACTGAAGCCAGCACATCTCAGAGTATCAGCCAAGGCCCATGGTGTACTACCTGGATATCAGTGCTGGTTATTCAAGGCCTGAGGGCTCTTTAGTCAGCAGGTGATGGGTCCTGACAGGACTGCATTCTTCCCCTCAAGGCAGTGGATTCCCTTAATTCCCAGGGTGTGTCCAGAAATGTCATCTAGAAGCTAGGTCCTGAAAAGGGCCTCATGACTCTGACTAATGCCCTATCCTACTGTGGATGAGCTGATATCTAAGATGCAAGACAAAGTCCTCTTCACTCTCCCCTCTACTATCCTCATGCAGACAGTAATGGTCTCTTTTGCAGCCATGAAGTATGCTGCCTAGGGTTGGGATGGGTGGTTCAAGCACTCTGTTAGCTGCCCTGGCTTGTGTCTCAGGAGACTGCATACCCTGCCCAAGTATGTGACTCTGAGCCCAGTTCTGCACTAAGACTTACCTAGGAATTGCAGTCTTGTGTCCTAGACTGCCTGTCCTGTTTACTCAGAGCCCCAAAACCCTTTAGTCCTTGGTGGTGACAGCTGAGATGAGTGATCCCATCTGGCTAGTGCTGGTTTGAATATTTCCTACATGGGCAAGGGTCAGCTGAGTTCAGCCCAATTTTGCTTTTCCCTGTGACAGGGCAGTGCTGAGTTCAATGTGATCTCTCACTATTTCTGTGCTCTCTCTCTCTTCAGCATACAGATTACTTCTCTGTTCCATGCAGCCACTGCTGAAGGATGAGGAGGTGTGGTTGGTATCAGTGATCAAATACTTTCTTTCCTACCTTCCGTGTAGGGAGAACACTCCCAAACCATGTTTTCCTCTATTTTCACACCACAACAATAATAAACACAGAAGAAGGCTTCTGTGACCAACTGTGTGGGGTTTTTCCCCACACCAGCAGACATCAGCTGGTTGTCCTCTAATTCATTTCTATCACTACCTGCCTGAAGAGAGTGTCAGATCCCACAGTAGAGGCCTCAATTCCCAAGACTGCTCCTCTCCACACACCAGTTGCAAGTCTGGGTCCCCAGAGCTTCTGACCAAATGGCTTCAAATTAGAATCCCCATGACTCCTTCTTTGGGGTTGATTAATTTGCAGGAGCAGCTCACAGAACTCAGGGAAACACTTACCTATGTTTATTGGTTTATTATAAATAATATTGCAAAGGATACAACTTTTAAGCTTTATGTCAAACGTCCTAAAGGCATGACGGTGGTGGGTTGTGCCTTTACCACATCTAGAAAAATTGAGGCTAACACTGAATGCAGCTATATTGCCTGATGGTAAAAATAAATCACTAATTCTGCACCTTACCCCGTCTGAATGGGAGTAAACTGAGGAGGACCTACCTGCTCGACTAGACTACTTGCTAGACTAGATGAAAAGATGCATAGAGTGAGGCATAAGGGAAGAGGCATAGAGTTCCCATGTCTTCTCTGGGTGCATCAGCCTCCAGGGACCTCCACGTGTTCACCTATCTGGAAGCTCCCTTAACCCTGTCTGCCCCCTTGGGGTTTTATGGAAGCTTCATGACAACAGGATTTCTTCCTCCAGGGTATAGGGTGAGATCCTCTCATGGAAGGGTCTTAAGATCCACATTCAGAAAGGCAGAGAAACATTAGAGTGAAAGAAGGGCAGGAGGTCAGAGGCCTGCCCCTGAGTTATTTGCTTTGTTTTGTTTCTGAGATGAAGTCTTTCTCTGTCACCCATGCTGGAGTGCAGTGGTGCAATCTCAGCTCACTGCAACCTTTGCTTCCCGGGTTCAAGCAATTCTTCTGTCTCAGCCACCCAGGTAGCTGGGATTACAGGTGCATGCCACCAGGCCCCGCTAATTTTTGTATTTTTAGTAGAGATGAGGTTTCACTATTTTGGCCAGGCTGGTCTTGAACATCTGACCTCAAGTCATCTGCCCATTTTGGCCACCCAAATTGCGGGGATTACAGGCCTGAGCCACTGCACCTGGCCCTGCCCCTGAGTTCTAACATACCCAGTATTATAATAAAAGATGGTAACAAGGGCTGTGGGAGTTATGAGTCCGTAACCATGGACAAAAACCAATGTATACCATAACACCAAAGGGCCACCTCCTGGTTTTTTACCATGGAACCTTTACATCAAATATATATATATATATATATATATATATATATATATATATATATATCACAATCAATCAATAACAATTAATCCAGTCCATCATAGTGTATGAATATCTCCCAAGATGAGGTCACTTAAGTATGCAGGCATCCTCTCAATCTTGTCAGGTTCCAAAAGCAGGAATGACCTTGGTAAGTATACAACTTTACCCTTTCAGGCATCTGGGATAATTATGCTGAGACAATGTTATCTCTTACTCTGAGACTCTTTTGAGTTTTTAATGTAATATTAAATTTTCCTCAGTGAAGAACCCATTTATTCATTTTTTACTCTCAGCTACTATTTCCCCTTCTCTTCATTAACACTGACACTTTTTCACTTTTGGAAGTGGCACTAGAATCACCACTGTGCTTGTCTACATTGCAGGTAGCAATACAAATCCAGTTCACTCCCGTTCAGACAGGGTAGGGTGCAGAATTAGTGAGCTATTTTTACCACCAGGCAACATAGCTGCACTCACTGTTAGCCTCAATTTTGCTAGATGTGGTGAAGACACAACCAACCACCATCGTGCTTTTAGGAATTTTGACATAAAGTTTAAAAATATAGTTACAGTTTTCTGTTTAGAAATCATCCCTGCTGTTGCAGCACTTGTTCTTGCAGTCCTGGTCCTAAGATCACTGCATCAGGTAAGGAAGAGAAAAATCATTTTTTGAGATAATTTGGGAAGAAAGAAAAAAATACACAGTGTTAATACCAATGTACTCCTCCCTTGGTGAGAACTGCATGATTATACATGCATCTTCCCCATTATCTCTTCCCCCAGATCAACCAGAAACAAAACAAAACAAAATAAAACAGAAAAGTCTAACAGGGGCACTACATTCCCATTCATGTTGAGTGTGAGCACACACTAATGAAGGCGTGCAAGCCAGCTCTTTATTCCTTTATCTTCCCCTGTCTTAGACAACCAATTGAAACCAATTGCCTGTTCTACTTCTCCATCAAATTATTACTCTAAGGAGGATATCTCTCTGCCTGTTGTTGGAATTTGTGGACTGTGCAGTGTGCTCTTTGGTCTGAAAAAAATGATGGTCAGCCATCCAAATCCATGCAATGTTCTCTGTTTTTTTTTTTTTTTTTGGCACTCTGAGCATTTTCATTGTTCATTGGACAACAAAAGCCTACTCCAGAGTTATTGTCTATTCCTGTCAAGACCCACTTTCAGCCCTTCAGGGCTATAAGCATCAGTCTCACTTGCCAGTTATGTTCAGGGCCTTCCCACCAGAGAAATCCGCCCGGTAGTAATCAGCAGTCTCTGTCTCTCTTGCTGAGAAATGGAAGAGTTTTTCTGGGATTTTGTGCCTGAGAGGGTGCAAAAGGAACATGTCTAGATTCAGCATGTCTCTGCACTGCTACAATACCTCCATATCCACTTATCTGATGGACCCAGATGACCACCTCAACAGAACACATGGGGATATCTGCTTGTCAATTTCAGTCACTTTCTGAACCTGGAAGAGAGTTCTGATGGCCATTGACTTGTTCTACTTTAATGCACCCCTCAAATCTCCATGGAGCCAAGCTCCATATGGGCATTCTTTTAACAGGCCAGGCTCCCATTGCCCTGATATCTGAGCATATAGTCAGGCTATTGGTCACAGCCCGTGGGCTAGTAAAAACTTAACACAGGGGCTTGTACCATTGTTTAATTTTTCCATCACTGTTAAAAAAACAGCATGCAATTCAGCTCATAGAGCAGGCCTGTTTTTACCTTCTTTGGTCTAAAGTAACAGCCTTCTAAAGAGGATGGTGTCCATTTACCTTGGAATTGCCATCCGTGAACCAAGTAGCTCTTGGTTGGTCAGTTGAGAGCTATTTATCAGGCACTGTAGAATCCAACAGTTTTTCATGCAGTTACAAGTGAACTATGGAAGAAAAAAATCCCTGCTTGAGAGTATCTCCTCCTTGCATTCTCCAGGTAGCATGATCCTCTATAATCCATTTTCATTTTATTATAAACCTCTTCTGGACACTGCCTTCCCCATTAGAATATATATCTGACATCACCTGATACAGCATGGGGATTTCAGGTGTCATAGGGGTAGCTTTAGCTAAGGCAGTAAATGCCCCTCAAGTGGAATAAGTAAATAATTTGTCATTACCAGCCAGCACTTTGGCTTCTACTCTGCACTGTGTGAACTTGGGCAATCATACAGATTCTCACTTGGCATGTCCAAATAATGTTGATTGAAGGGCGAATTTAAATGCCTTCTGTTTTACAGTAGCAGGTAGAAGAAACATTCCCTAATAATCTACAATGTTCATTACCATAATACCATCAGTTGAAAGAGATGCAATTATTTCATATAAAGTGTGTTCAAAGATACTAACTTTCATAATCCAATAAACCCTTATATTTTTATGTTATAGTTTGAAAAACTTCTTTTCCTCACCCCAAGGTAATTGTACCCTTTCTTGTGCAAAAGACTTTGTGCAAAACCCAGCCAAGGGTTGAATCAAACGACCCTGGTCCTTTTGTCAATTTTTTTCGTGATTAATCTGCCATACTCTTGCACCAGGCAGTTTCAGATTAGATTTTTAATTGTAATCTCTGCCTTCCAGCCTTTGTGTGTGTGTGTGCTTCAGCTGTTGTTTATTGACATACAGGTAGGCTCTATAACAACGGGCCTGGAGGTGGCTGCAGCAGTGGGGAGAAATGGAAGGAGAAGGGTATAGTGTTTGCTGCAGGAAAGCTGAGTGGAGGGTGGGGACAGGTGCAAATAGGGGAGGTCCAGAAGGTTGGGAAAGCAAGTATGGGCCAGGGCCAGAGTCTGCTTAAACTGAAACCACTGCCTCATGCCCTAAGGCCCCTAACTCTTGCTGGCTGTTTCCTGACCCTGGGACAGGGTTGGGAGTCCTCTGGGCATCCATTTAATAAAGGAACTGAACAGAGCACAGAAAGGAAAGGAAGCTGTCACCCTTTTGCCATAGACTCCAGGGACCTCCAGTCCTGCATTCCTCCTTCTTCCCTTGCTTGGGTAAGGCCACATGATGGGCAGCCAGGCTCTGGGCTGTCCCACCCAAGAGCAGATTCTAAAACCAGCCATGTTTCAGCAAGGCATTAATCTTCTTCCCTGGTGACCCAGCCCACCAGTGCCACATTACAGCCCACAGTGAGCTCTAAAAGTGTTGCTGGCCTAATGGATGGGTTGGGGGAACCAGGAGGGACAGAGGCTGGAGGAGGGGCTCTGGGTCCATCACGGCATGGAAACAACACGCATGGTGTTGGGGAAGCTGCAGGCAGGGCACCACCTGGTCAGCACAATGACCACATCTTCCTTCTTGAAGAAACCTCCGGCCTTGCCAACATTCATAGCCAAGTTCACCCGGTGGTCCACATTCTCAGCCCAGGCCTCCGGGACTGCATCCTTGCACAGCACAGGAAAGACGCTATGGTACAGATGGGCCTGACGAACTGTCTGGGGATTCCCTGTCACAGCAACGATGGGGGTACGTGGGCGGTATCTGGTCACCAGAACTGCCAGACTTGGTGAGGACGATTATGGCCCCACTGCGGCACTGGAAGGAGGCTTCCACGACGCCCACATCGGTGACTTCTGTGGGGTAACTGGTAATGCATGCCAGGAGGCGGGGCTCCTCAAATAACTGCAAGTATTAGAAGGTGGCCTCTGCTTCACCGGCAATCAGGTGCTGCATGCGAACTGCCTCCAGAGGATAATCCCCTTTGACTGTTTCTCCAGACAGCATGATGCAGTCCACTCTGTCCAGGACTGCATTGGCCACATCACTGCCCTCACCCTGGGTGGGGTGGAGCTTCGTGATTATGCTCTCCATCATCAGAGTGGCATAGATGACAGGCCTCCCAGCTCGGTTGCAGCACCCAATCATCATCTTCTGAGCAAGGAAGACCTTCTCTGCAGGAATGTCAATGCCTATACCATCATGAGCCACCATGATCCCGTCGCTGGTCTTCAGGATTTCATCAAACCTCCAACCCCCCTCATGATTCTCATTTTTGCTGATTACTTTGATGTTCTTTCCCTTCTCCCCAAGGACCTTCCTAACTTCGTGGGCATCAGATGCCTTGCGGATGAAGGAGGCAAACACCATATCGACATACTGCTCAACTCCAAACTTCAGGTCCCGGGTGTCCTTCTCTGGCATAGCAAGCAGGTCCACAGCAGTCCCGGGAAGGTTTACACCCTTCTTGCTGCCGGAGGAGCCACCATTTTCTACCTCCATCACGAGTAAGTCGGCACCTGGAGAGAAGAAAGCCCATCATCCACGTAGATCTTGCTGCCCACTTCTACCACCTTGCAGATGTTCTTGTAGTCCAGCCACATGATGTACTCATCACACTTTTCCATGTAGGCATTATCCAGCAAGATTTCGAGAGTGGCTCCCTTCTTCAGGTTCACATCTACAGTGCAGCAGCACTGCAGTTATCTGAGGAGCCCCGTCTCCTGGCGCCCATTACCAGTTACCCCACAGAAGAGGCCAGTTCGGATCTCAGGTCCTTTAGTGTCCAGAACCTCGGCAACGGGCTCTTAGAGGATGGGGGTCAGAAGCAAAACTTTCTGTGGCTGTGCGCATGTTCTTGATGGTCTCCACTGATACTCATAAGTTCCATGAGAGAAGTTCAGACCAGCCACATTCATACCAGACTTAATCATCTCCTTCAGCATCTCCACCGATCAGGGAGCTGGGCCGATGGTACAGATGATTCCAGTGTTCCTGGCTGCTATGGGTGGCGAGTCAATGTCCAGGTGGCACGTGTGTTCCAGGAATGTGTCAGCCATGGCTGCATGCAGCTTCTAGGTCTGAATGAAAGCAGTCTTGGCTTCACTATGGGGCTTTGACATGGCTGCTGAGGTCCTCCGGCACTGACTGACTGGGGCTAGGCTGCAAACGTGGAGAGGTCAATAGCCCCGGGACGCACAGCTGCTGCGCCCCTTCCAGCTTTTTAAAATTTCTCTAAACTGGGAGAAATACAGAAAACTGGTTAGGGACCTTTTAATGTCGGGTGACCAGAAGTGGCTCCCTTTTGTCCATCCAACCTTTGATAGTGTTGCATTAAGACCTTCGTTTTAACCCCATCAATTTTCATTTTCTTTATTCTGGTTCTTAACCATCTGAAGATTTTCACCTGGCCGGGACAAGTCCCATGACTCTCCCTTTCTTTTTCTTCTTAATTTGTTTTCTTTGTTCACCTTATTTCTTTTTTAATTTTCAACTTTTACTTTAAAGTGATGTGCAGGTTTGTTATATAGGTAAACATGTGCCAATGTAGTTTGCTGCACAGATCATCCCATCACCCAGGTATTAAGCTCAGCATCCTTTAACTCTTCTTCCGGTTGCTCTCCCTACTACCACCCTCCTCACCTTCCAACCAGTGTGTGTTGTTCCTCCCCATGTGTCCATGCATTCACATCATTCAGCTCCCACTTACAGTGAGAACACATGGTATTTGGTTTTCTGTTCCTGCATTAGTTTGCTAAGGATAATGACCTCCAGCTCCATCCATGTCACTGCAAAGGACATGACCTTTTTCCTTTTGATGGCTGCATAGTATTTTATAGTGTATATGTACAACATTTTCTTTATCCAGCCTATCATTGATGGGCTTTTAGGTTGATTCAATGTCTTTGCTATTGTGAATAGTGTTGCAGGGAACTAACACGTGCATGCATCTTTACAATACAAATATTTATATTCCTTTGTGTTTATACCCAGTAATGGGATTGCTGAGTCCAATGGCATTCTTTCTCTAGGTCTTCAAAGTTGCCACACTGTCTTCCACAATGATTGAACTAATTTACAGTCCCACCAACCATGTAAAAACGTTCCTTTTTCTCCACAACTTCACCGGTATGTGTTGCTTTTTTACTTTTTAATAATAGCCATTCTGACTGGTGGGAGATGGTATCTCACTGTGGTTTTGATTTGCATTTCCCTAATGATCAGTGATGTTGAAATTGCTTGTTGGCCGCAGGTATGTCTTTTTTTGAGAAGTGTTTCTTTATGGCCTTTGCTCACTTTTTAATGGGGTTGGTCCCTGTCATAGTGGAGAGCGAAGCTCTGCTGGCCTTAGTTAGAGTCAGCACATTGGACGGTGCATTTGGACCAGACCCAGCCAGAGAAGAAATGCCCATCCTAGCAGGATGAAACATGAATGGAACTGGATGTCATTATTTTAAGTGAAATAAGCCAGTCATGTAAAGACAAACCTCACTTGTTATCATTTATTGGTGGAATTTAAAAATCAGAACAATTGAACACATGGGTATAGAGAGTAGAAGGATGGTTACAAGTGGCTTGCAAGGGTACTAAGGAGACTGTGTGGGAGCTGGGGATGGTTAATGAGTACAAAAAAAAAGAATGGATAATACATAGTATTTGATAGTATAAAAAGGTGGCTATAGTCAAAATAATTTACTGTAACTGAAAATGTATAATTGGATTTTTTGTAACACATACCGTAACTGCTCAAAGGGATAGATACCCCATTTTCCATTATGATTATTATGCATTGTATGCTTGTATCAAAAATATCTCATATACCACATAAATATATACATACCTACTATGTACACACAAAAATTTTAAACAAATTAAAATTAAAATAATCTTTCTGGGATTTTAATGACTTAAATTAAAACTATGTATGAATTTATAATATTTGAGGTTCCTGATCCATGAAAACAGATGTCTCTTCAATTGTATAAATCTTCTTCAATTTAATCAACATTTTGGAGTTTTCAGCAAACAAGTCTTGATTCTAAGTGATTTACTTTCTTTGAGAGTCCATAAGTTGTATGGTGTTTTTAATTTCAGTTTTCATGTGTTCATTGCTAATATATAGAAATGTAAATGATTTTATGTTAATTTTGAATATTGTGACCTTGTGGAATTCATTAGAAAGTTTTAGGTTTTTTTTCTATTTTTATTTATTTTTTTAATTTTATTTTTTAAATTTTACTTTAAGTTCTAGGGTGCATGTGCAGAACGTGCCGTTACATTACATAGGCATACATGTGACATGGTGGTTTGCTGCACCCATCATCCTTTCACCTGAATTAGGTATTTTTCCTAATTCTATCCCTCCCCTAGCCCATCACCCCCAACAGGTGCTGGTGTGTGATGTTCCCCTCCCTGTGTCCATGTGCTTTCATTGCTCATCTTGCACTTATGAGTGAGAACATGCAGTGTCTGGTTTTATGTTCTTGTGATAGTTTGCTGAGAACGATAGTTTCCAGCTTCATCCATGTCCCTGCAAAGGATGGGAACTCATTCTTTTTTATGGCTGCATAGTATTCCATGGTGTGTATGTGCCACATTTTCTTTATCCAGTCTATCATTGATGGACATTTGGGTTGGTTCCAAGTCTTTGCTATTGTGAATAGTGCTGCAATAAACACACGGGTGCATGTGTCTTTATAGTAGAATGATTTATAATCCTTTGGGTATATACCCAGTAATGGGATTGCTGGGTCAAATGGTATTTCTAGTTCTAGATGCTTGAGGAATCGCCACACTGTCTTCCACGATGGTTGAACTAATTTACATTCCCACCAACAGCAGAAAAGCATTCCTGTTTCTCCACATCCTCCCCAGCATCTGTTGTTTCCTGTCTTTTTGATGATCACCATTCTAGCTGGAGTGAGATGGTATCTCATTGTGGTTTTAATTTTCATTTCTCTAATGACCAGTGATGATGAACATTTTTTTCATGTTTGATGGCTGCATTAATGTCTTATTTTGAGAAGTGTCTGTTCATATCCTTTGCCCACTTTTTGATGGTTTTCTTTTCTTGTAAATGTGTTTATGTTCTTTGTAGATTCTGGCTATTAGCCCTTTGTCAATTGGATAGATTGCAAAAATTTTCTACTATTCTGTAGGTTGTCTGTTCACTCTGGTAATAGTTTCTTTTGCTGTGCAGAAGCTCTTTAGTTTAATTAGGTCTAATTTGTCAATTCTGGCTTTTGTTGCCATTACTTTTGGTGTTTTAGACATGAAATCTTTGCCCATGCCTATATCCTGAGTGTTATTGCCCAGGTTTTCTTCTAAGACTTTTATGGTTTTAGGTCTTACGTTTAATTATTTAATCAATCTTGAGTTGATTTTTGTATAAGGTGTAAGGAAGGTGTCCAGTTTCAGTTTTCTGCATATGGCTAGCCAGTTTTCCCAACACCACTTATTAAACAGGGAATCTTTTCCCCATTGCTTATTTGTGTCAAGTTTGTCAAACATCAGATGGTTGTAGATGTGTGGTGTTATTTCTGAGGCCGCTGTACTGTTCCATTGGTCTATATATTTGTTTTGGTACCAGTACCATGCTGTTTTGGTTGCAGTAGCCCTGTAGTATAGTTTGAAATACTTTCACACAGGTAGTGTGATGCCTCCAGCTTTGTTCTTTTTGCTTAGGAATGTCTTGGCTATGCAGGGTCTTTTTTGGTTCCATATGAAGTTTAAAGTAGTTTTTTCCAATTCTGTTAAGAAAGTCAGTGGTAGCTTGATGCAGATAGCATTGAATCTATAAATTACTTTGGGCAGTATGGCCATTTTCACGATATTGATTCTTCCTATCCAAGAGCATGGAAAGTTTTTCCATTTGTTTCTGTCCTCTCTTATTTCCTTGAACAGTGGTTTGTCGTTCTCTTTGAAGAGGTCCTTCACATCCCTTGTAAGTTGGATTCCTAGGTATTTTATTCTCTTTGTAGCAATTGTGAATGGGAGTTCGTTCGTGATTTGGCTGGCTGTTTGTCTGTTATTGGTGTATAGGAATGCTTGTGATTTTTGCACATCATTTTGTATCCTGAGACTTTGCTGAAGTTGCTTATCAGTTTAAGGAGATTTTGGGCTGAGACAATGGGGTTTTCTAAATATACAATCATGTCTTCTGCAAACAGAGACAGTTTGACTTCCTCTCTTCCTATTTGAATGCACTTTATTTCTTTCTCTTGCCTGATTGCCCTGCCCAGAACTTCCAATACTATGTTGAATTGGAATGGAGAGAGAGGGCATTCTTGTCTTGTGCCAGTTTTCAAAGTGAATGCTACCAGTTTTTGCCCATTCAGTATGAGATTGGCTGTGGGTTTGTCATAAATAGCTCTTATTATTTTGAGATACATTCCAGTGATACCTAGTTTATCAAGAGTTTTTAGCATGAAGGGGAGTTGAATTTTTTCAAAGGCCTTTTCTGAATCTATTGAGATAATCATGTGGTTTTTGTCATTGGTTCTGTTTATGTGATGGATTATGTTTATTGATTTGCGTATGTTGAACCAGCCTTTCATCCCAGGTATGAAGCCAACTTCATCGTGGTGGATAAGCTTTTTGATGTGCTGCTGAATTCATTTTGCCAATCTTTTATTGAGAATTTTCACATCGATGTTCATCAGGGATATTGGCTTGAAATTTTCTTTTTTTTGTTGTGTCTTTGCCAGATTTTGGTATCAGGATGTTGCTGGCCTCATAAAATGAGTTAGGGAGTATTCCCTCTTTTTCTATTGTTTGAATTAGTTTCAGAAGGATTGGTACCAGCTCCTTTTTGTACCACTGGTAGAAATTGGCTATGAAACCGTCTTGTCCTGGACTTTTTTTGGTTGGTAGGCTATTAATTACTGTCTCAGTTTCGGAACTTGTTTTTGGTCTATTCAGGGATTCGACTTCTTCCTGGTTTAGACTTGAGAGGGTGTATGTGTCCAGGAATTTATCCATTTCTTCTAGATTTTCTAATTTATTTGCATAGAAATGTTTATAGTATTCTCTGATGGTAGTTTTCATTTCTGTGGGATCAGTGGTGATATCCCCTATATCATTTTTTATTGCATCTATTTGACTCTTCTCTCTTTTCTTCTTTATTAGTCTGGTTAGCAGTCAATCTATTTTGTTAATCTTTTCAAAAAACCAGCCCCTGTATTCACTGATTTTTTTGAAGGGTTTTTCATGTCTCTGTCTCCTTCAGTTCTGCTCTGATCTAAGTTATTTCATGTCTTCTGCCAGCTTTTGAATTTGTTTGCTGGTGCTTCTCTAGTTCTTTTAATTTTGATGTAAAGGTGTCAGTTTTAAATATTTCCTGCTTTCTCTCATAGGCATTTAGTGCTATAAATTTCCCTCTAGACACTGCTTTAAATGTGTCCCAGAGATTCTTGTACAGTGTGTCTTCATTCTCATTGGTTTCAAAGAATATCTTTATTTCTGTCTTCATTATTTGCCCAGTAGTCATTCAGGAGCAGGTTGTTCACTTTTCATGTAATTGTGCCGTTTTGAGTGAGGTTCTTAATTTTGAGTTCTAGTTTGATTGCACTGTGGTCTGAGAGACTGTTTGTTATGATTTCTGTTATTTTGCATTTGCTTAGGAGTGTTTTACTTCCAATTATGTGATCAATTTTAGAAAAAAAGTGCAACGAGGTGCTGAGAAGAATGTATATTCTATTGATTTGGCCTGCAGGGTTCTGTAGGTGTGTATTAGGTCTGATTGGTTCAGAGCTGAGTTCAAGTCCTGAATATCCTTGTTAATTTTCTGTCTCATTGATCTGCCTCATAATGACAGTGGGGTGTTAAAGTCTCCCACTATTATTGTGTGGGAGTGTAAGTCTCCTTGTAGGTCTCTAAGAACTTACTTTAAGAATCTGGTTGCTCCTGTATTCGGTGCATATATATTTAGGAGAGATCGCTCTTCTTGCTTCATTAATCCCTTTCCCATTATGTAATGCCCTTCTTTGTCTCTTTTGATCTTTGTTGGCTTAAGGTCTGTTTTATCAGAGATTAGGATTGCAACTCCTTTTTTTTTTTTTTTTTTTTTGCTTTTGGTTTTCTTCATAAATATTCCCCCATCCCTTTATTTTGAGCCTGTGTGTGTCTTTGCATGTGAGATGGGTCTCCTGAATATAGCACACTGATGGGTCTTGACTCTTTATCCAATTTGCCAGTCTGTGTCTTTTAATTGGGGCATTTAGTTTGTGTACATTTAAGGTTAATATTTTTATGTGTGAATTTGATCCTGTCATTGTGATGCTAGCTGGTTGTTTTGCCTGTTAGTTGATGCAGTTTCTTCATATTGAAGATATTCTTTACAATTTGGTATGTTTTTTGCAGTGCCTGGTACTGGTTGTTTCTTTCCATGTTTAGTGCTTCCTTCTGGGGCTCTTGTAAGGCAGGCCTGGTGGTGACAAAATATCTCAGCATTTGCTTGTCTGTAAAAGATTTTATTTCTCCTTCACTCATGAAGCTTAGTTTGGCTGGATATGAAATTCTGGGTTGAAAATTCTTTCCTTTAAGAACGTTGAACATTGGCCCCCACTCTCTTCTGGCCTGTAGGGTTTCTGCAGAGAGATCTGCTGATAGTCTGATGGACTTCCTTTTGTGGGTAACCCAACCTTTCTCTCTGGTTGCTCTTAACAATTTTTCCTTCATTTCAACCTTGGTGAATCTGACAATTATGTGTCTTGGGGTTGCTCTTCTCAAGGAGTATCTTTGTGGTGTTCTCTGTATTTCCTGAATTTGAATGTTGGCCTGTCTTGCTAGGTTGGGGAAGTTCCCCTGGATAATATCCTGCAGAGTATTTTCCAACTTGGTTGCATTCTCCCCATCACTTTCAGGTAAACCAATCAAATGTAGATTTGGTCTTTTCACATACTACCATGTTTCTTTTTGTTTTTTTTTTTTTTTTTTTTTTTTTTTTTGAGATGAAGTCTCGCTCTGTCGCCAGGCTGGCCTGCAGTGGCGCTATCTCACCTGACTGCAACCTCCACCTCCCGGGTTCCAGCAATTCTCCTGCCTCAACCTCCCAAGTAGCTGGGACTACAGGCGTATGCCACCATGGCCAGCTAATTTTTGTATTCTTAGTAGAGACAGGGTTTCACCATGTTGGCCAGGATCGTCTCGTTCTCTTGTCCTTGTGTTCTTCCCACCTCGGCATCCCAAAGTGCTGGGATTACAGGCATGAGTCACCATGCCCGGCCACATACTCCCATATTTCTTGGAGGCTTTGTTCATTCCTTTTTATTCTTTTTTCTCTAATCTTGTCTTCTCACTTTGTTTCATTAAGTTGATATTCAATCACTGATATCCTTTCTTCCGCTTAATCTATTCAGCTACTGATATTTGTGGATGCTTCACGAAGTTCTCATTCTGTGTTTTTCAGCCCCATTAGGTCATTTATGTTCTTCTCTAAACTGGTTATTCCAGTTAGCAATTCGTCAACCTTTTATCAAGGTCCTTAGTTTCCTTACACTGTGTTAGAACATGCTCCTTTAGCTCGAAGGATTTTGTTATTACCCACCTTCTGAAGCCTACTTTTGTCAATTAGTTAAACTCATTGTCTGTCCAGTTTTGTTCCCTTGCTGGTGAGGATTTGTGATCCTTTGAAGGAGAAGAGGCGTTCTGGTTTTTGTCATTTTCAGCCTGTTTGTGCTGGTTTCTCCCCATCTTTGTGGATTTATCTACCTTTGGTCTTTGATGTTGGTGACCTTCAAATGGGGTATTTGAGTGGATGTGATATTCCTTTCTGTTTGTTAGTTTTTCTTCTAACAGTCAGGCCCTTGTGCTGCAAGTCTGCTGGAGTTTACTGGAGGTCCACTCCTGACCCTATTTGCCTGGGTATCACCAGCTGAGGCTACAGAACAGCAAAGATTGCTGCCTGTTCTTTCCCCTAGAAGATTCATCTCTGAGGGGACACCTGCCAGATGCAAGCAAGAGCTCTCCTGTATGAAATGTCTATCGACCCCTACTGGGAGGTGTTGCCCAATCAGGATGCTTGGAGGTTAAGGACCCACTTGAGGAGGCAATCTGACCCATAGAAGAGCTCAAACGCTGTGCTGGGAGGTCAACTGCTCTGTTCAGTGCCATCAGGCAGGGACGTTTACATCTGCTGAAACTGTTCCCACAGCTGCCCCTTCCCCCAGATTCTCTGTCCCAGGTAGATGGGAGTCTTACCTATAAGTCCCTGAGTGGGGTTGCTGTCTTTTTTTCAGGGATGCCCTGCCAGAGAGGAGTAATCTGGCTGTCCGGCCACAGCAGCCTTGCTGAACTGCAGTGGGCTCCACCCAGTTCAGACTTCCTGGTGGCCTTGTTTACACTGTGAGCATAAAACTGCTTACTCAAGCCTCAGCAATGGTGGGCGCCCTTCCCCCCACCAAGCTCGAGTGTCCCAGGTTGACCTCAGACTGCTGCTGTGTTGGCAGCAAATTTCAAGATCGTAGCTTGCTTGGCTCCATGGGTGTGGGACCAGCCAAGCCAGACAACTTGGCTCCCTGGCTTCAGCACCCCTTTCCAGGGGAGTGAAGAGTTCTGTCTCACTGGCGCTCCAGGCACCACTGGGGTAAGGAAAAAAAGCAAAAAACAGAAAACAAAAAAACTCCTGCAGCTAGTTCGGTGTCTGCCCAAATGGCCACCCAATTTTGTGCTTGAAACCCAAGGCCTTGGTAGGGTGGGCACCGGAGGGAATCTCCTGGTCTGTGGGTTGGGAAGACTGTGGGACAAGTGTGGTATCTGGGCCAGAGTCCCTGGTTACTCAGGCTCAGTCCCTTACGTCTTCCCTTGGGTAGGGAAGAATATTCCTGGACCCCTTGCACTTCCCAGGTGAGGCAACACCCCTCCCTGCTTCAGCTCACCCTCCATGGGCTGCATCCACTGTCCAACCAGTCTCAATGAGATGAACTGGGCACTTCAGTTGAAAATGCAGAAATCACCCACCTTCTGCGTCTATCTCACTGGGAGCTACAGACAGGAACTTGTCCTAGTCAGCCATCTTTATCAGGATCCTCTTTTCTTAATTCTTCCTGGGATTTTCTACACAAATGACCATATCATCTGCATAGAGGGAGGTTTTTATTTTTTCCTTTCTAATCTTTACACTCTTAATTTCTTGTACATCACTTATTGTGGAGGCTAGAACTTCCATCACTATGTTGAATAGGAATAGTGAGAACAGACATTTCTTGCTGTATTTCTGATCTTGGGTGGAAAATGTTCAGTCTTTCATGATTAGGTATAATGTTAACTACTGTTTTGGTTTCTGGTTTTAAGATGTTCTTTATGAAGTTCACAAAATTCCCCTCTACTACTTTTCCAGAATTTTTGTTATAAATAAGTGTTTTTTTTTTTTTCAAATTTCTTTCCGTGTAAGTTGATATAATTATGTTTTTTTAACCTGTTAATATGGTGGATTGTATTCATTGATTTTACAATATTGAATCAGCCTGCCATACCTGGAATAATGCTCATTTAGTCACAGTGTGTAATTATTTTTATACACTCATGAATTCTATTTGCTAATTTTTTTAGTGATTTTGCAAACATATTCATAAGAATTAAAAAGCTGTTTGCTCTGATATTTGTACCATATATCCAGTTTTGGGATCTAGGTTATATTGGCCTCATAAAATGATACTTTTTGGAAAATGTTTCTTTCCCTTCTATATTCTGGAAATTTGTGGAGAATAAATGTTAATTCTTACTTAAACTTTAGTAGAAATCTCTAGTAAAGTCATCTGGGCCTGCAGATTGCATTTAACTTACAACCTCAATTTCTTTAAAAGTTACATGAAAATTCAAATTATCTATTTCATACTACTTGGGCTGTTGTAGTTTGTCCATTTCATCTAAGTTGTTAAATATATGTTTAGAGTTCTTTTTAATATTTCTTAATTACCCTTTTTTTGATGGTTGTAGAGACTGTAGGGATAGTCTCTGGAATTGGTATTATTCCTGATATTGGCAGTTTGCATTTTTTTCTCTATTTTTATTTGTAATTCTTCAAAGAGTCTTGACAATTTTATTAATATTTTTAAAGAACTAATTTTCTTTCTTTTATTAATTTTCTCCATTTTATTTCTTTTTTAATTTTATTGATTTACAACATTATGTATTAATATTTCTTTGCTTGCTTTGGGTTTATATTGTTGTTCTCTTTGTAGTCTCCTTAGGTGAAAGCCTACATTATTAATTTGAGACTTCTCTTTTACCTACTGCTAACATTTATTGCTGTGCATTTTTCTTTCAGCACTGCTTTAGCTGTGTTCAACAAATTTTACATATTGTATTTTCGATTTCACCCAGTTAAATGTGTTTTTTAAATTCACTAAGGCTTTCTTCTTTAATCCATAGGATATTGTGATGGCTAATATGGAGTGTCAACTTGAATGGATTGAAGGATGCAAAGTATTAATCCTGGGAGTGTCTGTGAGGGTGATGCCAAAGTAGATTAACATTTGAGTAAGTGGGCTGGAAAATGCAAACCCACCCTTAATCTGGGTGGTCACCATCTATTCAGCTGCCAGCATGTCTAGAATATAAAGTAGGCAGAAAAACGTGAAAAAAGTAGACTGGCCTAGCCTCCCATCCTACATCTTTCTCTCGTGCTGGACCCTTCCTGCTCTCAAACATTGAACTCCAAGTTCTTCAGTTTTGGAACTTGGACTGTCTTTCCTTGCTCCTCAGCTTTCAGACAGCCTATTGTGGGATCTTGAGATTGTGTGAGTTAATACTTATTAAACTTCCCTTTATATGTGTGTGTGTATACATATATATAGATATATAGATATAGTTGTATATATATTACTATATGTGTGTGTGTATAGAGTTGGTTGCTTAATATAATTACATCCAAAATGCTAAGGACTCTACTTCTCATAGTATGGAGAACACTGATAGTCCTTGGCATGAACTGTTTAGAGTTATGCAAAATAAATATATTTGACACTTCCAATTCACCTCTTATGAGAGGCAAGGAGTTTAGTGACTTTGTACATATTACCTTTGACCATATGTGGAGAACCAAAGAACATAATGAAGCTGGTTGGTTGCTCCTAAGTTCAGTGGACAAAGTGATGAAAGAAAATGGTGAATTCAGGAATTCTAACTCCCAGCTTGAGAAGATACTGAGCCTCAAATCTGCTAAGATTGCTCTGAATAAGAGTCTTATTCCTGTAGAGAAAGAGCTGAAATTGTGGAAAAACAGACACAATCTCTTATTATGCAAGTGGCTGACCTGCAACAAAAGGTGTATGTGCAACCTCACCAGGTGTCTACTTTTAAAGTGAGAGCACTGATTGGAAAAGAATGGGACTCTGCAATTTGAAATGGGGACATGAGGGAGGACCCTGATGAAGCTGGGGAAACTGAAGTTGTAAACACTGATGAAACTTTTTTTCAAAAGAAACAGCTTCCCCATACCCAGTAGTGCCAACATTCCCTCCCCAATACATGCTGTCATCAGCCTTTCTACCTTTGTCTGAGAAGATAAACCCGGTGCTGCCTGAGGCAACAGTGATGGTCTCCTCTGAGGCAGTTGAGAGGCAAGATAATGTTGATTCTCCTCAGGAGCCACCTACAACATCCCTGTTTGCTTCTAGACCTATAACTAGATTAAAGTTCTGGCTGGCCCCTAGAGGAGAGGTTCAGAGTGTAATTCACAAGGGTGTGTGTGACACTCGAAAAAAGCTGCTTAAATTTTTTAATTTATATAAGCAGAAATCTAGAGAACAGGCATGGGAAAAGATATTAAGGGTTTGGGATAAGGGTGGAAGGAACATAGAGTTGGATCAGGCTGAATTTATTGATTTGGGCCCACTACATAAGCACTCTGCATTTAATATTGCAGCTCTAGAAGTTAAAAAATGTTCTAAAACTGTATGTGCTTGGCTAGCTAAAATATGGATTAAGAGATGGGCCACGTAACTGAGCTGGAAATGCCTGATCTCCCTTGATTTAAAGTAGAGGAAAGAATCTAAAGGCTTAGGGAGATTGGGATGCTGGAGTGGAATAGTCACTTTAGACCTACTCATCCCAGCTGGGAGGGTCCACAAGATATACCCTCAATCAATGCCTTGTGAAATACATTTGTGAGGGCAGCACCTACATCTTTGAAGGGCCTGTAATTGCTCTTCTCTGTATGTCAGATCCAACAGTGAGAACCACAGTCACTCAGCTATAAAATTTACATAAAATAAAAATAATTGGTTCCCGTGGTGCCAGGGGCCAAGTGGCAGCACTCAACCTTCAAAGCAAGGGTGAGCACAGCTACCATAATGGACAGCAGAGGCAAAGTGATAATCAGAATAGTCTGACATGTGTAGAGCTCTGGCATTGGCTAATTAATTACAGTGTTCCTAGAAGTGAAATTGATAGGAAGCCTACTGAATTCCTACTTAATTTACATAAGCAGAATATTTCTAGGTTGAATGAACAAAAGATTAATTTGAATTATAAAAACAGAATCACAGCCCCTCAATAAATTTCCAGACTTGACCCAGTTTACAGTCCCAGAATCCCTTGAATGAAGGGAAGGTCGAGTACCCTTGAAGAAGGACCCCACTACACTAATGACAATTTATGCTTTTAAGATTTCTCTCATCCTTCCCCAAGGAGACCTCAGGCCTTTTACCAGAGTAACTGTACATTCTGGAAAGGCAAATGATCAGGTATTGTGGGGACTACTGGACACTGGCTCTGAGCTGACTTTGATTCCAGGAGACCCAAAACATCATTGTGGTCATCCAGTTAAAGCAGGGGTTTATGGAGGTCAGGGAATTAATGGAGCTTTAGCTCAGGTCTGACTTACAGTGGCTCCAGTGGGTCCCCAGACTCATCCTATGGTCATTTTCCTGGTGCCAAAATGCATAATTGACATAGACATACTTAGCAGGTAGGAGAACCCCCATATTGGCTCCCTGACTGGTAGAATGAGGGCTATTATGGTGGGAAAGGCAAAATGGAAGCCATAAGAGATGCCTCTACCTAGAAAAATAGTAAATCAAGAACAATATTGCATCCCGGGAGAGATTGAAGAGATTACTGAAACCATCAAGGAAAGACGCAGGGATGGTGTTTCCCACCACATCTTTGTTCAGCTGTCCCATTTGGCCTGTGCAGAAGACAGATGGATCTTGGAGACAGTGGATTGTCATAAGCTTAACCAAGTGGTGACTCCAGTTGCAGCTGCTGTACCAGATATGGTTTAATTACTTGGGCAAACTAACACATCGTCTGGTACCTGGTAGGAAGACAATGACTTGGCAAAAGCCTTTTACTTCATTCCTATCTATAATGCCCACCAGAAGTGATTTACCTTCAGCTGACAAGGCCAGCAATATACCTTTACTGTCCTACCTCAGGGTTATTTCAACTCTATGGCTTTATGTCATAATCTTATTCAGAGACTTTGATTTCTTTTTCTTCCACAAGATATCACACTGATCCATTACATTGATGACCTTAAGCTGATTGGATCTAGTGAGCAAGAAGTAGCAAACACACTAAACTAATTGGTGAGACACTTGCATGACAGAGGAAGGGAAATAAATCTAACTAAAATTCAAGGACCTTCAACCTCAGTAAAATTTCTAGGGGTCCAGTGGTGTGGGGCATGCATAGATATTCCTTCTAAGGTGAAGGATAAGTTGCTGCATTTGGCCCCTCCTGCAACCAAGAAATAGGCACAATGTCTAGCGGACCTATTTGGATTTTGGAGGCAACACATTCCTCTTTGGGATGTGTTACTCTGACCCATTTATCAAGTGACCCAAAAGGCTACCAATTTTGAGTGGGATCCATAATATGAGAAGGCTCTGCAACAGGTACAGGCTGCTGTGCAAGCTTCTCTGCAACTTGGGCCATATGACTCAGCAGATCCAATGGTGCTTGAGGTGTCAGTGACAGATAGGGATGCTGTTTGGAGCCTTTTGCAGGCCCCCGTGGGTGAATCACAGTGGAAGGTTTTAGGATTTTGGAGCAAGATCCTGTCATCTTCTGCAGATAACTACTTTCTTTTTGAGAGACAGTCCTTGGCCTGTTACTGGGCTTTGGTGGAAATGAATGTTTGACTATGGGTCATCAAGAGAGCACGTGACCTTAACTGCTCATCATGAACTGGGTGCTTTTTGACCCATCTAGCCATAGAGTGGGTCATGAACAGCAGCATTCCATCGTCAAATGGAAGGGGTATATGCATAATCAAGATCGAGCAGGTCCTGAGGGCAAAAGAAAGTTACATGTGGAAGTGACTCAAATGCCCATGGTCTCCATTCCTCCCACCCTGCTTTCTCTCCCCCAGAATACACCAATGGCCTTATGGGGATTTCCCTATGACCACTTTACAGAGGAAGAGAAGACTAGGCCCTGGTTCACACAATATGCAGGCAACACTTGAAAGTGGACAGCTGCAGCACTACGGCCCATTTCGAGGAAATTGCTGAAGGACAGTGGTGAAGGAAAACCTTTCTAGTGGGCAGAACTTCGAGCAGTACACCTGGCTGTGCACTTTGCATGAAAAGAGAAATGGCCAAATGTGCAATTATATACTGATTAATGAGTTGTAGCCTATGGTTTGGCTGGATGGTCAGGGATTTGGAAGAAGCATGATTGAAAAACTGGTGACAGAAATTTGGGGAAGAGGTATGTGGATGGACCTCTCTGAGTGGTTAAAATCTGTGAAGATATTTGTATCCCATGTAAGTGCTCACCAATGGGTGACCTTATCAAAGGAGGAGTTTAGTAATCAAGTGGATAATATGGCTCATTCTGTGGACACCACTTAGCCTCTTTCCCCAGCCATCCCTGTCATCACTCAATGGGCCCATGAACAAAGTGGCCGTAGTGGCAGGGATGGAGGTTACGCATGGGCTCAGCAACATGGACTTTCACTCACCAAGGCTGACCTGGCTACAACCACTGCTGAGTGCCCAATTTTCCAGCAGCAGGGACCAACACTGAGCCCTCGATATGGCACAATTACTCGGGGTGATCAGCCAGCTATCTGGTGGCAGGTTGATTATTTTGGACCTCTTCCATCATGGAAAGAGCAGAGGTTTGTCCTCATCAGAACACTTACTCTGTATATGGGTTTTCCTATCCTGAACGCAGTGCTTTTACCAAGACTACCATCTGTGGACTCATGGAATCCCTTGTCCATTCCACATAGCATTGCCTCTTACCAAGGCACTCACTTTGCAGCTAAATAAGTGTGGCAGTGGGCTCATGCTCATGGAATTCCCTGGTCTTAACATGTTCCCCATCATCCTGAAGCAGCTGGATTGATAGAATGGTGGAATGGCCTTTTGAAGTCAAAATTACAATGCCAACTAGGTGACAATACTTTGCAGGGCTGAGGCAAAGTTCTCCAAAAGGCCGTGTATGCTCTGAATCAGCTTCCAATATATGGTACTATTTCTCTCATAGCCAGGATTCACAGATCCATAAATCAAGGTGCTGA
The DNA here is from genome assembly GCF_000001405.40 of Homo sapiens. Taxonomy (NCBI): domain Eukaryota; kingdom Metazoa; phylum Chordata; class Mammalia; order Primates; family Hominidae; genus Homo; species Homo sapiens. The sequence goes on along the minus strand of NC_000023.11, from coordinate 66,482,445 downwards.
AGCAGAAGTGGCACCACTCCCCATCACCCGTAGTGATCCACTAGCAAAATTTTTGCTTCCTATTCCCTCGACATTACATTCTGCTCACCTAGAGGTCTTAGTTCCAGAGGGAGGAATGCTGCCACCAGGAGACACAACAACAATTCCATTAAACCAGAAGTTAAGATTGCCACCTGGGCACTTTGGGGTCTTGCTACCTTTAACCAACAGGCTAGGAAGGGAGGTACAGTGTTGGCTGCTGTGATTGACCTGGACTGTCAAGAAGAAATCAGACTACTACTGCACAACGGAGGTAAGGAAGGGTATACTTGGAATAAAGGTGATCTGTTAGGGCATCTCTTAGTATTACTATGCCCTGCGATTAAAGTCAATGGGAAACTACAACAGCTCAATCCAGGCAGGACTTCAAATGGCCCAGACCCTTCAGGAATGAAGGCTTGGGTCACTCCACCAGGAAAAAAATAAAAAATAATAAAAAAAAAGGTGACCTGCTGAGGTGCCTGCTGAAGGCAATGGGAATACAGAATGGCTTATAGAAGAAGGTAGTAATCAGTACCAGCTATGACCACGTGACAGCTGCAGAAATGAGGATTGTAATTTTCATGAGTATTTTCTCCTTCTTTTGTTAAAAACATGCTTGTGCATCAGCAAAAGAAACTACCATCAGAGTGAACAGGCAACCTACAGAATGGGAGAAAATTTTTGTAATCATCTACTCACCTGACAAAGGGCTAATATCCAGAATCCCCAATGAACTCAAACAAATTTACAAGATAAAATCATCATTCTCAGTAAACTATCACAAGAACAAAAAACCAAACACCACATATTCTCACTCATAGGCGGGAATTGAACAATGAGATCACATGGACACAGGAAGGGGAATATCACACTCTGGGGACTGTGGTGGGGTGGGGGGAGGGGGGAGGGATAGCATTGGGAGATATACCTAATGCTAGATGATGAGTTAGTGGGTGCAGCGCACCAGCATGGCACATGTATACATATGTAACTAACCTGCACAATGTGCACATGTACCCTAAAACTTAAAGTATAATAAAAAAAAAAAAAACATCAAAAAGTGGGCAAAGGATATGAGCAGACACTTCTCAAAAGAAGACATTTATGCAGCCAAAAAACACATGAAAAAATGCTCATCATCACTGGCCATCAGAGAAATGCAAATCAAAACCACAGTGAGATACCATCTCATACCAGTTAGAATGGCGATCATTAAAAAGTCAGGAAACAACAGGTGTTGGAGAGGATGTGGAGAAATAGGAACACTTTTACACTGTTGGTGGAACTGTAAACTAGTTCAACCATTGTGGAAGACAGTGTGGTAATTCCTCAGGGATCTAGAACTAGAAATACCATTTGACCCAGCCATCCCATTAATGGGTATATACCCAAAGGACTATAAATCATGCTGCTATAAAGACACATGAACACGTATGTTTATTGCAGCACTATTCACAATAGCAAAGCTTGGAACCAACCCAAATGTCCATCAATGATAGACTGGATTAATAAAATATGGCACATATACACCATGGAATACTATGCAGCCATAAAAAAGATGAGTTCATGTCCTTTGCGGGGACATGGATGAAGCTGGAAACCATCGTTATCTGCAAACTATTGCAGGGACAAAAAATCAAACACTGCATGTTGTCACTCATAGGTGGGAATTGAACGATGAGAACACTTGGACACAGGAAGGGGAACATCACACACTGGGGCCTGTTGTGGGGTTGGGGGAGGGGGGAGGGATAGCATTAGGAGATACACCTAATGTTAAATGATGAGTTAATGGGTACAGCACACCAACATGGCACATGTATACATATGTAACAAACCTGCACGTTGTGCACATGTACCCTAGAACTTAAAGTATAATTTAAAAAAAAGTTTGTGCATTTATACACTTGTACTAAAAAAAAAAATCTTCATTGTTTTCTTTATCATGTGACATAAGATTTACTGACTTCGTATCAGCATTTAAATGTTGTTAACTTTATGTAATAGTATATGAGTTTAGGTTCGGTACTTTTCTGGTTGTATGAAGGATAGTTGTATTATGTTAGGCATAATTGTGACCTTATTATTGTCTTTATTTGAAGATTATGTATGATCTCAGGAGACATGTATGGGTCCAAGTTGACAAGGAGTGGACTTGTGATGGTTAATACCTAGTGTCCACTTGATTGAATTGAAGGATGCAAAGTATTGATCCTGGGTGTGTCTGTTAGGGTGTGGCCAAAAGAGATTAGCATTTGAGTCAGTTAGCTGGGAAATGCAGACCTATCCTTAATCTGGTGGGCACCATCTAATCAGCTGCCAGCATGGCTAGAATATACAGCAGACAGAAAAATGTGAAAAGATTAGACTGGCCTAGCCTCCCAGCCTACATCTTTCTCCTGTGCTGCATGCTTCCTGCTCTCTAATATTGGACCCCAAGTTCTTCAGTTTTGGGACTCAGACTGGCTTTCCTTGCTCCTCAGCTTGCAGATGGCTTATTGTGGGACCTTGTGATTGTGTGAGTTAATACTTAATAAACTCCACTTTGTATATATATCCATCCTATTAGTTCTGTCACTCTGGAGAACCCTGATTAATACAGTTATTTAGCGGTGTGATTTTTAGCTCCCAAATGTTTGTTATTTCCCTGTTATATGTCTGTCAATTATCCTAATGTTATTTCATTTTGACCAGAGAGCCCACTCTGCATGATTCCAATTATTTTAATTTGTTGAGGGTTGTTTTACTGGTCAGAATATGATATACCTTGGTACATGCTCTCTAGGTGCATGAAAATAATATGTATTCTTCTGTTGTTAAGTGTTCCATAAATGTTATTAAGAACCTATTAGCTGATGGAGTCCTCAAGTTCTTCTGTATCATTACTTATTTTCTGTCTAGTTCTAGAGAGAAGTGTTGAAAATTGCAACTGTAATGGTGGATTTGCCTGGTATTTCTTTCAATTCTACCAATTTGGTTTCACCTATTTTGCAGGATTATTGTTTAGTGCATTCACATTTCAGATTGCTATGTCTTCTTGGAGGAGTGACCCATTTATCACTACGTAATATCTCTCTCTGTTGCTGATAATTTTCTTTTCAATGAAATCTATTTCGTTTTGTGTTAATATAGCCATTCCCTCTGTCTTTTGATTAATATTGGCATGACATACTTTTTTGCATCCTTTTATTTCAACTTATGTCACCATGTTTTAAGGGAGTTTCTTGTAGACACAATATGTTTGGGTTCTGTTTTCTAAGCTGCTTTTCCAATCTCTGTCTTATTTGGTGTCCTTAGACTATTTTCATCTAATGAAATTATTGGTAAGTCAAAGTTTAAGCTTATTTTATTATTTTGTTTTCTGTTTGCTCCTTCGGTTCTTTATTTCTGTGTTTCCTTTTTTTTTTGCCATATTCCATTATGATTTTTCTATTTTTGAGTGTTTGTCAGTGTATACATTTTTCTAGTGGCTGCTGTAGGTATTACAATATAAATACATGATTTTTATAGTCTACAGGGGTTAACATTCCATCACTACAAGTGAAGTTAAGGAACCTTATCTTTCTTTAAGCCCTTTACTTGACAACGTTTAAGTTGTTTTACATATTTTCTCTGCGTAATTTGAGAACCACATCAATGTTATGATCTTTGCTTCAGCTGTTCAGCATACTATACAGTATTCAGGACGAAAAGGGAAGTCTATTTTTACTCTTTCCATTGTATTTTTTTCTGATTGAGAGTACTAATATTCCCTTTACCATCCCACTACCACTCATTAAGCAGATGCTCTTCCCCAGGTATAGTAGAACAAAAATACTGAAACCCAATTTCCTTAATTTCAGCTTCCTTGTAGGGCAAGAATATGAGAATTGAGAACAAGACCTTCCACCCCGCACAATACCTAAGTCACTAACAACATAGAAATGCAAACAACAGCAAAAATGACCCTGGGGGGATAGTGAATTAGTTTGCAGACTTGTTACAAAATATTGTATAAAATTCCTGTTTTAAAAAATAAAAAATATAAGACAAGCAAAGAAACAAAAACAAGTGGACCATGCACAGAATAAAGCAGGGTATTATAACTGCCTTTGAGGCCCCAGAAGTTATCTGGCAGGGGCAGCTTCAAAGCATTTCTTATAAATAGGCTCAAAGAACTAAATAAAACCATGATTAAAGAAGCACAAGAAGATATAATGATGTTTCATACAAGCAAAAATATTAACGAAGAGATATAAATTATTAAAAAGGAAATATAAATTACTTAATTCTTCTGAACTGTACACTTAACAATAGTTAAAATAGTAAATTTTATGTTGTGCATATTTTACCACAATTTTAAAAACTGAAAAAATGTTTATTTGTATTTAGTAAAATCACCAATATTCTTAAATTTCCAAAATCTATATACCAAACCATCAGATTAAAAATTAAACTTGCAAAAAATGAAATTCTGCAGTCAGAAATACAATAACAGATTTTAAAAATTCATTAGAGTCAATTTCCGCTTCCAGAGGAAAGATCAGTGAACTTAAAGAGAGACAAATAAAATGTATGCAATCTGAAGAACAAAAGTAGCAAATTAAGAGTAAAAATAAGCAAAGTATAAGATAAATGTAGGACACAATTAAGTGATTCAATGTAAGTATAATTGAAGTATCAGAATAAGAGGAGAGAGATAATCGAGAAGAAAAAATATACATATGAAGAAATGATGGCCGAAAAGTCCCAAATGCGATGAAAACCATCCGAGAAACTCCATAAACTCAAAGTAGGAGAAAGGTAAATAGATCTACACCCAGAAAAATTAGTCAAAATGATAAAAGACAAAGTCAAAGTCTTAAAAGCATCAAGATAAAAATGAGTAGTTACATACAAGGGAACCTAAATAATAACATATACAAAAGTATTCTCATCAGAAACCATGTAGACCAGATAGTAGCAAGATGACATATTTAATGTTTTGAAAAAAAAAAAAAACCTCTCAACTAAGAATCTTGCATATTGGAAAGCTATAATCCATAAATGAAAGATGAAGACTACCAGACACAGAAAAGTTATTGATTGCAAACTTGCCTTATAAGAAAAAACAAAGTTGTTTAGGTCAAAAGCAAATAATCTCAGACAGAAATCCCAATACACACAAACAAATCAATAAAGATAGCGAAGTAGATAATTATGAATAAGTATAATTAACTTTTTATTCTAATTTTTTCTCTTAACAAAGTAAAATGTTATATATTGAATAAGATCTTGAAACAGATGAAAGACAATAAAGTCAAACGGTCTAAAGTGAAATAATACTGAAAACAGCAAGATAACATTTCATCCAACAACAGTAGAATATTGGGTGTTGCTAGGTGGAATGTTTTTTAATTGAATAGAATCCAATCCCTTCATTTTCTAGGAGGGGAAACCAGAAGTCATAAGAGAAGAAAGGATTTCTCCAAGGTCTCACAGTGAATTGGTTGCAAATCCTAGACCATTATTTGGGTCATAACCTAGTTCTGTTCCCTTTCCATTGCGCCAGATTTTGAACTAGCTGTAACAATGAATAGGACAGTGTATTTAAGCCCTCCACTTATGTGCATTCCAAAATTTCTCTAATCAAACGTCCAAATGTTTACTTAATCTTGGACCCAGTATTATTTCAAAAGGTGAAATATTTTAATGAATAAATGCAGTTTCTTAAAATATACATCAACATTAGAGAACTACATAGAGCTCATTTTAAAAATTAGACTGTAATATTATAGAAAAAAATTTCTTCCTGCCACCCTCTTATGGTTTTTAGAACTCATAGAATTTCAGGATTGAAAGAAAGAAGATTTCAAGATTAAATTCAGGCATATTTTCTAGTTTCATATGAAAATATTAGAGCACATAACTTTCCAGCATCTATTTGAACACCCAGAGTCAGGGAGCTCAATTCCTCTCACAAAGCAAACAATTTCTTCCTTGAATCTCTCTAATCATTGAAAAAACCTTTTGCACCACCAGCTGAACTCTGCCTCTGTATAGTCTACTCAGATATCCAAAGGGAAAACAAATACATCTCTCTGAATTCAGTCAAGCCTCTGATCAAGACCATTCAAACTGCCTTATATATTAGATTAAAGCAGAATAAGAACAGGTTAGCAATTTTTTCTATGTGCTCATGTTGCTGGCTCCCATAAACCAAAGCCTTTCAGGATTGATAAATGTAATTATTCTACAGTTTTCATAAGTGTCTCAAAGCGCATAATTTTATCTTTCTAGTACTATGTACCTTGGTGAACGCTAATTTCAGAATCTTAAGTCTACCTGAGGACAAAGTTGTCTACTCCCAGACATCTTATGAGTTCACCGTGAGGAAGTGAAGTTTTTATTTGAGTATATTTTACTGGCTTTCTGTCCTATGGTGTTGGTTCACTGATTCAAATTATCTATTGGAGTTTTTTCTAAAATATATAATGAAGCCAATGCATTGATATTCTCAGAGCATCTAATAAAGTATCCTAGTGCAGTAGCAAGCCCATTTCTATGTCTGTTCTCAAACCTTCCTTCTGTGCCCCTGGTTCTTGTCCTCTTGGATTCTCTCACTCCCTTGGCCCCATCCATGTTCTAACTCTTGCTACTTACCTCATTATCTCCCTGTGAATGACCCATTTGACCCAACTTTTCCAGATTTTGGATCTCAGCCTTCTTGTTGTTCATCTCTTGAATTTTCCCAGATTATAGGTTTTGATATACATATATATGCTCTATCCTTATCTGCTCCATTCCTCTGGGCCCACACAGGCTCAGGCCAGAAACCCCATTCTGTATTCAGTCCTTTACTCACACAAGTCAGAGTGGACTATTACAAAAATCCTTTTCTATATCTGAGTCATTTCTTATGCATGCCCTCACAAAAGGAGCATTAAGTACCTACTACATACAAGGCTATGCATTAGGGACGGAAAGAGGCATCCAAGTGAATTAACCATCATTCCTTTCATCAATGGCATAAAAGTCCAGTAATATTTTTATGGCATCTTACTGAACTTACGACTGTCAGACTCCAGACTTCAGTTTAGTTCAAAGAGCAGCTTCCTTTAAATGGAACTACCAATATTTGAGAATAGTGGAATTTTTAAGAATATGGACTTTGGAATCAGACACATTTGGGTGCAAATTCCAGCTCTGACGTTTACCAATTTTGTGACCTCATCTGTAAAATGGAATGTAATTGTGTCTCTGCCTTTTGGGCTAAGATCAAATGTAAAATGGGATATAGAAAAAATACATCTTATGAAACCATTTCAAGGATATATGCAATAATGTGTTTAAAGAGCTTACCATATTGTTTGAAGCTCAGCAAATACTTAATAAAGGATAGCTAATTTGATACTTGCTCTATTTGAGAGAAATGTGGTGAATATTAAGATAATATGTAGGAAAGAGCTTTACAAATGAAAAATCAGGTTTTGGCCTATGATTCAATAATAAATTGTGTGAAAAGATAGCTATGTTACCATGCTTAGGAGGGCATGCAGTGATCCATCCTTGCTAGGCTTCTGTGAAGGAGAAGTAAAGGATAAAAATGCAAACTACTATTACTAGCCTTAATGAGGAAGAAAGTCCTGGGGCACTGTTAGATAGCAGCAGGCTACGGGGTGAGAGAGAATATCATGTATTATGTCTATACTATATGGTAGGTGCAACTGCTGATTTGACCCATGAGAAAACTGAACTTGGAAACGTAACTAGCAGTCATGGTCACTGGTATAATATGGCTTCAGCACTGGATAAGCACTGAGGAGTGTACTACATTTAATTCAATGTGACAGACAGATTATTACACTATCCAAGATGAATCTTAGGATTTCTCCCCAGTTCCTGAGCCTGTGTTTCCTCTCTTCTCTGAACTTCTCTGACTATCTTGCCCAGTGCAGCCCTCTCTCTTTCTCTCTCCTCTGTCTTACTCTGCCTCTCATCTTTCTCTGCCTCACTGTAGAAACAGTAGACTGGTTAAACTGCCTCACTGTGAGAAGCATGGGGAAATGGGAGAAAAATGGGTGTGAGAAAATCACTCTGGAAACCTTCCATGTCTTGAGACTCACCAATAATAGCCAAATCTCTCATCTCCTGTCCTGCTGGTCCACATACTCATACTCTGACTGGTCTGAAACAACTGATTTTACTGTGAACTTTTGATTAACAATAATATTCTTTGGAAACTGGTTAATGATATAAATATGTAAATGATTATCTAATAAAACTTTCACTCATATTTGACTTCTGCAATAGTTCCCCATTTATGAGTTCATAAAATCCTCATATTATTAACATGAGACTGTGGCCAGAAGGATGTGTATATAAGTGTGTGTGTGTGTGTTTCATTATTGTTTATATTTGACAGCTAAGTAAAGTGAGGCCCAGAAATCAGTTTGACACACTCACACAGCTTAGCAAGTTGTAGAGCTAGCTCCTTTCTTTGTATCAACATTTCTATTTTATTACTTATCTGATAACTTTCTCCGGTTTTTCAAACTATACATTTGCTTGCCTAAAAAGGTACCTGAGAGATGAAATAAAATCTGAATGTGTCCTACATACAGGAGAAAGAGAATCTTGTTTTCTTAATAAAATTTACCTCCCTTCTTCTGGGCAAGATTCTTTCGAGACATCTGAATGTTCATCCTTCTATTTTATTTTAATCATGTTACTTCCCTACTCCCACCTCATTGTGAAAGCAAGAGGCTGGGAAGCAAAAAAGAAGGCTTTAGTCTAAGCACTTCTCTTCCTATCCTGTTCAATATGGCATATCTAAATTAAAGCATCATCAGTTGTGGTCAAACATAAGACACACCAACATAACAAATAATGGACCAAGCCTAGGACCAAAATTGTGTGTGTGTCATCTCTTGGTGTACTGAGAAACACTAACAAGAATGTTTTTTCAATTACTGAAAACATTATTATTTCCCTGGGAAACAAATCTCCAGCTTTGCTCTGTAGTGTTTTTCAATCTGTACACTGTTTTGAAGTGTTGCTGTTCACAGAGGAACATCTGTGCCTTGAGTTCTTTGTTGTTTCCTTATATTTCAGACAAAGTCAAGACTGCACAGTCTGTCCAGAGTAGCATGGGTGTCGTCTTCAATAAGTTTTCTTATGCAGTCTTGTCAGCTAATGTACCAGGCAGTAGCAAACTATCAGCCAGAACTAAAAAGTAAATCTTGAAACCAATAGCAATGTAAGTCCTTGACCCCTCTTTCCACTTGAACAATTCAGAATTTAATCGACAAATGGTTGCTTAGGAATTTCCACAGTCCAAGCTCTCTGCTAGCTAAGGGAGTCACAGAAAGGTGAAATTCAACTCTATAGACAGATTGAGGATTCACAAGGTGCCAAGAGGTTTTGTGCTTATCACATTTAATGAAAAAGCTATTAAGGAAGGTAGTGACAAGAAGAGCTGCCATTTATGGAGTGCTTAATACACACAGCAAGCTCTCTGATAGGTATTTTGTATGTATTTAATCCTCACTGCTTGAAAAAGTGATATAACTTAATTTTACACAACTATTAAGTCACAGAGAGAAAGGGGACTCAAACCTAATTCTGTCCAATACTGAAGTCTGTATTCTCAACCACTTGGCAAAACTGCTTCCCCATTTCTTAGATGAAGAGGAAAACTACAGTTTGAAGATGGTAAGCAACTTACTCAAAGTCACAAAGGAGATAGAGCTGAGGTTGAGGAGACTGTTGCCAAAGTGCATGCTCACACCTTGCTTTCTGTTGGGTGACTTTCAGTATTAGAGTATTTAATTAGCTGAAGTAATCACTATTCATATGTCCCTCAAGTAACAAAATTCTTTATAAAACTGAGCTTAACCAACAGAGAAAAGGTGGCTCTTGCTAACAGATTTATTTTTGTGTATGATGTGATTTTTATATTTCTGATGTTCAGCTTTACTATAAAATTGGTTGAATCCCTTGAGAAGTTTGACTGTGAAGTATGAAATGATGTGCCATCGTGCACACAGTAACAATGGGCCTTTTAGAGAGCTAAGGAGTGGAGAGAATATTCAGGACATCATATACATCCAGCAAATACAAAGGCAGCTGAAAACAGGGAAGGTAGCAATATGGGCGTGTAGGTTATCTACTCTGTGAAATCAGAAGACATAAATCAAACTGAGGGTTAATAAAATGCAGTGATACATTTTTATTCCTGAAAAATAGCCAAGATTGAGCAATGCTGTAATTAGCACTTTGCCTCTAACAAGTGAAAATAATCTGGAATAAATAGGGCTAAATGCACTGAAAAGAGCTGGAGCTCCATAAAGCAGAGAAAGTGCAAGCTACCATGCTCAGCTGGAATCCTGATAGGTTTCCCTCCTCCCAGTAAACACTGTTTTGTTCTTTGGCTGCTGTTTTTTTCTTAATTTGCTTTATATCGTAATGCACAGTTTGTTAAATAATTTAGAGATTTAACAGATTTTTGTTTTATCTAAATAATTTGCCTTTCCATATGTAATTTTTGTCACATTTTTTCATATATCTCAAATAAGCACCACTGATTACCTAAAATGTACCAGGCAGATTACCAGGGTGATTTTTTTTAATGCTCACAGCCAGCGTTGAAAGTAATGATTAACAGTTGTTAAACTCCTACTATGGGTCAAATATTTTACTAGACATTTGGTATTCATTCATCTATTACTTCATTCATTCATTCATTTAACAAATATTTTTAAACTTAATATGTATTAGGCACTGAATTATATCCAGTTTTTTATAGCCCTACACTCTCCAATAAGCCTGAAATGTAGGTATTCATTTTAGAGATAGATAAATTGGAGCTCCAAGCAGTCAAAATAACTTTCTCAAGTTCATAAAGTTAATAATTTGCAGGCACAGAATCAGGTTATTGTGAATTTGTATCTGGTTATTGTTACATTCTCTGGGCATTGCTTCTGTTGCACCTTTTTGGTGCACTAATGAGAGTAGACATGAGTAACAAAGGTAAGAAAAAGTGGTTTTATTCTGGCTTCTCTGCTTCCAATTAGGCAGACAGCCAGTGAGTCACATTATCTATAAAGCACATAGCCCTGTATTACGGTCTTCAGCACCTACTATTGACTAGGCTTTGTGACGTGTATTATTTTATTCCACAGCAACCCTAGGAAAAAAGCAATATATATTACTGTTGTTGTTGACATGGACATTTTATTTGTGGTTGTCCATTTTAGACAGTTGTGCTATATACAATTTTTTATTTTGAAATATTAAATTATAACAGAAGTATCAATATGTTATAAATTTTATAAATATGAATTTGGTGAATTAGAAATGTACTTCTTCCTACAAATATTATTGTATTATTTAGGCACTTTCTAAGTTTTCTTAGAATAACTAATGAAAATAACTAATGCTATTAACAAGCACTCTCCCATTGTCAATCGATTTATCATATTTTTCCATATATATAAAACTAATTCATAACCTAATTAAATGACTGAAAGTTACAATGTTAAATATATACTGTCTAAGAACATGCCCCTGGGCTTCTGACACATCTGCTTTTGAGTTCTGCTCTTCTATGAGACAAATCTATTTATTGCCTAATATATTCAGTATTTAAACTTACTATCTATAAAATTACTATCTAAATCACAGAATCATGAAAAATAATAAAGATAATAAAAGTAAAATATTTTATCACTCTCCTTTAAAAATAAATATTAATTCCATTTACATATAAGGTGAATTAAGCTCAGAGAAACAAAGTGATTGGCCTAAGGACACACAGCTGGCCAAAGTTCAAATTCTCTTGGTCAGTGTCCTATACTGTTTTTCTTTCAGATGAGCCCATGTATTACCTATCCTTCTGGGAGAAGACTGAAAACACACACACACACACACACACCAGAAAATCTCCTTCAGGTGTATGCATGGGCAATTGCAAACAGAGCAAGAAACCTAACCAACTTAGTAATTCTATGAGTTTATTAATGATGCAGAGTTGACACGTATATTACTATCAAAGGAAAATAAATTCTTTAAGCATTTCTGGATTTCCTACTAATTTGAACCCGAAGCCAAAAGATGCCAGGGCTAAAAGAACTGTGGCATCCCAGAGAGAGGAGTGATTACTTCTGACTGATTGGGGCCAGGGAAGGGACACACAGGAAAAAGTTCTTAGAGGAAATGTCACAGGAACGAGAGTTTGAATGATGAGAAGAACTGAACAGGAGAATGGGGTGGAGTGACACTCCAGATAGATAAATTGGGACAAGCAAAGACATGGAGATGAGGGCTCACATGGCCTATTCCTGGAATATCAGATACCTCAATGTGACTAGAGTCTAGAGGTCATGGGGAGCCACGGAAAGAAGAAATCGAAAAATTAGTGTGCAACCAATTTATGTAGGACTTTTCATGACTTACTATTAGATAACATTATACTGTAGAATAGAATATGATAAACTACCATTTTTTTAATTAAAACTTGTCCTGGCCCACATTTCTCAGTAAACTTGATATATGGTTAAATTCATTTTTATAGGTGAGAAGAGAATCCACGCCTGTTTAAGTTTACAGCTTATCTAGATGACAAGAACAATATTATCACTGTGGAGAGTATTGGGTGACAGGTTGAGTCAGCCTTGCTAACACAAAATATCAAAAATAGTGACAAAACCTATCAATGATAATTTTTATACTGTACTTAAAATCACCAATTAAATCAAACTGCAAAGCATGAAATGCATTATGTTAGAACCATATTAGTAGAGTCTAATTTCCATTCCACCATCTTAAAGTTGAAAGCCAATACCTGCCTATAATATCTTTATTCATATTTCTTCCCAACCTGGCATACACCATGAGTCAGACCACATCCCTTCCTCATGTCCCCACCCATCTCAACATCCTTTGCTTATACAGAAAGAAGCTGTTGGAGTTGACATTTTCATGATGAAGCTAAGTCTAGCAAAAATAAAAAGAAACAGCCATATTAAATTAATTTTAAGTTTTTAATTTAAAGGGAGATAATATTTTTGGCTTGTAATTTCAAAATGAGAGCTCAGAATTTCTCAACTCTTCCAGTCATAATTAAGGTTTTCACCTTTCTGCAAAACTTTCCCCAGCACTCACCTCTGCCCGATCCCACATTGGATAGATCAGTAAGGTGGGAAAGGAGAAGGTTTTCTCTTATTTTACTCAACATTTTAGATTTCTCTTTCTGATATCTGCCTGACCTGCGAGATCTTTCTCGCACTGCCTTGGCTAGTCTGTGACCAAACCTACTGTTTATCTGTTCTCTACACCTATGACATTGGTAGAGAAGAAGTTCTTTCTCCATACTACAATCCCTCTTCCCATAATCTGTATCCCAAATGCTTCATACCAAAGTACAGAATATTGCCATTTGAAATAACTGGAGACTCCAGTGGCATTTACTCAGCTATTTTCTGTCCCCAAACATAGTCCAGGTGCAATGTAGTCCCAACTCTCTATACCCTACAAAGAAATACATGATGAAAAGAAAAAACCTTTCAGCCTTGATGATTTTTGAACGCAATAAACTCCCAGGTAGCCAAGTACATTTCCCAGTGTAAAAACGCATCCAAAATTCCCACTAAGTCAGTTATACATACTCAAACAGGAGGTGGATCACATGTGCCTGGACAGCTGAGCAGTCAAAATCTTAATAAAGGTCAAACCACTAGAATTTTATTCTTTAAACTTTTATTCACCCCCTCAAAAAAAAAAAAGCCATGAGAAGTAGAATGATGTACCTTATCACTTAAACAAATTTATAGAGTGAAAACTAGAATGGAAGTTCCATAAGAAAAGAGATTATGAACTTTAAAGTAGTTTTTTCCAATTCTGTGAAGAAAGTCATTGGTAGCTCGATGGGGATGGCATTGAATCTGTAAATTACCTTGGGCAGTATGGCCATTTTCATGATATTGATTCTTCCTACCTATGAGCATGGAATGTTCTTCCATTTGTTTGTATCCTCTTTTATTTCATTGAGCAGTGGTTTGTAGTTCTCCTTGAAGAGGTCCTTCACATCCCTTGTAAGTTGGATTCCTAGGTATTTTATTCTCTTGGAAGCAATTGTTAATGGGAGTTCACTCATGATTTGGCTGTCTGTTTGTCTGTTGTTGGTGTATAAGAAGGCTTGTGATTTTTGTACATTGATTTTGTATCCTGAGACTTTGCTGAAGTTGCTTATCAGCTTAAGGAGATTTTGGGCTGAGACAATAGGTTTTTCTAGATATACAATCATGTCATCTGCAAACAGGGACAATTTGACTTCCTCTTTTCTTAATTGAATACCCGTTATTTCCTTCTCCTGCTGCATCGCCAAGTCAATCCTGAGCCAAAAGAACAAAGCTGGAGGCATCACACTACCTGACTTCAAACTATACTACAAAGCTACAGTAACCAAAACAGCACGGTACTGGTACCAAAACAGAGATATAGATCAATGGAACAGAACAGAGCCCTCAGAAATAACGCCACATATCTACAACTATCGGATCTTTGACAAACCTGAGAAAAACAAGCAATGGGGAAAGGATTCCCTATTTAATAAATGGTGCTGGAAAAACTGGCTAGGCATATGTAGAAAGCTGAAACTGGATCCCTTCCTTACACCTTATACAAAAATTAATTCAAGATGGATTAAAGACTTAAACGTTAGACGTAAAACCATAAAAACCCTAGAAGAAAACCTAGGCATTATTATTCAGGACATAGGCATGAGCAAGGACTTCATGTCTAAAACACCAAAAGCAATGGCAACAAAAGCCAAAGTTGACAAATGGGACATAATTAAATTAAAGAGCTTCTGCACAGCAAAAGAAACTACCATTAGAGTGAACAGGCAACCTACAAAATAGGAGAAAATTTTTGCAACCTACTTATCTGACAAAGGGCTAATATCCAGAATCTACAATGAACTCAAACAAATTTACAAGAAAAAAACAAACAACCCCATCAAAAAGTGGGCAAAGGACATGAACAGACACTTCTCAAAAGAAGACATTTATGCAGCCAAAAAACACATGAAAAAATGCTCACCATCACTGGCCATCAGAGAAATGCAAATCAAAACCACAATGAGATACCCTCTTACACCAGTCAGAATGGCAATCATTAAAAAGTCAGGAAACAACAGGTGCTGGAGAGGATGTGGAGAAATAGGAACACTTTTACACTGTTGGTGGGACTGTAAACTAGTTCAACCATTGTGGAAGTCAGTGTGGCGATTCCTCAGGGATCTAGAACTAGAAATACCATTTGACCCAGCCATCCCATTACTGGGTATATACCCAAAGGACTATAAATCATGCTGCTATAAAGACACATGCACACGTATGTTTATTGTGGCATTATTCACAAGAGTAAAGACTTGGAACCAACCCAAATGTCCAACAATGATAGACTGGATTAAGAAAATGTGGCACATATACACCATGGAATACTATGCAGCCATAAAAAATGATGAGTTCATGTCCTTTGTAGGGACATGGATGAAATTGGAAATCATCATTCTGAGTAAACTATCGCAAGAACAAAAAACCAAACAACGCACATTCTCACTCATAGGTGGGAACTGAACAATGGGAACACATGGACACAGGAAGGGGAACATCACACTCTGGGGACTGTTGTGGGGTGGGGGAAGGGGGGAGGGATAGCATTAGGAGATATACCTAATGCTAGATGACGAGTTAGTGGGTTCAGTGCACCAGCATGGCACATGTATACATATGTAACTAACCTGCACATTGTGCACATGTACCCTAAAATTTTAAGTATAATAATAATAAATTAATAAATAAATAAACATCCTAGTTTTGAAGACACAAAGTCACAGAGTAGAACCTGAACAAACAGGCCTTGCTAAATTCCCCCCAGCTGACTAACATTAGATCACACTTTTTTATCCAATCATGCTTCACGATTATCCACTTCCTTATCAAGCCCAGCATAAAATATACACAGATTTACCCCTTTCTTCAAGTCTTCATTTCCTTATGAAGGCTCCTGTGTCACTTTATTTATTATAGTAAATAAATCTGTATGCTTCTCAAAAAAAAAAAAAAAGGACATGTTTCACCCACTTTCTCTCTTTAGAATTCTCCTGTGATTGTAATTCAGAAAAAATCAGGCAGATGGCACATACTAACTGATTTGAGAACTGTTAATGCAGTAATTAAACCCATGGGGCCTCTCCAACCTGGGCTGCCCTATCCGGCCATGATCCCCAATGATTGGCCTTTAATTATAATTGATCTAAAGGATTGTTTTTTTACCATTCCTCTGGCAAAACAGGATTTTGAAAAATTTGCTTTTACTCTACCAACCATAAATAATAAAGAACCAGCTACCAGATTTCAGTGGAAAGTGTTGCCTAAGGGAATGCTTAACAGTCCAACTGTTTGTCAGACTTTTGTAGCTCAAGTTTTTCAACCAGTTAGAGACAAGTTTTCAGCCTGTTATATCATTCATTATGTTGATATTTTGTGTGCTGCAGAAACAAGAGACAAATTAATTGACTGTTACACATTTCTGCAGACAGGCGTTGCAAACACAGGCCTAACAATAGCATCTCATAAGATTCAGACCTCCACTCCTTTTCATTATTTGTGAATGCAGGTAGAGGAAAGAAAAATTAAGCCACAAAAAATAGAAATAAGAAAAGACACATTAAGAACATTAAATGACTTTCAAAAATTGCTAGGAGATATTAATTGGATTCAGCCAACTCTAGGCATTCCTACTTATGCCATGTCAAATATGTTTTCTATCTTGAGAGAGGATCCAGACTTGAATAGTAAAAAACATCAACTCCAGAGGCAACTAAAAGAATGAATTAGTTGAAGAAAAAATTCAGTCAGCACAAGTAAGTAGAATAGATCACTTAGCCCCACTCCAACTTTTGATTTTTGCTACTGCATAGTCTCCAACAGGCATTATTGCTCAAAATACAGATCTTGTGGAGTGGTCATTCCTTCCTCAGAGTACAGTTAAGACTTTTACATTGTACTTAGATCAAATGGCTACATTAATTGGTCAGGCAAGACTGCGAATAGTAAAATTGTGTGAAAGTGACCCAGATAAAATCATTGTTCCTTTAAACAAGGAACAGGTTAGACAAGCCTTTATCAATTCTGCTGCATGGCAGATTGGTCTTGCTGATTTTGTGGAAATTATTGATAATCATTACCCAAAAACAAAAATCTTACAGTTTTTGGAATTGGCTACTTGGATTTTACCTAAAATTACCGACAAAAACCTTTAGAAAATGCTCTGATGGTGTTTACTGATGGTTCCAGCAATGGAAAAGCGGCTTACACCAGGCCAAAAGAACGAGTCATTAAAACTCAATATCACTCAGCTCAAAGAGCAGAATTGGTTGCTGTCATTTCAGTGTTACAAGATTTTAATCAGCCTATTAACATTGTTTCAGATTCTGCATATGTAGTACAGGCTACAAAGGATGTTGAGACAGCCCTAATCAAATATAGTATGGATGATCAGTTAAATCAGCTGTTTAAATTATTACAACAAACTGTGACAAAAAGAAATTTCCCATTTTATATTACTCATATTTGAGCACATACTAATTTATCAGGGCCTTTAACTAAGGCAAATGAACAAGCTGATTTGCTAGTATCATCTGCCTTCATGGAAGCACAAGAACTTCATGCCCTGACTCATGTAAATGCAATAGGATTAAAAAACAAATTTGATATCACATGGAAACAGGCAAAAAATATTGTAAAACATTGTGCTCAGTGTCAAGCCTTACACCTGCCCACTCAGGAAGCAGGGGTTAATCCCAGAGGTTTATGTCCTGATGCATTATGGCAAATGGATGTCACACATGTACCTTCATTTGGTAAATTGTCATTTGTCCATGTGACAGTTGATACTTTTTCACATTTCATATGGGCAACCTGCCAGACGGGAGAAAGTACTTCCCATGTTAAAAGACATTTATTATCTTTTTTTGCTGTCATGGGAGTTCCAGAAAAAATTAAAACAGATAATGGGCGAGGATACTGTAGTAAAACATTTCAAAAATTCTTAAATCAGCGGAAAATTACACATATAACAGGAATCCCTTATAATTCCCAAGGACAGGCCTAATCATTTACCTAATGTAAATGATGAGTTGATGGGTGCAGCAAACCAACATGGCACATGTGTACCTACGTATCAAACCTGCACGTTATGCACACATACCCTAGAACTTAAAGTATAATAAAAATAAATAAATAAAAATAAAATAAAATAAAACCTTACATTCATCCTTCCATCCCATGTGTGATCCGATTCTTCTGGTACATTGAGCAAGAACCCAGGCTGTCACACTGGCCCCCTGTCCTAAGACAGAGGGTCTATTAAGCTGGTTATGATTAACACAAGCTGTCTGCAGATGGCAAAGCTGAAAGAGCACACTGTAACACATGCCCACTTGGGCTTCGGGAATCACCAACACCCACTCCTAAACACTGCTGTGGGGCAGAAGCCCAAAACCACTCCCCACAGCCTCTGCACCTGCCTGTTTGCATGCTCCCCCTAGGGTTTGAGGGGTAGGGCAGCAGACAACCAAGGGATCCACACCCCTGTCACATGTCTTGCAAGGGGGATAAGAGAACTCTACCATTTAACTAGGACCCTGAAGCCTAGGTATGAGAATAATAGCAGCATATTAGAAGGGGACTGTAGGGCTGCAAGTCATAGTTATTTTATTGCATATTAGCTTAGAATTCTACTTTATAAGCTAGATATATTCTGTAAGGAAGTGTCTGGATTCCTTGCTAGTTTATGATATATATATATATATATCATAAGCTATATATATACACATATATATATCATAATATATATGTGTGTGTGTATATATGTGTGTGTATATATATATGTATATATATGTATATATATGTATATATATGTATATATATGTATATATATATGTGTATATATATATGTGTGTGTGTGTGTGTGTGTGTGTGTGTGTGTGTATATATATATATATATGTAGAGACGAGGTTTCTCCATGTTGGTCAGGCTGGTCTCAAACTCCCAACCTCAGGTGATCCATCTGTCTCAGCGTCCCAAAGTGCTGGGATTACAGGCATGAGCCATTGCACCCAGCCAACGTTTCAGGTTTTTATGGGCACAGGATGGAGGGCATGGTGGGCCAGACTGGTGATCTTGGAAAATGCAACATTTGGGCATGAAAACAGAAGTGCCTGTTCTCACTTTGGTCCATGAACATAGGCCCCAGGGTGGAGCCCTCGCCAGGAAACACACCCTTCTTTACCCAACACTTCCATGACCCCCTGCCATATCACTAAACCTACACCCTCCTTGCCCTTTTCCTCTTTTCACTCATTCTTCAAAACTCAAGAGCCAACTATTTCCAAGTCCTTCTTATCATTATCTGAGGAGGATAGAATTGGCACCACAGGTCTGCCACCATAGAACCTGGGAACAATTTTTATCTCAGATTCAAGACTTGATCAGTAATATTAGGACCATGCAGGGTATCTGGGTTCCCAGGGTTAAAATAACTGCTCCCCTCATCAGTCAATCCTGGAAATCCAGGCAATGAAGGCCTGGAACTTTCTGGCTTGGCAGAGGTGGAGTTTGCCACTGGGAAATTCGGCATACAGTTCAACACACAACTTTTGAGTGTGGGACATTATTGAATCAGACTGTTTCTCATTTCCAGAAACACTCATGAGGGGATGGGTAAATAAACATAA
The DNA here is from genome assembly GCF_000001405.40 of Homo sapiens. NCBI lineage: Eukaryota > Metazoa > Chordata > Mammalia > Primates > Hominidae > Homo > Homo sapiens. The sequence goes on along the minus strand of NC_000023.11, from coordinate 66,462,661 downwards.
ATAAAAAATTTACTGCACCATACTCTGAAATTACTGGGATGATGGTGTGCATAGGGTAACCTGGGAACACAGAGAAGCTTTCAACTTAGCCAGGCAGTGAGATCAAGGAGGAATACTGAAAGTAATTCCTGTTGAGTCCTGAGAGATCAGTAAGTATTTATCCAGGCAAGCAGCTAAGAGAGACGACTGGAAGGAAGAAGTTGTTTCAAACAAAGAAGATATTAACAGTAAAGGCTGCAGGTAGAAGGGAGTGAGGAAGCAACTCCGTTCAAGTCTCCAGTATAAGGCAACTAATGGTAGAACAAAAGCTGGAGAAATAGACAGGAGCCAGTCATAGAGGACTTTTAAAAAGATGAATCCTTTTTTGCAATATATGGAGATCCCATTGAAGGGTCAGAAATAAGAAAATAGTGTGATCTATTCTGCACCTAAGAAAAATTTTCATGGATGCCCCTGTTCATAAGCTGATGGCTTATGGAAGACACTAAGGACCTGAGTGGAAGCTACAAAGAACTTTCTTGAAATAGCTGAGTCCCTAGCACATTGGTCAAAGTGTAAAGCCAGAAGAGAGTGGAACTGATTCCCCCACCATTTCATTTACTCTGGTGTTAGGAAAGACTCAAAGCACTCTAGCCTTATAAAAAAGACATTACTGTTATGTTCTGCCTTTGATACTTGTGCTCCATCTCAAATCAATAGTCTCTGCCATGTTGCCTGAACAGAGGGCATCTTTATGTCCTGTATGGAATATTTAGCTTCATAGAACTGAGCTCTGTTTACTTCTGGTCAGTCCCCATCTCAGCCTGCGACCCTGTTTTCCTTGAAAATACATGGTTAATTTATCTTTAAGTTCTTATTTTGTTCTGCTTTACTCTTAGGAAGCTCATTGCTTCATCTACAAACTCTCGCCCCTTCCCTCCACTTCAGCCACATCCAGCCCTATGCTGTCTATTCAATTTCTGCCTTAGGAGCTAAATTTCCTCCCTGAACCAGAAGCTGGATGTGTTCTGATGTTACTAAACAATTATTTAGCAGTATTGTAAAAATTAACACATAGAAAAACACAACTGAAGTGTACCACAAATTTGACAGATATTAAACACTGGTTTAATATTTATAAAGCATAATTTTAATATTTTTTCTAGCCTAAGATATTTGATTGCAATAATCATATCTTATATATCTCAGTATTCCATCATAGTCACAATTCTGTTTGTTTCTTTTTTTGTTTCTCTGCAACCTCCGACTCTCAAGTTGAAGCGATTCTCCTGCCTCAGCCTCCTGAGTAGCTGAAATTATAGGCGCGTGCCACCAGTCCCAACTAATTTTTGTATTTTTAGAAAAGACGGGGTTTCCCCATGTTGGTAAGGCTGGTCTCGAACTCCTGACCTCGTGATCAGCCTGTTTCAGCCTCCCAAAGTGCTGGGATTACAGGCATGAGCCACCGCGCCCGGCCCATAGTCACAATTCTTCTAGTCCATTACTATGCTCTGTTTGCCACTGTGTACAAATGCAATAAATGTTTCTGGAATGACTTTCCTTCGCTCTCGATAATTGTTGAGGAGATTTGAGAAGATTATTTGGATGACTCAGTTATCACTAATAAGCTGTTCAAAAATAATGATAGATATGCTTAACAATATATGTGCAAGCTGTGCTCATCCCATTAATATATATAATCATAATATTAAAAATAAATGGGAAATATGAAATTGGTTTCAATTTTTACGATTAATATGGTGAGTCTATTCAAAGAAATATTTTCAAGTATGTCAAGATACAAAGTTAATAGTATGGATAAATTTTATATTATTAAATAAGAAAAACAGATTACAAAATAATTTCTGCATACACATTAATAGTGAGAAATCAGCAAATGTTTGTTAAATGACTACACATTCAAATGCATAAAAATATAACACTACTTTTAAAAATGTTCAGATCCCCCCGATTTAAAAAATACTAAAAGGATATCCATACACTAAATATTACAAGTTTTATAATTTTGTGTCATTGGCTTATGGATGATTTTAACTTCATTCTTGTGATTTCTATCTCCCAAAATTTGTATAACTATAACATATTACTTCCATAATCATGTAAAACAGTAACATTTAAACAAATACTTTTCTCACCTCTTGATAAACATTCCTGTGTTCAGCAGAAACGTTCGGACTCATTGACCTTAAAGCTTAACTCAGGGCTATAAATTTGGGTTGCTGATGGTGATGGTGTTCTGTAATTGAAAAACATTTTTTGAAGTGAAGGCTGATTCATAATTCTTCTTCTTTACTCTTCCATAACTCTTCAGTTTATTCAATATTTCATTTGGTGTCAGCTCAAACAAAAGGCATCAGGAAGCACTAAGTGACTGCTATCAGATTATTTTGCATGTTCAGGAAAAGTCATAAAGATGATTATATGGTTACTCTGAACATTAAAAAAATACTTAAAAATACCAGGAAATACAATTGAATTCTAACCAAAGCATGCTCCAAGATTTTCAAATGTGAGAATACAAGTATAGAAAGTAGAAGTGTACAAAGACAGAAGCAATTAAAATATAATGGTTGAATGGGAATTATTATTGAATAATACAGGGGAAAGATAGAAGACCTTCCAATATTTGTCTTTTTTTTCTTTTAGAGTTTTTTCCACTTTATTTACTTATTTTTCATAATTATACTTTAAGTCTTAGGGTACATGTGCACATTGTGCAGGTTAGTTACATATGTATACATGTGCCGTGTTGGTGTGCTGCACCCATTAACTCGTCATTTAACGTAAGGTATATCTCCTAATGCTATCCCTCCCCCCTCCCCCCACCCCACAACAGGCCCCAGTGTGTGATGTTCCCCTTCCTGTGTCCGTGTGTTCTCATTGTTCAATTCCCACTGATGAGTGAGAACATGTGGTGTTTGATTTCTTCTCCTTGTGATAGTTTGCTGAGAATGATGGTTCCCAGCTTCATCCATGTCCCTACAGAGGACATGAACTTATCATTTTTTATGGCTGCATAGTATTCCATGGTGTATATGTGCCACATTTTCTAAATCCAGTCTATCATTGTTGAACATTTGGGTTGCTTTCAAGTCTTTGCCATTGTGAATAGTGCCACAATAAACATATGAGTGCATGTGTCTTTATAGCAGCATGATTTATAATCCTTTGGGTATATACCCAGCAATGGGATGGCTGGGTCAAATGGTATTTCTAGTTCTAGATCCCTGAGGAATCGCCACACTCACTTTCACAATGGTGGAACTAGTTTACAGTCCCACCAACAGTGTAAAAGTGTTCCTATTTCTCCACATCCTCTCCAGCACCTGTTGCTTCCTGACTTTTTAATGATTGCCATTCTAACTGGTGTGAGATGGTATCTCATTATGGTTTTGATTTGCATTTCTCTGATGGCCAGTGATGGTGAGCATTTTTTCATGTGTTTTTTGGCTGCATAAATGTCTTCTTTTGAGAAGTGTCTGTTCATATCCTTTGCCCACTTTTTGATGGGGTTGTTTGGTTTTTTCTTGTAAGTTTGTTTGAGTACATTGTAGATTCTGGATATTAGACCTTTGTCAGATGAGTAGATTGCAAAACTTTTCTCCCATTCTGTATGTTGCCTGTTCACTCTGATGGTAGTTTCCTTTGTTGTGCAGAAGCTCTTTAGTTTAATTACATCCCATATGTCAATTCTGGCTTTTGTTGCCATTGCTTTTGGTGTTTTAGACATGAAGTCCTTGCCCATGCCTATGATCTCAATGGCATTGCTTAGGTTTTCTTCTAGGTTTTTTATGGTTTTAGGTCTAACATTTAAGTCTTTAATGCATCTTCAATTAATTTTTGTATAAGGTGTAAGGAAGGGATCCAGTTTCAGCTTTCTACATATGGCTAGCCATTTTTCCCAGCACCATTTATTAAAAAGGGATGCCTTTCCCCATTTCTTGTTTTTGACAGGTTTGTCAAACACCAGATGGTTGTAGATATGTGACATTATTTCTCAGGGCTCTGTTCTGTTCCATTGGTCTATATCGCTGTTTTGGTACCAGTTCCATGCTGTTTTGGTTACTGTAGCCTTGTAGTATAGTTTCAAGTCAGGTAGAGTGATGCCTCCAGCTTTCTTCTTTTGGCTTAGGATTGACTTGGCAATGTGGGCTATTTTTTGGGTCCATATGAACTTTAAAGTAGTTTTTTTCCAATTCTGTGAAGAAAGTCATTGGTAGCTTGATGGGGATGGCACTGAATCTATAAATTACCTTGGGCAGTATGACCATTTTCACGATATTGATTCTTTCTACCCATGAGCACGAAATGTTCTTCCATTTGTTTGTATCCTCCTTTATTTTATTGAGAAGTGGTTTGTAGTTCTCCTTGAAGAGGTCCTTCACATCCCTTGTAAGTTGGATTCCTAGGTATTTTATTATCTTTGAAGCAATTGTGAATGGGAGTTCACTCATGATTTGGCTCTCTGTTTCTCTGTTATTGGTGTGTAAGAATGCTTGTGATTTTTGCACATTGATTTTGTATCCTGAGACTTTGCTGAAGTTGCCTAAGAGCTTAAGGAGATTTTGGGCTGAGACAATGGGGTTTTCTAGATATACAATCATGTCATCTGCAAATAGGGATAATTTGGCTTCCTCTTTTCCTAACTGAATACCCTTGATTTTCTTCTCCTGCCTGATTGCCCTGGCCAGAACTTCCAACACTATGTTGAATAGGAGTGGTGAGAGAGGACATCCCTGTCTTGTGCCAGTTTTCAAAGAGAATGCTTCCAGTTTTTGCCCATTCAGTATGATACTGGCTGTGGGTTTGTCATAGATAGCTCTTATTATTTTGAGATAAGTCCCATCAATACCTAATTTATTGAGAGTTTTTAGCATGAAGGGCTGTTGAATTTTGTCAAAGGACTTTTCTGCATCTATTGAGATAATCATACCGTTTTTGTTATTGGTTCTCTTTATATGCTGTATTACGTTTATTGATTTGCGTATGTTGAACTATTCTTCCATCCCAGGGATGAAGCCCACTTGATCATGGTGGATAAGCTTTTTGATGTGCTGCTGGATTCGGCTTACCAGTATTTTACTGAGGTTTTTTTGGCCATGTTCATCAGGGATATTGGTCTAAAATTCTCTTTTTTTGTCGTGTCTCTACCAGACTTTGGTATCAGGATGATGCTGGCCTCATGAAATGAGTTAGGGAGGATTCCCTCTTTTTCTATTGATTGGAATAGTTTCAGAAGGAATGGTACCAGCTCCTCCTTGTACCTCTGGTAGAATTCAGCTGTGAATCCATCTGGTCCTGGACTTTTTTTGGTTAGTAAGCTATTAATTATTGCCTCAATTTCAGAGCCTGTTTTTCGTCTATTCAGAGATTCAACTTCTTCCTGGTTTAGTCTTGGGAGGGTGTATGTGTCAAGGAATTTATCCATTTTTTCTAGATTTTCTAGTTTATTTGCATAGAAGTGTTTATAGTATTCTCTGATGGTCGTTTATATTTCTGTGGGATAGGTGGTGATATCCCCTTTATCATTTTTTATTCCATTTATTTGATTCCTCTCTCTTTTTTTCTTTTTTAGTCTTGCTAGCAGTCTATCAATTTTGTTGATCTTTTCAAAAAACCAGCTCCTGGATTCATTGATTTTTTGAAGGGTTTTTTGTGTCTCTATTTCTTTCAGTTCTGCTCTGATCTTAGTTATTTCTTGCCTTCTGCTGGCTTTTGAATGTGTTTGCTCTTGCTTCTCCAGTTCTTTTAATTGTGATGTTAGGGTGTCAATTTTAGATCTTTCCTGCTTTCTCTTGTGGGCATTTAGTGCTATAAATTTGCCTCTACACACTGCTTAAAATGTGTCCCAGAGATTCTTGTATGTTGTATCTTTGATCTCATTGGTTTCAAAGAACATCTTTATTTCTGCCTTCATTTTGTTATGTACCCAGTAGTCATTCAGGAGCAGGTTGTTCAGTTTCCATGTAGTTGAGCAGTTTTGAGTGAGTTTCTTAATCCTGAGTTCTAGTTTGATTGCACTGTGGTCTGAGAGACAGTTTGTTATAATTTGTGTTCTTTTACATTTGCTGAGGAGTGCTTTACTTGCAACTATGTTGTCAATTTTGGAATAGATGTGGTGTGGCGCTGAAAATAATGTATATTTTGTTGATTTGGGGTGGAGAGTTCTGTAGATGTCTATTAGGTCTGCTTGGTGCCGAGCTGAGTTCTGTTCCTGGATATCCTTGTTAACTTTCTATCTCGTTGTTCTGTCTAATGTTGACAGTTGGGTGTTAGTGTCTCCCATGATTATTATGTGGGAGGCTAAGTCTCTTTGTAGGTCTCTAAGGACTTGCTTTATGAATCTGGGTGCTCCTGTATTGGGTGCATATATATATTTAGGATAGTTAGCTCTTCTTGCTGAGTTGATCCCCTTACCATTATGGAATGGCCTTCTTTGTGTCTTTTGATCTTTGTTGGCTTAAAGTGTGTTTTATCAGAGTCTAGGATTGCAACCCCTGCCTTTTTTTGTTTTCCATTCGCTTTTTAGATCTTCCTCCATCCCTTTATTTTGAGCCTATGTGTTTCTCTGCCCATGAGATGGGTTTCCCGAATACAGCACACTGATGGGTCTTGACTCTTTATCCAATTTGCCAGTCTGTGTGTTTTATTTGGAACATTTAGTCCATTTACATTTAAGGTTAATATTGTTATGTGTGAATTTGATCCTGTCATTATGATGTTAACTGGTTATTTTGCTCGTTAGTTGATGCAGTTTCTTCCTAGCCTCGATGGTCTTTACAATTTGGCATGATTTTGCAGTGGCTGGTACCAGTTGTTCCTTTCCATGTTTAGTGCTTCCTTCAGGAGCTCTTTTAGGGCAGGCATTGTGGTGACAAAAATCTCTCAGCACTTGCTTTTCTGTAAAGGATTTTATTTCTCCTTAACTTATGAAACTTAGTTTGCCTGAATATGAGATTCTGGGTTGAAAATTCTTTTCTTTAAGAATGTTGAATATTGGCCCCCACTCTCTTCTGGCTTGTAGAGTTTCTGCCAAGAGATCCGCTGTTAGTCTGATTGGCTTCCCTTTGTGGGTAACTCGACTTTTCTCTCTGGCTGCCCTTAACATTTTTTCCTTCATTTCAACTTTGGTGAATCTGACAATTATGTGTCTTGGAGTTGCTCTTCTCAAGGAGTATCTTTGTGGCATTCTCTGTATTTCCTGAATGTGAATGTTGGTCTGCCTTGCTAGATTGGGGAAGTTCTCCTGGATAATATCTTGCAGGGTGTTTTCCAACTTGGTTCCATTCTCCCCGTCACTTTCAATTGTAACAATCAGATGTAAATTTGTTCTTTTCACATAGTCTCATGTTTCTTGGAGGCTTTGTTCATTTCTTTTTATTCTTTTTTCTCTAAACTTCTCTTCCCGCTTCATTTCATTCATTTGATCTTCCATCACTGATACCCTTTCTTCCAGGTGATTGAATCGGATACTAAGGCTGGTGCATTCGTCATGTACTTCTCATGCCTTGGTTTTCAGCTCCTTCAGGTCCTTTAAGGACTTCTTTGCATTGGTTATTCTAGTTAGCCATTCATCTAATTTTTTTTCAAGATTTTTAACTTATTTGCCATGGGTTCAGACTTCCTCCTTTAGCTCGGAGTAGTTTGATCGTCTGAAGCCTTCTTCTCTCAACTCATCAAAGTCATTCTCCGCCCAGCTTTGTTCCATTGCTGATGAGGAGCTGTGTTCCTTTGGAGGAGGAGAGGCGCTCTGATTTTTAGAGTTTCCAGTTTTTCTGCTCTGTTTTTTCCCCATCTTTGTGGTTTTATCTACCTTTAGTCTTTGATGATAGTGATGTACAGATGGGGTTTTGGTGTGGATGTCCTTTCTGTTTGTTAGTTTTCCTTCTAACAGTCAGGACCCTCAGCTGCAGGTCTGTTGGAGTTTGCTGGAAGTCCACTCCAGACCCTGTTTCTGCGTATCAGCAGTGGAGGCTGCAGAACAGCAGATATTGGTGAACAGCAAATGTTGCTGCTTGATCGTTCCTCTGGAAGTTTTGTCTCAGAGGAGTACCCGGTCGTGTGAGGTGTCAGTCTGCCCCTACTAGAGTGTGCCTCCCAGTTAGGCTACTCAGAGGTCAGGGATCCACTTGAGGAGGCAGTCTGTCTGTTCTCAGATCTCCAGCTGCGTGCTGGGAGAACCACTACTTCCTTCAAAACTGTCAGACAGGGACATTTAAGTCTGCAGAGGATTCTGCTGCCTTTTGTTTGCTGTGCCTTGCCCCCAGAGGTGGAGTCTACAGAGGCAGGCAGGCGTCCCTGAGCTGCAGTGGGCTCCACCCAGTTTGAGTTTCCAGGCCACTTTGTTTACCTACTCAAGCCTGGGCAATGGTGGGCGTCCCTCCCCCAGCCTCGCTGCTGCCTTGCAGTTTGATCTCAGACTGCTGTGCTAGCAATGAACCAGGCTCCATAGGCATAGGACCCTGTGAGCCGGGCGTGGGATATTATCTCCTGGTGTGCCATTTGCTAAGACCATTGGAAAAGTGCAGTATTAGGGTGGGATTGACCCGATTTTCCAGGTGCCGTCTGTCACTCCTTTCTTTGACTAGAAAAGGGAACTCCCTGACACCTTGAGCTTCCTGGGTGAGGTGATGCCTCGCTCTGCTTCAGCTCAAGTTCAGAGCACTGCACCCACTGTCCTGCACCCACTTTCTGACACTCCCCAGTGAGATGAACCCAGTACCTCAGTTGTAAATGCAGAAATCACACATCTTCTGTGTCGCTCACGCTGGGAGCTGTACGCTGGAGCTGTTCCTATTTGGCCATCTTGGCTTCACCCCCAAGACCTTCCAGTATTTGTTTAGGCAGCACAAAAGAGACAAGTAGCTTGGAGACTCTTTGGGAGGAAGCGGATTGTCTTTCCTGATCTCCCTTTTTAAGTTCACCATTAAATCAAGTATTTTATACCACAAATAAATCTAATTTTGGCATCCTTGCCTGCCTCCTTTTTCACTTTCTTACCAGTACTCAGAGTTCATGTCCCACTGATTCACTTAATAAACATTGATTGAGTGCTCACTACATGCATGCACTCTCCTGGTTTTGTTCCTCTTTTAAGACCTGAAGCTCAGTACTTCTTCTCTGACTTCAACCTTTGTTTTTTCTTCTTCAGTTGTAACTACAAAGCTCTCTTTCCTCTGGCTACGAAGTTCTAAGTAGTGGAGCCAATATTCCATCCCAGTCCCTGAGATTTCAGAAGTCATATCTCAACCAGGTTTGTCCTAGGACAGTGAGTAGAACAACTGGACAAAGAGTGAGGAGTAGGAAAATTCATCCAGGAAGTGACCGCATTCTGAAATAAGAGTGGCTGTTTCATGAACTATGGTGTCTCTGAAGTTCTTTCCCAAAAAGGAATGGTTTGGTTGATGCTACATTTTCAATGTGAAAGGCAAATTGTGCATATACACCTCTGTTATCATATATGAGATGTTATAAGGCTCCTGTGATCACATGTATTCATGTATACAGTATTTCATTTCATTTAAGGTAACGGCAGCATCCAGAATATGGATGAGAAAATTGCCATTTGAGTATATCTGTGTTTATTCTCAGGGGCAAAGGCTGTAATGAAATAAATCTGTGAAGTTCAAATTGTAGGTGTGATCAATAGACATTCTCCAGAGCCTCATCCTTGTTTAATAAGATTCCATTTGGCACAAGAACTTGGTAAGGATTTGTTGGAACCTAAAAGAGGTTCTGAGCTATGAACTTGTTCCACTTGGTTGTGCTCCAAATCACCAGCCAGTTTACTCAGCTTTCGGTAACAGAAAGAAGCACAACATCACCACAGCTCAAAGAGCATGTTGGGCCAAGGCAAAAATCCTGGAATTGGATGAACTAAATCAGAAAACCGAGCACTGGGGAAGAAGTTCCATGAAAGTTGCACGGGAGTGAATGAGTTGTAATTTGTATAATAGGAGATTAGAACAGGCAGAAGATTTGTTGGTACGAATATGAAGCGCTGTTGCTGGAATGAAAAAGGCATTGTCCTCTTATTATTTATTCTATTTTAATTGCTCCTTTAAAGTGATGCTTTGGTACCTGAAGTGGTGTATGATTAAAAAATAAATAAGAGTGATACTTTCAAATTATTAGCAACATCTGAAAGTTTCTCTTCCTATATGAACTGGTTAACTATACTGAATATTTCTGTGGAATTCCTATGAAATATCCATCCTCTGAGAAGTAATCTCCTATATACATGCACTGTATCTTCCTTTCATACCCTCCTTTAACTGAGATTCCACTTCTTCATTAGAGACATTACCTCCGCTTTACTTCAGCCCTCCACAGTTATGCTCATTGTCTGGACCTCATAATCACCCAGAAATGTTATACTTGATACAATTTTTTCAATACCATTAAGATCTCCAGTCCCCAAAATCCTTCAACTTTCGCTAAATCTTTGGGGACTTCCTACAATATTTCCCCATTTATCTTTGATCCCATGGTTCACTACTTCAACCACTATCTTGACAATACCCTACTATTCTCTCTCTTTCATCCATCCATTGCACTTACCCAGAAAAAGCTCAACTCAGATCATTCTTTCTTCTCCAATCCAAAACTCAGGCTGCTGACAACTTCTATAGAAATACTACTTTGAATATTGGGACCACTGCAAATTAATGGTTATCACTCTTACTTGGACTCCAGACATTTTGTAGAGATTCTCTCTTCAGTTCCCAACAATGGCTATTTCAAGCTTCACATAGAAAATTGAGATGATTAGTCAAAATTTCCGATTCTACCCATTCAAAGCTTACCTGCATCCTCCCCCTTCTTTACCTTTTTATCTCCTAATTCATTGAAAGAGATGATTATCCTTCTGCCAAAGCACAATTTTATTTCCCCCCAGTAGCACCTACAATGATTGAAACATTTGTGTAAATATTTTCTTATATGTCTTTAACTTATCTGTAAGTTCCATGAAAGCAGTGTCTGTTTTCATCACACTATCTCAGGCACTTACCACAATAATATATCTCTGATTTAAATTGGTTTAATTAATATATACTTATTACTTTTCCTATTTACAATGGTCGATATCTGCCTTTGGATTACTTAAGTAAAATGGAAATTATTTGAAGGCTCTGAAAATAGGATGTGGGCCTCAGATAACTGACCAAATTTTAGAATTGGCAGATGCCAAGGAAACTCCAGAAAGCCAAAAAGCAGACACCATGACAGTTTTCTCATAGTCCAGTCAAGTTGAGTCAGAGAGCTACTGTTGCTGCTACTATTCTTATGGTTATGAATGAAGACCCACCAATTGATTGCTTCATTCTGTCTGTTATAAAGCCTCAGGAGAAAACATCTGGTTGATAGAGCTTGGATTAACATCTTACATCCTGGCTATATGGGGGGCATAAAAAGAAAAACTTCTGGTCCCTGTTGACTCCATAGTGGAAGGCAGGTCCTGGAATAACCCTCCTGTAAAAACTACTGTCATGATTACTTTTATGTCAACTTGATTAGGGAACAGGGTGCCCAGATATTTCATTCAACATTATTCTGATTGTGTCTGTGACAGTGTTTCTGAATGAGACTAAGTAAAGAAGAGTGACCTCCCCAATGTGGTGGGCTTCATCCAATCAGCTGGAGGCCTGACAAAAACAAAAAGTGGCAGGTGGCATAAGGGAGAATTCACTCTCTGCTTGTCTTTGAACTTAGATACCAATCTTCTCATTTTCTTGGACTGGAACTTATATCATTGTTTTTTTTGTTTTCAAGCCCTCTGATTTGGACTGGAACTACACAGCCAGCTCTCTGGGGTCTCCATCTTGCAGACTATGAGACATAGCCTCCATAATCATACAAGCCAATTCCTTGTAGTAAATGAATATCTCTTTCTTTCTCCTCATCTCCCTAGAAATGAACACACACACACACACACACACACACATAAATGTTACAAAAATAATAAAAAAAATATATATATATATAGTCACGTTTTCTATACTTGAAGAAACCTTCACTGCAATTTTGCTGGGATCTGATGATATAATATATATCCTGGTTAAACTGTGTTCAAAGATCTTATACTTTCCATTGTATACACAATTTTGCCTTTTCTAGGACAAGATTACAGTTCCAGTGTGGGAACTGGAATGTGGAAGAGGAATCAGAGGCTGAGGTGTCCAATTGATTATATAGATCAAATATGACAGGCATCAAACCTGACTGAAACATAAATCCCCAGGGCTTATTTCAGACCACAACAGAAACAATATTTGTGAAAAGAAAATTATTTTATACCTCTGGACATTGTGTTTGTGTTCACTCATGTTCTGATAACCTTGGTCTAGATTGGCTCAAAACTTGGCAAAGCCAAACTTTTAGGTAAAAGCTGTCTGTTTTTATTGTCTTACTCTGCCTACCCCAACCAACCTAGCCCATGAGCATGAAGTTAATTTCGCTATTCAAGTATCCCATGTATCTGGAGGAAGGCAACCTGGATCCTAGTTTTCCAGAACTTCTAGACTTTGAGATTCAGATTGTGAATCTCCACAGAGAAGCTGTCATCTTGTTATTCATAAGAACAACTATGTAAATTTTATAAGTATTGTGTGATATGAAGATGTGGTTATATGTCTGAGCCTATAATGTTATGTGGCCATCTTTTCTGTTCCATGGAAAAGACAAAGGGACTATCAGGACCCTTGGAATATAAGGGGTTCCTGTGAATTGAATGCTTTGGTCTTGGCCATTGAATAGGCTGCATTTATATATCATTATAACATCATTAGCCAACAAATGTAATTCTTCCTAAATAGAATTCAGCTTTGGCTTGACTTTTTCAAAAATCTGAGAGCAATAAAATATATTTATTTTGTTCTGGGCCTTCTCAACAATTAAGTAGGTGTTTGAGCACATATATACTGTGTATATTTCAATGGCTTATGGAGCAATCAATAATTTTTGATCTACTCAATAGCATTCATGTCTTTCCCTCTTAATCCCTAGTTGCTGAAGTTATTTCAAGAAAAAATTACCTAGGTCTGAAAAAAAATAAAAATCCATAAGTGTGCCCAATATCGTAACTAATCACATGCTCATTAACATTACCCTGTGTAATTGAGACTTTCTCTGATTTACCTGAGAAGAACCTCACATGTTTATTATTTTGCAGATCATTTAAAAAGTGTGTAGCTCAACTGATTTATCATAACATGCAAATAGATTGTACATATTTTTGTTGGTGCATTGAGAGTTCCTATAAAAATAATTTGATCTTTAATTAGCATGGACAGAGATGGACAGAGGCAAAGAACAGTGGTAGTATTTGATAGCCATTTAAGAATTGGCTGCTTTTGAACCAAAGTGATGAAAAAGTTCTTATTAGCATCTTGTATTAGTACAAAGTAGACAAACCCATTGTCTTTGGGACTAGGAAAAAATTTCCATTGAAAAAGAACATGTAAAATTAAACTATGGTGATAGAAATCAGAATAACAGTTACCTCTAGGGAAATACAGACAGAGGGCATTAAGGAGCTTTCTAAAGTCCTGGAAATCTTATATATGTTGGTATGAGTAGTGGTTATACAAACACATGCATATGTAAAAATTCATTTTGCTGTACTCTCAACATTTGTGTATTTTATCATATTTTCTAGTTATGAAAACAGAAGACAGAGACTTGATTCCTCAGTGGATTCTAGAATAAACTGTTTGTTTCCTCTGTTCACCCTGGAAAATTTTCCAAGTCAGACATCTTAGGATTTGCTTTTATGTTATACCCCCACCGCCATCCATTTCCACCTCAATGTCTACAAGTTGAACACATAAGAAGTTTTCAGCGTTGACTTTATTTTATGACAGCCACTATGAATTACAAATACCCACTACTGTAATGTATACTCTCAGCCTTCCCTTCCACCAACCAGACCCATTCCTATGAGAAGAGCTTATAAGTGCTGTGAACAAACATGTGTGTGTGTGTGTGTGAATACATATATGTCCTAATCTACTCTCACTTCCCATACACCGACCTACCCCACAAATTATCTCCTACCTGTAGTCCCTCTCCTTCCCAACTCAGAATTAACAATCAAACATTAAATTAGGGTACAGAAAAATAGGGACAGGGTAGAGAATATTTAAAGAAACAGTCACAAGTAAATAAATAACACATCCCATCTGGGAACCCAAAATAATGTCCATTCTTCTGTCGTAATACAGTGAGACTTCTCTCATTCCCCTTTGTTAGGATGTCCCATTGCATTTTACCAGTGTCTAAACAGGAAATTTTATTTCCTGAGGCATTTAAACACAGCAGCTGCAGCTTGCATAAAAGAATTTGGTAATCTCACAACCTTATTCTCTGGGTCTTCGGTCCCACACAGCCCAAATTACCACTAGGTTTAAACCAAGTAGCTAGTATGTGATGTGCTTGTACATACGTGCTTAGGATATTTTCTACCATTTCACAGAGCTTGTGAGAAAGAACAGGGCAGTAGTAAAAGCTAAACAACTTAAAGTCATTAAGTTCAGCTTCATTGCATGGTGAGTAGTCGGGAGAGCGTGTGGAGGGGCACAACTCAGGCGGGTGTTGCACTATGAAATAAATTTCACTAACTACCTTATGAAGTCTAAGGGTCAATTATTTTCTTTATTTATTTTTTAATATTTTTGCATTTAAATTTTATTTTATTGAGGATTTTTTTTACACTAGACTTTTCAACTGGAGTTCTGAGTTGAAGGTATAAAGGCATTGACAAACAGTCTCTTCTCTAAAGCTACAAATAAAGTATTCAAGTTGTCTAACTCTTAATGAAGGTTTTCTACCACCTTTAGATCAGTGGTCAGAGTGGGAAACCCTATAGATAAAAGGTCTTATGGGCCAGCTGGATCTGTGTCTCTCTCCCTAGATGCCTTTTAGCAACATCCCATAAAAAATACCTAAACTGGTAGAAACTTTATTTCCAGCAGGATCTCATCACAAAAGAATAGCAGGATTCACTCCTGATTTGTAAATTCTGATGCTACATTTCAACTAGTCCAATTAACATAATTATATTTATGTAAATCTAAATACCAGCACTTCTTTCATACCTGAATCTATTACTTCAAGAAGCTTACACTAAGTTATAATAATAACTAAACTGTTTCCTCCATGCTCACCTTGGGCATCTAGATAAGGCAATTCTTTCCTTTAATATCAAACTTTGTTTAAGATGAATAAGATGACCCTCAGAGCTGTGGAACAATAGAAGTTGATCCAGTGCTTTGCAGTTTTCAGAGAACATTCCCATTCACCAGCATATTTGAAAATAAAATCTACAGTCCTATCCAGGCACCCCCACATTCTTTAATTTTTCAATATGAAAAAAAACATTGAGAACAAATATTTGTTGACAAATACTAAAAGATCTTATTTTGGAAATCACAAAGTTATCATCACATATAGGATATTGTTATTACTATTTCTACTTTTACTATTACAAGAGAACAGAGTTTGAACTAAACACAGAAATATCTTTGAACAAGTTATCAAATAAACAAATTTACCTCCACTTTCATGCTGTCCCAACTGGGTCAATCTTTTCTTCTTCATATGGCCCAGAGGACAGCAGACTTCACCCCATTGTCTAGAGATGTTTTCAGCCATCAGCAGTGGTGGGGTAGCAAATAGATGGTCTGAATGTGTAATTATGGTTCCAGGTAGGCACTTGCTGATATTATGGCATATACCTCTCCTGACACAAAACTACCTATTAGATCAGGTTATAGAGAAACAAACATATCCAAGCTTAAACATATTCTCACAGGGTAGGCAAGGTAATTTTAGACCTCCGTTCTCTCTTCTACTCCACGTGTGCTAAGGAGGGACAAAACCTACAAGTCCCACTGTCTTATGAGTTTCCAATTGCCTACCAACTTCATGTGTGGTCTTTTTAAATAAAAGGACATTTAACCTTTAGTAGTCTAGCATGGGCCAGCAAGGTCCTTGTTCTCTCATCAAGGGCTTCTTGAATCTATGTGCGCAACTTTTGTGTCCACGTATATGCTTGTGTTCCTCTGTATATCTTTGTGAAATTGTGTATGGATGTGTTTATGTTCATGTGTATTAAAGATGCTACTCCTTTAAGGTTTTCTTTTTACGTGTATGTAGGCATTAAAATACGTAGATTTTCTTTAGAACAATAAATATCCAATTGACATTGTTACACAGATTTGTAAATGAGACATTTGCTATGTTAGGGTGCTAGAAATGTGAGTGATACAACAGGTTTTAATAAAATAGTGTCAGTGACCACAACAAAGTACAAAACAACACTGAATCACCCAGAGAAATGACAAAGATATTGAAAAGTTCAGTTTGTTCATTCAAACAGATAACTGAGTGAAAGAATAATGAATTAAAAACAAAATTTAGATTTGAAATTGGCATTATGAAAGATCTGCTATATTTGTTTTAAAATAGCGTACAATCTGTGTGTGCATTTTTCTGTATGTGTGTGCATGTTTGTATATGCTTATATATGTGTGTGTTTATGTGTGTTCACATGTGATGCATGTAGCTGTGTGTATTGGTATATGTGTGTATTTTTGTATATATGTGTGCATACATGTGTGTGATTATGTGTGGTAACATAGAAAGATACCTTAACTACAGGAGGGAAGAGAATTCTCATTGAAAGAGGGCTTCAGCTCTGAAAACCTAGGAGTGAATCTACATGCCACATACACGAGTAACCAACACATATGGTTGACTACCAGCAGCTCAGATATCTATATCATAGGGTGAATTCCCCCACTTCAATCTGCCTCATAGAGGTGCAACATTGGATGAACTTCATATAGAAGTTACTCTTATCAAATAATTTCTCTAAATATCCCAGCTTGGACAAACATACAGGTTTTTTTGACATTGGACAAAGGATAGTATATGTATTTATATGTATTTGTCAACTTCTTCTGCCTTCCATTGCTGTAACTCTTTTTGTTCAATTATACATTTTACAAGTGATGTTCTTCTAAGAAGAAGATGACACTACTAACACACAGTCAGTAGGAAATACACTTTAAGTTTTTATCCAGAAGGGAAATGGGTTTTGCAGGGTTATTTACACAACAGTTTTGCTGAGTCTTCCAGGGGGCTGATAATCATGTTCAGAAAAAGGCTGCCTAGGGTGGGTGGTGCGGTCTGTGTAAATGAAAACATGTGCGGTTTTGAAACCACATGACCATTGTTATTTAGCACCATTCTCAAACCCACAGAGCTTAATGGTCATACATGGGTTAGACTCTAGGACCTAGAGTTCACTAGCATCATGTTCCAACCAAATGAGCCCCCATGCCAGAAACTACAATGGTAGCACCCTCAGACATGGCTGGGTTCAGAGTTCAGATTAGTTGCTACCAAAAAAATATATAAACAAAACCCCACATGAAACTCAGACTACTCAGAGCCCTAAATCTTCAAACATCTCATACAGCACCAAAGCTGATAGGCAGACAAAATTCTGTGTGTTTGAAGTTCACAGCTGCGGCAGCAGCCAACATTGAAGCTGGCTCATTTGTCAAGCATTCACCATTCCATATCCCCAGCCTTACTGAGGGTGAAAAAAAAAGTCTAATCTTTTGTAGAGAATAAGCGTGGGATTAGGAAGGGTTTTTTCCTGGGAATAAGAGAACATTAGGTGAAAATACAATAGCACAATCATCATTTAAATTACAATGAGAGCGCTTTTCACCCAAATTTCTCCTAAATCTAAGCAGGAGAAGGAAAGTATCAGAGCAAAGTGTAATTCCTCAAAGAAGCACCAGGTACCCAGGGGCAATTCCACTATGCCCTCTTATGCAGAGGCAGAGGCCTAGACAGTCAGCTCATTGTCCTGGGATGTATACATCTTGCCAAAAGGAGAAGAGAAAAGATATGTATCTGTCCTTCCCTAGGTTAATGAGAAGGATTTACATAAGCAGGGGAAAAAATATACCAGTAGAGCTCACCACTCAAAAAGACTTCTAATCTCAAAGACAGCTGAAGACAAAAGCAAATAATAGGTAGATGTGCAGATTATAAGGGTGAGAACAGCAGATGTGATCATCTATTCAGCTCAGGACTTCTCCATGTATCTAGTATTGTACTTGCTTGATGAAAGTATTATATATAGATAAAATATATTAAAAAGTTTGGATGTTGAGGATAGAAAGGGAGATGAAATAAAGGATTAATTCATGGAAGTGAAAATGGAAAGAAACAAAGCAAAAACTACAAGTAGCTCTTTTTCCCCAATTTCTTTTTTATCCAACAAAAAGAATTAAATATTGTAGCAAGTGTGGAAATTTACCGGAGATATTTGGGGTCCTGACTCCAAAAACCCTACCTTATCCTATAACCAAGTACAATCAGACTAGCCAAAATCTAAACTTCAGTTAACCTGCTTCAAGCTCCTGGAAACTAGCTCATTCCTTTCCAGAGGAAACTTAAAATGTCATTGAATTATATCCTTGTTAAAAAGAGAATGATTAAGTTGAGGAAAAGAAAAAGAAGATAGTGGAGGAGAAAGAAATGTAAGCTGAGGCACACATGCATACACCCTAACAACATGATGATAACCCACTCTAAAAGCTGCTAAAGCCAATGAGGTGGTGTGATGACTACAAAAGTTACAGCAAAGGCAGCAGCAAAAGTTGAGAGCCAGTCATTTGGGCCTGGGACTTCCAAGAACCTCCAGGGTTGTCCTGTAGTGATAGGAGTCTGTTGTTGTTATTATTTCTATTACATTTTCGGAAGTTATTTTGTGTCTTTAGGGAAGTAATTATGGAGAAGGAGCAGAAAGGGAAATGTTCAATAACTAAAATGTTATAGAATAAGAAGTGGTTGAAAAAAAAAATGAGTGGCCAGAGAAAAGACATGTCTGACTTGGGTACAATTCCTTCAAATTAAACTGGGTCATATTCTTGGAAGATGCTGCACAGTGGTACTTCCCAACAGACACAGCAGCTATGGACTAAGCCTGGACAGTTTCCTTTATGCTTCTGGGGTGATCCAGCTTACTCCCCAGGAGGGCATAATGGGTAGTCAACTTCTGACAGTTAGAATTGAATGAGAAAGAGAGATGCAGAAGAGAAAAATGTAAGCAGTGGCTACCACTCACTTTGACCATCACATATACTACAAGGAGGCCTACGGAATAGTGCAAAGACTTGTTTATATTCAGAGGCTGCAGCTTCCTGGATTCCCAGGCTTCCAGTAAGTGTAAAAGAAATCTGAATTCTAAAGAGAAGTGAGAAATATGAAAGGGAAATGACAGACAATAGCTAAAACGCAATAGGAAAGCAATATTTTGAACCATACATGAGAGTTCGAAGAGATAAAGGATGTAAGATAGATAAAGGAGAGGAATAAAGAAAGAATAAAGAATTTGAGAAGGACTGGTGCTAAAGAAGGAAGGGCTCAGGAGGATTGAGGAAAAATGAGAAGGGGGAGGAGGGAGTAGGAGGGAAGAGGAAGGAAGAGGAGAGAAGGGAAGAGGAGAATTGGAGAGAGGGGAGAGAATTGGAGAGTGGGGACAGAAGTGAAAAGGATCGGGGAAAGAAGATGGGTAAGGGTAGGAGGGAATGGGGAGAAGAGGGGAGGAGGATAACACAGGAGAGTGGGAGATGGAGGATAGGAAAAGGCATGAGGTGGAATTTGAATGAAGAAAGGATGAGAAGGAAAAGGATGAAGAGGAGTAGAAGGGTGGAACAGAGGGGAGGAGGAAAAAGTGGAAGGGAAACAAGAAGAAGTGGGAGGAGAGAAAGAAGACAGGGAAGGTCAAAATAAAAAGGTGAATTCCCAGAGTAGTGAGGAAGGGAACAAAGAAGAGGAGGGGAAGAAGATGAGAAGGGGAAGAAATCCCACTCTTATACCCACATTATCTTGTCACACAATGAGCAATACTCTTCAACGTGCCTTAATAATATTATCTCCAGATGAAAGGCAGTCGCAGGAGGATGAGATATTACTTCTTTCCCACTGAGTTGAAATTCTCATAGACTAAAGAGATGGGAACAATAAAACAGCAGCAAGCACATTATGTCTCCTCTCTTTCCAGAAAAAGAAAGGCAAAACTAGACAGCACAAATTTATACAAGAGAAAGTATGATGCTAAATGTAGAGTGAGGAAACATGGAGAATATTTTGGATTTTGTAGTGCTAAATTCGGCACCTCAATTTTCATTGCATTCAAAGGAGAGCTATCAGCAAATTATTGTATATCAATTTGGGAAAATAACCACGGTGCAACTCCTCTGCATGTGTAAGTTTCTCATTCTCACTCTGCCACAAGGAGATAGTTACGACCAACTACTTACACTTATGAGAAGCATTGAGTTCCCGGATAACCCAATACAATTTCAGAAACTATACCTTCCCCTCCTGGCATTTCCCTGGGAATATGATAGACAAATTAGATCTCAATCATCTAAATGAAATATAAATCAGAATTTCTAGGGTACCTTGCACTTCCTGAGACAACGTTTGTGATATCAGATGTCAAGTGTCATGGCCAACTGGCACATAAGGATAGAGAAGGGAATGGTGACCAGAATCAGAGATAGAGTTCAGGAGATCTATCCCCTCACAGGTCAGAATAAAGCTTTCCTTTGAGTGATGGAGAAAGATCTCTGATGAGCCTGAAAATCTAATACCTTCACCTTATCGTTGGGAGAGAGAATAAAGGAAGAAAACCGAACAGGAAAAAAATAAAAAAAGAAGAGAGAAGGAAATGAAAGACTGAGTGACACAAATATGGGGGTTCACATGTCCCCAGTCCTTCAAGTACCCCTTCTGTTCACCTGGCCCCCATGCCATGAGAAATGAATGAATCCTATTTATTTTGGTCCCACTCTATCTTAGGGATTTTGAGGATGGAGAACGTATTGCCGTCTGGGCAGCTTAAAGTCTAGGCACTTGTGAATAGAGAAAGAAGATTTCCACCTCTTGGAATGGAGGGGGACTGGGTAGCTCATCAATATCTTTGAATTGTGGGAATTTGGGCACTCTGGGTTTGGAATCTACCCAGGCAAGGTGGTGAGTGGGTGAGACAGAGCTGAGTCAGCAGTGCTCCCCTCTTAGGCAGCTGATTTCTTTAGCAGCATCTTCTGAATTTCCATGATAACTTTCTGAACAATCCAGAAGTTATTGCTGAGCCAGAAGTGGATGTAGGGGTTGTAGCAGGAGCTGCTAATTGCCAGCCAGTGGAAGAAGAAGCAGAGGCCATTGTGGCTTGAGATGAATTCTCTGCATGGCAGCACCAGGTAGAGGTTAAGAGGGAGCCAGCTGATTGTGTAGACAAGCACCATTGTCATCAGCATCTTCAGGGTCTCCTTCTTCTCCCCATGCTGCCAGATATAGGTGTGGATGCTGATGTCATCAACAGCATTATGGATCCACAGCTTTTTGGCCACATGACCATAAACAACCACTAGTGCCATTAATGGCAAGATGAGGAAGAGCAAAAACAATTCTCAGGTCAAGGTATTTCCCTGAAGATTTTGAAGTATACGGGAAACTGGGTAGGCAGACAGTTTCTTCAGCTATGTTTCTAGGTTATAAGACAGACAGAAAGAGAAACATCAGCTTTGTCTTTTCCCTGAGACCTACAGCCAGCTATTTTATGGAAGTTTGGCCGAAGGAAGATACATATTTACTGTTTGTGTCTGCATTAAGCTTAAAATCTAGAGTTAAAAATCCGGGAGACTTTGGGTTCACCTATTCCAGACCTCTCATGTGATATATAAGGAAATTATGGCCCCCAAATGTGAAGACTTATTTCTAATAATCAAATGCTATGAGAGTTATTGGAAACCGTTATGGTAAATCCCAAGTAAAAGAAATTTATTTTTATACCTATATTTGGAAATGTACTATTCCAGCCCCTACTCTGTAAGTTATTCCATGGGACTTCCAAGGTCACAGGTTGCTAGAATCCAAACACTGGTTATACTGTGTTATTCTTACCCAATCTCCACCTGGTAAAACTTCTGGCAAATGGAATGTGACAAAGGAGCACAGGTACTCACAATCGAGATGATAATGATGCTAACATTGTCTTGTATTGGAGTAATCCAAGATTTCAGGGGATGTAGCATCACCTGGAATAAAAAGGACCCCAGACCCATTCAACAATTCAAATTAGGGTTACTTATTAGCCGTTCATCAACTGGCATTATGGTACAAACCAGCAAATACTGGGTAGGTAGGTGAGAAGTATGCTTATGTACTAATTCAGTTGGTAGATGGGTGGCATTTTGCTCCATGAAAGACCAACATTAGTTAATAATGAGGGAAATCTTTCAATGGGAACAACACACACTGGGCCTGTCAGAGGGCAGGGGATGGAAGGAGGAAGAGGATCAGGAAGAATAGTTAATGGATGCTGGGCTTAATACCAGGGTGAGGGGATGATCTGTGCCGTAAACCACCATGGCACATGTTTACCTATGTAACGAACCTGCACATCCTGAACTTGTACCTCTGAACTTAAAATAGAAGTTGGAAATTAAAAATAAATAAATTAATTATGAATTTCAGTGGAAAAAATAAAGAAACGCAAGTGGACTGACTTTAAAGCTTTTGACTCTGAGCAGGGAGTTCTGTGGAAAAGAGGAATAGATGCTCAAAGGTGTGACTTATTTTCCCTTTATCGTATATAAGTGGGTAAGAATTCCACACATCCATTCATTCTTTCTTCCACTTGGATTTCTTCATACCCCTTTTCCTTCTAGCTTCATCCTCTTTCCTTTTGATACCTCCACGCCCCCCTCCTCCCTCCCTCCTTCCATGCTCCCTCCTATCTCCCCATCACCTATCACCTAGATACCTCCATGGACTCTCCCATCTGGCTTCAGTTACAATCTCTTTAATCTACCTTTATGTCTCTCCCACTTCACTCGTTTTCTGGCTCCCTCCCTCTCAAGTGATTAACTATGTAATTCCTCCCAGTTTCCCACTCCCTACCCTACTTCCTTCCTTTGAAATCACTGTCAGTCCTCCTCTCAGCTCTTTCCTCCACAATTCTTTTAGTTCTTTCCCACTTTAGTTCCTCAGCTCTCACTCACAGACTTCACGCTGACCACCCAGACTCAACTTACCACCAGTCCTGAAGCCACACACACCTCTGACTCAACCCTTCCCTCTTTCTTCCCTTAGCCGGTCCTGGAATGCAGCAAATAAGAAATGTTTTCCAAATGAGAAGAAGAGCACTCTTTTATCATTTGCTCATTGCCACATCTCTGTTCCCATAGCACCATAGATGGCTCATACCTGTAATCCCAACACTTTTGGAGGCATAAGCAGGAGAATTGCTTGAGCCCAGGAGTGCGACACCAGCCTGGGCAACATAGCAAAACCTCCATCTCTATTAAAAACAAAATAAAAAAAGATTTGATTTGGTGAAGGTCTGTATTTCACTATCTTGCAATCCCTCAAACTATACTTATACATTTATATATCTTAAACAATTCAAAGAACTTTCTAGGTTATTTTTTATTTTATCTGTATCTAAGATAAGAATTTGCCCCTTTACAAGAAGACCTAAAGTCCCGTGAGAAACACATATCTGATATTTGTCTAGGGAAATAGAAGCCATGGTAATCACAGTTACATAGGCACAAGAGTATTGGGCAAAGCGACTGAAGTGGCCTGTCATCTTCCCAAACACCAAGGAATTACACAGATAATGCACCTATGGGAGAAAGGGCAATGGCAATGTGAGGCACAGGAAATCACCTCTGAGTCCTCTTACAAGACCCCAAACACAAATAAAGCCCTTTTTGTTATAATAATGGCAAACCACTGGCATTATTGTCTCAGGAAGCAAACAAACAAACAAACAAACAAACAAAAATTTCCACACTGCAGCTCTCATGCCTTCCCCATCTTCTCACATGCAAACATTCAGGCTTGAAGAAAGAGATATCAAATCACAAAAGCTATTAGCCACCTCAGAGTCCAAACAATGCATTTGAAAGTTGAGGAAACTGAGGCTGGGTCTTTGTGACATAGCTCTGAAACACATGTCACCCAGAGTTCACCTGCAACAGGTCACTGCTGCGGTCAACCTAAGACTCTCTCAACAACTGCCAAGGTAGGAGATTAACTCAGCAACACAACCACAATCTTGTCTGCTGTAGTTTGTTTTCCCCAATTTGCAAACCCTTTGTGCTGTCTCTCAACCATTCCCCTGTCCATGCAAACACCTTCCAAATCAGCTCAACCCATTCCGGGACTCCCTCCAGCCAAAGAGATTTCTCCTTTGCAAATGCAAAGTTGTACCTTTGCTCTCATCCTGCACCCAAGGTCGCCCTCCTCAATTAATACCCTGCTTTTCTTAGCTCCCCCCTTCACCATAGTAGGCTTACCATGATGAAGGGGGAAATAAGAAAAGCCAGCATCATGTTGGTCACAGAGATATTGACAATGAAGAGGCCAGTGGCGGTGTGCACCCTTTCGTACTTCATAATCAGATGGTTTAAGACACAGTTGCCTAAAATGGCAACAAAGATCACCACCGTGTACCCTATTACTAACCAAAATTGCACCTGTTCATCCTGAGACACCATCTCCGAAGTTATGGGACCTGATGTGTTGGCCAGGTCGCCAGTGTTCCACGTGTGGTCAGGCAGCTTGTCAATCATGGATAGCAGGCTATCCTAGCCAGCGCTGCCAATAGCACCTGAGAGGTGGTGGAGGTGATAAGATCATCAAAGCCGCTGGGCACACTCAGAGCTTCATGACTCATGGTGCCGGAGTTCAGGAAAGTCCCTTGGGGCGATTCTGTGGTTGGGGTGTCCAGCTTGACTCCTTTGGAGTACAGCGAGTCCTTAATCTAATGGGTCAGGGAGCACCTGGGGAAGGGCGAAGGAGGAGTGGAGCGTCCATGAAGCTCTGGGCTAGCAGAAACGGAGTTTTCTAAGGTGTATGGGTTAGGAAGAGGGAAGAAACGCCGGTAACCAGCAAGAAGGACTGGACTGGCTTGGAGTGGGCAAGTGCGCAATGCTGAGCTGGGCAATAGAGCGCTGGTCAGGAGAATGCGGCTGGCTCCAAATGCTCTTCAGCCTGGAGAGCTCAGGCAGCATCCGTTCCGAACCTGGGGACAGCATCAAGCATTACCCTAGCACCCCTCCTCCTCTGCGCAGCCCAAGATCGTTCAATTTCCATTGCCTTCAATCAGTCTATGAGTCTGTCCATCCAAGGCCTGCAGGTGCTCTGGGCAGGGCGGAGCAAGACACTGCTACTAGCATTGGGAGCCGTGCCAGTGTGAGTGCCTTCTGCAGCTCCCCTCTATAGAAAATCAAGGGGCCATGCTAGAGCCAATGGAGAGGCAAAGCTGAACCTCATCCTGTCCATCCAGGTGGGGCTCCAAAGGGGCTGGCAAAGTCTTTGCTGCTCCTCTCTCAGCCCGACATTTTTTCCTGCTCCCCCTTGGCTTTCCCACCTCTCTCCTGGTGTAGTTGAGAGCTGGGACATATCGGATCTTCTTTAGGCACTCCCCACCATCGGTCTTCTTCACCTCCTCTTTCCCTTACTCTCTTTTCTTTTTTCACTGGCTAGGAGGAGCTGTGTAGCAAGGAACTGAGAAGGATCTGTAAAGACTATGGTGTCCCCTGGACTGGGAGACCCATGGTCTGGTGGATGAGAGGGATGCCTCACTGGATAACAGCGACCCAGGCAGCCATCAGGAAGGAGAATGGTCGCCAGGAAAGGCATGAACAAATTTTAGAGTTTTCCAGGGAGAAGGAGGCAGGAGGTAGCATGAGAATCGGGAGGGTACACTAGAGTCCTTTTGAGCCCAAGTGAGGGTAGCTTGGAATGGTATCACCTCTGTTTTCTCCTGCACTATGCACAGCTATCAGCCTCAAAACTAGATGAGGTGACCCTGGGGTTCTGTGTCTGGCCATGGGAGACACTATAGTCCCCTGAGACATTCAGGGAGTACCACTTTGGGAACTGGACTGTGGCAGGTTACTCATGAGACTGAAACCATGTCCCCAAGGACAGTTTAGGGCTTAGGAAACCTCTGTAAAACTATTTTTCCGGAGTCCAAAACCGCAAATGAAGAGATGGAGCTCAATCTTTGGGGTTACAGTAATAAAAAGGCTAGGGCTCATGGGCGGAGACTGCCTTTTCCCTTGAGAATTTTAAGCTACCTTCCAGAGAAGGAGTCCAGAAACGTTTGAGCCACAAGTAGAGTAACAGAGCTGCCCCTTGGAAATGTTTGGGGGGGCACAAAACAATGCCCTGAACTTTTCAGAGTTAGAGAGTGTCCTTTTCTTATCATCCCCTACATGCCCCACTCTCATTTACAGGTAGAAAAACTGAGGCTTGGGAGGTGAAGAGTTTAAGGTCACAAAGAGTTACCAGAAGCATCAAGACTAGAAATGAGAAGCGAAGAGCCTGGCATTGAGAATGATTTGCTCTGCAGCAAGCTGTCATTCGGAGAAGTCCTGGTATTTGTTTTAACCACAATCTCATGACATCCTATTCAACCCCATCACACAAGGGCTGTGGAGGAGGTCAGCAGCTGCATCCCTCTTCTCCTAGAGGATCCTGAAGAGGAGCCACTCGATGTCAATAATGTCAGTAACTACTTATTAAGGCATAAGCAGAAATTCATTATCACCATTATTATTGTCATCATCATTATCCAGGCATGAGAAGTCATTAAGCAGCCATAAAAGAGGCAAGCAAACTTCAACCATACACACTTGTGTGTGTGTGTGTGTGTGTGTGTGTGTGTGTGTGTGTGTGTGTGTGTACATGCAGGAACCCTGGTTACATTTTGTTGCTTATGGGTTAAGGAATGATTAAAGAAAAGCTCTGAGTGTCTTGTAGCCTTTTTGGAGTGCTCCAACTCGTGGGAAGATGGGCTGATAGGTTACCACTGAATGGCTAGTCAGAAAATTTAATTGAATCCTGGTATTCTGAGTGGGAGTTAAACCTTCTGTATTTAGCTAGAACTACGTTTGGAGAAATTATATGGCTACCAGATAAGATTTTTGAAAAAATGAATAAAGAAAAAAGGAGGAAAGAATAGGAAAAAAAAAGCTGTGCCTTTAGTCCACAGAGCAGAGACCATAAGTAAAAACATTTGAAGGAGTTAATAAATGTTGGTTCTACCATATAGATCCACCCTAGAACAGATACTGAATGGGGGCTGGGAATCATTGATCTTCTTTGATCCCTCTGCAGCAGTTTCCACAGAAAGACTGCTAAGATACATCAACTGGAAGTCCAAGGAGCATGTTCTCTGTATCTGACCCTGAGCTGGTTTCCTAAGGGCCCAAAACAGCTTAAGGTTTGGTTGGGAAATGACAAATGTTTTGACAAGTAGCTGAAGACAAAACTTCTGAACTCTATCTGGAGAAGTACAGAGGAGTGGTAGAACGGGGTTAATGTGGGAGGATCAGATAGGCAGAGGCAAGCAAAAGTGCAAAGATGTAGTCTTGGCCTCCACTAGCCTATTAACTGTGGTCCTTGCTCTCTTTGGTCTCTCTGAATGCGAGTTCCTCTCTCTCTCTCTTCTTCTCTCCCTCCCTCTTCATTCTTGCCCCAAGATTCAGACATTTAATTTCAGAAAAGACGACTTCAATAATTCTTAGATGGATTCAACCTTTTCTCCAGGGCTTGAGACTCAGCCACTGGAGAAAAGGTTGAATCCAAACAAAATGGTTGTGTATATTTCAGGGCAGGGAGCCCACCTCCACCCATTGCCCCCCACGTCAAGTTTGCATAGTTCTGTATATTAGAAAAGCCTGTATCAAATACAGCAGAAAGTTATCTTTTGGAGCCTCTGAAATTCATTCCAGTCCTGTAACAATCAAGAAGTCTCAGCTCAAGCAAAATAGCTCCCAGTTCTTACAACTGCTTTTTTCCTGAAGGTACTCAGTCTTAGTCACTGCAGAACATTCACTTTCTGCACAGCTACTTTCATATTGTGAATTTTCTCTCTCCTCTAAACTCACCACCACTTCCCTCCTCCACCTTCTCAGTCATAAACACAAAAAGAAGCAACCAAAGAAACAAAAACCACACACATATCAGGCATAAAGTTCCTACATCTTTCATTAGACCTCCAGTGACAGCTCCTGCCTTGGTTCCTTGGCCCTCAGTGCAGATCTCAGCTCTTCCTGGATGCCCCAGTTTCTGCTCAAATGCTGACAAGGAAAGGAAAATACCACACCCACTACAGTAAGCCTCAGCATTCAGTGGAACTTGGGTGACATTTTCCTTCCAAACTCAGGGTCCAGGGAGCCAGGAAGAACTGCAAAGCTCCCCATTGGTGTCAGCATCTATTGGGTCTCACTCAGATCAGAAGTCCTAAGCTAGCTACTTACCATGTTTTTCCCTGCCTTAATCTAACTTTGGCCTCAACTCCTCATCTTTCTTCAGTCACCCTATTAGTGACTAAATCCCTGTTCAGGACTGGTGCCTGCTTAAAACTTTTACCTAATTCCTGGGTTCCTGTCACCTATGGACTGGCTTGCTAGTGATGGTCAGCCCCTTCTAATTTCCACCAAGATTTCCCGGCACTGGAGTGCCCACCAGATTGTCCCCTCTGGTACTGATAGACCGTAAGGGACATGACCAAATAGCCATGTCCACTGGATGCTGTGCAAGGATCACCAGCTTATGTTACCAGATCCAAAAACTTCTATTGGCGATAGTACCTTCAGCTGCTTGACACATTGTCCTACAGGGATCCAGAGCCAGATGCTGATTTTATCCCCATATGTCATCCTCCCTGCTGTGGCCAAAAGCAATCTATGACACCTCACACCTAATTTCACAACTTTTCACATCCAAACGCTGTTTTTGCCGCATGCCCTGTTGCCTCAGTTCCCTGATCTAAAACAATAAAAAAAGTGCCTTGTCTAAGGGGTCACAGAGGGTTATGCCAAGTTGTGGTCAGTGTGGCTATGGTCAAATGCAGCTCTAGAAGGTTATCTCTGCAGGAATCCATGAAATAATGTAGCAGGACTGGCTGGGAAACCTCTCTAGCCTGGTCCTCCCAACTCTAGAGGATCAGCAGCAGCTCCATTACCAGAAAGAGACAAGCAGTAGAAGGAAAAACCTTATTTCAAATGAGGACAGAGATTACCTTGTTGTTGATGTAGCAGGACTGGCTGGGAAACCTCTCTAGCCTGGTCCTCCCAACTCTAGAGGATCAGCAGCAGCTCCATTACCAGAAAGAGACAAGAAGTAGAAGGAAAAACCTTATTTCAAATGAGGACAGAGATTACCTTGTTGTTGCCAACTGCTGGTGACTGGGGATAGTAGAAACCAATGAGACAATCAGAGTGAATTCTTGAATTAAGGAGTTCCGTGGCTGTCAATTATGCCATCTCTTTATCCAGTAAAGGCATTCCATTTCCAAAGGGTCACCTAGCTTCCACTTGCACTCCTTCAGAGAGAGAAGATGGTACCCCACAGCTGCCTTTTCTATTGTAAACTTGAGACGTTCAGCTTTCCACTGAGCCAAAACTTGCTTTCTAGTGATTTCCAACCTATGACTCTACTTTAGCTCTCTGGGATCACACATAATCAGTGTAATTACTCTTTCTCATGACAACTGTCCAGATAGTTTAAGACTATGTTCATATGTTTCCTTGGGTCTCATTTTGTCAAGACTATGAGGTAGATAGAGCCTTGTAGGTGGAAGAGAAAGAGAGAGAGAGAGAGAGAGAGAGAGAGAGAGAGAAAATGAATAAAAAACTGTCCCTGACAACTCAGAGAGGAAACACTGAGATGCTGAGATGGGTAGAAACAATGCAAGCAGCACCAGCACCACAGTACCTATTTGGAAGATACGGCTTTTCCTGGGTTGCCTTCTCCTCAGGGCATATTTTATTGCAATAAAAGCAGTAGGAGAGGCAGGAAAAAGAACAAGGAAACAGTTAATCTTGGAGATGTGGGGAGAGGGCAGGAGAGGCAGCCTTCTGCCTCTTCCTTCATAAATAAGTCCAGCTGTGAGTACAATGTGTGTGTGTGTGTGTGTGTGTGTGTGTGTATGTGTGTGTATGTCTGTGTGTTTATCTGAGGAGAATGTCCAGAGCTTTTAACTGTGGAGTTAGCCCAATCTCCATTAGGATAATTCTGCATGTTAGCAAATGCAGCCTTCTAAAGAGACGAAATCTGCCTCTCTAACTTTCACCCATGGTCACAGTTCTCTCCTAGAGGCTTCTATAATCAGCCTAATTTATTTTCCACATGATAGCCTTTTAGCTATTTGAAGAAAGCAATTTTGTCCCCACCTAAGGCTCTTGCCTCTTCCTCCAGGTTAACTTTGACCACTTTCTCAAATAGCTGTGGTAGTAGCAATGATAGAATACTGAGAGAGTCTGAGCAGAATGTATAACAGAGAGAAGTGCTCAGAGAATAGCTTATCCAACCTCCACAGTATTCAAAGAAGGAAACAGAGGGTCAGAGAGGACTGCTAACTGGATCTAGAGAGCTCAGACATCTGCTATTTTCCTGCAATGTCCTCCTCACCACCTCCATTAAGCTGGAATTCAGGAAATTATCTATCAGTCATTTAACATGTTAGTATACATTGAAGTGATTTTGTTTTGTGCTCTTACAGGATTTAAATCACAAAATCAAAAGCAGTGACAGTGGCAGAGAACAAGGAGTTCTAAGCCCACCTTCTCATACATGGGGACACTAAGACAAAGAGAGGGACAGGCTATAGCCAAAAAGGATAAGTTGTCACTAGAAACCAAGATTCCTAATTGCTGTCTACTCTAGGGCTCTTTTCCCTGTCTTCAGTTTCTGCAATTTGTCATCCTTCTGACTATGGGCTTATTCTTCCCTCCCTGAAAAGAAAGAAGGGTTTTCTGGTGGGCATTCTCTAATCTTTCTTGACACAGAGTAGGCCTTCAATAAACACAAACTGAATGAATAAATGAACAAATGAATGTTTGCTCTTAGCTGACTATCTAATTTTGGAATCTCCAAGCTGGAAGATTCCTGAGAGACATCTAATCAATCTGCTTATTTCTTTTGGTTCAGAAAACTGAGTGTCCCAATCTTTGTCTTTTAACAATTGTGAGTTGTGAATATGACTTCTGAATCCTGTTTTGCCTCTAAATTACAATGTAATCAAATGTAAACTACAGTGAGTGCTTACTCCTTTCTGGGCCTCAGTATTCCTATCTGCTCAATGAGGAGGTTAGAGTAAATATTCTAAGGGATTTTCTAGCTGAAATATCCTTTGATATCCATCACTGTCATTACACAGAAAAGTAAAGCTATTTTTGACTTTTATGTTTCAAACCATACATGGAGTGTGTATAGAAGTAAGCAAAGATACAACACATCATCTAAAACTTTAATCTCAGTAAATGATTCTGAGATTGGGGGTGGGAATCTTAGAGGTATTTTGTACCTATTCGTAATAAAATAGTAACTGAAACTAACACAGGGGTTATTAAGAAGTCATTTTAGGCAGATAGAGAGGGTAAGGAGTCTTCAGTAAGTTTTTTTTTTCTTTTAATAAAGGAAGCTCCCAAAACATTTCTTTTTTTAATACAAAAGGGTCTTGAAAAGCCAGGACAGCCATGGGCAAGGATTTCATGACTAAAACACAAAAAGCAATGGCAACAAAAGCCAAAATAGACAAATGGAATCTAACTAAACTAAAGAGCTTCTGCATGGCAAAAGAAACTACCATTAGAGTGAACAGGCAACCTACAGAATGGGAGACAATTTTTGCAATCAACCCATCTGACAAAGGCCTAATATCCAGAACCTACAAATATCTCAAACAAATTTACAAGAAAAAGACAAACAACCCCATCAAAAAGTGGGCAAAGAATATGAACAGACACTTCTCAAAAGAAGATATTGATGCAGCCAACAGACACATGAAAAAATGCTCATTAACACTGGTCATCAGAGAAATGCAAATCAAAACTAAAATGAGATACCATCTCACTCCAGTTAGAATGGCAATCATTAAAGAGTCAGGAAACAACAGATGCTGGAGACGATCTGGAGAAATAGGAACGCTTTTACACTGTTGGTAGGAGTGTAAAATAGTTCAACCACTGTGGAAGACAGTGTGGCAATTTCTCAAGAATCTAGAACTAGAATAACCGTTTCACCCAGTAATCCCATTACTGGGTATGTACCCAAAGGATTATAAATCATGCTACTATAAAGACACATGCACACATATGTTTATTGTGGCACTATTCACAATAGCAAAGACTTGGAACCAACCCAAATGTCCATCAATGATAAACTGGATTAAGAAAATGTGGCATATATGCACCATGGAATGCTATGCAGCCATAAAAAAGGATGAGTTCATGTCCTTTGCAGGGACATGGATGAAGCTAGAAACCATCATTCTCAGCAAACTATCACAAGGACAGAAAATCAAACACCGCATGTTCTTACTCATAGGTGGAAATTGAAAAATGAGATCACTTGGACACAGGGCAGGGAACATCACACACCGGGGCCTGTCGTGGGGTGGGGATCTGGGGGAGGGATAGCATTAGGAGAAATACCTAATGTAAATGATGAGTTGATGAGTGCAGCAAACCAACATGGCACATGTATACATATGTATCAAACCTGCACATTGTGCACATGTACCCTAGAACTTAATATACAATAAAAAAGAAAAAAAAGAAAAAAGAAAAGCCAGGCCAGCAAACTTTGAAATGTAAATGCCAGCAGTTAGAATCTGTGTTCATCCAACATGGCAATTCCTGCCCTCTTCTTCTTGTCATCGCGTGTGCCAAGCATCATGGCCACTTCCAGATGACTCCACATCTGCAAGACATCATAGCAACCTGCATTTGCATATTAAAAAGCTAGGATGAGAGGGTCAGTTTCGTCATGTGCTACATGAATGGCAAACCTGGTCAAACTAATCCCCTGAGCCCTATGCAAATCAGACACTGCCTTCTCCAGCCTCCCAATATAACCTACTACTTTCCTGCCACACACAGGGCTTTTTCTCTCCATTCGGAGCCCCCCTCCCTCTGTCTCTGTATAGGGGAGCTGTTTCCTTCTTTCTTGCTTATTAAACTCTTTGCTCCTTAAAACCACTCTACGTGTGTTCGTGTCATTTAATTGGCATGAGACAAAGGACCCCAGTGTTTCTCTACTCATCAGAGCAATAACATTGTGGTGTGTTGACTGGGAAACCAAGGTATAACATTCACTGGAGTGGTGAGAATGGAATGAATCTCCACCTCAGATCTGTCCTTTAATCTCAAGGCTCTCTTACGACTACCCTGTCATCAAATTTCCCTTTCTTTTTTATCCACGGTTGCTGTGTCTATTCTGTCTATGTATGTAATGTGCAGGAATTTTTACAACCCAAGGAAACAGGTGTGTCAGTAAAAGTAGGCAAATGCTGCAGGCGGTAACTCCATTAGCATCTCTCCCTCTCTACCGTTTTTTGGTGGGCACATGGTATTTTTTTTAATAGTTTATTCCTTTTAATTGTCAAGTAATATTCCATTATATGAACACGCTGAGTTTGTTCATCCATTCACCTGTTGATGGTCATTGGGTTGTTTATGGGTTTTTTTTATTTTATTATTATTATACTTTAAGTTTTAGGGTACATGTGCACAATGTGCAGGTTAGTTACATATGTATACATGTGCCATGCTGGTGTGCTGCACCCATTAACTCGTCATTTAGCATTAGGTATATCTCCCAATGCTATCCATCCCTGCTCCCCCCACCCCACAACAGTCCCCAGAGTGTGATGTTCCCCTTCCTGTGTCCATGTGTTCTCATTGTTCAGTTCCCACCTATGAGTGAGAACATGCGGTGTTTGGTTTTTTGTCCTTGCAATAGTTTACTGAGAATGATGATTTCCAATTTCATCCATGTCCTTACAAAGGACACGAACTCATCATTTTTTATGGCTGCATAGTATTCCATGGTGTATATGTGCCACATTTTCTTAATCCAGTCTATCATTGTTGGACATTTGGGTTGGTTCCAAGTCTTTGCTATTGTGAATAGTCCCACAATAAACATATGTGTGCATGTGTCTTTATAGCAGCATGATTTATAGTCCTTTGGGTATATACCCAGTAATGGGATGGTTGGGTGAAATGGTATTTCTAGTTCTAGATCCCTGAGGAATCGCCACACTGACTTCCACAAGGGTTGAACTAGTTTACAGTCCCACCAACAGTGTAAAAGTGTTCCTATTTCTCCACATCCTCTCCAGCACCTGTGGTTTCCTGACTTTTTGATGATTGCCATTCTGACTGGTGTAAGATGGTATCTCATTGTGGTTTTGATTTGCATTTCTCTGATGGCCAGTGATGGTGAGCATTTTTTCATGTGTTTTTTGGCTGCATAAATGTCTTCTTTTGAGA
This sequence comes from Homo sapiens, assembly GCF_000001405.40. NCBI lineage: Eukaryota > Metazoa > Chordata > Mammalia > Primates > Hominidae > Homo > Homo sapiens. The sequence continues at coordinate 66,428,270 of NC_000023.11, read as the reverse complement.
AGTGTCTGTTCATGTCCTTCGCCCACTTTTTGATGGGGTTGTTTGGTTTTTTCTTGTAAATTTGTTTGAGTTCATTGTGGATTCTGGATATCAGCCCTTTGTCAGATGAGTAGGTTGCAAAAATTATCTCCCATTTTGTAGGTTGTCTGTTCACTCTGATGGAGGTTTCTTTTGCTGTGCAGAAACTCCTTAGTTTAATAAGATCTCATTTGTCAATTTTGGCTTTTGTTGCCATTGCTTTTGGTGTTTTAGACATGAAGTCCTTGCCCATGCCTATATCCTGAATGGTAATGCCTGGGTTTTCTTCTAGGGTTTTTAAGGTTTTAGGTCTAACGTTTAAGTCTTTAATCCATCTTGAATTAATTTTTGTATAAGGTGTAAGGAAGGGATCCAGTTTCAGCTTTCTACATATGACTAGCCAGTTTTGCCAGCACCATTTATTAAATAGGGAATCCTTTCCCCATTTCTTGTTTTTGTCAGATTTGTCAAAGATCAGATAGTTGTAGATATGCAGCGTTATTTCTGAGGGCTCTGTTCTGTTCATTTGATCTATATCTCTGTTTAGGTAGCAGTACCATGCTGTTTTGGTTACTGTAGACTTGTAGTATAGTTTGAAGTCAGGTACACCAATCAGACGTAGATTTTGTCTTTTCACATAGTCCCATATTTCTTGGAGGCTTTGCTCATTTCTTTTTATTCTTTTTTCTCTAAACTTCCCTTCCCGCTTCATTTCATTCATTTCATCTTCCATTGCTGATACCCTTTCTTCCAGTTGATCTCATCAGCTCCTGAGGCTTCTGCATTCTTCACATAGTTCTCGAGCCTTGGTTTTCAGCTCCATCAGCTCCTTTAAGCACTTCTCTGTATTGGTTATTCTAGTTATACATTCTTCTAAATTTTTTTCAAAGTTTTCTACTTCTTTGCCTTTGGTTTGAATGTCCTCCCGTAGCTCAGAGTAATTTGATCATCTGAAGCCTTCTTCTCTCAGCTCCTCAAAGTCATTCTCCATCCAGCTTAGTTCCGTTGCTGGTGAGGAACTGCGTTCCTTTGGAGGAGGAGAGGCACTCTGCTTTTTAGAGTTTCCAGTTTTTCTGTTCTGTTTTTTCCCCATCTTTGTGGTTTTATCTACTTTTGGTCTTTGATGATGGTGATGTACAGATAGGTTTTTGGTGTGGATGTCCTTTGTGTTTGTTAGTTTTCCTTCTAACGGACAGGACCCTCAGCTGCAGGTCTGTTGGAATACCCTGCCGTGTGAAGTGTCAGTGTGCCCCTGCTGGGGGGTGTCTCCCAGTTAGGCTGCTAGGGGGTCAGGGGTCAGGGAACCACTTGAGGAGGCAGTCTGCCCATTCTGAGATCTCCAGCTGCATGCTGGGAGAACCACTGCTCTCTTCAAAGCTGTCAGACAGGGACATTTAAGTCTGCAGAGGTTACTGCTGTCTTTTTGTTTGTCTGTGCCCTGCCCCCAGAGGTGGAGCCTACAGAGGCAGGCAGGCCTCCTTGAGCTGTGGTGGGCTCCCCCCAGTTCGAGCTTCCCGGCTGCTTTGTTTACCTAAGCAAGCCTGGGCAATGGCAGGCGCCCCTCCCCCAGCCTCACTGCCACCTTGCAGTTTGATCTCAGACTGCTGTGCTAGCAATCAGAGAGACTCTGTGGGCGTAGGACCCTCCGAGCCAGGTGCGGGATATAATCTCGTGGTGCGCCGTTTTTTAAGCTGGTGGGAAAAGCGCAGTATTCGGGTGGGAGTGACCCGATTTTCCAGGTGCTTCCGTCACCCTTTTCTTTGACTCAGAAAGGGAATTCCCTGACCCCTTGTGCTTCCCAAGTGAGGCAATGCCTCGCCCTGCTTCGGCTTGCACATGGTGGGCACATCCACTGACCTACGCCCACTGTCTGGCACGCCCTAGTGAGATGAACCCGGTACCTCAGATGGAAATGCAGAAATCACCCCTCTTCTGCATCACTCACGCTGGGAGCTGTAGACCCGAGCTGTTCCTATTCGGCCTTCTTGGCTCCTCCTCATGTCGTGCTTTTTTTTCATATGTTTGTTGGCTGCATGTATGTGTTCTCTTGAGAAGTCCTTTGCAAAACTCCTCAAATTTTGCAATGTATCCCATATCCTTTGCCAACATTTCAGTGGGGTTGTTTGTTTCTTCTTGTACGTTTGTTTAAGTTCCTTGTAGACTCTTGATATTGTACCTTTGTCAGAAGAAAAGACTGCAAAAAATTTCTCCAGTTTTGTAGGTTGTCTGTTCACTCTGATGATAATTTATTTTGCTGCCCAGAGCTGTTTAGTTTAATTAAATCCTATTTGTCAATTTTTGCTTTTGTTGCAATTGCTTTTGGCGTTTTTGTCATGAAGTCTTTGCCTGAGCTGATGTCCTAAATGATATTGCCTTGATTTTTTTTCTAGGATTTTTGTAGTTTTGGGGTTTACATTTAAGTCTTTAATCTATAGGTTAGGGAAGAGTCCTTTCTTTTCAATTTATTAAAATGGTTTCAGTAGGAATGTTACCATCTCTTCTTTGTAAGTCTGGTAGAATTTGGCCATGAATCCATCTGGTCCTGGGCTTTTATTGGTTGGTAGGCTATTTATTGCTATCTTAATTTCAGAACTCATTATTGACCTATTCAGGGATTCAATTTCTTCCTGGTTCAGTCTTGGGAGGGTGTATGTGTCCAGGAATTCATCTATTTCTTCTAGATTTTCTGGTTTATGTGCATACATGTGCACACAATACGTGTGTTTACAGTATTCTCTGATGGTTATTTGTATTTCTGTGAAGTAGGTGGTGATATCCTCCTTGTCATTTCTGATTATATTATTTTGTTCCTCTCTCTTTTCTTCTTTATTAGACTAGCTAGTGGTCTGTTTTATTTATTTATGTATTTATTTTTTCAGGAAAACAGGTCCTGAATTTGCTGATTTTTGAAGGGTTTTTGTGTCTCTATCTTTTTCAGTTTAGCTCTGATCTTAGCTATTTCTTGTCTTCTGCTAGCTTTGGAGTTTGTTTGCTCTTGGTTCTCTAGATCTTTTAGTTTTGAGGTTAGGTTGTTAACTTGAGACTTTTCTAGCTTTTTTATGTGGATATTTAGTGCTATAAGTTTCCCTCTTAACACTGCTTTAGCTGCATTCCAGAGATTCTGGGTGCATTATATCTTTGTTCTCTTCAGTTTAAAAGCACATCTTGATTTCTCCCTTAATTTCATTATTTACCCAAGAGTCATTCAGGAACAGGTTACTCAATTTCCATATAGTTGGGTGGCCACCAAAATTCTAATCCAATACATATGAAGCATTTTAGAATTGACAGAAGGACTTTTAAAGACCACTGTTTCAAGGCCTTACTATCCTGCAAAGGAGGCAAAGTAGAATTTATTGCTCCCATTTTACAATCTCAGGAAATGAGACACAGAGGTTAAAGTAATACCTAAAATCACAAGGCTACTAAGTACAAAGCAGGCATTAAACAAGTGTAAATCTGGTAAATAATTCAGAGCTTTTTTTCATAAAGACAGATTACCCTCAAGGGGTTTTGTTTTGGAAATTTGAATAAAGGGCAACCATACAATGGAATAACTTTGCACTGGGGAATCAAGAGACTTGGGTTTTCTTCATTTATTTACACATTCTTTGAATCCAAAAGAATTTACTGAGTATCTCACCTAAGCCGGGCTCCATCTTTAACCTTAGAGTACAGAGATAACTAAGACAAAATCTTTGACTTTGAGGAATCCCTATCCAATGATGTCACAGAAATGTCTACAGATTATTGCAGTGGGGTATAATAAAGGCATATCCACAGTTAGAGGGGGCACTGATAATCTGGGGTTGCTTCATGAAAGATTTGATGCCTAAACTGAACTAGTGACACCTCTGCTTCTAAATTACATTATATTGTAAAAGACTCTCTTCCCCTTTTAAAGTGAGGGCTTGAACTATCTGGCCTCCAATAAAACATCTAGTGTATTTCAAGTGGTGGTAATTCAGAATAGGAGAGAGTTACATGTCTTTAAACCTTCAAAGGGACCAAGATTACTAATTATGCTTCTTGCTTGTCTTACTTCATTGATACTTGGAACCACCTGGCATGATGCAGAGATAATGTGGCTTAAGATATCTTGAATAGGGGGTGGTTCCAAGATGGCCAAATAGGAACAGGTCCAGTCTACAGCTCCCAGCATGAGCAACACAGAAGATGAATGATTTCTGCATTTCCAACTGAGGTAGTGGGTTCATCTCACTGGGGACTGTCAGTCAGTGGGTGCAGGACAGTGGGTGCAGCACACTGAGTGTGACCCAAAGCAGGGCAAGGCATTGCCTCACCTGGGAAACACAAGGGGTCAGGGAATTCCCTTTTCTAGCTAAGGAAAGGGGTGAGAGACGGCACCTGGAAAATCAGGTCATTCCCACCCTAATACTGCACTTTTCGGATGGTCTTAGCAAACGACACACCAGGAGATTATATCCTGCACCTGGCTCAGAGGGTCATACACCCACGGATCCTTGCTCATTGCTAGCACAGCAGTCTGAGATCAAACTGCAGGCAGCAGTGAGGCTGGGGGAGGGGTGCCCACCATTGCTGAGGCTTGAGTAGGTAAACAAAGTGGCCCGGAACCTCAAACTGGGTGGAGCCCACTGCAGCTCAAGGAGCCTGCCTGCCTCGGTAGACTCCATCTCGGGGGGCAGGACATAGCCAAACAAAAGGAGCATAAACCTCTGCAGACTTAAATGTCCCTGTCTGACAGATTGGAAGACAGTAATGGTTCTCTCAGTATGAAGCTTGAGATCTGAGAATGGACAGAATGCCTCCTGAAGTGGGTCCCTGACCCCCAAGTAGCCTAACTGGAAGGCACCCCCCAGTAAGGGGAGATGGACACCTCACACAGCCGGGCACCCCTCTGAGACAAAACTTCGAGAGGAAAAATCAGGCAGCAACATTTGCTGTTCACCAATATTCACTGTTCTACAGCATCTGCTGCTGATACCCAGGCAAATAGGGTCTGGAGTGGACCTCCAGCAAACTCCAACAGACCAGCAGCTGAGGGTCCTGATTGTTAGAAGGAAAACTAACAAACAGAAAGGATATCCACACCAAAACCCCATCTGTATGTCATCATCATCAAAGACCAAAGGTAGATAAAACCACAAAGATGCGGAAAAAACAGAGCAGAAAAACTGAAAATTCTAAAAATCAGAGCACCTCTCCGCCTCCAAAGGAATGCAGCTCCTCACCAGCAATGGAGCAAAACTGAATGGAGAAAGACTTTGACGAGTTGAGAGAAGAAGGCTTCAGATGATCAAACTTCTCCGAGCTAAAGGAGGAAGTTTGAACCCATGGCAAAGAAGTTAAAAACTTTGAAAAAGATTAGACGAATGGCTAACTAGAATAACCAATGCAGACAAGATCTTAAAGGACCTGATGGAGCTGAAAACCATGGCACAAGAACTACGTGATGAATGCACAAGCCTCAGTAGCTGATTCGATCAATTGGGAGAAAGGGTATCAGTGATGGAAGATCAAATGAATGAAATGAAGTGACAAGAGAAGTTTAGAGGAAAAATAATAAAAAAGAAAGGAACAAAGCCTCCAAGAAATATGGGACATTGTGAAAAGACCAAATCTATGTCTGATTGGTGTACCTGAAAGTGATGGGAGAATGGAACCAAGTTGGAAAACACCTTGCAGGATATTATCCAGGAGGACTCCCCCAATCTAGCAAGGCAGGCCAACATTCACATTCAGGAAATACAGAGAACGCCACAAAGATACTCCTCAAGAAGAGCAACTCCAAGACACAAAATAGTCAGATTCACCAAAGTTGAAATGAAGGAAAAAATGTTAAGGGCAGCCAGAGAGAAAAGTCGAGTTACCCACAAAGGGAAGCCCATCAGACTAACAGCGGATCTCTTGGCAGAAACTCTACAAGCCAGAAGATAGTGGGGGCCAATATTCAACAATTTTAAAGGAAATAATTTTCAACCCAGAATTTCATATCCAGCCAAACTAAGCTTTAAAAGTGAAGGAGAAATAAAATCCTTCACAGACAAGCAAATGCTGAGAGATTTTTGTCACCACCAGGCCTGCCCTAAAAGAGCTCCTGAAGGAAGCACTAAACATGGAAAGGAAAAACTGGTAGCAGCCACTGCAAAAACATGCCAAATTGTAAAGACCATCAAGGCTAGGAAGAAACTGCATCAACTAACGAGCAAAATAACCAGCTAACATCATAATGATAGGATCAAATTCACACATAACAATATTAACCTTAAATGTAAATGGGCTAAATGCTCCAATTAACAGACACAGACTGTCAAATAGGATAAAGAGTTAAGACTCATAAGTGTGCTGTACTCAGGAGACCCATCTCATGTGCACACATAGGCTCAAAATAAAGGGATGGAGGAAGATCTACCAAGAAAATGGAAAACAAAAAAAGACAGGGGTTGCAATCCTAGTCTCAGATAAAACAGACTTTAAACCAGCAAAGATCAAAAGAGACAAAGAAGGCTATTACATAATGGTAAAGGGATCAACTTGACAAGAAGAGTTAACTATCTTATATATGCACCCAATACAGGAGCACCCAGATTCCTAAAGCAAGTCCTTAGAGACCTAAAAAGAGACTTAGACTCCCACACAATAATAATGGGAGACTTTAACACCCCACTGTCAACATTAGACAGATCAACGAGATGGAAAGTTCCCAAGGATATCCAGGAATTGAACTCAGCTCTGCAGCAAGTGGACCTAATAGACATCTACAGAACTCTCCACCCCAAATCAACAGAATATACATTCTTCTCAACACTACACTGCACTTATTCCAAAATTGACCACATGGTTGGAAGTAAAGCACTCCTCAGCAAATGTAAAAGAACAGAAATTATAACAAACTGTCTCTCAGACCACAGTGCAATCAAACTAGAACTCAGGATTAAGAAACTCACTTGAAACCGCACAACTACATGGAAACTGAACAACCTGCTCCTGAGTGACTACTGGGTACATAATGGAATGAAGGCAGAAATAAAGATGATCTTTGAAACCAACGAGAACAAAGACACAACATACCAGAATCTCTGGGATACATTTAAACCAGTGTGTAGTGAGAAATTTGTAGCACTAAATGCCCACAAGAGAAAGCAGGAAAGATCCAAAATTGACACCCTAATATCACAATTAAAATAACTAGAGAAGCAAGAGCAAACACATTCAAAAGCTAGAAGAAGACAAGAAATAACTAAGATCAGAGCAGAACTGAAGGAAATAGAGACACAAAATCCCTTCAAAAAAACAATGAATCCAGGAGCTGGTTTTTTGAAAAGATCAACAAAATTGATAGACCGCTGGCAAGGCTAATAAAGAAGAAAAGAGAGAGGAATCAAATAGATGCAATAAAAAATGATAAAGGGGATATCACTACCGATCCCACAGAAATACAAACTACCATCAGAGAATACTATAAACACCTCTACACAAATAAACCAGAAAATCTAGAAGAAATGTATAAATTCCTCAACACATACACCCTCCCAAGACTAAACCAGGAAGAAGTTGAATCTCTGAATAGATCAGTAACAGGCTCTGAAATTGAGGCAATAATTAATAGTTTACCAACCAAAAAAAATCCAGGACCAGATGGATTCAGAGCCGAATTCTACCAGAGGTACAAGGAGGAACTGGTACCATTCCTTCTGAAACTATTCCAATCAATAGAAAAAGAGGGAATCCTCCCTAACTCATTCTATGAGGTCAGCATCATCCTGATACCAAAGCCAGGCAGAGACACAACAAAAAAAGAGAGTTTTAGACCAATATCCTTGATGAACAACGATGCAAAAATCCTCAATAAAATACTGGCAAACTGAATCCAGCAGCACATCAAAAAGCTTATCCACCATGATCAAGTGGGCTTCATCCCTGGGATGCAAGGCTGGTTCAACATGTGCAAATCAATAAATGTAATCCAGAATATAAACAGAACCAAAGACAAAAACCAAATGATTATCTCAATAGATGCAGAAAAGGCCTTTGAGAAAATTCAAAAGCCCTTCATGCTAAAAACTCTCAATAAATTAGGTATTGATGGGACACATCTCAAAATAGTAAGAGCTATTTATGACAAACCCACAGCCAATATCATACTGAATGGGCAAAAACTGGAAGCATTCTCTTTGAAAACTGGCACAAGACAGGGATGCCCTCTCTCACCACTCCTATTCAACATAGTGTTGGAAGTTCTGGCCAGGGCAATCAGGCAGGAGAAGGAAATAAAGGGTATTCAATTAGGAAAAGAGGAAGTCAAATTGTCCCTCTTTGCAGATGACAAGATTGTATATCTACAAAACCCCATCATCTCAGGCCAGAGTCTCCTTTAGCTGATAAGCAACTTCAGCAAAGTCTCAGGATACAAAATCGATGTACAAAAATCACAAGCATTCTTATACACCAATAACAGACAAACAGAGAGCCAAATCATGAGTGAACTCCCATTCACAATTGCTTCAAAGAGAATAAAATACCTAGGAATCCAACTTGCAAGGGATGTGAAGGATCTCTTCAAGGAGAACTACAAACCACTGCTCAAGGAAATAAAGGAGGATACAAACAAATGGAAGAACATTCCATGCTCATGGATAGGAAAAATCAATATCATGAAAATGGCCATACTGCCCAAGGTAATCTATAATTAAACAATTGATGGGGATCAATTAAATAATTTGCATTTCTCTGATGGCCAGTGATGATGAGCATTTTTTCATGTCTTTTGGCTGCATAAATGTCTTCTCTTGAGAAGTGTCTGTTGATATCCTTCATCCACTTGTTGATGGGGTTGTTTGTTTTTTTCTTGTAAATTTGTTTGAATTGTTTGTAGACTCTGGATATTAGCCCTTTGCCAGATCAATTAAATAATTGTTGGGGATGGTAGCCATCCCCATCAAGCTACCAATGACTTTCTTCACAGAATAGGAAAAACACTTCTTTAAAGTTCATATGGAACCAAAAAAGAGCCTGCATTGCCAAGTCAATCCTAAGCCAAAAGAACAAAGCTGGAGACATCACTCTACCTGAGTTCAAACTATACTACAAGGCTACAGTAATCAAAACAGCATGGTGCTGGTACCAAAACAGTGTTATAGACCAATGGAACAGAACAGAGCCCTCAGAAATAATGCCACACATCTACAACTATCTGATCTTTGACAAACCTGACAAAAACAAGAAATGGAGAAAAGATTCCCTATTTAATAAATGATGCTGGAAAAACTGGCTAGCCATATGTAGAAAGCTAAAACCGGATCCCTTCCTTACACCTTATACAAAAATTAATTCAAGATGGATTAAAGATTTAAATGTTAGATCTAAAACCATAAAAACCCTAGAAGAAAACCTAGGCAATACCATTCAGGACATAGGCATGGGCAAGGACCTCATGTCTAAAACACCAAAAGCAATGGCAACAAAAGCCAAAATTGACAATTGGGATCTAATTAAACTAAAGAGCTTCTGCAAAGAAACTATCATCATAGTGAAAAGGCTACCTACAGAATGGAAGAAAAGTTTTGCAATCTACTCATCTGACAAAGGGCTAATATCCAGAATCTACAAAGAACTCAAACAAATTTACAAGAAAAAAACAAACAATCCCATCAAAAAGTGGGCAAAGGATATGAACAGAGACTTCTCAAGAGAAGAGATTTATGCAGCCAAAAGACACGTGAAAAAATGCTTATCATCACAGGCCATCAGAGAAATGCAAATGAAAACTGCAATGAGATAACATCTCACACCAGTTAGAATGACAATCATTAAAAAGTCAGGAAACAACAGGTGCTGGAGAGGATGTGGAGAAAAAGGAACACTTTTACACTGTTGGTGGGACTGTATACCAGTTCAGCCATTGTGGAAGTCAGTGTGGCGATTTCTCAGAGATCTAGAACTAGAAATTTGACCCAGGCATCCCTTTACTGGGTATACACCCAAAGGAGTATAAATCATGGTGCTATAAAGACACATGCACACATATGTTTATTGCGGCACTATTCACAATAGCAAAGACTTGGAACCAACCCAAATGTCCAACAATGATAGACTGGATTAATAAAATATGGCACATATACACCATGGAATACTATGCAGCCATAACGATTAGTTCATGTCCTTTGTAGGGACATGGATGAAGCTGGAAACCATCATTCTCAGCAAACTATCACAAGGACAAAAAAATCAACTGCATGTTCTCACTCATAGGTGGGAATTCAACAATGAGAACACTTGGACACAGGAAGGGGAACATCACACACCGGGGCCTGTTGTGAGGTGGGCGGAGTGGGGAGGGATAGCATTAGGAGATATACCTAATGTAAATGACGAGTTAATGGGTGCAGCACACCAACATGTCACATGTATACATATGTAACAAACCTGCACGTTGTGCACATGTACCCTAAAACTTAAAGTAAAATAATTAAAAAAAAAGATATCTTGAATAACTGCACACAGGTGCTGTCTAACTTCTCAGGAATGTTAGGGTTCACAACCCATTATTCCTGGCTACTTACCATTTCCTGGTTCCTACTGGCATAACTCTTTAACAAATACTTTCACCTTTCCCTTCTTTACACATTTTGCCTCCCAAAATCATTGTAAACACCCCAGCCCCTAACAGGCCCTGTCTTCTTCACAATTTTAATCTATTGTACTTACCAAAAATGTTTAAATACCTAACATATGCCAGGTATGGTGCTTGTTGCTGGAGATAGAATCAGTCATGAACCAAAACAGACTTGGTTCTTTTCTTCACTGAGTTTACATTTTACTTCAGGAAAAACAAATTATTTTTAAAAGTCACACACATGAAAGTAAAATTACAGGTAGAATAAGTGCTGGGAAGTACAGGTGCTATGAATGTGTATTAAAAAGTGAAGCTTTCTTTAGTTAGGAATATCCGGTAAGGCTTCTCTGAGCAAGTCACATAAATTAAAATTTGAAGAAAGAACAGAAGACCACCAGGTAAAGAAAATGTGTTTATAAGGATGGGAAAAAATGTTCCAGATACAGCAGTATGTTCAGAGGCCCTGCAGCAAGATATATTCAAGGTATTGAAATAAGGGCAATAAAACTGGAGCCCAGAAAATGTGGAAAAACAAAGCAAAGGTACAGCTGCAGTGGTAGGCCAGGCCAGTCCATGCAGGGCCTTCAGGTCATAGTAAGGATTTTGAACATCATACTAAAAGTAAAAGAAATAAGCTCTTAAAGTGTTTCTAAGAAAGGATAAGGGTGGGTGATATTATCAGATTCATGTTTTGGGAAGATAACTTATGCTGCAGTGCAAAGAACAAATTCAAAAGCATTAATTCAGATATAATTAATGAGAGGTCATTTTAGAAGTCTAAGTGAGAGAATAGACTTGTGGCAGTAAGATTGGAGATAATATTATTATAAATATTCTAGAAATAATAATAAATTAAAGAGATATTTCAGAGACAGGTGTCACTCACAGGATGATGCAATAGATTGGGTATGTGTGTGAGGGAGAAGGAAATGTCAAGAATGACTTCCAGGTCTCTAGGTAGATGGTAAAGCCATCTACACTGAGAAGAAGACTATAAAAGAATCAGATTTGGGAAGCAAGACCATGTTGAACAATGCTTAGATGGAGGAGGATTTGTTATATCCTAATTGAAAATTCAATTCGACCGTTTGATATAGAGATCTGCTTGTCAGAAAGGAATGAAGTAAAATGGAAGATCTGGGGCTCATTAAGGACTCAAGGGCACCTGGCCTCTATCCGATAGAAGAAACACATGACTTCTGTAGTGCTCCAAGGTGTCAGATAAAGGAGCACTTTCCAATAGCCTGAGCTCTCCTGAGATGGAATTGGATGCCTTGGTAAATAATGCATGAGGTTTTATCACAGATACTAGACGGTTTTCCACCAGAGATGCTATACAAAACCTTCAATTATCAAATGATGGGTCTGTCACGAGATGCCTTCTAAGCTGTCACTATGTCCAAAAGTCAGGTCAATGCAACAAAATTCCACCATAAAATATTCAAAGAAGTAAACCATCAGTGTCTGTCTTTTGGGAAGAAAACTTGTCATAAATGCAAGGATCTGAGGAGGCCCAGTTCTCTTAAATCTACACCTTATCCTGGGTGGTAAAATACCTGAAGTGCAAATCTGACTTACTACTCTCTTCATCTGGTAGACATTTGATGTATGAAAATGCTCTAAAACTTTGAAGTCTTTGCCTGAGTTGTTCTTTGAGTTGTTCTTCTGTGAATCCCAGAATCAACCAATAAAGTTTGGAATCCTAAATCCTAAATAATAGCTTTTTTTTTTGAAACACTTGAAAGTTCTGGAAAGGGAACAGATACTGAGCACTCACTATGCTCTGGGTACTTTAAATCTCAGTGCAGCCAGGGAAGAAACTAGTATTATCCTCATTTCACAGGTGAATAAACTAAAGTGTCTAGAAGTCAAACAACTTGTCCAAGACCATTTAACTAGAAAGTAGCAGAGCTGGGATTTTTACCCCAGATATTCCTGACCCCAACTCCAGTGGACTATCTCTGAGGTCCAGGCCATTCACTCCTGCTTCATAAGCAAAATATCCAGTGTCATTTACCCTCAGGACATTCTTATTCACTATTTTTTATTTTGAAAGGATTTTAGACTCATAAAAGTTACAAATTGTTACAGAGAGTTCCCATTTATCCTTTGTTTAATTTTCCCTGATGATAGCAACTTGCATAGTCATAGTATATTATCAAAGCCAGGAAACTGATATTGGCTTAATACTATTAACTAAACTACACATCTTAATGAAATTTCATCAGTTTTTACATGCAATTTCTGTGTGTATTTGTGTGTAGTCTTATGAAATTTTTATCATGTTTATAGATTTAGGTAACCACCACAACAATCAGAATATCAAACTCTTTCATTATGACAAAGAAATTCCCTGTGCTACTTCTTTATAATCACAGCCTCTTAGAACTCTAACCAATGGTAACTACTGATTTGTTCATAACTACAATTTTGTTATTCTGAGGATGTCTTATAAATGGAATCATACAGTAAGCAATTTTTGGAGATTGACTTTTTCACTTAGTATAATTGTCTTTGAGCCCCATTCAAGTTGTGTGTATTTATAGTTCATTCCTTTTTATTGCTGAGTAATATTGGTATAATACAGTTTAACCATTCACCTGTTTATGGAGAATAGATTGGGGAAGAGACAGATAGAAGAGATACTGCCTATTTTAAACTTCTAATTGTGTATGGAGGACTAGAAGAGGTGATAGGACTTACTAAGCTTCAGCCAACTATAGCAGAGCTGAGACAACAACAGTAACTGCTAGTCCTTATATAGTACCTATCTGTTGCCAGCCACTATTTTAAGTACTTTATATGTATCAATCTAGGAGGTAATAAAAACAATTATCTCCATATTACAGATGAGGAAACTGAAGCATATAGAAGTTAAGTAACTTGTCTGGCATTATGCTAAGTGAAATAAGCCAGGCACATAATACAAATACTGCATAATCTCACTTATATGTGGAATCTAAAAAAGTCGAACTTACAGAAACAGAGTTAAATGGTTGTTGCTGGGCTTGGCTAGGGGCTGGAGTATGGGGATATATTGGTCAAGAGGAACAAAGTTTCAGGTAGACATGATGAAAAATGTCTGTGTAGCTATTGTACAGAATGGTGACTATAATTCATAATAGCGTCTTGTATACTTGAAAATTTCTAATCTTAAATGTTCTCACCACAAAAAAATATAACTTTTTGCTATCTATCTTATGTGAAATGTGAAGTTAACAAAAAGACTTTTTTATCTTATGTGAAGTGATGGATATATTAATTAGCTTGATTGTGGTAATAATTTTTATTATTGTAGAAATAATCAAAACATGTTGCATATTGTAAATAAATATAATTTGTATTTGTTAATTATACTTAATAAAGGCAGAAAACCATCAAATACAAACACTCTTCCTAGTGGGAAGGACAATTCAAAAGAAAAGGTCACTTGTCTGGCATCACACAGCTAGTAAGTTTCAGGATCAGGATTAAAACTCAGGTTGTTTGATTCCTGAATAACCATTACACTACACTGCAATGCCTGGCAAGGTTTTCTACCTCCTTGGCCAGGATGCATTCCTATGCATCAAGGCAGTTCCATGGACTCTAAGATAGGAAAGGTCTTCCTTTATATCAGTAAATTGAGTTATTTCAGATGCTTAACTGCTACTTTAGTCTTGAATGCCTCTAACTTCTCCACTCATACTTATACCCAAGTAACTCAAATTTAGCTTTCTACAGAAAATAGTCTTTAACCACTCCAGACTGCATTCACCAGAGAGTATTGAAATGGCAAATTTTGGATGCCCCTACTAGATACTACTTGGCCCATGCCCCGCATAATCCAAATGGATAAACCATGGCCCACATGGGCGGGGTGGGGGCGGCAACTGCAGATAGATTTTGTCCAAAATTAATTTATTAAAAACCTTTCATTTGGGTAATTAATTCAACAGATATTTACTAGGAGTTTACTACGAGTAAAGTACTATATGAGATTCTGTGTGTAGAGAAGTGAACAAAATATCGAGAATTTTTGCTCCCTAAGAGCTTATAAACTAATGAGAAGAGATACAATAATAATAAATGTATACTATATCAGGTGATGATCATTGCTAAGGGAAAGAAAAGTTGATTAAGAAGAATATAAAATGATGATTTGGGGGTTGTGTTATATTAGATGGTCAGGAAAGTCTCTGAGGATGTAACCTTTGAACAGAGAATTGAGGTGAGTAAGCCATGAGGATATCTGGGAGAAGATCATTCCAGGCAGAGCTAACAGAAAGTACAAAGACCCTGAGGCAGGACAATATTTGGTATGTTCAATGAATAGGGCTTCATATTTCACAAACCACAGTCACATAATTCCACTTGATCTTTCAAATGACCATATGGCACAAGCAAAGTAGAACAGTTATTATTGTACATTTTTGTAATTGAGATTCTAATAGGTTAATGACTTGCCAAAGATCATATAGCAAGTTATTATAAATTTTTCTATCTTCTAATAGCTGCAAATTGGTGTCCTTTTCTTACAACTACCTTGTGAAGTTCTTTAGTAACTTGATGTTCTAAGGATTATCCTAGACAATGAATCACCTCCTTGGGCATGCCAGGCTCTGTAAAAAGAAGTATGTTGGGGGGGCATATCAACAATAACTTTCTGCCTCATAGGAATCATGAACTCATTTATGTGAGGTGGGGAAATATAAAGGCCAACTTGCAGAAAAGTGGTATTCCATTGCCCAAGCTTCCTTAGATAATGTACATGTTGTACTATTAGGAAAGGGCAATATTGGACACAGATAGTCTACAAATCCTCATAATTCAATGGATTCTACTTAACTAACCATTCTAGTTGTGTTGTGTTTCAAGCATTTGGTTCTGACTTTTGACTCTATTAGCTCAAACCATGATCTCTACCTGTGCAATCTCACTCAGGAAGCTACAGGAGTGTGTTTTTCCCTACCCTCCTTTGATTTACTTTCTGACCCAGGCTCCTTAAAAGTTGATGTTTCATTCTTAGGTCATCAGGAAATGGAATGAGATGAATACTTTGCAACAGTTACCATTAAACAAGTATTTTCTTGAGTCCTATGTGCTGAAAGCTATCTTATGTGAAGTGATGATGTATTAATTAGCTTGATTATATACAATATAAAAGATAAGTTTATGGACAGGTAACTAGAAACCAGGAAATCCATGCCACATCTCCCATCATTGACGCAGGAAACCAGGAGTTAATGGGTAGAAAAAGGGGACATCTAGCTTCCTACTACTGATTGGTCTGGCATTCATTCACAGTCTTCCTGAGAGTAGTAGAAACAAGTAATCAGTCACCTGCCAGGTAAAGCATCTGCACCAGATTTAAAAGCTACCAGGAATCAATAAAAGTGGTTATGCAATTTTCCTACAGGAGGTTAATGGAGAGTCAATACTAGGATAGCAACTTACATACTTTCTCTAAATTTAAGCCAAAAGCTGAGAATTATTTCCTAAGATGGCAGAATGTCCACAGTTTAGGTGGGTGTCACCTTTAGGACAGGAAAGTAATGAAGGTGATGGAAAAGTAGCAACCAGAATAAGGAGTTTGGGAAAACACAATATAAGGAGTTTGGGAAAACACAATGTTACTAAAAACAAAGGAAGGAGATCTGGGGACTGTTTTGGTTTAAATTTGAAAGTTTTGGGCCAGACAAGACTATAGGTGAGGGAGAATAAAACCAGACACTGTGAAAAATAAAAGTCATTGGTCTTGGTACTAAGCATGCTATTGAAGAGGAGCAGGTTGAAGTCAGAGACATCTGGAGATAAAGAATGGTAGGAAGAGATGAATACAGACTGTTAAGGAAGAGATAGGAACATGAAGGCACAAAGTACAGACTTCACATTTATGTTTTTATACATACTCTCCCACACACTCCAGATTTCTACAGTCAGAGGTGTGGGATTCAAAATAATCATATGCTTGATGAATTTGGATTTATCTGGTACAGCAGCCCAGATTAAAGGAATATGGGGCTTAGGAGCAGCACAGAAAAAATGACTTATGATTTCAGGTGATAGTCATTTTAATTGGAGTCAGCTATGGCTGGTGCTGCCAACAAAGCAAATGGAAAAAAACTGCATTCATGGAATATTGGGTCCCAGAACAAATGTAGTGATGGCCCCACTTTACCCCAAGCAGCTCAGGCTTTACCCAGAGCACTTTTGTCAGCCCTAGCCCCATGCTTAGATGAGGACCTGCAAAAAGCTGATCTTATCTATAAGAGAACAATTAGGATGGATCCAAGATTTTGCCAGGACCAGTAAAAGGAGTTGGGGATATTTAGCCTGTGAAAAAGATGGAGGAGGGTAGAGATTGGATGTGGTCTCTGTATTCAGACCTCCAAAGGGTCATCATGGGAAAGAAATAATATACAGGACCTGTGTGGCTGTAGGGGAAGAATTAAATAGCTAAAGTTATTCAAAGATAAAATGAGTTGCCTTAGAAAATAGTGAGCTCTACCTCACTGGGTATTTCCAAGTTCAAAATCCATAATTAGTTGTTGGAGATACAAGAGTCAGTGGTGAAAGGGTGAGTTTTTGAATGCTCTGAGGATGGAAAACAGTTGTATGAATGCATGACTGATTATCCTGAAGAAGATGACTCAGGGGTCACAGTCTCAGCCCTCAGACCTCTCAAAGGCTGTCACAGGGGAGAAAACAATCGGTGTGGGCCCAGGAGGCAGAGCTGGGACTCATGAGTAGAAATTACAGTTGAGACAAATTTTGACTCAAGTGGAAGATAAATTTTAGAAGAGGCAATGCTGTCCACAGTTGGAATAGGCTGCTTTGGAAAGCTTGTCTCAGAAGATGAGCAATGAGGAGCTATCAACTTACCTTTTACTCAATCCTGGCTGCTCATTTTAATTATCTAGGAGCCAGTGTTTAGCTGCCATCCCCAGAGATTCTGATTAATTAGCTTTGAGTGTAGCATGTGCATAGAGATTCTTTTAAGTTCCCTAGGTAATTCTAATGTGCAACCAAAGCTGAGAACCACTACAGAGAAATGCCTACAATGGTAGTGTATAGTAGGCGGAGAGCTTATGAAATGAGAAATGAAGTTAGGACCTGATGGGATTGAATAAAGTAATTTCTAAGATCACATCCAGCCTGATACTGTAACATTGAATGAGCCAAAATATGTTACCCTTTTTCAAGGAAATTTGCATTTAAAGAGGTCCATAGTACTCCAACAGTGCTAACCCTAAACAAATGAGTTCTGATTAGTATAATTTCATATCCCACAGTGCCTAGTGAGTGACATAGTTTGGAGCAGTTTTTAAATCATAGCGTGTAGCTAGCAGTCTATATTGTTCTTCCTCAACATAGGCCCAGGGGATGAGAGTTCCTTGAATTACACCTGAAACTCATATGGAGGCCTCTGACTCCCAACTTATTGGCAATGAGCTGTATTTGGGTTTGATTCAAAGTCCCAGGAGCTTTCTCAAGAATTATAGAGATGACTGTCCAGTGGATGTGGATAGCAATATGTAGTATGTATTTAGAGAGGAGGTGGGTAGGCGAACAAAAGTCAGAGCTAAATGTGGCTAAAGTAAAAGACAAAAGAGACAGAAATGGAGAGACAGAGAAACAGATGGAGAAAACAAAAAGAGATGGACAGAGATAGAGAAGCAGCAATAGAACACACACACAAGGGAGAAATAAGCAAGAACATGTGATCAGTAGTCCCCATTCCATTTGGCATCTAGATTTTTCTACAGAAATTCTCTTTTCTTCTTCAGAGCCTAACGAATGTCAGACAACATTCTAGGAAATATAACATTCATCATATATTTCCAGCCAGAAAATCCATCATGCTCCTAAAGATCCAGTGCTTCCAGCACTTCCAGTGTATCCATTTGAATCAGTGCTTTAGAGGGCAGATCTGTTGAAAATACAAACTATTTTGTGACCAGCCTGGCCAATATGGTGAAACCCTGTCTCTACTAAAAATACAAAATTAGCCAGGCGTCGTGGTCATCGCCTGTAATCACAGCTACTCAGGAGGCTGAGGCAGGAGAATCACTTGAACCTGGGAGGCGGAGGTTTCAGTGAGCCGAGATCGCGTCATTGCACTCCAGCCCGGGCAAAAAGAGACAAACTTCGTCTCAAAAAAAAGAAAAAAGAAAAAAGAAAAGAAAGAAACTACAAACTATATGTGGCTTTGGTTAAATCCAAACTCCACATGGGAATCCCCAAGCAACACATGTGGGATCTCAGAAGGCTGAAAAAATTTCTTCAGAATTCTGGAAAACAAAACCGCCTGGGAAAGGGTTCACTGTCATCCAGGACTCCAAATTTTTCATCCGTATATTCTAATCTTCTTCCCATGAAGTTGTATCTACATTTGGGGGCAGGCACGTGTCAAATAGACTGTCTAAAACACCAACCTCAGCCTAGAATTGGACTTTGGTCAATTTAAGAAGCAGAAAGGCTAGGTCTAAAGAAGTCTGACCTACCCAGAACTTCAAAGGTCTCTCATTGTTTTTTGACCATTTCCCATTGGATGCTTACTTATCACAATGTTTAGCTGGCAGAAACTCTGGCTTCAAGCCTTCTGTTTCACTGCACTTATGTCTCCCAGACATTTCTCATGTTTTTAAGTTTTCCCAGTGTGACCCGGAACTGGCTCCGTTTGTCTGCTCTTTCTTGTAGTCTTGACTTGACTTCAAATTTCTGAAGGCCCATGGATCACAGTTGCACTCTATCAAGTTCCCTAGCAGGGCAAAAATGTGAAGTCCTGAAATGTAACCCTAGAACAGCCCATACAAGAAACTCTTTGGGGTAACATTTCCTCTTCCACTTTGAGTAATTCTTTCTGACCCTGATACTACCCTGGGTCCTTAGAGATTCTTCTGAACTATGCCTTTAAAGATGTTCCCTTACTCTGCCTACTGGAGCTCAGTGTATACACAGTCCATTCAATTGGAGACTTCCTACCCGTAGCACAAACACATCAGAAGTTCAGCCAGTACATGCCAGTACAAGCTTACCTGTTATCTAGGGTTTGTGACAATTCTGAACGATCATATTTCCTGTCACTAGTTGGTGCTATTGTCATACCAAATAATTAATATTTTAAACTCTTACTAGTAACAAACGTTATGCCTCCTACTGAATAACTTAGCACACATTAAAACATTGGTGAAAATCTTTAGTCTTCAAAATTTTGCCTCCTAATATATGGATGCTCCACCTCAATCTCACACTCTTGGGAACAATAATCTCCTCTACTTCTACTCATCTTGATATGTGGCTCTCATATACCAAATTTCTTCAAGCCGTCCTGCTTTAATTTTCTTCCTTTTTTATTTTTATTTTTTCTGTTTTACAGTAGTACCTATTCACCATTTACATCAGTCTACCTGGTTTTCTGAAAACAATGTTTTTGGATTCCCCTCCGCCATACTCCAAAACTATGAATCTCCACAAAGGGTGGCCTTTCATCCGGGACTCTCAATATTTGATCCACATATCCTAACCCCCTCCCTCATGAAACCAAACAAGATTCTCTCTTAAGCATTATCACCTTTGAGTTACGAAATCCTAGAATGTCAGAGCTTCAGGGGGATCTTTAAGATAATCTACTCTAACCTTTCCATTTTCAAGAAGTGGAGAAACTGAGGCCTGGAAAGAGGGATGATGTTCTGTAAGAACCCATATAAATTATGTGAAATTTTTCTACCTGGCAGAGAACACTTACACTCATTGGGGTCTATTTGTCTACACTGACACAGGCTCATATCTTTCTTGTTTTTGCTTGTTTGTTTTAACGGCTTTATTTTGAGGTGCAATTCACCAATCTAAAGTGTACAAACTAAATGATTTTGGTATATCACTGATATAGTTTAGATGTTATTCCCTCAAAATCTCATGTTGAATTGTAATCCTCAGTGTTGGAGTTAGAGCCTGGTGGGAGGTGTTTGGGTCATGGAGATTGATTCCTCATGGTTTGGTGCTGTCCTTATGATAGTGAGTAAGATCTCACGAGCTCTGGTTGTTTAAAAGTGTGTGGAACCTCACTCCCCAACTCTCTCCCTTGCTTCTGCTCTCATCATGATACATGCCTGCTCTTCCTTCACCTTCTGCTATGAGTAAAAGCCCTCTGAGGTGTCCCTGGTAGCCAAGCAGTTGCCGGTGTCATGCTTGTGCAGTCTTCTGAACTGTGAGCCAATTAAGCTTGTTTTCTTTATGAATTACCCAGCCTCAGGTATTTCTTTACAGCAATACAAGAATGGCCTAACATAAAAAGTTGGTACCAAGAGTGGGGTATTGCTGAAAAGATACCTGAAAATGTGGAAGCAACTTTGAAACTGGGTAACAGGTAGAGGTTGGAAAGTTTGGAGAGCTCAGAAGAAGATAGGAAAATAAGGGAAAATCTTGAGCGCCTTAAAAACTAATTAAATCATGGAGACAAAAATGCTTATGTGATGTGAATGGTAAAGTCCAGGCTTATGAGATATCAGTCAGAAAGAAATGAAGAACATTTGGTGAACTAGATCAAACGTCACTCTTTTATGCCTTAGCAAAGAACTTGGCTGTATTGTGTTCATGTCCTAAGTATCTGTGAAACTTTGAACTTAAGAGTGATGACTTCAAGCATCTGTTGAATAAAAGTTTTTAACCAGCAAAGTGTTCAAGATGTGGCCTGTCTGCTTCTAACAAACTATGCTCAGATGTGAGGGCCAATCAGTGACTTAAAGTTGAAATTTATATTTAAAAGGTGAGCAGGCACATCACATGAGAAAAGCAAGAGCAAAAAGAGAGAGAATAGGGGGAGGTGTCACACTCTTTTACACAACCACATCTCATGGAAACTCATTCACTATAATAAGGATAGCACCATGCCAGGAGAAATCTACTACCATGATCCAAACATCTCCCAACCAGCCCCATCTCCAACGTTGGGGGTTACAATTCAACATGAGATTTAGAAGGGACAACACCTACATTGGGTATCACCTACATTGTTAATTTTTAAAAATTGTAGTAAATGTGCTTATACATTGGATACAAAATTAGACATTTTAACCAATTATAAGTGTACAATTCAGTGGCATTAATTACATTTATAAGATTTTGCCACTGTCACCACTATCAATTTCCAAGACTCTTTTACTACAAACAGGACTTCTGTACTAATTAAGCACTAAGTCCCCATTCCCCATTCTCTATAATTTTGCTAACCTCTAATCTACTTTCTGCCTCTATACATTTGCTTATTTTATGTGGTTCATACAAGTGGAATTATATAATATTTGTCCTTTTTTGTCTAGCTTATTTCACTTAGAACAGTGTCTTCAAGTTTTAGTCATGCTTTAGAAAATATCAGAACATTACTCATTTAATGGTTGAATAATATTCCATTGTATGTATATATCACATTTTGTTTATTCATTCATTTGTTGACAGACATTTGTGTTGTTTTAACCTTTTAAATAATACAAATAATAGTTCAATAAACATTGACATATAAGTATCTGTTCACATCTCTGCTTTCAATTTCTTTGGGTATACACCTAGGAGTAGATTGCTTTAATTTATAAATGGTAGTGATTTCCCCTAATTCATTTCTTACTTTGCTTATTGAGTCTTCTCTTTTTTTCATAGTCAATCTAGATAAAATTTGATCAATGTTGTTGATAGTTGCAAGGAACCAACACTTCATTTTTCCTATTTTCCTATTTTCTATTTTACTTATCTCTGCTCCACTCTTTATTATTTTATTCCTTCTACCAGTTTTGAATTGTTTGTTCTTTTTTATTTTATCAAAGTGTAATGTTAAGTTGTTGATTTGAGGTCTTTATTCTTTTAAATGTAAGCATTTATAGCTATACATTTCTAACCTAGGACTGTCTTCACATTATACCTAAGTTTTGGTATGTTGTGTTTTCATTTTCATGTGTTTCAAGATATGTCCTAATTTCTTTTGTGATTTCTTCCTTGACTGAATGGTTGTTTAGAAGTATGTTGCAGAAACCACGGAAAGGGCAAGATGGCCTACTAGACACAGCCAGGTGTAACAGCTCCTACCAAGGAACTGAGATGACTGGAGGTGCTCCTAATAGATCTCCAGAGAGAAGGCAACAGGAGTCGATGTAAGGAAGACACAGAAGCTCGGCTGAATTGGAAGAAAGCTGGAAACACTAGGCAGGGCTGCAGTACACCCAGACTTATTCCTGGTCAACAATGGCTCCATGGGAATAGGTGAGTTGAACAGCAAAGAGCAACCCACTTTCAACATACTCCCTGGGACCCCAGCAGCAGGAGACCCCTTGACCAACACAGACACTCCAGTTGGCAGGAAGAGCTTCTTAGATAAGTGATAGGAGCAGCAAACCAGCTAATGTGGAACCCAGAGGGTTTGATGAAGGAGCATCTGTACAGAGAATGGCCAGAGACAGCCATCGTCCTAGGCTCAACTTGCTCCTGTAGGAGATGTTAGCCTTAGGGGAACTATCAGTTCTGAACTCTGCAGAGTGGTCTTGCCAATCAGAAGGAGCAGGTCAGACCTCAGCACCCTTTGGTCTGCTGGCCTGTCCTGGGGTCTCATCTGGCCACACCTGCTTGCAGGGCAACCTTCGGTTCCCTAGGGGCACAGACTATACATTCTGCACTTGTGGACCATGGCTGACTGGCAGAGAACTTCAGCAGGAAAGACCCTAGGGCCATGCAAGCCCACATGCTCCCTCCCCATACTGTACCTTCCCCTGGGATGGAAAATTCCCACATTGCTTTGCTGGCACATGTCTGTGCAGGTGGTTTTTGCTTTCCTTTCCCTGCCAGCATGCAGAGGTACAGCCTGAATCACCTCACCCCAACTGGCATTGCAGACAAACCATTGGTGGGAAAAATCCAGCCAGCCCCATCACTTCCATCATTCCATCCTTACACTAACAATGCACAGAGAACAAAAGATGATCTCCTGCCCTGAACAACTAACTATTCCTGCTTGTAGGCCATAGGGAAGGCACCCATACCTGCACCCATCAGTGCCCACCCCCCAAGCCACCACCACCTCCAGCACGACCACACACACTAGCTAGCAGTGTACCCCCTCATCCTAGCTGTGCTGTCTCCATCACTGTTGTGAAAGGCCACAGGTAGCTAGGCACACCAGCATCTCCTAGCACTGTGCTGCATCTGCCGATACTGCTGCTGATGCTGCCATGTGCAAATGAGAATGGATTTCACTGTCACCGCACAATGAAATGCTTTGGCTGGCACCACCCATCGAAGTGCAGGGACTAGCTGTCCGGGAGCACTTTGTCCCACCAGCACAGTGAATTTCTAACCTCAAAGAGCCACAGAACAAAGTCAGGGCCCAATACAAGTCCCCCAGAGTTAGAGCATGCAGTCTGGAGTTGGGAGCTAAGTTTTGGACCCCAAAAATCTTCCAGAAATAAAACCATTCAGCTTAATCCACCTTATACCATAATCAAACCCTCAAGTTTATCAAATAAGATAAAACAAAAAAATCCAAACATCACCAACTTCAAAGATTGAAGAAAGGTAAGCCCACAAAAATGAATAAAGAAAAAATCAGTGCAAGAATCCTGACAACTAAAAAACCATAGTGCATTCTTTTCTCCAAATGATCTTCTGAAATGAGCTGAGATGGCTGAAATTACAGAAAAGGAATTCAGAATATGGATAAAAATAAAGATCATTCAGCTATAGAAGTACAATGAAACACAATCCAAGAAAGAGAAAAATTATGATAAAACAATGCAGAGATGACAGACAAAATGAACAGTATAGAAAAAAACATAACCAACATCATAGAGCTGAAAAACACACTACAAGAATTTCATAATGCAATCACAAGTAGTAATAGCAGAATAGACCAAGTGGAGGAAAGAATCTTAGAGCTTGAAAACCAAATTTTCAAATAAGTTTCAAATAAGTTTTCAGAAAACTTATCTCTGAAATAAGACAGTCAGATAAGAATAAAACAAAAACAATGAAGGGGAAAAAAACCTCTGAGAAATATAAGATTAGGTAAAGAGACCAAATCTACAACTCTTTGGTGTTCCTGAAAATGAAAAATGATGGGGAGAAGAGAACCTACTTGGAAAACATATTTCAGTATATCATTCATAAGAACTTTCTCAACCTAGATAGAGAGGGCAACATTTAAATTCGGGGAATGCAGAGAACCCCAGTAAAATACTTTCTAAAAAGATTATCACCAAGACACATAATCATCAGGTTCTCCAAGGTCAAAATGAAAAGAAAAAATGTTAAAGGCAACAAGAGAGAAAGCTCATGTCACCTACAAAGAGAAGCCAATCACAGTGGACCTCTTAGCAGAAACTCTACAAGTCAGAAGAAATTTGGAGGCAATATTTAACATTCTTTAAAAAAAAGAAATTCCAACTCAGAATTTCATAACAAGGCAAACTAAGCTTCATAAACAAAAGATAAATAAGATCCACCTCACACAAGCAAATGCTGAGGAAATTCATTATCACCAGAACTGCCTTACAAAAGCTCCTAAAGGAAGCACTATATATAGAAAGGAAAGGAAAGATTGTTACAAGCCACTACAAAAACACATTAAAGTACACAGACCAGTGACACTATAAGGCAACCACGTAAACTATTCTGCAAAATAACCAGATAAAATTGTGATGACAGGATTATATCCACACATACGAATATTAACCTTGAATGTAAATGGGCTAGATGCCCCAATTAAAAGGCACAGAGTAACAAGCTGCATAAAGAACCAAGATACCCATTGGTATGCTGTCTTTAAGAGACCTATCTCATATGCAATGACACACATAGGCTCAAAATAAAGAGATGAAGAAAAATCTACTAAGAAAATGGAAAACATATAAAAGCAAGGATTGCAAACCTACTTTCAGGCATAACAGACTTTAAACCAATGAAGATCAGAAAAGACAAAGAAGGTCATTATATAATTGTAAAGGGGTTAATTCAACAAGAAGATATATATATATATCCAACACAGGAGCACCTAGATTAATAAAACAAGTTGTTGTAGACCTTAAGAAACTTAGACTCCCACACAGTAATAGTGGAAGACATCAACACCCCACTGACAATATTAGACAGATAATTGACACAGAAAATTAACAAATATATTCAAGACCTGAACTCAACACTGGATCAAATGGACCTGATAGTCATGGAGAGAATGCTCCACCCAAAAAAACAGAATATACATTAGTCTTATTGCCATGTGTCACATACTCTAAAATGAATCACATAATCAGAAATAAAACACTACTCAGCAAATTCAAAAGAACTGAAATGATAACAATGTCTCAGACCATAGTGCAAGCAAATTAGCAATCAAGACTAAGAAATTCATCCAAAACCATACAATTAAATGGAAATTGAATAACCTGCTCCTGAATGACTTTTGGGTAAACAATAAAATTAAGGCAGAAATCAAGAAGTTATTTGAAATTAATAAGAAGATAAATACAACATACCAAAATCACTGAGACACAGTTAAGGCAGTGTTAAGTTGAAAATTTACAGCACTGAATGCTCACATAAAGAAGTTAGAAAGATCTCAATTTAACAACCTAATATCATAATTAAAAAAAAATAGAGAATCAAGAGAGAAATCCCAAAGGTAGCAGAGGACAAGAAAGAATCAACATCAGAGATGAACTGAAAGAAATTAAGACACAAGAAACCATTCAAAAAGACTAACAAATCCAATAACTGGTTTTCTGAAAAAGAGTAATAAAATAGATCACTAGTGAGACTAATAAAAAAGAGAGGAGAGAATATTCAAATAAACACAATCAGAAAGAAAAAATGGTATTACCACTGACCCCACAGAAATACAAATAAAAGGAGAATATTATGAATGCACACAAACTAGAAAATCTAAAAATGAATGGATAAATTCCTGCACACATACACCCTCCCAAGACTGAACCAGAAAGAAATTGAATCCCTAAATAGGCAATAACAAGCTCTAAAATTGAGTCAGTTATAAACAGCCTACCAACAGAAGATGCCCAACAACAGATGAATTCACAGCTGAATTCTCCCAGCTGTACAAAGAAGAGCTGGAACTATTTCTGCTGAAAGTATTTCAAATAATTGAAAAGAAGGGATATCGTTCTAACTCATTATATAGGACCAGCATTATCCTGATACCAAATCCTGGCAGAGACAAAACAGAAAGAGAAAACTTTAGGCCGATACCCTTGATGATCATTGATGCAAAATCCTTAACAAAATACTGGCAAAGTGAATCAAGCAGCACATCAAAAAGCTTACTCACCACAATTAAGGAGGCTTTATCCCTGGAATGCAATGTTGGCTCAACATAAACAAATCAATAAAAGTGATTCATCACATAAAGAGTACTAAAGACAAAACCACAGGATTATCTCAATAGATGCAGAAAACTCTTTCAATAAAATTAAACAACCCTTCACGTTAAAAACTCTCAATAAACTAGATATTGTGGTAACATACCTCAAAATAATAAAAGCCATATATGACAAACCCACAGTCAGCATCATACCAAATAAGCAAAACCTGAAAGCATTCCCCTTGAAAACTGGCACAAGACAAGGATGCCCTCTTTCACCACTCCTATTCAACATCGTATTGACAGTCCTGGCCAGAGCAATCAGGCAAGAGAAAGAAACAAAGGGCATCCAAATAAGAGAGAAAGTCAAAATATTCTTGTTTCCAGATGACACAAATAGGAAAACATTCCATGGTCATGAATAGGAAGAATTAGTATAGTTAAAATGGCCATATTCCCTAAAGTGATTTATAGATTCAATGCTATTCCCACTAAACTACCATATAAATCATGCTGCTATAAAGACACATGCACACGTATGTTTATTGCGGCATTATTCACAATAGCAAAGACTTGGAACCAACCCAAATGTCCAACAATGATAGACTGGATTAAGAAAATGTGGCACATATACACCATGGAATACTATGCAGCCATAAGAAATGATGAGTTCATGTCCTTTGTAGGGACATGGATGAAATTGGAAATCATCATTCTCAGTAAACTATCGCAAGAACAAAAAACCAAACACCGCATATTCTCACTCATAGGTGGGAATTGAACAATGAGAGCACATGGACACAGGAAGGGGAACATCACACTCTGGGGACTGTTGTGGGGTGGGAGGAGCGGGGAGGGATAGCATTGGGAGGTATACCTAATGCTAGATGACGAGTTAGTGGGTGCAGAGCACCAGCATGGCACATGTATACATATATAACTAACCTGCACATTGTGCACATGTACCCTAAAACTTAAAGTATAATAATAATTAAAAAAAAGAAAATAATGATAAAAAAACCTACCATTGACATTCTTCACAGAATTAGATAAAAACTATTTTAAAATTCAGATGGAATCATACAGGAGCCTAAATAGCCAAGGCAATCCTAAGCAAAAAGAACAAAGCTAAAGGCATCATGCTACACAACTTCAAACTGTACTACAGGGCCACAGTAACCAAAACAGCATGGTACTGGTCCAAGAACAGACACATAGAACAATGAAATGGAAGAGAGAAGCCAGAAATAAAACCACACCTACAACTATCCATTCTTCAACAAACCTAGCAAAAACAAGCAATGGGGAAATGACTCCCTATTCAATAAATGGTTCTGAGAAAACTGGATAGCGATATGCAGAAAATTGAAACTGGACCTCTTCCTTAAACAAAAATCAACTCAAGATGGATTAAAACTTAAATGTAAATCTCAAAACTATGAAAATCCTGGAAGACAACCTAGGCTATAC
The DNA here is from genome assembly GCF_000001405.40 of Homo sapiens. Classification (NCBI taxonomy): domain Eukaryota; kingdom Metazoa; phylum Chordata; class Mammalia; order Primates; family Hominidae; genus Homo; species Homo sapiens. Next base: position 66,399,849 of record NC_000023.11, on the reverse strand, counting down.
CATTCAGAATATAGGCATAGGCAAAGATTTCATGATGAAGATGCTAAAAGCAATTGCAACACAAGCAAAAATTGACAAATGGGATTTAATTAAACTAAAGGGCTTCTGCACAGCAAAAGAAACTATCATCAGGGTAAACAGACAACCTACGTAATGGAAGAAAAATTTTGCAAACTATGTATCTGACAAATGTCTAATATCCAGCATCTATCAGGAACTTAAACAATTTTCAAAAAAAACTATTAAAATGTGAACAAATGACATGAACAGACAATTTTCAAAGAAGACATACATGCAGCCAACAAGCATACTAAATAAAGCTCAACATCATTGACTATTAGAGAAATGCAAATCAAAACCACAATGAGATACCATCTCACACCAGTCAGAATGGCTATTAATAGAAAGTCAAGAAATAACAGTTGCTGGCAAGGTTGTGGGGAAAAAGAACGCTTATACATTGTTGGTGAGAGTGTAAATTAGTTCAGCTATTGTGGAAGACAGTGTGGTGATTCCTTAAAGGCCTAAAGTCAGAGATACCATTAGACCCAGCAATCCCATGGCTGAATATATACCAAAACGAATATAAATTGTTCTATTATAAAGACACATGCACACATATGTCTATTGCAGCACTATTCCGAATAGCAAAGACGTGGAATCAACCCAAATGCCCAGCAATGATAGGCTGGATAAAGAAAATGTGATACATATACACCATGGAATACTATGTAACCATAAAAGTGAATAAGATATGTCCTTTGCAGGGACATGGTTGGAGTTGGTGGCCATCATCCTTAACAAAATATCACAGGAACAGAAAACCAGATACCATGTATTCTCACTTGTAAGTAGGAGCTAAATGATGAGAACACATGGCTACATAGAGGGAAACAATGCACACTGGGGCCTATGAGAGGGTAGAGGGTGGGAGGAGGCAGAGGATTTTAAAAAATGACCATTGAATACTAGGCTTAATACCTGGGTGATGAAATAATGATTACAATAAACCCATATGACACATGTTCACCTATGTAACGAACCTGCACTTCCTGCACATGTACCCCTGTACTTAAAATAGAAGTTTAAAAAAAAAAGTACATTGTTTAATTTCCACTGATTTTCAAGATCCCGTCTTTTTCTTAATGATTTCTGGCTTTATTCCATTTAGTTTCAAAAGCTACTCTTTATTTCAATATTTTAAAAAACATAAAGACTTGTTTTTTGGCTTAGCATGTACAATATCCTGGAGGATGCTCCTTGTGTGTATTGAGAAAGATGTGTATTCTTCTGTTGCTGTCTGGAATATGTCTGTTAGGTCAAGTTTCTCTATACTGTTATTTAAGTCCTCTCTTTCTTTGTTGATTTTCTACCTGGTTATCTATTCATTATTGAAAGTGGGATAATGAAGTATGCTACCATTAATAAAGAGATGCCAATTTCTCACTTTAATTCTGTCTATATTTACAGTACATATTTTGGAGTTTTATATATATATATATATTTATAATAAATATTACTTCTTGGTAAATGGATTCTTTTATAAATATCTAGTATCTTTTTTGGCCTCTTGTAATAGATTTGACTTAAACTTTATTTTAGCAAAATAGCCACCCATGTTCTCTTTTGATTACTTTTTGCATGGAGTATGTTTTTTCATACTTTCACTTTCAATTTATTTAAGCTTTTGCATCTAAATTGAATCTCTTGTAGACAGCATATAGTTAGATTGATAATATATATATTTTAAATTGGAAGTTAATCAATTTTATTACAAGTAATTACTGATAGAGAATGACTTCCTTTTACCATTTTTTTTACTTGTTGCTGTATATATTATAGCTTTTTTTTATTCTGCCTGCCTCTATTACTACTTTTCATTGTGTTTAGTTGATTTTTGTGGTAGCACATTTCAATTTCTTCTCATTTCTATAGATATTTTCTCTGTAGCTAACCTGAGGATTACATATAACACCTAAAGTTATAACCTGTTTTATATTAATACCAACACAACTTTAATACATTCAAAAACTCTACCCCTTTACTGTTCCACTCCTCCCTTGATTTTATTGATATTACTAATTACATCTTTATGTATTACATACTCATAAGTTTACAATTATTTTTATGCATTTATTTTTTTAAATTTGTAGAAAATAAAAATAAAATAAAAAATTAAAAAGTGGAGTTACAAATCAAAATTACAGTAACACTTTCAAAAATATTTTTTTATGTGCCCAGTTTTACCAAAGGACTTTATATTTTCATATTGATTCATTACTGTCTAATGTCCTTTAATTTTAACTTCAATTACTCCCTTTATGATTTCATACATGGTATGTCTAGTGGCAATAAAATCCCCCAGCTTTTGTTTATCTGGGAAGTTATCAGTTTATGCTCCATTTTAGTAGAACAATTCTTTTCAGATATAAAATTCTTAGTTGACAGTTGTTTTCTACTCTCAGCACTTTAAATATATCATCCCACTGCCTTCTGGCCTTGCAGATTTCTGATGGGAAATCTACTAAGAGCATTATATAGATTTTTTATACTTAATGAGTCATTTTTGTTTCTCAATGCATTTAAAATTGTCTCTTTGACTTTGGTTTTTGACAATTTGATCATAATATGTGTTAGTGTGAATATTTCTCTTTCATTCCACTTGCAGCTGGTTAGACTTATTGGATTTGTAGATCTATATCCTTCCTCAAATATGGAAGATTTTCAGCCATTATTTCTTCAGTTAAAACCTCTTCCCATTTCTCTCTTTCTTCTACTCCTAAAACATGTATAATGTGTATATTGGTCTGCTTGATGGTGTTTCAATGTTTCTTAGGCTCTTTTCAGGTTTGCTGATCCTTTGTTCCACCTATTCAAATCTGCTATTAAACCCCTCTGTATTAGTTATTGTTCTCTACAGAGACAGAACTGATAGGATATACATAGATAGATACAAAGTGGGGTTCATTAAGTATTAACTCACATGATCAAAAGATTCCACAATAGGCCATCTGCAAGCTGTGGATCCAGGAAAGCCTTTCCAAGTCCCAAACTGAAGAACTGGGAGTCCAGTGTTTGAGGGCAGGAAGCATCCAACACGGGAAAAAGGTGTAGGCTGGGAGCCTAGGCCAGTCTAATCTTTTCACGTTTTTCTGCCTGTTTTATATTCTAGCTATGCTGGCAGCTGATTACATCGTGCCCACCAAGATTAAGGGTGGGTCTGCCTTTCCCAGCCCACTGACTTAAATGTTAATCTCCTTTGGCAACACCCTCACAGACACACCCATGAACAATAATTTGCATCCTTTATCCCAATCAAGTTGACACTCAGTATTAACCACCACAAGTACAACTCTTGTAAACTTGAACCCATACATATCTCCTCAGATCATACATAATCTTCAAATAAATACAATAATAATGTCATAATTACACCAAACAACATACAACTATCCTTCATACAACCAAAAATACACCAATATCCAACCCAAATACTATAACATAAACTTAACAATACTTTCATGTTGATACAACATCAATTAATCTTATGTCACATGACAAAGGATAAAGAAAATAAAAAGATATTTTCTTAGTATAAGTGTACATACATGCACAAACCTGTTTTTAACTAAAGAAAGAGAAAATACTCATGACAATCACAGTCCTCATTTCTGCAGCTAGTCACGTGGTCATAGCTGATATTGATGACTGCCTTCTTGTACTACCCAATCTGTAACCCTTTGCCTTCAGCAAGCACCTCAGCAGGTCATTTTATTTTCAGGTGAAGTGAACCAAATCTTCATTCTTGAAGGGCCTGGGCCATTTGTAGTCTTTCCTAGATTGGACTGTTGTAGCTTTCCATTGACCTTAATCACAGGGCATGGTAGTATTAAGAGATGCCCTTATGGATCTCATATATTCCATGTATTCTCTTCCTTATCTCCATTGTGGAGTACTAGACTGATTCCATCTTGAGAGTCTGGGTCAATCACCCCAGTCAACACTGTAACTCCCTTCCTAGCCTGTTGACTTCCAGGTAGGAGGAGCCCAAAGTGTCCAGGTGGCAATCTTAACCTCCAGTATAATGGAATCATTGTTGTGTCTCCTGGTTGCAGTATTCCTCCCTCTGGAACTAAGAATCTAGTCACAGCAGAACGTAATGTCACTGGAACAGGAAGCAAAAAAAACTGGCTAGTGGATCGCTAGAGGTCATAGTGAATGGTGCTTCTTCCACTTCCACCCCTTGATTCCTGGACCTGTGAATCCTGGCGATGGGAGAAACAGTACCATACATTGAAAGCCAATTAAAAGCATACATGGCTCTCTGGAGGACTTTTCCCCAGCCCTGCAAAGTATTGTCACCTACTTGGGATTGTAATTATGAGTTCAAAAGGCCATTCCACTATTCTATCAATCCAGCTGTTTCAGGATAATGGGAAATATGGTAAGGCCAGTGAATTCCATGAGCATGAGCCCACTGCTGCACTTCTTTAGCCTTAAAGTGAGTGCCTTCATCAGAGGCAATGCTGTGTGGAACACCATGACAGTGGATAAGGCATTCCATGAGTCCACAGATGGTAGTTTTGGCAAAAGCATTGCATGCAGAATAGGCAAACCCATATCTGGAGTTAAGTGTCTATTCCAGTGATGACAAAACTCTGCCCTTTCCATTATGGAAGAGGTCCAATATAATCAACCTGCGACCAGGTAGCTGGCTGATAACCCCGAGGAGGGGTGTCATATCGAGGGCTCAGTGTTGGTCTTTGCTGCTGGCAAATTGGGCACTCAGCAGTGGCCGTACCCAGGTCAGCCTTGGTGAGTGGAAGTCCATGTTTCTGAGCCGATGTGTAACTTCCATCCCTGCCACCATGGCCAATTTGTTCATGGGTCCATTGGGCGATGACAGGGGTGGCTGGGGAAAGAGGCTGTGTAGTGTCCACTTGATTATTAAACTCCTCCTCTGCTGAGGTCACCTGTTGGTGAGCACTCACATGCAATACAAATATCTTCACAGTTTTTGACCACTCAGGGAGGTCGATTCACATATATCTTCCACAAATTTCTCTGTCATCAATTTTTCAATCATGCATCTTTTAAGTCCCTGACCATCCAGCCAAACACTTGGCTACAGCTCATGAAGCAGTACGTAATCACACATCTGGTCATTTATCCTTCCATGGAAAGTACACAACCAGGTGCACTGCTTGAAGTTCTGCCCACTAGAAAGATTTCCCTTCACTGCTGTCCTTCAGGGATGTCCTAGAAAGGGGCTATAGTGCTGCAGCTGCCCACTTTTGGGTGGTGCCTACATATCGTGCAGAACCATCTGTGAACCAGGCCCTAGTCTTCTCTTTCTCCATCAACTGATCATAGGGAAGTCCCTATGAGGCCTTCAGTGCAGGCTCGGGAAGAGAAGACACGGTGGCAGGAGTGGAGCCTATGGACATTTGAGACATTTTCTCGTGTAACTTACTTGTGTCTTCAGGACCTGCTCAAGACCAAACACATATATACCACTTCCAGTTCATGATGGAATGTTTGTGTGAAGAACCCACTTTATGGCTAGATGGGTCAGAAAACACCCAGTTCAATATAGGCAGTTCAGTTTGCATACTGACTTGAATACACATAGTCAAACATTCAGTTTCTACCAAAGCCCAGTAACAGGCCAAAAGCTGTCTCTCAAAAAAAAAGAGTAGTTATCTGCAGAAGACAGCAGGGCCTTGCTCCAAAACCTTAGAGGCTTCTGCTGTGATTCACCTATGGGAGCCTGCGTGAGGCTCCAAACAGCATTCCTATCTGTGACTGACACCTCAAGCACCATTGGATCTGCTTGGTCATATGGCCCAAGTAGGAGATCAGCTTGCACAGCAGCCTGGACCTGTTGCAGAGTACTCTTCTGTTCTGAGTCCCCACTTAAAAGTGTCAGCCCTTCAGGCCACTCAATAAATGGACCAGAGTAACACACCCAAATGAGTAATGTGTTTCTTTCAAAATCCAAATATGCCCACTAGCATTGTGCCTCTTTCTGGTTCTAGGACAAATGCAGCAATTTATCCTTTACCTTAGAAGAAATACCTCCACAGTCCCCATTTAACTGTACCCCTACAAATTTTACCTAGTTAGAAGGTCCCTGAATTTTAGTCAGATTTATTTCCAATCCTCTGTCATGTAAATGTGTCACCAATAAATTTAATGTGTTACTTCTTGCTCATTGGATTCAATCAACATAATGTCATCAATGTAATGGACCAGTGTGATATCTTGTGGAAGTGAAAAGCAATCAAATTCTCTCTGAATAAGAGTATGACACAAAGCTAGAGAGTTGATATAACCCTGTGGTATGACAGTAAAGGTATATTGCTGGCTTTGCCAGCTGAAGCCAAATTGCTTCTGGTGGGCCTTCTGGACAGAAATGGAGAAAAAAAGCATTTGCCAAGTGAATGTCTGCATACCAGGTACCAGGAGATGTGTTCACTTGCTCAAGCAATGAAACCACATCATCTAGTACAGCATCTGCAATTGGAGTCACCACTTGGGGAAGCTTATGATAATCTACTGTAATTCTCCAAGATGCATCTGCCTTCTGCAAAGGCTAAATAAGAGAGTTGAAGAGTGATGTGGTGGGAATCACCACCTCTACCGCTTTCAAGTTCTTGATGGTGGCACTAATCTCCACAATTCCTTCAGGGATGTGATATTGTTTTTGATTTACTATTTTTCTAAGTAGAGGCAGCTCTAATGGCTTCCTTTCTCACCATAGTAGCCCTCATTCTACTAGTCAGGGAGCCAATGTGGGGATTCTGTCAGCTGCTAAGTATGTCCATGCCAATTATGCATTCTGGCACTGGGGCAAAGACCACAGGATGAGTCTGGGGCACACTGAACCCACTGTATGTCAGACCTGAGGTAAAACTCCACTTTGCCCATTACCCAGTTCCAAAGTCACTTCCACATTTTCTGGTATCTTTTCAGCAGTACCCCACACTACTAGTACAAATTTACTGTATTAGTGCATTTTCATGCTGCTGATAAAGACATACCACTGACTGAGCAATTTACAAAAAAAAGTGGTTTAATGGACTTACAGTTACACATGGCTGGGGAGACCTCACAATCATGGCAGAAAATGAAAGGCACATCTCACATGGTGGCAGACAAGAGATGAGAATGAGGAGGAAGTGAAAGCAGAAACCCCTTAAAAAAACATCAGATCTTGTGAGACTTACTTACTACCAGGAGAACAGTATGGGAGAAACTGCTCAATTATCTCCCTCTGGGTCCCTCCCACAACACATGGGAATTAAGGGGAAAAATTCAAGATGAGATTTGGTTTGGGACACAGAGCCAAACCTTATCAGTTGTTGTAGTTCTTTTTTACTGTTTTCTAGAGCTCCTTTAAAGAAGCTCTAGAAAGTCTTCAGATTTATAAAAAATATGTATTCATAGAATGACAAAGAGTTTGAATTTCTGAAATTCCCTAGTTTCCTCAGTTCATCCTGGCTGCTATAACAAAATATCTGAGACTTGATAACTTATAAACAACAGAAATATATTGCTTACAATTCTGGAGGCTGAGAAGCCCATGATCAAGTTGCCAGTAGATTTTATGTCTAGTGAAGGCCTTCTGCCTCATAGTTGGCAACTCCTACCTGTGTCTTCACACAGTAGAAGGAGCTAGCTATCTCTCTGGAATCTTTTATTAATAAGGTCACAAATCCCACTCTAGAGGGCTGTGCCCTCATGACCTAATAATTTCTTAAAACACCATTTTCTGAAACTATTACATTGGAGATTAGGTTTTGATTTGTAAATTTTGGGAAGGGAGGACACAAACATTCACACCATTGCACTATTCCACCATCATGATGAGGTCATCCATTAACTTTTACAATAAGGACGATTGTGACCTACTGTTGTTGTTTTTGGATAATGGTTTTCTAATTTATTTCCTTTCTCGCGTCTTTATTTCATTATCTGCAGAACGCCTTTATATCCACTTTATTTCATCTGTGACCTCAAGTAGACTAGACTTTTGCTTTTCAACTTCAAATTGATGGATTTTCCATAGAATAATAGTGGTGGTATCCACAGGAAAAAATACAACTAAACAAAACAAAAATAGGTCTTGAGCATTTACTTTGTATATGGAAATAGCAACCTTTATTCACAGTTATCTTAATAAATGATCTAAAACACTTTCTGGGACAGGTAAACTGATTGTCTTCTCATTTTTATAAATAAAGGGGACTAATATAGAGAAGAGGTAAATGACATGTTAGTTATGCAGCTACTAATAAAGGGCTGGATTTTGAGACTAAATCTGTCTGATTTCATATTCCATGCTTTGAATTCCTACCTTATGCTGCCACTTCCCAGTGTCACTTGTTTGCTTTGCTGGTTATTATCACTGCCCACCTAGAGGAACAACTGGCTCCTTCATTTTGAAATTTTGCTACTTCTTATTAGACAGCCTATTGTAGCTGTGGGCTGCCATGGCTGTAATTTTATTGTGCCCTGTGTAGTAAATACAGTTGTGTGCCTACTTAAGAGCCATTACCCACTTTTTGGGTAAAATAATTCTGATTTTTTTAAATACTTTTATTTCATGTGTTTCAAGGGATGGTGCTCTCAACAGCCTTATGGAATAAATCTTAATGGAGTTAAGCCAATCATGAGGACACATATTTTTGTCAATGATTTGTTTAGGTATTGGCATGTAAGAAAAAACTGGTCAGTTAGACACGAGAAGTCCACTGGAGATTCACTGAGAAAAGTTTTTCTTGATTTTAAACATAAACTTTTGCAAGAAACAATCTATTTTAATACCTCTGAATGTTTATAAGTGGGGGATATTGGGCCTGGATCTGTCATTGCCTTTTTATCAGGAGAACGTTCATAATAAAATATAGCATGGATAAATTCCTCGACACATACACCCTCCCAAGACTAAACCAGGAAGAAGTTGAATCTCTGAATAGACCAATAACAGGCTCTGAAGTTGAGGCAATACTTAATAGCTTACCAACCAAAAAAAGTCCATGACCAGATGGATCCACAGCCAAATTCTATCAGAGGTAAAAGGAGGAGCTGGTACCATTCCTTCTGTAACTATTCCAATGAATAGAAAAAAAGGGAATCCTCCCTAACTCATTTTATGAGGCCAGAATCATCCTGATACCAAAGCCTGGTAGAGACACAACAAAAAAAGAGAATTTTAGACCAATATCCCTGATGAACATCGATGAAAAAAATCCTCAATAAAATACTGGCAAACCGAATCCAGCAGCACATCAAAAAGCTTATCCACCATGATCAAGTGGGCTTCATCCCTGGAATGCAAGGCTGGTTCAATATACGCAAATCAATAAACATTATCCAGCATATAAACAGAAGCAAAGACAAAAACCGCATGATTATCTCAATAGATGCAGGAAAGGCCTTTGACAGAATTCAACAATGCTTCATGCTAAAAACTCTCAATAAATTAGGTATTGATGGGACGTATCTCAAAATAATAAGAGCTATCTAAGACAAACCCACAGCCAATATCATACTGAATGGTCAAAAACTGGAAGCATTCCCTTTGAAAACTGGCACAAGACAGGGGTGCCGTCTCTCATCACTCTTATTCAACATAGTGTTGGAAGTTCTGGCCAGGGCAATCAGGCAGGAGAAAGAAATAAAGGGTATTCAATTAGGGAAAGAGGAAGTCAAATTGTCCCTGTTTGCAGATGACATGATTGTATATGTAGAAAACCCCATCATCTCAGGCCAAAATCTCCTTAAGCTGATAAGCAACTTCAGCAGTTTCAGGATACAAAATCAATGTGCAAAAATCACAAGCATTCTTATACACCAAGAACAGACAAACAGAGAGCCAAATCATGAGTGAACTCCCATTCACAATTGCTTCAAAGAGAATAAAATACCAGGAATCCAACTTACTAGGGATGTGAAAGATATCTTCAAGGAGAACTACAAACCACTGCTCAACAAAATAAAAGAGGTTACAAACGAATGGAAGAACATTCCAAGCTCATGGGTAGGAAGAATCAATATCGTGAAAATGGCCATACTGTCCGTGGTAATTTATAGATTCAGTGCCATCCCCATCAAGCTACCAATGACTTTCTTCACAGAATTGGAAAAAACTACTTTAAAGTTCATATGGAACCAAAAAACAGCCCGCATTGCCAAGACAATCCTAAGCCAAAAGAACAAAGCTGGAGGCATCACGCTACCTGACTTCAAGCTATACTACAAGGCTACAGTAACCAAAACAGCATGGTACTGCTACCAAAACAGAGTTATAGACCAATGGAACAGAACAGAGCCCTCAGAAATAATACCACACATCTACAACCATCTGATCTTTGACAAACCTGACAAAAACAAGCAATGGGGAAAGGATTCCCTATATAAATGGTGCTGGGAAAACTGGCTAACCATATGTAGAAAGCTGAAAGTGGATCCCTTCTTTACACCTTATACAAAAATTAATTCAAGTTGGATTAAAGACTTAAATGTTAGACCTAAAACCATAAAAACCCTAGAAGAAAACCTAGGCAATACCATTCAGGACATAGGCATTGGCAAGGACTTCATGTCTAAAACACCAAAAGCAATGGCAACAAAAGCCAAAATTGACAAATGGGATCTAATTAAACTAAGGAGCTTCTGCACAACAAAAGAAACTATGATCAGAGTGAACAGGCAACCTACAGAATGGGTGAAAATTTTTGCAATCTACTCATCTGACAAAGGGCTAATATCCAGAATCTACAAAGAACTGAAACAAATTTACAAAAAAAAAAAAACAAAAAAACACAAACAAACAACCCCATCAACAAGTGGGCGAAATATATGAACAGACACTTCTCAAAAGAAGACATTTATGCAGACAAAAAACACATGAAAAAATGGTCATCATCACTGGCCGTCAGAGAAATGCAAATCAAAATCACAATGAGATACCATCTCACACCAGTTAGAATGGCGATCATTAAAAAGTCAGGAAACAACAGGTGCTGGAGAGGATGTGGAGAAATAGGAACACTTTTACACTGTTGGTGGGACTGTAAACTAGTTCAATCATTGTGGAAGACAGTGTGGCGGTTCCTCAGGGATCTAGAACTAGAAATACCATTTGACCCAGCCATCCCATTACTGAGTATATACCCAAAGGATTATAAATCATGCTGCTATAAAGGCACATGCACACGTATGTTTATTGCAGCACTATTCACAATAGCAAAGACTTGGAACCAACTCAAATGTCCAACAATGATAGACTGGATTAAGAAAATGTGGCACATATACACCATGGAATACTATGCAGCCATAAAAAAGGATGAGTTCATGTCCTTTGTAGGGACATGGGTAAAGCTGGAAACCATCATTCTCAGCAAACTATTGCAAGAACAAAAAACGAAACACAGAATGTTCTCACTCATTGGTGGGAATTGAATAATCAGAACACTTGGACACAGGAAGGGGAACATCACACGCCAGGGCCTGTTGTGGGGTGGGGGAAGGGGGAAGGGGGAAGGGATAACATTAGGAGATATACCTAATGTTAAATGACAAGTTAATGGGAGCAGCACACCAACATGGCACATGTATACATATGTAACAAACCTGCATGTTGTGCACACATACACTAGAACTCAAAGTATAATAAAATAAATAAATAAATAAAAGAAATTGCATTGAAAATACAGTTAGATTTTTTTCTCAAGTATGCACACTTTTCTTAAAAGTGTGCATGGCCTTGGGAAGAAATGAAGCCCAACTCACTGACTTAAAAAGGGGGGCATAATATAAAATTAATATACAAGTTTATCAGTTGGCCAAGTGACCCTACCCCATATTACTCATCTCTTCAATTCTATTCCTTCTCATGGTCCCAAGCTTCCCATACACCCTAAATTTTGCTAAGGAGTGAGCTGATGCTGTCCTGGTATGAATGAGGCCAGGTATGATATGCTCAGGTTTATGGAAAGAAGATGACAAGAAGTGGACCTGGAAGATAGAGAGCTAAAAATGCATATCAGCTGATTCTATTCACTTTCCCTCTTACTCTGAGTATTCAACCACACCATCCCTCCAACAAAAGGAAGCTAATGTAACACAATGAAGCTGTTGAAGAAATAACAGTGTTATGGTGTCCTCCCCTTGTCCTAGTCCTAAGCACAGGTACAGATATGTATATGCTCAGGAAAGCTTCTAAACCTGAACAGAGCTCTCAAGGCAGAATTGGATAAATACTTCAAGATCCTCATGCCTGGCCCATTTAGTTTTATCCTTTAGTCACCTATGCAAATAGCTTTGGGTTATCCCCTCTTGTTGTTCCAAACCCTATGCTTGGAGCAGCCAAAGGGGGCACTGAGAGAAGATGAAATCTGTCTCATCTAAAATTTGCCACCTTATTGGCTGGGCACTTAGGAGGCAGTTTTCTTAAAGGGGACCACATCCTAGTTGACCTGAAGTCTTTAGACATGGAGGAACTACTGTGCCCTCCTTTCTCTCCTTCATGCTGTATAGCTGGAATTATTCAACCGTCGAAATTGTTTGGTCTCTTTGACACAAACATACTTCTACTTCTTTAATTAATATTAATTCTTATTATTGCTATGTGCCAGGCATTATGCTGTACACTAGGTGTATATTTATAAGTAAAGCAGACGAGGCCCCTGCTCTCTTGAATTTATAGTTTAGTGTTGGAGACAAGCATTAAATAATTAAACAAATAAACATATAAATACAGATTTTCATAAGTTGTAAAATGTAAATAAATAGAACACAGTAATATAAAATAATTGTAAGGGGAGAGTATGGTGCCTATTCAGAGCAGGCATGGAAGACCTCTTTCAGGAAGTATCAAGTCAGCCTGAAGGTGAAAAAAGACCAAGTCATGCAATGAGCTGATGACAGAAGAAAGGCCGAGACAAAAGTAGGATGCCCATATTTCCTAGTTTTCTCAAAGACAGTTTCTTACTTTACTTGTCCCAGCACATGTATTACAGTACTCTCCCTCACTCTCAAAACTTCTATAGATTACAAATGAAGAATGATCCAACCAATTAACTGCAAACCCCTCAGACCCCAATGTTTATTACCAGGTACAAACTTTGCTTTCTGAGTGAAAGCAGCAGCGTATGCCTGGAGACATTCTGGGCTGTGTGTACAAAACAAACAGTGGACCAGAAGTATTTCTGAGCCGATGTCATGGGTCCCTGTACCAATCTATCTGGGAGAGGAGACTAGATTTGAGAAGCAGAAACTCCTTTTATGCAGCATGTCAGGCTCTTCTAAGACCCCTCAAGAGATTTTGAGCCAAGCTACCTGCATCCATATTTTCCAGTGTAGAAGGTAACAGTTCTTTAAAGAGTGACATTGTGAGATTTTTCCACCTAGATTAGTTTAAGTCAGATAGATTAGGGTTACTTGAGTTTCAAGACTGTTTTTCTACTAAGCTAAAAAACCTTGGAAAAGTATCTGCACCTTTCTGATCCTCATTTTGCTTATCTGTAAAATGGAGAGAAATCAGGTTCATCACCCTCATGAAATTAAAGTGAAAATATGTGAAACATCTAGCACAGTTCCTTGTATGTACAAAATAGTCAGTTGTGATCATTGATAATAACAATAATAACTCCCACTATCAAAAGCTAGCTGGGCCTGTCCCAGTATTGGTCTATCAGTCTTCAGCCTACTTAGAAACTTCAGCCATCGCTTGTACAGCCTTTGACTCTGCTGAGATTCTCCATTTCCCTGCCCTGAAATGTCAACCACTGCACTGACTTTCCAAATGCTTCCTTTCAGCCCTAGCTGGAACACTTTTCTATCTAGTAAGCCATTTTCCTCACCCCAGCTAACATGTAGTGCACTCTCTCCAGAGCCTTCAAGATTGCAAAGGCTGTCAGCAGCCTTTACATCTACTCCTAGGCTGCCTGATATCACTTTATTGTCTCACGTGTGTGTTGCCTCATCTTTCCAATTTGTTGTAAAACTTCCATGGATACTTTGTACTTAAACTGAAAATAAGAATGCATCCCTGCTAACCCTCTTAACTCCTTACTCACTGCAAAGCGATAGAATGCTGAATTTATTGCAAAACAGACTAAGTGGATTTCACCCAACCTCTCTGCCATTCCTTCCTGTACAGTTAAAGAAAGTGTTATGGATAACTGGTGTTTCCACACTGAGTCCACGGGGACCTTCCATTTCCCTCATACCTCTTGCCATCTCTCTCTCTATCTCTCTCTTTCTCTGCCACAAGAAATGCAGCAAGAAGCTTTGCTGTGATACATTTAATTTGACATACAAGTAATTACAGCAGAAATGTTTTGCTGAGATGGGAGTGACATGAGGCAAAAGAAGCAATGACAGTTTACAGGAAAATAGTTCTCTCTGGAAATTAGGAATAAAATGGAGGAGAGAGCACAAGTCAGTGTCACCCCACCAGTCCATCCAAAATCCATTTTCTCCTGACATTTTTCTATCTTTCACATGTCCACCATCAACTGTGTACATCTTTGTAAGCAGAGTCAGACGGTGGGAGGAACAAAGGGAAAGAAAGTTGAAAGACATGAACTAGACAGGAAACAATACAAGACAAACAGCCACTTAATGAAAAAATATTTCCAAGGCTGTCTTACTAACATTTCCATGGGATTATTTACATGGCAAGTCACATGGCTAGGGTTGACAACAATGGATACACTTAACAAAGAATCAAAATCTAAGACTGATCAAATAAATATCTTCATATTGTTCTCAGGTATAAAGCATAGTCTAGGCTCATTCAACAAGAGAAGTAATGTGTGAAATGATCTAAGTTAGAATATTTACAATTTACAACAAGTTTCTGCATGTAATAATGTATAAGACACATACAAATCATTTACGATAGATGACATAATTGCTGAGGCCAGCAATTAAAAGGATGTGAAAGGCATACAGTTCTTTCATAGAGTTCTCAAAATGTTCCAGCCCACCTTATGCTTTGGAAGCTCTGTAGTGCAGTAGTACTATGACAGGTTTGAAAGCTAGACATAGCTGGGTTCAAATCCTTCCTTTATCATGGTGAAAATTTGAAAGGTTCCTTATGTACTCTAGGTACTAATACGGTGCTTGCACTGCAGAGTTGTTCTGAGGTGTAAATGAGATACAGTGACAGGTACATCGTAGAAGCTCTTTCTGGCTATGAGTATCTATCATTCTATGATGCAGTACAACACACAAATAACCATACATTGGCCTTTCCCTCAATGTCTTCATACATTTTTTGTCTTTCTCAAAGGAATAGAGCAAAGGCTTTACCTTCTTCTGTTGCCTAACACTGAACATATCAACAGTAATTGCTCAATACAAATTCATTAATTAACTAATCTTTGATGTTTGTCTTTATTTTGAAAAGGCTACTGATTTACATTTGGGTCTGTACTACTCATGAGTGAGACCCTAAGACTTTATTCAAGTCTATTATGAACATTTTCTTCAGGCACTTGCTGAAGAAGTATCAGCAAGAAGTTCCCAGCCTCTTTCCTCTAGCAAAAAGAGAAAAAAGTCTAAACAGATCACTTATATTGTGGTTTCTGGTTTACAGAAAGAAAGGAAGGAAGAGGAAGTATAACAGGAGTAAGAGAAGAAAAGGTTAAGAACCTGACATTATGCTTGGATTTTAACACTCATAATGTTGTAACAAGCATAATAACCCTATGAGGTAAACTATTTTTATTTTACTGATGGAGAGCTCAGGCAAAAAGTGTCCAGTAGCTTGTCCATAATTACACTGCTGGTAACCTAATTTAAATTAAGTTGTTTGAGTGTGTACGTGTGCTTCCAAGACAATGTCTACATGGCTGGGGAAAGGCCCAGTTAGGTGAGAGGCATCTTTGCTGGAAATCAGCCAAACTGAAGACATTGACAATAAGGGAAAGAATGATGTTTTGGAAATGTAAAATATAGTAGGTTTTTTTGGGGGAATGGAGGAAGAAGGCAGTGGGGAGAACAAATTTGAAGCTTCTGAGCAAAAAGAACTCATCTCTTAAAGGCCATTTATGTCACCTTCAGGCCAACACCAGAGAAGCTACACCTGCTGTTTCTCTGGCTATCACCATTGGTAGGAAACCCAGCTTCCTTCTCTGCCCTGCCAAGTAGTAGAACATGAGCAAGCCTAAAGTTCTGGGTTGAATATCCACATTCAATCTAGTGTGACAGCTATTGGCTTAAAAGATAATCTTCTGGATCAAAATTACAGGGTGATGGGGAGAGAAGACATCTGACCTATTTGGAACTTGACTGTAAGCTATCAGAAATGATGAGAACATATGTAATTTTCTGGATCTGTGAAGGATTTTTAAGCTTCTAAGACAGTGTTCCATATAACTCCCATATTAACATTGTATAAGGCACGTGCACTTTTGAATTTATCAACTGATCTCAGCTTGTTGAGGGGGCTGAAATACCACTGGTGTGATAATGATGGCAACTGGGGTGATTATTAGGATCAATATCCAGTAGAAGAGGCTCTGGATGGTCTCCAGTAGAACAGGGACACAGAATTTACACCACAGTCGAAGTGATTCTGCAGCATTTAATGCCAAAAGCTAGAGATGTTGAAAAAGGGAAAACATCACCAGTAAGCCACTTTTCCCCCAAAGTTTAATGGTCTGAAGATGGGAATGACGGAATGACATGGGATCCATGCTCCTCAGATTGGTGAAGAGGTTGACCTCACCAGGCTGCTCAGGATTACGGTCTAGTGCAGATTCAGTAGTGTATCCCACATCTTTTCCTCTATTGGTAAAATCTTAGGTGGCTCATTGAGAAATTTCCCAGGAGCCCATGGTGATGAGACAGTCCAGTTCAAAGGAAGGATTTCTTCCAAGTCATTGGGGAAGTGGATTCTATCAAAACATACCTCCCAAATCTTTAAATGGTTATTCAGATGCTTCGACATTCACTTATTTTGCCTCCAGCATTGGATAAATTGTTGAGTTCTTCAAATGGGGTCTGTAGAAACTATAGCAACAAGTTGGGCCCCATCAACCTGTCTGTATGGAAGACTACTGGCATTGAGCAGGACTAGCAAAAGGAACCAAGCATAAAAATGCAATGGAAAGAATATGGAGTTTGGTTTTAGATAGTTCTCCATTCAAATTGTATCTCTGCTACTCACCTGTCATGTGATATTTAAGCCAAGTGTTTCATCTCTTTGAGCATCAGTTTCTTTATATGTCACATAAAAATAATGTCTCCTATATCACCAACTCTTATGGAGAATTAAATAAGATAAATTTACATAAACTACAAACATAGTACCTGGCATATAATAAGTACTCAATCAATTTTAGTAACTTCTGTCCTCACTTCCACTTCATATTAATTTTCCCTTCATGCACCCTAAGTCTCATTAAGTTTTAGTTCAGTGAAAGAATAGAATTCCAGGAAGGTCAAGAGAGTTACTCAAGGACATATAGCTAATAAATAGCAGAGGCAAATCAGGGCCAGAGACTAAGTCTGGCTAACTGAAGTTCCAATATTCTTTCCATTATGCTTCAGAATCTTTCATAGATTATGAGATTGCCATGAATCTCATCCAAAAACAGCAGAGTGCTGACAAGTGTGGGCAAGCTCATTGGCTGGATGGCAGTCTCTATTCTACCTGCCTTCAGGAACCCTGCAAGGCAGAAAAACAGAAGCTCCAGAGGGGACCTATACTCAGTTTCCTGAAGAACTGGGCATGAGAAGCCTTGGATCCCAGCTTTGCCAACCAGGGGCTATATTGCCAATAGCTTTCAAGAACACAGTGGAGAGATTTACTTAGTTAATGACCCTTCATGCAGCCATGAACAAACAAGTTCTGAATTGCCCCCCACTTGTCTGTATCACTGAGTATAAAATGAGAAATTACAGGGAAACATCATGCTCCATTAGAATTAATTATTCTCCAAGAGGATTTTGGGGAGTTGTAGTTAAGAGCTACCTCAAAAAAGAAGCCAATAAATGAATACTGCCGAGTTAATGAAAACTACCACAACTAACAAAATAAAAGTAAAATTTTCAAAATTTCCATTAAGAACAATTAAAAAGCAACAAAAATATATTAAAAATGAAGTAGAACAAAAAGCTAGAAAGCTAGAAAAGCATTTCTGGGTGATTTGGATAGCTAAGTAGATGGAAAAACAACTTCACCTCCTCCTGTTTCAATACCACCACACAGTACACACTTACATGACTCAAACACATAAATACACACAAAACACATTCACAGTCCACAAAAATTCACAATGCTTTGTAAGGCTAGAGAAAGTCCCTGCTAAAATTAATATCATAAAATTAATGCCATAGCAACTATGATTTGGGCAGCCCGAGCTGCAAGTCAGGCTAACTTTTAGAGTTTGTTTAGATCTTCCCTGGAAGATTTGAGAAAATGGAATAAGAGAAAATAAACACTAAAAGTTACCCCGGAATCAGTATCACCAGTTATTTAACTCATAAAATATTTATTTTGATTATGCCATTGATTTAAAACGTATTGAGCACCTATGCTATATTATGCACCATGTAAGTCATGAAAAACACACAAGAATACAGTTCCCATCCTCAATGAGCACACAGTCTTTAACAGACAGACTTGTAAACACATTTAACAACACAAAGTAAATAAGTGTTAATTATAAATATGAGAAAGGTGTTGAGAGAACAAAAAGAAAAGAGAGATTAGTTCTTTCGGAAGAGAAATCATGAATAGTTCCACTGTTAAGGTAACATAAACACATGCCTTCAAGTATCGGCAAATTTCACAGGCAGAGAAAAACGTGGGTTAATATCATCCTAGGTGGAAGAAATAGCATAAGCAAAGGCTCAAAGATAAGACAAGTGATGGCATGTTCAGGATATAGTTAATTATGGCTACAAAATGGTGTACATATGGACAGAAAGGTGGTTATAGATCAAATAACAGAGGCCTGAAATGGCACATTATGGAGTTTCAACTCTATCTGTTATATAATGAGGAAACATTATAATGTCTGAAGTGACCAAGTGAACTGATGTTTTCAGATTTGATACAAGGAAGATACCTCTGGTTAGAGAGGTGAGAGATTGGAGGCAAGGAAACAAGTCAGAAAACCATTGCTAATATTTAATCAAAGGATGAAGACATTGGATGATAAAGTTGAAAAATAATGACATAGAAAAAAACAGTAATTACTTAAAGCCATCAGAAAGTGTCCCAATAACATACAGCAAGTGGAGTAACTAAATATTGTTAAGAGTAGAGTCTATGGCACTCGAGTCTTGGTCCATTCACTCACACTGATATGGTTTGGATGTGTCCCCACCCAAATCTCACCTTGAATTGTAAGAATCCCCACGTGTCAAGGGTGGGACTACGTGGAGATCATTAAATCATGGAAGCAGTTTTCCCCATAATGTTCGCATGGCAGTGAATAAATCTCATGAGTTCTGATGGTTTTATAAATGGGAGTTCCCCTGCACAAACTTTCTTGTCCACTGCCATGTAAGAAGTCCCTTTCTTCTTCCTTCATCTTCCACCATGTTTGTGAGGCCCCCCTAGCCATGTGAAACTGTGAGTCTGTTAAACCTCTTTTCTTTATAAATTACCAAGTCTTGGGTATGTCTTTATTAGCAGCATGAGAATGGACAAATCCACTCATCTACTCCTCTCCCAATTTTAGCATGACAGAAACTCCGCTCTGGGTAGGGGTGACCAAGGAGACAGGGATCCCTCTTTCTATCTCCAGAGAATTGCCATAATATCTTCCTAGAAGGAGAAGGTCTTCGCACTTCTCTTCACTCTCATCTCTGTGTTTTAGAGGCTAAATACCAGCCAAGAGTTCCTGAGAAGTCAGGGGCTCTTTTCCTCCACCCAGCCCCAACTCACAAGATGGAAACTTTACCCTAGGTGTGACAGGCTGAGAATCATGGGGCCCCAATTTCCCAACTCCCAGCTAACTTGTAGGGCAGAGATTCAATGATAGAAGGCAAGCTGAGAATACAAGAAGTTACTGCCCCACCTAGAACCCTGTTCATAAAGCAGAAATGCCACTCCAATAAAAGTGGGCTATGGTCCCTGCCACCAGCTCCAGAGCACTTTCTTAGAGATTCTGCAGATTCTATTAGAATAGAAACCTGTGAAGTTATTTACAAAGAAACTGAATTTATTTGGAAAAGAGTGTGGAGAAAGTTGAAGCCTAAGGGCACATTTAAGAACAATTTTGGTAGTAAGCAAGAGGAGGCCGGTAGCTTTAAAAATGCAACAAGCTAAACCATAGGTCAACTGGTTTACCAAAGAAAATTAAAAAAAGAGCAAACTAAAAAGAGCTCGTGTGGGGTCTGAATGAAACTCAAAGGCTAGGCTCAACAGCTACCCTTGCACGGGCGCCTGAATTCAATTAGATTGAGCTGTGGGGAAATTTATGACCCAGCTAGTGGTCAAAAGCAGTCAGATGTCATTTAGTGGAGGGTAACAGCCAAATGTGATACCAATAGAGGCAGACATCTTAGCAGACAAATCGAGGGAAGAGACAGTGAAAGAGATTCCTGCTAAAACCACTCTGCTGCTAATACTTACCCCCAGGGTAAGTCAGTGAATGCCCAAGGCTGTGCTCTTGAGGAGGTACATCAAAGGATCGACACTGTGGGGAAAATAAATTTCACTAATATTCGCTAGTTACTAAACAAATAAGACAACAACAAAACCAGAAATGGGGTGATATTCTGTTTCTATAATATATTATCTAAATGTCCTGTTCTCAACAAAATTTAATAAAACCTACAAATAAATAAAAATTGTGACCCATACAAAACAAAAAATACAAGCAGCAGAAACTTTCTGTAAGAGGACTGTATCTTGGCTGTAAGATATCAAAGCAGCAATCATAAATATATTTAAAGAGCTAGACAAAAAATACTAATTCAGAAAATAGAGGTATTCTGATAATGTTTCATTAAATAGAGAATATAAATAAACAGATAGAAATTATTTTAATTAAAATACTGAAGTTAAAAAAATAATAACTGAAATTATAAAATCACTAAAGAAGCTCAAATTTAGATTCCATTTGTCAGACAAATCAGTAAACTTAAGATAGATTGATAGATACAGTGAAATCCAAAGAGCAGAGAGAAAAATAGGAGATACAATTAAACACACCAAAACAAATGTAACGTGGGTGCTAGAAGAGCAGGGGAAAAAGAGGCAGAAAAGATATTAATAGTAATAGTGGTAGAAATTTCCCAAAATTGATGAAAAAATCAACCTAAGATCCAAGAAGCACAACAAATGCCAAGGCTAAGATTGCACATCTACAAACCTCTGATCTTCGACAAACTTGACAAAAACAAGCAATGAGGAAAAAATTCCTTATTTAATAAATGGTGCTGGGAAAACTGGCTAGCCACTTGCAAAAACTGAAGCTTGACACTTCCACACACTTTATACCCAAATTAACTCAAGATGGACTAAAGACTTAAGTATAAAACCCAAAACTATAAAAACCTTAGAAGAAAATCTCAACAATACGATTCAGGATATAGGCATGGGCTAAGATTTCATGACAAAAACTTTGAAAGCAATTGCAACAAAATCAAAAATTGACCAATGGGATCTAATTAAACTAAAGAGCTTTTGCACAGCAAAAGGAACTATCAATCAGAGTGAGCAGACAACCTAGAGAATGGGAAAATTTTTGCAATGTATCCATCTCATAAAGGGCTAATATTCAGAATCTACAAGGAACTTAAACAAATCTACAAGAAAAAAAAAAAACAATAAAAAGTGGGCCAAGGATATGAGCAGATATTCTCAAAAGAAGACATTTATGTGGCCAGCAAACATGAAAAAAAAAAAAGCTCAACATCACTGATCATTAGAGAAATGCAAACAAAAACCACAATGAGATACCATCCCACACCAGTTGGAATGGCAAATATTAAAAAGTCAAGAAACAACAGATGTTGGCAAGGCTGTGGAGAAATAGAAATGCTTTTACACTGTTGGTGGGAGAGTCAATTAGTTCAACCACTGTGGTTGAAAGAGAGTATGGTGATTCCTCAAAGACCTAGAACCGAAAATACCATTTAATCCAACAGTCCCATTACAGGGTATATGCCTAAAGGAGTAGAAATTATTCTACTATAAAGATACACGCATGTGTATGTTTGTTGCAGCACTATGCCCAATAACAAAGACATGGAATCAACCCAAATGTCCGTCAGTGATAGACTGGATAAAGGAAATGTGGTACATATACACCATTGAATACTATACAGCTATAAAAGGGAATTAGATTATGTCCTTTGAAAGGAAATGGATGGAGCTGGAAGCCAATATCTTCAGCAAACTAATACAGGAAGAGAAAACCAAACACCTCATGTTCTCACTTATTATAAGTGGAAGCTGAACAATGAGAACACATGGACACAGAAAGGGGAACGACACACACTGGGGCCTGTCGGGGTTGTGGTGTGGGAGGGAGAACGTCAGGATAAATAGCTGATGAATGCAGGGATTAATACCTAGTTGATGGGTTGATCTGAGTAACAAAGCACCATGGTACACGTTACCTATGTAAAAATCCTGGATGTTCTGCACATGTATTCCAAAACTTACAATACAATGAAATTAAAATAAAATTAAAATAAATTCAAGAGCATCTGAAAACATAGATATCATAGTAAATGTGTAGAGAATCAAACATGAAAAATAAGCTTGAAACAGTAAAAGTAAAATGATACTTCACATGCAAGCAAAGCCCCAAAATATTAACAGCTGGTTTCTAGCCAAAACAATAAAGATCAGAAAGCACTGGAATGACACATTCAATTTTCAGAAAGACAATAAAACCCTTCAACTAGGAATCTCATATCCAGCAAAACTATCTTTCAGAAATTAAGGAAAACTAATGAAATTTTAATATAAATAAAATCTCAGATAATTTGTCAATAAACAATAAGTGAAGTTCCTCAGGTTAAAAGCAAGTGACATCAGACAATGATTTGAAAACACATAAAAAATCAAGAAGCACCAGGGCAAATATTGTATGATTATATTATATTATATGAAATATTGGAATAGGTAAATTTATGGATACAGAAAATAGGCAGCTGTTTGGGCAGACACCTAGCTAGCTGTAGAAGTATTTTCCATATCCCAGTGGTGTCTGGAATGCCAGCAATACAGAACCATACATTCTCCTGGAAGCGGGGCTGAAGCCAGAGAGCCAAGTGGTCTAGCTCAGAGGAACCCACCTCCACGGAGCCAAGCAAGCTAAGATCCACTGGCTTGAAATTCTCACTGCCAGCACAGCAGTCTGAAGTCGACCTGGGACAAGCGAGCACGGTGGGCTTGAGTAGGCAGGGTTTCCCCTCACAGTGTAAACAAAGCAACTGGGAAGTTCAAACTGGACAGAGCCCACCACAGCTCCACAAAGCTGTTGTAGCCAGACTGCCTCTCTAGATTCCTTCTGTCTGGGCAGGGCATCTCTGAAAGAAAGGCAGAAGCCCCAGTTAGGGACTTATAGATAAAACTCCCACATCCCTAGGACAGAGCACCTTGGGGAAGGAGCGTATGTGGGCACAGCTTCAGCAGACTTAAATATTCCTGTCTGCTGGCTCTGAAGAGAGCAGTGGATCTTCCAGCACAGCTCTCTAGCTCTGCTAAGGGACAGACTACCTCCTCAAATGGGTCCCGCAAACCTGTGCCTCCTGACTGGGAAATGCCTCCCAGCAGGGGTTGATAGACACCTCATACAGGAGAGCTCTGGCTGGCATCTGGTGGGTGCCCATCTGGGACGAAGCTTCCAGAGGAAGAAACAGGTAGCAATCTTTGTTGTTCTGCAGCCTCCACTGGAGATACCCAGGCAAACAGGGTATGCAGTGGACCTCCAGCAAACTCCAGCAGACCTGCAGGAAAGGGCCCTGACTGTTGGAAGGAAAACTAACAAACAGATAGGAACAGCATCGACATCAACAAAAAAAATCATCCACACAGAAACCCCATCCAAAGTTCACCAACATCAAAGACCAAAGGTAGATAAATCCACAAAGAGGAGGAAAAACCAGCGCAAAAAAGGCTGAAAATTCCAAAAACCAGAATGCCTCTTCTCCAAATGATCACAACTCCACGCCAGCAAGGGAACAAAACTGGACAGAGAATGAGTTTGATGAACTGACAGAAATAGGCTTCAGAAGATGGGTAATAACAAACTCCTCCAAGCTAAAGGAGATTGTTCTAACCCAATGCAAGGAAGCTAAGAACCTTGAAAAAAAATTAGAAAAATTGCTAACTAGAATAACTAGTTTAGAGAAACATATAAATGACCTAATGGAACTGAAAAACACAGCACAAGAACTTCGAGAAGCATACACGAGTATCAATTGCCAAATTGATCAAGTGGAAGAAAGGATATCAGAGACTGAAGATCATCTTAATTAAATAAAGTGTGAAGACAAGATTAGAGAAAAAAATGAAAAGGAATGAACAAAGCCTCCAAGAAATCTGGGACTATGTGAAAAGATCAAACCTGCATTTTATTGGTGTACCTGAAAGTGAGGGGGAGAATGGAACCAAGTTGGAAAACACTCTTCAGGATAGTATCCAGGAGAACTTCCCCAACCTAGCAAGACAGGCCAATATCAAATTCAGGAAACACAGAGAACACCACTAAGATATCCTTTGAGAAGAGCAACCCCAAGACATATAATTGTCAGATTCACCAAGGTTGAAAAGGAGTAAAAAATGGTCAGGGCAGCCAGAGAGAAAGGTCAGGTTACCCACAAAGGGAAGCCCATCAGACTAACAGTTGATCCCCTCTGCAGAAACTCTACAAGCCAGAAGACAGTGGGGGCCAATATTATATGCTTAAAGAAAAGAATTTTCAACCCAGAATTTCATATCCAGCCAAACTGAGCTTTATAAGTGAAGAGGAAATAAAATCCTTTACAGGCAAGCAAATTCTGAGAGATTTTGTCACCCTCAGGCCTTCCTTACAAGAGCTCCCGAAAGAAGCACTAAGTATGGAGGAAAAAAAAAGTACCAGCCACTGCGAAAATATACCAAATTGTAAGACCATCAACACTATAAAGAAACTGCATCAACTAACGAGCAAAATAACCATCTAGCATCATAATGGCAGGGTGAAATTCACACATAACAATATTAACCTTAAATGTAAATAGGCTAAATGCCCCAGTGAAAAGACATAGACTAGCAAATTGGATAAAGAGTCAAGACCCATCTGTGTGCTGTATTCAGGAGACCCATTTCATGTGCAAAGACAAACATGGGATCAAAATAAAGGGATAGAGGGATATTTACCACGTAAATGGAAAGCAAAATAAAAGCAGCGGTTGTAATTCTAGTCTCTAATAAAACACACTTTAACCCAAAGAAGATCAAAAAAGACAAAGAAGGGCATCACAATTAAAGGAAATAGAGAAGGAAGAGCAAACAAACTCAAAATCTTGCAGAAGACAAGAAATAACTAAGATCAGAGCAGAACTGAAGAAGATAGAGACATGAAAAACACTTCAAAAAAACCAATGAATCCAGGAGCTGATTTTTTGTAAAGATTAACAAAACAAATAGCCTGCTAGCCAGAGTAATAAAGAAGAAAAGAGAGAACAATCAAGTAGACACAGTAAAAAATGATAAAGACGATAACACCACTGATCCCACAGAAATACAAACTACCATCAGAGAATACTGTAAACACCTATATGCAAATAAACTAGAAAATGTAGAAGAAATCGATAAATTCCCAGACACATACACCCTCTCAAGACTAAACCAAGAAGAAGTCAATTCCTGAATAGATCAATTACAAGTTCTGAAATTGAGGCAGTATTAATAGCCTACCAACCAAAAAAAAAGCCCTTGACCAGACAGATTCACAGCTAAATATTACCAGAGGTACAAAGAGGATCTGGCACCATTCCTTCTGAAACTATTACAAACAATAGAAAAAGAATGACTCCTCCCTAACTCATTTTATGAGGCCAATATCATCCTGATACTAAAGCCTGGCAGAGACACAACATAAAAAAAAAAAAAAGAAAGAAAGAAAATTTCAGGCCAAAATCCCTGATGAACATTGAGGCAAAAATACTCAATAAAATACTGGAAAACCGAATCCAGCAGCACATTAAAAAGCTTATCCAACATGATCAAGCCAGCTTCATCCCTGGCATGCAAGGCTGGTTCAACATACACAAATCAATAAACATAATTCATCACATAAACAGAACCAATGACAAAAACCACATGATTATCTCAATAGATGCAAAAAAAATTCTTCAACAAAATTCAACACCCCTTCAAGTTAAAAACTTTTAATAAACTAGGTATTGATGAAACATATTTCAAATTAATGACAGCTATTTATGACAAACTGACAGCCAATATCTTACTGAATGGGCAAAAGCTGGGAGCATTCCCTTTGAAAACCGGCACAAGACAAGGATGCCCTCTCTCACCACTCCTATTCAACATAGTATTGGAAGTTCTGGGCAGGGCAATCAGGCAAGAGAAAGAAATATAGGGTATATAAATTAAAAGAGAGGAAGTCAAATTTTCTGTTTGCAGATGACGAGTCTATTTAGAAAACCTCATAGTCTCTGACCAAAATCTCCTTAAGTGGATAAGCAACTTCAGCAAAGTCTCAGGATACAAAATCAATGTGCAAAAACTACAAGCATTCCTATAAATCAAAAATAGACAAACAGAGGGCCAAATAATGAGCAAATTCCCCTTCACAATTGCTACAAAGAGAATAAAATACCTAAGAATACAACTTACAAAGGATGTGAAGGACCTCTTCAAGGAGAACTACAAACCGCTGCTCAAGGAAATGAGAGGACACAAACAAATGGAAAAATATTCCATGCTCATGGATAGGAAGAATCAATATCGTGGAAATGGTTATACTGCCCAACGTAATTTATAGATTCAATGCTATTCCCATTAAGCTACCATTGGCTTTCTTCACAGAATTCTAAAAAACTACTTTAAATTTCATATGGAACCAAAAAAGAGCCGGAATAGCTAAGACAATCCTAAGCAAAAAGAACAAAGCTGGAGGCATCATGCTACCTGACTTCAAACTATACTACAATGCTACAGTAACCAATACAGCATGGTACTGATACCAAAACAGATATACAGAACCATGGAACAGAACAGAGGCCTCAGAAATAACGTCACACATCTACAAACATCTGATCTTTGACAAACCTGACAAAAACAGGCAATGGGGTAAGGATTCCCTATTTAATAAATGGTGTTGGGAAAACAGGTTAGCCATATGCAGAAAACTGAAACTGGACCCCTTCCTTACACTTTACACAATAATTAACTCAAGATGGATTAAAAACTTAAACATAACACCTAAAACCATAAAAAAATAACCCTAGAAGAAAACTTAGACAATACAATTCAGGACATAGGCATGGACAAATACGTTATGATTAAAACACCAAAAGCAATGGCAACAAAAGCCAAAATTGATAAATTGGGTCTAATTAAACTAAAGAGCTTCTGCACAGCAAAATAAACTATCATCAGAGTGAACAGGCAGCCTACAGAACAGGAGTAAATTTTTGCAATCTATCCATCTCACAAAGGGCTAATATCCAGAATCTACAAAGAACTTAAACAAATTTACAAGAAAAAAAAAAACCCATGAAAAAGTGGCTGAAGGATATGAACAGACACGTCACAAAATAAGACATTTATATGGCCAATAAACATGAAAAAAAGCTCATTATTACTGGTCATTAGAGAAATGCAAATCAAAACCACAATGAGATACCATCTCACGCCAGTTAGAATGGCAATCATTAAAAAGTCAGGAAACAACAGATGCTGGAGAGGATGTGGAGAAGTAAGAATGCTTTTATGCTGTTAGTGGGAGTGTAAATTAGCTCAACCATTGTGGAAGACAGTTTGACGATTTCTCAATCGCCAAAATCTCAAGTATCTAGAACCAGAAATACCATTTGACCCAGCAATCCCATTACTGGGTATATACCCAAAGGATTATAAATCATTCTCCTATAAAGACACATGCATACGTATGTTTATTGCAGCACTGTTCACAATAGCAAAGACTTGGAACCATCCCAAATGCTCATCAATGATAGACTGAATAAAGAAAATGTGGCACATATACACCATGGAATACTATGCAGCCATAAAAAAGGATGAGTTCATGTCCTTTGCAGGGACATGGATGAAGCTGTAAACCATCATTCTCAGCAAACTACCACAGGAACAGAAAACCAAACACCTCCTGTTCTCACTCATTAGTGGGATTTGAGCAATGAGAACACATGGACACAGAGAGAAGAACATCACACACCAGGGCCTGTCAGGTTAAGGGCGGGGTGGGCTAGGAGAGGGATAGCATTAGGAGAAATACCTAATGTAGATGACGGGTTGATGGGTGCAGCAAACCATCATGGCACATGTGTACCTATGTAACAAACCCGTACATTCTGCACATGTATCCCAGAGCTTAAAGTATAATTTAAAAAAAAAAGAAAAGAAGAAAAAGAATGTGTAATTATTGTTTAATATGTGAAAAATCTTGACTATTTTGGTGTTAAAGATTGTACAATATACAGAATGTAATTAGTACCACTAAGTTTTACACTTAAAATTGTAAAAATCAGATGTTTTATGTTCCATACAGTTTACTGCAACTGCAACAAAATAAAAAAGAAAGTTCTCAAATTTATAACCTTACTTTACATCTTCTAAAACTAGAAAAAGGAGTGCACACTAAAACCAAAAGAAGCATAAGGAATTAAATAATAAATAATAAAATGAAGAAAAATAAAACAGAATAAATCAAAACAGCAATACAGAGAATCAGTGAAAACAAGATTGGTTCTATTAAAAGATCAACAAAATTGAGAAATCTTTATAAGAACTTTGGACTGAGAAAAGATAGATGACTTAAATTAATAAAATCAGAAGTGAAATCATAGGCATTGCTTTCAATTTTATAGAAGTAGGTTGATTTCAAGAGAACATCTTGAGCAATAGTAATTCAACAAATTATATAATCTATATGAAATGAACAAATTTCTAGAAACAAACAACCAAAACTAAATCAAGGAGAAATAGAGAACTCACATAGGCCTAACAAGTACAGAAATTGAATTAGCAATCAAAAACCTCTCAACTAAGAAAAGCCCAAGACTAGATAGTTTCATAGTGAATTTTCTTATTTAAAGAAAATTAACATGTCTTTTTTGTATTCCACCAGAAAATATAGGAAATAATGGAAAACTTTTAAACTCATTCTTGTAAGAACAGATGTAACTTGATACTAAAACCAGACAAAGATATCAGAAGAAAATTACAGAGCAATATCTCTTATCAATAAATATAAAACAATTCTCAACATACAAGCAAACAAATCCATCAGCATAACAAAATGATTGCACACTATGATGAAGTGGAATTTATACCAGAAATACAACAGTTTCCACACTCAAATATCAATCAGTGTAATGCCCACATTAATAGGAAAAAAAATAAAAGAAACACATGATCATCTCAACTGGTGCAGGAAAAATATCCAATATATCGCAATGAAACATGTATTTTTTATGATACTATATCATAAAGGAGCAGTAGAAATAGACCTTAAACCCTAAAACTCATACAAGACATAAGTTTTCATGAATATTTGTTAGGTAATAATTTCTTAGACACAAAACCAAGCACAAGAAAAAGGTGAAAAAATATAACTTCATCACAATTTAAAATGTTTTGCTTCGAAGGCAAACACAAGAACATATAAAAGATTCACAGTATACCATATAATTTGCAAGACATGTATCTGATAAGGAACTTGTGAGTAAAACACATAAAGAACTCTTACAACTAAACAATGAAATGTAAATAGCTAATAAAAATATGAGTAAAATATTTACATAAATATTTCTGTAAAGAAGATACACTAATTACTAATAAGCACAAAAATGATGTTTGAAATTATTAGTTATCAGGGAAATCAATATCAAAATCTAAATGTAATATCACTTAATACTCACTGGGATGATTATAATAAAAAATGAACAATAACATGTAGTGTCAAGGTTACAGATTTATCAGACCACTCGTACACTGATGGTAAGATAAAGGATAATGGTATTTACAGTATGCAGAACAGTCTGGCTGTTCCAAAAAAGGTTAAACATAGCATTACCATATGATGCTGCAATTCCACTCCTAGGTATAAATCGAAAAGAATAATAGACTATGTTCAAGCAAAAATTCTACACCAATGCTCATAGCAGTATTTTTCATAATAGCCAAAAAGTTAAAAGCAGCAAATTACCATCAATCAAAGAATGGATACATAAAACGTAGTATATCCATACAACTGATGTTATTTAGTAATATAATAAATGAAGAATTGATATATACTAAAACAAAAATGAACCCTGAAAACATCTTAAGTGAAAGTCAATCAAAAACAAGCACATATTGTATTGTTCCATTAATACAAAACATTAAAGTAAACAAACCTATAGAAAAGAGAAATAGATTGTTGGTTGGCTATGACTAGAAGAATTGAGGGAAAAATAGAGACTGACTGATAATGAGGAGAGCAATATCTTTTGGAGTGTTAAAACTATTTTAAAAGCAACAATGATGATGGTTGCATATATTTGTGAATATTTCAAAAACAAACTATACACTTTAAATGAGTAAATTATGTAAATTATATGTCAATAAATCTGTTACTAAAATGACATCAAAACAATAGAAGCCTTAGGAATAAAACTAACAAAAACACAAACTTGTACAATAAAATGTGCAGTATTATTTAAAGAAATTGAAAGGGGCAGAGCAGGATGGTAGAAGGCCCCACTGTTCATGCCCACCAACAGGAACACATAATTTAACAACTATCTACACAAAAGAAGCACCTTTGAGAAAACCAAAAGTCAGATGAGCACTCACAGTACCTGTTTTTAAGTTTGTATCGCTGAAAGGGTCATTGAAGAGGGTATGGTGTTATAATATATATTTGTTTTCATCCATGGTTCCTGGCTCATTACTCCCATATCTCTTGTTAGTCTTTTGTTATAAGATTGGATGTGTTAGACTTCAGAGGCACTCCTCTGCCCTTCTCCTGCCCTTCTTTAACTCCAATGTTTCTCTGACTTTCTGATTATGAATCTTAAGACCCTTCCATGAGAGGGTCTCACCCCATACCCTGGAGAAGAAGAAATGCTGATGTCATGAAGCTTCCATAAAAATTCAAGAGAACAGGGTTCAGGGAGCTTCCATGTAGCTGAAAACAGGCAGGTTCCTGGAGGGTAGTACAACCAGAGAAGAAATGGAAGTTCTATGCCCCTTCTCCCATACCTCACCCAATGCATCTCTTCATCCGTATCTTTTGAAATATTCTTTATAATAAACCAGCAAAGTAAGTGTTCCCCTGAGTTCTGTGGGGCACCCCAACAAATTAAAGGAACCTAAAGAGGGGGTCATGGAAATCCTAATTCAAAGCCAGTTGGTCAGAATTTCTGGAAGCCCAGACTTTTGACTACTGTGTAGAAGTGTCAGTCTTGGGGACTGAGCTCTCAACTTGTGAGATTTGACACTATTACTGTGTAGATAGTGATGGAACTAAATTATAAAACACCCAGGTTGTTTTCACTACTTGCTGTGTGGGGAAAACCCCACACACATTTGATCACAGAAGTCTTCTATGTTGATGATTGTTTTTGTGTGAGTGTAGAGGCAAATGATGGTTAAAGGGTGTTTTCCCTAAGCATTTTGTGTCAAAACTGGAATTTGCCGATTGTCCTGACTCACAGAAACATGTGGTTTGAAGAGAGAAAGGAAAAAAGGGTGGAGAATGAGAAAATTTTGATTCCTGGGTGTCCACATGATCATCCATGGTATGAAGCCACAGTTATGTTGACATCAGTTTCAAAAGGTAAAATTGACCGGTGGAATTTAGAGATGGATCAAACTCCCCAGGAACTGATCTGCTAAATGCATAAGGAAATGTAAAATAGTAAGAGAAAAGTGAAATATTCAATCCCTTGGTTATTGTTATCTGTAATAAATAAAATGAAGTTAAAAGAGAATATTGGGTCAGACTTTCATGCTAGACCAAGCTCATATTTCAGTCTGTCTGAGCTCAGGCCACTAGCCTCAAAGTCACCTACGAAGCAGAAAATTATGCAGGGACAACAGAAATATCTCTGAGACCTGCGATTACCAAGGAGGTAGTGAATGTGAAGGAACAGCAAAACCAGGTAACTGTTGAAACCATATGATATATTGTGAAGCAATTGTTTCATTTTGTAGATCAGTATCGTCAGCTTACTGGGAGACGTTTGTTAGAATGGATTACGAGAGTGATTAATGTAGGGGCAGTATTTTTGGTTTTAAATGTTGCAGGGTGGAACAGTGTGTTTGGGTTGATGTAGGACCCACAGCTCACCATTAAACAATCACAGATGAGTATATATGATCCAGACACAAAGGAGGTTATTCCTGAGGAAACAGCCAGCCTGGTGGACTGGATAAAAGCCACCATAAGGTCTCTTTACCCTGAGAATTGGGACTGTCCAACTCTACCTATAAATGCCATGTGGAACACCCTAGATCAGGCAGCTGATATGCTTTGGATGCAAGCCATGTGGGACTGGCTACATAAAGACAGGAATATTTACCCACTGAATATGCTGGTTTCCCATTCATGGTAAATGCCGCGGTTAAGGGGCACTCATGTGATGTTGATCCTGCAGAATCTAACAACAGTTTGAGAAGGCTTATCAAATTTGCTGTCTCATCCGCCCTTCATGGGTCTCACAGATGTTGATAAAAACAATAGGTTAGTTAAAATGATAATGGGGAAAGGCAAAAGTGAGAGTCAAATGACTCATTCCAGAAAGGTGGCAATATTTAAATGGTTATTAAGAAATAAGGTGAATGGCTCCAGCTCCTTTGCTCCCTTTGCTCCACTAGGGGAAGGAGGAGAAGGAAAAGGACTGGGTGCCACCTGCCTGCACTCTCCTTGGATGCTGGAGGCAGTGAGGCAGTATGGCAGCAACTGCACGAGGCAACTTTGGAGTGGAGTCATAGTGATCTTACCTTCCACTGAGCTTCTTTCCAGAGCCCAAGAAGCCCCAAGCATATGACAACCAGCACTAAAATGAGGAGGAGGCGGCCCAGCCAAGGAATTAAAAAAAAAAAATCGGAACGTTTCAATATTTAAGACCACACATTTGCTGGTGAAGAAGTGTGCACTGAAAAGCCTGACCTTCTGATCTCCAACACACAACACAACTTTCTTGGGAATGGTCAAGTGACAGAGTGCAGGGATAGTAGGATGTGCATAGGTAAAACTCATTGAACAGGGTGGTGAGCTCAGTGTGAAAGTCATGACACCCAGAATATAAGAAGGAAAAGGAGCCAGAGCCTCAAATAAAGGCTGAAGTGCAGTGGCATGATCATGGCTTATTACAGCCTCAACCTCTGAACTCAAGCAATCCTCTAACCTCAGCCTTCTGAGTAGCTGGGATTACAGGTATACACCACCACACCTGGCTAAGTTTTATATTTTTTGTAGAGCCTCACAATAAATTTAGATGGAAATCAGACAGAAAGTCTGATGCTGCAGGCTGTTGAATTGTAAGGTTCTTGCAGAAGCAGCTTTCCTGATCACAACAGAGGCAGTGTGGCTTTGGGAGCTATTCAGATTTAGTCCTGCTCCTCTTGACTTTCCAACAATTGTATTTGATCCCTCTTCAAGATGATGACTAATTAGAAGCAGCTGCAGTCTGTGGCTTTCACTGAGAGGAAGAAAAGGGGCCAGTGAATACAGCACATTCAACTGAAATATCTAGGTTCTCATGTGCATTGGGACTGATCAGGAAATCAACTTGACCCCCAGAGAATGAAGAAAAGCAGGGTAGGGTGATGGCCCACCAGGGAGTGACACGGAGCCAAGGGAATCCCCAACCCCAGTCAAGGGAAGTGGTGAGTAATTGTGCAACCCTGGGAGACCACACTTCTCCCATGGATCTTTGCAACCCATGGATCAAGAGATCCCTTAGCGAGCCCATGCCAACAGGGCCTGGGGTCCGACACACACAGCTATGTGGAATCTCAGCAGAGCAGCTTCTCAGGCATACACAGAGACCTGGGAGCTTTACATACTTCAGCCCCAGGATCCACAACAAAGTTATCTGCAACTCAGGCAAGGCGAGAAATCAGTACACACCCCTAGGAAAGGGGCTAAATTCAGGGAGCCAAGCAGCATTGGTCAGCAGACATCATTTCCATGGCATCCTACAAGATAAGACCCACTGACTTGGAATTCCAGTCAGACACAGGCAACAGGGTAGAGCCTGCCTGAGACTGGACAGAGCCCCTGGGAGGTGGGGCAGGCAGCCACCTATGCTGCTTGATTGATTCAGCTGTTCCAGTCTGCAGGCTTTGGAGAGTCCAAATGGTCCAGATGAGGAAGGTTCCCCACAGCACAGCACAGCTGTTTTGCCAGATCATGTCTAGACTGTTTCTTAAAGTGGGACCCTGATCCATTCCTACTCACTGGGGAGGACCTCCCACCTCGGCACTCCCACAACCCTGCCTGTATTCTACAGGTAGAGTGCTGAACTCTCCCTGGGACAGAGTGCCCAGAGAGAGGCAGACTGCCACCTTGGTTTTCTGGATGATTCAGCTGTTCCAGCCTGCGGGATTTGGAGTGTCTAAACTGACATGGGTAGAGGTGGTTCCCAAGCATGACATGGATATTTGGTTGAGGCATGGCTAGACTGCTTCTATAAGCAAGACCCTGATCCACTCCTCCTTGTGATGCGGGTACTCACAGCCAGGGCCTCTGGTCACCCCTGCCCGTGTTCTATGACAGAATTCTAATTTCTCCCTGGGATGGAGTACTAAGAGGGTGGGCCAGGACACCACCTTGGCTGTTTGGGTATTTCAGCCAGTCCAGCCTGTGGGCCTTAGAGAGACCATACTAATCAGGGACTGAAGGAATCCCCAACACAGCACAGCTGCTTTATCAAAAAGCAGCCAGTCTGCTTCTTTAATCAGATCCCTGATTCCATTCCTCTTGACTGGGTGAAACCTCCTAACTGGGGTCTCCAGCCACCTCCTACAGGTGCTTTCAGGCTGGCAATAGGTCAGTAACCCCCTAGGACATAGCTTCCAGAGGAAGGGGCAGGATGCCATCTTTGCTGTTTTGCAGCCTTCACTGGTGATACTTCCAGGTACAGGAAAATCTGAGGTAACTAGGGTCTCAAGCAGACCCTATCCAACTGCACCAACCCTATAGAAGAATGTCCAGATTGTAAAAATAAAAGTAAACAATCAGAAAACAAGAAGAAAAACAAAAAAAAAAACCCACAAAAATAACCCATCCAGAAGTCAGCCATGACAGGGCAGCACTGAGTTACATGTAAAGTCTCCCAGCCACTGCGCTATCTCTCCGAAAGTGCACAGACTCTCAGTGCCACACAACCACTGCTGGGGGATGGGACATAAATGGCCTCAGCAATTCAGGACTTTCTATTCGACCCTCTTCAATATCTCTTTCAAAGATATAAAGTTAAAATCAGGTACTGTGATTGCTCGCCTGAACTGAAACATGGCTAGGATGCCCACTGTTGCCACTTCTATTCAGCAGAGTAAATGTCGTAGTCAGAGCAATCGTGCAAGAAAAAAGTATAAAAGGCATTAAAATTGCAAAAGAGTAAGTTAAATTGTCCCTCTTTGCAGATGACATAATTTTATAACAAGAAAAAACTAAAGACTCTGCCAAAAAACTCTTGGATATGATAAATAAATTCAGTAAAGTTGCAGGATACAAAATCAATATACAGCAATCAATAGCATTTATATACACCAATAATGAACAAGTTGAGAAATAAATCAGTAAGTTAATCAAATTTACAATAGCTACAAAAGAAATACCTAGAAATAAATTCAACAAATAAGATAAAAAACACTACAAGAAAAAGTACAAAGCACTGATGGAAGAAATTGAAGACAACACAAACAAATGGAAAGACATCCCATGCTCATAGATCAGAAAAATTAATATCATTAAAATGGTCATATGGACCAAAGCAATTGACAGATTCAATACAATTTTTATCAAAATGCCAATGTTATCTTTCACATAATTAGAAAAAATTTCTGAAATCCATATGGATAGAAAAAAAGAGGCTGACTAGCCAAAGCAGTCCTGATTAAAAAAACAACAAAGCTAGAGGCATTATACTACCTGACTTAAAAAATATATTACAAGGCTATATAACCCAAACAGCATTGTTTGGGTATAGAAACAGGCATGTCAACCAACAGAACAGAACATAAAAAAGAATCCAATAAAGCCACATATTTAAAGCCAACTGATTTTCAACAAAGACAACAAGAACATACATTGAGGATAGGGTACCCTCTTCAATAAATGGTGCTGAGAAAACTGGACACCCATATGCAGAATGAAACTGGATCCCTATCTCTTACCATATAAAAAAAATCAACTCAAAATGAATTAAAGACTTAAACATAAGACCTAAAACTGCACAACTACTAGAAGAACACATAAGAATAACACTTTAGGGCATTGGTCTAGGCCCCAATATTTCATAGCTAAGACCTCAAAAGCACAGGCAACAAAAACAAAAAATAGATGAATGTGTCAGTAAAAACGTCAGAGTTAAAAGGCTTCTGAACAGCAAAGGAAACAATCAACAAAGTGAAGAGTCCATGCCTTGAATTGGGTATGTGCAAACTATTCATTCAACAAGGGACTATATACAAGAAACTCAAACAACTCAACAGTAAAAAAACAAAAACAATCCTATGAAAAAGTGGGCAAAGGACATAAGGATATATTTTGCCAAAGAAGACACAGAAATGATCAACAGGTATATAGAAAAATGTTCAACATCACTCATTCCCAGGAAAGTGCAAATAAAAGTCACAATGAAACATCATTATACTCCAATTAGAATGCCTACTATTAAAGTAAGAAAAAATATCAAATGCTGGTAAGTATAGAGAAAAAAGGGAACTCTTACACACTGTTGGTTGAAATGTAGAATAGTATAGCCACTATGGAAAAGAGTATGGAGATTATGGAGATTTAAAAAAAACTGAAACTAAAAATAGAACTACCATACCATTCAGTAATCTCAGTACTATATATTTATCCAAAGTAAAATAAATCAGTATATCAAAGGGATACCCACACTTGCATGTTTGTTACAACACTATTCACAATAGCAAAGATACTGAATTAACCAAAATGTTCATCAATGGATTAATGGATAAAGAAAGTGTGGTATATATACTCAAGGGAGTATTATACAGACATGAAAAGGAATAAAATCATGTCATTTGCAGCAACATGGATGAAACTGAAGGTCCTTATGTTAAGTGAAATAAGCCAGGCATAGAAAGACAAATATTATATATTCTCATTTATATGTGGGAGCTAAAGAAGTTTATCTTGTGGAGGTAGAGTATAGAATGATAGATACCAGAGGCTGGGAAGCTTGTGTGGGTTGGGGTTGGGGTGATAAAGAGAGGGTCAGTAATGGGTACGAAAATAGTGTTAGAAAGAAGAAAGAAGTTCTAATGCTTGATAGCAAGGTAAGGTGTCCATAGTTAACAACAATGCATTGTACATTTCAAAATAGCTAGAAGAGAGGAATTGAAATGCTTTAAATACATAAAAATAAAAAAAAATACTTGAGGCGATGGTACCCCAGATATCATTACTTGATCATTACAAAGTCTACACATGTAATAAAGTATCACATATACCTCAAAAATATGTACAAATATTACGTACCAATAAGAAATAAAAATAAAATATGTTTAGAGAGGTGAAGAAAGCTGTATCTAAAAAATCAAGGAAAACAAGACAAGAAGGGAAGAAGGTGCTGGCTGCTGCATGTCTGAGTGTGACGGTTGGACCATGCACTGCTATGTATGCCTCAAGTACTTGAAGACACTTTGCATCTAAATGCTTCGCTGGGTTAATAGCCTAATTAGGATGATTTTCCAACAAGTTGGAGTAAGCATGCAATTGGTATTTTGGCCTGGGAAGCCATATGGTTTGTCTCTAAGTATCATGAAGAAAATTGTTACTATTAATAATTTATCCGTGATCTGGTGTCCAAGCTTACCTGCCATGCAACAGAATCGTGTCCCAACCACCCAGGAGAGGATGCAGTGTTGTCTTTTGTGGCTGTCGAATGGGTAGCCAAAGGAGAGTGTTCAACAAGACTAAGAACAGAGACCAGGCCAAGGCCATCCTTTCAAGATGACCTTTTCTTTGAGAAGGCCCCAAGCAGACAGATTTCCTTACCAGACTTGTCTCAAGAGGAGCCTCAGCTGAAGACTCCAGCTTGGTAAATGAGGAAGCACTGCAGAAGATTTGTGCTCTTGAAAATGAACTTGCTGCTCTCAGAGCTCAGATAACCAAAATTGTGACTCAGCAATAGCAGGAAAATCTAATTTCAAGTGACTTAGATTTTACCACATCTGTTACCACACCACCATCCCCTCCACCTCTCCACCAGTCTTGCCCGCCCTCTCCACTGGGACTCCACCAAAGTATATTTGATATTGATCTGATTAGAGAGTGAGGAGGGAGAAAAGCCAATTCTGGAAAGACGTTGGTTAAGAACAATCCAAAAAAAGCTGACATGCCAAAAATGCTAGAGACTCTTAAAGACATGATCAGTGTAAAACTTTAGTCAGTAAAAACCTCAGAGCAAGATGTACAGCCCAAGCCAGTGGATGCTGCTGGACTTGCTCCCCTCATAGCAGAGGCTCTGAAAAAGAAAAATTTGCTTATCGGAATCAAAGTAGTATACCAATAGGCTTATTGGTATACCCAGGATGAAGTTGAAAAAGGAGTTCCAAAGTCTGAATCAGAGGCCACCTCAGATACAGAGTTGTCTGCACTACACATGTTGAAGTCAACAGGAAAAATGAAGGCTTTAATGGAAAATATAACAAACTCCTAATAGACAATGAACTGCAAAAGACTATCCTGGTTCAACTATTGGTTTGTGAGGGGTAACTTTGACTAGTATAAATCAATACTATTTAGCAAATACCTGATTTTAGTATTCAGTGGTCTCCTTTTCAGTCTAATTAGAGGATTAAACAATAACAAAAGCACAATAAGTTTGGTTTTGCTTTTATGAGATGTTCAGTTTTGGCATTCTCCTCAGCATATGTGTATTCAGATGTGTTTCTAATGTGTAGCCAGGGTGTTCAGATTTCCCGTCTTGAAAACAATTGTATAGATTTTAGAACACAGAGAGGACACTTGTGGATGTTACTGCACATTTTTATTATTAACACTAGTTTATCTGCATAAATGTTTATATGCATGTTTTTTGACAGTTTATGTAAAATTAGTAATGAATGATGGCAATGGCTTTAACCTATAATTGTTACCATTATAAGGTATGGTTATTTTTGTTTGTTTTGAATAATCACTTAGTATTCAATGGTGGAACAGCTAGTATAACATAAGTTGTTGGCATGAAATACTTGAGATTGGAAACTTCTTGCCTTAAACAGAATTTATATACTAGATCCTCTCTCACATTTTCTTGGAGCTGGGATTTGAGTAGAAACCAGGTGATAGTCCCCGCTGAAATTCCATAATGCTTTCCATTAAAGGGAAGTTCAGAACTAGGAAAGTTGTTTTTACCTCATTGTCATCCAGGACAGAAGAAGAAAATGTAGTTTTCAAATAGTAACAAATCAAATTAGTGATTTAAATATCCTTTTAAGTAAAACCCAGAATGTATCATCTTTTCTTTCAGTTTAATAAATAGCATTATAAATATTATTTTGCTAAGTTAATACTTCTGGAAATATCAGAATAGAGTTTTAAAATCTTTAATATTGGTCAAAATATTAACTTTATAGTGAAACATTAAGCAAGCAAATTTTCTATAAATTATTTATCATTGGCCAGAATGCTATTTTGTTTAATTGTATTATGCAATATAAACCATAGGTGTTATTAGAAAGTGGAGAATTGCTTTTCTTATCTAGAGCTTTTAACCACTTGATGTAAATGATTATTTTTTAAATATCTTATAAATCTTAATGATTTTTCTATTTCTTATAAACTCAGCTACAGTTAATGCCAGAATATCCTACCATGAGTAAATATTTGTGTGTGTTTTTAACATTTTGGTGTATTTCAATTTTGTTCCTTTTGTTTTCAATTTTTTGGGTACATACTAGGTATATATATTTATGGGGTATAAGAGATATTTTGATACAGGCATACAATACATTATAATCACATATGCGTAGACGGGATATCTATCACTTCAGGTGTTTATCATTTCTTTGTGTTGCAAAAATCTAATTGTACTTTTAGCTACTTTAAATGTGCAATAAAATTATTATTAACTATAGACACCCTGTTGTGCTATCAAATACTAGATCTTATTCATTAGAGTTAGATACACTAACTATATTTTTGTAACCATTAATCATCCCTACTCCCCCCACCTCACACTGCCCCTCTTGTTATCTTCTGATAACCATCATTCTATTCTCTATCTCCATTAGTTTGTTTTAATTTTTAGCTCCCAGAATATAAGTGAAAACATGCAGTTTATCTTTCTGTGCCTGGCTCATTTTACTTAACATGAGTTCAATTGCCACACATGCTGTTGCAAATGACAGGATCTTATTTTTTTATGGCTGAATAATACTCCATTGTGTATATGTACTGTATTTTCTTTATTTCAGCTTTTATTTTCGGTTCAGCTTTACAAGAGTAGATTTGTTACATAGGTAAACTTGTGTCATAGGGATTTGTTGTACTGATTATTTTATCAGCCAGGCATTAAGCCTTGTACCTATCAGTTAGTTTTCCTGATTCTCTCCCTCTTCCTACCCTCCACCCTCTGAAAGGCCCCAGTGTGGGTTTTTTCCTTCTATGTTTCCACGTGTTCTTATCATTTAGCTCCCATTTATGAGTAAAAACATGTGGTACTTGGTTTTCTGTTCCTGTGTCAGTTTGCTAAGCCACCAGCTCCATCCAGGTCTCTGCACAGGACATGATTTCATTAATTTTTATGGCTGCATTGTATTCCATAATGTATATGTACCGCATTTTCTTTATCCAGTCTATCATTTACAGAAATTTAGGCTGATTCCATGTCTTTGCTATTGTGAATAGTGCTGCAATGAACATACACGTGCATTTGTCTTTATAATAGAATAATTTATATTTCTTTGGTTATATACCCAATAATGGGGTTTCTGAGTCAAATAGTATATCTGTCTTTAGGTCTTTGAGGAATCACCACACTGTTTTCCACAACGGCTGAACTAATTTACACTCCCACCGACAGTGTATAAGCAAACCTTTTCTCTACAACCTAGCCAGCATCTGTTATTTTTTGACTTTTTAATAATAGTCATTCTAATTGCTGTGAGACAGAATCTCATTGTGGTTTTGATTTGCATTTCTCTAATGATCAGTGATGTTGAGTTTTTTTTTTTTCATATGATTGTTGGCAGCATGTATGTCTTTTGAGAAGCGTCTGTTCATGTCTTTTGTCCACTTTTTTAATGGGGTAAATTTTTTTAAGTTTCTTATAGATGTTGCATATTAGACTTTTATTAGATGCATAATTTGCTAAAATTTTCTCACGTTGTGTAGGTTGTCTGCATACTCTGTTGACAGTTTCTTTTGCTGTACAGAAGCTCTTTAGTTTAACTAGATCCCATTTGTCAATTTTTGATTTTGTTGCAATTGTTTTTGGCATCTTTATCATGAAATCTTTGCCCATGGCTATGTCCTGAATGGTATTGTCTAAGTTGTCTTCCAGGGTTTTTATACTTTGGGGTTTGATATTTAAATCTTTAATCCATCTTGGGTTGATTGTTGTATATGGTGTAAGGGAGGAGTCTAGTTCCTATCTTCTGCTATCCCAGCACCATTTATTGAATAGGGAATACATTTGCCATTGCTTGCTTTTGTCAGGTTTGCCAAAGATCAGATAGTT
This sequence comes from Homo sapiens, assembly GCF_000001405.40. NCBI lineage: Eukaryota > Metazoa > Chordata > Mammalia > Primates > Hominidae > Homo > Homo sapiens. Next base: position 66,357,741 of record NC_000023.11, on the reverse strand, counting down.
GCAGGTGGATGGTTTTATTTCTGGGTTCCTTATTCTGTTCCATTGGTCTATGTGTCTGTTTTTGTACCAGTACCAATACCATGCTGTTTTTGTTACTGTTACCCTGTAGTATACTTTGGAGTTGAGTAGCCTGATGCCTCCAGCTTTGTTGTTTTTTCTTAGTATTATCTTGTCTGTTTGGGCTCATTTGGTTACATATGAATTTTGAAATAGTTTTTTCTAATTCTGTGAATAATGTCAGTGGTAGTTTAATGGGGACAGCATTGAATCAATAAATTGCTTTGGGCAGTATGGCCATTTTAACAATATTAATTATTCCTACCCAAGAGTGTGGATTGTTTTTGCATTTGTTTGTGTCATCTTTGATTTCTTTGAGCAGTGGTTTGTAATTCTTGTAGAGATTTTTCTTTTTTTTATTATTATACTTTAAGTTTTAGGGTACATGTGCACAACATGCAGGTTTCTTACATATGTATACATGTGCCATGTTGGTGTGCTGCACCCATTAACTCGTCATTTAACATTAGGTATATCTCCTAATGCTCCCTACTTAGTTGCACTCCTAGGTATTTTATTGTTTTTGTGGCAATTGTGAATGGGAGTTCATTCCTGATTTGCTCTCAGCTTGCCTGTTGTTTGTGTACAGTAATGCTACTGTTTTTGCACATTAACTCCGTGTCCTGAGACTTTGCTGAAGTTGCTTATAATCTTAAGAACTTTTTAGGCTGAGATGATGGAATTTTCCAGATATAGGATCATGTTATGTGCAAACACGGATATTTTGACTTCCTCTCTTCCTATTTGGATGCCCTTTTTTTCTTTCTCTTGCCTGATTGCCTCGGCCAGAACTTCCAATAGTATGTTGAATAGGGGTGGTGAGAGAGGGTATCCTTGTATTTTGCTGGTATTCAAAGGGAACGTGTCCAACTTTTGCCCATTCAGTATGATATTGGCTGTGGGTTTTTCATAGATGGCTCTTATTATTTTGAAGTATGTTCCTTCAATGCCTAGCTTATTGAAAGTTTTTAACATGAAACAATGTTAAATTTTATCAAAGGCCTTTTCTGCATCTATTGAGATAATCACATGATTCTTGTATTTAGTTCTGCTTATGTGATGAATCACCTATACTGATTTGTGTATGTTGAAACAACCTTGCATCCAAGGGATGAAGCCAACTTTATCATGGTGGATAAGCTTTTTGATGTGCTGCTGGATTCGGTTTGCCAGTATTTTGCTGAGGATTTTTGCATAGATGTTCATCAATGATACTGCCTGTGTTGTTGTTGTATCTCTGCCGGGTTTTGGTATCAGGATAGAATGAGTTATGGAGAAGTCCCTCCACCTCAATTTTTTTGAAATAGTTTTAGTAGGTATGGTACCCGGTCTTCATTGTATGTCTGGTAGAATTCAGCTGTGAATTCATCTGGTCCTGGGCTTTTTCTTTTTTTTTTTCTTTGGTTGGTAAGCTATTTATTACTTCATCAATTTCAGAACTTGTTATTGATCTGTTCAGAGATTCAATTTCTTTCTGGTTCAGTCTTGGGAGGGTTATGTGTCCTGAAATGTATCCATTTCTTTTAGATTTTCTAGTATATATTCATAGATAAGTTTATAATATTCTCTGTTGGTTGTTTATATTTCTGTGGGGGTCAGGGTTATATTCCCCAGGTTGTTTCTGATTGTGTTTATTTGAATCTTCTCTCTTTTCGTCTTTACTAGTCTATCTAGCAGTCTATTTCATTATTTTTTACCAAAAAAAGCTCCTGTATTTATTGATGTTTTGAATGGTTTTTTGTTCTTATTTCTTAGCAAATGGAGTGACAATAAATGTCAGCACTTGTCTCAACAGTGACACGTTTGAAGGTAGTGCTGGGCTTTGGAATCTACCTTATCTTCTTGCATTGACTATTGTAGACAACTCGTATAAGTGGAATTATACAATATATGTTATTTCCTTTGTGTCTGGCTTATTTCACTTAGCATAATGTCTTCACAGATCATCCACATTGTAGCATGCTCCAGAATTTCTTTCTTTTTATAGTTGAATAATACTCCATTGCATATATACTACATTTAGTTTATCCATTCATCTACCAGTGGACGCTTTGATTACTTCCATCTTTTGGCTATTATGAATAATGCTGCTATGAATATACTGTACAAATATCTTTTTGAGACCTTGCTTATAATTCTTTTGGGTAAATACTGTAAAATGGAATTGATAGATCATGTGTTAATTCTATTTTTATGTTTTCTGTTTTTATTGTATCTTATGGTATACAAATAGATTATTTGATATAAGTATACATTGTGGAATAATCATCACAATCGAGCTAAATTAACATGGTCATCACCTGACATATTACCTTCTCTTTCTTTGTGTTGAGAATACTTAGCATCCACTTTTTAAGCAAATTTCAAGTACACAGTATTATTACCTATAGTCATCACAAAATATATTAGAACTCCAGAACTTATTCATCTTACATAACTGAAACTTTGTAACCCTAGTGTTTTTTTACATTTTATAAACACATTATTAAAATATATGTACATGTTGAAATTTGATTATACTGTTGAAATTTAAATATAAGCTTTCTGTGTCTTTGAATATATCATTCCACTCCCTCCTGGCCTGCAAGGTTTCATTTGAAAAGTCGGCTGATATCATTTGAGGATTCTTTGCATATGATCAGCTGTTTTATTTTTTTCTGTTCTCAAGATCATTTCACTGTCTTGAATGTTTGACAATTTGATTATAATATCACTTGGTAAAGATCTCTTGATGTTCAGATTATTGGCGTTTCTTTCTGCATCATGGATCTGAATGTTCACTTTTCCCCCAGATTGAATACTTTTTGTCCTTATTTCTTTAAATATGTTTTCTATCCCTTTCTCTTCTTCTCTGCTTCTATTAAGAATTCCATAATGTGTATTTTGTTTCACTTGATGGTGTCCTGTAGTCCCTTTGGCTTTCTTTAGTCTTCTTTTGTTGTTGTTCCTATGACTGGGTAATTTCAAATAGTTTGTCTTCAAGTTTGCTGATTATTTCTTCTACTTGATAAAGTCTGCTGATAAAACTAATTTCTTTCAGTTTATTCAGCGTATTCTTCAGCTTCAGAATTTCCATTTGGTTGTTTTTATAAATGTTTTATATCTGTTTGTTGAATTTATCATTTTGTTGATGTATTATTTCTCTGAATTTTATTAACTTGTCTGTGTTCTCTTGTGGCTTACTGAGCTTCCTTAGATAATTACTTTGAACTCTATGTCAGGCAATTTTTAGATCTCCATTTTGGGGGGTTAGCCATTAGAACTGTCATTTTGTTCCTTTCATGGAAATGTTTTGTTGTTGTTGTTGTTGTTGTTGTTTTGTTTTTTATGTCCACTGAAGACTTAACTTGCTGTATTCTCTGATGAAAAGAACAGTTCACTCCTTCAGTGTTTACTGACTGACTTTAGAAAAGAAGACCTTCACCATTCAGCCTAGCTGGAAATCTGGGCAGTCTCTCAGGCTTTTTCTTTTGATGTGCCTGGACCACTATTTTTTTCCTCTGTTGAGAAGACGTCTTAGGACTGTGTGTCTTCTCTCAATGCTACAAAGTCAGAACAGGTGATGAAAGCCTCTTAATTATCTTTCCCAGGGGAATGCCCCCACGTTTTCAAGTTTGTAAACCTTTACCCAATCACACAGCATCATGCCAGCTGCTGCTATCTGTGTCCTTTCTATGGGGGTTTTCTTGCATCTTATTTTAATGGAGTTTCATGTTTGCCATCTGCAAAATCACTTGCATATTGTCTTCAGAGGCTCGCATTTACTGACTCAGGGACACTTGTGAGTGCTGGGGACATGCCTCAGGCAGTACTGGGGAATGCTTTAGATGATACGTCTTACGGGGTTTCTGAGTTGGCCTCTTGGTGAAGTCTATGAACATGTCAGTAAGATCTTCAGTTAGATTTTGAAATGCGTGTGGTTATTGCCATAACTTCTCACTCCTTTTTATTGTGTTTATCTCTCTTAGACTATTCAGCCATACAAACCTAGTCAGTGATCTGGGTGCTGTGAGGAAAAAGTAGTCCTTTTGAGCAGCTTTCTGCAAGGCTAGGGAAGCTGGCCATTTACATCATAGTCACTGTTATCCATGGAAAAAAATCCCAGGCTGAGAGGTTTCCCTTAGTAGTGAGATGTGACACCTTGTGAGAAGAATGATGTGGACAAAGTGAATTGTTCTTCATTTCCCTTTCGATGTGTCTATTCTTGAATTGTTCCTTAAATACAGTGTTAGAGTCTATTTGACTCTTGCATTCCCTTAAAAATATCTCCATCCATGAAAGTTGTCAAAATCAACATTTGTGTGAGTTTATAAGAGCTGGAATCTCCTATTCTGTCTCTTGCTGATGTAACTTTCTATTTTTAAATTATTTTATAAACTGTCACACTATTTTTATAGTGGCTACACAATTTTATATTTCCTCTAACAATGCATGAGGATTCCACTCTTTTTATGTCATCACCAATGCTAGTTTTTTTTTTTTTTTTTTTTTCTGATTTTTTAGTAGTAGCCATTGTAAGGGGTGTGGGACAATATATCACAGTAATTTGATTCGCATTAATAATAAGTGATGATGAGCATCTTTTATATATTTATTGGCCTTATGCATATACTGTTTGGAGAAGTGTCTTTTCAAATTATTTGCCCATTTAAAAAAATAGGTTTTGTGAGTTTTTTACTGTTGAGTTGTAGGAGTTCTTTATATATTTTAGCTACCAACCCCTTAACATATATCATGGCTTGAAAATATTTTCCACCATTCCATAGATTGCCATTTTACTCTACTAATTATGTCCTTTGATACAGATAATTGTTTTCTTTTGATGTAGTCCAATTTACCTATTTTTGCTTTTGTTGCCTTTATTTTTGGTGTCATATCCAATAAAAATATTGTTATTTCTAAAGTCTTGAAGCTTTCCCTCTACTTTTCTCTCTAAGTATTTTACAGTTTTAGGTCTTATAACTTGTTCTTTGATCTACTTTGAATTTTTGCATGTGGTATAAGGTAAAGCTCCTACTTCATTTTTTTGCATGTGGATATTCAGTTTTTCCAGAAATTGTTTGTTGAGACTGTTCTTTCTTAATAAAATCTTAGCACCCATGTCAAAAATTATTTGGCCATATATTTGAGGGCTATTTCCAGGTCATGTATTCTATTTTATTGGTCTGTATGTCTGTCTTTATGTTAGTACCACACTGTTTTGATTACTGTAGCTTTGAAATGACTTTTGAAATCAGAAAGTGTAAGTCATCTAACTTTCTTCTTCATCAAAATTGTTTTGACTATTCACTACCCCATGAAATTTATATACATTTTAGAATAAAATTGTGTATTTCTACAAAAAAATAGGTCATTAAAATTTTGACAAGTTTTATTAAATCTGTAGATTTCTTTGGATAACATTGACATCTTAGCAATATTGTCTTATAATCTACAAAAATGGGATGGTTTTCCATTTACTGGTGACTTTTTATTTCTTTTAGTAATGTATTATGTTTTTCAGGGTAGAACTGTTTTATCTTCTTTTTTTTTGAGGTGCTTATTGTTTTTTTGTTTTTTATTTTATTTTATTTTATTTTATTTTATTATTATTATACTTTAAGTTTTAGGGTACATGTGCACAACGTGCAGGTTTGTTACATATGTATATATGTGCCATGCTGGTGCGCTGCACCCATTAACTCATCATTTAGCATTAGGTATATCTCCTAATGCTGTCCCTCCCCACTCTCCCCATCCCACAACAGTCCCCAGAGTGTGATGTTCCCCTTCCTGTGTCCATGTGTTCTCACTGTTCAATTCCCACCTATGAGTGAGAATATGCAGTGTTTGGTTTTTTGTCCTTGTGATAGTTTACTGAGAATGATGATTTCCAATTTCATCCATGTCCCTACAAAGGACATGAACTCATCATTTTTTATGGCTGCATAGTATTCCATGGTGTATATGTGCCACATTTTCTTAATCCAGTCTATCATTGTTGGACATTTGGGTTGGTTCCAAGTCTGCTATTGTGAATAGTGCCGCAATAAACATATGTGTGCATGTGTCTTTATAGCAGCATGATTTATAGTCCTTTGGGTATATACCCAGCAATGGGATGGTTGGGTCAAATGGTATTTCTAGTTCTAGATCCCTGAGGAATCGCCACACTGACTTCCACAATGGTTGAACTAGTTTACAGTCCCACCAACAGTGTAAAAGTGTTCCTATTTCTCCACATTCTCTCCAGCACCTGTGGTTTCCTGACTTTTTAATGATTGCCATTCTAACTGGTGTGAGATGATATTTCATTGTGGTTTTGATTTGCATTTCTCTGATGGCCAGTGATGGTGAGCATTTTTTCATGTGTTTTTTGTCTGCATAAATGTCTTCTTTTGAGAAATGTCTGTTCATGTCCTTTGCCCAAGTTTTTATGGGGTTGTTTTTTTCTTGTAAATTTGTTTGAGTTCATTTTAGATTCTGGATATTAGCCCTTTGTCAGATGAGTAGGTTGTGAAAATTTTCTCCCATTTTGTAGGTTGCCTGTTCACTCTGATGGTAGTTTCTTTTGCTGTGCAGAAGCTCTTGAGTCTAATTAGATCCCATTTGTCAACTTTGGCTTTTGTTGCCATTGCTTTTTGTGTTTTGGATGTGAAGTCCTTGCCCATACCTATGCCTGAATGGTAATGCCTAGGTTTTCTTCTAGGGTTTTTATGGTTTCAGGTCTAACTTTTAAGTCTTTAATCCATCTTGAATTAATTTTTGTATAAGGTGTAAAGAAGGGATCCAGTTTCAGCTTTCTACATATGGCTAGCCAGTTTTCCCAGCACCATTTATTAAATAGGGAATCCTTTCTCCATTGCTTGTTTTTCTCAGGTTTGACAAAGATCACATAGTTGTAGATATCTGGCATTATTTCTGAGGGCTCTGTTCTGTTCCATTGATCCATATCTCTGTTTTGGTACCAGTACCGTGCTGTTTTGGTTACTGTAACCTTGTAGTATAGTTTGAAGTCAGGTAGCATGATGCCTCCAGCTTTGTTCTTTTGGCTTAGGATTGACTTGGTGATATGGGCTCTTTTTTGGTTCCAAATGAACTTTAAAGTAGTTTTTTCCAATTCTGTGAAGAAAGTCATTGGTAGCTTGATGGGGATGGCAGTGAATCTATAAATTACTTTGGGAAGTATGGCCATTTTCACGATATTGATTCTTCCTACCCATGAGCATGGAATGTTCTTCCATTTCTTTGTATCCTCTTTTATTTCAGTGAGCAGTGGTTTGTAGTTCTCCTTGAAGAGGTCCTTCACATCCCTTGTAAGTTGGTTTCCTAGGTATTTCATTCTCTCTGAAGCAACTGTGAATGGGACTTCACTCATGATTTGGCTCTCTGTTTGTCTGTTATTGGTGTATAAGAATGCTTGTGATTTTTGTACATTGATTTTGTATCCTGAGACTTTGCTGAAGTTGCTTATCAGCTTAAGGAGAATTTGGGCTGAGACAATGGGGTTTTCTAGATATACGATCATGCCGTCTGCAAACAGGGACAATTTTACTTCCTCTTTTCCTAATTGAATACCCTTTATTTCCTTCTCCTGCCTAATTGCCCTGGCCAGAACTTCCAACACTATGTTGAATAGGAGTGGTGAGAGAGGGCATCCCTGTGTTCTGCCAGCTTTCAAAGGGAATGCTTCCAGTTTTTTCCCATTCAGTATGATATTGGCTGTGGGTTTGTCATAGATAGCTCTTATTACTTTGAGATACGTCCCATCAATACCTAACTTATTGAGAGTTTTTAGTTTGAAGGTTGTTGAATTTTGTCAAAGGCCTTTCCTGCATCTATTGAGATAATCATGTGGTTTTTGTCTTTGGTTCTGTTTATATGCTGGATTACATATTTTGATTTGCATATATTGAACCAGCTTTGCATCCCAGGGATGAAGCCCACTTGATAATGTTGGATAAGCTTTTTGATGTGCTGCTGGATTCAGTTTGCCAGTATTTTATTGAGGATTTTTGCATCAATGATGATCAAGGATATTGGTCTAAAATTCTCTTTTTTGTTTGTGTCTCTGCCTGGCTTTGGTATCAGGATGATGTTGGCCTCATAAAATGAGTTAGGGAGGATTCCCTCTTTTTCTATTGATTGGAATATTTTCAGAAGGAATGGTAGCAGTTCCTCCTTGTACCTCTGGTAGAATTCGGCTGTGAATCCCTCTGGTCCTGGACTCTTTTTGGTTGGTAAGCTATTGATTATTGCCACAATTTCAGAGCCTGTTATTGGTCTATTCAGAGATTCCACTTCTTCCTGGTTTAGTCTTGGGAGGGTGCATGTGTCGAGGAATTTACCCATTTCTTCTAGATTTTCTAGTTTATTTGCATAGAGGTGTTTGTAGTATTCTCTGATGGTAGTTTGTATTTCTGTGGGATCGGTGGTGATATCCCCTTTATCATTTTTTATTGCATCTATTTGATTCTTCTCTCTTTTCTTCTTTATTAGTCTTGCTAGCAGTCTGTCAATTTTGTTGATCCTTTCAAAAAACCAGCTCCTAGATTCATTAATTTTTTGAAGGGTTGTTTGTGTCTCTATTTCCTTCAGTTCTGCTCTGATTTTAGTTATTTCTTGCCTTCTGCTAGCTTTTGAATGTGTTTGCTCTTGCTTCTCTAGTTCTTTTCATTGTGATGGTAGGGTGTCAATTTTGGATCTTTCTTGCTTTCTCTTGTGGGCATTTAGTGCTATAAATTTCCCTCTACACACTGCTTTTAATTTGTCCCAGAGATTCTGGTATGTTGTGTCTTTGTTCTCTTTGGTTTCAAAGAACATCTTTATTTCTGCCTTCATTTCGTTATGTACCCAGTAGTCATTCAGGAGCAGGTTATTCAGTTTCCATGTACTTGAGTGGTTTTGAGTGGGTTTCTTAATCCTGAGTTCTAGTTTGATTGCACTGTGGTCTGAGTGATAGTTTGTTATAATTTCTGTTGTTTTACATTTGCTGAGGAGAGCTTTACTTCCAACTGTGTGGTCAATTTTGGAATAGGTGTGGTGTGGTCCTGAAAAAAGTGTATATTTTGTTGATTTTTGGTGGAGAGCTCTGTAGATGTCTATTAGGTCCACTTGGTGCAGAGCTGAGTTCAATTCCTGGATATCCTTGTGAACTTTCTGTCTCGTTGATGTGTCTAATGGTGACAGTGGGGTGTTAAAGTCTCACATTATTATTGTGTGGCAGTCTAAGTTTCTTTGTAGGTCACACAGGACTTGCTTTATGAGTCTGGGTGCTCCTGTATTGGGTGCATATATGTTTAGGATAGTTAGCTCTTCTTGCTGAATTGATCCCTTTACCATTATGTAATGGCCTTCTTTTTGTCTTTTGATCTTTGTTGGTTTAAAGTCTGTTTTATCAGAGACTAGGATTGCAACCCCTGCCTTTTTGTGTTTTCCATTTGCTTGGTAGATCTTCCTCCATCCTTTTATTTTGAGCCTATGTGTGTCTCTGCAAGTGAGATGGGTTTCCTGAATACAGCACACTGATGAGTCTTGACTCCATCCAATTTGCCAGTCTGTGTCTTTTAATTGGAGCATTTAGTCCATTTACATTTAAAGTTAATATTGTTATGTGTGAATTTGATTCTGTCATTATGATGTTACCTGGTTATTTTGCTCATTAGTTGATGCAGTTTCTTCCTAGCCCTGATGGTCTTTACAATTTGGCATGATTTTGCAGTGGCTGGTACCGGTTTTTCCTTTTCAAATTTAGTGCTTCCTTCAGGAGCTCTTTTAGGGCAGGTCTGGTGGTGACAAAATCTCTCAGCATTTCCTTGTCTGTAAAGGATTTTATTTCTCCTTCACTTATGAATCTTAGTTTGGCTGGATATGAAATTCTGGGTTGAAAATTCTTTTCTTTAAGAATGTTGATTATTGGCCCCCACTCTCTTCTGGCTTGTAGAGTTTCTGCCAAGAGATCCGCTGTGAGTCTGATGGGCTTCCCTTTGTGGGTAATCCGACCTTTCTCTCTGGCTGTCTTTAACATTTTTTCCTTCATTTCAACTTTGGTAAATCTGACAATTATGTTTCTTGTAGTTGCTCTTCTCAAGGAGTATCTTTGTGGCGTTCTCTGTATTTCCTGAATCTGAATGTTGGCCTGCCTTGCTAGATTTGGGAAGTTCTCCTGGATAGTATCCTGCAGAGTGTTTTCCAACTTGGTTCCATTCTCCCCATCATTTTCAGGTACACCAATCAGACATAGATTTGGTCTTTTCACATAGTCTCATATTTCTTGGAAGCTTTGTTCATTTATTTTATTCTTTTTTCTCTAAACTTCCCTTCTCACTTCATTTCATTCATTTCATCTTCCATCACTGATACCCTTTCTTCCAGTTGATCGCATCAGCTCCTGAGGGTTCTGCATTCTTCATGTAGTTCTGTTTTAACTTCTTATTGAATTTTGTTTGTATCTTAATTTTTTGAAGCTATTATAAGTGGCATTGTTTTGTTAATTTTCTTTTCAGATTGTTCACTGTTGCTGGATATAAAAACAATTGAATTAGTGTGTTAATTTTGTATGTTGTAATTTGTTTAATTTATTAGCTTTTACACATCTTTTTGTTGAGTCATGAGAGGTTTCTACATATGTTTCTGCCGTCTGTGAACAAACATGATCTTAATTCCTCTTTTTCATTTGGATGCCTATTCTTTTTCTCTTCTAAATGCTCTACATAGCTCTACCTAGGAATTCTAGATTATATTGAATTAATGAGGTAAACTGGAGCACCATTTTTTTGTTCCTGATCTTAGAATAAAAGCCTTCCAACTTTCACCTTTGATCATAATGTTGACAGTAAACTTTTCTAATCTGTCTTTTATTATATATAGGTAGTTTTCTTGTACTGTTTGTTAAGTGTTTTCATTGTGGTAGGGCATTAAATTATTGAATTTTGTTTTTATTTACGGAATTTATTGAGAGAATCATGGTTTTACCTTCCTTTTTATTATATATTATTTGATTAATGTCATATGATGAACTATTTTTGTATTCCAGAAATAACTTTCAATTTGTCATGATGTATAATCCTTTTATGCCCTCTTAAATTATATTTGCAAGTATTTTGCTGTGGATATTTGTATCTATATTTATCAGAGATATTGGCAGAAGGGTTTGTTTGTTTGTTTATTTGTAGTGTCCTGGTCTGGCATTAACATCAGAATAATGCTGACTTCAAAGGATGAGTTTAGAAGTGTTTTCTGTCATCTTCCAAAGAAATTTTGGGAAAATTTGATGTTAATTCTTCTTTGTATGTTTCGGAGAATTCACCTGTGAAAGCATCTCTTTCTAGAATTTTGTTATTGTGTTTTTGGAAGGTTTTTGTTTATAGATTCAATCTTCTTATTAGTTATTGGCCTTACTAGCTATGAATCCACTTGTTGGGCTCATTATTCTTACTAGTTATGCCTCCACTGCTTTCAGTGGTCTCCAATCTGTTATTTAAACGGTGCCACGATTCCTATCAGTTCTTTAAGTCAGGTGAGACAAAAGCTAATCCCTCAGACAGCTTTCAAACAAGTCAAAATGCTGCAAGCAAGTTGCTTCTTTTTATTTCATTCTCAGGGAAGATCCATAAATTGTTTGGCTTCCTCCTATCTGCACCTTGCTGTACCAGAGAAGGGGTGGGGCAAAGATGAGCTAAAGTTCCACAAATCCTCTACCATTTTGATTGCAGCTTTTTTTTTTGTTCTTGTTAGGTGTTTTCTTGGTTTTTGCAGCTTCTTAACTATTCTAGAGTTCTCACAAAGCTATGTTGGTCAATCTGTTTTTACTTATTTGTTGTTTTCATGGAAGAGCAAGTGTCTGGATTTTTCTAGTTCTACATCTTGCATCTCCCTTGCATTTCTATATTTCTGACTATTTTACATGTCAATAGGTTATATTTGGGATTGCCTGTCAGGACAGAATGGTGTAGACTCATTTTCCCTGCTTCTCCCTGATTACTACACTAAGAAATCTTGAAATAACACAATAGACGACAAATGGAAAGTTCTGATTGGTGGGAAAAAACGGGTAACATACTTATAGAATCAAAAACTAGAGGACGAAGACTAGAAGACCTATAACTCTATGACTAATTCCACCCAAAAGAAAAAGATTGCTTAGAAATGACATTTTCTAAGCACAAATCAATCAAAGGCTAACCATATAGGCTTTTTTCTCTTCCAATTGAATAAGAGTACCTCTGAGAACATCAGGAAACCAGACACCATGAGCAAAAAAAGATAGATTGGGAAAAAATAAGCAGTGTAGTGTTGGATGTGCCTACTAAAACATGAGATTTAAATAATATCCAGACAGCACTATTGAGTATCTAAAATGTTCAGTATACAATAGAAAAATATAGCTATACTAAGAATCAGGAAAACCTCAACTCCAATGAGAAAAGACAATCAACATATGCAAACATTGAGATGACACAGATGTTGAAATTATCTAACAAGGATTTTAAAGAAGTCGTTATAAAAAATTCTTCAATAAAGAATTATGAATTTTCTTGAAACACTTAGAAAACCAAAATTTTATCAAAGAAAAGCAAGTTATAAGAGAACCAGGAGAAGCCAAAATGGCTGATTAGGAACAGCTCCAATCTGCAGCTCCCAGCGACATCAATGCAGAAGGCGGGTGAATTCTGCATTTCCAACTGAGGTACCCAGTTCATCTCATTGGGACTGGTTAGGCAGTGGGTGCCACCCATGGGGGATGAGCAGAAGAAGGGTGTGGCATCACTTCACCCAGGAAGGGCAAGAAGCTGGGGGACCTCCCTTCCCCAGCCAAGGGAAGCCGTGAGGGACTGTGCTATCCAGCTACGGGTACTGTGCTTTTCCCATGGTTTTTGCAATCTGCAGATCAAAAGATTCCCTCGTGTGCCTACACCATCAGGGGTCTGGGTTTCAAACTCAAAACTGGGTGGCTGTTTGGACAGACACTGAGCTAGCTGAAGGAGTTTTTATCATACACCAGTGGTGCTTGGAAATCCAGTGAGACAGAACTGTTTACTCCCCTGTAAAAAATGCTGAAGCCAGGGAGCCAAAAGGCCTCCCTCAGCAGGTCTCACTCCCATGGAGCCCAGCAAGCTAAGAACCACTGGCTTGAAATTATCACTGCCAGCACAGCAGTCTGAAGCCAAACTGTGGTGATCGAGCTTGCTGGGGGGAGGGGCATCCACCATTACTGAGACTTTATTAGGCAGTTTTCCACTGACAGTGCTAAGGAGGATGGGAGGTTTGGACTGGGTGGAATTCAGCACAGTGTGGCAAAGCAGCTGTGGCCAGACTGCTTCTCTAGATTCCTTCTCACTGGGCAGGGCGTCTCTGAAGGAAAGGCAGCAGTCCGATTCAGGGGCTTGCAGATAAAACTCTCATCTCCCTGGGACAAAGCACCTAACGGAAGAGGCAGCTGTGCTTACAGCTTCAGCATATTGAATCTTTCCTGTCTGTCAGGTCTGAAGAAGGCAGCTGATCAAGACCAGAATGATTCTCCCAGCACAGCACACCAGCTCTGCTAAGGAACAAGAACAGACTGCCTTCTCAAGTGTGTCCCTGAACCCCGTGCCACCTGACTGGGAGAGACCTCCCAAGAGGGGTGGACAGACAACTCATACAGGACAGCTCTGGCTGACATCAGTCTGGGGTCCCTTAGGGACGAAACTTCCAGAAAAAGGAGCAGGCAGTAATCTTTTTTGTTCTGCAGCCTCCACTGGTCATACCTAGATGAACAGGGTCTGCATTTGACCTCCAGCAAACTGTAGCAGATCTGCAGAAAAGGAGCCTAAGAGAAGAAAACCTAACAAACAGGAAGCAACAACATCAACATCAACAAAAAAGACACCCAAACAAAAACCCCATCTAAAGACCATCAGCCTCAAACATCAAAGGTAGCTAAATCCACGAAGATGAGAAAAGACCAGCTCAAAAATGCTTAAAATTACAAAAACCAGAATGCCTCTTCTCCTCTAAATGTTCACAATTCCTCTCCAGCAAGACGAAAATACAGGACGTAGAATGAGATTGGCAAATTGACAGAAGTAGGCTTCAGAAGGTGACTAATAACAAACTCCTCTGAGCTAAAGCAGCATGTTCTAACCCAATTCAAGGAAGCTAAGAACCTTGATAAAAGGTTACAGGAATTGCTGACTAGAGTAACCAGTGTAGAGAGTAACATAAATGACCTGATGAAGCTGAAAAACACAGCATGAGAACTTTGTGAAGCATACACAAGTATCAACAGCCGAAGTGATCAAGTGGAAGAAAGGATATCAGAGATTGAAGATCATCTTACTGAAATAAGGCGTGAAGACCAGATTAGAGAAAAAAAAAAAAGAATGAAAAAGAACAAATAAAGACTTCAAGAAATATGGGACTATGAGGAAAGACCAAACCTGTGATTGATTGGTGTACCTGAATGTGACAGGAAGAAAGGAACCAAGTTGAAAAACACATTCAAAACATTATCCAGGAGAAATTTCCCCACCTAGCAAGACAGGCCAACATTCAAATTCAGGAAATACAGAGAAAATACCACTAAGATACAACCCCAAGACACATAATTGTCAGATTCTCCAAGGTTGAAACAAGGGAAAAAATGTTAAGGGCAGCTAGAGAGAAAGGTCAGGTTACCTACAAAGGGAAGCCCATCAGACTAACAGCGGATTTCTCTGCAGAAACCCTACAAGCCAGAAGAGAGTGGGGGCCCATATTCAACATTCTTAAAGAATACAATTTTCAACTAAAAATTTCATATCCAACCAAACTAAGCTTCATAAGTGAAAGAGAAATAAAATCCTTTCCAGACAAGCAAATGCTGAGGGATTTTGTCACCACCAGGCCTGCCTTACAAGAGCTCCTGAAGGAAGCACTAAATATGGAAAGGTAAAACCAGTGGCAGCCATTGCAAAAGCACACAAAATATAAAGACCAACGACACTATGAAGAAACTGCATCAAATCAAATAATATGCAAAATAACCAGCTAGCACATGATCACAGGATCGAATTCACACATAAAAATTCAAAACTTAAATATAAATGTGCTAAATGCCCCAAGTGAAAGACACAGACTGGCAAATTAGATAGAGTCAAGACTCATTTGTGCTATATTCGGGAGACCCATCTCACATGCAAAGACATACATAGGCTCAAAATAAACAGATGGAGGAATATTTACCAAGCAAATGGAAAGCAAAAAGAAAGCAGAGGTTGTAATCCTAGTCTCTGATAAAATGGACTTTAAACAAAAAAGATCAAAAAAGACAAAGAAGGGCATTACATAATGGTAAAGGGATGAATGCAACAAGAAGAGTTAACTATCCTAAATATATATGCACCCAATACAGGAGCATCCAGATTCATAAGCAAGTTCTTAGAGACCTACAAGGAGACTTCGACTCCCACACAATAATAGTGGGACGCTTTAATACCCCACTGTCAATATTAGACAGATCAATGAGACAGAAAATTAACAAGGATATTCAGGACTTAAACACAGCTCTGTACCAAGCGGACAAAATAAACATCTATAGAACTCTTCATCCCAAATTAAGAGAATATACATTCTTCTCAGCATCACATAGCACTTATTCTAAAATCAACCACATAATTGGAAGTAAAACACTCCTCAGCAAATGCAAACAAATAGAAATAATAACAAACTGTCTCTTAGGCCATAGTGCAATCAAATTAGAACTTGGGATTAAGAAACTCACTCAAAAGGGCACAAGTACAAGGAAATTGAAAAACCTTCTCCTGAATGACTGCTGGGTAAATAACGAAATTAAGGCAGAAATCAAGAAGTTTATGGAAACCAATGAGAACAATAAGACAACGTACCAGAGGGGACACAACTAAAGCAGTGTTAAGAGGGAAATTTATAGCACTAAATACCCACATCAGAAAGTTGATAAGATCTGAAATCGACACCCTAACATCACAATTAAAAGAGGTAGAGAAAAAAGAGCAAACAAATTTGAAAGTTAGCAGAAGACAAGAAACTAAGGTCAGAGTGGAGCTGAAGGAGATAGAGACACGAAAAATACTTCAAAAAATCAATGAATTCAGGAGCTTTTTTTTTCAAAAAAGATTAACAATATAGGCCACTAGCTAGACTAATAAAGAAGAAAAGAGAGAAGAATAAAGTAGACACCAAAAAATGATAAAGGGTATATCACCACTGATCCCACAGAAATACAAATTACCATCAGAAAATACCATAAATACCTCTATGCAAATAAACTAGAAAGTCTAGAAGAAATGGATTAATTCCTGGACACATACACCCTCCCAAGACTAAACCAGGAAGAAGTCAGATCCGTGAATAGACCAATAACAAGTTCTGAAATTGAGGCAGTAATTAATAGCCTACCAAACAAAAATGCCAAGGACAAGACAGATTCACAGCCAAATTCTAGAAGAGGTACAAAGAGAAGCTAGTACCATTCCTTCTGAAACTATTTCCAATAATAGAAAAATAGGGACTCTTCCCTAACTTATTTTATGAGGCCAGCATCATCCTGATTCCAAAACCTGGCAAAGACACACACACACAAAAATAAGAATATTTCAGGCCAATATTCCTGATGAACATCGACTTGTAAATCCTCAATATAATACCGGCAAATCAAATCCAGCCACACATCAAAAAACTTATCCACCACGATAAAGTTGGTCTCATCCCTGGGATACAAGGCTCTTTCAACATACACAAATCAAAAAACATAATCCATCACATAAACAGAACCAATGACAAAAACCACACGATTATTTCTATAGAGGCAGAAGAGGCCTTTAACAAAATTTGACATCTCTTTATGTTAAAAACTCTCAATAAACTAGGTACTGATGGAACATAACTGAAATTATAAGAGCTATTTATGAAAAACCCATATCCAACATCATACTGAATGGGGAAAAGCTAGAAGTCTTCCCTTTGAAAACTGGCACAAGACAAGGATGCCCTTTCTTGCCACTCCTATTCATGATAGTATTGGAAGTTCTGGCTAGGGCAATCAGGCAAGAGAAAGAAATAAAGGGTATTCAAACAGGAAGAGAGAAAGTCAAATTGTCTCTGTTTGCAGATGACATGATTCTATATTTAGAAAACCCCATTGTCTCCGCCCCCAAACTAATTAATCTGATAAGCAACTTCAGCAAAGTCTCAGAATACAAAATCAATGTGCAGAAATAACACTCATTTCTGTACATCAACAATAGACAAGCAGAGAGCCAAATCATTAGTGAGCTCCCATTTACAACCGTTTTTTTTTCTTTTATTATTATACTTTAAGTTTTAGGGTACATGTGCACTTTGTGCAAGTTAGTTACATATGTATACATGTGCCATGCTGGTGCTCTGCACCCACTAACTCGTCATCTAGCATTAGGTATATCTCCCAGTGCTATCCCTCCCCCCTCCCCCTACCCCACAACAGTCCCCAGAGTGGGATATTCCCCTTCCTGTGTCCATGTGATCTAATTGTTCAATTCCCACCTATGAGTCAGAATATGCAGTGTTTGGTTTTTTGTTCTTGTGATAGTTTACTGAGAATGATGATTTCCAATTTCATCCATGTCCCTACAAAGGACAGGAACTCATCATTTTTTATGGCTGCATAGTATTCCATGGTGTATATGTGCCACATTTTCTTAATCCAGTCTATCATTGTTGGACATTTGGGTTTGTTCCAAGTTTTTGCTATTGTGAATAGTGCCGCAATAAACATATGTGTGCATGTGTCTTTATAGCAGCATGATTTATAGTCCTTTGGGTATATACCCAGTAATGGGATGGCTGGGTCAAATGGTATTTCTAGCTCTAGATCCCTGAGGAATCGCTACACTGACTTCTAAAATGGTTGAACTAGTTTACAGTCCCACCAACAGTGTAAAAGTCTTCCTATTTCTCCACATCCTCTCCAGCACCTGTGGTTTCCTGACTTTTTAATGATTGCCATTCTAACTGGTGTGAGATGGTATCTCACTGTGGTTTTGATTTGCATTTCTCTGATGGCCAGTGATGATGAGGATTTTTTTCATGTGTTTTTTGGCTGCATAAATAGGAATCCAACTTACAAGGGATGTGAAGGACCTCTTCAAGGAGAACTACAAACCACTGCTCAAGGAAATAAAAGAGGATACGAACAAATGGAAGAACATTCCATGCTCATGGGTAGGAAGAATCAACATCGTGAAAATGGCCATACTGCCCAAGGTAATTTACAGATTCAATGCCATCCCCATCAAGCTACCAATGACTTTCTTCACAGAATTGGAAAAAACTACTTTAAAGATCATATGGAACCAAAAAAGAGCCTGCATCACCAAGTCAACCCTAAGCCAAAAGAACAAAGCTGGAGGCATCACACTACCTGACTTCAAACTATACTACAAGGCTATAGTAACCAAAACAGCATGGTAATTGTACCAAAAGAGATATATAGATCAATTTAGCAGAACAGAGACCTCAGAAATAACACCACATATCTACAAACATCTGATCTTTGACAAACCTGTCAAAAACAAGCAATGGGAAAAGGAGTCCCTGTTTAATAAATGTTGCTGGGAAAACTGGCTAGCCATATGTGGAAAACAGAAAACTAGACCACTTTTCTTCACCTTATACAAAAATTAACTAAAGATAGATCAAAGGCTTAAATGTAAAACCCAAAACCATAAAATCCCTAGAAGAAAATCTAGGCAATCCCATTCAGGACATAGGCATAAGCAAAAACTTCATGACTAAAACACCAAATGCAATGGCAACTAAAGCTAAAATTGATCAATGGGATCTAATCAAACTAAAGAGCTTTTGCACAGCAAAAGAAACTGTCATCAGAGTGAACAGGTAACCTACAGAGTGAAATAAAAGTTTTGCCATCTACCCACTTGACAAAAGCTTAATATCCAGAATCTACAAGGAACTTAAACAAATCTACAAGAGAAAAACAACCCCATTAAAAAGTGGGCAAAATATATGAACAGACACTTCTCAAAAGAAGACATTTATGTGGCCAAAAAACATGAAAAAGAGATTATCATCACTGGTCATTAAAGAAATGCAAATCAAAACCATAATGAGATACCACATCACACCAGTTAGAATGGTAATTATTAAAAAATCAGGAAGCAACAGATGCTGGCAAGACTGTGGAAAAATAGGAATGCTGTTATGCTGTTTGTGGGAGTGTACATTAGTTAAACCATTGTGGAAGACAATGTAGTGATTCCTCAAGAATCGAAAACCAGATATACCATTTGACCCAGCAATTCCATTACTTGGTATATGCCCAAAGGATTATAAATTATTCTGCTATAAAGACACATGCACATGTATGTTTATTGCAGTACTATTTACAATGGCAAAGACTTTGAAACAACCCAAATGCCCATCAATGTTAGACTGGATAAAGAAAATATGGCACATATAACCCATGGAATACTATGCAGCCATAAAAAGAATGAGTTAATATCCTTTGCAGGGACATGGATAAAACTGGAAGCCATCATTCTCTGCAAACTAACACAGGAACAGAAAACCAAACACCACATATTCTCACTCATAGATGGAAGTTGAAAAATGAGAATACATGAACACAGGGAGGGGAACATCACACACTGGGGCCTGTCGGGGAGTGGGTGAAAGGGGAAGGAGAGCATTGGAACAATAGCATAATGCATGCAGGGTTTAAATCCTAGATGACAGGTTGATAGGTGCAGTAAACCACCATGGCACACTTATACCTATGTAACAAACCTGAACATTCTGCACATGTATCCCAGAACTTAAAGTTATACATATATATACACATATATACACACATATATACCTATATATACACATATACACATATACACATATATACACATATATACACACATACACACACACACATATATATACACACATATATATACATATATGTATATATATGTGTGTATATATATGTGTGTGTATATGTGTGTATATATGTGTACATATATATGTGTATATGTATATATATGTGTACATATATATGTGTATATGTATATATATGTGTACATATATATGTGTATGTGTATATATATGTGTGTATATATGTGTGTGTGTGCATGTATATATATATATATATATATATATGTATATATCAATGCCAAGAAGATCTCTGACAACCACACAAATAAATGGAATTAAACAGTATGCTCTTGAATAACTTTTGGGTAAACATTGAAATTAAGGCAGACAGACATCAAGAAATTATTTGAAACTAATAATAACAAAGTTATATTAGTAATATAACAAATTTATAACAAAGTTATAATGTACCAGAATCTTTCACACAGAGCTAAAGCAGTGTTAAGAGGGAAGTTTATAGTATCAAATGGTAGAAAGCTCTTAATATAACAACCTTATATCACACCTATGAAAACTAGAAAACAAGAGCAAACCAACCCAAAGCTAGTAGAAGAAAATAAATAATATAAATCAAAATAAAACGGAATGAAGTGAAGATGAGAAAAAACATACAAAAAATATTCTTTTTAAATAATAAATGAGACTGATAGATCAATAGCTAGGCTAATAAAGAAAAAAAGAGACAACAGACAAATAAATACAATCAGAAATGGTAAAAGGAACAATAAAACTGACCTTATGAAATAGAAGAAAAAAACTCAGAGATTATTACAAAGTAGAAAATCTAGAAGAAATTGATAAATTTCTGGAAACATATAACCTTTCAAGATTGTACCAGGAAAACATTGAAAACCTGAAAAGACTAGAAACAAGTTCCAAATTTGAATCACTTGAAAACAAAAATCTGCCAACCAAAAAAAATAAAATGTTCTGGAGGAAATGGATTCACATTCAAATTCTATCAAACATAAACAAGAGCTTATACTAATTCTATAGAAATTATTTCAAAATATCAAGATGGAGAGACTCCTCCCTAACTCATTCTAGGAAGCCATCATCATTCTGATACCAAAGGCTGGCAGAGACACAGAAAAAACAAAACCAAACCAAACAAAACAAAATCTTCAGGTTAATATCCCTGATGATCCCTAATGAACACAGATGTAAAAATTCTTAACCAAATACCAGCAAACTGAATCCAACAGCACACTAAAAAAGGATTCCACCATGATCAAGAAGCCTTTTATTCTGGGGCTGAAGTTTCCTTCAACATACACAAATAAAAAATGTGATTCATCACATAAACAGAACTAAAGCCACGTGGTTATCTCAACAGATACAGAAAAGACTTTCCATAAAATTCAAAATGCCTTCATGCTAAGAATTCTCAGAAAACTTGGCATCTAGGGAACATATGTCAAAATAATAAGAGCCAACTATGACAGACCCATATCCAACATTGTACCTAACGGGCAAAAGCTGTAAGCAGATCCTTTGAGAACACTAGGAAGAAAATGCATCAACTAACGAGCAAAATAACCAGCTAACATCATAATGACAGGATAAAATTCACACATAACAATATTAACTTTAAATGTAAATGGACTAAATGCTCCAATTAAAACACACAGACTTGCAAATAGGATAAAGAGTCAAGACCCATTAGTGTGCTGTATTCAGGAGACCCATCTCACATGCAGAGACACACATAGGTTCAAAATAAAGGGATGGAGGAAGATCTAACAAGCAAATGGAAAACAAAAAAAGGCAGGGGTTGCAATCCTAGTCTCTGATAAAACAGACTCTAAACCAACAAAGATCAAAAGAGATAAAGAAGGCCATTCCATAACGGTAAAGGAATCAATTCAACAAGAACTAACTATCCTAAATATATATGCACCCAATACAGGAGCACCCAGATTCATAAAGCAAGTCCTTAGAGACTTACAAAGAGACTTAGACTCCCACACAATAATAATGGGAGACTTTAACACCCCACTGTCAACATTAGACAGATCAACGAGACAGAAAGTTAACAAGGATATCCAGGAATTGAACTCAGCTCTGCACCAAGCAGACCTAATAGACATCTACAGAACTCTCCACCCCAAATCAACAGAATATACATTCTTTTCAGCACCACACCTATTTCAAAATTGACCACATAGTTGGAAGTAAAGCACTCCTCAGCAAATGTAAAAGAACAGAAATTATAACAAACTGTCTCTCAGACCACAGTGCAATCAAACTAGAACTCAGGATTAAGAAACTCATTCAAAACCACTCAACTACATGGAAACTGAACAACCTGCTCCTGAATGACTACTGGGTACATAACGAAATGAAGGCAGAAATAAAGATGTTCTTTGAAACCAATGAGAATGAAGACACAACATACCAGAATCTCTGGGACACATTCAAAGCAGTGTTTAGAGGAAAATTTATAGCACTAAATGCCCACAAGAGAAAGCAGGAAAGATCCAAAATTGACACGCTAACATCACAATTAAAAGAACCAGCAAAGCAAGAGCAAACACATTCAAAAGCTAGCAGAAGGCAAGAAATAACTAAGATCAGAGCAGAACTGAAGGAAATAGAGACACAAAAAATCCTTCAAAAAATCAATGAATCCAGGAGCTGGTTTTTTGAAAACATCAACAAAATTAATAGACCACTAGCAAGACTAATAAAGAAGAAAAGAGAGAAGAATCAAATAGATGCAATAAAAAATGATAAAGGGGATATCACCACCAATCCCACAGAAATACAAACTATCATCAAAGAATACTATAAACACCTCTATGCAAATAAACTAGAAAATCTAGAAGAAATGATAAATTCCTTGACACATACACCCTCCCAAGACTAAACTAGGAAGAATCTCTGAATAGACCAATAACAGGCTCTGAAATTGAGGCAATAATTAATAGCTTACCAACCAAAAAAAGTCCTGGACCAGATGGATTCACAGCCAAATTCTACCAGAGGTACAAGGAGGAGCTGGTACCATTCCTTCTGAAACTATTCCAATCAATAGAAAAAGAGGGATTCCTCCCTAACTCATTTTACAAGACCAGCATCTTCCTGATACCAAAGCCTGGTAGAGACACAACAAAAACAGAGAATTTTAGACCAATATCCCCGATGAACATCGATGCAAACATCCTCAATAAAATACTGGCAAACCGAATCCAGCAGCACATCAAAAAGCTTATCCACTATGATCAAGTGGGCTTCATCCCTGGGATGCAACGCTGGTTCAATATATGCAAATTAATAAACGTAATCCAGCATATAA
This sequence comes from Homo sapiens, assembly GCF_000001405.40. NCBI lineage: Eukaryota > Metazoa > Chordata > Mammalia > Primates > Hominidae > Homo > Homo sapiens. Next base: position 66,334,484 of record NC_000023.11, on the reverse strand, counting down.
ACAGAAACAATGACAAAAAACACACGATTATCTCAATAGATGCAGAAGAGGCCTTTAACAAAATTCAACAATGCTTCATGCTAAAAACTCTCAATAAATTAGGTAGTGATGGGATGTATCTCAAAATAATAAGAGCTATCTATGACAAACCCGCAGCCAATATCATACTGAATGGGCAAAAACTGGAAGCATTCCCTTTGAAAACTGGCACCAGACAGGGATGCCCTCTCTCACCACTCCTATTCAACATAGTGTTGGAAGTTCTGGCCAGGGCAATTAGGCAGGACAAGGAAATAAAGGTATTCAATTAGGAAAAGAGGAAGTCAAATTGTCCCTGTTTGCAGATGACATGATTGTATATCTAGCAAACCCCATGGTCTCAGCCCCAAATCTCCTTAAGCTGATAAGCAACTTCAGCAAATTCTCAGGATGCAAAATCAATGTGCTCTCATCGCTCTTATACAACCTAGTACTGGAAGTCTCAGTGAGAGCAATCAAGCAAGAGGAAGAAATGCAAGGCATCTAAAGGGAAAGAGAGGAAATCAAACTACCTATCTTTACAAACAATATAATTCTATACTTAAAAAACCCCACAGTCTCTGTCCAAAGGCTCCTAGATCTGATAAACAACTTCAGTGAAGTTTCAGAATACAAAATTAATGTACAAAAATCAATAGCATTTCTATATATCAGTAACATTTATGCTGAGAGCCAAATCAAGAATGCTATGTCATTCACAAAAGCCATAAAATAATAAAATATCTAGGAATACAGCTAATCAGAGAAAAGAAAAATCTCTACAGTGAGAATCACAAATTACTGCTGGAAGAAATCAGAGACAACACAAATAAATTGAAAAACATTCCACGCTTATGAATAAGAAGAATCAATATTGTTAGAATGGCCATACTTCCTAAAACAATGTACAAATTCAGTGCTATTTCTATCAAACTATGAATGATATTTTTCACAGAATTTGAAAAAAAATCATTCTAAAATTCATTTGGAACCAAAAAAGGAACTGGATATCCAAGGCAATCCTAAGCAAAAAGAACAAAGCTGGAGGTATCACGTTACCCAACTTCAAACTATACTGCAAGGCTACAGTAACCAAAACAGCATGCTGTTGGTATAAAAATAGACACATATATCAATAAATAGGACAGAGAATCCAGAAGTAAATCTATAAACCTACAACAATCAGATCTTCGACAAAGCTGACAGTAAAGAGCAATGGGAAAAATACTCCCTATTCAGTAAATGGTTCTGTGATAACTCACTAGCCACATGCAGAAGATTGAAATGTGGCGCCTTCTTTTTATCATACTCAAAAAGCAACTCAATGTGGATTAAAGACTTAAATGTAAAACCTAAAACTATAAAAGTGATACAAGGAAATCTAGAAAATATTATTCTGGACAGGGGCCCTGGCAAAGCCTTAATGACAAAGACTCCAAAAGCCATTTCAACATAAACAAAAATTGACACGTGGAACCTTAATTAAACTAAAAATCTTCTGCACAGCAAAACTAACAAGAAAATAAACAAACTTACAGAATGAGAGAAAATATTTGCAAGCTAGCATCCAACAGAGGTCTAATATCCACAATCTGTAGGACGCTTAAGCAAATCAACAAGCAAGAACCAAAAAACACCATGGACAAAGGATATGAACAGATACTTGTTAAAACAAGACATACATGTGACCAGCAAGCATATGAAAAAAATGGTACATATCACTAATTGTTGGAGGAAGTACAAATAAAAGCTACAATGAGAAGCCATTTCACACCAGTCAGAACTGCTATTGTTAAAAAGTAAGACAAACAAACAAAAAAATCAGATACTAGTGAAGTTGCAGGGAAAAGAGAATGCTTATTCACTGCTGGTGGGAATGTAAATTAAGTCAGCCATTGTGGAAAGCAGTGTGATTTCTTAAAGAACTTAAAATAATACTACCATTCCACCCAGCAATTACATTTCTGGTTATATACACAAAAATATAAATAATTTTACTATAAAGGCACATGCACATGTATGTTCATTACAGAACTCTTTGTTATAGGAAATACATAAAATCAATCTAGATGTTCATCAACAGTGGACTAGATAAAGAAAATGTGATATATATAAGTATATATATCACATATATACGTATATATACGTATATATGTGATATATATACATATACATGTGATATATATACACACATATACGTATATATGTGATATATATACATATACGTGTGATATATATCACACATATACGTATATATGTGATATATACACATATATATGTGATATATGTGATATGTTATCACATATATACATATATGTGTGTATATATGTATATATATATGTATATGTTTATATATATACACACACACACACACACACACCATTGGAATATCATGCGGCCTTAAAATGAAAAAGATCATGTTTGCAGAAACATGCATGGATCTGGAAATCATTATCCTAAGAAAATTAACACAAGAACAGAAAGCTGAATACTCCATGTTCTCACTTTTAAGTGGGAGATAAACATTGAGTACCCATGGACCGAAAGAAGGGAATAATAGACACCAGGGTGTACTTGAGGGTGGAGGGTGGAAGGAAGGTGAGGATTGAAAATTTACCTATTGGGTATTATGCTGATTACATGGGTGACAAAATTATCTATACACCAACCTTCTATGACAAACAATGTACCCATGTCAGAAACCTGCAGATTACCCCTTCAATCTAAAATAAAATCTGAAAATTAAAAAAAAAGTTGGATGTAGATGTAGCAATCCTAAGATTTATCACACTAAATGTTTTCATTAGAATAAAATAAAGGTCTCAAATCAATAATCTAAAATTCTGCTTCAAAAACCTAGAAGAAAAAGAGTGAAATAATATGAAAGCAAGCAGAAGGAAGAAAATAATAAACATATGAGTGGAAATTAATAGAATTGAAAATAGACAATAGAGAAGATTAATGACATAGAACTCTGGTTCTTTGAAAACAATCAGTAAAATTGATAAACCTATAGCAATACTGAGAAAGAAAAATGAGAGAGGTGACACAGGTGACAGAAGTCACCAATGTCAGGAATGAAGCAGGAGATGTAACTAAAATGTTGCAGGCATTAAAGTAATGATAAGAGAATACTGTCACAATCAAAATGTCAACAAATGTAGTTTAAATATCGAATTGGTTTTTTATTAGAAATTCATCAATCAGGCAGCATTTCATCTATGAAATAATAAGGAGCTTTGATGAGCTAAGCAGAAGAGGTGGGCTTTATAGGCACAAAAAGCCAAAGAAAGAAGAAACGAGGAACAAAAAGAGGGTTGGTAATTTCAAAGTTATTTTTCTTATAGTGCTAAAGCAGATTCAACTTCCTTACCATACCAGGTTGATAGAACCCCTTAAAATTGATTGCTGTGAATCTCCTGTTCTATGAAAAACTGTTCTGCTTTTAAGTTCAGTTTGATCACAAGACACCTAGCACGAGTTACTCCATTCTGTTTTGATCTGGTCTGTTAAGCCTAGAGCATAAGCTTAGTACAGGACAATTAACCCCCATCAACTTTATTTAGCAATTCTACGGGCAATTTTGTATTCATAAATTTGACGACTTAGAAGGAAAAGACCAATTTCTCAGAAACCACACATCCCTGAAGTATAACCTATACAAAATAGTGTGAGTAGTCTTATAACCATTAAGGAGTTTGAATTTGTAATTACAAGCCTCTCAAAAAAAATCTCCTAGTCCTGTTTGTTTCATTGGCAAATTCTACCAAACACTTAAATAAAAATTAACATCAATTTTACACAATCATTCCAGGAAATAGAAGAAGGAACATTTCTCAAATCATTTTATAAGGCTAATATTACCCAGATGCCATAATTATACAAATAGAATACAGAATAAAAATCAAAACAAAACTATTGACCAATATCTGTAATTTAAATGCAAAAATCCTCAGCAAAATATTTGCAAATCAAATCTAGAAATTTATAAAACCTTATGCAACAAAGCCAAGTGGGATTTATTCCAGGTATGCAAGACTGATTCTACATTTGGAAATCAACCAGTATAATTCATCGTGCCAACAAACTAATAAGAAAAAAATCACATAATTATATAAATTGACATGGAAAAAAGTATTTGACAAAATCCAATAACTATTCATGAGAAAAAACAAATCTCAAAAAATAGGAATAGAAATGAACTTCCTCAACTTGGTAAAGATAAACCTACACCTAATATTGTGTCCAGAATTGGTGGGTTCTTGGTCTCGCTGAGCTCAAGAATGAAGACGTGGACCCTCGCAGTGAGTGTTATAGTTCTTAAAGATGGTATGTCCAGAGTTTGTTCCTTCAGATGTGTCTGGAGTTTCTTCCTTCTGGTGGGTTCGTGGTCTGGCTGACTTCAGGAGTGAAGCTGCAGACCTTCTCAGTGAGTGTTACAGTTCATAAAGGTGGTGCATCCAGAGTTGTTCATCTCTCCCGGTGGGTTTGTGGTCTCACTGGCTCCAGGAGTGAAGCGGCAGACCTTCGCAGTGAGTGTTACAGCTCATAAAGGGGTGCAGACCCAAAGAGTGAGCAGCAGCAAAATTTATTATCAAGAGCAAAAGAACAAAGCTTCCACAGCGTGGAAGGTGACACTAGCTGGTTGCACTCCTGGCTCGGGTGGCCTGCGTTTATTCCCTTACCTGGCCCCACCCACATCCTGCTGATTGGTCCATTTTACAGAGAGCTGATTGGTCCATTTTACAGAGAGCTGATTGGTCCGTTTTACAGAGTGCTGATTGGTCCGTTTTGACAGAGTGCTGATTGGTGCGTTTACAAACCTTTAGCTAGACACAGAGTGCTGATTGGTGCGTTTACAATCCTTCAGCTAGACACAAAAATTCTGCAAGTCCCCACCCAATTAGCCAGACACAGAGTGTTGATTGGTGCATTTACAAGCCTTTAGCTAGACACAGAGTGCTGATTGGTGCATTTACAATCCTTTACCTAGACAGAAAAGTCCTCCAAGTCCCCACCCATCCCAGAAGCCCAGCCGGCTTCACGGCTCACTGGCACTGGCCAGGGGACTTTGCGGCACCTAGTCTGGGAGCTCCGGCAAGCCAGAGGGAACTCGTCCCAGACAATCAAGAAGAAAAGAGAGGAAGCAAGAAAGAGAGGGAGACCTGCTATCCTGACCAACAATCCCGCGAAGAGGGAACGGCTGTCCACACACAGGATTCAGCCTCAGATGAAGCCCAGCAGGCGCGGCCGGCGGTGCCCAGTGCGTGGCTTGCCCAGCCCATGCTCACCTGGAACCTGGGGCTGGCCCCCGAGCACCGCTTGCAGCCCCGGCTCCCACTGGCGCGTCTCTCTTCACACTTCCCCACAAGCAGAGGAAGCCAGCTCCAGCCTCCGCCAGCCGGAGAGAGGTGCCCTTGTAGCGCAGCAGTGGGCTGAAGGGCTCTGCCAGCGAGGCCAGAGTGGACATCCAGGCCGAGGAGGCGCTGAGAGCAAATGAAGGCTGCTAGCACGTTGTCACCTCTCAATATCACAGTTAATGGTGAAAGATTGAACACTTTTCCCCTAATGTCAGGAACAAGGCAAGGAGATGTGCTTGTATGACTGATATTCAACATAGTATTGGAAGTTTTAGCTGGAAACATAAAAGAAGTAAAAGAAATTTAAAGCATTCATCTTGTATAGAAAGTCATAGATTTTATCTTGGTGGTGAGATCCTGGGTGATTTTTGGTTTTCCTTTGTTGCGCGAGGCAGCATAACGTAGTGGTTAATAATCATTGGGATAGATTGCCTGGATTTGAATCTTGGTGTTTTCTCTTATTGACTGCAAGAACTTGGACAAGTTTCATTTAACTTCTCTCATAGAGATTTTGTCTTCCATAGAAAGAGTTTAATAATAATTGCCTTGAGGTTGGCTTAAACATTATGAGTTAATATTTTTAAGTGATTAGGCCAGAATATGTCACGTGGTACTGTATAAGTATCTGTGAAATAAATGAATCCTTGCATTAATAAAGCAAAGTAACACTGTCTCTCTCTCTCTCTACCCCTCTCCCCCGCCCCCCCCCAGAAACTAGGACTTTGTTTTTACTCATTATATATTTCCAGTCGCTAGCTCATGATAGTAACAGCTAATGCCACTGCTCCATTTTACTGTTGATTAAAACAGGTTAAGTGAGTTGCTGAAGGTCATACAGCTAGAAAGTAGATAGTCTGGCATAGGTTGTAAGCTTTAAACCTTATTATACACTGCCTGTTTTGTAAGTACTTAAATATTTATTGAATGAGGGAATAAATGAGTACATGCCTTAGCTCATTTAATCTTAATGAAAAGTCAATAGAGTCTGTCTTATTATGCTTATTTTACAAATTAGGGAACGGAGGCACACGGAGGTTAAGTGACTTGTCCAAAGTCTGATAGCTAGTTAAGTGGTAGAACCCAAAATCATACCCGTAATTATTGGAATCCAAAGCAAGTGAATATTTCTCTAATCCACAGCTACTTCAGGCATGCACCACTGTATGCATTCATTATTGTTATGCCTCTTACAGTGGGTCCACTGAGAATATAAACCCACCTTGAGGATGTATTGTGTAGAAGTTAAGACATGGCCTCTAAAGGCAGACTGCCTGGGTTGTATCATGGAACTGCCTTTTACTAACTCTGTGATTTGGGGCAAGTTATTTTACCATTCAATGCTATTTTACCAACTGTGAAATAATTGTTATAATAAGTAGCTTCCATGAGTTCATGTATGTCCAATGATTGGAACAGTGCCTGGCACATAGTAAGTGCTTAAGATATCTTGTCAGTGAGAACCTACTTAAAATTATGATGGGCCATATCCTTTACCTTGCTTAGTTTTTCCATAGCACTTAGCACCATCTAATAAACTAAATATTTTGCTTTACTATTTTTGTCTTTCTCTGTCCCAATCAGAGTATAAATCATAAGAATAAAAGATTTTGTCCATTTTATCCACCCATGTATCCCCAATGCCTAGCTCCATGACAATGCATAGTAGGCATTCAAATATTGGTTGAATAAATAAGTACACCTTTGTTCATTATATTATTCATTAATACTATTATTATCATTTAATCCACGAAGATCTCACTTTACCTCCTGTTTTTAAGTTGGACAGCCCTACGTGTCTTCTTTTTTATATATGTACCATCCAGAAAGGCCCTTCTAGCCCATCCACATCCTTTCCCTGGTATTACAGATAAGGTGTCTGGGGCTCAGAGAGGGTAAGGCACTTGTCTAGTGTCACCCATCAAATGACACAGTCCTAACCTATTTTATGAACTCAGGGTCAAACCAGATTCTTGTCAGAGCCTTCAAATTTTATCTCACATTAGCAGAGGTCATACAAGTTTTTCTGACTCTGTTCATTTGGAAAGCAGTAGATGACTCAGTCTAGCATTATGGGTGGCCATAGTCTCCTCTACGGAAAGAGTTCGATGGTAGAAGCTAGACTGAGCAGGGGCTGAGCACTGGAACACTGCCCTGGCTGAAGAAGCAAATTCCTCAGCATAATGTTATGTACACTGTGTGCATGCAAAGGTTAGTACCAAAACTATTGAAGTCTGGCTCTAGCTCTCCTTCTACAACCCCCATCCATGCTATTAACTCTGCTACATTGTGTTTTTTTTTCCCCTGGAATTTAGAGTCTGGAGATTATAAGAACTTGGAGAAAATAAAAATGTGGGCTCAGAGTAATGGTTCGAAGTCCTACAGTTAAAAGATAGAAATATATGGAAACTGATTGAAAACCAGCAGAGCAGCAGTTGGAATTTAATAAGTAAGAACCTTTAGAAGGAGCACGTGTTCTGCAGTGAAGTGCCTACAGGGAGGCCAAAACATGTGAATTAAGATTGAACTCCAAAGTGTTCCAACTTCATCTACTTCTTCCCCTCCTTCCCTTCCTCTGGAGCCATTGGACTCAACCTCACTTTTCAGTTCTGTTTCTAGGGATGAGGGGAAGTTGACAGGCTTAAATATAAGAGTTTGAATGGGGAGAAAGAGTGAGAGATGGGTAAAGGCTCACAGATGCAGAAAATATCATAGCCATAAGTGTCGTTAGAAAGTTTCATTTGAGCCTTCTTGCAAGTTTTACATGTGGAAAAACTAAGCCCCATGTTTAGAGTGTTATGCCTCCCTTCACCAAAAGAATAGTGGCACAGAAAGGGTTGTGCTCAATATAACCAGAGAGTCCAGCCTGTGTGAAGGCTACCAAGGAGGGGACACTGGGGACAAACTTAACACTAAGATATTAATGGGAGAGAGAGAAAAACTGATGCATTTAAACCTCACAAATATTCCATACAGTGTCATTATTCATATTTTAAAGATGTGAAAAGTGAAAACAGAGGCTTAGCAAAAAGAAGGGTCTTAACCTAACTTCACAAAGCTAGAAAGTGGTAGGGCTGAGATTTGGACATAAGACAGTCTGACTCCAAAGTCTACACCTTACTATTATATGGTGCTTGCCTCCCCCAAATTCACCCCCACAACTAAGTAAATTGTAAGACAACATTACATTGCATAATATATTAGATTGAGTTGAATGCCTCTCTTGATTTAACTGACAAGGAAACTGAAACCCAGAGAAGAAAATTCACTTTCCCTAAATCACACACAGAACAGGGGTCATCCCACTCCCCAGTGATCATATCATTGGATGAATTAAAAAGAACGATTAAATGCTCTGTGTGTTGAACTCAGTGCTGAGAAGGGAGAATATGGCAGTGAGGGATGGAAAGAGACGAAACAGAAGATCCGTTTGATGCTTTGCCTGGAGGCTGTAACTGAAGAGATTATACATGCACTCACGGAAAAGACTTATTAATATTTATTTATTTTTAAAACTACTTTACTGAGGTATAACCGGCATACATAAAACTGCATGTATTTAATGTATTTAATTTAATGAATTTGAAGGTATGTATATACCCATGAAACCATCAACACAATCTATGTAATAAACATATCTACCCTCTCCAAAAGTTTCCTCCCACCCTCTTTATTTATGATTCTTGTGTGTGCAAGACAGACATAAGAACACTTAACATAAGACCTTCCCTCTTAGCAAATTTTTAAGTATATAACACAATATTTACTATAAGCACCATTTAACATCTCTGAGACTGTTAAATATTGTATAACTGAAACTTTATATTATTTGACTAATTCCTCCACTTTTTTCCTCCCTTTTCCCCCAGCAGCCACCATTCTATCTCTACTCCTATAAATTTTACTATTTCAGATTCTCCATACCGGTGATATCATGTAGTATTTATGTTTATCTATCTGGCTAATTTCACTTAGCATAATGTCTTCCAGGTTCATCCATATGGTAACAAATGATAGAATTTTCCTATTTTTAAGGTTAAATAATATTTCATTATATGTGTATGCCACAGTTTAATTTTTAGTTTTAATTTTGGGTGGTACATAGTGTATATATTTAAGGGGTACATGAGATGTTTTGATACTGGCATGCACTGTAACAATTACATCATGTAAAATGGGATATCCATGCCCTCAAGCTTTTATCCTTTGTGTTAAAACCAATCCAATTATTTTAGTTATTTGAAAATGTAGAATTAAATCATTATTAACTATAGTCACCCTGTTGTGCTACCAAATAGTAAGTCTTATTCATTCTTTCTATTTTTGTACCCATTAACTATCCCCATCTCCACCCACACCCACACTCCTTCGCCACTTCTGGTAACCCTCTTTCTGCTTTCTGTCTCCATGAGTTCAATTGTTTTGATTTTTAGATCCCACAAGTAAAGGAAACATGAGGTCTTTATCTTTCTGTGCCTGGCTTATTTCACTTAGCATAATGACCTCCAGTTCTCCAACTACATGCATGTTGTTGCAAATAACAACATCTCATTCTTTTCTAAGGCTGAATAGTACTCCATTGTGTATAAATGGCACATTTTATTTATTCATTCATCTGTTGACGGAGACTTAGTTTGCTTGCAAATCTCAGGTATTGTGAACAGTGCTGCTACCAATATGGGACTGCAGATATCTCTTCAATATACTGATGCCATTTCTTTGGAGTATATATACAGAAATGGAATTGCTGGATCTTATGGTAGCTCTATTTTGAGTTTTTGAGAAATCTCCAAACTGTTCTCCACAGTAGTTGTGCTAATTTACATCCCCACCAAAAGTTTATGAGGGTTCTCTTTGCTCCACATTTTTGCCAGCATTTATCAATGTCTGTCTTTTGGATATAAGCCATTTAAACTCGGACGAGATATCTTATTAAAGTTTTGATTTGCATTTATCTAATGATCAATGTTGTTTAACACCTTTTCATATGCCTGTTTGCCATTCGTATGGCTTATTTTGCAAAATGTCTATTCAAATATTTTGCCCATTTTTAGTCGGATTATTAGATTTTATTTCTATAGAGATGTTTGAGCTCCTTATTTGTTCTAATTATTAATCACTCATCAGATAGGGAGTTTAAAAATATTGTCTCCCACTCTGTAGGTTGTCTCTTCACTTTGTTTATTGTTTTCTTTTTTGTGCAGAAGCCTTTTAACTTGATGTGATTTCATTTGTTCATTTTTGCTTTGGTTGCCTGTGCTTGTGCAATATTACTCAAGATATTTTTGCCCAGACCTATGCCCTGGAAGTTTTCCCCAATGGATTATTTTGTAGTAGTTTCATAGTTTGAGGTCTTAGATTTAAGTATTTAATCCATAGTGATTTGATTTTTGAACAAGGTGAGAGAAAATGGTCTAGTTTTATTCTTCTGCATATAGATACACAGTTTTCCCAGCTCCATTTATTGAACAGACTGTTTTTCCCCAGTATATTCTTGGCACGTTTGTCAAAAATGTGTTCAGTGTAGGTGTGTGGATTTGTTTCTTGGTTCTCTACTCTGTTCCATTTGTCTATGTGTCTGTTTTTATGCCAGTACCATGCTGCCTTGATTACTATACCTCTGTAGTATATGTTATACTACATGTTATATGTAGTATAACATATAGTATATGAAGTCAGGTAATGCGATTCCTCCAGTTTTGTTCTTTTTGCTTAGGATAGTTTTATCTATTCTGGATCTTTTGCGGTTCCATATAAATTTTAGAAAGTGTTTATTCTATTTCTGTTTAGAAAGTCTCTGGGATTTTGATATGGATTGCATTGAATCTGTAGATTGCTTTGGGTAATATGGACATTTTAATAATATTGATTCTTAACAATTTATGAACATGGAATGTCTTTCCATTTTTTGGTGTTCTTTCCAATTTCTTTCACCTGTGTTTTATAGATATTTTTATATCTATTTTATAGATATTTAATTTTATTTGTGACCATTGTAAATGGGATTTTTTTATTTTCATTTTTTGGATTGTTCACTGTTGGTATATAGAAATGCTATTTTGTTTTTTTTTTTTTTTTTTGAGACAGGCTGGAGTGCAGTGGCACAATCTTAGCTCACTGCAACATCTGCCTCCTGGGTTCAAGTGATTCTCCTGCTTCAGCCTCCCAAGTAGCAGGGATTATAGGCGTGTGTCACCATGCCCAGCTAATTTTTGTGGTTTTAGTAGCGACGGGGTTTCACCATGTTGGCTGGTCAGGTCTCCAATTCCTGATCTCAAGTAATCCGCCCACCTCAGCCTCTCAAGGGCTGGAATTACAGATGTGAGCCACCGTGCCTGGCCTAGAAATGTTACTAATTTTTGTATGTGGATTTTGTGTTGTGTAACTTTCCTGAATTTTTAAATGAGTTCTAATATTTTTGGTGGAATCTTCCAAATATAAGATCATACAATCCGCAAACAAGGATAATTTGACTTCTTCCTTTCTAGTTTGAAAGCCTTTATTATTTTTTTCTTTTGTCTGATTGCTCCATGTAGGACTTCCAGTCCTATGTTGAGTAACCGTGGTGAAAATGGGCATCCTAGTCATGTTCTAGATCTTAGAAGAAAGGCTTTCAGTTATTCTGTATTCAGTATGATACTGGCTGTGGGTCTGTCACATACGATTTTTATTATGTTGAGGTATGTTCCTTCTCTATACAGTTTTTATTGAGGATTTTTATCATGAAGGGATGGTGAATTTTATCAAATGCTTTTTTAGCATCATTTGAAATTATTATATGCTTTTTTGTCTTCATTTTTTTTGATATGATGTATCACATTGACTGATGTGCATGTGTTGAACCATCCTTGCATCCAAAAAATAAATCCCACTTGGTCATGATAAATTATCTTTTTAATGTATTGTTGAATTTGACTTGCCATTATGTAGCTGAAGATTTTTGCATCAACATTCATCAGAGATATTAACCTGTAAATTTTTTTTAATGTATTTTTGTCGGGTTTTGGTATGAGTAATACTAGCCTCACAAAATGACTATGAAAATATTCATTCCTCCTCTGTTTTTCAGAACAGTTTAAGTAGGATTGGTATTAGTTTTTTAAATTTTTGGTAGAATTTAACAGTGAAGGTATTGGTTCCTGTACTTTTCTTTACTGGTAGACTTTTAATTATGGCTTCAATCTCATTACTTGTTATCAATCTTTTCAGGGTTTTTTTATTTCTTCCTGATTGAAAAGATGTTCATGAATTGGAAGAATTAATATTATTAAGATGCAAATATTACCCAAAGCAATCTACAGATTCAATGCAATCCTTATCAAAATACCAAAAGACATACAACCTGGTTGGTTGTATATATCTAGGAATTTGTTCATTTCTTCTAGATCTTTCTATTTAATGGTATATAGTTGCTCATGATAGCTACTAATGGTTCTTTGAGTTTCTGCAGTATCAATGATAATGTTTCCTTTGTCACCTCTGATTTTATTTATTTGGACCTCCTCTCTTTTTGTCCTTAGTCTAGCTAAATGTTTGTCAATTTAGTTTTACTTTTCAAAAAATTCAAAAATTCACCTTTTATTTCACTGATCTTTTGTATTGTTTTCTTCATTTCAATTTTATTTCTGCTCTGAGCTTTATTATTTTTTTCTTCTACTACTTTGAGTTTGATTTGCTCTTTCTTTTCTAGTCCTTTAAGATGTATCTTCAGTTTGTTTATTTCACATTTTTCTCTCTTTGACATAGGCACTTATAGCTCTAAATTTCCCTCTTAGTATTGCTTTTGTTGTATTCCATAGGTTTTGATAAGTTGTGTTTCCATTATCATTTGTTCCAGTAATTCTTTTAAGATTTATTTCTCAATATCTTTATTGACCCAGTGGCCACACAGGAGCATATTGTTTAATCTCCATTTATTTGTATAGTTTCCAAGATTTCTCTTGTTATTGATTTCTAGTTTTATTGCACTGTGCTCAGAGAAGATACTTGATATTATTTCATTTTTTAAAAATATTTTAAGACTTGTTTTGTGACCTAACACATGATCTTTTCCTAAGATTGATTCGTGTCCTGGGGAAAATAATATGTATTCTACAGCTGTTGGATGATATGTTCAGTGAATATCTGTTAGACCCATTTGGTCAATAGTGTAGATTAAGTCTGATTTTTTGTTGTTGTTGATTTTCCGTCTGGAAGATGTGTCCAGTGCTGAAAGTGGGGTGTTGAAATATCCAGTTATTATCTCTCTTTTAAGCTTTAATAATATTTTCTTTATGTGTATGGCTGCTCCAGTGTTTGGTGCATATGTATTTAAAATTATTACATCCTCTTGCTGAATTGACCAGTTTATCATTATATAGGGACCTTTGATGTATCTTCTTACAGTTGTTGTCTTAAAATCTATTTTGTTTGACATAAGTTTAGTAACTCTTGCTCTTTTTATGTTTCCATTAGCATGGAATATCTTTTTCCATCCCTTGATTTTAGTCTATGTGTGTCTTTATAGGGACAGTGTGTTTCTTGTAGGAAACAGACCATTAGGTCATATATTTATATCCATTCAGCCATTGTATGTCTTTGACTGGAGAGTTTATTTAGTCCATTTACAGTCATTTTTACTATTGATAAGTAAGCACATACTCCTGCAATTTTGTTATTTGTTTTCTGGTTGTTTGGGGTCTTCTTTTTTCTTCCTGTCTTCCTTTTAGTGAGGTTGAGTTTCCTGGTGATATGAATTAGTTTCTCGTTTTTTAATTTTTGAGTATTTGTTGCATGCTTTTTGGTTTGAAATTACCATGAGGTTTGCAAATACTCTTACATACCATTATTTTAAACTGATAGCAAATTAAAACTGTTTGCACAAACAAACACCCAACCAAGCAAAAATTAAACTGATACTCTTTGCCTTAATCTTGACCCCACACTTTTTAAACTTTTTATTGTTTCTATTTATATTTCATTGTACTGTCTGTGGCTTGAAAAGTTGTTGCAGTTATTATTTTTGATTGGTTCATTATTTAGTTTTCATACTTAAGAGTAGTTTACACACCACAGTTACCGTGTTATAATATTCTGTGGTTTTTTTGTATACTTACTATTACCAGTGAGTTTTTTACCTTCAGATGATTTCTTATTACTTATTAACATTTTTTTCTTTCTGCTTGAAGTACTCCCTTTGGCATTCTTTTTTCCCCCTTGGAATCTACTTAAACTAATGAGCGTTTGCACAGCAAAGGAAACCACCAACAGAGTGGACAGACAACCTCCAGAATGGAAGAAAATATTTGTTTTCTTTTCTTTTTTTTAATTTATTTTTTATTATACTTTAAGTTCTGAAATACATGTGCAGAATGTGCAGGTTTGTTACATAGGTATACATGTGCCATGGTGGTTTGCTGCACCCATCAACCCACCATCTAGATTTTAAGGCCTGCATGCATTAGGTATTTGTCCTAATGCTCTCTGTCTTCTTGCCCCACTAACACAGTAACAGAAAACGAACACTGCATGTTCTCACTCGTAAGTGGGAGTTGAACAATGAGAACACATGGACACAGGGAGGGGAACATAGCATTTCTTATGGAATAGATCTGGTGTTGCTAAAATTCCTCAGCTTTTGTTTATATAGTAAAATCTTTGTGTCTCCTTCATGCTTTTTTTGTTTTTTGTTTGTTTGTTTGTTTTGTTTTTGTTTTTAGACAAAGTTGGGCTCTTTTGCCAAGGCTGGAGTGCAGTGGTACAATCTTGGCTCACTGCAACCTCTGCTTCCCAGTCTCAAGCCATCTTGCCATCTCAGCATCCCAAGTAACTGAGATTACAGGTGAACACCACTGTGTCTAGCTAATTTTTGTATTTTTGTAGTGATGAAGTATCACCATGTTACCCAGGCTGCTCTCAAATTCCTGAGCTCAAGCAATTTGCCCACCTCGGCCTCCCAAAATGCTGGGATTACAGGAATGAGCCACTGTGCCTGGCCAATCATGTTTGAAGGATATTTTCACCAGATGTACTATTATAAGGTAAAAGGTTTTTGTTTTTGTTTTTCTTCAGTACTTTAAATGTGTCATGCCACTCTTTTCTGGCTTGTAAGTTTCCACTGAAAAGTCTACTGCAAGACATTTTGAAGCTTCATTATATCCTATTTGTTTCTTTTCTCTTGCCGCTTTTAGCATCCTTTCTTTATCGTTGACTTTTGCAGCTTGAATTATATATATATATATATATATATATATATATATATATATATATAATTTTCTTATTATATTCTCTTTCATCTCCATGAGGAAATAGATTTAGTCTAGCTTGGACATTTTTGTCCCAAAGAGCTAGCACAGTGCCTCACACATTATGAACATATACATTCCTGCCCTGGGAATTAAATAAGCTAAGTTTTGTTCTTTCCGTTTTACAGACAAAGAAAGTGAGGCCACAAAAAGTGAAGTGACTGGCCCAAGACAAATGGTGCATTAATGGTAGACCTAGAACTGAGTCTCAGGCCAATACCCTGGTCAGTGTCCCAGTTTAACAGAGAGCTAGACGAACAATGATAGCAGGCAAAAGACTAAAAAATTAGGAAGGAGGCTTGGACTATCTGTCTTCCAGATAAAATGCTGCTTCCAGAGTGAGAAACAGTTGACAATAAGTTGATAATTTACTTTGCAGCTGAGACCTGAATTTGTATCAGAAAAATGGTATCAGAGACAGAAGCAAGTTCAGACAAGTTTGGACTTCTCACTCTTTGTGCATTTTTTTTTTTTAACCAGACACAGAGATCATGTGTGATTCAGTATGTGCGGATGTGTCCTATGAGGAAGAGAAGTGAACTGGTGTGGTTATGATTACTTATACACAGCTACCATGGAGAACCCAGACAGACAATTGGAATTCTTGCAGTTGAAGGCCCTTTGGAAGTATCAGGCCTTCTTTGTGAATTTGTGACTTTGTCTACAGCTTTAAAGATTCAACAAGTAAGTGAAGAAAGATGCACCTGAGTGAAATTCAGAAATGGATACCCCAGAGAGAGACAGCACAATCCAGTGAGAAAAACGAAGAAAGATAGGGCTGAATTTCCATCCTGGTTCTATGGCTAGCTGTGTTATAAGGGTTAATTTGTTCAGCTTCGCTGAGCTTCAATTTTTCTCATCTGTATAAAAGTGGTCATCATAATACCTATTCCATAGGGTAGGTATGAGACATCACAAGTCAAATATCTGGCACATACTAAGATGGGTATTCTCAGATTGTTTTAAGAATGTATTGGATGCTTTCTAAGAACAGCAAAAAAATTGTTGTCTGTACAGGTTATGTTATGAGCTCTCCTGCCACAACACTTTATGGTGAGGTTGAACTGGACCCTGGAGCACCCAGCTAGGTCCACTCAATTCTATTCAACTACATAGACAGCAATGTAGGAAGGGCATTCTGTAGAGTATAAATACCAAGAGCAAAGAAAACGCACAATCAGAAAACATTAAGTCACCCAGCAGGACTGAAACATAAAGTAGAGGAAGAGAGAAAGAGACATATGAAGCTGGAAGGGAGAGTACAGATAGAAGCAATGTCACCAAGGTAAAATTACAAGAACCCCTAAAGTATGTATGGCATTTTACTATTCACAAGGACTTCTGTATCCACTTACAAAAACTTCTACATCTGCTATATAACTTTGTCTTTGCAAAGACTTTGTGCATATATTTATTCACCCATTAAAAATATTTATTCAGTGCCCACTCTGCATTGCCAGAAACTTTTCCAGGTGCAGAAATGTATCACTGAACAAAACAGTTTAAAACTCCTACCTATGTGGAGCTTATACCCTGGCCCATGAGACATGTTCTACACTACAGGCATGCCCTGTTTTACTGCATTTTATTTTATTGTGCTTACCAGATATCACATTTTTTACAAATTGAAGGTTTCTGGCAACCCTCATCAAGCAAGTCTATTTGTGCCATTTTTCCAACAGTATATGCTTACTTCATATGTCTGTGTCACATTTTGGTAATTCTTACATTTTGAACTTTCTAAATTATTATATCTGTTATGGCAATCTCTGAACAGTGATCTTTGATTTTACGATTGCAATTTTTGGGAGTGCCATCAGCCACATCCATGTAAAACAGGACACTTACTCAATAAATGTTGTACGTGTTCAGACTATTTCACTGACCAGCAGTTCCCCTGTCTCTCTTCCTCTTTTAGGTCCTCCTTATTCCTTGAAAGACAATAATAATAAAATCTGGCAAATTAATAACCCTACAATGTCCTCTAAGTGTTCACGTGAAAAGAGGAGTTTCATGTCTCTCACTTTAGATCAAATCTAGTAATTATTAAACTTAGTGAGAAACAGCATGATGAAAGTCAATACAGGCTGTAAACTAGGCTTCTTGGCTAGTTAGCCAAGTTGTGAATACAAATAAAAAGTTATTGAATGTAATCAAAAGTGCTACTCAAGTGAACACAAATAATAATAAGACAAAACAGATTTATTACTGAGATGCAGAAAGCTTTAGTTCTCTGGATAGAAGATTAAGCCAGCCACAGCATTCCTTTAAGCCAAAGCCTAATCCAGAGAAAGACCTTAACTCTCCTCAATTCTATGAGTGCTGAGAGAAGTGAGGATGATACAGAAGAAAAGTTGAAAGCTTTTCATGTGGTTCATATGGTTTATTGTTTCATGAGGTTTAAGGAGAGAAGCCATGTCATAACATAAAAGTGCAAGGTGAAGAACCAAGTGCTGATGACGAAGCTGTAGCAAATTATCCAGAAGATCCAGCTAAGATCATTAATGAAGGTAGCTACACTAAAGAGTAGATTATTTTTCTTTCCAACTTTTATTTTAGGTTTGGAGAGGGGTACACGTGAAAGTTTGTTACATCAGTAAATTGCCTGTAACAGTGGTATGGTGTACAGATTGTTTGATTAGCCATGAGTTCATTCTCATGCTGCTAATAAAGACATATGTGAGACTGGGTAATTTCTAAAGGAAAGAGCTTTAATGGACTTGAAGTACCACATGGGCAGGGAGGCCTCACAATTATGGCAGACAATGAAGGAAGAACAAAGGGACATCTTACGTGGTAGCAGGCAAGAGAGCGTGTGCAGGGGAACTGCCCTTTATAAAACCATCAGTTCTCATGAGACTTATTTATTATCTTGAGAGCAGCACGGGAAAATTGTGCCCCCATAATTAAATTACCTCCTAACAGATCCCTCCCATTACACGCGGGGATTTTGGGAGCTACAATTCAAGACAAAATTTGGGTGGAGACACAGCCAAACTATATCACCAGGTAATGAGCATAATAACCAATAGGTAGATTTTCCATTCTAACACTCCTCCCACCCTCTACTCTCAAGTAGCCCCTGGTATCTGTTCCCTTTTTTGTGTCCATGTGTATTTAATTAAAAAATAGATTTCAATGTAGGCTAAGGAGCCTTCTATTGGAAGAAGAAGAAATCTAAGGCTTTCAAAGCTATAGAGAAGTCAAGGCCTCACTTCAAAGCTTCCAAGGACAGGCTGACTATTGCATAAGGACTAATGAAGCTGGTGACTCTAAGTCGAAGCCAACGTTCATTTACCATTCCAAAAATCCTTGGGGCCTTCAGCATAATGCTAAGTCTACTCTGCCTCTGTGCTATAAATATAGGCATGGGCAAGGACTTCATGTCTAAAACACCAAAAGCAATGGCAACAGAAGCCAAAATTGACAAATGGGATCTGATTAAACTAAAGAGCTTCTGCACAGCAAAAGAAACTACCATCAGAGTGAACAGGTAACCTACAGAATGGGAGAAAATTTTTGCAATCTACTCATCTGACAAAGGGCTAATATCCAGAATCTACAATGAACTCAAACAAATTTACAAGAAAAAAACAAACAACCCCCTCAACAAGTGGGTGAAGGACACGAACAGACACTTCTCAAAAGAAGACATTTATGCAGCCAAAAGACACATGAAAAAATGCTCATCATCACTGGCCATCAGAGTAATGCAAATCAAAACCACAATGAGATACCATCTCACACCAGTTAGAATGGTGATCATTAAAAAGTCAGGAAACAACAGGTGCTGGAGAGGATGTGGAGAAACAGGAGCTCTTTTACACTGTCGGTGGGACTGTAAACTAGTTCAACCATTGTGGAAGACAGTGTGGCAATTCCTCAGAGATCTAGAACTAGAAATACCATTTGACCCAGCCATCCCATTACTGAGTATATACCCAAAGGATTATAAATCATGCTGCTATAAAGACACATGCAGACGTATGTTTACTGCTGCACTATTCACAACAGCAAAGACTTGGAACCAACACAAATATCCATCAATGACAGACTGGATTAAGAAAATGTGGCACATATACACCATGGAATACTATGCAGCCATAAAAAAAGGATGAGTTCATGTCCTTTGTAGGGACATGGGTGAAGCTAGAAACCATCATTCTCAGCAAACTATCGCAAGGACAAAAAACCAAACACCTCATGTTGTCACTCATAGGTGGGAATTGAACAATGAGAACACATGAACACAGGAAGGGGAACATCACACACTGGGGCCTGTTGTGGGGTGGTGGAGGGGAGGGATAGCATTAGGCAATATACCTAATGTTAAATGACGAGTTAATGGGTGCAGCACACCAACATGGCACATGTATATATATGTAACAAACTTGCACTTTGTGCACATGTACCCTAAAACTTAAAGTATAAAAAAAAGAAAAAAAAAACAAAGCCTGGATGACAGCACATCCATTTACAGCATAGTTTACTGAATATTTTAAGACCATTGTTGAGATCCACTACTCAGAAAAAGATGATCCTGTCAAAATATTACAGTTCAGTAACAATACATCTAGTCACCAAAGATTACTGATGGAGAAGTACAGGGAAGTTAATGTTGTTTTCATGTCTCCTAACTCAACATCCATTCTGCAGCCATAGATCAAGGATAATTTTGACTTTCAAGTTTCATTGTTTAGTAAATACATTTTGTAAGGCTATAGCTTCCATAGATAGTGATTCCTCTGAGAGGTCTGAGCAAAGTACATAGAAAGCCTTCTGGAAAAAATTTATCTTTCTAGATGTTACTATAAACATTCGTAATTCGTGGAAGGAGCTCAAAATATCAAAATTAAGAGGAATTTGGAAGAAGTTGATTCAAACCCTCATAGATGCCTTTGAGGGGTTCAAGACTTCAGTGGAGTAAGTAACTGCAGATGTGGTAGAAATAGCAAGAGAATTAGAATTAAAAGTGGAACCTGAAGATGTGATTGAATTGCTGCCATGTCATAATAAACTTTAACAGATGGGGAGTTGCTTCTTATAGATGAGCAAAGAAAGGAATTTCTTGAGATGGAATCTACAACTGGTGAAGAATGATGTAAACATTGTTGGAATGACAACAAAGGATTTAGAATATTACATAAACTTAGTTGATTAAGAAGTGACAGAGTTTGACATGATTGACTTCAATTTTGAAAGAAGTTCTACTGTGGGTAAAATGTTATCAAACAGCATTGCATGCTACAGATAAATCTTTCATGACATTTATAGTCAATCAATGTAGTAAACTTCATTGCTGTCTTATTTTAAGAAATTGCCATAGCCATCCCATCCTTCAGCAACCACGACCCTGATCAGTCAGCAACCACTAATATTGAGTCAAGATTCTCCACCATCAGAAAAATTACAGCTCTCTGAAAGCTCAGGTGATTGTTAGCATTTTTAGCAATAAACTATTTTTCAGTAAGTTATATGCATTTTTTAGACAATGCTATTGCATACTTGATAGGCTATAGTATAGTGTAAACATAACATTTTTATGCACTGGGAAACAAAAAAAACTCATGTGACTTGCTTTATTGCAGTTGTCTGAAACAAAATCACACTATCTCACATGCCTTTATTGTAAATCTCATTATACAGAACAGAAAATTTAGACTTAGATTGGGAAAATAATTCTCTCATTGTCTTATAAGTGATAAATATACCAATGTTCAAACTCATAAGTCCAAGCTCCAGGCCCAGCGTCCTTGGCATGAAACCATGCTGTCCACTGGATCAAATTTATAAACTAACCAAATGAGGAAAATAAAAGAAAGAAAAAAGTTCATTTTGTTTCTGACGGCTTGTGAGTGGAATGTTGGCACTCAATGGGTAGGCTTACTAGAAGCCAAGCATTGCTCTCAGTGTCTTACAAACAATAATTCATTTAATTCATTTAAATTTCTCCCCAAAAAAGTTCTAGAAAATGGTATTTTTAATCCTCATTTTACAGATGAGAAAACAGAAGCACAGGGAGGTTAAGTAACTTGCCTAAAATCATACAGCTGTTAAGCAGCAGAGATGAGCGATCATCCCTGGCAATCTAGCTACAGCGTCTGTATTCTTAACTCCATCACTATCAATGAAAGGAGTCCTATGGTTATAAAACATGGGTACACAGCTTCTC
Organism: Homo sapiens; assembly: GCF_000001405.40. Taxonomy (NCBI): domain Eukaryota; kingdom Metazoa; phylum Chordata; class Mammalia; order Primates; family Hominidae; genus Homo; species Homo sapiens. Next base: position 66,312,654 of record NC_000023.11, on the reverse strand, counting down.
TAAAGCCAGTGGAAGCATAGCATAAAGTTAAGAACACCAGATCAATCTCAGGGATCTTGTTCTCTGCTACTAACTCATGGCTGTGAGGTCTTAGACAAATCCCTTTCCCTCTCTAAGCTTTAACTTATTCATTGAGGAAAAAAATGTAAAATCCAAGTTCTACTTTCCTCCTACTAGACAGATATTAGAAAAAATGAAATTAAATAACAGATTTAAAGGTGCTTTGTGAGGTGTCATACACTATATTCATATGATGGATGGCAGAGGCTACACTGTCCAGCTCACCCAGAAAGAGTAGAAAACGAATTTTTTCTATTCGTTCTGGACCAGAAAACCTGCCAAACAGCCTTAGCTCCTAAAGGTGGAGGGAATGTGCAGGAGGAGAGTATGCAGAGGGCCTTGGTGCTGCCCACTTCTGAGGCATGTACTGCTCCCTAGGCTGTCGTTCTGTTTTCATTTGGCTGCCTACTTTTTACTCTGTCATCAGAGCTATTTTTAGGCACCTTACCTGGCAGAGGAAGAAAAAAAATTGATGCATTTATACAAATGTGCATTGATATTTTCCTGAGTTTTCTGGTGGGCAGAGGAGAGAGGAGAAGCTGGAGCAGAAGAATCCAAGTGGGGTATTAACAAAGAAATACGAATCTGAAACCCAGTGGAGGTAGCTAAATTCAGACACCTGAGATAGAGGGAGTGGAGAAGAGAGAAAAAAAAGGAAGGGGAGAAGAATGGAGGAGGAAAGATAGAAAAAAAAAACTGGAAAGACCAACACATTTTGGGCTCAGTGGCTTTGAAAATACGGAAAATATAAGTGGCCCCCTTGATCTCTCTTTTACCCTTTCTCTATAGTCCCTTCTTCATTTCTGACTTCCTTGGCTCATGAGTTGTTTGACACTCTTGTAGCTGTTTCACTGTGTGTTTTATTCAAGCCTACCTACCCCAGAGGAAACTATTATGAAGAAGACCTTTCTTTGCTTCCTTCCAACCTACCTCATCCTTGTTCCATCCATCAAAATTTACCTTTCCTATTTGCTGTTAAAATTCATCTTAAGAAATTCATCTCTGCTGAGATGACCTAGCACAGAGTCTGAAACAAAGTAGGTACTTAATAAATATTTGCTGAGTGAATGGGCAGAGGCAGAATCTGAACGACCTTAAAGAAATAAGAATACTGAGCTCAGAGATGGCAAGTGAGTTGCTTAATGTCACACAGTAGGTGATTTACAGAGAGGGATTAAAATCCAGGGCTCTTGACTTTTGGTCCAGTGCTCTTCCCACTACACTGCACTTTGGGGAAACTTATGGAAGACCTATGCTTGTCCCAAGTTCCTGCCTGCATTCCAATCTGATCTTTCATATTCTGAAGCCTAATTTTAGAGAGGCTTTGCTTGAAGTGATGAATAAATTGTGCAGGAAGTGTTGTCTCTCAGCAGAATGGTGGTATTGGGGAAACATGTCTACCATGTTCTCCATCCCACCTTTCTGTTGAACAAAAATTAAGTTTGGCCTCTAACTTGCTTGTCTAAGACAAGTCATTTTCCCTCTCTGGAACTCTATTTCCCCTCCTGTAAAATATGGAGCTTGAACTAGACAATCTCTAAGGCTCCTTCTAATTCAAATATTATAGAATTTTATAAAACACATCACTGTGACATTCAACAAACTTGAAGAAGCAATCATAGCACCACTGTTGATCGTCTTTGAGGAAGTGTAGCTCATTAAATGTTGTTTCTCTTTTCCAATGGGGAAGTGATGATAATTCCAGGAGCTGAAGCCTAGTGAGCTTGAAAAAGGTTCCAGAAAAAATTATTATGAACAGATAGTTTCTGAGTAAGTCAGGTCTCTGCCTGCATGGGTTCTGCAACTTCAGATTCAACCAGCTGCAGATCAAAAATAATTGCAAAAAATAAAAATAAAAATAAAAAATAAAGGCCAGGCATTGTGGCTAATGCCTGTAATCCCAGCATTTTGGGAAGCCAAGGCAGGCAAATTGCTTGAAGCCAGGAGTTCAAAACCAGGTTGAGAAACATGGTGAAACCCCATATCCACTGAAAATACAAAAATTAGCTGAGTGTGGTGGTGCACAGTGGTAATTCCAGCTAGTCAGGAGGCTGAGGTTGGAGAATCACTTGAACTCAGGAGGCGCAGGTTGCAGTGAGCTGAGATTGCACCACTGCACTCCAGGGTAGGCAACAGAGCAAGACCCCGTCTCAAAATAAATAAATAAAAAATAAATATAATTTCTAATTTGATTGCACTATAGTCTGAGAGGCTGTTATGATTTCCTTTCTTTTGCATTTGCTGAGGAGTGTTTTACTTACAATTATGTGGTCAATTTTAGAATAAGTGTGATGTGGTGCTGAGAAGAATGTATATTCTGTTGATTTGGGTGAGGGGAGAGTTCTGCAGATGTCTATTAAGTCGCTTGGTTCAGAGCTGAGTTCAAGTCGTGAATATCCTTGTTAATTTTCTGTCTTGTTGATCCATCTAATATGGACAGTGGGGTGTTAAAGTCTCCCACTATTATTGTGGGGGAGTCTAAGTCTCTTTGTAGGTCTCTAAGAACTTGCTTTATGAATCTGGGTGCTCCTGTATTGGGTGCACATATATTTAAGATAGTTAGCTCTTCTTGTTGCATTAATCACTTTACCATTATGTAATGCCCTCTTTGTCTTTTTTGATAAATGGTAAATATTCCTCCACCTTTCATTTTGAGCCTATGTGTGTCTTTGCACGTGAGATGGGTCACCTGAATACAGCACACCGATAGGTCTTGACACTTTATCCAACTTGCCTGTCTGTGTCTTTTAATTCGGGCATTTATCCCACTGACATTTAAGGTTAATATTGTTATGTGTGAAGTTGATCCTGTCATTGTGATGCTAGCTGGTTATTTTGCCCATTAGTTGATGGAGTTTCTTCACAGTATCAATGGTCTTTACAATTTGATATGTTTTTGCAGTGGCTGCTACCAGTTTTTCCTTTCTATGTTTAGTGCTTCCTTCAGGAGTTCTTGTAAGGCAGGCCTAGTGTTGACAATCTCTCAGCTTTTGCTTGTCTGTAAAGGATGTTATTTCTCCTTCAATTATGAAGCTTAGTTGGGCTGGATATGAAATTCTGGTTTGAAAATTCTTTAAGAATGTTGAATATTGGCCCCCATTCTCTTCTGGAATGGAGGTTTCTGCAGAGAGATCCCCTGTTAGTCTGATAGGCTTCCCTTTGTGGGTAAGGCAACCTTTCTCTCTCGCTGCCCTTAACATTTTTTCCTTCATTTTAACCTTGGAGAATCTAATGATTATGTGTCTTGGGGTTGCTCTTCTCAAGGAGTATCTTTGTGATATTCTCTGAATTCCCTGAAATTGAATGTTGGCATGTCTTGCTAGGTTGGGGAAGTTCTCCTGAATAATATCCTGAAGAGTGTTTTCCAACTTGGTTCCATTCTCCCCATCACTTTCAAGTACACCAATTAAACATAGGTTTGGTATTTTCACATAATTCTATGTTCTTGGAGGTTTTTTCATTTAAGAAACTCACTCAAAACCGCACAACTACATGGAAACTGAACAATCTGCTCCTGAATGACTACTGGGTAAATAATAATTTAAGGCAGAAGTAAAGAAGTTCTTTGAAACCAATAGGAACAATGAGACAATGTACCAGAATCTCTGGGACACAGGTAAAGCAGTGTTTATAGGGAATTTTATAGCACTAAATGCCCACAGGGAGAAACGGCAAAAGATCTAAAATCAACACCCTAACATTACAATTAAAAGAACTACAGGAACAAGAGCAAACAAAATCAAAAGCTAGCAGAAGACAACAAATAACTAAGATCAGAGCAGAACTGAAGGAGATAGAGACATGAAAAACCTTCAAAAAATCAACGAATCCAGGAGCTGATTTTCTGAAAAAATCAACAAAGTAGATAGTCCACTAGCCAGACTAATAATGAATAAAAGAGAGAAGAATCAAATAGACACAATAAGAAATGATAAATGGGATATCACCACTGATCTCACAAAAATACAAACTACCATCAGAGAATACTATAAACACCTCTAAATAAATAAACTAGGAAATCTAGAAGAAATGGATAAATTTCTGGACACATACACCCTCCCAAGTCTAAACCAGAAGTAAAATCGCTGAATAGACCAATAACAAGTTCTGAAATTGAGGCAGTAATTAATAGCCTATGAACCAAAAAGAGCCCAGGATAAGACAGATTCACAGCCGAATTATACCAGACATACAAACAGGAGATTGTACCATTCCTTCTGAAACTATTCCAAACGACAGAAAAAGAGGGACTCCTCCCTAACTCATTTTATGAGGCCAACATCATCCTGATTCCAAAACCTGGCAGAGGCACAGCAACAACAAAAACTTTCAGGCCATTATCCCTAATGAACATCGATGCAACACTCCTCTGTAAAATACTAGCAAACCGAATCCAGCAGCATATCAAAAACCTTATCCACTGTGATCAAGTCAGCTTCATCCCTGGGGTGCAAGGCTGGTTCAACATACAAAAATCTATAAACGTAATTCATCACATAAATGGAACAAATAACAAAACCACCTGATTATCTCAATAGATGCAGAAAAGGCCTCTGGCAAAATTCAACAGCCCTTTTTGCTAAAAACTCTCAATAAATGGAATGCATCCCAAAATAATAAAACTATTTGCGACAAACCCACAGCCAGTATCACACTGAATTGGCAAAACCTGGAAGCATTTCCTTTGAAGACCAGCGCAAGACAAGGATGCCCTCTCTCACCAATCCTATTCAACATAGTATTGGAAGTTCTGGCCAGAGCAATCAGGTGAGAGAAAGAAATACAGGGTATTCAAATAGGAAGAGAGGGAGTCAAATTGTCTCTGTTTGCAGATGACATGATTATATATTTAGAAAACCCGGTCATCTCAGCCCAAAATCCCCTCAAGCTGATAAGGAACTTCAGCGAAGTCTCAGGATACAAAATCAAAGTGCAAAAATCACAAGCATTCTTATGGACCAATAATAAACAGAGAGCCAAATCGTGAGTCAACTTGCATTCACAGTTGCTGCAAGGAGAATAAAATACCTAGGAATACAACTTACAAGGGATGTGAAGGACCTCTTTAAGAACTACAAACCTGGGCCGGGCACAGTGGCTCACGCTTGTAATCCCAGCACTTTGGGAGGCTGAGGCGGGTGGATCACGAAGTCAGGAGATCAAGACCATCCTGGCTAACACGGTGAAACCCCGTCTCTACTAAAAATACAAAAAAATTAGCCGGGCGTGATGGCGGGCGCCTGTAGTGCCAGCTACTCCAGCTGAGGCTGAGGCAGGAGAATGGCGTGAACCCGGGAGGCGGAGCTTGCAGTGAGCCGAGATTGCGCCACTGCACTCCCGCCTGGGCCACAGAGCGAGACTTCGTCTCAAAAAAAAGAACTACAAACCACTGCTCAAGCAAATAAGAGAGGACACAAACAAATGACAAAACATTTCATGCTCATGGATAGGAAGAATCAGTGTCGTGAAAACTGCCATACTCCCCATACTCCCCAAACTAATTTATAGATTCAATGTTATCCCCATCAAGCTACAATTGACTTTCTTCACAGAATTAGAAAAAAAACTACTTTAAATTTCATATGGAACCAAAAAAGAGTACATATAGCCTAGACAATCCTGAGCAAAAAGAACAAAGCTGGAGGCATGACCCTACCTGAATTCAAACTATACTACAAGGCTATGGTAACCAAAACAGCATTATTCTGGTACCAAAACAGATATATAGACCAATGGAACAGAACAGAGGCCTCAGAAATAACACCACACATCCACAACCATCTGGTCTTTGACAAACCTGAAAAAAACAAGCAATAAGGAAAGGATTCCCTATTTAATAAATGGTGTTGGAAAAACTGGCTAGCCATATGCAGAAAACTAAAACCAGACCCTTTCCTTATGCCTCATACAAAAATTAACTCAAGATGGATTAAACACTTAAATGTAAGACTTAAAACCATAAAAACCCTATAAGAAAATCTAGGCAATAGCATTCAGGACATAGGCATGGGCGAAGGCTTCATGACTAAAACAGCAAAAGCAATTGCAACAAAAGCCAAAATTGACAAATGAGATCTAATTAAACTAAAGAGCTTCTGCACAGCAAAAGAAACTATCATCAGAGTTAACAGGCAACCTATAGAATGTAAGAAAATTTTTGCAATCTATCCATCTGACAAAGGGATAATATCCAGAATCTACAAGGAACTTAGACAAATTTACAAGAAAAAAACAATCCCATCAAAAAGTGGGCAAAGGATATGAATGGACATTTCTAAAAAGAAGACATTTATGTGGCTAACAAACATATGAAAAAAAGCTCATCATCACTGGTCATTAGAGAAATGCAAATCAAAACCACAATGAGATACCTACAATCTCATGCCATTTAGAATGGCGATCATTGAAAAGTCAGGAAACAATAGATGCTGGAGAAGATGTGGAGAAATAAGAATGCTTTTACACTGTTGGTGGGGGTGTAAATTAGTTCAACCATTGTGGAAGACAGTGTGGTAATTCCTCAAAGATCTAGAACCAGAAATACCATTTGACCCAGCAATCCCATTACTGGGTGTATGCTCAAATGATTATAAATCATGCTACTATAAAGACACATGCACACATATGTTTACTGTGGCACTATTCATAATAGCAAAGACTTGGAACCAACCCAAATGCCCATCAATGATAGGCTGGATAAAGAAAATATGGCACATATACACCATGGAATACTATGCAGCCATAAAAAGGATGAGTTAACGTCCTTTGCAGGGACATGGATGAAGCTGGAAACCATCATTCTCAGCAAACTAACACAGAAACAGATAACCAAACACTGCATGTTCTCACTTATAAGTGGGATTTGAACAATGAGAACACATGGACACAGGGAGGGGAACATCACACACTGGGGCCTGTCAGGAGTGGGAAGCCAGGGGAGGGATAGCATTAGGAGAAATACCTAATGCAGATGACGGGTTGATGGGTGCAGCAAACCACCATGGCACGTGTATACCTGTGTAACAAACAAGCATGTTCTGCACATGTATCCCAGAACATAAAATATAATAATAAAAAATAAATAAATAAATAAATAAAATTTAAAATAACAATAACAATATGACAATAAAATAAGAATTTAAAAAATACAGTATAGCAACTATGTATATGCCATTTTCATTGTGTTAGTTATTACAAGTAATCTACATGCTATTTATACAGGTGGAATCACATAGGTTATATGTAAACACTATATATAATGTGTGTTTACATGTATTGTATATAATGGACTTTTATATGATGGACTTGAGCATCCACAGATTTTCCTATCTACAGGGGTCTTGAAACCATTATCCCTACAATACTGCAGGATGATCACACTTGGAAAAGCAATGATCACCAGAGATTCCAACAGTTTCACTAGAAACAACCTAACCCCAAACAATTAAATTTTCTTTGTTAATAGGGTCCCTATACTGGTAAATGATAGGAATGATGAAGACTTTAGGGCTTCATAGTTTTAGGAAACTATTTTACAAACTTTGCTGTCACAGGCTAGTGTGCAAACTCAAATATCAATTGAACTGAATAATGGCCCAGTTTAGTGGATGTTTATGCCTGTGAGAAACACCAAAGAGGATGAATTGATGATTTGTCAAGTAGCACACAATTTAGACTCTTGTCTAATCTATCCTCAATTTGTACCAATGGTTTGGATAAAGACGCTAACGTTTTGCTGATCAAATTTGCATATGATACAAAGTTGGGAGGAGAAACTAATGTAAGGGATGATAAAATTGAGATCCAAAGAGATCTTGACCGAAACAATGGACCAATTTTTACAAGATGAAATTTAATAGGAATAAATGTAAAATCATGCACTTCAACTAAAAAAATCAACTACCCAAGTACAAGATGGTCAAAATGTGGCTTATAGTCAAGATGCTCATGTGAAAAAGACCTTGGGAGTTTAGCTGGCAACAAAGCCTCTTATGGGTCAAGGGAAACTTAGTTGCATAAAAATGCTAATATCCTCTTAGCCTTTGTAGGTGTATACTAATATCTCCTTAGGCTATATTAATGGAAAAGAGTGTTGCTATAATCAATGGTAATAGCTCCTCTTTACTCTGCACCTCGCTGTGCTTTGAGTTTGGTTCTGGACCACAGAAAAACAGGAGCTGGTTCGTTGGAGAGTGAATATGAGTGCCCCAAGCAATACAACTGTGCTCTGGAGAATTTCAGCTTGGATATGGTGGTATGGAGAGACAAGAGACATGAATGTTTTTTTAAAATGTCAGATTAGCTGTTTATGAAAAGTGCTTCAAATAATTCCTACAGCCCTATGGAACTAGGATTAAAAGTAGATCTATTGAGGGTCTATTCTTTAACAAATGTTAGCACAGTATACAGGACCTGAAATAGTGAAGTTTTGAGAGAGATTTGTTCAGTATATAAGCAGATAATATATTAATGCCTAACACAATGGAAACATTTCCACTACTGAAAGACAGACAATTGAGTGATGAATATATGAAGTCAGAAATTCACCATTACTAGAGGTATGTGAGCCAAGGCTGTGTGTATAATTGCCACAGTGTTGCAGGGCAGATGCAAATATTGGATGGGAGTTGGACTAGAGAGCCTTTAAGGCTCCTTTCAATTGTGAAATTCTATAAGTGTGTGAATGTCTCTGTAATGGTGAGCTATAACAGGCACTTTCAAGGTTATTTGGTTCAGAATGTTCTTACGCATGTTGCCTAAACTCTCCGGGTACGTATCCAAAATATCTGCCTGTAAGTTGGGTTTAGTCTATAATGATGCTGAATCATCATGGTAATAGATTTTTGCCTTTCTATCAAATGGACATCTTGGGTCCTTGAAATTGATCTGCATTTTTCCTCCTCTAAGATTTTGTTCACCTGTTGCTCTCTTTGCCTTGAATAATTGCCTCAGTACTTCCTCATAGACTTCTACAATATCTCAGCAACTAAAGATCCTTAGGGGAAATTTACCCCCAAGATTTTCTGTTGCTCAGATATACACTGGTGGTGCTCAGAAAGGTCTCTTGACTACTAACCCAGTGCTATTGCAGTTCTACTGTATTATGTTCTGGGGTTAAAAATCTTAATGATTCATAAGAAAACCAAATAACTCAAGAACATAAAGAGATGCTCTACCTGATGCATTATAATTTGCACTTAAAACTACATTTATTTTTTACACATCTTATTGACAGGTGCTAAAATGAATGAGAATCCTCTTTATGTACTGAAGTGGAGCAATCTCCAAGCTATATAAATGGAAAAAAGGTTATAGGATATCCTGTATAGTGAGTGTACTGTCATTTATATTAGGAAAAAGGGGGGAGAGGCATAAAGATATAAGTACATATACATGTATAAATGTTTGCTTGTATATTTGAGGTAGCAGATAAACAAGACTCGTTTTCATGATCCTGCTGATCAAAACAGGTTGTAGCAAATAAATTGGCTAAAACCAGCTAGGACTAGGAATTATAATACATTTTCATAAGACACTCCCACTGGCACTATGACAGTTTACAAATGCCATGGCAACAACCCAGAATTTACCTTATATTGTTCCAGGAAATTCCCGTCCTTTTTCTAGAAAATTTGTCAATAGCCTTCTCCTTATTTAATATATAATTAGGAGTAGGTATGAATATAGCTAACCGGCACTCCACAAGTGCTACGCTCCCTATGGCATAGCCCTGCTCTGTGTATGGAGAAGCCATCTTGCTGTACACTGTTGGTCTAATAAACTTGCTTTCTTTCACTGTCAGCTCACTCTTGGATACTTTCCTGAGTGAAGCCAATAATAGACATATTGTTGTCTATTTTTCTAAATGTCTTTCCAAATTTATAATATAAATATGATGCAAGTGAACCTTAAAACTGGGGCTCAGACCAAGGGGATTATCTTTTTAGAATTTTAGAATGTAGTACAGGTAAAACCCAACTACTACATTACTATTATAGGACAATTCTACATTTCTGTCCACATATTCAAAAAATATTTAAGCAGTACCTTTCGGTGGAGGCAAAATTACCACTTGGACAATTAAAGGAATTGATTTTGTCTACTTTGGATAAAGCAGTTGATTTCTTAAGTAATTATAAAATATCATTTGGTTTGGAATGTTAAGTAAGCAAATAGAAAATATGTTGTGAAACAAAAAAAGATTGACGGGGAGAGAAAGAGGAGTTGGGTGGAGTTGGTCGAAATTAGGAGCATTCTGCTCCCATCATCTAACCTTGAACTTAACTGCAAAGCCAAGATTACCATACCACTGAGAATTGTTGTTACTTGGTGTGTGAACCTTTAAAGTTACAAACCTTGACATAAAGCTGAAAGAAAATGACCACATATATCAACATAAAACAAACTTTCCTGTCTCTTAATCAGTTATTCCCCCCACCCCAAGTTAGAAAAAACTCAATGGAATAGCCATGAGCTTGCTCTCTGGTTGTGGAGGTCAATGGAACTCTGAGTAGTAGATTTGCTAGACATGGCTGGTTGCTACAATGTTCCCAGCAAGTGTAAATGCATCACCACTTCTACCTCCAGACCTTTTCTTATGTCATTTCCCCATTTCTACCAGTGGAGGCCCCTCCCTTCTTCTCCTATCTTACCTGAATTTTCATCATCCTTTAAGGCTGAACTGAAAACTCCTTCATTCCTGGAAGATTTTTATAACAACCTCATGATTTTGTCCAACTCTAACCACCTCCAGTCCTTACTGTCTGCATTAAGCACTTGATTCTTCTTTCCAGGTGGCATTGTCAGCATCTTAGATTTGCAGACATATTGTATTCCCAAGAAATAAGACAAAGCCACTTGTTAGGGACTATATGCTCCTCCTTGTAGTGAATAAGAAGAGTAGAGACAGTCTGTGTCCTACTCCTAGCCTGGGTATGGAGTGCAGCAGATTTAAGTTAACTCCCAAATAATTAGAAGTTCAAGAACAACAGGAACCATAAGAGAGACAGATAAGACATTGAAGCTTCAGAGGGTACTCTTGCATCAGTAGGTCTAAACACTACAAAATGCCACTTTGCAAGATATTCAGAGCCTTTTAGTGGAGTTATGATCATCATAATGGAAGTAATGTAATGAATGGAGGTGGGGCTTGAAACCAATTAATTAATTCAACAAATATTTATTAAGCCCATATCACGTTCTTGGCACAATTCTCAGCACTAGGGATATATCAATGACCAAAAAGAAGAGACATTGACCCTGTGCTAACAGAACTTACATTCTAGTGGAGGGAAACAGACAATAAACAAGTAAACAAATATAGTAACAGGATTCTATCAGAAGTGATGCAAAATGCTATAAATAATATGACATATGGTAAACGTGATAAGGAGTGGGCTGGTGGTCCAAGAGCTACTTTGGATAATGCTATGGACTGAATGTTCATGTCCCCCAAAAAATTCATGCGTTTAAGCCCTAACCTGCAATTTGATGGTACTTGAAAATAGGACATTTGGGATGTAATTAAGGTTAGATTAAGTCATCAGAGAAAAATCTTAGTACAATGGAGTAAAAGTCCTTGTAACAAGAGACATAAGAGAACTTGCTCTTGTTCTTTCTTTGTGTGAACTCAGAGGAAAGGTAATGTAAACACATGGCAAGAAAGCATCCATCCATCTACAAACTAGTATAGGACCTTCACCAAAAGCCAACCATGCTGGCACCTTGGTCTTCAGCTTCCCAGCCTCCAGATCTGTGAGAAATAAATTTCTGTTCTGCATATCACCCAATATGTGGCATTTTGTTATTTTCAGTCCCAGAAGACTATTACAGATAGAAGGTCAAAGAAGGTTCCTACATGAAGGTGATTTTTGAGCTGATATCTGAAGTGTTCAGAAAAAGCCATGTGAATATTGAGTGAAGACCATTCCAGAAAAAAAGGAGCAAATAATGCAAGAAAAAGGATGTCATGATCTTGGTATGTTAGAGGAATAAAAAGACCAATGAGACTTAAGAAGAGTGAAGGGAGGAGAGGTAGGAGATAAAGTTGGAGAGATTGACATATATCAGGTCATACAGGGTAATGTAGGCCATGAGAACAAACTCAGTGGAAAGTCACTGGAGCATCTTAAGCAGTAAGATAATATAACCTTATGAAAAGTTTAAGATGACTTTTTGCTACTGTGAAATGGTGACAAAAACAGAAACAAAAGGCAAGATAGATTTATTGCAGTAGTCCAAATGAGAAATAATTGCAGCAGTGGCAGAGATTCAGAGAAGTCTCTGAATATAGGTATGCTTCAGAAATGACCAACTTTAAGTAAGAATGGCCGATTAAATGCCAGAATGGCCCCGAGGTTGCTCGTCTAAGAAACTGAGTGCACGATGGAGACTTCACTGAGATGGGTAATACTGATAGAGGAACACATGTTCTGGTCCTGTTGAGTTTGAGATATCTATTAGAAATTTAAATAAAGATATCAAATAGAGAGTTGCATATAGAAATCTTAGAGTTCATTGGAAAAAAATATTTTCTATCCTCTACCATATGTTCTGCTGCTCACTCTATAACCTACATCTCCTCTAGTTTCTCCACAGTAAAGAAAAAATAAAAACCTAGGCCAGGCATGGTGGCTCATGCCTGTAATTCCAGCATTTTGGGGGGCCAAAGTTGGTGGATCACTTGAGCCCAGGAGTTTGAAAACAGCCTAGGAAACATGGCAAAACCCTGTTGTTAGCCAGGCATGGTGGTGCGCACCTGTAGTCCCAGCTATTCAGGAGGCTAAAGTGATAGAATGACCTGAGCCCCAAAATTTGAGTCTGCTGTTAGCTGTGATTGTGCCACTGAACTCCAGCTTGGGTGACAGAGGGAGAACCTGTCTCATAAATAAATAAGTAAATGAATAAACATAAATAAAAAATAAAATATACTGTCTAGTCACCAGTATTTCCTAGAATTTGATACTGGCTCAAGTCTCAAAACTAAGACCAAAAGGCAGTGGCCTTCCAAAAAAAAATGGTGAAGCTGACTTGCTAGTAATAACACTAAGTGCCTGAAAGTACTTATAATACTGCATACCTAATACACTTAGCAACAGGAAAGCCTTTGGCCTATCATTAATCGGGTGGAGGTGGGGAGGTAACAAAAACTGAGTACAAGACTTGAGCCAGTTCTCATACCTGGACACTCATATCCTTCGGTACGTGGATAATTTACTTTTAGCCGCCTGTTCAGAAACCTTGTGCCATCAAGCCACCCAAGCGCTCTTAAACTTCCTTGCCACCTGTGGCTACAAGGTTTCCAAACCAAAGGCTCAGCTCTGCTCACAGCAGGTGAAATACTTAGGGTTAAAATTATCCAAAGGCACTAGGACCCTCAGTGAGGAACGTATGCAATCTATTCTGGCTTATGCTCATCCCAAAATCCTAAAGCAACTAAGAGGGTTCCTTGGCATAACAGGCTTCTGCCGAATATGGATTCCCAAGTACGGCAAAATAACCAGGCCATTATATATACTAATTAAGGAAACTCAGAAAGCCAATGCCCATTTAGTAAGATGGACACCTGAAGCAGAAGCAGCTTTCCAGGCCTTAAAGAAGGCCCTAACCCAAGCCCCATTGTTAAGCTTGCCAACAGGGCAAGACTTTTCTTTATATGTCACACACACACACACAAAAACAGGAATAGCTCCAGGAGTCCTTACACAGGTCCGACGGACCAGCTTGAAACCCATGGCATACCTGAGTAAGGAAATTGATGTAGTGGCAAAATGTTGGCCTCATTATTTACATGTAGTGGTGGCAGTAGCAGTCTTAGTATCTGAAGCAGTTAAAATAATACAGGGAAGAGATTTTACTGTGTGGACATCTCATGAGGTAAAACAGCATACTCACTGCCAAAGGAGACTTGTGGCTGTCAGACAACCATTTGCTTAAATATCAGGCTCTATTACTTGAAGGGCCATTGCTGCGACTGCACACTTGTGCAACTCTTAACCCAGCCACATTTCTTCCAGACAATGAAGAAAAGATAGAACATAACTGTCAACAGGTGATTGCTCAAACCTACGCTGCTCGAGGGGACCTTCTAGAGGTTCCCTTGACTGATCCCTACCTCAACTTGTATACTGATGGAAGTTCCTTTGTAGAAAAAGGACTTCAAAAAGTGGGGTATGCAGTGGTCAGTGATAATGGAATCCTTGAAAGTAATCCCCACACTCCAGGAACTAGCACTCAACTGGCAGAACTAATAGCCCTCACTCAGGCACTAGAATTAGGAGAACGAAAAAGGGTAAATATATATACAGACTCTAAGTATGTCTACCTAGTCCTCCATGCCCACGCAGCAATATGGAGAGAAAGGGAATGCCTAACTTCCAAGGGAACACCTATCAAACATCAGGAAGCCATTAAGAGATTATTATTGGCTGTACAGAAACCTAAAGAGGTGGCAGTCTTACACTGCCGGGGTCATCAGAAAGGAAAGGAAAAAGAAATAGAAGGGAACAGCCAAGCGGATATTGAAGCCAAAAGAGCCGCAAGGCAGGACCCTCCATTAGAAATGCTTCTAGAAGGACCCCTAGTATAGGGTAATTCCCTCCAGGAAACCAAGCCCCAGCACTCAGCAGGAGAAATAGAATGGGGAACCTCTTGAGGACACAGTTTCCTCCCCTCAGGATGGCTAGCCACTGAAGAAAGAAAAATACTTTTGCCTACAGCTAACCAATGGAAATTACTTAAAACCCTTCACCAAACCTTTCCCTTAGGCATTGATAGTACCCATCAGATGGCCAAATCATTATTTACTGGACAAGGCCTTTTCAAAACCATCAAGCACATAGTCAGGGCCTGTGAAGTGTGCCAAAGAAATAATCCCCTGTACTGCAGGCCATACATTTCAATCCCTGTATCTTTAACCTCTTTGTTAATTTTGTCTCTTCCAGAATTGAAGCTGTAAAACTACAAATTGTTCTTTAAATGGAGCCTCAGTTGCAGTCCATGACTAAGATCTACTGCAGACCCCTGGACTGGCCTGCTAGCCCATGCTCTGATGTTGATGACATCAAAGGCACCCCTCCACAGGAAATCTCAACTGCACGACCCCTGCTACACCCCAGTTCAGCAGGAAGCAGTTAGAGTGGTCATCAGCCAATCTCCCCAAAAGCAGTTGGGTTTTCCTGTTGAGGGGGGTACTGAGAGATAGGACTAGCTGGATATCCTAGCTGGGAAGGTGACCGCATTCACCTTTAAACATGGGGCTTGCAACTTAGCTCACACCTGACCAACCAAGTAGTAAAGAGAGCTCACTAAAATGCTAATTAGGAAAAAACAGGAGGTAAAGAAATAGCCAATCATCTATTGCCTGAGAGCACAGGGGGAGGGACAATGACTGGGATATAAACCCAGGCATTCAAGCCGCAAAAAAAAAAAAAAAAAAAAAAAAAAAAACACCTGAGTACACTCTGGGCATTCCAGTCAATTGGATGTTATAATGTGCATGTAACAAGCAGGTCCTTAGGTCAGTTATCAGTATGAATACGAATAATAAAGCATGGGTGAGGTATCTCCTCTGGAATCAGTTTCTGCTTAGGAAACATAACATCAGCTTCTACTTTATGTATCTGTGAAAGATAGAGATATGGGAAAATATATGTAGAGAGTTGGGATGGAAAAATTTCAACTATGATTAATACAAAGGTGAATACATACTCATTCTTAACTCTTTCTCACTATATAGAGGCTAAAAACCTTAATACCTGCTTTCTAAGGCTCCTTTGTGGCTAGAAGTACTATATGATATAGGTCTTGCCAAATAGACCTAAGGGAAAGGGTGCTGGGAATTCTAGGAAAGCTTATGTATTTGCTTATTTTAAAAAGACAGATGAAGAGCAAGACAGTGGAATAGAAGGCTCCATCAATCGTCCCTCCCCCAAAGACACAAATTTAACAACTGTCTGCACAGAAAAAAAAACACCTTCATAAGAATCAAAAATTAGCTAAGCATGCATAGTACCTGGTTTTAACTTTATATCACTGAAAGAGACATTGAAGAGATAGAAAAAACAGTTCTGAATTACTAACGCCATCCCTTCTCCATCCCTGACAGTGGCAGCCTGGTGCAGAGAGCTTTTCTGGGTGCTGGGGTAGGGAGAACACAGAAATTGTGAGGCACTGAACTCAATGTTATCCTGTTAGAACAGAAAGGAAAACCAGACCAAACTCAGTTGATGCCCACCCACGGAGGGCATTTAAAGAATCCCTAGCCAGAGGGGACTCTCCAATCCCAGAGGTCTAAACATGAGTTCTGGTAAACCTCGCCACTGAGGGCTACAGTGCTCTGTGTCTCCAAGTAAATTTAAAAGGCAGCCTAGGCGATAAGGACAGCAAATCTTAGGTGAGTCCTAGTACTGAATTAGTACCAGAGAAAGTGGACTGAAGGGGCATACAATATACTGAGGCACCAGCTGGGGCAGCCAAGGGAGTGCTGGCATCACCCCTCCCTTAAATCCAGGCTGCACAGCTCATGGCTCCAAAAGAAACCTCTTCCTTCTGCTTGAGTAGAGGAGAGGGGAAAATGAACAGATCTTTGTCTTATGTTTTGGATACCAGATCAGATCAGCCACAGCAAGATAAGTTACTGGTCAGAGTCACGAGGCCTCTGTTCCAGGCCCTTGTTCCTGGAAAACATTTCTAGACATGCCTTGGGCCAGAAAAGAACACACTGACTTGAAGGGAAGGACCTGGTTCTGGCAGTACTTATCATCTACTAAATGAAGAACTCTCCCATACTGAATAAAGAGCAGTGATATTCAGTTACTACATCAAGGGCTTTGGTTGAGCCTCTGTGACTTGCTGGCTTCAAGTGAGACTCAGCACATTACCAGCTGTGGTGGCTATGGGTTAAAACTCCTTCTGCTTGGGAAAAGCAGAGGAAAATGTAAAGGGGACTTTGTCTTGCACCTTAGGTACCAGCACAGACACAGACTGGTAGAACAGCAAGTGGGCTCTTGGGATCCCTGATTCAAGGACTTGACTCCTGAATGGCATTTCTATACCTGCCCTTGGCCAGAGGGGAGCCCACTTCCTTGAATGGTGAGTCTCAGGCAAGGCAGCATTCACCACAAACTGACTTAAGAGCCCTTAGGCCTTAAGGGAACATCTGAGATAATCTGGCAGTACTCTTCTTGGCCTGGGGTTGCAGTAGCTACAGGGTGAGGGTCATCTCTCTTTGGAAAGGGGAGGGAAGAGTGGAAAGGTCTGCATCTTGTGGTTTTAGTGCCAGCTAAGCCACAGTAAAACACCAGATATACTTCTAAGGTGTTTGACTCTACTCCCTCACTCATGGATGGCACCTATTGACCTACTCAGGGCCTGAGGGAACTTATCATCCTGAAAGGAAGAACACAGGCCAGACTGGCTTTGCCATGGGTGGCTGTGGAACCCCAGGGGATAGAGTGAACACAGGCAGTTGCCAGTGAGTGATTACAGTGGGCCTTGGGCAAGACCCAGGACTGTGCTGGCTTCAGGTCTGTCTCAGGCCTGAATTCACAGAGAATTCAAAACAGCTGCAATGAGGAAACTAAGAAATTCAAGATAACACAGGAATTTTATCAGATAAATTTAACAAAGAGATTGAAATAATTAAAAAGAATCAAGCAGAAATTCTGGAGCTGAAAGATGCAATTGGCATACTGAAGAATGTGTCAGAGTCCTTTAACAGCAGAATTGATAAGGCAGAAGAAACAATTAGTGAGCTCAACAAAAGGCTATTTGAAAATACACAGTAAGAGGAGACAAAAGAAAAAGAATAAAAAACAATGATGCACCCCTACAGGATCTAGCAAATAGCTTCAAAGGGGCAAATCTAAGAGTTATCGGACTAAAAAAGTATGTAGAGAAACAGATAGAGATAAAAAGTTTATTCAGAAAGTAATAGGAGAGAAATTCCCAAACCTAGATAAAAATATCAATATACAAACACTAGATGGTTATAGAACACCAAGCAGATTGAATACAATGAAGACTACTTCAAGGCATTTAGTCATCAAAATCTCAAAGGTCAAGAATAAAATCCTAAAAGCTGCAAGAGAAGAGAAACAAACAGCATACCATGGAGCTCCAATACACTGAACAGCAGACTTTTCAGTGGAAACCTTACAGGCTAGGAGATAGGTCCATGACATGTTTAAAGTGCTGATTGAAAAAACTTTTACCTTAGAATAGTAGATCTGGCAAAAATATCCTTCAAACGTGCAGGACAAATAAAGGCTTTCCCAGACAAACAAAAGCTGAGGGATTTCATCAATACCAGACCTGTTTTATAAGAAACTCTCAAGGGATTACTTTAATCAGAAAGAAAGGGGCATTAAGGAGCAGTAAGTAAGCACCTACTGGTACAAAACTTACTGGTAATGGTAAATAAACAGAAAAACACAAAACATCATAACAGCGTAACTGTGGTCTGTAAACTACTCTTAAGTAGAAATACTAAACCATGAATTAATAAAGATAATAACTACAACAACTTTTTGGGACACAGATAGTACAATAAGATATAAATAGAACCAACAAAATGTTGAAAAGTAGGGGGGTAAAGTTAAGGATTCAAGTCTTTATTAGTTTTCTTCTTGCTTGTTTTTATATGCAAACAGTATTAAAATATCAACTTAAAATATTGGGTTATAAGATAATATTTTCAAGCCTCCCGGTAACCTCAAGCCAAAAAGCATACAACAGATGCACATACACAAAAAAGAAAGAAACTAAGTCATGTCATGAGAGAAAAATTACCAATAAAGGAGTGCAGGAAGGAAAGAAAGAAGGAAGGAAAAGAAGACCACAAAACAACTAGAAAACAAATAACAAAATGACATAACCAAGTCCTTACTTATCAACAACAACATAATGATAAAGTGGTCCATTCAGCAAAAGGATATAACAACTTTAAATATCTATGCACCCAACACCAGAGCACCCAGATATATAAAGCAAATATTAGAGCTAAAGACAGAGGCAGACCCCAATACAATAATAGCTGGAGACTTTAACACCCCACATTCAGCAATGGACAGATGTTCCAAACAGAAAATAAACAAAGAAACATTGGACTTAATCTGCACTACGGACCAAATGGATCTAATAAATATTTACAAAACATAGCATCCAATGGCTGCAGAATACACATCCTTTTTCTCAGCACACAGATTATTTTCAAAAATAGACCATATGTTAGGTCACAAAACAATTCTTAAAACATACAAAAACAATTGAAATAACATCAAGCATATTCTCCGACCACAATGGAATAAAACTAGAAAACAATAAGAAGAGGAATTTTGGAAATTATACAAATACATGGAAATTAAACCATGTGCTCCTGAATGACCAGAGGGTCAATGAAGAAATTAAAAAGAAAAGTGAAACATTTATTGACAGAAATGATAATGGAAACACAACATATCAAAACCAATGGGATATAGCTAAAGCAGTACACAGAGGGAAGTTTATAGCTATAAGCCTACATCAAAGAAGAGGAAAATCTTTCAGTAAACAATCTAATAATGCATCTTAGGGAACTAGAAAAGCAAAAAAAAATCAAATTACTTCTAAAACAAGAAATAATAAAGAGAGCAGTAATACATAAAATTCATATTAAAAAATGCAAAGGACCAATTCAACAAAAAGTTGTGCTTTTAAAAAGTTAAACCAAACTGACAAACTTTTAGCCAGACTAAGAAAAAAGAGAAGATCCAAATAAATAAAATCAGAAATGAAAAGGATACATTACAACTGATATGGCAGAAATTCAAAGGAACATTAGTAGCTACTATGCGGAACTAAATGCCAATAACTTAGAAAATCTAGATGAATTTGACAAATTCCTAGACACATACAACCTACCAGGATGGAACCAGGGAGAAATTTAAAACCTGAACAGACCAATAACAAGTAATGAGATCAAAGTCATAATAAAAAGTCTCTCCATAAAGGAGAGCCTGGGAGCTGATGGCTTCACTCCTGAACTCTACCAAGCATATCAAAAGAATTAATCCCAATCCTACTCAAACTTTCATAAAAAATAAAGGAGGAGGGAGGACTCCCAAACTCATTCTAAGAGGCTGGTATTACCCTGATACCAAAGTGAAACAAAGACACATGAAAAAAGGAAAACTACATACGAGTATCTGCTGAATATTGATGCAAACATTCTCAACAAAATATTAGCCAACCAAACCCTAGAAGAAAACCTAGGCATTACCATTCAGGACATAGGCATGGGCAAGGACTTCATGTCTAAAACACCAAAAGCAATGGCAACAAAAGCCAAAATAGACAAATGCGATCTAATTAAACTAAAGAGCTTCTGCATAGCAAAAGAAACTACCATCAGAGTGAACAGGCAACCTACAGAATGGGAGAAAATTTTCACAACCTACTCACCTGACAAAGGGCTAATATCCAGAATCTACAATGAACTCAAACAAATTTACAGGAAAAAACCAAACAACCCCATCAAAAAGTGGGCAAAGGACACGAACAGACACTTCTCAAAAGAAGACATTTATGCAGCCAAAAAACACATGAAAAAATGTTCATCATCACTGGCCATCAGAGAAATGCAAATCAAAACCACAATGAGATACCATCTCACACCAGTTAGAATGGCAATCATTAAAAAGTCAGGAAACAACAGGTGCTGGAGAGGATGTGGAGAAATAGGAACACTTTTACACTGTTGGTGGGACTGTAAACTAGTTCAACCATTGTGGAAGTCAGTGTGGTGATTCCTCAGGGATCTAGAACTAGAAATACCATTTGACCCAGCCATCCCAAAGGACTATAAATCATGCTGCTATAAAGACACATGCACACGTATGCTTATTGTGGCACTATTCACAATAGCAAGGACTTGGAACCAACCCAAATGTCCAATAATGATAGACTGGATTGAGAAAATGTGGCACATATACACCATGGAATACTATGCAGCCATAAAAAAGGATGAGTTCATGTCCTTTGTAGGGACATGGATGAAATTGGAAATCATCATTCTCAGTAAACTATTGCAAGAACAAAAAACCAAACACTGCATATTCTCACTCATAGGTGGGAATTGAACAATGAGAACACATGGACACAGGAAGGGGAACATCACACTCTGGGGACTGCTGTGGGGTAGGGGGAGGGGGGAGGGATAGCATTAGGAGATATACCTAATGCTAAATGACAAGTTAATGGGTGCAGCAAACCAGCATTGCACATGTATACATATGTAACTAACCCGCACATTGTGCACATGTACCCTAAAACTTAAAGTATAATAGTAAGAAATAAAATAAAAAAAATACTAGCCAACCAAATTCAACAGTACATAAAAAATATCATTCATCATGACCAAATGGGATTCATCCCTGAGATGCAAGGATGGTTCAAAATATGCAAATTAACCAATGTGATACATCATATCAACAGAATGATAGATTAAATAACATGAAACATACCTCAACATAATAAAAGCCATATGTGACAGTTCCATAGCTAGTATGATACTGAATGGGAGAAAGCTGAAAGCCTTTCCTCTAAGATTGGGAACATGACATGGACACCCACTTTCACTCCTGCTCTTTAACATAGTACTGGAAATCCTAGCTAGAGAAATCAGACACGAGAAAGAAATAAAAGACATCCAAATTGGAATTTAAAAAGTCAAATTATCCTCATTTGCAGATAATAAAATTTTATATTTAGAAAAACCTAAATATTCCACAAAAAACTATTAGAACTGATAAACAGATTCAATAAAGTTTCAGAATAAAAAATCAGCATACAAAAACAGTAATATATCTATATGCCTACAGGGATTAATCTGAAAAACAAATTTTTTAAACTCCACTTATAATAGCCACAAATAAAATTACATATCTAGGAATTAACCAAATAACTAGAAGATTTTTATAATAAAAACTATAAAATGCTGATGAAAGAAATTCAAGAGGACACCAAAAATGGAAAACTATTCCATGTTCATAAATTGAAAAAAAAATCAATATTCTTAAAATTGTCATACTACCCAAAGCAATCTACAGATTCAATGTAATCTCTATTGAAATACCGATGACATCCTAGACAGAAATAGGAAAAAAAATTCTAACGTTTATATGAAACCACAAAAGACGTAGAATAGCCAAAGCTATCCTAAACAAAAAGAACCGAACTGAAAGAATCACATTACCTGACTTCAAATTGTACTACAGAGCTATGGTAAACAAAACAACATGATACTGGGAAAAAAAAAAAAAAGACACCTAAATAGAATAGAATAGAGAACCCAGAAACAAATCTACATACCCACAGTGAACTCATTTTTGACAAATGTGCCAAGAACATACACTGGGAAAGACTGTCTCTTCAAGAAATGGTGCTGGGAATACTGGATATTTCTTATGCGGAAGAATAAAGCTACTCCCCTCTCACCATATATAAAAATGGAATCGAAATGGAGTAAAAACTTAAATCCAAGACCTCAAACTACAAAACTGCTATAAGAAAACATTGGAGGAAATCTTCAGGATATTGGTCTGGACAAAATTTTTCGAGCAATACCCCATAAACACAGGCAGCCAAAGCAAAAATGGACAAATGGGATCACATCAAGTTAACAAGCTTCTGTATAACAAAGAAAACAATCAACATAGTGAAGAGACATCCCACAAAATTGAAGAAAATATTTGCAAACTACCCATCTGAAAAGGGATTAACAATCGGAATACATAAGGAGTTCAAAGAACTTTATAGAAAGAAATCTAATAATTTGATCAAAAAATGGGCAAAAGATCTGAATAGATATTTTACAAAAGAAGTAATACAGATAACAAACAGGCATGTAAAAAGATACTGAACATCATCGATCATCAGGGAAACATAAATCAAAAAGACAATGAGCTATTATCTCACTCCAGTTAAAATAGCTTATATCCAAAAGACAGGCAATAACAAATGCTGGCAAGGATGTGGACAACAGGGAACACCTGTATATTGTTGGTGGGAATGTAAATTAGCATAAGCACTATGGAGAACAGTTTGGAGGTTCCTCAAAAAAACAAAATATTTACCTACCACACAAGTCAGCAATCTCACTTCTGGG
The DNA here is from genome assembly GCF_000001405.40 of Homo sapiens. Classification (NCBI taxonomy): domain Eukaryota; kingdom Metazoa; phylum Chordata; class Mammalia; order Primates; family Hominidae; genus Homo; species Homo sapiens. The sequence continues at coordinate 66,289,451 of NC_000023.11, read as the reverse complement.
TATATATGCAAAAGAAAGGAAATCAACATATTGAAGATATATCTGCCCTTCTTTGTTTATTGCAACGTCATTTATATAGCTAATATATATAGCTATATATAGCTAATATTTGGAAGCAACCTAAGTGTCCATTAACAGATGAATGGATGAAGAAAATGTGGTACATATACACAATGAAGTACTATTCAGTCATTTAAAAGAGTGAGATCCACTTATTTTCAACAAAATGGATGGAACCAAAGATCATTACGTTGAGTGAAATAAGCCAGGCACAGAAAGACCAACATAGTATGTTCTCACTTATTTCTGTGATCTAAAAATCAAAATAATTTAACTCATGGACATAGAGAGCAGAAGGATTGTTACCAGAGGCTAGAAAGGGTAGTGAGAAGCTGAGTGGGGTGATGGGGATGGTTAATGGGTACAAAAAACAGTGAGAAAGAATAAACAAGACCTACTGTTTGATAGCACAACAGGGTGAATATAGTCAATAATAACTTAATTGTATATTTTAAAACAACTTAAAGGGTATAATTCCATTGTTCATAACTCAATGGATAAATGCTTGAGAGGATGGATATGGCATTCTTCATAATATGCTTATTTCACATTGCATGCCAGTATTACAACATCTCATGTATCCCATAAAAATATACACCTACTATGTACTCACAAAAAAAAAAGACTTAAAATTAAAAAAACAAATGTGTGAGCACTGCCTCTTCCTCCTTCTTCTTGCCTTAAATACAGTTATGATGGTTGCAGCAACAGTAATCATTTTGTGTTTTTGAGGAAGATACCATAAGTATCTCAGTTACCTCAGCCCTGAAATGATTGAGTTACTGAACCATAGCAACCACTTTATATTTCTTGATATGTGAGGAAAAAAAAAAAACAACTTCTTTTTTTTAAGCCACTATAGTTGGGTTTCTCGTACTTACAGCCAAATGCAACCCTAAGTTAAACTACTAGTTAGTGTGGGGTAGGAATTTATTACAGGTGTGCCTGAATATGTCTCATGTTCTTGATCAGTATCCTATGCCATCTGCCCCCCTGGGCACAATTTGTAAACAGCTCACAATACAATAGACTAAGTGATATGTAATGTGGTACAGGTTCTTTGTGGCATGGAAGTGTGGAAGCTCAGGTCACTGAAAGCTGGTGTAATTAGGAAGGTCCTCTTCCAAGGATGGAGAGCTGCTACAGAGACAGAAGGATAAAAAGAGGGCATTCTATGTGGAAGAACGTGCATTAAAAATTGGCATTACTTTTGCTCCTGTCCTCTGGTAACCATCCTTCTGCTCTCTATGACCATGAGTTTAATTATTTTTAATTTTAGATCACAGAAATAAGTGAAAACATACTATGTTTGCCTTTCTGTGCCTGGCTTATTTCAGAAAGGTGCAATGTCTAGCTTCTGTCCTCAGACCAAGATTCCTTCCTAGGTTCCATTTGTTTCCCAAAAGAGTCATTATCCCTTGACTCTATAAAACCAGGCATCTAACTTTTACCTCACAATTATTTATAAATAACATCCCATTCAACGTTAAAGTAACATAAGTGGTAGGTCTGTTATATTCCCTAGGGCAGAGGGCTCTGGAGATGTGGCAGCCCCATCAGCACTGTTCAGATTATCTTGATAGAGATCAAAATCCTGTGTATAGGCAGGCCACAGAAGAGATCAAGGAGAGCTGTGGAAACAGTTGCTGTAGAGTCTCTAAAAATCTTCATAGTAAACTTGGAGCAAAAATTCCTTAAACTTCCCACTCTGCCTCCACTGCAATGAAATTGTTGGGCCTAGCCTCACTTCTTTATGATTCTCAGTTTCAGCCCCCACACAACCATCCCCATAACGTCATGCCACTCTGGCTCAATCTCAGCTTGTAGATTCAGACTCCAGACATTTGGTCCCTACTATAGGACTTGTCATAGGAGGGAATTAAGAAGGAATGAGGGCCGGGCATGGTGGCTCATGCCTGTAATCCCAGCACTTTGGGAGGCTGAGGTGGGTGGATCACAAGGTCAGGAGTTCAAGACCAGCTTGGCCAACATGGTGAAACCCCGTCTCTACTAAAAATACAAAAATTAGCTGGGCATGGTGGCACGTGCCTGTAATCCCAGCTACTTAGGAGGCTGAGGCAAGAGAATTGCTTGAACAGGGACCTGGGAGGTGGAGGTTGCTGTGAGCCGAGATCGTGCCACTGCACTCCAGCCTGGGCTACAGAGGGAAACTGTCTCAAAAAAAAAAAAAAGAAAGAAAGAAAGAATGAGACAATGGGAACTAAACAAAGTTTTGTTGCCACTTGTCTTTCATTTTTTGAGTTACATCACCTTAGATTATTGCATTATCCCACCAAGCTTTACTTTTCAAAATAGAAAATATTTCTAAGTCAGATTATGCCTTCATTTGCTAACAGTCATTAATTCTAAACTGTGAATTAGTACTGTGAAAGCAATGATAAATGCTCTGAACGAATAAGAATTCTGATGAGAAGAGGGAAGAATACATTTGAAACATGAGACATTATTCTAGGGGAGCATCATCTAGGGCCCTTATCGAAAAATTAAGCATGATAATTTTGAGAGAGAGTAGGGAGGATATCAGGGCTTTTCCCATTTTTAAAATTGGTTGTTGGTTTTTTATTGTTGGATTTTAAGAGTTTATTGTATACATTATTTGGGGAAGTTTTGTTTTTTTAATTTTTTACTAAATCTGAAATGAACAAATTTGTAAATTTTTAATTATATTTATTTTTAGAGACCAGGTCTTACTCTGTTACCCAGGCTGGAGTGTGGTGGCACAATCATAGCTCACTGCAGCTTCAACCTCCTAGGCTCAAGTGATCCTCCCACCTCAGCCTCCCGAGTAGCTAGGGTGACAGGCACATGCTATCATGTCTGGTTAATGTTATATATATATATATTTATATTTATTATATATATAATAAATATACACATATATACATATATACATATAATATATATACACACATATATACATATATACACATATATACATATATGTGTATATACATACACACATATATGTGCATACACATATATACACACATATGTATACACATATATACACACATACGTATACACATATACGTGTACACATATATATACACATATACGTGTACACATATATACACATATGCGTGCACACATATACACATATATGTGTATATACATATACATATATGCACATATACACATATATGTGTATATACATATACATATATGCACATATACACATATATGTGTATATACATATACATATATGCACATATACACATATATGTGTATGTACATATACATATATGCACATATACACATATATGTGTATATACATATACATATATGCACATATATACGTATATACACATATATGTGTGTATATACGTATATACATACACAGACACACACATACACACATACACACATACATATATACACATATATACATATATACATATATACACACATATATACGTATATATGTGTATATATATACACACACATATATACGTATATATGTGTGTATATATATACACACACACATACACACACACACATATATGAGATGGGAGTCTCTCTAGGTTGCCCAGGCTGGTCTTGAACACCTGGTCTCAAGCAATCCTCCGACCTTGGCCTCCCAAAATGATGAGATTACAGATGTGAGTTGCCATGCCTGGCCTCTTTTTTTTATTTTAGATAACAGTCTTTTATCAGATATGCCTTTTGTGAATATTTTCTCCAATTTTGTAGCTCGACTTATTTATTGACAGTCTTTATTTTAACCATTTAGGAAGGGGCACTATTTACACGTTGTAAGTAGCAAATGTTACACTTGAAAATTATATTAAAATCTTTTTCTATAGCCTGGGAGTTACAGTTTGGTCCTATTTCTATGTTAGTTTAAATGAGACATAGATTTTCTCATTCCTCATTTATAAGAAATCTTGCAGGGTCATCAGATGATTTCATGGGAAGAACTATTTCAGTATTATTAACCTAGGACAGCTGCTGAAACAGCCCCTTGGAACTCCCAAAATTGAGTTTGGAGGCACTTTCACAAGGCGTAGTAGCAACTTCTGAATTTTCGGTGTCATTAAATGTAACACTCACAAGGACCAATTCCTGACACAGGATTGTGGCTTCCTTTTAAGTTTTGGAGGAAGAGGAACATTTTCTACTCACCTTGCTGAGATTTCTCTTGACTACCAGTTAGGAACCGTTAGGTTTCAAGGTCAACTATGGGATTCCATTAGCACTTGGTGAGGAATAATTGTGAACATCAAAATGTACAATGTGGAAAGTGAAAGGCCAGAGGAAGATTATTATAACGTAGACTAAGGGCAAGCAGAATTTTGCTTCCTCAGTCCTTCACTAAGGGGCCCTTGTTTGATCCCTCACCTTAGATTTGAATCCTTCTGAGGTGCTTGTTCCTGACCTCAGCATTCCTCCCTCTGCTTCTTTTGTGTCCAGGGGCAGGGTTTGTTATGCAGCATTTAAGGTATAGTTGGGCCTCATTCAATAACCATTCCTGCTGCCTATGAATTAAGGATTCTAGCATTCCTGCAACTCCTTGTAAAATTGATTTATCCCCAGAAATGTCCACAAAGGTCCCCAGCCTCTCTGTCTGTCACGTTGTGGCTACTCCTTCCTAACTGAGGCTGATCGACTCTTGGGTGACCTATGTTTTGGCAGGATAAGGTTACTTATTCTTTGCCGGTAAAAGACCCCTCACATTCTTCCTCACTGGCCAAGGTGAATTTTAAGGCCATGTGGTTCTGATGTCCAAAGTCTTGAATGATCTCCAGTTGAAACATTCAATTTGGTTGGTACTGACTTGTCCTAAAGTCCTTAGAGTTTGCAGTCCCCTGGAGTGGTTGTGGTCTCTGCCTATCTTTGCTTTGGTTATACCACGGGGTCATATTGAAAGATGTGGCATGAAGCAGGAGTGGGCCACCAAGACTGATGATCTATTGGCATATACAGACACAAACTTAACAGTTAAATATTAAAGTATATCCGATATGAGTGGTAAACTAGCACTGCCATTAGCTTACCCAAGTGGGTCCTCTCCAGGCTTTCCCATGATCAGGAGCTATAGGATTCATCCCTGGTTTGGCAGGCATTCTTCAGGATGGTGCACAGCCTCTAGCCAGGGCCTTGTTAAGTATTTTCAACATTGTTCTACATTCAACATTGTGTTCAACATAGTATTGCCTTTACTCCTTTGTCAAAGATCAGTTGACTATACTTATGTGGATCTATTTGTGGCCTCTCTAGTCTGCTGAATTATATATTTATTTACTCTTTCACCAAGATCACACTGTCTTGATTATTACAATTTTATAATAAGTTTTGAAGTCAAGTGGTGTCAATCTTCTGATTTTGTTCTTTTCTTTTAATATTTTGTTAGCTATTCTGTCCTTTGTCTTTCCATATAAACTATAAAATAAATTTGTTGATATCCACAAAATAACTTGATGGGATTTTAATTGGAATTGTATTGAGTCTATATATCAACTTGGAAAAAGTAACATCTTGACAATATTAAGCCTTCCTATCAACTCTTCATTATTTAGTTCTTTGATTTCTTTCATCAGTTTTGTAGTTTTCCTAATATAGATCTTCTACTTATATTTTTTAGTTTCATACCTAAGCATTTTCTTTTAGGGCATGCTAATGAAAACAGTAATGTGTTTTTAATTCAAAATTTTACTTGTTACTGCTGGTATATAAGAATATGATTTACTTTTGTGTATTAACCTTGTATCCTGCCACCTTGCTATAATTGCCTTCTAGTTCCAGGAGTTTTATTATCTATTCTTTCAAATTTTTTGCACAGACAATCATGTCATTTGTGAACAAAGACTTTTATTTCTTCTTTCCCAATCTGTATAAATTTTCTTTCATTGTCCTGTCTTATTGCATTGGCTAGGACTGTCAGTACAATGTTGAAAAGGAGTGATGAGAGGAGATATCCTTGCCTTGTTCCTGATCTTAGTGGGAAAGTTTTTAGTTCATCATTAAGGGAAACGTTAACTGTAGGTTGTTGTAGATGTTCTTATCAAATTAAGGAAGTTCCTGTATATTCTTAATTTGCTGAGAGTTTTTTATCATGAATGGGTGCTGGAAGTTTTCAAATGCTTTTTTCTTCATCTATTTGTATGATCATGTGATTATTCTTCTAGTGTGTAGATAAAATTGATTACACTAATTGATTGTTAAACCTTGAACCAGCTTTGCATACATGGAATAAATCCCCCTTCGTCAAGGTGTATAATTTTTTTATACATGATTAAATTTGATTGGCTTATATTTTGCTGAGAATTTTTACATTTATGGTCATGCGAGATAGTAGCCTGTAGTTATTTTTTTCTGCAATGTCTTTGCTTTTTGTACTACAGTAATGCTGCCTGGCCATATAGAATGAGTTAAAAAAAATTCCTTCTTCTGAAAGAGATTATAGAGAATTGGTGTGATTTCTTCCTTAAATATTGATAGACTTCACCAAGTAAATCCACTGGGGTCTAGTGCTTTCTTTTTAAAAATATCATTAATTATTGATTCATCTTCTCTAATAAATATGGGAGTATTCAGATTATTTCTTCTTGTGTGAATTTTGGCAGATTGTGTCTTTAAGAAATGGGTCAATTTCATCTAGGTTTTAATTTATGGACATATAGTTGCTCATAGTATCCATGTGTTTTCCTTTCAAAGTCTTCAGAAACTGCAGTAATGACTCCTCTTGAATTTTTGACATTAGTAATTTTCATTTTTTCTTATTTTTTAGTTGGCTTGTCTATTGATATCTTCAAATCATCTACTTTTGGTTTTGTTGATTTTCTCTATTGATTTTCTACTTTTAGTTTCATTACTTTCTGCTCCAATTTTTATTATTTTCTTGTGTTTATTCTTGATTTAATTTGCTCTTCTGTTTCTAGTTTCCTAAATTAGGAAATTAGATTATTAATTCTAAATCTTTCTCCTTTTCTAATATACTTATTCAGTGCTATAAATTTTCCTCTAAATACTGCTTTAGCTGCATCTCACCAAGCAATACATTTATATGTAACACTTAGAAGCAATATACTGTAGTGGAAAGGGCACTCAACAGTGCCAGCAGACCACCATTTAAGTCCCACCCTGACTTTATGGCCTAATAAAGACTCCTATTCTCCTCTACTCTTAGTTTCCTCATCTGTAAGAATTGAATTTGTTAGAAATTATAGAACAGCTCAAAGCCATGAGTTGTAAATGATAAATACTGCCCTTTTTTAGATACTTTAAATCACTGTGAAATGGAATGGTAATTAATACTCTATGGAGGGGACAAGGCTTGACCTTTTCTAATGTAAGCAATTTAGTTCTACAAATTCCCTATTTAGTACTGGTATGGCTGCAAGCCACAAATTTTGTTATGTTGTATTTTCACTTTCAACCAGTTCTATGTATTTCTTTAATTTCCTTTAAGAATTCATTTATCCATGGATTATTAAGAAATGTGTTTTTAAATTTCTGAGTGTTAAAGATTTTTCCTTTGTCTTTTGGTTATTGATTTCTAGCTTGGTTCTATTGTGATTGGAGAACACACACTGTATGATTTCAATTCTTTCAAATTTGCTGATGTTTGTTGTATGGTCCAAGATATGGTATATCCTGATGAATGTTCCATGGTTGTTTGAAAATGTGTATTCTGCTATTCTTGGTAGAGTATTTTATATATATCAGTTAGATCCTGTTGATTGATGGTATTGTTCAAACCTTCTCTGTCCTCATTTATACATATTTTTGCTTTATGTTTCTGTTTTTTTCTTTCCTTCATAATGTTTCAGAATTTTTTACTTTTATTATGTATTTTGTGTTTCAAGAATTTTCTTTTAGCCATTCTTTAAAAGTATGTCTGATATTAAAAATGTATCTTAAATTTTCTTAGTCTGAGAATGTCTTTATTTCTCCATTCTTGATGTATAGTTTCACTGGATATAGACAATATTTTTTATTCATCACTTAAAAAACGGAATTCAGGCTGAGTGTGGTGGCTCATGCCTGTAATCACAACACTTTGGGAGGCCGAGGTAGGTGGATGACCTGAAGTTAGGAGTTCGAGACCAGCATGACTAACAAGATGAAACCCTGTTTCCACTAAAAATACAAAAAATTAGCCGGGTGTGGTGGTGGGTGCAGGTAATCTCAGCTGCTCAGGAGGCTGAGGCAGGAGAATTGCTTGAACCTGGGAGGTGGAGGTTGCAGTGAACCAAGATTGCACCATTGCACTCCAGCCTCTGTGACAGAGCAAGACTCTGTCAAAAAAAAAAAAAAAAAAAAAAAAAAAAAAGGGCATGCTACTTCCCTCTAGCCTCTAGAACTTCAGATAAATGCCCATTGTTATTCAAATTGATGTTCCACTATATGTAATATGTTATTTCTCTTTGGATCTTTTCAAGATTGGTTTTGGTCTTTAGTTTTCGGAATTTAAGTATGTTGTGTCTTGGCACAGACTGCTTTGGGATTATCATATTTGGGGAAAACTCAGCTTATTAAATCTGTAGGAGCATAACTTTTCCTAAATTTGGTAAGTTTTCAACCATTATATCTTCAAATACTCTTTCAATCTCATCCATTTCTTCTCTTCTGAGACTCCTATAATATGAATTATGGATGTATTGTAATATTTATATAAGCCCCTGGGACACTGTTCATTCAGTCTATTTTCTCTGCTGTTTGGATTTCGTAAATTTTGTTGACTTGGTCTCAAGTTCGCTAATCCTATCTTCTGCTATCTCCATTCTACTGTTCAGCCCATCCATCTAGTAAGTTTTTTAAATTTCAGTTATAGTTTCCAGATCTGTTTTTTCACTTGTTTTCTTTTTCTAATGTCTGTTGCTTTGTTGAGATTTTATATTTTTCATTTTATATGGTTTGGCTCTGTATTCTCGCCCAAATCTCATCTTGAAATGTAATCCTCATAATCTCCATATGTTGAAGGCAGGATCTGGTGGGAGGTTATTAGATAATGTGGAAGTTTTTCCCATGTTGTTCTTGTGATAGTGAGTTATCACAGTTTTTATAAGATCTGACGATTTTATAAGTGTTTGACAGCTCCTCTTAAACATGCTGACTCTTGCCTGCCACTGTGTAAGTTGTGCCTGCTTTCCCTTCCACCATGATTGTAAGTTTCCTAGGCTTCCTCAGCCATGTGGAACTGTGAGTCAATTAAACTTCTTTTCTTTATAAATTACCAAATCTCAGGTAGTTCTTTATAGCAGTGTGAGAATGAACTAATACAGGGTATTGGTAGTAAGAGTGGAGCACCGCTATAAAGATAACCTAAAAATGTGGAAGTGACTTTGAAACTAGATAATAAGCAGATACTGGAACAGTTTGGAGGCCTCAGGAGAAGACAGAAAAATATGGGAAAGTTTGGAACTTCCTAGAGACTTGTTGAATGGTTTTGACCAGAATGTTGATAATGATGTGGACAATGAAGTCCAGGCTGAGATGGTCTCAGATGGAAATGAGGAACTTATTAGGAACTAGAATAAAGATCACTCTTACTATACTTTAGCAAAGAGACTGGTGGGCATTTTTCCCCTGCTGTAGAGTTCTGTGGAACTTTGAACTTGAGAAAGATGATCCAAAATTGGAAGTTATGTTTAAAAGGGAAGAGAAGTATAAAAGTTTGAAAAATTTGCAGCCTGACAATGTGATGAAAAGAAAAACTTATTTTCTGGGGAGAAATACAAGCTGGCTGCAGAAATTTGCATTATTAACAAGGACCCAAATGGTATTTACCAAGACAATGGGGAAAATGTCTCAAGGGCATGTCAGAGATCTTGGCAGCAGCCTCACCCATCACAGGCCTAGAGGCTTAGGAGAAAAAAATTGGGTTTTATGGGCTGGGCCCAGGGCCCCAGACCCTACTCCTGAGTGCAGCCTTAGGACTTGCTGCCCTGCATTTTAGCCACTCTAGTTCCAGCTGTGGGTAAAAGAGGTCCAGGTGCAGCTCCAGGCTTTGCTTCAGAGGGTGCAAGCCCCAAACTTTGGCAGCTTCCATGTGGCATTGGGAGTGTGGATGCACAGAAGTCAAGAATTGAGGTTTGAGAACATCTGCCTGGATTTCAGAGGATGTATGGAAATGCCTAGATGTACAGGCAAAAGTCTGCTGCAGGGCCAGAGCCCTGATGAAGAACCTCTGCTAGGATAGTAGAAAAGGGAAATGTGGGGTTGGAGCCCCCACACAGAGTCCCCACTGTGGCACTGCCTAGTAAAGCTGCAAGAAGAGGACCACCATCCTCGAGACCCCAGAATGGTAGATCCACCAACAGCTCACACTGTGAACCTGGAAAATCTGCAGGCACTCAACTCCAGCCAATGAGAGCAGCCACAGGGGTTAAACCCTACAAGGCCACAGAGGAAGAGATGCCCAAGGTGTTGGGAACCCATGTTTTGTTTGCATTTGGATGTAATAACTGCCCTGTTAGATATTGGATTTGCATGGGGCCTGTAGCACCTTCGTTTTGGCCAATTTCTCCTATTTGGAATGAGTGAATTTATCCAATGCCTGTACCCCCATTGTATCTTGGAAAAAGCTAACTTTTTTTTTTTTTTTATTTTACAGGCTCATAGGTGGAAAAGACTTTCCTTGTCTCAGATGAGACTTTGGAATGTAAACTTTTAGGTTAATGATGGAAGGAGTTAAGACTGAGGGACTGTTGGGAAAGCATAATTGGTTTTGAAATGTAAAAAGGACATGAGATCTGGAAGAGCCAGGGGTGAAATAATATGGTTTGGCTCTGAGTCCCCACTCAAACCTCATCTCCAATTGTAATCCCCATAATCTCCATGTGTTGAGGGCAGGACCTGGTGGGAGTTGGTTGGATCATGGGGGAAGTTTTCTCCATGCTGTTCTCATGATAGTGAGTGAATTCTCATGAGATCTGATGGCTTTATAAGTGCATGACAGTTCCTCCTACATACTCTCACCTGCCACCATGTAACATGTGCCTCCTTCCCCTTCCATCATGATTGTAATTTTCCTAAGGCCTCCCCAGCCACGTGGAACTGTAAGTGATATGATTTGGCTCTTTTTCCCCACCCAAATCTCATCTTGAATTGTTCTCCCATAATTCCCACATGTTGTGGGAAGCACCCAGTGGGAGATAATTGAATTATGGGGGCAGGTTCCCCCATAATGTTCTCATGGTTGTGAATAAGTCTCACAGGATCTGATGGTTTTATCAGGGGTTTCTGCTTTTGCATTTTCTTCATTCTCTCTTTGCCTGCCACCATCCACATGGAATGTAACTTGCTCCTCCTTGCCTTCTGCCATGATTCTCAGGCCTCTCCAACCATGTGGAACTGTAAATCCATTAAACCTCTTTCATTCGTAAATTGCCCAGTCTTGGGCTTGTCTTTATTAGCAGTGTGAAAATGGACTAATACAGTGAGTCAATTCAACCTCTTTTCTTTATAAATTACCCAGTCTTGGGCAGTTCATTATAGCAGTGTGAAAACAGACTAATACATCATTTGCTTCAGGAGCATTTATAATTGCTCATGGAAGCATTCTTATGATGGCTGCTGCTTTAAAATAATTTTTGGGTAATTCCCACACGTCATTTATATCAGTATTTGTGTCTATTGATTGACTTTTCTGAGTCAAGTTGTAATTTTCCTTGTTCTCCATATGATAAAATTCTGGGCTATATAGAAATTCTCTATTTTAGCAGGCAGTCACTCTGTTTACGTTTAGCAAACAGGTTGTGGCATAATTTTGAGTTCCAATAACAAAATAATTTTCAGAGATTTTTATGTGCTGTATTATTTTGCCTGGATTCTCTGGTGTCATGAGGGCTCTTATTGATCTCTGCCAGAGCCAGTTAGTGTCTCTGGACAGTGAGAAGGATTCTCTAGCTTGAAGGATCAAAGAGTGCTTTCTGAATTGGGCACCTTGCTGGGATGCGATCCCCCCTTGCAAGTGCTGCCTTGTGTCTATTTGGGGGACTGGAGTCACTGGCTAGTGGAGAGGAAGAGCAGCTCCCCTGACTACTTAGTGTTAACAAAGCTTCTCAGTGTCTCCTGCCACTGCTGCCAGGCCCACCTGGAATTGTCAGTAGGACTCTCCTTCAACCTCAGGCTGCATTTTGCTACATTGGGAGAGGCTGGGCCTATATCAACTTCAATTTCTGGGTTGAGGCTTATATGATGTCAAGTTTCTGTATTGCTCTTCCAGGTCTGTGTCCCTAGCCAGTCTGCCTTTCTCTTTTTAACATTTGAATACTTTTATTGTTGTCTCTCTCACAATTTCCAGTGTCTTTTCATCTTAAAGGAGAGACAAGTCTATGACATTTTGTCCAAAATAGAAGCCTAATTTATTTGCAAAATATTACTTTTCTATGTGAAGAATAAATTGGATGGAGCTAGAGAGAATGTGAGAAAATTAAGCAGAAGACTACTATAATAGTTGAGGTAACATATCATTGTGGGAATTTTTAATTTTTAGCTTTCATGGGTACATAGTAAGTGTGTATATTTATGGAGTACATGAGTGGTTTTGATGCATGCATTTAATGTGTAATAATCACATCGTAGAGGATGGGGTATCCATCTCCTCAAGAATGTATGTTTTGTATTACAAACAATATATTTATGCTCTTTCAGTTATTTTTAAATGTACAGTTATATTATTATTGACTATAGTCACCTTGTTTGGCTATTAAATAGGTTTATGCATTTTAAACTATTTTTTTTTTTTACCCGTTAACTGTATCTATCTCCCTGCTCCCTACCCTTCTTGGCCTCTGGTAATCATCCTACTCTCTATGTCCAAGAGTTCAATTGTTTTGCTTTGTAGATCCTAAAAATAATGAGAACATGTGAAGTTTGTCTTTATGTGTCTGGCTTATTTTGCTTAACATAATGACCTCCAGTTCCATCCACATTGTTGCAAATGACAGGGTCTCATTCTTTTATGGCTGAATAGTACTCTATTGCGTATACTTACCACATTTTCTTTTTCATTCATCTGCTGATGGACATTTAGAGTGCTTTCAAATCTTGGCTATTGTTAACAGTGCTGCAACAAACATGGAAGTGCAGGTAGCTCTTCAATATACTAATTTATATTCTTTTGGGTATACACCCAGAAGTGAGATTGCTGGATGCTATTGTACCTAAATTTTTAGTTTTTTTTTTCTTTTTATTTTAGGCTTGGGGGGGTACTTGTGAAGGTTTGTTACATATGCAAACACGTGTCACCAGAATTTTTCATACATATTATTTTATCACCCAAGTATTAAGCCCAGTACCCAATAGTTACCTTTTCTGCTTTTCCTTCTCCCACCCTCCCTCATCAAATAGACCCCAGTGTCTGTCGTTTCCTTGTGTTCATAAGTTCTTATCATTTAGCTCCCACTTATAAGTGAGAACACATGGTATTTGGTTTTCTGTTCCTGCCTTAGTTTGCTAAAAATGGTAGCCTCTAGCTCCATCCATGTTCCCCAGAAGACATGATCTTGTTCTTATTTATGGCTGAATAGTATTCCATGGTGTATGTGTACCACATTTTCTTTATCCAATCTGTCATTGATGGGCATTTATGTTCATTGCAGGTTGTTGCTATTATAAATAGTGCTGCAGTAAACCTTCACATGCATGTGTCTTTATGGTAGAATGATTGGTATTCCTCTGGGTATATAGCCAGTAATGGAATTTCTGGGTTTTATGGTAGTTCTGCTTTAAGCTTTTTGAAGAATCACCATCAGGTGATTCACTATACACTGTTGGTGGGAGTGTAAACATACTGTTTTCTACTATGGTTGAACTAATTTACACTCCCACAGTGTATAAGTGTTCCCATTTCTCCACCACCTCACCACCATCTGTTGTTTTTTGACTTTTTAATAGTAGCCATCTGACTGATGTGAGATGGCATCTCATTGTGGTTTGATTTAAGTACCTCTAATGACCAGTGATACTAAAATTTTTTATATGCTTGCTGGCCACATGTATGTCCTCTTTGGAAAAGTGCCAGTACAAGTCTTTTACCTTCTTTTTAATGGTGTTTTCTCTTGTAAAGTTAAGTTCATATAGATGCTGGATGTTAGACCTTTGTCAGGTGCAGAATTTGCAAATAATTTCTGTAGGCTGTCTGTTTACTCTGTTGATAGTTTCTTTTGCTGTGCTCTTTAGTTTAATTATATCCCACTTGCCAATTTTTGCTTTTGTTGTGACAGGTTTTGGTTTCTTTGTCATGAAATCTTTGCCCATTCTTATGTCCAGAATAATATTGCTGAGGTTGTCATCCAAGGTTTTTATAGGGAAGGGGTCAGCTTCAGTCTTCTGCATATGGCTAGCCAGCTATCACAGCACCATTTATTGAATAGGGAGTCGTTTCCCCATTGCTTGTTTTTGTAAGCTTTGTTGAAGATTAGATGGTCATAGATGTGTGACCTTATTTCTGGGCTCACTATTCCGTTATATTGATCTCTGTTCCTGTTTTTATACCAGTACCATGCTGTTTTGGTTACTGTAGCCTTGTAGTATAGTTTGAAGTAGTGTAACATGAGGCCTCCAGCTTTGTTCTTTTTGCTTAGAACTGCCTTGGCTATTTAGGCTCTTTTTTGGTTTCATATGAATTTCAAAACAGTTTTTTTTCTAGTTATGTAAATAATGTCTATGGTAGTTTCATAGAAACAGCATTAAATCTGTAAATTGCTTTGGGAACTATGACCATTTTAATAATATTTATTTATTTACTCTTCCTATTCATGAGCATGGGATTTTTTTTTTTCATTTGTTTGTGTCTTCTCTGATTTCATTGATCAGTGTTTTGTAATTCTCATTGTAGAGGACTTTCACCTCCCTGGTTAGCTGTATTCCTAGGTATTTCATTCTTTTTGTGGCAATTGTGAATAGGATTGTTTTTTCCGATTTGGCTCTTGGTTTGGCTGTTGCTGGTGTATAGGAATGCTAGTAATTTTTGTACATTAATTTTGTATCCTGCAACTTTGCTAAAGTTGTTAATCAGCTGGAGGAGCTTTTGGGCAGAGACTATGAGATTTTCTAGATACAGAATCATGTCATCTGCAAATAGATACACTTTGACTTTCTCTCTTCCAATATGGATGCCCTTTATTTTATTCCCTTGCCCGACTGCTCTGGCTTCGGCTTCCACTATGTTGAATAGAAGTGGTGAGAGAGGTCATCCGTATCTTATGCTGGTTTTAAGGGAAAATATTTCCAGCTTTTGCCTATTTGCTGTAATACTGGCAGCGCATTTGTCAAAGATGGCTTTTATTACTTTGAGATATGTTCCTTCAATACCTAATTTATTGAGAGCTTTTAACATGAAAGGGTATTGAGATTTATCAAAAGCCTTTTCAGCATCTATTGACATAATCATGTGGTTTTTGTCTTCAGTTCTGTTTATGTGATGAATCACATTTATTGATTTGCTTATGTTGAACCAATCTTACATCCTGGGATGAAACCTACTTGATCATGTGGATTGGCTTTGTGATGTGATGCTGAATTTGATTTGCAAGTATTTTGTTGACAATATTTGCATTGATGATCATCAAGAATATTGGCCTGAAATTTTTTTTTTTTGTCTCAGTCAGGTTTTGTTATCAAAATGATACTGCTCTCATAAAATGAGTTTGGGAAGTGTCCCTCCTTCTCAATTTTTAGAAATAGTTTTTGTAGAAATGATACCATTGTTTTTGTAGAATTTGGCTGTGAATCTGTCAGGTTTCAGGCTTTTTTTTTTTTTTTTTGGTGGGTAGACTATTCATTACTGATTCAATTTTGGAGCTCAAGATTAATCTGTTCAGGGAATCAGTTTTTTCCTGGCTCAGTCTTGAGAGGATGTAAGTATCCAGGAATTTATCCATCTCTTCTAGGTTTTCTAGTTTGTGTGCGTAGATGTTTTTGTAGTAGTTTTTGAGTGTTGCTTTTATTTCAGTGCAATCAATAGTAACATTCCCTTTATCATTTCTGTGTTTATTTGGATCTTCTCTGTTTTATTATTATTCTAGCTAGTGTCCTATTTTATTAATTTTTTCAAAAAACAACTCCTGGATTCATTGATCTTTTGGATGGCTTTTCGTGTCTTGATTTTGTTCAGTTCAGCTCTAATTTTTTGTTATTGTTTCTCATCTTCTGCTAGCTTTGGGGTTGATTTGTTCTTGCTTGTGCAGTTTTGAAGTTACATTCTTGAGATCTAACTTTTGGTGTGGATATTTAATGCTCTGAATTTCCCTCTTAACACTGCCTTAGCTGTGTCTCAGTGATTGTGGTATGTTTTATCTCATTATTTTAAAAGATCTTCTTGATTTCTGCCTTTATTTCATTATGTACCCCAAAATCATTCAGGAGCCTGTTGTTTAATTTCCATTTAATTTCATGGTTTTGAGAAACTTTCATAGTGTTGACTTCTATTGTTATTGTGTTGTGGTTTGAGACTGTGTTTGGTATGAATTTGATTTTTTTTATATTTGCTGATAATTGCTTTATGTCTAATTTTGTGGTTGATTTTAGAGTATGTGCCATGTGGTGATGAGAAGAATGTATATTCTGTTGCTTGGGATGGAGGGTTCTGTAAAGGTCTATCAGATCCATTTGGTCCAATGTTGAGTTTAGATCCTGAATATCTTTATTTTTTGCCTCATGATCTAACACTGTCAGTGGAGTGTTGAAACCTCCCAGTATTATTGTGTGGGGATCTATGTCTCTTTGAAGGTCTCTAAGAACTTTCTTTATGAATCTGGATGCTTATGTGTTGAGTGCGTATATATTTAGGATAGTTACTTCTTGTTATTGAATTGGACCCTTTACCATTATGTAATGCCCTTCTTTGCCTTTTTTTTTTATTCTTGTTGGTTTGAAATCTCCTTTGTCTGAATTAAGGATTGCAACACATGCTCTTTTTTTTTTTTTTCCACTTGCTTGGTATATTTTCCTCCATCCCTTTATTTTGAGCCTATGAGTGTCCTCACGTGTTAGATGGATCTCTTGAAGACAGCATACCATTGAGTCTTGCTTCTTTATCCAGCTTGCCACTCTGTGCCTTTTAAGTGAGGCATTTTGACCATTTACATGAAAGATTAGCATTGATATGTGTGGATTTGATCCCGCCATTGTGTTGTTAGCTGGTTATTATGTTGCCTTGTTTGTGCAGTTGCTATACATTAACACTGCTCTGTGTGTTTGAGTGTGTTTTTGTATTAGCTTGTATCAGTCTTTCCTTTCTATATTTAGTGCTCCTTTCAAGATCTCTTGTAAGACAGGTCTAGAGGTAATAAATTCCCTCAAGATTTGCTTGTCTGAAAAGGACATTGTTTCTCCTTCACTTAGGAAGCTTAGTTTGGCTGGATGTGAAATTCTTGGCTGAAGATATTTTTTCTTTAAGAATGTTGAATGTAGGCCCCAAATGACTTCCGGCTTGTAGGGTTTCAGCTAGCAGGTCCTCTGTTAGCCTGATAGGGTTCCCTTTGTAGGTGACCTGCCCATTTCTCCTGACTTTAACATTCTTTCTTTCATTTCAACCTTAGAATTTCTGACAATTAAGTGTCCTGGAAATAATCTTGTGTAGAATCTTGCAGTTCTCCGTATTTTCAGAATTTGACTGTTGGCATCTCTAGCAAGGTTGGTAAAGTTTTCATGGATGGTATTCTGAAATATGTTTTCCAAGTTGTTTGCTATCTCCCCTTCCCTTTTAAGGATGCCAATAATTTGTAGATTTGGCTTTTTTACATAATCCCATACTTCTCAGAAAGATGCAGGTCAGCAATAGCTCAGTGCAATCAGCCCAGTATGGGACTCCTGTGCTGTGGGCCCAAGCTAGGGGTTCTCTGGTCATGAGCAGTAGCTGTGTGTGGGGAACTCATGGGGGACAGACTTGCCTCCTCTCCTTGGGTCCACTGCAGCTTGTTGGAGGTGTGGATAGGGCACTTAGAGTCTTTGTTCCTTCATTAGTCTGTAAGTGACAAAAGCAATTCCACTGCAGAGGCAGTGGCAGAAAGGCTTTCAGTTGCTCCTGGAGGCTCTATCCAGAGAGTTGCTGAGTTGTTACTGGCTCAATAGCTCTGTCAGGAAGTGGCTGGAATCCCAGGTCTGGAGGACCTATCTGGTGAGGAGAAATGGGAACAGGCAGTTATGTAACACTCTGGCCACTTTTCCACAGGGCTGCTGCAGTATGCTTGGAAACTGCTCCAGCCCTGAGTTACCTCAGATTTTCCAGTACCTGGTATCACCAGTGAAGGCTGTAAAACAGCAAAGATGGCAGTCTGTTCCTCCCTCTGGGAGCTCTGCGTCAGGGAGATATGGGCCAGTTGCTGGTCCAAACACACCTGTAGGAGGTGGCTGAAGATCCCAGTTGGGGGTTCCCACCCAGTGAGTTGGAACAGGATCCGTGATCCACTTTAAAAAGCAGTCTGGCCACATATTGGTAGAGCAGCTGTGCTGTGCTGGGAATCTGCTTCAGCGCACCAGTTGCCTCAGACACTATGAAGCCTGAAGGCTGGAAAGGATATGTCGCCCAGACAGAAAGGATAGTGGTCCACCCCTCCCTCTCAGAGCTCCATCCCAGGGAGATTACAAATCTCTGTTTGCTGTAGAATGCCAACAGCAATGGTTGGAGGCCCCAGTTGGAAGTTCCCACCCAGTGAGGAGAAATGAGATCAGGCACCTGATTAAAGTAGCAGTCTGGCCACGTTTTGGTAGAGCAGCTGGGCTGTGTTGAGGGATCCCTTCTGCCACCCATCAGCTTGGACTTTACAAAGCCTGAAGGCTGGAATGACTAAGGCACCCAAACAGCAAAGATGGCAGTCCACCCCTCCTCCCAGGACCTCCTTCTTAGGGTGTGAAATGCAGTTACTGGAGGCTGGTTGAAATTCCAAGCCAGTGGATCTTATCTTGTGACGTGCCATGTGCCATGGAAGTTGGGACTGCAGGCTGTTGCTGCTCAGCCCTGTAAATTTAGCCTCTTTCCTATGGGTATGTATGGGGGTCTAACCTCCCACTTTGCCCAAGTTACAGCTATTTTTGCCAAAAAACCCAAATAGCTAAGGCTCCAGGGTCTCCAATCATACCTGAGCAGATGCCCTGCCAAGACTCCACGTAGCCCTGCATGTTCAGACTGAAGGCCACAGTGGAGTGGCTTCACCAGGTGATCTCCTGACCTAAGGGCTGTAAAGATACTTGGGAGAACCATGGTACCGTGGTTCGCCTGGCTCTGTGTTGCCCGCAGGTGAGCCACTGTTCTGTCTTGCTTTTCTTCATTCTCCATGGGTCAAGTGGTTTACTTGATTAGTCCCAATGTGAGTACCTGGATATTTCAGTTTAAAGTACCATATGTACTCACCCCTTCCCTTCCTCTCCATGAGAGATAGAGCCATACACACTAGCTGCTTCTAGTCAGCCATCTTGGCCACTCCCTGATTTTTATTTTTGTAACTTCCAAACTGTTCTCTATAATGGTTGTACTAATTTACATTCCTACCAACAGTTTGTGAGGGTTCCCTTTTCTCCACATCCTTGCCAGCATGTTATTGCTTATCTTTGGATATAAGACATTTTAACTGGGGTGAGATGATATCTCATTGTAGTTTTGATTTGCATTTCTCTGATGATTGATGATGTTGAGCACCTTTTCATATGACTGTTTGCCATTTGTATGTCTTCTTTTGAGGCATGTCTATTCAAATATTTTGCCAATTTTTGATTAGATTACTAGATTTTTTCCTGTAGATTTGTTTGAGCTCCTTATATATTCTAGTTATTAATCCCTTGTCAGATGGGTAGTTTGCAAATATTTTCTCCCGTTCTGTTTGGTGTCTCTTCACTTTGTTGATTATTTCCTTTGCTTTGCAGTGGCTTTTTAACTTGATGTGATCTCATTTGTCCATTTTGGCTTTGGTTGCCTGCGCTTGTGGGGTATTCCTTGAGGTATTTCTGCCCAGACCAATGTCCTGGAGGTGTTCCCTAATTTTTTCTTGTCTTAAATTTAAGTATTTAATCCATTTTCATTTGATTTTTGTATATGGCCAGTGACAGTGGAACTAGTTTCATTCTTCCACATAGGGATATCCAGTTTCCCCAGCACCATTTATTGAAGAGACTTTCTTTTTCCCAGTGTGTGTTATTGGCACCTTTATGAAAGTGAGTTCACCGTAGGTGTGTGGATTTATTTCTGAGTTCTCTATTCTTTTCCAATGGTCTATGTGACTACTTTTATTCCAGTACTGTGCTGTTTTTGTTACTATAACTCTGCAGTATAATTTGAAATCAGGTAATGTAATTCCCCCAGTTTTCTTTTTCCTCAGGATAGCTGTGGGTATTCTGTGTCTTTTGTGGTTCTGTATGAATTTTAGGATTTTTTTTTTAATTTCTGTGAGGAATGTCATTAGTATTTTGATAGGGATTGTACTGAATCTATAGATTGCTTTGGGTCAGATGGTTGTGTTTTAAACTTAGGTGGTAGCAATGGAGATGGAAACGAATAGCAATGGAGATAGAAACAAATGAATAGGATAAATACATTTTGGAGATAAAACCGAGACTCACTGATGTGTTGACACTGATAATTTCCAGCTTGAGCAACTGAATAGATGGCAATGTCACTTGATTGTCAAAAATAGATACTTGTATCCCTACTTGGAGCAAACTTACCACAAAAATACATTTCTTTCTTAAATACATGGGCTCTGAGTTTCTATTCCTTGACCTGGAGCAGGATTACAAAATAAGAAGAAATGCATTCCATCTCATCTACCTCTCCTAGTCTCTTAGAGTTATAACTGAGACCAAGCTAAGAACCTCCTAGTTGCATGTAAATTATAACCATTAATTGACTGGAATTCCTAGCATGTACTTGGTCTTCATTAACATTCATGTTAACTGCAGGCCAAAACAGTTCTGCTGCTGTTAAATCATTGATTCTGCAATGGCCTAAACACTAACTCTTGGATAACTAGCCATCTAAATCCCCCTTCCACCCACACTTTATTTCTGAGATTCTCAGTAAAGCTCTCCAGAAACCCATTGACCATGGAAAAACAAGAGGAATCATAGCTTCTGGATTGTGTTTTCTCCTCCAAACTTATATCGTAACTGAACACCAGCTCTGTGAGTTTCTACATTTTATCTTCAAGAGATTGCTACCTAGACAGACAGATTGCTGGACAGACAGAAAAGTTGGAATCAATATGGGTAAGGTGGATGGAGATTAGTGGATGTTTCCATGATATATGAGGATGAAATAGGTATTTGGAGTCAAACAGATGAATACATGAATCCCTGCTCAACTTCTACCTGAGGGATCTTGGATGAAGTTACTTAATGTCCATAAGCTTTTGTTCACTCAAATGTATAAATGGATAACATTACTCAAATGTAAAATGACTTGCCCTGAGGTAATCCAAACGCAATCAAGAATTAAAATGCTTTTTAAAGTGTAAAACAGTACATAGTTATCATCTTTTCTCTCCTTGATACCTCTTCTGTTCTCCACTTGCCATGTGGTACAATATTATGGATATTGCAGTGGGGTGGGCCATCTTACCCAATCTAAAATTTATCACTTATCTGTGCTCTCTAACCAATATTTGGCTCAAATTTGCATGTAACAAAGGAATATTGCTGTAAAATACCAGAAAGAATGACTCCATCCTATAAGGAAGCCCCCAAAGTTGCAACTAGACCTTTCACACCACCACTGCCAAAAAGGCCCCATAAGATATGGTCCTACTTCCCCTGGCCCACTGGACAGGTTTGAGTCTCGTCTCAGACTTCTATTTCCCTCTGGCAAATTTTCTTGACACTCAGAAAATTTTTGTCATTTATGCGACAGCTCCTTTTCTAGGGTGGTACCCAGCACTCTTTGATGCTTCCTCTGGAACAGCTTCCTCATCTCTAAAACAAAAACTTGTAGGTTCTACAAAGGCTAGACAAATACATACTATACTCACTCACCCCCTAAGTATTTTCTGTTTCAATCACAGTGACAGAAGCCACAGAGACTGTCAAAAATCACCAAATTCAGTCTTTCAGTGTTCTAACAAGTACTTTAATGGATAGGGTTTGCTGTCTAAAACATGAAGAGGTAACTCAACATTCCTTTCAGTGCCACAGGTTAAGAACTTGGAGAACTGGCTTTCCTGAGGAGCTTCTAGCTCCAGAGGTTGTACATGCTCATGGCAGCAACAACCCATTGACCACTTCTTCAAAGTAGTTCACTGCCAAGGAGAATCAAAATTCAATTTGGATTCCCAATACTCAGCCTACCTTCAATTTCCCATCAAGCCTATATTCTTAGCCTTTAGTTTAAGTGTGGGTTATCTTAACAGCTCACTTGGCCTCAGTTCAAAGTGAAATTTCCTGAGTCCTTGAAAGAAGTAGAAACCCAATCAATGAGTTTTTCTCTTGGTCTCTACTTTGTGAGAAGGATACATTTCTAGAAATTTCAATACCTTCCAAGTGTCAGAAGGAAATATAATGTAGCTGTTGAAATTTGCGATGTAGGATAATAAGGTACTCCCTTAGTGCCAGGTGCCCACGTAGAGCAAAGAAACTAAAGAAAAAGTGAAATCATATTATTTCCATGTAAAATAAATAAAGAAAGAAATATCCAGATAAGCTTGATTGCTCCTTCTGCTTCTCCACCACCCATGCCCCTTTGAGTGTGGGGTTAGTGACTAGTCCATGGCCTGCTGGGAGTGCACTACAGATGTGCTTCCTGAGGATATCTCCAGGCTCCAGATGTTACTGTTTGAAAGACAGAAGCTTGAAGCTGTCATCCAGGATGGACCTCCTATTGCGTCGTAGCTTTCTCTGTCGATGTTGGTACCAAACCACTCCACCAAGAGCCAGAACAACGAGCAGAAGGGTGACACTAATGGCAACCAAAACAGAGGCCAGCATCTCAACATTCTTTATGGGGATCTGCATGCCCAGCATCTTCACATTGCCTTCTTCAATGTCTCTGGGGGGCACTGCTGAAATGGAGAAAAAAAAAATGGGCATCCTGGGATGGGGAGTACTCTAAAAGGTAACTATCTATAGTCATCACCTGAAAAAAACAAGTCAATCCAAATAGGACAGGAGGCCTGTCCTTATCCTTCACAAAACTAGCTGATGAAGACAGATTTAGAGGTTAGAGAATCAAGAAAACATGATGTAACAGCTATAAGGGTCCTTGAGAATCACTGAGGCCCCAGTCCATTCATGGAAAGAGCTAAGACTCAGATTGGGAAGGCCCTTGATACATGTTCTCAAATATCTAAAGGACTGTGATATAAAAAAAAAAGATGAATTTGACTTGTTCTGTATGGCTTCAGAGGGTAGAATTGGAGGCAATAAGGGAAACTTCAGAAAGAAATTTGACTCAGTCATCCAGCTTATCAATAGCAATTTTGACAATTAAACCATGACAAGAACCTGCTACTAGGCTGTCCAGTCTTACCTCTTTGGGTCATGTTAACGCTGATGTCACATAGACCTTTCCAAGAGAAATATCTGATTGTTAGTTCTTGGCATACACACTTTTGATGATTCCCAATTAGCCTACAGAGAAAAGCTCAGACTTTTAAACCAGACATTCCAACTCTCAGTATCAGGCTCTAATCTATCCTTCTAGTCCTATCTACTAGTTTTCAGCCATAGCAACACATTCTTTCCTCCTCATAAAAAGTGATCCCCTTTCAGGCTTCTAAGACTTTGCTCATGCTAATCCCTTTGTCTGAACACACTTTACTCCTTATCTTTCTAGCCCTACCTTAAATTTTACATGTCTCTGCAAAGTTTTCTTTGATTTCATTAGACAATTGTTCTTTCCTCTATGTTTTCCAAGCGCCTGTACCTTGTACCCCCATAATTAACTTATTGTGTGACCTTGGGCCAAGAGACCTAATCCCTCACTTCCCATCTAAACCTCAGTTTCTTCTTTTATAAAATCAGAATAACAACCATACCTAACACAGAGGCATATTGTAAAATTTAAGTGAATTAATACTTATAAAATATCTAGTATAGCACCTAGCAGACAGGAAGTACCCAATACATGTTAACTGTTATTATTGCTTGCCCTTTTTGTACAGCACACAGCATCCAGCATTATTATTTCTGTGCCTCATTCCATTTATAGACGCTGAAAAATAGCGGCTATGTCTTACTTATTTTGATATCCCTGGTACCTGACACTTGTTTGATGATTGTTCATCAACATCAATCAATGTAATTCAACATAACTGGTTGAATTAATGTTCTAACACAACTGAGAGAAGACAGAATATAATGAGTTCAAATAGAAGCTCAAAACTTTCTGGTTCTGAGTTTACATTCTACCACATACTCCTTTTGTGACATTGAACAAATCATTTTCAATTTCTCAGCTTCTCATGTAGAAAATTATTGAGTTTTATTAGAACAACAGTTTCAAAGGCTTTTTTCCCCATTGTAGAAACTTTTTAACAAATGAGAGCTTATGAGGAATGTATATATGTACACAAAATATGTATGTATATATACAAATATACACACAAAGTATGTGTGAACACAAATATATATATAATATTTAAAATATATAAAATATTTAAATATTTAAAATATATATAAAAATATATATATATAATATATATATAAAATAATTTAGTTGCTCAGGTTGAAAGAGACATGGCCTGAAAGCCCACCCACACAATCACACCTTACCTTTCCCCATCCCCTCCAGGACATATCCTGGTCCCCTGGTTAACAGTTCATGAGATACTTAGGCAGATCATTAAGACTTCTCCAAACAGCTGTAAAACCTCAGACTAAACTACTAATTATCTCTAATGTTCCTTTTAGCTCTCATACCTTTCTGGATCTTTCCTAGTCCAGAGACAAATGAGGTGGAGAATAACAACACTATTTGGACCTGGGCTGCACAGAAAAATAATCTCTACAGTATTCAAGGTCAGAAATGGCTGGTTCCAAAGGTTTAACTCCTTGGTATTCCATAGATGAAAGGGAAAGAGGCAAGAATAAAAATAGCTGTTGAAGAACATATGGTGTTGGAACTAGTCTCATACTGTCCCTAGGGGGGATTCATATTTGTGCTATAACTTTTCCATGTCCAACCCAGCAGGACCTAGATTTAATATATATATATATTTAATATATATATTTTACATATATATATATATATTTCAACAGCTTCAGGAGTACAAGTGGTTTTTGGTTACATGGATGAATTGTGTAGAGGTAAAGTCTGGGATTTTAGGGCACCCATCACCCAAGTAGTGTACGTTGTACTTAATAGGTAGTTTTTTATTCCTCACTGCCCTTCTACTCTCCTTGCTTCTGAGTCTCCAATGTCCATTATGCCATTCTGTATACCTTTGCATATTCATAGCTTAACTCCCACTTATAAGTGAGAACATGCAGTATTTGGTTTTCGACTAGTATCTAGAATTTACTTCCCCCCTCACACATTAGATGAGAGGCTAAGACAGCAGCCTTTAAATGGGGAGGAGGCTGTTTTCCCCAACTCAGGAGGTTTGAGGTGGAAGCCAGAGAGAATAAACCTGCTGAGGGAAGCTAAACCTTGGTTCTTTGGCTTCTGAAGTCTTGCAGAAGTCTCAGGATACTTTCTGCTGATGTATTCTAACTCTCAGTCACATAAGTCCCATACCCTAAAGGTACTTCACCCAACCTCATACACAGACACACTATGTATAAGTACCCAGTCTGTGCATCATTTTACGTACCTTTTTCAGTCTCTTTGGTGATGACGGTGAGAGGGCTTAAGTGTTCTGGTTGGGGGGAAAAAAGACAAGAGGTTAGCCTTATTGTTCTTCCTACCAATCCATAGGCCCCCTATGAAAGGTCAACATTGGTTGCAGAAATTTCTCTGTGATTAAGTAAGCAAAATAAAGGCAGAATTTACTACTTTATAGTCCAAGTCAATATTGGTATGTTGATTTGATTTTGAACAGTGACATGAAATATGGGCAAGAGAACAGGCTTGGAGTCCAAAATGTAAATCACCCCTCTGCTATTATTTAAATATTTCTTGGCACTTCCTCTATCCCCATTATTGCTCTATTTCCAACCATTTGCCACACTTCCTTCAGGAAATCCCTGCTCCTTGTGAAACCTACTTCTCTACACATTCAACATCTTCTCAGAACACTTCTTCCTCTCCTTGATTTAATAAAGCTGAGTTCTTCTCTGAGGACCATACTTCATTTACATCATCTCAATACTTCTTTGAGATCATTGTTCCTCCTCTTTTTGTAAAAACATATCTCTTTTGAGGCTCATATTATTTGGCTAGAACTACAATCATTTCTTGTTATTGTTAGCTAGCAGTTCTCTTCATTTATGGAAGTCTTTAGTACCTGGCTCAGTCTTCCTCTCCCTCAATTCCAACCATGGGTGCTGACCCATCAAATACTCAAGCCTCACAGTTTCTAGCCCTTTTAACTCCAATAACTTTGATGTCTACTCCAATTCTACCAACCACTCCCATGGTCACATTAACCTTGTTATCAAGAATTGTTACATCTCAGAAATCTAAAATCTAACAACAACCTCCCATCCTTTCAGTGCTCTAATACACTTTATTTCAAAAACCTGTTATCCTCCCCTGCCATGAGACCTCTAGCTTTCAAAACCTTCAGTTTTTTTCCTCAACCTAGTAGCTTCATCCTGTCTTTTCTTCCATTCCTGACCAAGTGAGACTCCAAGGTCTATCACTTCAACTACTAATCTACCAAGAGTGTTGCAATAATCTACCAAAACTCCAGTAACTGTAATTACCCTGTATTTTGTCTGGTATGCTTAATTGCTGTTAGAGAAAATAACACAATTGTAAAGATTATTATCCTTTGTGTCCAATTTCAACTAAGCCCTCAATGCTGGCTGGTGATAATTATTTATTTCCCATCCCCCAGAGTGGCTATTTCAAACTTTCATCCACTTTTCTCAAGCCCTGTACCCTATAACCTGCCTTTCATTCTCAGCAGATGACTCTATTTGCTCCATCAGAGAGAAGAGAAAGACCATAGGCTGAAATTATCTGTCAGTCTGTCAAACCCCCTGGTCAAACCTACACATTGATCCTTATATTTTCTGTCTTCTTTCTTCTTAGAGTAGAAAGATGACTTTCCTCCACTCTTGCACTAATCTTTCATGTTAGCTCTGATTCTCATTCCCTGCTGCCTTATCAGAAACCTTGTTCCAAAAATTAGTCTTTTCCCTCTGTCTTTTCAACTCTTCCTTCCTGTTGGCCTGTTAACACACATGGAGTTGAAACAATATGAAATTAGGCCATAGCGGGTTATAAAAAAACAAAAGGGCAAATAGAAAAGATTTATGGGCTGGCTCATTGTCATAGAGAGATATGAGCTATCCTTCCTCATGGAAGTACCCTGGCAATATGTATTGAAATGGTCTCATATATTGGATGGTTCATATTTGGGATAACCCATTACTACATATAGAGAAAACCTGTTGTCTTGGATCTATATCAACCTGATGATGTATCAATTGATCACTTGACTTTTGTTCTATGTACTTACAACACAACAAAGAAGTTTCTGTAAATCTGGGTGCTAGGGAATAGCTCCTGAGTAGTTAAGTGGAAGCTGCATTCTAGCAGTATTAGTTGATAGAGAATAAATATTTTAAATTATATAGGAAGTCATAATGTGCAATCATTCATCTCTCTCTCTAAGGGTAAACAGAAGAGTTGTATTCTCCACCCACATTTGCTAAGTCTGTACGAATATTCAAAGACATTTTCCCCTTCACTATTCTTGTTGATAGAATGCCAATGACTGACAACCCCAGAAAACCATTTTTGTTCAAATGGTGGCTATATATTCTTTAAAAGCATAGAAAAAAAAAAAAAAAACACAGCCTTGATTTGTATGGGTCCCAAAAGGCTCTACAGGGCTTCTTGGAAGGCAAATAGTGTTGGGGATTGGACTCAGGTCAAGAACCTTAAGAAGTAAGACATTTGACCCTTTAATTACTCAAAGACACAAAAGCCAACACAGCCTACCCATCTACATTTTTTGGTGAGGAACAAAGAGTGGCTGGTAAAGAAATTGTCCCAGCTGCTCCCTCTCCATATAAAATATAAAGAAAAAGTTGTTTCCACCCTTGGTAGTAACTCAGATAAGCTGTAACTGAAGGACAATCTCTCTTTCTAGCCTTAGATGAAGATATTCAAAAACCAAAAAGAACTGTCTTGCTAGATGTGGTGGCCCATTCCTGTAATCCCAGCGATTTGGGAGGCTGATGTGGAAGGATGGTTTGAGCCCAGAAATTTGAAACCAGCCTAGGCAAAACCCTGCCTAAAAAATAAAAACTAGGCCAGGTTCAGTGCCTTATGCCTGCAATCCCAGCACTTTGGGAGACCAAGGCGGGAGGATTGCTGCTGCAGAAGGAGGCCAAGAGTTTAGAACCAGCCTGTGCAACATAGGTAGACCCCCTTCTCTACAAAAAGTATAAAAATTAGCCTTATGTGGTGGCACATTCCTGCAGTCCCAGCTACTTGGGAGGCTGATGTGGGAGGACTGCTTGAGTCTAAGAGTCTGAGGCTCCAATGAGCCATGATTGCACCACAGCACTCCAGCCTGGGTGACAGATCAAGACCTTTACTCTAAGAAAAAAAAAAAGAAAAAAAGAAAGAATTGCCTTTCACAACCCCATAGAACAAATCAATTTAATGGGTGACTATTAGAATTATTTTTATTCTCTTTTTAGAAAGACTAATCAGCAATATTCCTTGAAATAATCAGTTACTCTAATGAAGTCAAGTAATACATTTGTATATAAGTTAAATTTATTTCAAAAGAAGCAGGCCTGCACTAGGCTTCAATGCATAGAGCCAAACCGGTTTCAGGCTGGGTCAATTCATGTGAGCTCAACAGGTTTTGAAGTAATTTGGAGAGGGACAGGTGTCAGGGGATTAGAAATATCAGTTGGGGCAATGGAGGGACAGGTGCAATGGAGGATTAGAAATACTGGTTGGGGCAATACCTAGAGGGAGGCTATGCTCTGCCTTAAGACCTGCTTATTGTGGGATCAGAAGGAGACAATCAAGAGGCTTTTTGGTATTACCTGCTTCCTATAGGCTAGATAAAGTGTTAGAAGATGATCATTTTGGGGAAGTTAGGACTTACCTGTTCGAGAAAAAACAGTGAAGAGGGTCTCCATGCCAGCATGGACATGGTCAGTCACATGGCAGTGCATCAGCCATGTCCCAGGGTTGCTGGCCACCATCTCCACAACCTCAAAAGTCCCTGGGAACAGATCCACCACATCTGCCCGGTAGTTCTCGCCATTCTGCAAGAGAGATTGGGAATGAGGGAGAGGAAGTGAAGGGTATAAAAATCATCTTAGAGCTTTCAGGAACCAAAAAATTGTGATGTCCACATTAGGGAGCTGAGACTTCAAGGTTCCTAGACCAGTGAGTGGTTTTAAAAGTCCACTTTACCAAGACCATCCTGGCTAACATGATGAAACCCCGTCTCTACTAAAAAAAATAAAAAATAAAAAAAATAAAAAAAATTGCCGGGCATGGTAGCAGGCGCTTGTAGTCCCAGCTACTCGGGAGGCTGAGGCAGAAGAATGGTGTGAACCCAGAAGCCGTAGCTTGCAGTGAACTGAGATCACACCACTGCACTCCAGCCTGGATGACAGAGTGAGACTCCATCTCAAAAAAAAAAAAAAAGTCCACTTTATTCATATCTCCAATGAACCCACCCACCGAAGCTAAATCAACAGAGGTGACTTTCTCCTCTTAAAATGTCCCAAAGAAAAAGAATTTCTAGGTTACTTTAGAAGGTTCAAAACAAGTATCTTTATAATTTTCAGCAGGCTAAAATATGGGGAATTTGGCTTAAGCTTTGACCCCTATGAATGAGGCATATATTTCCTTTAGAAATTGATTCAAATAAAGTTATCTTTGCCATTGTCTTTTTCAGCACTTCTAAATCTCGAAGTCTGTATCAATGCCCCCAACTCTTCCTCCTTTACCTAAGACTAAACTGTTTTCAAAATCTACATATTGTTCCATGTACCCCCTAAGTTGAAGCTCTTCTTATAATAGATTAAGGACTTTCAGCAATTCTGAGATGCCACTCTGAAATTCCTTGTTCTTAAAAATCACTGCTCATTGAGTCTCAAGTCCTTGACTGAGACTTGATATTGATTCCTTCAGTCTCCTTACTGATAAATGGGCCTTTTTTGTCTTCCACATCAGAAGGGAAAGCTAGGGCCTAGCGGGAAGTTATTGAGTCTAGGATATACAGCCAGACTAGAATTTCCAGCTCAGTGCTCCATGTACTAGACCTCTGCTCTTTAACTAATTGTTACCTGTTCCACACTGTTACCTTTTTTCTCAATTGCTGTTAAACCACTGTTCTAATCATCCTTGAGGGACTCAGCCCATTTTCCAGCTCACCCGATAGAGGAAGCTCTCTGCATGAAAGTGGATGGTGTGTAGATCCACATCTTGGCCCATGGCCAGCATGTACCAGGCCACTCGTTCTCCTTGGTACATGGTAAGACCCCTAAGGTTGGCATAGAGTTTCCCATTGATTGCTGTCAAAAAAAAAGAAAAGAAAAGAAAAGAAAAGAAAAAGCTTCTTACATCTCTCCTTTGGACTTCCCATTTCCACTATCCTAGGCCTAATCTTTTTTACCGAAGATAGCAATGGGCTTCTAATTTGTCTCATCTTTTTTCCATCTGTCCCTCTTCAAGGTATCTTCTTACATTGATATTATCAAAATTATCTCTCTAAGTGACTGAATCTGATGACATCATTCTGCTGCTTAAAATATTTTAATTACTCTCTCCTGCTCCAAAGAGCAAGTCCATGGATCCTTACTTCACCCAACAAGATCCTTCAAAATATAACTCCAAACCACCTTCCTAGACTCATCTCCCACTACCCAACACATTTATTCCAGTTGGGGTGATTTCTTCACCATCCCTCAAATGGTCCATGCATGTTCTTTGTGTCCTTGTGTTTCTAAGATTCCCTACTAGAAATCCTGCCTTCTTTTACCCATTTTTTAAAGTCCAGTCAAATCTTCACTCCCCCAGAAAGACTTTCCTGATCTCCTAGTTCCTCTCCATAACTCTCATTCCCTGCATCCCCTTCCACCTGTGAACTCCTCCAGTACTGTCTGCATGACTCACTGAAACTCATAAGAAATTGTCTTCTACATTTACCTGTCTTTTCATGCGTGAAAGCTTACATCCCCAATTAGACTATAGGTTCCTAATATGCAGGAAAGAATGTATGTATACACTGCATTACTATAGCTTCCTTGTATTTTCTCAGAACACCCAGTAGACAGCTGAGCCTACAATAAATGTTAAAAAAATACCTGCCACATTCATGGAATTAATAACATTAATGCATAGAATTAATAATGATATTAATGCATGGAATTAATAATGATATTAATGCATGGGTCTCTTCCCAGGCCACATCCTATGCTCCAAGGACATCAAACTACTCATTGTTACAATAATTCACACTTCCAGGACTTTTCCCTGGACAATTTTCCCCCACTTCTTATGTTCTTACAGAGAGAAGATAATTTCCACTTTATCACCCAAGAGAGGAAGCAATCATTTATAATCTGTCTCTATGTCTACCTCTACCAAATTGTGGATTTCAGAGAGGAAACTAAACATGATCAACTCAGCCTCTTATTGATCTTTTCTCTCCCTCATCAATCAGGCCACAGAAATGGGCAATAGCCGATTCATTATTTCACTGTGGGGTATGATTCTCCCTCTGCCAAAGAGGTGAGTATTGCTGCCCATCTATGTCAATGACAAGGTGGAAATGTCTATCTGTTGCCAGAGAAGTGTTAGTAAGCCCATTTAGTTGTAGAACTGAAATCAGTTTTTCAATTAGCCTTCTTAGTATTAAGGTTCACATTTGATCTTAAGCATCTCTCTTTCTCAGTTGGTTCAGGAACCTGAAAAGGAAGAGAGGGATGTTATTTATTTACCCCTCAGATGCAAATATCTCCAGGGCTAGCACTCAGAAACTGCTTAACAAATACCTGCTCGATCGATAGGTAGGTAGACTTATACCTGAAGAGTGTGGATAGACACATAAACAAACAGAAGAAAGTAAGCATTAGCCAAACCCCTGCATTAACAGGACCTAACTGTGTCCTCTTTCCCTTTTTATCCTGGACCATTTCTCTGATTTGACAGGCGCTAAAATTTCTGCCTTGTGAAGTCTGTGAATCATCTGTTCTAATGTGAATCATTCATCACTCCATCAAGGTGAAATAGCTAAAATCTGTGGGATAATAATATACGACTTTTTAGTTCCATTAGAATCACTATCAAAGATGCTCCTCATTCTCAGATCAAAGAAATCTTGGGCTAGAAGGAATAGTGAGAGATCACTTCATTCTACTGCACTTATGCTCTCCCCTCTTTCTCTTGTTTTTGAAAAGCTACACAGATCTCTCAAACAAAGGAAGGCTTTGATGCACAATTTCTCTCCAAAATCCATTCAAGTACCAAAAAGTTCTTCCTTGTATCTGACATAAATCCAGTATGCTTCTCACTGAGGATCTCTTCAATTCTTCCATCTATAAATTGAAACTCTTTTAAAAAGAGACTAAAATACAAGCTTTCATCTGGCTGTATTGGAATCCATTGAGAAAACAGATCCCAAATTTAGAGTGGTAAATAAATAAGATGATATTGGCAGACTAAACTCAGGGTTTTAAAATAGAGGGGCACTAAGCAGCCAGCTTGACAAGTACATTGAAGGTCATACATGTCCATTTTGCCTTCTCTAATATGTTAAAATTTTCTGGTATCGCCATGGCAATTTACAGAGTCAACTTCCTGCTTTCTGGGCACCCAATCTAACCTGGACCACATATCTGCCTTTGTATATGTAAATGTACAATAATAGGAAATGCTTCTTCTAACTCATCCCCATTTCACCTTCCCATGTTCGTGTCCTCTCTGGGATTATGTTCCCTTAGGTAGCAATAGGCCTATTAAATATCCCCATGTAACCAGTAGGGACTGCTTTGGAACAAGAGTAGGTTTTTTACTACTGACCATGCATTTTATTGCTCTCCAAGAAAGTTTCATCCTGTAGGTTAATACTGCCTGGATCCTGGGACCCATGGGTTGCCACATTTTCCTCCAAATACCAAGACTTATTTTCATCAAAAATCAAGAACAACAATGCAAATTCCCGATCCATGTCACTCCGTCCTCCATGGGGCTCCAGGATGCCCTTTTGGCAGATAGCCAAGGGCCCCACCAGGCCACTATACATGTCCTGAGGAAGGGAGGAAGTGGGAGAGAGAGAAAGAGATGGAGTTGTTTCTGGGTAGCAGTACTCCGCAGGGAGCCAGCTTCTCATACAAGCCCACTGTGCCTCTCAGCATTTCCTCATGATATCTTACATTTATAAGTACCCCACTATGTTATTTGAATTCATTCTAACAATTATCTTGGGACTCAGTTAAGATGCACTATCTGACCTATGCTTTATCTAGGCTAAACTATTTATTGATCTCTTAGCCTACCAAGCATTTTTACAACCTAGTGTTTTTTTGTGCTGTTTCCTCTGCCTGCAATGCCCTCTCCATCATCATATCCCTTATCTGATGGCATAATGTGACTCAGCTTTCAAGGCCCAGAGTACATGCACCTCCCATTGTGATGCCTTCTCCAGGTTCCCTCTTGCTCAACTAGACCATACTCTTTGAAGGTGGGAAATGTATCTTAAATTTATATCATCCAAAGCACCAAGTAAAATGCCTAAAATGTGGTAGGCACTCAATAAATGATTACTAATGGCTGGCTGTAGATGGATGGCTAGATCGATAAATCCATTTTCCAGATGAGAAAACAGAGGCAGAATGACTTATTTAAGGTCACTCTAAAAGCATGCTATAACCAAATTTGGGACTAGAACCTCAATCTCTGTACAACCAATCCCAGGTTTCTTTTGTGTTTTTTGTTTGTTTGTGTGTTTGTTTTTTTTTATAATGAGAACATGTTGCTTTATAGGATCCAAAATGAAAAGATAAGGAAGAAAATCTTCATGACAAATATCTGGTGCTACCCATTCCCTTCGTCCCTCCTCCTGTCTATTAAAATAAGTCCAGCTTTTGAAGAATGTTCCCCAAATTCTAGGCTCTAGAATCTCAGGAGTAAGCTTCTTACTACACCTGGTTAATAGCTTCTTTTTGCCAGGGAGTTTGACCCACCTCCAGGTAGCCAATCTTGTATTTACCTTGATGGGATCCACTGCAGAATAATAGATCCAGGAAACACAAGCAGAGTCATTGGGCCCAGGGCCAGACCTCTCTGGGATGTTCCACTGATAAGTGACCACCTCACCTAGAAGTGTAACAAGGAACCTCCAGTTGCACCGGGTCAGAAATTTCTCTCAACTCCCAGGTCTCCCCAAGAGGCAGTGGTGAGTGAATCCCATCTTCTTTAGGATCTTTCTTCATCATTCCTCCATCATTTTATTTTTGTGACCTTGCTCTTCTCCCTCCTGGGACACCCTCAACCTTTCTTTTCTACTTTCCCTATCCTCAAAGGCCCAGGTCCAATCCTCTAGTAAGGCAGCCTTGCTACTTTTTTTTCTCTGCTTTTAATATCATCTTTTTCTTTGCGGGGCGGGGGTGGGGTGGGGTGCTCTGCTTTGGTTTATTTTTTCCAGCTGCTATATCCTAAATGCAGTTGTTTGCACAAAGTTCTGTCTCAGTTCTCTTCTCTCTTTCCATACTCTCTCCTTGGAACCTTTAGTCACCTTTCTGACTTCAACTATGATCTGTGCATCGATGACTCTTAAATACTTAGTTCCAGCCAGACTCCCCTTGTTACTAAGCTCCAACTCCAAATATTCAATTAGATGCTGAATATCTTTTAAAGATTGTCCTGACAGCACCAGGAAAACAGATTGTATGAACTCACCTCCCTCCTTTGAAAAACCACCGTTTCCCAATCTGTGCTCTCAGTGTCTATCTAGAAATAACATTATCACTCTTTTACTTACTCAGACTCAAAACTTTAATCTTTACTTCTTCACTTTCGTAATTCAACATCTAACCAAATGGCAGGTCTTATTGATTATACCTCTACCCTATATTTTAGAACCATCCTCTTCTCCTTTCAATTATCATTACTCTTGCCCTAGTTTGGACCCTTGTTTTCTTAACTCAACCATTACAAAGCTTCCTAACATGTTTCTCTGCCTCCAGCCTTGCCCCCTCCAATTCATCTTCCAAATAATGCTATATTAATCTTTTCTAACAACTTTATTGAGATGTAATTTGCATGCCATACAATTCACCCTTTTAAAATGTTCAATTCAATGTTTTTAGTATATTACCAGAACTTTGTAACCACCACGATTCATTTTCCATTTCATTACCACCAAAAAAACTCCTGTACTGCCCTCATCCCCTAATCCACCCATCCATTCCTGCCCCACCCCACCCAAGGTAATCAATATTCCACTTTCTGTCTCTATAGACTTGTCCATTAGGGGCATTCCATAGATATTGAATTATATCATACATTTTATTTTGTGACTGAATTTTTTTATTTAATATGTTTTCATTGTCCACCCCCTTTGTAGCACATATCAATACTTAGTTGTGTTTATTGCCAAATAATAGTCCATTGAATAGATACACCATATTTTATTCATTCATTCTTCAGTTGATGAACATTTGGGTCATTTCCACTTTTTAGTTATTATGAATAGTGCTGCTATCAGCATTTGTGTACAAGTTTTTATGTGGATATATGTTTTCATTTATTCCTGAGTTGTATGGTAATGCTATGTTTAACCACTTAAAGAATTGCCAAACTGCTTTCCAAAGCACGTGCACCATTTTGCATTCTCACCAGCAACATATTAGGGTTCCAATTTCTCAACATCTGCATGAAAATTAGTTATTGTCTGCTTTTAAAAATCTTTTATTTTAGTTATCCTAGCATGTGAAAAGTGTTATCTCACTATAGTTTTGATTTCCATTTCTCTGACGGTTAACCATGTTGAGAATCTTCTCTTGTGCTTAATATCCATTTTAACATCTTCTTGGGAGCAATGTTTATTCAAATCCTTTGCCCATTTTAAATTGGGTTATGGGTTTTTTGATAATAGCATTGTCAAATAACAATGACATCAAGCAATAGTTCCTTATGGATTCTGGATACAAGTCCCTTATCAGATATATGATTGTCAAATTGTTTCACATCCTGTGGATTGTCTTTTCACTTTTTTATGGTGTCCTTTAAAGCATATTTCAAATTTTAAGGTATTTCAATTTATTTGTTCACTTGTGCTTTTAGTGTTGTATATAAGAAACCATTGCCTAATCCAAGGTTATGAAGGTTTGCTCCTTTGTTTTCTTCTAAAAGTTTTATAGCTTTAGCTTTTATATTTAGGTCTTTGACCCATTTTGAGTTGATTTTTCTGTATGTTGTGAGTTAGAGGTCCAACTTCATAGTTTTGCATGTGGATATCCAATTGCCTCAGCACAATTTATTGAAAAGACTATTTTTTTCCATTGAAAGGTCTTGGCACTTTTGTTGAAAATCAATTGACCAAAAATTAGAGGGTTTATTTCTGGATCTTCAATTCTATTCTATTGATCTATCTGTCTATCCTTATGCCAATGCCACACAATCTTGAATTCTATGCTTTGTAGTAAGTTTAGAAACCAGTAAGTATGAGTTCTCCAACTTTGTTGTTCTTTTTTAACATTGTTTTGGCTATGCCATATTAATCTTTCCAAAATCTCTCTTTGTTCATGTCATACCTTTTATCAAAGGCCTGTAATGGCTCCCTAATATTCAAATAATAAATTTCAAAAATTTCCCCATCAGCTAAGCACTCTCTAACTCAGCCCTGGCCTGCCTTTTCAGCCATATCTCTTACTCTTTCTGGTTCTGCAAAATATATACTGGTCGAACCTAACTACATGCTCACCTCTGGGCATACCTCATACTTTCACAGCTCTGTATCTTTTGTCATGTTGTTCTGTTTACATGAACTTCTCTCCAACCTCTCCATCGAGTTCAAGACTTATTCAACTGCATTCTTGGCACCTCCATTTGTCTAATTTTTATCTCAGACTCAACATATTAAAAATAAATATTTGATTTTCCCCCAAACCTTCTCCTCTTCAGTCTTCCTTATCTCAATAGATAGTGCCACCAGTTATGTAAGCCAAAAACACAAGAGTTATCTTTGATTATTATCACTCCTCACATCTCATATCCATCATCAAAATTCTGAGGGATCTACCTGAAAAGTCTATCTCATATTATCCACTTCTACCCATCTCCACTGCTACCACCATAGTCTGCGCTATTATCTTCTGGCACCTGAAAAACTACAATAGCCACCTCTCTTGTTCCTCTCATAACATATGCTTCACATAACAACAAATGTAACCTTTTAAAATACAAAGTAAACCATGCCACATCTCTGCAACAGCTCCTCACTGTGAGTAAATCTAAACAAAAATTCCCTACCATGGCTTGCGAGACTCTACATGATCTTACTTATCATTCTTTATATCTACAAACTCATTTCTTATTATTCTTCATCATTCTCAGTATGCTACAGCCACACTGTCTTCTTATTATTCCTTAAATACATTGAGATCATTCCTGTCTCAAGGTATTTACACTTGCAGTTGAAGCTGTCCTGTAACTTTCTTAATATGGCTGATTTCTATGCTACATTCAAATATCAGCCTAAATATAATTTCCTCAGAGAGCCCTGGACTGACCATAGTAGTCAAGGCTTCACTCTTGTATCCAAAATACATAAAGAACTCTTAAATTTTAACAAAATAAAAACAGCCCAATTAAAAATAGGCAAAAAAAAATTGAACGGACATTTCACAACACAAGATATAAGAATGACAAATAAACATATGATAGATGTTAAACATTATTAGCCATTTGGAAAATGCAAATCAAAATTACAATGAGATATCATTACATACCTGTCACAATGGCCTTTAAAAATCAGTGATAACACCAAATGCTGGCAAGGATGTGGAACAACTGAATCACTCACACTTTGCTGATGGGAATGTAAAATGGTTCAGACACTCTGGAAAAAAGTTTGGCAGTTCCTTATAAAGTTAAATATCCCCTTACTATATGATCCAGAAATCCTAGTTCTAGGTATCCACCAAAGAGAAATGTGAATGATGTTCACACAAAAGCTTCTACACAGCACCTGTAATCCCAGCACACTGGGAGGCCACAGTGGGTGGATCACTTGAGGTCAGGAGTTTGAGACCAGCCTGGCTAACATGGCAAAACCTATCTCTGCTAAAAATACAAAAATTAGCTTAATGTGGTGGTGGGCACCTGTAATCCCAGCTACTCGGGAGGCTGATGTATGAGAGTCATTTGAACCTTGGGGGCAGAGGTTGCAGTTAGCCAAGATTGTGCCACTAAACTCCAGCCTAAGTGACAGAGCGAGACTCTGTCTCAATCAATCAATGCCTCTATACAGATAGTCATAGTAATTTTATTAACAAGAGCTAATAACTGGATAAAATCTAAATTCCCTTTAACAGTGAAAAGTTGTACAAAATGTGGTACATTCATACCATGGAATACTACTCAGCAATAACAAATAGTAAACTATTGACACATACAACAACTTAGATGAATCTCCAGAGAATTACGCTGAGTGAAAAAGGTTAATCCTGAAGTATTGCATACTGTATTATTCCATTTATATACATAAATATATTCCATTTATATGTAGATATCACTTATGTAAATCAAAGAATATATATACATATATATGCATATTTTTTCTAGGAAAGATGTAACAATAGGAATTGAGACCAGATCAGTGGTTCAAAGAGGGCGGGGATAGCAAGAAAGTAACTGCTCTAATTCCTGATTGCGGTGGTGATTATACTAATCTATTCATGTGCTAAAATTCATACAACTGTACATCAAAAAAGTCAATTATACTGTAAGACTTAAACAACTACAGGAGTTTAGAGGTATTAATCACCGGATAAAGTGTTATAGAAGAGTTTAGGCTTGGTCTGAATCTCAAGGAATGAGGAGAGCTTAAAGAAGAGTCAGAGGTGAAAGCATGCAATTTTTTTTCACTCATACAATCAACAAAGCTGTATTGAACAAATACTACATGTTGAGTGTTGGAAAGAGTCATCAACAAAACAACATAGTGCCTGTCCTCTTAGAATCTAGTCAGGAGAGGAAACAACATACAAGTAAACCAACAAAAAAACCATGTAGAATTACAAGGTGGGATAAGTGCTATGTCCTTGAGAAGATCCCTACTCTCCTCTACCTTTTTTAATCAGGTTCCTCCTGACTCCATTCTTTTCCCTATCTGGTCCAAATTCCCTCACTGCCATGGTCAGCATTTGAACTACTCTTTTACAAATATCCTGCACTCTCATGTCTTCTTGCCTGTTACTCTATTCTACACAATGCATCCCCTTCACCACTCCCACCCCATAATAACTTCCTGTAAATCAGTGGTCCTCAAAGTTTATTTCTTCCACCAGCAGCATCAGAATCCACTTAGCAATTTGTAGAAATGCAAATTGTTGGGAATCTCTCCACACCTGAAGATTCAGAAACTCTGGGCATGGGCTCAGCAGCCTATGGGCAATCTAACAATCCCTCTAAGTGATTGTCATGTCCACTAAAGTTGGGTACCACTAACCTCCCTAGGTGTATTTTACAATCTGCCTTCTCTGATCTTAGACTGTGATGTGCTGAACACAGCTGGAGAAAACTCTACAGCCTTCTGTAGTGCTGCTTCTTCAAATTTCTATTTTCCAGTCTCAATTGTGTCCTCAGTGCTGTTTGGTTCAATAGCTTCCAATCCTGTTCCTCTGGGTGACAAGTACAAACTTTCAATACACTCCTCAAGCCTCATTTGTTCCTTACCTTCTCACTCTCAACAACTGAATTCAACTCAAATTTCACAGAATAAGAATAATATTGGCAAAAACTTGCATAGCACTTAAAATACATTAATTCAAAATCCCTATGAGACAGATATTACTATTAATTCCATTGTATATATGAAATAAGTAAGGCTTCAGCTCATAGATATTATATCACTTTCTGAAGATCACACATCATAGCTGAAATTTGAGCCCATGCAGTCTATCTTGAAAATTCCTTTTACCACTACTCTACAAAAGCTCTCATCCTTTAAAATTCCATTCCTTATCCATGTCTACCAAGCCCTTGAGCCTCAGAGGGGGAAGTGTTTCTACTCACGTGGGTCCTCTATACTGTTCATCAGTCTTATTCCATTTCTCAGAAAAGTTTGTTTTTCTACCCTTTGAATCAACAATTTCATACATTTTTTCCTTTTCTTCAAACCTCCTACACCAGCACACCCACCTCCACAACACTGATGGCCTTTACTTAGATATGAATAAGAAAATTGAAACCATCAGAAAAAACTCTCATCATACTATTGTAAAATCCGCAAACTTCTCTCACTATACAGTAGTCCCCTCTATCCAAGGAGGATACATTCCAAAACCAGTGGAAACCTGAAAGCACAGATAGTACTGAAGCCGATTACTGTCAATTGAAACACATTTCTGTTTATATCTTCCACCCACAAATGTAATGCCTTTTTCATCTTAACTAAGCACTTATCATACATTGTGGCCATAGCTTTTGTAGTTTGAAGTGCTACAGAAAAACCTGCATGAATTTATTTTTCCTTCTTCACAATTGCATAGATAGAATATTCATTCTTACCATCAATCTTAGCAACCTCAGCATACAAGTTTTTTCATTATTAATTCAAAAACTTTCACCTTTTCACTAAAAGAAGCACTTTACGGCTTCTCTTTGGCACATACAAATTGCCAGCATCATTACTCTACCACTTTGGGGCCTTTATTAAGTAAAATAAAAGCTACATTAACGCAAGAATTGCAAAACTGTGACAGTTGATCTGGTAACTGAGACAGCTAAGTGCCGAATGGGCAGGTGGCATATCCAGTGTGGATATGCTGGACAAAGGAAACATTCTCATCCCAGGTGGGATAGTATGAGATGTTATCACACCACTTATACAA
Source organism: Homo sapiens (assembly GCF_000001405.40). Classification (NCBI taxonomy): domain Eukaryota; kingdom Metazoa; phylum Chordata; class Mammalia; order Primates; family Hominidae; genus Homo; species Homo sapiens. The sequence goes on along the minus strand of NC_000023.11, from coordinate 66,248,294 downwards.
AGTTTAAAACTTAAAAATGGTTTATTTCTGGAAGTTTTCATTTAATATTATCAGATTATGATTGAACATGAATAATTGAAAGCATAGAAAGTGAAACCAGGAATGAGGTGGTACTACAGTACTAGAGCATGTTGATCTAGCAAAGAGGGAGAGACTGATAATTAGGTGGGAGAGAGAGAGAGAAATAATAACCATAGGACTTAGGTAAGTAAAAAAATGGAGAGGGAATGGGGTCCAGAGTATGAATGATAGGAATTAATATTTAATGAGAGAAAAGATGCCTTATTATTTGTAACTGGATAAAAGAAAGGGAAGATGGTGCAAATCAGAGGAGTTTTCAGTGCTGTCCAATACAGTAGTCACATGTGGCTAATATAACTGAGGAACTTAATTTATAATTTAGTTTAATTATAATGAATTTAAGTTCATACAGCCATATGTAACTGGTGGCTATGGTATTGGACAGTTAGCCCAAACTATGCAATTTAAAAAACCTTCCTTAGTCACACATTTCTATCGAACTACAATATCCCATTTTTCAATACCCTTTAAAACAAGCCTTGAGAAAAGTTGTTGATACTCCCTATTTTCATTCCCACAACTCCTTTTTACTTTTTGGTTCATGTAACTTGACTTTTGTTCCCACTATATCACTGATGTAATTACTTATAACAGCTGCTTAAGTATGCTTAAAGAACTGAAAACATAAATAAAAAGTAAAGAAAAACTTAAAACCATATCTGAACAAAATTCAAATATAAATAAAGATATGGAAATAAAAAGGAACCAAACAAATTCTGGAATAGAAAAGGAGAATTGAAATTTTAATTCACTAGAAGAGTTAAACAGCAGATTTGAGCAGGCAGAAGGCAGAATCAGATAACTTGATGATAGGACAATGGAAAATATCTAGTATGAGGAGCAGAAGGAGAGAATAATGAAGAAAAGTGAACAGAGCATAAGGGACCTGTAGGACAACATCAAGCGGATTAATATATGTATTATGGAAGTCAAAGAAGGAGGAGAGAGAAAGGAGAAAAAACATCTGAAACAATAATGGCTAAAAATGTCTCACATTTGACAAAACATGTAAATCTACACATCCGAGAAGCTCAGCTGACTAAAAGTAGGATTAGCAAAACTCTACCCACACCAAGGCACATTGTAATTAAACTATTTTAAAAAAGACAAAGAGAACCTGAAAAGATGCAAAACAAGATTTGTCACAGAAAAGAAATTCTCAATAAGATTAATAGCCAATTTCTTCTCTGAGACCATGGAGGTTAGAAATAAGTTAACTGACATATTTAAAGTGCTGAAAGAAAAAAATACTCGTCAATAAAGAATTCTATATTTGACAAAATGACCCTTCAAAAATGAGAGGGTGGGAGGGGCCAATATGGCAGAATAGAAGCAGCTCATGTACTCCACTCTCACAGAGAAGAAACAAAAAGTTTAATAAACACTGGCCCTGAAGGCCAATCAACAGAGAAACCATGTCAGGATTCATCAAGGTAGCAGGGCTACAGAAATCAGAGAAGAGGGAAGCTGAGCACCAGCCTGTATGGGCACAGCAAAGAGCCAGAAGAACCTCTCCAACAGGGGAAAGGTGAGTAAGTGAGAATCTTCTGGGATACTCACATCCTCCACAGGAGCCTATGCAAGACTGGGAACAGCAGAATCACCCTGGCCCCCACACACTGCCCCCACCATGCTTCTAGACTGAGGCAGAGGACCACCTGGATGCTTTGCAGGGGAAACTCTTGACTCCAAGGGAAACTCTACAAGTCTTAGGCCACAGAATAGACCAGCACTGACACCACAGCCCCAATAAAGACTAAAGTCATGGTGCCTAGAAGGAGTAAGATTGCTCTACTGCCCCTCATCAGACAGGGCTTAGCACCAGCTTCTGGCACAATGGTCTCACTTCTACCTAAACTCAGCCAACATCTGTAGCCCCCTGCTGTCTTAAAAAGCACCCAGATGGCAGAAAGGGCAATCCCACCCACTCCTGCCACTGGTAGCCAGGCAGGTAATGCCTGCTAGATTTTCTAACCCAACAGTCTCACTTCTGTCTGAACTCAGTCCTATTCAGCTTCCTGTTTTCCCAGGAAACACCCAGACAACAGGGCAATCAATTCCATCCACCTCCACCTCTCATGGACAGACAGGCTACACCTGCTAGAGCTTCCAACCCAGCAGTCCCACTTCTGCTGGGACTCTGTGGGCAGGCACAACCCCATGTTCCCCCAGGAAATACTCCGACAGCAGATTACAGCTGACCCGGCAAGGACATGGCCTGTCTGCAACTGCAGCCTCTGCCTGAGGGAGCTTCATGGACAAGAACACCCAACAAAAGAAACATAGGCACAGAGACAGTAATCAGAGGGAGTTATTTAAACACCAAGGAGTAGACTAGAATCAAAACCATTCTACTCAGTTTCCATGTAGTTGAGCGGTTTTGAGTGAGTTTCTTAATCCTGAGTTCTAGTTTGATTGCACTGTGGTCTGAGTGATAGTTTGTTATAATTTCTGTTCTTTTACATTTGCTGAGGAGTGCTTTTCTTCCAACTATGTGGTCAATTTTGGAATAGGTGTGGTGTGGTGCTGAAAAGAATGTATATTCTTTTGATTTGGAGTGGAGAGCTCTGTAGATGTCTATTAGGTCCACTTGGTGCAGAGCTGAGTTCAGTTCCTGGATATCCTTGTTAACTTTCTGTCTCGTTGATCTGTCTAATGTTGACAGTGGGGTGTTAAAGTCTCCCATTATTATTGTGTGGGTATCTAAGTCTCTTTGTAGGTCTCTAAGGACTTGCTTTATGAATCTGGGTGCTCCTGTATTGGGTGCACATATATTTAGGATAGTTAGCTCTTCTTGTTGACTTGATCCCTTTACCATTATGTAATGGCCTTCTTTTTCTCTTTTGATCTTTGTTGGTTGAAAGTCTGTTTTATCAGAGACTAGGATTGCAACCCCTGCCTTTTTTTGTTTTCCATTTGCTTGGTAGATCTTCCTCCATCCCTTTATTTTGAGCCTATGTGTGTCTCTGCACATGAGATGGGTTTCCTGAATACAGCACACTGATGGGTCTTGACTCTTTATCCAATTTGCCAGTCAGTGTCTTTTAATTGGAGCATTTAGCCCATTTACATTTAAGGTGAATACTGTTATGTGTGAATTTGATCCTGTCTTTATGATGTTAGCTGGTTATTTTGCTCATTAGTTGATGCGGTTTCTTCCTAGCCTTGATGGTCTTTACAATTGGTCCTCAGTTGGCCTATTTTTCACATAAATGGAAGTTTTCTACACATAATGTTTCATAATTTGCTTTAATAATATGTATAAATGACTTTCTATGTACTAAAATATTTTTAAGAGGATCACTTAAAAAAAAAAAAACATTCTACTGAACCCACCTTGCACCACAATCAAATCCCCAAGGGAATCAAAGAATATAAAAGCAAGAAAAACTTATCTGAAGGACAGCAACTTCAAAGACTGAAGGAACATCAGCCTACACAGATGAAAAAGAATCAGCACACAAACTCTGAAAACTCAAAAAGCTAGAGTGTCCTCTTACCTCCAAATGACCACACTAGTTATCCAGCCATGGTTCTTAATCAGGCTGAAATGGGTAAAATGTCAGAAATAAAATTCAGAGTATGGATAGGAATGAAGATCAACATTCAGGAGAAAGTAGAAACCCAATTTAAAAAAATCTAAGGGATATAATAAAATGATATAGGAGATAAAAGAAAATAGGCATTTTAAGAAAGAACCAAGCTAATCTGATAGAGCTGAATAATTCACCTCAATAATTTCATAATAAAATTGCAAGTATTAACAGCAGAATCAACCAAGCTGAGGAAAGAACCTCAAAGCTCGGAGACTAGTTCTCTGAAATAACCCATTAAGACAAAAATAAAAATAAATGAACAAAATCTCTGAGAAATATCAGATTATGTAAAGATACCAAATCTATGACTCATTGACAACCCTGAAAAAGAGAGAGAGCAAACAACTTGAAAAACACACTTGAAAATATCCATGAAAATTTCACCTAGCTCACTTGAGAAGCCAGCATTCAAATCCAGGAATTGCATAGCACACCTGAAAGATACTATACAAGATGACTATTCCTAGTGTGCATAGTCTTCAGTTTTCTTCAAGGTCAAAATAGAGGAAAAAATGTTAAAGGCAGATAGAGGAAAGGGGCAGGTCACCTACAAAGGAACCCCATTGGGCTAACAGTGTACTTCTCAGCAGAAACTCTACAAGGCAGAAGAGACTGGGGGCCTATATAAAGCATCTTTAAAGAAAAGAAATTCAAACCAAGAATTTCATAACCAGTGAAACTAAGCTTTATACAAGAAGGAGAAATAAGATCCTAAGATCCTTTTCAGGCAGGCAAATGCTAAGGGAATTAGTTATCATCACACCTGGCTTACAAGAGGTCATTAAGGAAGTGCCAAACCTGGAAAAGGAAAGACCCTTACCAATGACCACAAAAACATGATTAAATACGTAGACCATTGACACTATAAAGAAAGCACACAATCAAGTCTGCATAATAACCAGGTAACAACACAATGACAGGATCAAACCTACATGTATCAATATTAACCGAATGTAAACTGGTTAAATGCCCCAATTCAAAGGCACGAAGTGCCAAGTTGGATAAACAAGCAAGATTCAACTGCATGCTGTTTAAAAGAGATCCATATCATATGCAATGACACCCATAGGGTCAAAGTATAGAGATGGATAAAAATCCACCAAGCAAATGGAAAACTGAAGAAAGCAGGAGTTGCTATTCCAATTTCAGACAAAACAGACTTTAAACCAACAATGATCAAAAAAAGACAAAGAAGAGCATTCCATAATGGTAAAGGGTTCAATTCAACAAAAATACCTAACTAGCTTTTTGATCCTTAGCCTCCTGGCATCCTCCACCCTCAAGTACACCCTGGTGTCTATTGTTACCCATAACTTTGAGTACACGTTTGCTTGTACTCTAAGTTTAGCTCCCACTTATAAGTGAAAACATGCAGTATTTGGTTTTCTGTTTCTGCATTAGTTCACTTAGGATTATGGCCTCCAGTTCCATCTATGTTTCTGCAAAAATATGTCATTCTTTTTCATGGATGCCTAGTACACCATAGTGAATAGTACCACTTTTTATTATTCAATACACTGTTCATGCTATCATGAAAAGTGCTGTGATGAATATGCACGTCAGGTGTCTTTATGATAGAATTATTTGTATTTCCTTGGTTATATACCCATTAATGAGACTGCTGGGTCAAACAGTAGTTCCGTTTTAAGTTCCTGGAGAAATCTTCAAACTGCTTTCCACAGTGACTAAACTAATTTACATTTCTGCCAGCAGTGTATGAGCATTCCCTTTTATCCACAATCTCATTGGCATTTGTTGGTTTTTGACTATTTAATAACAGCTGCTCTGACAGGTGTGAGATGGCATCTCATTGCGGTTTCAATCTGCATTTCTCTAATAATTAGTGTTGTTGAGAATTTTTTCATATGCTTGTTGGCCACAGAATATAACGTCTATGTCTTCAAGAAGTATCTGTTCGTGTCTTTTGTCCATAGGGTTGTTTGATTCTTGCTTGTTGATTTGTTTAAGTTCTTTATAGATTCTGGATATTAGACCTTTGTTGGATGCATAGTTTGAAAATATTTTCTCCCATTCTGTAGGCTGTCTGTTTCCTTTGTTGGTAGTTTATTTGGTACAGAAGCTTTTTAGTTTAATTAGATTCTACTTGACAATGTTTGTTTTTGCTACAATTGATTTTGGAGTATTTCTCATAAAATCTTGCCAAGGCCTATGTGCATAATGATATGTCCTAGGTTTCTTCTAGGGTCTTTATAGTTTTAGGTTTTACATTTAAGTCTTTAATCAATTTTGAGTTGATTTTTGTATATGATTAAAGAAAGGGTCCAGTTTCAATCTTCTGCATATTGCTAGTCATTTATCCCAGCATCATTTATTGATTAGGAACTTCTTTTCCCATTCCTTGCTTTTGTCATATTTAAAAAAGATCAGATGGTTCTACATGTGCAGCTTTATTTCTTCATTCTCTAACCTGTTATATTGGTCTATGTGTCTGCTTTTGTACCAATACCCCACTGTTTTGGTTAATATAGCCTTGTAGTATAGTTTAAAGTTGGGTAATGTGATGCCTTCAGTTTTTTTTTTTTTCTGCTTAGGATTGTCTTGCCTACTCAAGCTATTTTTTGGCTCATATATATTTTAAAATAGTTTTTTTTCTAATTCTGTGAAGAATGTCCTTAGTGGTTTGATAGGAATACCATTGAATCTACAAATTGTTTTGGGTGGTATGGTCATTTTAACAATAATGATTCTTTCTACCCATGAGCATGGAATCCTCTTCCATTTGTTTATGTCATCTCTGATTTCTTTGAGTGGTGTTTTGTAATTCTGTTACAGACATCCTCCACCTCCCTGAATTGCTCTATTCCTAAGTATTTTATTCTTTTTGTGGCTATTGTGAATGAAATTTGGTTGAATGTCAAGTTTATGTCCCAAATATCTTTGTTAATATTATCTCTTGATAATCTGTCCAACATTGTCATTGGGGTGTTGCAGTCTCCCACTATTATTGTTTGGTTATCTAAGTATCTTCATAGGTCTCTAAAAACTTGTTTTATCAATCTGGGTGCTCCAATGTTGAACGCATTTATGTTTAGGATAGTTATGTCTTCCTGTTGAATTAAACCCTTTATCATTATATAGTACCCCTGTTTGGCCTTTTTGATTGTTGTTGGTTTAAAGTCTGTTTTATCTTGAATAATAATAGCTACCTCAGCTCTTTTTTGTTTTCTGTTTTCTTGATAGATCTTCCTCCATCACTTTACTTTGATCCTATGGGTGTCATTGCATGTGAGTTGGGTTTCTTGAAGACAGCATAGAATTGGGTATTGCTTCTTTATCCAACTTGCCACTCCATGCCTTTTAATTGAGGTGTTTAGCCCATTTTCATTCAAGGCCAATACTGATATGTGGAGATTTGATCCTATCATCATGATGTTAGCTGGTTTTTATTTAGGCATGATCCTATAGTTGCTTAATAGTGTCCATGGACTATTCATGTAAGTTGGTGTTTGTCGTGGATGGTAGTGGTTTTTTATTTCCATGTTTAGCACTTCCTTAAGGACCTCTTGTGAGACAGGTGTGGTGGTAATGAATTCCCTTAACAAATGCTAAGTGCTTGTCTATATTTTTAGTAGAGATGGGGTTTCTCCAAGTTGGCCAGGCTTATTGCAAACTCCTGACCTCAAGCAATCTGCCTGCCTTGGCCTCCCAAAATGCTGGGATTACAGGCATGATCCACTGGGCCTGGTGTAATATTTTTTCTTTTATGTTGACCTTGCAGGATCTGATGACTATGTGTATTGGGGATGTTCATCCTGAAGTAATTTATTTAACATTTTTTGTAGTATAGGTATGTAGGGAATGAATCCTCATAGACTTTTCTTTCTGAAAATGTTGTTTGTGTTTTCTTTTTATTTTCAGTGTACAGAATTCTGAGTAAACTATTTTTTCTTTCAGCATGTAAAAGATTTTTGTAACATTAACTTCTGGCTTCTGTGGCTTCTGATGAAAAAATTGCTATAACTTTTCTTTCTATATTTCATTTTATTTTCTCTGTTTTTTTAAGATTTTCTGAATGTCTTTGGTTTTCAGTAGATTTTACGTTGTATGTCTGGGGTGGGTGCATTTTTTTTTTTTTAATAATTAGCCAAGTTGTGGTGCTTTGAGTTTTTTGAGTCTGTGGTTTAATATCTGTCAACAATTTTGGAAAATTATCAGCCATTTTATTTGAAGTCTTTCTTCTGTCACATATTTCTTTTCCTTATACAATTAGAATTGCATTTATATTAGGGAGTTTGATATTATCCCACAGATCCTGGATGATATATTTCATTTTCTTCCTTTTCTTTTTCCTAGTGTTTCAGTTTGGACGAGTTTTATCGACATATCTTTAAGGTCACTAATGATTTTCTCAGCTGTGTCAAGTCTCCTGATAAGGCCAATAAAGAGACTATATCTATTATTGTGTTTTTAATTTCTAGCATTTCCATTTTATTCTTAGAGTTTTAATCTCTCTAATGAAATTACCCATCTTATTTTGCAGGTGGTTCACCTTTTCTATTAGAGCCTTTAACATTTTAATCATAGTTATTTTTACTTCCCTTTCAGGCATTTCCAACATCTATATCATTATCAGAATCTGGTTTGTTTGATGTGTTTGTTTCTCAGGAGTATGGACTGTATTATTCTATTTATATGCCATTGTGAAGAAGATAAAGCTTAGAAACGTAGAAAATAGTGGCAGTGTTTACCAAGGGTGACGAAGGTGGGAGAAGGGCTTGACAACAAAGGGACAGCATAAGGGATAATTGTGAGGTGATTTAATTTTTATCTTGATTGTTATGGTAGATATATGACTCATTTTGTAAACTCATAAAAACACTACATTATGAGAGAATTTTACTAAATATAAAGTTTTAATTTAAATTTTAAAAATCTTAGAAGAGTGTGTCCTTTCTGCTCTGGAACCATAGGATTTGGCCAGGCCATGCTCTATGAGGTCAGGGTCTAGATCCTGCTTGGTTTCACATTTTTCTCTGGCTGAGAATCATGCATATCTTCACATGATGAAGTAGAACAACAATTAAAATATCTAGGACCCCAAAATGATTATGTGAAAGTAATTATCACATAGAGGATGGTCTGTTCCATTTATGAACAAGAAATCTTAACCATTTATAAACACTTGTTAAGTAAAGTGGCTGACCAGACACAGCCAGGTGGAACAGATGCCACTGAGGTACTGACACAAATGGCATGCTCCTAAAAAGTATTCAAATGGAAGATACTGAGAATAGATGGAAGGAAGACACAAAAGCTGGGTTGAAGGGGGAAGACTCTGGGGACTCTACAAGGGGCTACCATGCACTCGGACTTATTCCTGGTCCCCAACAAATTAAGGGGAATGGGTGAGTTGAACCGACAAGGAGCAACCTCCTGTCACCACGGGCCTCTGAAATTCCAACAGAAAGAGACCCTTCAACCACCAGGGATACTGGATGTTGGGAACAGGCCCCAAAAATCTGGCCATAAACTGGCCCCAAAACTGGCCATAAACAAAATATCTGCAGCACTGTGATGTTCATGATGGCCATAACACCCACATTGGAAGGTTGTGGGTTTACTGGAATGAGGGCAAGGAACACCTGGCCCACCCAGGGCAGAAAACCACTTAAAGGCATTCTTAAACCACAAACAATAGCATGAGCGATCTGTGCCTAAAGAACATGCTCCTGCTGCAGATAACTAGCCCAACCCATCCCTTTATTTTGGCCCATTCCTTCATTTCCCATAAGGGATACTTTTAGTTAATCTAATATCTATAGAAACAATGCTAATGACTGGCTTGTTGTTAATAAATACGTGGGTAAATCTCTGTTTGGGGCTCTCAGCTCTGAAGGCTGTGAGACCCCTGATTTCCCATTTCACAGCTCTATACTTCTGTGTCATCAGTTTCTCCAAGGTCAAAATAAAAGAAAAAAATGTTAAATGCAGCTAGACAGAAAGGGCAGGTCACCTACAAAAGGACACCCATCAGACTAACAGTGGACCTCTCAGCAGAAACCCTACAAGCCAGGCAATGTTCAACATTCTTTTGTTTGTTTGTTTGTTTGTTTTGACAGGGTCTCACTTTGTCATGCAGGCTGGAGTGCAGTGGCATGATCATAGCTACATGCAACCTTGAATTCCTGGGCTCAAGGGATCCTCGCACTTCAGCCACCCAAGTTCAACATTCTTAAAGAAAATAAATTGCAACTCAGAATTCCATATCTGGCCAAGCTAAGCTTCATAAGCAAAGGAAAAATAAGATCCTTTTCAGATAAGCAAATGTCAAGGGAATTTGCTCCCACCAGAACTGCCTTACAAGAGCTCCTGAAGGAAACACTAAATATGGAAAGGAAAGACCATTACCAGCCACTCCAGAAAAATACTGAAGTACACAGACTAATGACAACATAAAGCAACCACACTAACGAGTCTGCATAATAACCAGCTAATATGATGACAGATTCAAATCCACACATACCTATACTAACCTTGAATGTAAATGGGCTAAAGGCCCCCATTTAAAAGACACAAAGTGGCAAGCTGCGTAAGGAACCAAGACCCTGTTGGCATGCTGTCCTCAAGAAACCTATCTCACATGCAGTGACACCTACAGGCTTAAAATAAAGGGATGAAAAAAATCTACCAAGCAAATGGAAACACAAAGAAGCAGGGGTTGCAATCCAAGTTTCTGACAAAACAGACTTTAAACCAACAAAGATCAAGAAAGAAAAGGTATTACATAATAGCAAAGGGTTCACTTCAACAAGAGCACCTAACTATCCCAAATATATATGCATCCAACACAAGAGCACACAGATTCATAAAGCAAATTCTTAGAGACCTTCAAAGATACTTTTAGACTCCCACACAATAACAGTGGAATACTTCAACATCCCACTTACAGTATTAGACTGATCACTGAGGCAGAAAATGAACAAAGATATTCAACATGTGAACTCAGCACTGGATAAAATGGACTTGATAGAAATCTACATAACTATCCACCCAAAACAACAGAATATGCATCCTTCTCATCACCACATGTACATCAAAATCAACCACATAATCGAACACAGAATACTGCTAAGCAAATGCAAAAAAACTGAAATCATAACAGTCTCTCAGAACAAAGTCCAATCATATTAGAAATCAAGACTAAGAAATTCACTCAAAACCATACAATTACATGGAAACTGAATAACCTGCTTCTGAATGACTTTTTGGTAAATAATGAAATTAAGGCATAAATCAAGGCCTTCTTTGAAACCAGTGAGAACAAAGGTGCAGCATTACAGAATCTCTGGGACACAGCTAAGGCAGTATGAAGAGGGAAAAGGAAAGTTTACAGCACAAAATGCCCACATCACAAAGTTGGAAAGATCTCCATTTAACAACCTAACATCACAACTAAAAGAACTAAAGAAGCACAAGAAAAAAACAATCCCAAAGCTAGTAGAAGAAAAAAAAAAATCAGAGCTGAACTGAAGGAGACTGAGAAACACAAACACACACAAAAAAAAATTCAAAAGATTAATGAATCCAGGGGTTTGTTTTTTGAAGTAACTAATAAAATAGACTTCTAGTTAGATTAATAAAGAAGAAAGAAAGAATATCCAAATAAACACAATTAGAAATGACAAAGGGGATATTACCATTGACCCTACAGAAATACAGATAGCCAACAAAGAATATTATTAACACCTCTATGCACATAAACTAGACAATCTAGAGGAAATTGATAAATTTCTGGACATATACGCCCTCCCAAGACAGAGCCAGGAAAAAATTAAATTTCTGAACAGGCCAATAAAAAGCCCTGAAGTTGAATCAGTAATAGCCTACCAGCCACATCCTCCATAAAAAAAGAGCACAGGACCAGACAGATTCACAACCCAATTCTACAAGGTGTACAAAGATCTGCTACCATTCCTACTAAACCTATTGCAAAAAAATGAGAAGGAGGGACTCCTCCCTAACTCATTCTACGAGGCCAGCATCACCCTGATACCAAAACCCGACAGAGACACAACAAAAGTAGAAAACTTCAGGCCATATCCTTGATGAACACTGATGAAAATATCATCAACAAAATACTGGCAAACCGAATTCCACAGCACATCAAAAGGCTTATCCACCATGATAAAATTGGCTTTATCCCTGGGATGCAAGATCAGTTCAACATATGCACATCAATAAATGGGATTCATCTCATAAGCAGAACTAAAGACAAAAACCACATGATTATCACAATAGATGCAGGAAAGGCTTTCAGTGAAATTCAACACTCCTTCATGTTAAAAACTCTCAATAAACTAGGTAATGAGGTAACATATCTCAAAATAATAAGAGCCATCTATGACAAACACACAGCCAACATCATACTGAATGGGCAAAAACTGGAAACCACCTTTTGTCCCTTGAAAACCAGCACGAGAAGAGGATGCACTCTCCCACAACTCCCAATCAACATAGTATTGGAAGTTCTGGCCAGAGCATTCAGGTAAGAGAAATAAAAAAAGGGAATATGAATAGGAAGAGAGGAAGTCAAACTATCCCTGTGTGCAGGCAACATGATCCTATATCTAGAAAACCACACAGTGTCAGCCCAAAAGCTCTTAAGCTGATAAGCAACTTCAGCAAAGTCTCAGGAAAATCACTAGCATTCCTATACACCAACAACAGTTAAGCCACGAGCTAAATCAGGAATGCTATTCCATTCCATTCCATTCCATTCCTAAAACACTGCCAAAGAAATCAGAGATTATACAAATGCAAATATGGGATCATGAATAGACAGAATCAATATCACTAAAATGGCCATACAGTCCAAAGCAATGTATAGATTCAATGCTATTCCTATCAAACTACAGATGCCATTTTTCAAATAAATAGAAAATACTATTTTAAAATTCATGTGGAACCAAAAAGAGCCCAAATAGTTCACCAAAGCAAAAAGAGCAAAGCTGGAGGCATCACAATACCTGATTTCAAACTATACTAACAAGCTACAGTAACCAAAACAGCATGGTACTGGTACAAAAATAGACACATAGACCAATATAACAGGATAATGAGCCCAAAAAGAAGGCCACATACCTACAACTATCTGATCTTCAACAAAGCTAAAAATGAAACAGGCAGTGGGGAAACAAACAATCCCCTAATTGAATAAATGGTGCTAGGATAACTCACTAGCCATATGCAGAAGACTGAAACTGGACCCCTTCCTTACGCCTTATTCAAAAATCAACTCAATATGGATTAAAGACTTAAATGTGAAATCCAAAAGTATAAAAATACTGGAAGAAAACTTAGGCAATACCATCCTGGATCTACAAAAAGGCAATGATTTCATGACGAAGACACAGGAAGTAATTGCAACAAAAGCAAAAATTGACAAATGGCATCTAGTTAAACTAAAGAGTTTCTACACAGTGAAAGAAACTATCAATTGAGTGAACTGAAAACCTACAGAATTGAAAAAAGTTTTGCAAACTATGCATCCAAGAAGGGTCTAATATTCAATATCTATAAGGAACTTAAACAAATTTACAAGGTAAAAACAACCCCATTTAAAAGTGGGCAAAGGACATGAACAGACCCTTCTCAAAAGAAGACATACATGCAGCCAACAATCATATAGGAAAAAAAAAACTGCTCAATGGCCAGGTGTGGTGGTTCACGCCTGTAATCCCAGCTTTTTAGGAGGCTGAGGTAGGCAGATCACTTGAGGTCAGGAGTTCAAGACCAACCTGCCCAACATGGTGAAACCCCGTCTCTACTAAAAATACAAAACAAAACAAAAAAGATAGCCAGGTGTGGTGGCATGTGCCTGCAATCCCAGCTACCCGCAAGGCTGAGGCATGAGAATTGCTTGAACCCAGGAGGCGGAGGTTGCAGTGAGCTGAGATTATGCAACTGCAGTCTAGCATGGGCAACAGAGCAAGACTACCTCTAAAAAAAAAAAATCAAAACCACATGAGATAACATCTCATACCCATACAGTTATTATTAAAATGTCAAAAAAAAAAACCAGATGGTGGCAAGATTGCAGAGAAAAGGGAATGCTTATACACTGTTGGTGGGAGTGTAAATTAATTCAACCATGGTGGAAAACAGTATGGCGATTCCTCACAGACATAAAAACAGAACTACCATTCAACTCAGCAATCCCATTACTGGGTATATACTCAAATAATATGAATTGTTCTATCATAAAGACATGAATGAATATGTTCATTGCAGCACTATTCGCAATAGGAAAGACACAGAGTCATCTGAAATGCCCATCAATAGTAGATTGGATTTTTTTTTTTAAAAAAAGAAGCATTATAAGTACACTGTAGATTACGCAGCCATAAAAAAGAATGAGATCATGTCCTTGGCAGAAACATAGATGGAGCTGGAGGCCATTATCCTTAGCAAACTAATGCAGGAACAGAAAACCAAATACTGCATGTTCTCACTTATAAGTGGGAGCTAAATGATAAGAACACATGGACACATATCAGGGAACAACAGACACTGGAGCTTACTCAAATGTGAGGGGTGGGAAGAGGGAAAGGATCAGAAAAAATAACTATTGGGTACTAGGCTTAGTACCTCAGTGAGATAATAGTCTGTACAACAAATGTCCATGACACAAGTTTACCTATATAACAAACTTGAACATGTACCCCTGAACTTAAAATAAAAAATTAAAAATTAAATAAACTAAATAAATAAATACATAAAAATAAAAACATGTTTTGACAGCCTTGGTCTAGAATCATGACTGACCAGTGAATTCTGAAAATCAAGACTTTGGTTCAGTACATAAATTTGATGGATGCCTTGATTTCCATGTTATGCTTTTTGGAAATGTATATATTCAATTTAATTTTAATATATAGTATAGTCACTAATAATGTTTCCTTGAGAAAGACAAAAATCTAATACTAGATGCACAGATTAGCCATTGTTGAAGAAGATTTTCTTCACTGAGTTACTTAAATTTTTTTATGTTAATGGTTTTAATGTTTAATGTTGGCAGTGAAGTAGTTAAAAGTTTAACATTGGGCAAAAGAAAATGTTCTGTCCAAACAAACTGCTCAGTAAGCCCAGTGCTCATAAATCCACTCTAGGAAAGCTCCTCACAAATAGCTGGCAATTAAGGCAGACACAAAGAGCAACACTCTCAGCCAAAGCACTACAAAGCCTCCTCACAGACCCAGAATTGTTGTCATTACCAGACATGAACAAAGCATCTAATATGACAACTGCTCTCTGGGGCCTCAAAACAGGCTTGAGGTTTGGTAAGGCAGTGATGGATGCCTTTCAGGAGGCTGGTGAATCATACCTGGTGGGATTTTGCAGCATGCTCACATATGTACCATCCTTTCTCAATAATTAGTTCATCATACACATATATATCCAGTTGGCCAATTGGTTATATACAGAGGCAGTTTGTATGGTGTTTTGTAATTAATTGTGTAAACTATGTTAATTTTAACGTGTGACATATTTGTAAAAAGTTGTTTATAATATGCTGCATTTTTACTTAAGTAAGCCCATTTTTTGCTTAGATCATAATCATGCTTCTGTAGGTTAATGATTTTTTGGTTAGCTCTTAAGGTACTATAATTGATATACTTGTATACAGGGTCCTTATAAAATACAGCTCATACCTAAATCCAGATATTTAATAATTGGGCCCATTAAGTCCAATCACACATCACTATGACAGAGCAAAAGCTTTTCAAAGGGTATAATTTTTCTATGTAATAATTTACAGTACCCTAAAAAAAGTAAATCTGGCATCAGATTTACTGATAGAATATACCATATGCATTTATCATAATGATTTTATGTATTTTGGTGCTATTTATGTATTTTTTATATATTTTAAAATTAAATATTGTACATTGATACATAGGAGAGCTTATCATTAAGGTGGGTGTACAGGTAGTTTTCTCCTGACTAGACTATAATTGTTTTCGTAAAAATAAGATGTTATGCTACATTATAACTTTCATATGCCCCCATTGCACCACATATTAACCAACCTTATAACTGACAATACTAATACTACACTAGGATTTCATACGGACATTATATTAAAACATAAAAATTGCTTATGTCAGCATTCTGAAGCAGATATTACATATTTTCAATAGTGGTATGGTTGATGTCATAACTAGGTTGGATTTTTATTCTCTATTAAGAGAAAACTAAATACAGGAGAAGCTGTATGCCTTCTGCAGTATTATTGTAACAACACTTAGAGTAAATTTTCTATTCCAATCAATAGAAAAAGAGGGAATCCTCCCTAACTCATTTTATGAGGCCAGCATCATTCTGATACCAAAGCCGGGCAGAGACACAACCAAAAAAGAGAATTTTAGACCAATAGCCTTGATGAACATTGATGCAAAAATCCTCAGTAAAATACTGGCAAACGGAATCCAGCAGCACATCAAAAAGCTTATCCACCATGATCAAGTGGGCTTCATCCCTGGGATGCAAGGCTGGTTCAATATATGCAAATCAATAAATGTAATCCAGCATATAAACAGAGCCAAAGACAAAAACCACATGATTATCTCAATAGATGCAGAAAAAGCCTTTGACAAAATTCAACAACCCTTCATGCTAAAAACTCTCAATAAATTAGGTATTCATGGGACGTACTTCAAAATAATAAGAGCTATCTATGACAAATCCACAGCCAATATCATACTGAATGGGAAAAAACTGGAAGCATTCCCTTTGAAAACTGGCACAAGACAGGGATGCCCTCTCTCACCACTCCTATTCAACATAGTGTTGGAAGTTCTGGCCAGGGCAATTAGGCAGGAGAAGGAAATAAAGGGTATTCAATTAGGAAAAGAGGAAGTCAAATTGTCCCTGTTTGCAGAAGACATGATTGTATATCTAGAAAACCCCACTGTCTCAGCCCAAAATCTCCTTAAGCTGATAAGCAACTTCAGCAAAGTCTCAGGATACAAAATCAATGTACAAAAATCACAAACATTCTTATACACCAACAACAGACAAACAGAGAGCCAAATCATGAGTGAACTCCCATTCACAATTGCTTCAAAGAAAATAAAATACCTAGGAATCCAACATACAAGGGATGTGAAGGACCTCTTCAAGGAGAACTACAAACCACTGCTCAAGGAAATAAAAGAGGATACAAACAAATGGAAGAACATTCCATGCTCATGGGTAGGAAGAATCAATATCGTGAAAATGGCCATACTGCCCAAGGTAATTTACAGATTCAATGCCATCCCCATCAAGCTACCAATGACTTTCTTCACAGAATTGGAAAAAACTACTTCAAAGTTCATATGGAACCAAAAAAGAGCCCGCATCACCAAGTCAATCCTAAGCCAAAAGAACAAAGCTGGAGGCATCACACTACCTGACTTCAAACTATACTACAAGGCTACAGTAACCAAAACAGCATGGTACTTGTACCAAAACAGAGATATAGATCAATGGAACAGAACAGAGCCCTCAGAAATGACGCCGCATACCTACAACTATCTGATCTTTGACAAACCTGAGAAAAACAAGCAATGGGGAAAGGATTCCCTATTTAATAAATGGTGCTGGGAAAACTGGCTAGCCATATGTAGAAAGCTGAAACTGGATCCTTTCCTTACACCTTATACAAAAATCAATTCAAGATGGATTAAAGATTTAAACGTTAGACCTAAAACCATAAAAACCCTAGAAGAAAACCTAGGCATTACCATTCAGGACATAGGCATGGGCAAGGACTTCATGTCCAAAACACCAAAAGCAATGGCAACAAAAGACAAAATTGACAAATGGGATCTAATTAAACTCAAGAGCTTCTGCACAGCAAAAGAAACTACCATCAGAGTGAACAGGCAACCTAAAAAATGGGAGAAAATTTTCGCAACCTACTCATCTGACAAAGGGCTAATATCCAGAATCTACAATGAACTCAAACAAATTTACAAGAAAAAAACAAACAACCCCATCAAAAAGTGGGCGAAGGACATGAACAGACACTTCTCAAAAGAAGACATTTATGCAGCCAAAAAACACATGAAAAAATGTTCATCATCACTGGCCATCAGAGAAATGCAAATCAAAACCACTATGAGATACCATCTCACACCAGTTAGAATGGCAATCATTCAAAAGTCAGGAAACAACAGGTGCTGGAGAGGATGTGGAGAAATAGGAACACTCTTACACTGTTGGTGGGACTGTAAACTAGTTCAACCATTGTGGAAGTCAGTGTGGCGATTCCTCAGGGATATAGAACTAGAAATACCATTTGACCCAGCCATCCCATTACTGGGTATATACCCAAATGACTATAAATCATGCTGCTATAAAGACACATGCACACGTATGTTTATTGCGGCATTATTCACAATAGCAAAGACTTGGAACCAACCCAAATGTCCAACAATGATAGACTGGATTAAGAAAATGTGGCACATATACACCATGGAATACTATGCAGCCATAAAAAATGATGAGTTCATGTCCTTTGTAGGGACATGGATGAAATTGGAAATCATCATTCTCAGCAAACTATCGCAAGAACAAAAAACCAAACACCACATATTCTCACTCATAGGTGGGAATTGAACAATGAGATCACATGGACACAGGAAGGGGAATATCACACTCTGGGGACTGTGGTGGGGTGGGGGGAGGGGGGAGGGATAGCATTGGGAGATATACCTAATGCAAGATGACGGGTTAGTGGGTGCAGCGCACCAGCATGGCACATGTATATATATGTAACTAACCTGCACAATGTGCACATGTACCCTAAAACTTAAAGTATAATAAAACAAAACAAAAAAAAAGAGTAAATTTTCTTTGGAGAGTAGGATGAAAGGAACAAATTCCAAGCTTATCAAAGCTTATTAGAATCTATGCCATCTAATACAATTTAGAGATTAAGATATATCTGGTATAAACATCTTGGAAAAGGTACTTTATAGAGGTAGTCTTCAAAATGTTTTATTTTTATTTCAATAGGTTTTTGGGGAACAGGTGGTATTTGGTTACATGAATGAGTTCTTTAGTGGTGATTTCTGATACTTTTGTGCACCCATCACCTGAGCAGTGTACACTGTATTCAATGTGTAGTCTTTTATCCCTCACCTCCCTCCCACCCTTTCCCCTGAATCCCCAAAGTTCATTGTATCATTCTTATGCATTTGCATCCTCATAGCTCAGCTCTCACTTATGAGTGAGAATATACGATATTTGGTTTTCCATTCCTGAGTTACTTCACTTAGAATAACAGTTTCCAATTCCATCCAGGTTGCTGCAAATGCTACTATTTCATTACTTTTTCTGTCTGAGTAGTATTCCATGGCACATATATATCTACATCTATATCTATATATCTATATCTATGTCTATGTCTATATCTATGTCTATGTCTATATCTATATCTATCTCACATTTTATTTTTCCACTCTGATTGATGGGCATTTAAGCTGGTTCCATATTTTTGCAATTGCAAATCGTGCTGCTATAAACATGCATGTGCAAGTATCTTTTTTCGTATAATGACTTCTTTTCACTGGGTAGATACGCAGGAGTGGAATTGCTGGATCAAATGGTAGTTCTACTTCTAGTTCTTTAAGGAATCTTCACACTGTTTTCCATAGAGGCTGTACTAGTTTACATTTCCGCCAACAGTTTAAAAGTGTGCCCTTTTCACCATATCCATGCCAACATCCATTACTTTTTTTTATTTTTTTGACTATGGCCATTCTTGCAGAAGTAATGTGATATCACACTGTGGTTTTGATTTGAATTTCCCTGATCCTTAGTGCTGTTGAGCATTTTTTTCCATATGTTTTTGGCCATTTGTATATCTTCTTTTGAGAATTGTCTATTCATGTCCTTAGCCCACATTTTGATGGGATTTTTTTTCTTGCTGATTTGTTTGAGTTCCTTGTAGATTCCAGATATTAATACTTTGTCAGATGTATAGATTATGAAGATTTTATCTCACTCTCTGGGATGTCTGTTTATTCTACTGATTATTTCTTTTGCTGTGCAGTAACTTTAGTTTATTTAAGTCCCATCTATTTATCTTTGATTTTGATACATTTGTTTTTGGGTTCTTGATCATAAAATCTTGGCACAAGCCAATGTCTAGAAGGATTTTTCCAATGTTATCTTCTAGAATTTTTATGGTTTCAGGTCTTAGATTTAAGACTTTGATCCATCTTGAGTTGATTTTTATATAAGGTGAGCGATATGGTTTTGCTGTGTTCCACACGAATCTCATCTTGAATTGTAGCTCCTATAATTCATGTTGTGGGAGAAACCCAGTGGGAGATCATTGAATCATGGGCGTGCTTTCCTCCATACTGTCTCATAGTAGTAAATAAGTCTCACAATAACTGATGGTTTTATAAGAGGAAACCCCTTTTGCTTGATTTTCATTCTCTTCTCTTTTCTGCTGCCATGTGGGATGTGACTTTCACCTTCTGCTCTGATTGTGAGGTCTCCCCAGCTGCATGGAACTGTGAGTCCATTAAACCTCTTTCTTTTGTAAATTGTCCAGTCTCAGGTATGTATTTATCAGCAGCAGGAAAATGGACCAATACAGTGAGAGGTGAGGATTCAGTTTCATTTTTTTACATTCAATGCAATTTCCATCAAAATACCAACATTATTCTTCATAGAACTAGAAAAAAAATCCTAAAATTCATATGGAACCAAAAAAGATCCCACATAGCCAAAGCAAGGTGAAGCAAAAAGAAGAAATCTGGAGGAATCACATTACCCAACTTTAAACTATACTATAAGGCCATAGTCACCAAAACAGCATGGTACTAGTATAAAAAAAGGCACATAGAGCAATGGAACAGAATAGAGAACCAGAAATAAAGCCAAATGTTTACAGTCAACTAATCTTCAACAAAGCAAACAAAAACATAAAGTGTAGAAAGAATACCCTATTCAACAGAAGGTGCTGGGTACTGGTATGACAAATGGTACTGATTTGTGTATATTAATTTTGTATTCTGAAACTTTGCTGAATTCATTTACCAGTTCTAGGAGCTTTCCAGATGTGTCTTTAGGGTTTTGTAGGTATACAATCATGTCATCAGCAAACAGTGACAGTTTGACTTCCTCTTTACCAATTTGGATGCCCTTGATTTCTTTCCCTTGTGTGATTTCCAGTAATATGTTGAATAGAAGTGGTGAAAGTGGGCATCCTTGTCTTGTTTCAGTTCTCAGGGGGAAGGCTTTCAACTTTTCCCCATTCAATATAATGTTGGTTGTGGGTTTGTCATAGATGGCTTGACATATCTTAAGGTATGGCCTGTCATACCTTAAGGTATGCGCCTTCTATGCCGATTTTACTGAGGGATGCTAGATTTTGTCAAATGCTTTTTCTGCATCTATTGAAATGACCATGTAATTTTTGTTTTTAATTCTATTTATGTGGTGTATCACATTTATTTACTGTTGGGTGTTAAAACATCCCTGCATACTTTGTATGAAACCCACCTGATCATGGTAGATTATTTTTGATATGCTGTTGGATTCCATTCACCAGTATTTCATAGAGGATTTCTGCATCTATGTTCATCAGGGATATTGGTCTGTAGTTCTCTTTTTTTGTTGTGTCCTTTCCTGGTTTTGGTATTAGGGTGACACTGGCTTCATAAAATGATTTGAGGAGGATTCCATCTTTCTCTGTATTTTGGAATAGTGTCAATAACATGGGTACCAAATCTTCTTTGCATGTCTGATAGAATTCAGCTGTGTACCCTGGGTTTTTTGTTGTTGTTGGCAATTTTTTTATTACCATTTCAATCTCGTTGCTTGCTGTTGGTCTGTACAGGTTTCTATTTCTTTCTGCTTTAAACTAGGAGCATTGTATATTTCCAGGAATTTATCAATCTTCTCTAGGTTTTCTAGTTTATGCATGTAAAGGTGTTCATAGTAGCCTTGAGTGATCTTTTGAATTTCTATGGTATCAGTTGTAATATCTCCTGTTTCTTTTCTAGTTGAGCTTATTTGGATTCTCTTATTTTCTTGGTTAATCTCCCTAACGGTCTATCAATTTTATTTGTCTTTTCAAAGAACCAGTTTTTTATTTCATTTATCTTTTGTATATTTTTGTTTCAGTTGTATTTAGTTCTGCTCTGATCTTGGTTATTTCCTTTCTTCTGCTGAGTTTGGGCTTGATTTGTTCTTGTTTCTCCAGTTCCTTGAGGCATGACCATAGATTGTCTATATATGCTTTTTCAGAATTCCTGATGTAGGCATTTAAATGTTTAAACTTTTCTCTTAGTAAGGGAGGAGACCACCCCTCATATTGACTTATGCCCAATTTCTGCCTCCAAAGAAAGAAGAAGTAAAAACTAAAAGGCAGAAATGAATTCCATAAGCAGACAGCCCGGCACCACACCCTGGGCCTGGTAGTTAAAGATCAACCCCAGCCTAATCGGTTATGTTATCTGTAGATTACAGACACTGTATAGAAAAGCACTGTAAAAATCCCTGTCCTGTTCTGTTCCATTCTAATTACCAGTGAATGCAGCCCCCAGTCACATACCCCCTGCTTTCTCAATAGATCACAACCCTCTCACACAGACCCCCTTAAAGTTGTGAGCCCTTAAAAGGGACAGGAATTGCTCACTCAGGGAGCTCAGTTGTTGGAGACATGAGTCTTGCCGAAGCTCCCGGCCGAATAAAACCCTTCCTTCTTTAACTCAGTGTCTGAGGGGTTTTATCTGTGGCTTTTCCTGCTACATTTCTTGGTTCCTTGACCAGGAAGCAAGGTGATTAACAGATAGTCGAGGCAGCCCCTTAGGCGGCTTAGGCCTGCCCTGTGGAGCATCCCTGCGGGGGACTCTGGCCAGCTTGAGTGACACAGATCCTGAGAGTGCTCCCAAGTAGGCAATTGCCCCAGTGGAATGCCTTGCCAGAGCAGCGCATGGCAGGCCCCTGTGGAGGATCAATGCAGTGGCTGAACACCGGGAAGGAAATGGCACCTGGAGTCCAGACATCTGAAAGTTGGTAAGACTAGTCTTTGGAACTTGCCTACTCCATTTGAGTGGAAGCGTGGCCTGATCACCCATGGTGTGCCTGTACCAGCACTTTAGTTCTTTTTTTTGACTTGACTTGGATTGCTTGATACTTTGGTTTTAGTTTTGACCTGGCTTGGATTTCTTGATACTCTGATTTTGGTTTTGATTCTGCTTTGGTGTAAACTGTAAAAGTGTTTATGTGCCCTTTTTACCCATTCTTTGTTTTGTGGTGTGTGTGTGATGTAAGCGTGGTGTTTTGTCTTGAAGAAGCATGGGTCAGGCACAAAGTAAGCCCACTCCACTAGGAACTATGTTGAAAAATTTCAAGAAAGGATTTAAGGGAGACGATGGAGTACTATTACACCAGGAAAAGTTAAAACTTTTTGTAAGATAGACTGGCCAGCATTAGAGGTGGGTTGGCCATCAGAAGGAAGCCTGGACAGGTCCCTTGTTTCAAAGGTATGGCACAAGGTAACCTGTAAGCCAAGGTACCCAGACCAGTTCCCATATATAGACACTTGGTTACAGCTGGTTTTAGACCCCTCCACCACCAACCCCCACCACAGTGGTTGAGAGAGCAGCAGCATAAGCAGCTGGCAGAGGTAAGGAAAGATCAGCAGAGAGAGAGAGAAAGAGAGAGGCAGAGAGAGAGAAAGAGACAGAGGTAAAAGGAAAGTCAAAGAGAAAAAGAGACAGAAAATCAGAGACAGAGAGAGAGAAAGAAAGAGAGAGAGAGAGAGATACAAGTAGTTAAGAAAAAAAAAGTGTACCCTATTCCTTTAAAAGCCAAGGTAAATTAAAAACCTATAATTGGTAATTGAAGGTATTCTCTGTAACCCTATAACACTCCAATACCACTTTGTTGTCAGTGTAAACAAGGGCATATCCAGAAAGCACTGAAGCCTTCCTATCAAAAATCCTTAACCCAGTAACCCCTGGATGGCCCAAATGCATTCAATCTATAGCAGCAAGAGCTTTGCTAACAGAAAAAAGTAAAAAAATAACTTTTAGAGGAAACCTCATTGTGAGCACACCTCACCAGTTGAGAAGTATCCTAAGGCAATAAAAGAAAAGGATGATTTAACATTAACCACTGAAAATTCCCTTAACCCAGCAGGTTTCCTAACAGGGGAACTAAATCTTAATTACCATACAAAGTTCCAACCAGACCTAGGAGGAACTCCCTTCAGGACAGGACAATCAATGGTTCCTCCCAGGTAACTGAAGGAAAAAAAAAAAAAGTCATCTATACCAATTCTAAGTTAATTTGGACAAAACAAGGTCTGATTAATAGCAAAGGATAATTAAAATCCCAAACTTACAAGGTTTTCAACAAAAGTAAAGTTTGCTAAAAGTTAACAATATAACATATATTATAGTAATTTCTAATCTTGTGGCCTTAGACAGTCTAGTCCACAGACATAAAAGAAGTTCACTTTGGAAAAGAATGGTTATCATCTTCAAAAAAAAAAAAAAGCGGGGGAAAGAGGGGCTGCAGAATTTAGTAAAAAGAGTGTTATATGGTAAATTCTTATCCTGAAATACATTAACTGGTTGTTTAAAGAAAGAAATGTTTGTAATAAGTCAGAAAGTTAAGGCATGTCGAAGAATTGTCTGTGAAAGTCGTGAAAGAGAAAAATGTTATAAAAAAGAATTTATGCAAGAAATGTTGTATAATTTAAAACTAACTAGGCTTCCTAAATGTAAAACTATTGGAAAAAAAAAGTTTATGTGCAAGGTGTATAAGGAACGTAAAATATGCCTTTGGTAAAAAGATTAGAAGGAGGCATAAGAATGTAAATTTTTACCTACATTAAAAGGTTAAAAAAAATTGTTTTGAAGGTTTTGGCAAGTTTTAAAATGTTAATTATAAAAAAAATCTGTGTGTAAACATATTAGCTAATGTTAAAGGGGTATCATCCAGTTTTTCTGTGAACTGGACATTAAAGTAAAAACACAATGGGTTTTTCTTAAAGCACTAACCTGCTCTTTAACAAAGATTATAAAAGGTTAAAAAGAGTCTATAAAAATCTTACCTTATGGTCCGACATTAAAAACTGAATAAATACGTATACAAAGTTTTACTAAAACTAAGTTTAACATTAATAGTATACTAATATAAAGGTGAAATTTAGCTTATCTGGCATAAAAATCATACAAGAAGCATTATTAAATATAAAATGGTGTTTGGGTTTCTTTGGTCTAGAAACTAATAAAAATAGGTGCTAAAGGAAATTTCTCAGTAAGAAGGCACCAAAGACTACAAAGTCCACTGTTGATGTCCCCACATTTAAAACAAAAAGTCAATTTCTTAGAAATTATATACTTCGTTTATCTTCCACTTTCCTTTCCCTCAAAACTAAAAGTCTTTTAGCACAGGTACCACCACTAGAATTTCCAGTAAACCAGCACCAGCCTGAAGATCACCTTCTTATCAAAGGGCAGAAAGAAGAAAAACTCTAGCCAGCCTAGGAAGGACCCTACCTTGTGCTGCTAACCTCCGAGACTGCTGTTCGTACAGCAGAAAAGGGATGGACTCATCACACCTGAGTTAAAGCGCCACCCCCTCCAGACTCCTAGACTGCAGTCTCAGGGGAAAACCCTACCAAACTAAAGCTAAGAAAAATTTAACTCTTTCATCTATTCTATTGCTCTTTCTTCTTTCCTCGTTCTATTGCTGACCGTCTGGTTATTAACATAACCAAGTCGATTTTGCCTCAAACTATTGTATTTAATGCTTGCCTTGTTATACCCTGTGGGGACTTGCCAAGTCAAAGACAGCTCTCTACTTCAGAAAAGTACCTCTGTCCCTCCTGACTCTCCTCAGACTGGGCATTAGTAAATTAGGACCATTTAATCTGGGGAAATTTCAATAAAGACTCCAATGTCAACCAGGAGTCTTGCTCCCCAAATGTAGAGCTTTTATGCCATAGTTGGCCCAACATTCTGTGGACCACTAGAGAGCAAGGATGGACTGCCCCAACCAGTTTTTTTAATTTCCCAAAATCATACATTCATTTTACTAGAGGATCATAGAAGTTAAAGACTTAAAACAAACTTTGGCAATTAAGACAGCATACCAAGATGCAAATGCCTGGTTGGAATGGATCAAATATTCCATCCACACGTTAAAAAAAAGCAATTGTTATGCTTGTGCACATGGCAAGCCAGAGGCCCAGATTGTCCCCTTTCCACTAAGGTGGTCCTCCAGTCAACCAGGTGTGGGCTGCATGGTAACCCTTTTCCAGGATTCTACAGCCTGGAGTAATAAGTCATGCCAAGCTCTCTCTGCTGTATCCCAAAGTCTGGCACCCTGCGGGTCAGCCCCCAAGGGCCATCCAACCTCCGTCTCCCAACATAAGTTCACTTTGTGTCTCTCATGACAGGGAGGAAACTTAGCATTCCTTGGAGACCTGAAAGGATGCAGTGAGCTTAAACATTTTCAAGAGCTTACTAATCAGTCAGCCCTTGTTCATCCCTGAGCAGATGTGTGGTGGTATTGTGGTAGACCTTCACTGGGCACTCTGCCAAATAACTGGAGTGGCACTTGTACATTAGTCCAATTGGCTATCCCTTTCACCCTGGCATTTCATCAACCATAGGGAGGAAAAATAAGACATCGTAACACAAGAGAAGCCCCTTATGGGTCTTTTGACTCTCACATCCATTTAGATGCAATTGGAGTCCCACAGAGAATACCAGATTAATTAAAAGCTTGAAATCAAATAGCTGCAGGATTTGAGTCAATATTTTGGTAGGTGACAGTTAATAAAAATGTAAATTGGATAAACTACATCTATTACAACCAACAGCAATTACCTTTTCACGAGTTAAAAGAAAAACTCATGTCAGCCCGAGCCCTGGGGCTATTTGACCCGACAAAACCCTTTACACCCTATGTATCAGAAAGAGAAAAAAATGGCAGTTGGACTTTTAACCCAGACTGTGGGGCCCTGGCCAAGGCCAGTGGCCTAGCTTTCAAAACAACTAGGCAGGGTTTCCAAAGTCTGGCCCCCATGTCTAAGGGCCCTGGCAGCAATGGCCCTGTTAGCACAAGAAGCAGACAAAATAACCCTTGGGCAAAATCTGAATATAAAGGCCCCCCATGCTGTGGTAACTTTAATGACAACCAAAGGACATTATTGGTTAACAAATGCTAGATTAACCAAGTACCAAAGCTTGCTATGTGAAAATCTCCACATAACCATTGAAGTTTGCAACACCCTAAATCCCGCCACCTTGCTCCCAGTATCAGAGAGCCCGGTCAAGCATAACTGTGTAGAGGTGTTGGACTCAGTTTATGCTAGGAGGCCCAACCTCTGAAACCATCCTTGAACATCAGTAGACTGTGAGTGGTACGCGGACAGGAGCAGCTGTGCCAACCCCTGCAAAGTGACTCTGAAGAAGACGACAAGCCCTGTTCCAGTCACACCCGGAAGCTGACTGGTCCACGCACAGCCGAAGCATGAGAAAACTCATTGCGGGGACTCATTTTCCTTAAAATTCAGACTTGTACAGTAAGGACTTATTAACTGACCTTCCTCAGAATGAGGACTGTTCCCAGTGTATACATCAAGTTACTGAGGTAGGACAAAAATGTGCTACAGTCCTATTATTTTATGATTATTATAAGTGTACCGGGAATCTAAAAAAAACTTGTTTGTATCATGCTATCCTATGCAAGGTATGTAGCCCAGGAAATGACCAACCTGATGTGTGTTATGATCCATCTGAGCCTCCCATGACCACAGTTTTTGAAGTAAGATTAAGGTCTGAGGACTGGTGGGGGCTCATAAATGATATGAGTAATGTGTTAGCCAAAACAAAAGAAAAAGGGGTGCCCAAACAAGTCACCTTGAAGTTTGATGCCTGTGCTGTTATTAATAGTAATGTTAGGAATAAGATGTGGTTCTTTTAATTAGGAAAGAGGCTATATGGCAGAAAATAAGTACATTTGTCATGAGTTAGGACTGTGTGGAAATGAATGTGGATGCTGGTCTTGTGTCATTTAGGCTACTTGGATAAAAAATAAAAAGGATGCTGTCCACCTTCAGAAAAGGAAAAGTGGCCCTTCCTGTACCAGTGGTCAGTGTAACCCCTTAAAGCTAGTAATAACCAACCCCCTTGATCCTTGCTGGAAAAAAGGGGAGTGTGTAGACCTAGGAATCGATGGGGTTGGACTGGATCCTTGAGTAAATATCGTGGTTTGAGGAGAAGTTTATAAACGTGCTCCTGAGCCAGTATTTCAAACCTTCTATGATAAACTGAATGTGCCAGTACCAGAAATTCCAGGAAAAACAAGAAATTTGTTTTTGCAATTAGCTGAGCATGTAGCCCAGTCTCTCAATGTCACTTCCTGTTATGTATGTAGAGGAACTGTAATGGGAGATCAATGGCCATAGGAAGCCCAATAATTAGTACCTACAGACCCAGTTCCTGATGAATTCCTGGCTCAAAAGAATCACCCTGATAACTTTTGGGTCCTAAAAGCCTCAATCATTAGACAATACTGTATAGCAAGAGTCGGAAAGGACTTCACCTTTCCTGTGGGAAGACTCAGCTGCCTCGGGCAAAAACTGTATAGTAATACTACAAAAACAGCCACCTAGTGGAGTTCAAACCACACTAAGAAAAATCCATTTAGTAAATTCCCAAAGTTGCAAACTCTGTGAACCCACCCAGAGTCCCACCGGGACTGGACAGCCCCCACTGGATTATACTGGATTTGTGGGCATAGAGCTTACACCAAAATACCCGACCAGTGGGCAGGTAGTTGTGTTATTGGCACTATTAAACCATCTTTCTTCCTACTGCCTACAAAGACAGGTGAACTCCTGGGCTTCCCTGTCTGTGCTTCCCACAAAAAGAGAAGCATAGCTATAGAAAATTTAAAAGATGATACATGGCCCCCTGAGAGAATCATACAATACTATGGTCCTGGTACTTTGGCACAAGACAGCTCGTGGGGATACCCGACCCCCATTTACATGCTCAACTGAATCATATGGTTACAAGCTGTCTTAGAAATAATCACTAATAAGACCAGCAGAGCCTTGACTATTCTTGCCTGGCAAGAAACTCAGATGAGAAATGCTATCTATCAAAATAGATTGGCTCTCGACTACTTGCTAGCAACTGAAGGAGGGGTCTGTAGAAAATTTAACCTTACTAATTGCTGTCTACACATAGACGATCAAAGGCAAGTAGTTGAAGACATAGTTAGAAATATGACAAAACTGGCACATGTGCCCGTGCAAGTGTGGCATGGATTCGATCCTGGGGCCATGTTTGGAAAGTGGTTCCCAGTGCTAAAAAGATTTAAAACTCTTATAATAGGAGTTATAATAGTAATAGAAACCTGCTTACTGCTTCCTTGCTACCTGTACTTCTTCAAATGATAAAAAGCTTCATTGCTACCTTAGTTCACCAAAATACTTCGGCACAAGTGTACTATATGAATCACTATCGATCTGTCTTGCAAGAAGACATAGGTAGTGAGAATGAAAGTGAGAACTCCCACTATTGAGTGAGATTCTCAAAGTGGGGGAATAAGGGAGGAGACCACCCCTCATATTGTCTTATGCCCAACTTCTGCCTCCAAAGAAAGAGGAAGTAAAAACTAAAAGGCAGAAATGAAATCCACAAACAGACAGCCCGGTGCCACACCCTAGGCCTGGTAGTTAAAGATTGACCCCTGACCTAATCAGTTATGTTATCTATAGATTACAGACATTGTATAGAAAAGCACTGTAAAAATCCCTGTCCTGTTCTGTTCCATTCTAATTACCGGTGCATGCAGCCCCCAGTCACGTACCCCCTGCTTGCTCAATCGATCACGACCCTCTCATGTGGACCCCCTTAAAGTTGTGAGCCCTTAAAAGGGACAGGAATTGCTCACTCAGGGAGCTCGGTTGTTGGAAACATGAGTCTTGCTGAAGCTCTCAGTCGAATAAAGCCCTTACTTCTTTAACTCAGTGTCTAAAGGGTTTTGTCTGTAGCTTGTCCTGCTACATTTGCACCACTATTGTATCCCAGAGGTTTCGATAGGTTGTGTCACTATTATTGCTCATGTCAAAAGGTTTTTTAAATTTCTATCTTGATGTCATTGTTGATCCAATGATCATTCAAGAGCAGGTTATTTAATATCTAGGTATTTGAGTGGTTCTGAGGGTTCCTTTTGGAGTTGAATTCCCATTTTATTCCACTGTGGTCAGAGAGAGTATTTTATATAATTTCAGTTTTCTTAAATTTGTTGAGACTTGTTTTGTCTATCTTGGACTTTGTCTATCATATAGTCTATCTTGGAGAACATTCTATGTGCTGATGAATAGAATGCATATTCTGCAGTTGTTGGTAAAATGTTCTGTAAATATCTGTTAAGTCCAATTGTTCTAGGTATAGTTTAAGTCCATTGTTCCTTTGTTGACTTTCTGTCTTGATGACCTATCTAGTGCTGTCAGTGGAATATTAAAGTCCCCCACTATTATTCTGTTGCTGTCTGCCTCATTTTTTAGGTCTTGTTTTATAAATTTGGGGGCTCCAGTGTTAGGTGCATATATATTTAAGATTGTTATATTTTCCTGTTGCATTAGTCCTTTTATTATTATATAATGTCTGTTCCTCTTTGCCTTTTTTAACTGCTGTTGCTTTAAAGTTTGTTTTGTCTGATATAAGAATAGCTACTCCTGCTCACTTTTGGTGTCCCTTTGCATGGAATATCTTTTTCCCCCCTTTTACCTTAAGTTTATGTGAGTCCTTATGTATCAGGTGAGTCCCTTGAAGACAGTAGATACTTAGTTGGTGAATTCGTATCTATTCTGCTATTCTGTATCTTTTAAATGGAGCATTTAGGCCATTTACATTAAATGTTAGTAGTGAGATGTAAGGTATTGTTCTATTCATTGTGCTGTTTGTTGCCTGAATACCTTGGCTTTTTTTCATTGTTGCTGTTTTATAGGTCCTGTGAGGTTTATGCTTTAAGGAGGTTCTATTTTGGTGTAGTTTGAGGATTGGTTTCAAGTTTTAGAGTTCCTTTTAGCAGTTCTTGTAGTGCTGACTTGGTAGTGGCAAATTCTTTTCAGCATTTCTTTGTCTGAAAAACACAGTATCTTTCCTTCATTTACGAAGCTTAGTTTTGCTGGTTAAAAAATTCTTGGCTGATAATTGTTTAGTTTGAGGAGGCTGATGATAGGACCCAAAACCCTTCTACTTTGTAGGGTTTCTGCTGAGAAATCTTCTGTTAATCTGATAGGTTTTCCTTTATATGTTACCTGGTGCTTTTGCCTCCCAACTTTTTATAATTCTTTCCTTAGTTTTGACTTTAGATAACCTGACAGCTATGTACCTAGGCAACGATCTGTTTGAGAGGAATTTCCCAAGTGTTCTTTGAGCTTCCTGTTTTGGGGTGTCTAGATCTCTAGCAAGGCCAGGGAAATGTTCCTCTATTATTCCCTCAAATATGTTTTCCAAACTTTTAGATTTCTCTTCTTCCTCCCGAACACCAATTATTCTTAGGTTTGGTCATTTAACATAATCCCAAACTTCTTGGAGGCTTTTCTTTAAAATTATTTTTTCTTGGTCTTTGTTGGATTGAGTTAATTTAAAAGCCTTGTCTTTGAATTCTGAAGCTATTCTACTTCTTCAATTCTACTGCTGTGACTTTTCAGTGCATTTTGTCATACCATAACTATTTACTTATGCTGTCTATTTCACTGGATATTTTTTCATTTATATCCTGTATCATATTTTTAATTTCTTTAAGTTGTTATTCACCTTTCTCTGGTGCCTCCTTGATTAGCTTAATAGTCTACCTTCTGATTTTTTCTTCTGGCCATTCAGAGATTTTTATCTTGATTTGGATCCATTGCTGTAAGGTAGTTTGATCTTTGGGGATTGTTAAATAATTTGTTTTGTCATATTACCAGAATTGGTGTTCCAATTCCTTCTTATTTGGGTAGACTATGTTAGAGGGAAGATCTGGGACTCAGAGGCTGCTGTTCAAATTATTTTGTCCCACAGGGTGCTCCCTGGATGTGGTGCTCTCCCCTTTCCCTAGGGAGAAACTGCAGTGATTGTTATTTCTCTTCTGGATCCAGCCACCCAGCAGAGCTACTGGGCTCCAGACTGGCAATGGGGAGTGTCTGCAAAGAATCTTGAGATATAATCCGTCTTCATGTCTCTCAGCCATGGATATCAGCACCTGCTCCAGTGGAGGTAGCAGGGGAGTGAAGTGGACTATGTAAGAGTCCTCGGTTGTATTTTTATTAAGTGCATTGGTTTTGTGTTGTTTGGCCTCCAATCAGGAGGTGGTGCTTTCAAGAACACATCAGCTGCAGGTGTGTAGGGAGGATACATGCTTCTCATAGGGTCGCCTTTGGATAAGTGTTCAGTTTTGTCAGGTTGTACGCAGGGTCATAGAGCCTCTAAGAGATTGTGTTCGTTGTCTTTGGCTACCAGGAGTGCAGAATTAGGTGTGCCTGAACTCAGACTCTCCTTGGGCAGGGCTTGCTGTGGCTGCTTTGGGGGATGCAAGTGTGGTTCCCAGGCCAGTGGAGTTATGTTCCTAGGGGGATTATGGCTGCCTCTGCTGCATCACACAGGTCACCAGGGAAGTGAAAGAAAGATGACAGCCCACAGCCGAAAGGCTGGTCTCAATTGCACCATGCCTCCCCAACAGCACTGAGTTTATTTCCAGGTAGTTGGTGAGCAGGGCTGAGAACTTTCCCCAGGCTACAAGCCTCCCAACTGAGAAAGCAAGACAACTCACAGTCCCTTGGCTGTCCCATGGAGCTTGCAGCGGCAATGCACCTCCATCAAAGGGTCTGTGGATTCTCTCAGTGGTATGTTTCTGCTGTAGTTCCTGGAGCAAAGATTCATGATATGGATCTTCACATGCTGCTCTGTCCATCCCAGTGGGAGCTGCAAGTTAGTCTTCCTATCCACCATTTTCTCCTCCACCCCGAAGATGGTTTTAAAATTATTCTTCTACTGAAGGTTTTAGGTCAGTTATCTTGATTAAAATTTTAAATAAATGTTTGTTCATTTGGAAATTTAAATAAATTTCCAAAAAGGAATCATAGCAAAGAGAGAGAAACTTTACATGCACTCTCTTGAGATTGGGAGAAAGTTGAAGATGACCACTACCATCACTAGTATTGGTGATCCTGGCAAACATATATGGAAATGGAAAGGAATAAGAGATAGAAGAATAAAACTCTCA
Source organism: Homo sapiens (assembly GCF_000001405.40). Taxonomy (NCBI): domain Eukaryota; kingdom Metazoa; phylum Chordata; class Mammalia; order Primates; family Hominidae; genus Homo; species Homo sapiens. Next base: position 66,215,343 of record NC_000023.11, on the reverse strand, counting down.
ATATTTCTGGAATCAACAAACTAGTAAAACTAATAAGGGAGTTCAAGAAGACTACTAGATACAGGTTCAACTTACACAAATGAATAGCATTTCTCTACATTATAAATAATCTATTAGAAATATAATTTAAAAGTAGTAAGAAAAACTAAGAAGCATTAATGGATTAGCTTAACCAAGCATATGTACAACCTTTATGACAACATTTTTACAAAACTATAAAGTCATAGAAGACCATCTGAATAAATGGAAATCCATTCCAACAAATAATATAAAGATGTAAATTCTCTCCAAATTAATCTATAAATTTAATGCAATGTCAATCAAAATTTTAGCTGTATTTGAGAAACTTGAAACTTACTCTAAAATCTATATGGAAAAATAACATACACCTAAGTAAATCCTCAATAAAAGAGGTTTGTTCTTCAAATAGTAAGACAAATTTCAAACCCATAATAATAAAAATAATATGATATTATTGCAAGAACTGAATTGACAAATATAACAGAATAGATTGGAGACTGATTAATATATTTACAGAAACTAAACATGAAATAATGGTGGCAAAGCAACTCAAAGGGGGGAAAGTTGAATGGTTTAGAAGATGTTATTAAGAAAATTTTCTTTCTATATAAAGAAAAATTAAAAATGGATCTATAGCTAATAGCATATAAAAATGCAAACTCTGGTCTGATTACAGATTTGAATGTGAAAAAAGAAACTTATAAAGTTAACAGAAGATAATGCAGCAGAACGTCTTTGTGACCAAGGGTTGGGAAGGACTTGATAAACAAAATTTCAAAAGCACAAACTATGAGGCCAAAATTCCATTGATTTGATCACATCACATCAAGGATTTCTGTTCAACAAATGATATCACAAACAAAGTTAACAAGTAGATGACAAATCGGGAAAAGATATCTGCCATGTTTAAAACCTAGAAGGGATTAATGACTAAAATATAGCAACTACCGAAAATAAAAAAGAATATCTAGAAACCCCAATTCACAAGCTAATTGTCTTAACCAACAAAATATATCCAGAATTAGAAAACTTCTCACCCTTTCTACTTTATCAGGCTGGTCCAAGCTGCCATCATCTCTTACCTGAATTAATCCAGCCACCTTGGTCACTATTTACTGTATAACTCACTCCTTGAGTGATCTCATCCATATTATCACTTTAAATATCATCTACATGCTGATGACTCTCAAATTTCATTAAATTAAGATAGCTAGATCTACAGCACAGACCCTGTACTAATTCACATATCCAGTTTACCCAGTTGCAGGCATAGGTCAACTTACCACATGGAAGGGGGTAGTGCAATAGGGAGTGCTGAGATAAAAGAAACTGTAATCCTGCCCACTGGTAAGACATTTCCAGCAAACATTTTAGGTTCTGACTAATCAAATTAACATCTTTCTTGTCTGAAGCTGATGGAGTTCTAGAAGGCAGATTTGTGCAGTTAGTAATAGACTAGTATTATCTGTATTCCCATTGCTATTGACAAAGGCAGAAGCTTGGGTCTGCTTCAGGAATGTTTGTTTTGTCCTACTGATTTTTATTTACAGTATCATGTCACTTTAATTATTGTAACTTCATCTTTATAATATGCTATACTATTGGGTTACACTAGTGTGATTTCATCAGTATTTTTTTTTAATGTTTTGGCTCTTCTTGCCCAGGTATTCTTTATTTTTCCAAATGAACTTTGCATACAAGAATTTCATTGCAATACAAAAATATATCCAGTTGTAGTTATACAAAATAATAAAATACCTAGGAATAATAAAAATACATAGTAAAAATTTTAACCAAAGAGGTGAAAGAGCTTTACAATAGAAACTACAAACACTCATCATTTTTTATGGCTGCATAGTATTCCATGGTGTATATGTGCCACATTTTCTTAATCCAGTCTATCATTGTTGGACATTTGGGTTGGTTCCAAGTCTTTGCTATTGTGAATAGTGCCACAATAAACATGTCCTTTGTAGGGACATGGATGAAATTGGAAATCATCATTCTCAGTAAACTATCACAAGAACAAAAAACCAAACACCGCATATTCTCACTCATAGGTGGGAACTGAACAATGAGAACACATGGACACAGGAAGGGGAACATCACACTCTGGGGACTGTTGTGGGGTGGGGGAAGGGGGGAGGGATAGCATTGGGAGATAGACCTAATGCTAGATGATGAGTTAGTGGGTACAGCGCACCAGCATGTCACATGTATACATATGTAACTAACCTGCATTTTGTGCACATGTACCCTAAAACTTAAAGTATAATAATTAAAATAAATAAATAAAATAAATAAATTAATTTAAAAAAAACTACAAACACTGATGAAAGAAATTGAAGAGGATAAAAACAAATAAAAAAAATCAAAAGAATTAATATCATTAAAATGACCATATTGTCCAAAGCAATCTGCAGAATCAATGCAATTCCTCTCAAAATATCAATGTCATTCTTCACAAAACTTTTTAAAAATTTGAAAATTTATATGACACCAAAAAAGAGCCCAAATAGCCAAAGCAGTCCTGAGCCATAAACAAATAAATAAATAAATAAACCACTGGAGGCATTACATTACCTGACTTCAAAATATATTAAAAGGCTATGGTAATCAAAACAGCATGGTATAAAAATAGACAAATAGACCAATGAAACAGAATAGAAAATCCAAAAATATTGCCACATATTTACAGTCAACAACTGATCTTTGACAAAACTGACAAAAACTTACATTGGAGAAAGAACATCCTCTTTAATAAATAGTGCTGAGAAAAC